>NC_000008.11:86964222-88214222 GCF_000001405.40 Homo sapiens
CCAGTGCAATCAAGAGGTCTAGTCCCAGTCCCTTGCAAGCCATCCAATATGCACACCTGTAAGGGCTTCCTTTTCCATTCTCCCGTTTCATCATTGGGGTCCCATTTAGTGTTCTCCAATGGTACTGCTATTCTTCCAACTAGATAAGGCTCATCCCCTTCCCTGGTCCTATATAAGATGTAAAGCTTATCCTAAAAATTCTCTGCCACTTGCAGGGTGGCCTGCTTTTCAGCAGTGGTCAGGGTTTGATGCAAAAGTAACATGACATCCTTCCATGAGAGTTCAAATAGTTAGGTTAAGTTCTGGAAGGCCAATATATGCCTGTCAGGGCCATCTGAAAACCTGCTTGGATCCCCCTTAATTTGCTGTAAGCCCTGAAGAGAAAAGGGGACCCGAATCTAAATGGGACCGTGTTTACCACACATCTGTTGTAGGAGCAGGAGTGAGACTGGGACCTGCCTAAAATGACTTCTAAGATGAGGCAAGCTTGGAAGAGAACCTGGATAGGGAGGAGTGAAGGGAGCTGATTCCCCTGCTGAAGGTACCACTGGGGTTTGTTTCCCCAGTTCCCTGGGATTGACCCTTGCAGCCTCTCCTGAGATGGTCACTAGGAAGGCTGAATCAATCCCACAACGTTGGCAAAGATCTGGGTTACACTACAAGGCAAAGAAAAATAGTCCAAGGTCCCTTCACATAAGGGACGTTGGACTATTTGCCCTCGTGTTTATGGAAAAGCTTTCTTCTTGAGGCAATGCTTCTTTTCTGTGCCTCAAGGTGCTTAGACCTAAGTTGTCAACCAAGTAAATTACAAGAACATTTTTACCACAAGTTTACATACAGATACCAAGACATACTTTTCTTTGTCTGTGCTACTCTTAACCTTATATTATATACTTTCAATGACTAAGCCAAATGCTCATTCTACACAGTAGTATCTTTGTTTGGCAACATTCTTAACATTTTAATATTGTATATAAAAGAAGAACCATGACAGCATGAGAAAAAAGAAAGAAACAATAATAGGAAAGACTAAGGTCCTAGCGCGGACACCCTAATGGGCAGTCAGGGATTGGAATTAGTCCAGGGGCCTTTGGATAACACCAAGGTGTAGCCTCAGCCAGATACTCTCAGTTGCTCCAGGACCTCCATCCAGTCCCAAGTGACTGCTAGACCTCCATGAAGTGAAACTGGGTTGGAACAAAACCAACATTCCCAACACCAGAGAGTGATGGGGGATTAACAGTGTCCTCCCCAGCAAGCCTGTCCTCCTTAAGTCTGGCAACCATGCTAGTCATTTTTAACTGGCTAAGAGTCCAGTGTTTTTTCTTCATTTTGGCTATTATGGAGTTTAGAGACTCCAAAAAAAAAGGACAGAAAGCAAATTCACTTTTACTCACCCTTCCTGCAGATGAGCCCTCAAAATGTTACGGGATCTTTGGGGGGTGGATTTTCTGGCCGGAAACCTCTGTGGCTGCGGGTGGCTTTGCCTGACTTCTTGTTCTGTATGCAGGAAGAAAGAGGTATGAAGACAAGCGAAGGGTGAACAAGATGAAGATGAGCTTTATTGAGTGTTCCAACAGCTCAGAGGAGACCTGCAGCAGGTAGCTCCTCTCATAGGCAGATCATCCGTGGAGCCTTCAGTTCTCAACAGAGAGGAGGCCCTGGAGAGGGTGGCTTCTCTCTGCTTGTGGTCATCCCATTGTCTCCAGCTATCAGCAGAGAGGGTACCTCCTCTCTGCAGCTGGTCCTCCTGTCCTGTCTCTGCCTTCTTCATCCTCTGGTTGTCCTCTGCCCTTCTCTGGCTGAGCCCAGGGCTTTTATGGACCTCAAAGGGGAGGAAGTGCCTGCTGATTGGTCCATGGTTGGCCATGGGTGGGCCCAGAAGAGCCATAATGAGTCCCCACTCTGGTCTGCAGGACCAGCAGTCTGGCCCCCAGCCTTCGGGACCTCCTTGGCCTGAAGGTGGGGGTTCACTGGGAACCTGCCCCCTTCTACCCAGGAATCAATCTGCCTCCAGGGGCCAGGCCAGGAATTAATCAGCCTCCTGGTGCCAGTCATGGCCCAGGGGCTCTTCCCCAACTCCCACTCCAAGACTGGAGCGGGTGCTGGTGTGTCCGGAATTGGTTGCTTCCGGTCGGTTCTTGGTCTCACTGACTTCAAGAATGAAGCCGTGGACCCTTGTGGTGAGTGTTACAGTTCTTAAAGATGGTGTATCCGGAGTTTATTCCTTCAGATGTTCAGATGTGTCTGGACTTTCTTCCTTCTGGTGGGTTCTTGCTGACTTCAGAGGTGAAGCCGCAGACCTTTGCAGTGAGTGTTACAGCTCTTAAAGGTGGCACATCCAGAGTTGTTCATTCCTCCCGGTGGGTTCATCGTCTCACTGGCTTCAGGACTGAAGCTGCAGACCTTTGCGGTGAGTGTTACAGCTCTTAAAGGTGGCGCGTCTGGAGTTGTTAGTTCCTCCGGATAGGTTTGTGGTCTTGCTAGCTTCAGGAGTGAAGCTGCAGACGTTTGTGGTGAGTGTTACAGCTCATAAAGGTAGTGCAGACCGAAAGAGTGAGCAGCAGCAAGAGTTTTTGAGAAGAGCAAAAGAACAAAGCTTCCACAGCATGGAAGAGGACCCTAGGGGGTTGCTGTTGCTGGCTTGTGTGGTCTGCTTTTATTCCCTTATTTGGCCCCACGCACATCTTGCTGATTGGTCCATCTTACAGAGAGCTGATCAGTCCATTTTACAGAGTGCTGATTGGTCCGTTTTACAGAGTGCTGATTGGTGTATTTACAAACCTTTAGCTAGACACAGAGCACTGATTGGTGCATTTACAATCCTTAGCTAGACAGAAAAGTTCTCCAAGTCCCCACCTGACCCAGAAGCCCACCCGGCTTCACCTCTCACCAGGAGTGGAGAGAGGCCAGGCAGCCAGACCAGACACCCTTGAGCCTGCAGAAAAAGTGCGTGTGGGGGGTCCTTCCTGGGGCTTCCAAGGGTATAAGCTGCAGAGACACCTGGTCCTGTGCCTAGGAGGGTGGCTGAAGCCACACCCAGGAAGGCAGATCTTGCTTGCTGCGGGCCCTACCCAAAGAGCACAAGAAGGCTCGGATACACAGCTGCAGTTTGGATGGCTATAGTCCTGCCCAGGAGGGCCAGGCTCCTGTCTGCTCTGTAAAGCAGGAGACTTGGGTTTGCAGCTGTGGTTTGGGTGCAACCCGGGAGCTCTGGTCCCAACTCAGAAGGGGCGGGGCTCCCACTGGCTTCATGGAGTGTGCAGCACCAACTGAGCCTCCCTTCTGCAGCCAGTGTCATGTCTTCTGCCATCAATGTCTTCTATCTCAGAGATTCTTTCCTCAGCTGTCTGCTAATGAGACCATCAAAAGCATTCTTTCTTTTACAGTGTTTATTTCTAACATTTTTTAAATTCTTTCTCAGAATTTTATCACTTCTTATATTTTCCATCTGTTCTTGCATGTTGCCTACTCTTTTTAATAAGGCCATTAGCATAGTAATCATAGTTTAAAAAGATTCCTGGTCTGGTAATTCCAACATTCCTGTCATATCTCACTCTGAATCCGTTGCTTGTTCAGTTTTTTTTTTTTTTTTAACCTGCAGTTTTGTTGTTGTTGTTTTTGCCTGCTAGTAGCTCTGTAATTTTTTGTTGAAAGGTAGATATTGAGATACTGGGTAAAAGAAACTGCAGTAAATAGGCCTTTGATAATAGCGGTAAGGTGTAGGGAGAAAGAAAGTGTTTTATAGCCCTGTGATTAAGTCTCAGTTTTTGGTGAGCTTGTGGGCCTGGACTGGGAATGTTACATGTGCTTCTGAGTATTTTTCCCCCTCCCCTTAGGTGGGACAGAATGGCTAGAGTGGGTTGAAGTTGAGCATTTGCCTTCCTCCTGGTGGATTTGGCTCGTCTGACAAAACCCTATTCTGTTAGGCTTTTGTAAAATAGTTTATTTTGAGGACACACCTTGTTAAGAAAACCGTATTGCTCTGGGTTATTTCAAACCATTTTTTTGTTTTGTTTTGTTTTTTACCACTCACCCGGTTGGAAGCTTGAAAGGATTTTTCTCCTATACTCATCATGAGGGCCTGATAAGGTTCTGGGGGTAAAATTCACAAAAATGTGAATTGCCCCCACCCTTGCTCAAGCATGAGTGGGTCCTCTGGAGTTTCTAATACCTAAAGAAAGAGTAAACACTGAATAAAAATGTATTTTCTCTTTTAGAGACAAGACAATCAAAATCTGAATTTTACTTTGTAAATCAAAGAGAACGACTAAGGCAACTCTCAATCATTTTAGGAGGTTTATCCGCCAAAGTTAAGGACGTGCACCAGGGAGGCAGGTCTATGCCTTTCTCCAAAGATGATTTTGAAGGCCTCAGTATTCAAAGGAGAAGGGCAGATATTTGGGGAAGAGAAATATTTTTTAAAAGATTCAGTAGATAAAAGGACAGAATGGTTGCATCCTTTTGAGTCTTTGATCAGCCTTTCACTTAATATACAGTTTTCCTGTGAGAGGGTGGTAGAGGAAATAGTTACTCATAACTTAGTGTGGCTTAGTGAATCTGCATTTTTTGTAAGACAACATAGACAATAGGGCAGAGGAAGCAATCAGATACGCATTTATCTCAGGTGAGTGGAGGAATGACTTTGAGTTCTATCTTTTGTCCTGCACCTGTGAAGATAAGCTATCAATTTACATTGACAAGGTGAAATTCAGCAGAACTGTTTGAGGGTAGAGATCTTGGAGCCCACAAGGAATTTTCTTGTGGGCAAATTGTGAGGGAAGTATGTAGCTTTTTATTTTTGTAGCCATCTTATTTAGGAACAAAATGGGAGACAGTTTTGTGTGATCCAGTTCCCAGCTCGAATTTTCCTTTGGTTTAAGTGAGTTTGGGGTCCCAAGATTTATTTTCCTTTCACAACTTATTTACTGTTTTTTTTCTCTGCATTTTCTCATTTTCTTTTAAATGTTATGTTTGCTTTATGTTAACTGTATTTATTGAGTCTTATTGTGTTTTTTAAAATCTAACTATAAAGCTCATTTAAAAACAACTTTTCCACAGATAAATAATACATTAAACAAATAAGAACGCAGATATTTTGATTGAAGAGATGAAATTTGTAAACTTTTCTATTCTGTTATTTCCCCATTTTTTGCAGTGTCTTTATAAACACTCCTTCAGAACCTTCTTTGAAAACCACTACCAGTGGCAAATCCATCAATCCTTTTCTTTGTGATTTTGTCCCATGTTTTAATGTTTAGGAAATTTTACTTAACAGTGAACTAATTGGTACTACTGTTAAGCTTTTCCTTATACCACTGAATGTTTGATACTTTGAATCTCTGAAATAAACTGAGAATGGACAGATTACCAGTAGAAAAGGCATACAAATTTATTATGTGCATACACATGGAGTCTCACAAACTATAAGGCTCAATATTATATTATAATATTACCTATTACAATATGTATTTTTGAGTTATTGTCTAATACAAATTAATAATGTGGAATACAGTCATCTAAATTTTTTTCTCCTATTCAACTAAGGACTAGTGTTTTATATATATATATACACACACACACACACACACACACACACATATATATAGTGTGTGTGCGTGCATGTGTATAAATCCTAAAATCAATATCACTAGTACTTTAAACAATCATTTTTAACTTAGATTTACTCCTATTTTTAAACTTGCATTTCTTTTCATTTTTTTTCTGCCTGAAATATATTAATATTTTCATTATTGTGGTCTGCTGATGGCAAATTCTTTCAGATTTTATTTGTTCAGAAAATGCCTTTATTTTCTTTTCATTCTTGAATGTTTTTGCTGAATATAGAATTCTAGTTTGGCAGTCATTTTTATTTACAACTATATGGCTTTGTTTCAACTACAAACTCAGTTATCAGTCTTTCTGTTATTCCATTGAAAATAATAAGACTCTTTAACCTAGCTCATTTTTAACCCAGTTGTTTTGAAAAATTCTTAACCATTTACTTACTAAATATCCCTCTAATAAGCTATCTTTCCCTACTCCTTCTGGAATTTCACTTAGTAATATGTTAGCACTTCTAATTATGTCCTATGTGTCTTATTTTTTTCTGTTCTTATGATTTTGTCTCATCATGCTTCAGTTTATGTTTTCTTTTGCTCTTATTTCTTGCTCACCAATTCCCCTTTTAGCTAGGACTTATCTGGTGTGTTAATCTCATTCACGGAGTTCTTTTTTTCAATTTTTATTTTAGATTTAGGGGTAAATGTGCAAGTTTGTTACATGGGTATATTGTATAGTGCTGAAGTTTCAGGTATGAATGATCTGTCACCCAGTTTTACTAAGCATAGTAATCAATAGGTTTTCAACCCTTCCCCTCTTCTCTCCCTCCCACCTGTAGTAGTCCACAGTGTCCATTGTTGCCATCTTTAAGTTCCTATGTATGTAGTGTTTAGCTTCCTCTTATAATTGAGAACATGCAGCATTTCATTTTCTATTCCTGCCTTAATTCACTTAGAATTTATGACCTCCAGCTGCATCCATGTTGTTGCAAAGGACATGGTTTCATTCTTTTTTATGGCTGTGTGGCATTTCATTGTTTACACATACCACCTTTTCTTTATCCAATCCACCACTGAAGGGCACCTAGGTTGATTCCATGTCTTGGCTGTTGTTGTTCACAGAATTATTAATTTCAGTTATACGTTTATCATTTCTCAAGGCTTTCAATGGATTCTTTTTTACAGATTACAGTTCTTTGCCAAAAATCTTCATGTTATCTTTAATGTCCTTGGACATTTCAATTATAATTATTAATTTGTGATGCAGTTTTATCACATTTTAAATATATACTTTATTCTGTGTATTAGTTTGTTTTCATACTGCTATAAAGAACTATCTGAGACTGGGCAACTTATAAAGAAAATAGGTTTAATTGTCTCATACTTCCACATGGCTGGGGAGGCCTCAGGAAACTTATACTCATGGCAGAAGGCAAAGGGGAAGGAAGGCACATATTACATGGCGGTGGGTAAGGGGCCAGGGAGTGGACTGCCAAACATTTTTATACCATCAGATCTTGTGAGAACTCACTCACTATTATGAGAAGAGCATGGGGAAACCATGCTCATGATTCAATTGCCTCCCACCAGGTACCTCAACAAATGGGGATTGCAATTTGAGATGAGATTTGGGTGGAGATGAAAAGCCAAATCATATCATTCTGTTTCACTGAAATTTGTTTAGTCTTATGCTGATTTCATATTGATTTAAAAATAGCTTTAGTTTTATGTTATCTTTGGATAACTGATGAGACAATTTATTACTATTCCGAAAATGTATTATATATTTAAAATAGAAACTTCCTCACTCAAGAACATGGTGTATATTTTGCATTTATTTTAGTCTTTTTTACTCAATACAGTTCCATAGAGTTTCTATACTTTTTTTGAGGTAATTCCTAGTTTTTATATCGTTTTGTGAATATTTTGTGAATAGGATTATTTTCTTATTATATTTTCTAACTAAGCATTGTTAGGATATGTAAAAGCTATTTCACTAGCTCTCTCTATATTTGTAACCAACTGCCTCAATGAACACATATTAATTCTAAACATTTCAATTGTTTTTCTTTTATTTATTTTTAAGTAAACAATGCAATCTGGGAATAATTATCATTTTATCTCTCACATAGATATATTTTATTTTCATTTATTATCTTAATGCATTAAATAGAACTTTTTTTTTTTGAGACAGGGTCTCATTCTGTTGCCCAGGCTGGAGTGCAGTGGCATGATCTCGGCTCACTGCAACCTCTGCCTCCTGGGTTCAAGCAGTTCTCTGCCTCAGCCTCCCAAGTAGCTGGGATTACAGGTGCCCGCCACCATGCCTGGCTAATTTTTGAATTTTTAGTAGAGACGGGGTTTCACCATCTTGGCCAGGCTGATCTTGAACTCCTGACCTCGTGATCCACCCACCTCGGCCTCCCAAAGTGCTGGGATTACAGGCTTGAGCCACCGTGCCTGGCCTAAATAGAACATTTTTAAACATAGTATTAAATAATTATGACAATAGTGAGCAGTTTTTTAATGTATTTTGTTTTAATAGTATGCTTCTAGTGATTTACCATATTGTGTGATGTAGGCTCTTGGTTTAAGGGAAGAAAAATGTAAGAGTAGAAGCATACTTGTCAAAAAGTCTTGAGTTGAAAATCTAAAATCTAACTTGCAACTTTGTAGATATAACATCATGAATAATTTATCTAACCTGAGTCTCTTCATTTTTAAAAAGGTGAAGCATTTAGCTAGTTCTTAGGATGCTTATGAAACTTAAGGAGATAGTGCATATGAAGTACTTAAATGTACAAAATTATGCACATAATAGGTAAGATACACAGACACACACACACACATCTTCACCATTTTTCACTCTGCTTTATGCCTCAACCATGTGACTTTTACAAACTGCATCAGCTGTACTTTCTGACCATCTAGTTTCTGGTTGGATTTAATACAATGGAAGACACCAGAACATATTACAGGTGAAAAGAGGGTGAGGTCTGAGTTATTATTCCCTGGTTCCTTTCTTGCCTGTTAGACGAGGTTGGCTGTTATCCTATTGCCAAATGCCATAGTAGTCCCTCTTCTGCAACTGTAGCCCTCTCAGGACATCAAGGACCCATATTTTCCGTTGTACTTTCAGGCTTACAGACAACTTCTTGCTGTCCCCTCATCCCCTCGTTGACTTCCCTCACCACTTCCTATTTACTTTTGTAAATAATTTCTTCATTAAAAATCCACTTAAGTGTCCCTTCTGAGGGTGTAATCATCTTGTTTGATGAATCTATGTAAGCATATATAACATTTCCAAACAACCCTAGAGTGCTAAACCAGATCCATACTGTTTGGCTCCTACCTACTCTAGAATTGTATTCTGACCACTGGCCTTGACAAGTCATCTGTAGTTTTCTGATTGGGCTGCTATTTCATGTGCCTGTGCTAATGCTCTTTCCTCTGCTTTGAATGTCTCTTCTATCCACTTTTCAATTTCTTCTCTGAAGTCTTTTCTGATACACTAGGTAAAAATTTACAGTTATCTTTTAAACATCTATCTATACATGGAATTTTATATAGAATTTTCTCATAGTAATGCAGTAATAATTTATTTTATTTGCATGATCAAAAGTTGTACTTTTGTTATTAAACTGGAATCTCTGTAAAGGATGTGGCCTTGTCTTTTCATCATTGTTTTTGCCATGGCTTACATATAATTCATGGCACAGTAGGTACTGAAGAAATGTTTACATAATAAATGACTCTAGCTATTATTATTAGGAGTTAGCTCATACAATTTATGTTAGAATTGAAATATTGTGAGAAAGGTTGTAAGCTTCATCATGCAGAAGTTGTGTTTAGTGTGAAAGTAGGGCTTATGTATTTTCAATGCCCTGACATGTTTTTGTAGCAAGTTGACACATTGCTTTTGTACTACCAGGTGGAATTCCACAGAGCTTAAACCAGACAGGGATTAACAACAGTTTGAGCTGTCTGAGAGCACTATTGACTCTTTTTCCAGTAGCATTGAAACAGGAAAAGGAGGGGATAAAAGAAAATTTAATTATTGCACTATTTTAAAAGCAGTAATTTGCTGATTTCGGAGAGTGACTTGATACTGTGGAATTTTGATTTTCTCCAGTGCTCACATAGAAAAGAGTAAGGCATTAATAAATATTTATTGACTATTGTACAAATAAAAATTTAATCTTCTAATAAAAATTTAATCTTCTAGGAGGATTTTTTTTACAATGGAAAATATACCCCAAACGGTTACTAAGAGGATGGGGAATGTTTTGTCCTGTAATTATAATGATAAATGTTCAAAAATGTAATTACAGTTTTATTTTATAATTATGACAAATGTACATATGAAGAAATATTCAGCTTCATAAGTAGTCAAGGAAATACAAATTAAAACTATCAGGAAATATGATTATATGCCCAACAAGTTGAAAAAAAATTCAGAAGTGGGAAAATAAAAATTTTTGTTAAGGATATGATGCTATAGCTGTTACATGCTAATTTTGGGAGTATAAATCCATACAATTACTTTGAGAAACAACATTACCTAATGTAGATAAACATTCCCATAGTTATAATTCACCCTTATGCCTGTAGTACCACAGAGCAACTATGTATGTAGTTGCATATGTGTGCTATACAATACTTGTGCATATATGTACCAAGAGACACAAGATTATTCACAATAGCATTGTTTATGATAAATTGCTATTCACAATAGAATGGTTGTAAATTGTAGCCTATCCACACAATAGAATGCTATATTATGGTGAATGGACTAAGACAATAATACATGCCTATCATCATATTTGAACCTCAGAATGTTACATGTTAAATTTAAAGGTGAGAAGCAAATTATGGTTAATAATGTGCAACATGATTCCATTTGTATCAAATTTGAAAATAAGTAATACCAAATATAATATTATTTAGGAATATAAATACACATGATGAATTATAAAGAAAATCAAATTTCTTGGAAATGTTCTATTCTTAAGCTGGATAATGTATGTTTATGTTCGGTTTCTTTTTAGTTTATTATTTCAAATTTACATGTGCATTATGTTTCATCCATATCTTTTACATATCATATAGGATTTTTAAAAATTATGTAAATAACCTTAAAATAAGTCTATTCCCATTTACAAATGCAAACACTAAAAATCCATTAAAGGCAGGGCTAATGTGTTTGGAAAAAATCTATTGGGAAACTCCTTTAGGCACAGATAAAATGAAAATATTCTCTGTGTTCAACAAAATTACCTTAGTGTATACAGCAGATTTTCTTGTTTACATTTTAAAAAATATTTTATTTTTAATTGACAAATAATAGTTGTATTTTGTATGGCTTACAGTGTGATGTTTTGAAGCATGTATACGTTGTGGAATGATTGAATTAGGTAAATTAATATATCTGTCATCTCACATAGTTATCATTTCTTTGTGGTAGAACATTTAAAACCACTCTTTTTAGCAATTTAAAATGTACAATACATTATTATTAACTGTGCAATAGACAACCAGAACCTTCCTGTCTAATGAAATTTTGTACCCTTTGATCAACATCTCTTCCTGTCTACCACTGTCCCCATCCCCACCTTCAGCTTCCAGTGACCACCATTCTACTGTCTACTTATATGTTTGACTTTTTTAGATTTTGCATATAGGTGAGATCATTGAGTATTTAACTTTTTGTGCCTGGTTTATTTCACTTAGCACAATGCACTCTACATTCACCTATGTTGTTATAAATGACAGAATTTTCTTCTTTTTTTAAGGCATAATAGTGTTCCATTTCGTGTATATACCACTTAAAAAATTCATTTATCCATTGATGAGCACTTCAGTTGTTTCTATATCTTGACTATTGTGAATAATGCTGCAATGAATGTGGGAGTGCAGTTATCTCTTTGACGTGCTGATTTCCATTCCGTTGGAGATATACTCAAAAGTGGGATTGCTGGGTCAAATAATAATTCTATTTTTAGTTTTTTGGAGAACCCTCATCTGTTTTCCAAAATGTCTGTCATAATTTATATTACCACCAGCAACGTACAAGGAGTTCTCTTTTCTCCCCATTCTTACCAACACTTGGTTATCTTTTTTCTTTTTGATAATAACCATTTTAACAGGTGTGAGGTGATATTTCATTTTGGTTTTAATTTATATTTTTCTGATGGTTAGTAATGCTGAATATTTTTTTCATACCTGTTGACCACGCATATTTTTTTTGAAAAATGTCTATCCCAGTCCTTTGCCTATGTTTTTTAAATAGGGATACTTGTTTTCTCATTGAGTAATTTGAGTTTCTTATATATTTGAATATTAGCACCTTACCTGATTTATGATTTGCAAATATTTTCTCTCAGTCTGTGGGTTGTGCATTGACCTTTTTTTTTTTTTTTTTTTTTGCTGTGGATAAGCTTTTTAGTTTGATGCAAGCTCATTTGTCTATTTTTGCTTTTGTCGTCTAGACTTTTTGGGTAACATTAAGGAAATCACTATCCAGACCAATGTCACGGAGCTTTCCCCTATATTTTCTTCTTGTGGTTTTATAGTCTTAGTTCTTACATTTAAGTCTTTAATCCATTTTGAGTTGATTTTCATATAAGGGATGAGATAAGGGTTCAACTTTATTATTCTGCATGTGGATATCCAGTTTTCTAAACACCATTTATTAAAGAGACCTTCCTTTCTCCAAGATTGCTTTGGCTGTTGGAGATCTTTTGTAATTCCACATAAATATTAGAATAGTTTTTTTCTATTTCTGTGAAGAATGGCTTTGTAATTTTGATAGGGATTGAATTTAATCCCTAGATTGTTTTGGGTAGTATGGATACTCTCACAATATTAATTCTTCCCATTCATGAACATAGAATATCTTTCCATTTATTTGTGTTTTCTTTCACCAGTGTCCTGTAGTTTTCAGTATATAGATCTTTCATGTCCTTAGTTAAATTTACTTCTAAATATTTCATTTTATTTTCTGATGCTTTTATAAATGCTATTGCTTTCTTAAGTTCTTTTATAAATAGTTTTTAGAAAGTAGAAATGATACTGATTGCTTTATGTTGGTTTTGTGACCTACTAATTTACTAAGTTTGCTTATGAGTTTTAACAACTTTTTTTTGGAATCCTTAGGATTATCAATAAGATCATTCTATCGGCAAACAGAAACAATTTTACTTTTTCCTTTCCTATTTCAATGTCTTTTATTTCTTTCTCTTGCAAAATTGCTCTGTCTAGAATTTCCATTACTATGCTGAACAGAAGTGGTGAGAGTGGATATTCTTGTTTTATTCCTGATCTTAGGGGAAAAGTCTTCAATTTTTCACCCTTGAGAATAATATTAGCTGTTGCCTTGTCACCTATGGCCTTTATAGTGTTGGGGAACATTTCTTTAAAAATTCCAACAAATTCTTTGGGTTTCCTGGATCTGGATTTCTATTTCCTTTCTCAGGCTATGCCATTATTTCTTTCAATATAATTTTTGTGTCATCCAATCTTTCTTCTCATTCTGATACACTAATTATTCATATGTCATCCACTTGATGGTGTCCCATAAGTCTCTTTCCTGTTTTCACTCTTTATTCTTTTTCTCTTCTTTGCTCCTCAGATTGGAAGATTTCCAGTGATCTATCTTTGAGTTGACTGATTATTTCTTCTGCAACTGACAAACATTTAACTAGGTTAGCTAAGAAGCAATGAGAGAAGACTCAAGTAAAATCAGAAATCAAAGAGGAGACATTACAACTGCTAACACAGAAGTAAA
Source organism: Homo sapiens (assembly GCF_000001405.40). Classification (NCBI taxonomy): domain Eukaryota; kingdom Metazoa; phylum Chordata; class Mammalia; order Primates; family Hominidae; genus Homo; species Homo sapiens. Next base: position 86,977,570 of record NC_000008.11, read on the forward strand.
GAGAATTAATTTAATTATGAGACTAGTATAAAAATTATACAACAAAAAATTGGATAACCTAGAACAAAATTCATCAGATAAATTCCTGGAAAAATAAAACCTTTGAAGACTGAATCATGAATAAATCAGAAAACTGAACAGACCAATAATGAGTAAGTAGATTGAAACAGGAATAAAAGGTCTGCTATCAAAGAAAAACTTAGGACCAGGTGGCTTCATGGCTGAATTTTACCAAACATTTGAAGAACTAATACCAATCATTCTCACACTCTTTCAAAAACTAAAGAGAAGTGAATACTTCCAAACCATTTTAAGAGATGAGTATTATCATGATACCAAATCCAGACAAAAACACAACAATAAAAGGAAGCTACAGGCAAATATCCCTGATGAACATAGGTGCAAAAATACTCAACAATATACTAGTAAACTAAACTCAACAGTACATTAAAGAGATAATTTACTATGTCCTCTTTATATTAAAGTAATCTGTATGGCTTATGAATTACATTTTAATGTCTACTTTCAAAAGATTGGAATGTACTGTATCACTCTCCTTATTTTCTTGCCATTTGACCTATGCTTATCACTTATGTGCTTTTTCTTATATTTTAGTAAATAATTTATAGGAAAAAAATCCACTTTTTACTAAAATCAACTTCAAACCATTAATCTCGTTTACAGAAAGCCAATTTCTATGTTGACTTTTATGTGTCAGTGTGGGTGAGCTTTCCATTGAGAAAACAACAACAATATTATTCAGAATAAGGAACACTCTTTAATCTTACCCTCTAAAAACAAAGATAAATGAGATAGCAGATAATTTAGACAGTCTGAAAAAATTTTTGTCTCTAATTTAAAGTTAAGATTGACCACAGCTTTTATGTGAAATTTGATTTATAAAATATTGTGGATTTGATACTCCTAATAATGCTTTTTACATTTGTAAAGGACATGCTTTTATCTTTTTTTTTTTTTTTTTTTTTTTTTGAGGCGAAGTTTCGCTCTTGTTGCCCAGGCTGGAGTGCAATGGCGCGATCTTGGCTCACTGCAACCTCCGCATCCCGGGTTCAAGCAATTCTCCTGCCTCAGCCTTCAGAGTAGCTGGGATAACAGGCATGCTCCAACACGCCTGGCTAATTTTTGTATTTTTAGTAGAGATGGGGTTTCTCCATGTTGGTCTCGAACTCCCGACCTCAGGCGATCCACCTGCCTCAGCCTCCCAAAGTGCTGGGATTATGGGCGTGACCCACCATCTCCAGCTGGACATGCTTTATATTTTAATAACTGATTATAACACTCAATGTAGCAAATTAATGATTTTTTTCTGGAAAAAAGTATAATCTATGCCACAGTCTAGGCATATTTTAAAGTTGACTGTATATAGCTGAACATTCCAAGTAATGAGTTATACAATGTAACTTTTCATGGTAGTAATGTTAAGATTATGTCGTAATGTTAAGATTATGACTTGTAATGTTAAGACTAGTAATGTTAAGATTATGACTTAAAAAATTTACATTTTGAGTCAATCAGGGAGTTATTCACAAAATCAAAATTTTCAAAAAGTTTATATTTTCCCTTTGTAGTCTCCATTTTTCTTATTAGTCACTGAAGAACAAGAGTATTTGTCTTCTTGTGTAGTTTTATTATGGGCAATATATTTTCCTTTTTTAAAATTAAAAGAATAAAGACTATAATAAATAACACTGAGGGCTGGATGTGGTGGCTCATGCTTGTAATCCTGGCTCTTTGGGAGGCCAAAATTGGCAGATCACTTGAGCCCAAGAGTTTGAGACCAGTCTGGGCAACATGGAGAAAAATCATCTCTACAAAAAAAAAAAAAAAAAAAAAAAAAAGGCAAAAACAATTTAGCCTGCCATGGTGGCACTCACCAGTTAATACCAGCTACTTCACAGGCTGAGGTGGGACTTTGCTTAGCCTAGCAAAGTCGAGACTGTAGTGAGCCGTGATCTACTTCAGCCTGGGTGGCAGAATAAGACCCCATTTCCAAAAAATAAAAAAAATTAAAATTCACACTGAGTATGTAATTCCAAATGATTTCTCTCAAAGAAATATTTCTGGATAAATAAATATTACAGACAAATTAGCTGTTCAGTATAAAAAACAGATTTTTATTTAGAAATAATATGTCCCCATATAAGAAGTCCCATAAGGTATGTTCTTCTACAAACATTATGTCAAAGGCTACCTGTGATCTCAAAGCATCAGCTTGACCACCTGTCATTTATTTCTCAGGTTAAATGCTGTTTTATGAAGAAATGATGATATAAGAGCAATATGATAACATCGTAGATCCTTTCAATGTTGTTGAAAAATGTGACAGAAAAAATATTTTAGATTGAATTACTTTACTTATAATAAAGAATTGAGCTTCTACAAATGCATATTAATCAGTTTTTGCTAATTTAAGTGATTTTGTTACTTTTAAGTTTTAAAAGGCAGATTTATCAACAGCTCTCAAATACTTGCTTTTTTCTGTTATGACTACTTTCTTTTGGTCATCTTCATGCATGCTTGAAGTTTTAGGATTCATAACATTTGGAAATGTATCACTTTAAAGAATGAGGGAAGTCACACAGTGTACCATAATTCTTTTTGGTGCTTCAGTGACTAATATGGTGAGTGTTTCCCAGACCTCCAAGGTGCTTATTTCCTTGACTGGGAGAAGTATTGCTTGCTGCTGGCTTTCAGCCACCAGCTCTGAGCAAGAGTACTATCCAGCCAAGCTTATGCCCTCTCTGACATCTAATGACTGGGTCACAGGGTGAGTGGTATTTTATGCCATATTTACTGTACACATTTATCCACTTCCTTAGTGCATATCTGGCTCACTGCTCTGTATTTACACCTCAATGTGACTTTATTTCCAGATTTAAAACATATTTCGAGAAAGCATACAAAATTCACCAACTCAGGTGAATACACAGTTTGATAGAGTTTATTTTAGAGATAAAGTTTATTCTAATAGCTTTGAAAATGACTTCACTCATGTATTGTAGAATCATTAAGAGTCAAAGGGATTGCTTACTTTTTTTGGTTACACTTTGCCGTGTTTTAGGAAGCAAATTATTTGCTGTACTGGTATTAAGGGATTTGCAAAAATCTCAGGATGTAGACTAATAATAAAAGCTGACATTTATTGAGCTTTACATTTATTGCATTTAATATTCATAATCATGTAATTAGGTAGACATTATTATTTTTACCATTTTAACAGATGGGTAAACCCGAGTTTGCTAATATTTACTTGGGACTTAGATCTGGAGCACAAACTTAGGATATTCTGGTAGCAAAGACTCTTCTCTCAACCACTGCTTCTTAAATAATAGTGATCTGCAGAACTTAATACACATATGCCCATAACCTCCCACATACCCACACATGGAGACAGACTTTCACAGTGTGTGTACAAGAGGGGTGTGGTTATAGCAATTTGGTTGGAAAATTGGGCAAGCTTTGGAAGCTTTTTACAGAAAGTTAAGAAACATCAACATTCTATTTAAAAGTAGAGAATATAATTTGGATATGACACAGACTATGGAAAGACTCTGGCATTATTCTTTGTGTGTGTGTGTGTCTGTGTGCGTGCGCGCGCGCATTGTGTACTCACACACATTCAAGAATGCCCAAGTATTATGGCAGAGATTCCAAGTTACATGGGTTTTAGATACCACTGAACTGTAACATCACTATATTTTTCTTATGAAGTCCTCTATGGCCTTCATTTGCTATATTTTCCCCAAATTTCTGGTTTTTCCCTCTCTCTAATTTCTAGAGTTTTTAGTTTCCTTTTTACCATGTTCTCTTGGTAACATCACAATTCTCTTATTACCCAGATTCTGGTCTTTAACCTAAGAATTACTGAGCTATAATTTATATAAAGTGAAATCCCCCTTTAAAGTGTCCAGTTTGATGGATTTTGGCAATGTGTACAATTATATAACCATCACCGCAATCAAGAGACAGAGTTTTATGCCCCTTTGCAGTACATCTTCCTGAAACCTTGGCCCTTTTTGTCATCAGAGTTTGACCTTCACTAGAATTTCATTTAAACAGAATCATATAGTGTGAAGTTGTATGTGCTAGACTTCATTTTAATCATAATATTTAAATTTATTCCTGTTGTTGCATGCCTCAATATTTCATTCCTTTTTATTGCTTAGTAGCATTCCATAGTATGGATATACTGTAATTTGTTCATCCATTAGACAAGTTATGGTCATTTGAACTGTTTCTAGTATCTGACTATTGTGAATAATGATTTTATGAACATTCTTGGACAATTTTATGTGGACATCTGTTGTCTGTTCACAGTTGTACTCTGGGTTAACACACAGAAGTGGGATTCCCGGGTCATACTATGTTATGTTTTACTTAATAAGAAACTGACTTACCATTTTCTAACGGAGGTGTACCAAGTTTCACTACTGTTGGCAATGTGTGAGAATTCCAGTTGCTCCACATCCTGACCAAAACAGAATTGCCAGTCCATTAAATTTTACCCATTCCTGTGAATGGATATGTTATTTTACTATGGATTTAATTTTCATTTCTTTAATAATTAATGATGTTGAACATGTTTTATGGGCTTATTTGCCACTTATATGTCTTTTGTGCCCATTAAAACTTCTTTGTATATCTTCTTCTTATTGACTTTTATGAATTTTTTATGTACTCTGGAAACAAGCAATTAGTCATGCATTTTCTGCAAATATTTTCTATCAGTTTGTGGCTTGTCTTTTTACTTCCTTGTGTCTTTCAAAGAGCAAAAGGTTTTAATATGTCACAAAATTTTCTCTTATATTTCATTCTAGAGATTTTAGGGTTTTAGCTCTTCATGTAAGCCTGTGATCCATTTTAATTGGCTATTTAACTTTTGTGTATGGTGTGGATAAGTGTTGAGGTTCCTTTATTTCCATGCAAATAGGCAGTATGATTTGTTGCAAAGTCTATTTCTCCCCATTGAATTATCTTTGTAAGTTTGTCAAAAATTGATTCATAAAAGAACTATGAGTCTATTTCTGAATTATATTTTATGTTATGTAAATCCAAATGTTGATTCCTATGCCAGCATAACATTTTGTCATGATTACAATGGCTTTTATTAAGCTTTAAAATCAGGGAGTGTGAGTTATCCCATCTTACCTTCTTTTCAAAATTGTTTTGCCTTTTCTAAGTCCCCTCTGTCTATGTAAGTATTAGAATCCTCTTGATGATTAGTACACAACAAGCCTGCTGAGGTTTTGATTGGGATTATGTAAAACTGGGATTAATTTTTGGAGAATTGACATTCTAACAAAGCTAATCCATTAGCATATTATCTTTCTCCACTTATTTAGATATTATTTAATTTTGTGTTTTATAACTTTAAAAGTATGAGTTTCTTAAAAAAAGTAATTTTGACATTTATTTTAGATTCAGGGAGCACATGTTCAGGTTTGTTACATGGGCATATTGTATGATGCTGAGTGATATGGTTTGGGTGTGTCCTCACCCAAATCTCATCTTGAATTCTCACATGTTATGAGAGGGACCCCATGGGGAGGTAATTGTATCATGGGGGCAGGCTTTTCCTGTGCTGTTCTCATGATAGTGAATAAGTCTCACAAGATCTGATGGTTTTAAAAAGGGGAGTTTCCCTGCACAATCTCTCTTCTCTTGTCTGCTGCCATGTCAGACATGCCTTTCACCTTCTGCCATGATTGAGGCCGTGTGGAACTTTAAGTCCATTAAACCTCTTTCTTTTGTAAATTGCCCAGTCTCAGATATGTCTTTATCAGCAGCATGATGCAGTAAATTGGTACCAGTAGAGTGGGGCACTGCTGAAAATATACCCAAAAAAGTGAAAGCAACTTTGGAACTGGGTAACAGGCAGAGGTTGAAACAGTTTGGAGGGCTCAGAAGAAGACAGAAAAATGTGAGAAAGTTTGGAACTTCCTAAAGACTTGTAGAATGGCTTTTCCCAAAATGCTGATAGTGATATGGACAATAAAGTCCAGACTAAGGTGGTCTTAGACAGAAAGGAGGAACTTTTTGGGAACTAGAGCAAAGACAACTCTTGTTATGTTTTAGCAAAGAGACTGGTGATATTTTGTACCTGCTCTAGAGATCTGTGGAACTTTGAACTCAAGAGAGATGATTTTGGGTATCTGGCAGAAGAAATTTCTAAGCAGCAAAGCATTCAAGAGGTGAATTGGGTGCTGTTAAAAGCATTCAGTTTTATAAGGGAAGAAGAGTATAAAAGTTTGAAAAATTTGCAGCCTGACAATTTGATAGAAAAGAAAATCCCATTTTCTGAGGAGAAATTCAAGCCAATTGCAGAAATGTGCCTAGTAATGAGAGGTTTAGCATTTGTTCATCACCAAAACAATGGAGAGAATGTCTCCAGGGCATGTCAGAGACTTTTGTGTCAGCCTCTCCCATCACAGGCTCAGAGGACTAGGAGAAAAAAACGGTTTCATGGGCTGGGCCCAGGGTCCCTCTGCTGTGTTCAGTTTAGGGACTTGGCACCCTGCATCCCAGCCTCTCCAGCCATGACTAAAAGTGGCAAACATAGAGCTTGGGCTGTGGCTTCAGAGGGTAAAAGCCCCAGGCCTTGGCAGCTTCCACATGATATTGAGTCTGTGAGTGCACAGAAGTCAAGACCCAAGGTTTGGAAACCTCCACCTATATTTCACAGGATGTGTAGAAACACCTAGATACCCAGGCAGAAGTTTGCCACAGGGGTGGGGCCCTTATGGAGAATCTCTCTTAGGGCAGAGGAAGGGAAATGTGGGGTTGGAGCCCCAACACAGAGTCCCTACTGGGGCGCAATCTAGTGGAGCTGTGAGAAGAGGGCCATCATCCTGCAGACCCCAGAAAGGTAGATCCACCAACATCTTGCACTGTGTGTCTGGAAAAGCTGCAGACACTCAATGCCAGCCTGTGAAAGCAGCCAAGAGGGGGCTTATACCCTGCAAAGCCATAGGGACAGAGCTGCTCAAGGCTGTGGGAGCCCACCTCTTGCATCAGTGTGACCTGTATGTGAGACATGGAGTCAAAGGAGATCATTTTAAAGCTTTAGGATTTGACTGCCCCACTGGACTTTGGACTTGCATGAGGCCTGCAGCACCTTTGTTTTGGCCAATTTCTCCCATTTGGAATGGGTATATTTACCCAAGGCCCATACCCCCATTGTATCTAGGAAGTAACTAACTAGATTTTGATTTTACAGGCTCATAGGCAGAAGGGACTTCCCTTGTCTCAAGTGAGACTTTAGACTGTGAACTTTTGAGTTAATGGTGAAATGAGTTAAGACTTTGGGGGACTGTTGGGAAGGCATGATTGGCTTTGAAATTGGTGAGGACATGAGATTTGGGAGGGGTCGGGGTGGAATGACATGGTTTGGCTGTGTCCCCATCCAAATCTCATCTTGAATTCCCACATGTTGTGGGAGGGATCCAGTGGGAGGTAATTGAATCATGGGGGCAGGTCTTTCGTGTGCTTTACTTGTGATAGTGAATAAGTCTCATAAGATCTGATAGTTTTAAAAAGGAGATTTTCCCTTCCCAAGCTGTCTTCTCTTGTCTGCTGCCAAGTGAGACATGCCTTTCACCTTCTGCCATGATTATGAGGCCTCCCCAGCCATGTGGAACTTTAAGTCCATTAAACCTTTCTTTTGTAAACTGCCCGGTCTTGGGTATGTCTTTGTCAGCAGTGTGAAAGCAGGCTAATACATTAAGGTTTGGGTTATTGATCTCATTACCCAGGTAGTGAGCATATTACCCACTAGCCAGTTTTTCAACCCATGGTGCCTTCCCTTCCTCCTGCCTAGTAGCTGATAGTTGTTTCCATCTTTACATCCATGTATACTCAATGTGTAGTTTCCATTTATAAGTGAGAAACATGCAATATTTTATTTTCTGTTCTTGCATCAATTCACTTAGGATTATGGGCTCAAGCTGCATCCATGTTGCTACAAATGACATGGTTTTATTATTTCTTTATGGATGCATAGTATTCCATGATGTGGGTGTGTACTACATTTCCTTTAACCAGTACACCATTGAATAACACTGCAATGAACATGTAAGTGCATGTGTCTTTTTGGTAGAATAATTTGTTTTCTTTGGGTATATACTCAGAAATGGGTTTGCTAGATTGAATGGTAGCTCTCCTTTAAGTTCTTTGAGATATCTCCAAACTACATTCAACAGTGAGTGAACTAACTTGCATTCCCACCAACAATGGTTAAGCCTTCCCCTTTTTCCACAGCCTCACCAGTACCTGTTATTTTGGTACTTTTATAATAGCTATTATGACTGGTGTAATATATCACCTCATTGTTTTTTTGTTATTGTTGCTTGTTTTTTCCTGAGATGGGAGTCTTGCTATGTTGCCCAGGCTGGAGTGCTGTGGTGCAATATCGGCTCACCGCAACCTCTACCTCCTGAGTTCAAGCAATTCTCCTGCCTCAGCCTCCCAAGTACCTGAGATTACAGTGCACACCATCACGTCCATCTAATTTTCCTATTTTTAGTAGAGATAGGGTTTCACCATGTTGGCTAGCCTGGTCTCGAACTCCTGACTTCGTGATCTGCCTGCCTCAGCCTCCCAAAGTGCTGCGATTACAGGCATGATCCACCATGCCCAGCCCTCACTGTGGTTTTGATTTGTATTTCTCTGACAATTAGTGATGATGAGCAGTTTTATATGTTTATTGGCCATTTGTATGTCTTCTTTTAAGAAGTATCTGTTCATGTTCTCTGCCCATTTTTCTAATGGGGTTTTTCTTTTTTGCTTGTTGAATTGTTTAAATTCCTTATAGATTCTGGATATTAGAACTTTGATGGATGCATAGTTCACAAATATTTTTTTCCCATTCTGTAGGTTCTGTTTACTCTTTTAGTAGTTTCTTACGCTGTGCAGAAGCTCTTTAATTTAATTAGGTTCCAGTTGACAATTTTTGTTTTTGTTGTAATTGCTTTTGGGGACTTATTCAAAAACTCTTTGCCAAAGCTAGCATTGAAAAGGATATTTCCTAAATTTTCTGGTAGGATTTTTATAGTTTGAGGTATTACATTTAAATCTTTAATCCATCTTGAGTTTATTTTTGTATATGATGATTGGTAGGGGTCCAACTTTGTTCTTCTGCTTATGGATAGCGAGTTATTCCAGCACCATATGTTGAACAGGATGTTCTTACCTATTGCTTATTTTTGTCCACTCTGTTGAAGATCACCTGGTTGTAGATGTACAGCTATTTCTGAGTTCTCTATTCTGTTCCATTGGTTGATGTGTCTGTTTTTGTGTAGTACCATGCTGTTTTGGTTGCTTTAGCCTTATAGTATAGTTTGAAGTTGGGTAGTAGGATACCTCCAGCTTTGTTCTTCTTGCTTAGGATTGCTTTGGCTATTCCACTTCATTTTTGGTTGCATATAAATTCTAGAATAGTGTTTTTCTATTTCTATGAAAAAATGACATAGGTAGTTTGACAGGAATAGCATTGAATCTGTAAATTATTTTGGGTAGTGTGGCCATTTTAATAACATTGATTTTTCTAATCCATGAACATGGAATGTTTTTCCATTTATTTGTCTCATCTCTGATTTCTTTCATCAGTGTTTAATTCTCCTTGTAGAGATCTTTTACATCCTTGGTTAGCTGCATTCCTAGGTATTTCATTTTCTTTGTGGTAACTATAAATGAGGTTGTGTTTCTTATTTTGACTCTCAGCTTGAACCTTATTGGACATAGAAATGCTACTAATTTTTGTAGACTGATTTTGTATCCTGAGACTACTGAAGTTGTTTATCAGTTCTAGGGGCCTTTTGGCAGTCTTTAGCATTTTGTAGGTATAGAATCATAATGTCAATAAAGAGAGACAGTTGGGCTTCCTTTCCTGTTTAGGTGCATATTATTTCTTTCTCTTGTCCAATTGCTTTGGCTAGGACTTCCAGTACTATGTTGAATAGGAGTGGTGAGAGTGGGCTTCCTTGTCTTGTTCCAGTTCTCAAGAGAAATGGTTTCAGTTTTTGCCAATTCTGTATGATGTTGGCTGTGGGTTTGTCATAGATGGCTCTTATTATTTTGAAGTGTGTGCCTTCAATTCCTCGTCTGTTGGGAGTTTGTATCATAATGGAGAATTGGATTTTATCCAAAGCTTTTCTGTGTCTATTGAGAATAATTTTTTCTTTTAATTCTGTTTATGTTGTGAATCACATTTATTGATTTGTGTATGTTAAACCAGCATTGTATCCCAGAAATAAAGCCTACTTACTTGATCATGGTGTATTAACTTTCTCATTTACTGCTGGATTTGGTTTGCTAGTATTTTGTTCAGAACTTTTGTGTCTATGTTCATCAGAGATATTGACCTGAAGTTTCCATTTGTGTTGTCAGTCTTCCCGATTTTGGTATCAGGCTGACGCTAGCTTAATATAATGAGCAGGAAGGAAACTCTCCTTCATTTTTTGTAACAGTCTCAGGAGGATTGGTACCATTTCTTCTTTGTACATATGGTAGAATTTGGCTGTGAATCAATCTGGTCCAGGGCATTTTTGGTTGATAGGTTTTTTTTTTTTTTTTTTATTACTGATTCAATTTTGAAATTCACTATTGGTCTATTTAGGTTTTCACTTTCTTCCTGATTCAATTTCCAGAGGTTGTATGTTTCCAGGAACTTATCTATTTCCACTAGGTTTTCTAATTTGCGTGCATTCAGTTGGTCATAATAGTCTCTGAGGATCTTTTGTGTTTTTTGGGATCAGTTATAATGTCACTTTTGTCATTTCTATTAAAAATTATTTTTATTTTTTGTGGGTACATGGTGTATATATTTATGGAGTACATGAGATATTTTAATATAGGCACAAAATACATAATAATCATATCAGAGGTATCCATCAGGTGGGGTATGCATCACCTCAAGTATTTATTCTTTCTCTGTGTTACAAACCATCCAATCCAATTATACTGTTTTAATTATTTTAAAATGTACAATAAATTATTGTTGACTGTGGCCACCCTGTTGTGCTATGAAAGACTAGATTTTATTCATTCTATCTAACTATATTTTCGTATCCTTTAACCATCCCACATCCCCCCCTTTCCCAGCCTATGATATTCATTATTCTCTTCTCTACCTCCATTGATGCAATTGTCTTAATTTTTAGCTTCCACAAATAAGTGAGAACATGTGAAGTTTGTTTTTCTGTGCCTGGCTTATTTCACTTAATATAATGACTTCCAGTTCCATCCAAGTTGAAAACGACAGGATCTCATCCTTTTTTATGGCTGAATAGTACTCCATTGTGTCCAGGTATCACATTTTCTTTATCCATTTTTTTGTTGATGGATAATTAGATTGCTTCAAAATCTTGACTGTTGTGAATAGTGCTGCAAAAAACATGAGATCACAGGGAATGATGGCTCATACCTGTAACCCCAGCACTTTGGGAGGCTAAGGTGGTTAGGATTGTTTGAACTTTGGAGTTTGAGACAAGCACAGGCAACATAGTGAGATTGTGACTCTACTAAACATTAAAAAAATCAGCCAGGCATGGTGACGTGTGCCTGTAGTGCCAACTACTCAGGAAGCTGAGGTGAGAGGATCATTTGAGCCTGGGAGATCAAAGCTGCAGTGATCTCAGATCAAGGCTGCAGTGAGCTGCGATCATGCCACTGCAGCCCAGCCTGGGAGACAAAGCAAGACAGCATCTCAAAACAAATAAATACATACATACATACATACATACATACATACATAGGTATGCAGATATCTCTTTGATATGCTGACTTCCTTTCTTTTGGGTATATACCTAGGTGTGGGACTGCTAGAAATAGAATGGTAGTTTCTAGTTTTAGTTTTTATTTTATTTTATTTTTTAATTTTTTTCAGATGGAGTCTCGCTCTGTTGCCCAGGCTAGAGTGCAGTGGCACGATCCTGGCTCACTGCAACCTCTGCCTCCCAGGTTCAAGTGATTCTCCTGTCTCAGCCTCCCAAGTAGCTGGGATTACAGGCACATGCCACCATGCCCAGCTAATTTTTTGTATTTTAGTAGAGATGGGGTTTCACCATGTTGCCCAGGCTGGTCTCTAACTCCTGAGCTCAGGCAATCCACCCACCTCGGCCTCCCAAAGTGTTAGGATTACAGGCATGAGCCACCATGCCTGGCTAGTTTTAGTTTTTATACTGTTCTTTATAGTGCTTGTACTAATTTACAATTCCCATCAACAGTGTACGAGGGTTCCCTTTTCTCCACATCCTTGCCAGCATTCAGCATTTATTATTGCCTCTCCTTTGAATAAAAGCCATTTTAACTGGGAAGGTAGGACAGCCCATTGTAGTTTTGATTTGCATTTTTCTGATGACCAATCATGTTGAGCATTTTTTCATACACCTATTTGCCATGTGTGTATCTTCTTATGATAAATGTCTAATCCGATCTTTTGCCAGTTTTAAAATCAGATTATTAGATTCTTTGCTATAGAATTGTTCAAGTTTCTTATATATTTTGGTTATTAATCCCATGTCAGATGGGTAGTTTGCAAATATTTTATTCCATTCTGTGGGTTGTCTTTTCACTTTGCTGATTGTTTCCTTTGCTGTGCAGAAGCTTTATAACTTGACATTATTTCATTTGTCCATTTTGCTTCGGTTGTCTGTGTTTGTGGAATATTACTTGAGATCTTTGCCTAGACCAGCGTCCTAGATAGTTTCTCCAATGCTTTCCTGTAGTAGTTCCATGGTTTATGTTCTTAGATTTAAATCTTTAATTCATTTTGATTGGTTTTTGTTTATAGTGAGAAGAGTTCAGTTTCATTTTTCTGCATATGGACATACAGTTTTCCCAATACCTTTTATTGAAGAGATTGTCCTTTCCCAATGTATGTTTTTGGCATCTTTATAAAAAATGAGTTCAGTGTAGGTGTGTGAATTTGTTTCTGGGTTGTCTATTCTGTTTCATTGGTCTATGTGTCTGCTTTTATGCCAGTACCAGGCTGTTTTGGTTACTATAGCTCTGTAGTATAATTTGAAGTCAGGTAATGTGATTCCTTCAATTTTGTTCTTTTCACTCAGGATATCTTTCACTATTCTGGGTCTTTTGTTGTTTCATATAAATTTTCTGATTGCTTTTTCTATTTTTGTGAAGAATTTAATATGTGTTTTGATAGAAATCACATTGAATCTATAGATTGCTTTAGGTAGTGTGACATTTTAACAATAATGATTCTTCCCATCCATGAACATGGAATATCTTTTTCATTTTTGGTGTCCTCTTAAATTTCTTTCAACAATGTTTTATAGTTTTCATTTTAGAGGTCTTTCACTCTTTGGTAAATTTCTATGTATTTAGTTTTATGTGTGGCTATTGTACATGGGATTACTTTTTTGATTTCTGTTTCAGATTGTTTACTGTCATTATATAGAAATACTACAAAATTTTGTTCATTTTGCATCCTGAAACTTTACTGAATTTATCAGTTCTGATAATTTGGGTGGTGGTAGTCTTTAGGTGTTTCCAAATATAAGATTATATCATCTGCAAACAATGATAATTTGACTTCTTCCTTTGGAAATTGGATGCCCTTTATTTCTTTATCTTATGTGATTGCTCTGTCTACGATTCCTAGTATTATGTTGAATGACAGTGGTGAAAGTGGGCATCCTTTCATATTCCAGATCTTAAAGGAAAGGATTTCAGTTTTTCCTCATTTAATGTGATACCAGCTGTGTGTCTGTCATATATGGTTTTTATTTTTGTCATTTATGATTGTACTTATTCAGATATTCTCTCTCTGACACACACTCTCTCTGTCTCTCTCTCTCTCTCTCTTTTGTTAATCTAGTTAGTGCTCTGCCAATCTTATTCATTCTGTTGAAGAACCACCCTTGGTTTCATTGATATTTGTGTGGAATTTTGTGTCTCAATATTGTTCAGTTCTTTTCCAGTTTTAGTTATTTCTTTTCTTCTGCTAGCTTTGGAATTGGTCTACTATTTTCCCCCTCCAGTTCTTCTAGGTGCATTAAGTTAGATTGTTACTTTGCAATCTTTCTAACTTCTTGATGAAGGTGTTTAGTTCTGTAAACTTCTCTTAACATTACTTGAGCTGTGTCCCAAAGATTTGGTAAGTTGTGCCCTACTTTCATTAATTTCAATGAATTTTTTGATTTCTGCCTTAATTTTGTTGTTCAGCCAGAAGTTATTCAGGAGCAAATGTTCAAGTTCCATGTATTTGTGTAGTTTTGAGAGATCTTCTTGATATTGATTCTATTTTTATTGCACTGTTGTAAAGAGTGTGCTTAGTATGAGTTCAATTTTCTTGAATTTATTGAGACTTGCTTTATGACTGAGCATGTAGTTGATCTTAGAATGTGTTCTGTGTGCAGATGAGAAGAATGTATATTATGTGATTGTTGCTGAATTATTCTGTAGATATCCATTTTGTCCAGTTGACTGAGTGTAAATTTTGAGTCTAGATGTTCTTTCTTAGTTTTCTGCCTCAGTGTTCTGTGTAACACTCAGGGGAGTGTTGAAGTCTCCCACTATTATTGTGTAGCTGTCTAAGTCTTTTCATAGGTCAAGGATAACTTGTTTTATTACTCTGGGTGTTCCAATGTTGGGTGCATATATGTTTAGTATAGTTAAGTCTTTTTTTTTAAAATTATACGCCTTATCGTTAGGTAATGCCCTTTTTTGTTCTTTTTAATTTTTGTTGGTTTTAAATCTCTTTTATCTGATATAATAATACCAACTCCTGCTATTTTTGTTTTAGCCTGTGAGTATCATTAAATATAACATGGGCCTTTTGAAGATAGCAGACAGTTGGGTCTTATCTTTTTATTCAGGTTGCCACTCTATGTCTTAAATGAAGCATTTAGACCATTTTCATTCAGAGTTAGTATTGATATACGAAATTTTGATCCTATCATCATGTTGTTAGTTGGTTGTTTTGTAAATTTGATTGTGTAGTTTTTTTTTAAGTGTCTGTGGCCTGCGCTTAAGTGTGTCCTTGTGGTAGCAAGTGTCATTCTTCTGAATCCATGCTTAACATTCCCTTAAGAGCCTCTCATGAGGCTGATCTAGTTGTTAGGAATTCTCTTAGACTCTACTTGTCTGAGAAGGATTATCTCTCCTTCACTTATGAAACTTACTTTGGCAGGATATGAAATTCCTATTTGGAATTTCTTTTCTTTAAGGATGCTGAAAATAGGGTCACAATTTCTGGCTTGTAAGGTCTGCTGCTAGTCTGATTGGGTCCCCTTCGTATGTGCCTTGACCCTTCTCTCTAGATGCCTTTAAGATTTTTATTTTCACATTTACTTTGGCGAAATCTGAAAGGCACTATATGCCTTGGTGATAGTCATCTTATATAGTACCTACCAGAGGTTCTCTGTATTTCTTGAATTTGCATGTCAACCTCTTTATTGAAATTATGGAAATTTTCATGGACCATGTCTTCAAATATATTTTCCAAGTTGCTTACTCTCTCTCCTTCTCTCTTAGGAATGCCAATGTGTTGTAGGTTTGGTCTCTTTATATAATCCAATATTTCTTGGAGATTTTATTCATTTTTTAAAATTGTTTTTTCTTTATTTTTGTCTGAGTGCACTGACTTGAAGAACCAGTCTTCAAGCTCTCAGATTTTTTTTTTTCAGCTTGGTCTATTTTTCTGTTAATACTGCTGAATACATTATGAACATTTTTATTGAATTTTTTTCAATTCCAGAAGAGCAATGTTGTTCTTCCTTAAAATGGCTTTCTTTCATCTCTTTTATCTCATGGATTGTTTTACTAGAGTCCTGGGATTGGGTTTCAACTTTCTCTTGAATCTCAATGGGCTTCCTTTTCTTCCTGATTCTGAATTCTATTTTTGTCATTTCAGTCATTTCAGTCTGGTTAAGAACAATCGCTGGGCAGCTAGTGGGCTCATTTGGAGGTAAGGGGACATTGTAGCTTTTTAAATTGCTAGAGTTTTTGTGCTGCTTATAGCTCATCTGAGAAGGCTGGTGTTCTTTACTGTGGTGTAATTTGAGTAGACTCAATTGCTTCATTTCTGGATGCTTTCAGAGGGACAAGGCTCTGTATGGGATCTTTATTTGTGGCTGGATTCTAGCCTTTGGTATCACAGGGGTGTGTATTAAAAGAATATTTTTGGTGTTGCAGCTTGGGCTGTGATCCAGTAGATGCTGTTTTAGAGTAGTGACCAGCAGATAGGCTGTTATTCAGCCACATGGCTCTTTTATATTTCCTTGCATTAACAGCCATGCTCTTTGGTGGAGGAAGAGAGAGATGACCTCATCACTATGTCTGCTCCTGGGCCTTGAGGGATCCCTCTCTGATCACTGGTGCTGTACCTGTGCACTTCCTTTGTTAGATGTTCTGGACTACAGGGCTCTATTGGGTAGAGGTCGTGGCAGGGAGGTAGGCCACACCTTTTCCAGCCCAGCCCAGTACAGGGAGGCCCATCCTGCTCCTGCACCAGTCAATGATCCTGCATGTTTCATCCCTCTCAGTACTCTGACAGTGGAGGCTCCTCCCCAACTCTGGTGCCATCCACAAATCTTTGCTCAGCATTCCCAAGATGCCTGTCACAGCCCTGGGGCAATGGGATCAGGCCATAGCTCCATCCTTCAGACCCTTGGAGTTGAGCTGCAACTGTGCTGAGGAATCTGAAGTGATACTAGGTCACTGGGAAACTACTCGGGGAGCAAATCACCCAGGCTGGACAGCAAAGTCTGTGATGTGCACAAAAGGCCCTGGTAGGGACTGGTGGGCAGGAGGGCCTATAGAACAGATGTGCCACAGTCCTTGGGTAAGCCAGCCCCACTGTCTCCTGGCCAGGTGGACAGCTGGGGCTAGAGCTAATTGGAGAGAGATGTGGAATCCTGGGGGATAGGGTGCCTATGGGCACAAAGGCCTCTGGCTCCATCTGTCTCTGCCTACTCTCTGGGAAGATTAGCCTGCTATTTCAAATGTCCATGAGGGACACTGGTTCCCTTGTAGCTAGCATCCCCATGGTCCACAGCAAGAGTGGGTTCTTTCTCTGTCCCTTGACCCACTCTTTTCCCAGAATCCATTCAGGGCTGGAAACTAGCTCTAACATTTGAGTACCCCAGCAGGGTCCCCAGCTTCCTTTCTCTTCAGCCTCAATGTGTGTGTCGCTTCTCCGTCAACTCTCGGTGTTTTCTGTCTGAAGATCTGCTCAAAGTAGGTTGGTTTTGTTGATATTTTGGTCACTCTCAGTGGGAGTGGCACTTCCTGCCTTTTGTTAAGTGCCATGAATAAAATAAGCCACATGCTTTGATAAAGAATAATAATAGGAGTGGAGGATATAGGTTGTGTGCTACGTATGGGTCAAGGAAGAGGCCTTTTTGGGGCTGTGATAATTAAGCTGGAATCTGAAGGGGGACAAAGAGCCCTCTTCATGAATAGCAAAATGAAGGAACAACTTGTATGAGGATCTTTAGATGAGAATGCTTTTAGAGGCATCAAATAACTGAGAGGAGGCTTATAAAGCTTGGTGGGGATGCAGGTGGAACAAAATAAGTTTGAAGAACTAGGCAGGATTTAGGTCAAGTAGGGATTTGTGGACAATTGTAGGAAACACAATTTCTGGCTTAATGGATGAGGAGATAAGAATACATAAATATTTATGAAACAGAATGGGAAGTTCTACAGTGGAGGCAGAAACCATGAACCAGGGGCAGGCATGCTTTTAATTTAAACGTTAAGATAGTAAATGTCTGTTGCAACTACTCGATTCTGCATTATACTGCAGAAACAGACATGGTAAATCAACAAGTGAGAGTGGCTGTGTTCCCAACAAACTAGTTACAAAAACAGTGAGTGGCTGGATATGGCCCATAGGCCATAGATTCCTGACCCCTGACATAAACCAAGAGTTCTTGCCTCTAATTCTGACTCAGGATAAAAATCACAGAGTTGGAAATTCAGGTAGAGTTTTGAAGGGTAAGAAGTGTTTTAGTAAAAAGAAAAATAAGGGGATTATATACCAGATAGAGCAAAGCACAAGGACATTAAAGGGAATATACTATTATTGCTGGGGTAGCAAAACTGGGGCATATTTGGACAGCAGTGTGTGTATGGGTGGTGTGTGTGTGTGTGTGTGTGTGAGAGAGAGAGAGAGACAGAGAGTCAAAAACACAATGGAATGATAAAAATGAAACTGGTCAGGCTGGCGTTCTGAAAAACATACAAAGACATTGGACTTAACTGAAAGGCAGATTCCTAAAATATTTCATTACCATGCTTACATTTAAATGTTGAGTGACATTCATGTGAAAGATGAATTGGAATTGGACAACAGTAGAAGTATTTTTCTTGTCAAAAATCCCCAATGGCTTTCTGTTTCTTGCCAAATAAGTCTAAATCCCTATCGATATTAAGACCTGCCATGATTTCCACTTATACCCCCAGTCTAATTTTATTTGCTCTCATTTTCCCAAGAGAGAAAGCCCCTCCCTAAGACTGATTTCCACCTGGTAATTTGGCTTCTGTTATCTAAAGGATCAGCTTCTCCTGTTTATTATTTTATTTTTTTTAATAAATTCAGAAAGCATTTCTAGATGTTTCCTAAGGCTATTTTCTCCCACCCTGGATCTCTTCCGTTGACTGTGATTCATGTTTTGGGCACCTAGCTATGCAAGGTCTTATTTGTGCTTCTGTTGTATGTTTCATATGTCTCACCAGGATTGTAAACTTCTTGAGCAGAGAAATCATTGCTTCCTATAAAAAGGGCTTGTTTTAATGCTGAGGATGCTGAGAATTCTCAATAAACATTAATTGATGTAAACATCAATAACATTGAAAATTCTATCTGAGCACAAACTAATGCAAAACTAGTTTATAAACCTGATCAATGTTTTCATTAGGATTTCTAAAACATTCCTCACATTGCTGTTTAATATTTATACATCAATTATTTGTACCTTACAATATTATAGTAGCAGGCTGAATATTAAGTTTTACACTTTCTGTTTCCAGTTTTTAAAATCGACATATTTTTTACCTTTGGGCAGAAAGAAGTGTTCTGTCTTAAATAGTGATGAAGTTATAGTGGGAGAGGATATTAAGCAGAATAGCAAGTGTCACAAAGTTGGTACAATGAAAGCACAATGAGTTCAGAGTTTAAACAACTATGTATTTACTACTTTAGCCCATTTGGGCTGCTATAACAAAGTACTATAGACTGGGTTGCAGATAAACAATGACAATGTATTTATTACTACAGTTCTGGAAGCTGGGAAGTCCAAGACTAAAGCACTGGCAGATTTGGTGTCTGGTGAGGACCAGCTTTATAATTCATAGATGGTACCTTTTTGGTTGTGTCCTTACATGATAGAAAAGGCAAGACATTTCTTCTGTAAGGACATTAATCCCATTTATAAAGATTTTGCCCTCTGACCTAATCATCTCTAGAAAGCCCTACCTTCTAATCCCATCATCTTGAAGATTAGGTTTTAGATTATTTATTTGGAGGGGATCACAAACATTCAGACCATAGCAAAATTTACAGCTGAAATACTTGTTCTAGGACCCTAAGTTACTTGCTACCTTTAGAATGGAGTACATACTGTGTAATTAACAGACATGAACAGTGTTGTTTCTTTTTACCTTTGTGGGGATTGCAGTGCCATATTTAGAGAAGACAGATTTAAGCAGAAAATTATGAAGACTCCTTTTGGAACACTTAAAAAATTTCCAAAAATACAAGTTGAACCTCTTGAGCATCATTGCTGTTTTCATCTTGCTCTTCAGTCCTCTAGGGTGTACACTAGGAGGAAGTTGTCTTCTATCATTGCCTTGGAAAGGTAATTAGACATGATAAATTTGTCAGTATTCACAATCCTTTGATTTGGTATTTCAGACTTTTAGTCCTCCTTGAAAAAGATTAAGCCATTAATCGCCAATGGTTCCTCATTTATCTGAGAAATAGTGTTCAGAGAAATATCACCTCTGAGGCTGTTTACCTACTGGACATGAAATAGGGCCTGTAAAAGTGGGGCACATTCACTGACTTGATTACCTTTCCCATGGCCCAATGTAGCAGGGCTTGTAAAAACCACAGGAGACAGCAGATGTCTTCTGATATGACCTTTATTGCAGTAGCCTTCAGGTTCCTAAGGAGTTACCACTGGGAGGATTAACAGTATTTTCCCTGCTTATTTGACTTCCTGAGTCACAAATTTCCTTCAGACCCAGCGGGTGGCTGTTCTTTTAGTAGGGCCTAATTTTTCTTGGTGGAAAGGTTATGCTTTCCTTATAGTATGAATTCTCCCCTATAAGAAGCTCCCACTATGTGCAGCTCAGAGTAAACTGGGACAATTTAGTTTAACGTTCCTTGTTAAACACATTTCTGTCCTTTAAGTGCTGAGAGTGAGCCCATAATGTACTCGGGATTCCTTTCTTACATGCCCATGTTATAGCACAAAGGCAAATACATTTCATAAAATACTGGTTTGTTGCAGTTGATTCTTGTTACTTGCAACCATTCTGGTCTACAAAGTCATTGGTGATACTAACCATTGCCCTTAAGGAAAATTCAGGGTTAGGTCCCTTGCAGTCACAATGTTCTCATAACTACATAACCTAGTTTTGTGTGTGTTTCTGTTTTTTTTTTTTAATATATATTGCTGATTTATTAACATTGAACTCACAGCTGGCAACACCATAATTCATGCCTGAATTAAGTTTATGTAATGCATGTACTTTCTCCATAAGGCACATCACGGTCTTCTTGTGCTGAGGAACACTAGGTAGGACTTCAGCACTATGCTAGGGCCATTTTTACACGGTGAAATCACCAGCAAAAAGCACAAAAAATGCAAAAAAACTGGCAGCAAATAGATCTTGAAAAGGACACTTGTTTATGAGAGCTGAAGAAGAAGGCACAATGTTGTTTTTTTCAGCTTCAGCTGGGGTCCTGTGCATTGGGCAATTCAAGGTCTTTCCCTTCTACCTATATCCACAAATCACTGTGAAAACACCTTGTGTATTGATTATGGGGCTACAAATAAATTTTAGAAAGTAGGTGAATTCATGAATACAGAATCTGAAAATAATGAGGACAACTGTATATCACTGGCCCCATGTTTGATTTTAAATTTATAGCACTCTACATCTTTTGAATGATTTGGAAATACATGTTTTTCGAATTGCTCAACCCTGAAACAGATCAACCAGATCAACCAGTGGGTGTGTCCCATCTAGTTTTTATGCCCTTCCATCCACATTTTACAGGTAGATTTATGTCTACAAATGAGTCTTGCCTTATGCTGGACCCTCAAAGCATCCCACAATCCACCTCTGTGTAACTGTGTTTTATTGGAATGTGATTCAATGAACTCATTATAAAATGGAAAACGAATTCCTCATCCCATTTTTGACCTTTTTGCCCACTATCTATGTGGACTTTGGTCAATTGTAATCACAAGAGCTATCTGCTATCAATATTTAAATGTCCATGCCATTGATATCATCAACTTTCTGAACATTCTGAGTTAATGTCAGCTTTCGGAAGAGTGACCGAAGGGCAGGGAAGGTTGACATTCACGGCTTCTTTTTGCTTTGATTTTCTAGCTCTTTTGCCTCTTCTCTCTCACCCAATAGCTAAGGTTCTTCCCCTCTTGGGGTCCAGAAGGAGAGTGGATTAAGAGAAAAGGCAGCCTTGGGCTGGTAGGATCTAGTGACCTGGACTTGTCCTCTGGTTATGGTGACTTCCTATGTTACTTGTTTTCTTCTAGGGCTTCTGTGGGTTTCTCAGATATTTCCCTACTGGGAACCTCCATGCACAGTTACAATAATGTGAGCAATGCATCTACTAGCTGCAGTTGTTGCTTTTAAACTTCAGTCAGATTTTCCTACCTTGCCCATCCATTCCAGATAGTTCTCTTGGCTCCTGGCTGATTTTTTCCTGAAAGAACACCCACTCTGTGGTATTTAAAAAAAAAAAAAAAGTCTTTTATTTCAAAGGGCAGTACTTCCCAAAGTAGTTTAATCTCTTTCCTTCTGCCCTTCCCCCGGTTGAGATCCCACCATTTTGCCTTTAGATTTCTTAAGCACATAGCAGACACTAATCCCTTATTTCCTCAAACTTCAGAGGATACATATAAAACTCTAAAGTTTATCTTTTGAATTCCTTTTCACTTGGCTTGAGATAAAATTGGATATTTCTTTCCTTTTTCTGCAGTGGGGAGAAAGCTGAAAATAGTTCAGTGATGCTCTTCAAAGCATCAGTGTTATTCCTTTATTAATTATAGATGGACATTGGCCCATGGGGCAGAACCAGGGGCACAGTTGCTTAGCGTGTTGCGCCCACATATTCTGCAACATTGCAAAGCATTATTTTGCTGGCCTTAGACTGAATTTTATCAATATTATTTTTTATTTTTTTTCCTAGGAAAAGGTCATGGGTTCTGTATTTATCAGATATTCTTTAAGTTCTTAATTTTTGGTTTTCCATAAGTAAAGTAATAAGGCATTGATATGGTTCGGCTCTGTGTCCCCATCCAAATCTTGTCTTGAATTGTAATCCTAATAATCACCATATGCTGAGAGAGGGACCCAGGTTGGAGGTGATTGGATCATGGGGGCATTTTTCCCCATGATGTTCTCATGATAGTGAGTTCTTAGGAGATCTGATGGTTTTTTAAGGCAATTTTCCCTGTTCTTGTACACTCTCTGTAGGCTGTCACCATGTAAGATGTGCCTCTTCCCCTTCTGCCATGATTATGTTACTTGAGGCCTCCCCAGCCATGTGGGACTGTGAATTAATTAAACCTATTTTCTTTATAAATTACCTAGTCTTGGATGTTACTTTATAGCAGTGTGAGAACAGACTCTAATACAAGTATGGTCTCTGGAACCAGATAGCCTACATGCAAATGAGACTTAGAGCAAATTATATAATCTCATTTTACCTTAGTTTTCTCATATGTAGTTAAGTGAATAACAGAACCTTGCTTATATTATTGTTGTGAAGATAACACTAAAAAAAGCACTTAGAACAGGTTTGGCCCATGATAACATTAAATGTTAGATATTATGCCTGGGAATATATTCTGGTTGTTTGCATAATTGAATAGCATCTTAGCTAGATCTAAGTTAATTATTGGATCTCACTTTCATTCTTTTAGAACTTTTTAATGTTGTTCCATCATCTTATGGCATTTATTGTTACATTACAGATTTGATGTCACCCTAGCTATTTCTCTCCTTTGTAGGTAATTTGCTTTTGCTACCTATATATTTGAAGAATTTTTTTCTTTGAAGTTTATCCATATAAGTAGACTAGGTCTCAATATTGAGCATTATAAATCAAATTTTCCTGCTACCTGCTGTTTTTTATCTATTGTTTTCAATCTTCATAATTAACCCTTCACTTTAGAAACATTTTTCTACATTTTATCTTTGAATATTTTTCCTCTTCCATTTATTGAATTCTCCCATTGTGAACAAACAATTATCATTATATTGGACAGTCCTTGCTTTCTATTATTCTCTATCTTATGTCTTCATTCTTTTTTTCTTAAGCCTTTCATGTGTCATTATTCATTTTTTACTTATGTCTGTTCTGTTATTGCTTTTATTTTATTTACATAGAGATGCTGATTAGGTGATTAATTTGTTTTCTTAGGTCTGCAGTGTCTCCATCTCATTCTCTTTTTTATGGAATCTGGTGTCTTAGGTTGTATTATAGTGTAAGTTAATAAGTAGGACTCTTCTCCAGTTTTTTGTGTTATATTTTCTTCCTGGTTGAATTATTCATATTTATTTAAGTTTTGCTTTATTTTTTGGAAGAGGATATGTGCCTCTACACTCTCTAGATAAGTTACTGTTTCTTTTCCTTTTGACCATGTATGTGCATATCAGATAAAGTAGTGTATTTGTGCTCTAATGGAGCCTATGTGACTTTTTGGTCTTTTTACGCTGTATTTGAGGCCAGCTGTTCTTTCTAATGAGCTAAAGTTGAATGAGCTAAACTTCAGCTAATGAGCTAAAGTTGAATATGTGTTTATTTAATTAATTCAATCATTCATTTCTGTAATCACTCATTTTTTCACTTTTTCAATAGCCTGGGATCATGCATAATTAAGGATGAACTCAGCAGAGGGAATGCTCAGTTTTTTTCTTTGAATATTTCAAAGTGTTTTACCTTCTGAGATTCTTTATTAATGTCTTTAACTGGGGTTCATTTCAATTCAGTTGGGAAGATATTTCCCATTGTGACATATCACAGATTTTTTCCCTCTCTGTGTGTTTCAATCTAATGAGTATCAATGAAGTGTTCACTACTTTAGGAAGTCACCTTTGTCTTTCACTTCTCTGTTTAAACTTATTGTTCTCAGTAGTGTTTTCAAAATGTTCTTTCTTTCATTTTTTCATTTGTTGATACCACTCTTGGAGGCTGAAGTCAGAGGTAGGAACCTCCTAAATGTGCCATTGTACTTTTCTATAGAAATGTTATTTACTTTAATGGAAATTCACATACAAATGGTTTAGGCTCCAAGTCCTTGCCTCTTTTCTCTCATACCTTATATCTAATCTAATAGGAATCCCAGCTGGGAAGACCTTCAAAACAGTGTGTCCAGAATCTAATCCAATCACTTCTTTTTACCTCCACTGACAAAAATTTGGGCAGGGTCACCAGCATCTCTCTCATACTTCATTTTCATAGGCTTCTAATTGGTCCTGGCTTTTATCCTTTATCCCCTATAGATTGTTCTTCGCATAGTGGCCAGGGTGGTTTTTTACAACAATTAATCAGATTATATCTGTCTTCTGTTCCAAAGCCTAGGAGAGTAAAAGCCAGAGTCCTTTCGATATCCCACAGTGTGGTACATGTTTTTCCCTCCCACATGACTTCACACGTAATACTCTGGCAATAACCCAGCCCTTCATTCTATTCCAGGCATGTGGTCTTCTTGCTGTTTCTCAAAAATGCAAAATGTACCATCTCCTTTGCACTTACTCTTACTCATGCTGAAACCTTTTTTTTTTTTTCAAATATCCCATGCTAAGTTCTCATTCAAGGTTTTAATCAAACATCATATGTTCAGTAAGGCCTATTCTTGTCAGTTGACTTAAACTTTCAACCTGTTCTCCCAACTCTGCCTTCTTCATCCCTCTTACCCTTATTTTTTTCTTTTTCCTTATCACTTATTACTAACATACTTATGTAATTTATTTGATTATGTTTCTTGTTTATCTGTCTCCTCTTTCTAAAATGTAAATTCTGTGAGCTCAAGTCTCTATGTCTTTCTTGTTGACTGTGGTATTCCAGGTGACTAGAAAAGTTTCTGGCATGTATTATGTTTGTAAAAAAATATTTATTGACTATTTTAGGTAATTAGTCATTTCTTCCCTAGAAAAGATGATAAGAAAATTATACTCGAACACCTTTTCCCTTGAAGCAATGACCACCAGTTCATGTCCATGAAACTTGGCAGAGGGCACAGTTCTCTTTCTCTTATTTTCATTTTGGAAGAAGTCCAGATCTGTTGGAATGCTTGAAAATAAAAGGAATACTTTTACAGCAGAGATCTGAAAAACAATATTAAAAATCTCATTGGTTAATATTATCTTTTGTAGATATGAAGGGATATATTTAAAACATTTTGTGATTGTTCCATGTTGTATGGTTCTTGGTATTTTAAAATATTTGTCTCACAGGTTTTAAAAATGAATGATAATAAATTGATTAAAAGGACAGAATGATTCCTGATTTTGCAATATCCTAAAATACCTAGATTATTAGAATATGTGATTACTTGTTATTTCATCATGATGATAATAAAAGGGAGGCAGGGGAGCATGGAAGGAACAGTTTAAGACTTGGGTAGGTCTTAGCAAAAAATGTCATCTGCTACTTAATCACTATATGTGTTACCCTTGGCATGTTACTTAAATATTGTGAATTTTGTCAGTCCTTCTTTGTCAAGTAGGAGATAACAAAACTTTATCAGTCAAATAGAAAAGCAGAAACCACTTTATCAAGAAAAGATAAATCCCTTTATTTTATTTTATTTTTTTTAAAGAGGGCGTTTAACCTAGGGCATTGAGAACACAGGTACTAGAGGATATGAGAAGCCAAATAACAAAAAGTTAGCCAACCCAAAAATTACAACAAGAAGGACAAAGGGAGAAGGAGGAAATAGCAGTCTGTGAACTAGGGTCACCTGCTGGCTGTGGTAACAGTGGGCTGGATCACATGGGACAAATGTCAACTGGGAGACTAACCACTGCAGGAGATTGTACCTAAGGAAAAGTGTGGGCAGAAATACTCTGGATTCTCCTTTCTCTTGTACTCTAGTCTCCTACCAGGACCTTTGAAAATCCAGTCCTCACCAGAAGTCTGCTGACAGCAAGAACCATAGGGAAAGAACAAGGAATGAATCTAGTAACACACAGGTCAAGAATCAGCAAAAAAACCTTCAGAATTAAACGTGACATACCGTATATATATATGAAGTGTATTACTGTGCTTTTCACATAGTGAATATCAATGAACTATTGGTGCAATGATTTATAAATTGCTGGAGACCGCATAATTTATAAACAAAAGAGGTTTAATTGGCTCATAGTTCTGCACAGAAAACAGAGTGCCAGCATCTGCTCAGCTTCTGGGGAGGCCTCAGGAAGCTTTCATTCATGGGAGAAGGTGAAGTGGGAGCAGGCACTTCTCATGGTGAAGGCAGGAGTAAGATGCACTCAAAGTTATAGTTTGTTGATCCCCTACTATATGAAAACCACAGTAATGTGCATTGTCTTTTCCTTTGTGTTTGCATGGATCAATTTTAAACACAATTTTAACCTTTAAAAACGTGTAACTTATTTGTAAAATTTCTCATATGTGTAAATATAAACATTTTATATTACTCATTATTGCACTCACACCCTTACTTTGTCCTAGTCAATTCTATTTTTGCAAATTAGTATTTATCTAAAAAAAAAAAACCCTGTAATTTTACTCTGAAATCACAGAGCACAAAAATCTAAGTGCTTATTTTACCAAATATAATTAAAGACAATACTGAGAATCAATCCATATACTCTACCAACACAAGCACAGGATAGATACGCTATCTAGGAGTTGTTTCTGGCAGAAAAATATCATATGCTACAGGAAGGGGTAAGAAGGAACCTAAAACTAGGTTTTAGGTTTTAATTCGAACAATATAATGAATTGTCTTACATGTTATTTAAGCAAGGGTGCTCTTTGTAATTCATACCACTCTCAAGACTGAGCCTTTTGAAATTCAAACCATTCATTGTTGAACTTTGATACTTTAAAATACCACTGAAGTTAAAAAAATGGGTGGTGATAAAATAAAAATCTGTTTCATTTGGGCAGGCATCACAAAAATTGTCTTGGATAATTCAAACCCAAGACACATTCCAAAATGCAATAGTTTGCTGCATGATTTAATTCATGTAATATAAGATACTTGAAGATTTTTTTTTTTTTAATCGTTAAGTCTTAAATATTGAAAAAGAAAGTCTCAGCAGGGCACGGTGGCTCACGCTTGTAATCCCAGCACTTTGGGAGGCCGAGGCGGGTGGATCATGAGGTCAGGAGATCGAGACCATGGTGAAACCCGGTCTCTACTAAAAATATAAAAATTAGCCGGGCACGGTGGCGGGCGCCTGTAGTCCCAGCTACTCTGGAGGCTGAGGCAGGAGAATGGCGTGAACCCAGGAGGCAGAGCTTGCGGTGAGCTGAGATCACGCCACTGCACTCCAGCCTGGGCAACAGAGCGAGACTCCGTCTCAAAAAAAAAAAAGTCTCAGGTCACCAAATCTATATTTTGTGATAAGGAGAAGCAAAATTTGAAATAATTTAACTTAATATTTCTCCTAGTTAAAACACAGTAGAAGTCATGGTTGATAGTGTATTGACTGCTGTCACTCACATCAGAAATGAAACATTAATTCCATAATTCGTATCCATGTTTTTGCACTTCTGCTTGCCTATTTATTAAGAAATATATATATTTCTTTTGACCTAGGAATTCAGTAGGATTATCATGTGAAAAATTGTGCCAGACATGTTAAACAGGCAAGGAAGACTTTATTAAAGATTATTGCAACAAAGGAAAGAAATTGAACTCAAGTCTATTGAAACAAAAAGTAGGAGAGTTTTTAAGTTCTGAGGTGAGCTACTGGAAAAGGACTAAAGGTCATTAGGGATGAGGGCCTGTGTGATTACGCTATCTGTGTTTGCTAATTGGTGCTTATGGAAGAGCCTGGGAGATGGGGTGCTCTATCTTTCCTGATGAATGTAATTCAAAGGGATCACTCCCAGGTGTTTGAAAAATACATTTCTGGGTTGTAAAACTGAAAGAGGCTGGGAGAAGATTTGTATCTCAGGGGGCAGAGAAAGGATTTATGGTTGCAAGTTTTCTAGAGTAAATGCTCTAAGAAAAGGGAGGAAACATGTCTAAAATTCAGTCATGCTGAGGAACATTGAGGCCATCTTGGTCAACAGATTCTACAGGCACCATTTTGGAGTTGAGATGTACATTAAAGGAAAGATGGAGCAAGCATCTCTTTTCCCTAAATTCTGCTGGTTTCTGATTGACCATTTTTACTTTTTCACTCTAAATCGGGGGAAAAAAGTGTCCTCCTCTCCTAAGGTCTCTCTCTTCTCTGTCCCTTCAGCCCTTACTTTAGTTCTAGGTGACCTTTATGGAAGGTGATAATATTTCCAAAACAGAAGGCATCACTTGCCCCAATTTCCTATAATTATAACAAGTATAAAATAAATTAACCAAGAAAAGGATGTATTAGGCCATTTTTGCATTACTATAAAGAAGTACCTGAGACTGGGTAATTTATAAAGAAAAGAGGTTTAATTGGCTTATAGTTCTGCAGGCTATACAGGAAACATAGTGCCAGCATCTGCTCAGCTTTTGGGGAGGCCTCATGAAGCTTTTATTTATGAAGGAAGGTGAAGTGGGAGTAGGCACTCCTCATGGTCAAAGCAGGAGTGAGAGAGTAGGGGGTAAGAGAGGTAGGTGCCACACACTTTAAAGACCAGATCTCACAAGAACTCACCAGGTATCATGAAGCAGCACCATACCAGGCCTCACTTCCGGCATTAGAGATTACAATTCAACATGAGATCTGGGCAGGGACAGATACTCAAACCATATCAGATGACAACTCCTCCTCTTTAATCTCCTCCTCTTCCTGCCTTGAATGTTTCTCTCCATAATGTAAGTTAATATTTATCTAAGGTAAGATAAAGCTATTTAAACATTATGACTTTCTTATGTTAGTACGTAATTGAACATTGTACAATAAAACTTCTTATTGGCCGGGTGCCGCGGCTCACGCCTGTAATCCCAGGACTTTGGGAGGCCAAGATAGGTGGATCACCTGAGGTCAGGATTTCAAGACCAGCCTGGCCAACATGGCAAAACTCTGTCTCTACTAAAAATACAAAAATTAGCCAGGCGTGGTGGTGGGCGCCTGTAATCCTAGCTACTTGGGAGGCTGAGGCAGGAGAATCTCTTGAACCCAGGAGGCGGAGGTTGCAGTGAACCAAGATCACGCCATTGCATTCCAGCCTGGGTGACAAGAGTGAAACTCCATCTCAGAAAAAAAAAAAAAAAATTTAAAACTTATTACTGATTTTCCTAAATGTATTTTCCCCATTTATTTTCACCTTTTCATACTGTAGAGAATGCCAAAATATTAATCTCATTGGAGATTTGATCCTCAACAAACTATAAGATATTTACAGTACTTAAAAAATCCATAAGCTCTTATTTTTATTTTTTTTAACTTGTGCATACCTTTGTATTATGTGATCCATTTTCCATTGGTTTATATTTTATCTTTCAGATGTAAAAAGTATATTTTGAGCCCTCAGTGCTATGTTTTAGCAGCTGAAGTATGAACTTTGCCCTTTTTGAACTGGTAATTCTATTTTTTTTCCCACTAAGATAAGTTTTCTTTGTTTCTTTCCTATGTTACTGATGGTATTTCATCACCTGAATAAATGCTTCCCATCTTGATTTTAATTTTCTTTCAGCAGATGAAATTAAGTCACTTACTATACTTCAGTGGAATTAGAACACTTTTATTACAGACAAATGTATTTTAGATAACATTCTTAAAGTTTTCCTTAAAAATTTACAAAAGAATGTTTAGATTTCTGTTGAGATGTTTGTCATACATTAATATTT
Source organism: Homo sapiens (assembly GCF_000001405.40). Classification (NCBI taxonomy): domain Eukaryota; kingdom Metazoa; phylum Chordata; class Mammalia; order Primates; family Hominidae; genus Homo; species Homo sapiens. The sequence continues at coordinate 87,007,791 of NC_000008.11, forward strand.
GTTTTTACTAAATTTACTATGTATTTATTAAATTTTCAAACATCTAGATAAGAAGTTGAGCAGATTGATTTACTGTTTTTTGTCCTTTATAGGACATTGCTCACAAGATCATTAAATGACTCCAAAAACGTAATTCATGTATGGGTAATTATAAGTGATACTTGAGGTGAGGGATAAAAAAAGAACTAGTCCTAACAAATTAATATTTTTGTCTGCATGCTCATATTGTTTTCATACGGATTTTAAAATTACTCTGGTTTGACATTTTACATTGAAGTTTTGGAATTTTATCTATACTGACTACTTCTATGAAATTGAGATATTTCTCTTACCAAATACTGGTTTGCAATGTATATCATTAATTTATTGTTTTTTCCAGTGCCAATTCAGGGCTAATATAATGGGTGGCTATTAAGTCCTACATGTGTTCTGAGGTTCTCTCAGTTGTTTTTAACGTAATCTTTATCTGAATCTATTTACATTAGTTTCTAAGCATATGCTTTAGTGTTCTGTAAGTTTTATGGGTTCTTTGTTACATGCTTAATTTAGTTTTAGAAGCACTAAATATGGGAATCTGGAAGTGAATATCACAGTACTGATTTTCTCAGATGTTTTACACAGTAATTACTCTTCTTAACTATAACCTTTGCATTTTTTGGCCGGGGTGGGTCTTAGAAGTCCTTTCTGCAGAATTTATCCAGTAAAAGTTAGTTTTTGGATAGCCTGGGGTTTACTTTTAATGCATGTCTGAATGCTCAGTTTTGATAAGTCAAATATATCCTTGCATCTAAGTCCCTGCTGAGTGAAAGGTTTTGCTACAGCTAAAAGTCTGAGAAGAAAAGCAGAAATCATCAGGGAGTTAGCTTGATGCATGAAAGACCCACAGGAAACAAAACTGAGTTGATGTTACCAATAGGAGCAATTAAGAAAGAATGGTTTTGTGCCAGAATGTTCCTGTAAGCTTATTTGAGGAATCACTATTTCTTTCTTTTACCAAACAACCTTTGTTCATCTTCCTTATAAATAAAACATTCTATTCATATTGCTAAAAAAAGTAGTTTGCTTGGGTACAAAAAAGGAGTTTTTTGCTCACATTTTGAATAAACTTAGATACTTTCTTATTCAGTCTGATAATCTTTGTCTTTTCATTGTGACATTTATTCAGTTTATTATTTAATATAATTATAATTTGGGTTGAAATTTTTCATATAACTATTGGTTTTTTATTTGAACTACCATTATTGTTCTTTTTTACTTTACCATTTTCTTGGTTTCTTTCCTGATCATTTTCTGGCGAGCTACATATTTTTTTATTTCCCCAGAAATTACTAAATATCTCTTTAATTTACTAGAGTCTATGATAAATTAGTGCCTTTATACTTCTAGAAAATTATAATAAGCTTAAAATAGTTTAATGCCTTTCAATTCTCTTTGCCTTCTGCTCTTTTTCTGCCATTTAATTTAATTCTACATATATTTTCACACTCCCAAACCATTATTTTTTATTTTATTTTATTTTTATTTTTTTGAGACAGAATCTCACTCTGTCGCCCAGGCTGGAGTGCAGTGGAGTGATCTCAGCTCACTGCAACCTCTGCCTTCTGGGTTCAAGGGATTCTTCTGCCTCAGCCTCCCGAGTAACTGAGACTACAGGCACGTGCCACAACACCCGGCTAATTTTTTTTATTTTTAGTAGAGATGGGGTTTCACCATGTTAGCCAGGATGGTCTCAATCTCCTGACCTCATGATCTGCCCACCTCAGCCTCTCAAAGTGTGCTGGGTTTACAGGCATGAGCCACCACACCTGGCCCCCCAAAACATTATTACTATTGTTTTATACAGTTACTATTCATTTAAATTCACCCATACATTTACCCTTTCTTGTACTCTTCATTTCCTCCTGCATTTCTATGACTTAATATGAGGTCAGTTTTCTTCTGCCGGAAGAACTTTTAGTATTTCTTTATAGCTCACATCTTCTGGTGACAAATTCTCTTGGCTTTTGTTTATCTTAAGCATCTTCATTTTATCTTTATTTCTAGAGGATATAAGAGAATTCTAAGATGCAATAATTTTGTTAAGTTCTTTAAAGATGTCAGCCTACCATCTTCAGGTGGCCTTTGCTGCTGCTTCTCTTTCTTCTCTTCCTCCTGTTCCTCATCCTTCTTTTGTCTTCTTTTTTTGAAATGTCACCTAATAGTTTTATTTGGCTGTTTGAAGGGAATATCCTCTCCTACCTCTGTGGCTACTTTTAGGTTTTTCTCCTTATCTTTAATTTTTGGAATTATTTTTTTCCCAAAATTTGTTGTTTCTTGATCCTTCAAGTTAATAAAATTCAATGAAGTTACAGCTTGTGGTCTTTCATTAGTTTTGGGGAAGAAAACCAGACATAGGCTTCTCAAATATTCTTCCTACCTTTTTCCCCCCACTTCCCTTGGTACTTCAAATGCATGTGTTAGATGTATAGACAATGGTTCATGTGTTCCTGACACGATTTTTTTTTCTTATTCTTTCATCTCTCCAAGCTTCAGTCTGACATTGGTCTGTCTTCCAATTTTCTAATGCTTTGTTTTATATCTAATATGTGGTTAAATCCATCTACTAGGTTCTTTTTTTCTGTGCTTGTATTTTTATTTCTAGATTTTATATTTTACTCTTTAAAAAAATGAACTCCATGCCAGGCATGGTGGCTCATGCCTGTAATGCCAGCACTTTGGGATTCCAGGCGGGTGGATCACCTGAGGTCAGGAGTTCAAGACTAGACTTGCCAACATGGTGAAACCCTATCTCTACTAAAAATACAAAAATCCAGGCCTGATGGTACATGCCTGTAATCCCAGCTAGTTAGGAGGCTGAGGCAGGAGAATTGCTTGAACCTGGGAGGCAGAGGTTACAGTGAGCCGTGATCACGCCACTACACTGCAGCCTGGGCAACAGAGCGAAACTCTGTCTCAAAAATGGAAAACAAAAAACTCCCATTCTGTGATAAAATTCTCCATGTTTTCACTTGTTTTCTTGAACACTGAAAACATTTTTTTTTAAATTGATATCTGAAACTTCCAATGTCTGATTTCCTTGTAGGTGTGTTTCTAGTCCAGATTTTTTTCTTTATATTTGATGACTTGTTTTCTTCTCCTACTAGTATTTATTAGTAAATTGGACATTGAGTGTGAAATGTTATAGAGATTCTGGATGATGGTATCTTCCTTTGGAGAGGATTTAATTCTTTTCTGGCAGAGAGAATGGAAACATGTTATCTTGTTGCAATCATAGTTGGAGAATCTATGGCTCATTGAGCCTTTCTAGGGTCTTGCTCTGTTTATTTTGTCCCTAAAGTGTACTTTTGTAGGGTTTTCAGTTTAAAAAAATGGATGTTTATTAGAGTTTGGTTTTTTTTTTTTTTTCAGTCCCTAAATCCCAATATTTACTCTCACAGCACTGTGCAACTAAAGAATTCTCTGCTTAGATTGTATCCTCTTAGGTTTATTTTCTGCTTGACTCTTTGGCCTCCACCCTCGTGTAGCTTATTAATCATCAAATGCCTTGAGGGGAAAAGTGGCAAAGACCATTTGGGTTGCCTCTGTTAGTTTCCACTTGGCAGCATTTTGACCCATTGTCTATCTTGGTTGTGTTTGATACATTCAAAATATTGTCTTTTGTTTATTTGTTCTTGTTGAAAAATCATAAAAGTTGGATAATTTTATTTTTTCTTGTTTTGGAGGTAGGGGTGTGGGGCTGTTATCTGAGACAAGCCACTTTATCATAAGCAGGAACATAAGTACTTATTAAAATCTTCATCTAAAAATGTTGTAAAAAAATCTTTATAAATGAATTAAATCTTTATTTTATTCTCATTTGAATAATAAAAAGCATTTTAATTTAAGAAAAACATTATATAGAAAGAACACATTTTCTTCTTTTCTACTTTAGGAGTTTTAAGATTAGATATTGTCAGTTTGTTACAGTACACTAATTTAAAAAACAAACATGAGGCTCATATTGTTTTTATGGAAGACTAATTGAAACTCTGGAGAAGATAAACAAAAATATTAGAAGAATAGCTCCGATAATTGATACTAAGAATAATTTTACATGGAATAATTTGTGCTTGAAGGGGGAAAACAGATTAATTGGAGTTTAAGAGCTAAAGAACATCTGGGAACTTTGTTTTGTATAAATACAAAACAATTTACATTTTTATACAAAACACAGAAAATCCTACTATAAATAAAATGATGAAGGTGAAATTCTCTAGGGGACATGTAGCTCTGTTGTAGGACAAGTTCATTGTGGTTTGAATTTATAAGTTAGAAAGAACTAGAAAGTCACTAAGTGAACACTGAAAAATGGCTTCTTTAAGAGCCGATAAATGAGTAGGAAATTTTTGTCCATTTGATAGTAGAGGTCATTAGGTCATTGGTTGCAGAAATGTTGGCAATTTTGTTGGTTGTACTTGTGGTTGTTGATTATTGTGGGAGCAGGGTTGAAGACTAAGCTCTGATTTTTTATCTTACCCAAATTCCTGCCTAAGAGGTCTAGGGAGTCATGCCCCACAAACCACAAATTCTCATCAGATGGGTTTTATTTAACCCTATATATTTTGACTTACTTTTGAACCTAACTCTAGCATAATATTATGAGACAAGGAAAAAAATATTTAACCCAAAATATATTTCCTTACCATACCTTAACATTGCCCTGCAAAGTCTCTGGTGGGAAGAATCCACATTCTATAGAGAAACCCCTACCCCTTTTGTTTTCCGGCCTTCCTTCCCAGATCCAGGAAATAATCAACTAAGAGCCAGTCACCCTTTTAAGTCCTATAAAAAACAATTTACAACCTGCTGTCTCTAAAGTCTGCTATCTAAGAGCTTCCTCTGAACAATAAAACTTGGTCTCCACAGTCCTTTACCTTTAACCTGAACATTCCTTTCTATCAATACCAGGTCTTCAGACAACTTCAACCAATTGTCAACCAGAAAATGTTCAAATTTACCTATAGCCTGGAAGCCCCCACTTTGAGTTGTCCTGCCTTTCCAAACCAAACCAGTGTATTTCTTAAATGTATTTGATTGATAACTCATGCATCCTAAAATACATAAAACCAAGCTGTACCCCAATCACCCTGGGCACATGTTCTCAGGACCTCCTGAGGGCTATGTCATAGGCCATGGTCACTCATATTTGGCTCAGAATAAATTCCTTCAAATATTTTACAGAGTTTGACTCTTTTTGTCAACAATATAAAGAGAGGCTGGCGCCTAATGTGCGGCCTCAGAGAAGACTCAAGACCCCAAAGGAGTTGACTGAAAGTGGAGCTAAGGTACAAGCAGGGGCCCATTGAAGCCCCACTGAATTCAAGCTCCTCCTCCAGTAGAACTGGTAAGTCCTTCTGACCCCAGGACCTCCCTTAGGTTAAACGTCCTTGATTTATTCTAAGCTGGTTTTCCCTAGGAAGTTGTTGTTAAAGGATCCTAATGCAAGTTTGGAGGTGCATTTCTAAAGGGTCTTCTCAATTGCTTTTCTCTCAGAATTAACTAAGAATAAGGAGAAAACAAGTAGAATGACCCCCTTTTGAGCACTTCTCAAAAGGGGTTCTCAAAAGAGGTTTATGGCACCTCCACTTGAAGTAATATGGTCTTTGTGCACAGTTTACTTTCAGAAAAAAAGTCCTAGGGTTGACCTGCAAACTGTAGAGTTTCTATTCTAAGTTATCTTTCTCTATTTTCTTTTCTGCTTGCTTTAAATCTGCTGTTACTTTTCTACTGAGATTAAAAAAAATAATAATAACCGCTGTTTGGATCTAACAGTTTTTTTTTCTTTGTTTTGTTTTGTTTTTTGTTTTTTGTTTTTTTTTTGCAAGCCAGAAAATTTATATTCATCTCATGGCTAAAGTACTAAAGTAAAGCTATAGGATCTTTGTGTTTGTATGTGTATGTATGTATATATGCATGTGTATATTTAAAGGCCTTTATAAATTCTATAATGTTATGTTTAATTGGCAGTTAAATGTTTTAATTTCCCTCTGGCACACCGAACTTTTTCTCCTTATACCTTATCATGTAAATTTTGCTATCTAATCTTCACCTGAGTTATTTCCTTTAATATGCAAATTTGGGGCTATTTAGCTAACTACTGCCTAGGGTGATGCAACATATTATCAAAAATATAAAAGTCTAAAATAAAAAAAAAAGGAAAACAAAAGTCTTTTCTAAATCTATAAAATACTTGTATCAGAATGCCTAATTACATCTACATGTTTATGTGTGTGTATACAATATTTTCACTACTAAAAATATATGAAGAGCTCTAATCAACTGGCTTTAAAAAAGCACTCAAATCAAATACAGAAAACAAAAAAAAACCAGAAGAGTAGTCAAATGTTTTTTCAAGTTCATGTGACTTAAGTAAAATCTTTACTAAATAAACCAGCATTAAAATTATCAGTAAATAATATCAGCAATGTCTTTAGAATTGTTAGCAGTTTTTTTTTTTTGCATCTGTTGATCAAGTAGTTTAATGTTTATTCCTGTAGAATACTATAAGATTTGCCATAAGAGTTATAAACGATAAAACCCAGCCCAAGACAGAATGATCTTTGCTTGTATATGCTTATAAAATATTGTTGGCTTAAATGAAAACAACTGCATACTGAGTTATTGGTATAAATACCCTTAAAACTAACCATAAGCTTTATTACTAAAGTAAATATCTGAAATTCACAGCTATAAAAAGGGTTTATAGAAAAATATATTAAATATTTGCTATCACAGTTTTTTGTAAATAATCTAGGTAAACTACAAGATTAATTGGGTAAGTGTAATGAAATAAAATCTTGTAAACAAACTTGTCATAATTTAGGATCTAAGGTTATTATTTGATATAAGTATCTGGGTAATTTGTAATTTAAAAATTATAGGAATACTTTTTTAACATTCTTATTAGAGGTAAAATATCTTTGTCTAATCCAAACCTTATTTAAGTGTTAGGTTTAAAACAAGGTAAAAAAAAAAAATCAGGAAATAATAGATGCAAAGAAAGTTAAAGATGTAGAAAGATATTTTTGGTAAAGAATGTAAAAAGAAAAATTATTTTATACAAAAAAGAATCTTGTATGGTGAATTTTTGCCCTAAAATAAAATAACTGCGTTGTTCAAGGAAGAAAGATATTTGGGGTAAAACAAAAAGTCTAACCATTGTGAATGATCTATGTAAGTCATAATAAGGTTAGTAAAATGAATTTATAAGGGGCTTGTGTAATTCAGTTGGCTATAATTAAAAAGAAATCATAATCTTTCTAGAAATTGATATTTAATACTAAAAAACGTACATGAATACAAAACTAAATAATTGGTTAAAACAAGATTTTATTACAAATATTGACTTTTTGTGGGGGAGGGGGCGAACGGAGTCTTGCTGTGTTGCCCAGGCTGGAGGCTGGAGTGCAGTGGCACGATCTTGGCTCACTGCAAGCTCCACCTCCCAGGTTCATGCCATTCTCTTGCATCAGCCTCCCGAGTAGCTGGTACTACAGGCACCTGCTACCATGCCCAGCTAACTTTTTTTTGTATTTTTAGTAGAGACAGGGTTTCATCGTGTTAGTCAGGATGGTCTCCGTCTCCTGACCTTGTGATCTGCCTGCCTCAGCCTCCCAAAGTGCTGGAATTACAGGCGTGATCCATCATGCCCAGCGAAATACTGGCTTATTTTTAATGCAAAAAGTTTTTAAGTTTTTAAATTCTATAATCTGTTTAACATTTTTCAGATTGAGATCTTTAAAGCACTACTCTCTTTTAAAAAAGTCTTAAATGATGACTTTCTCCTTCACCTTTTGTTGGCTCCTGTAACTTTTACTAATCTAAGGGAAAAAAATTGTTTTTGAAAACAGGCAAATATAGCATATTTTAGACATGCCTTTTGGCTCACGCCTGTAATCCCAGCACTTTGGGAGGCCGAGGCGGGTGGATCACTTCAGGTCAGGAGTTTGAGACACAGACTAACCAACATGGTGAAACCCCATCTCTACTAACAGTACAAAAATTAGACTGGTGTGGTGGTGGGTACCTGTAATCTCAGCTACTTGGAAGGCTGAGGTAGGAGAATTGCTTGAACCCAGGAGGCAGAGGTTGCAGCAAGCTGAGATTGTAACACTGCACTTAGCCTGGGAAATAGTGAGAATCCGTCTCAAAAAAAAAAAAAAAAAAAAAAAAAGCCTTTTATTCTGCATAGCTGTTATACCTCTATCTTTATATGTATCACGTGGAAGTAATATTTCACTTTCAAACTAAATAAAATAGCTCTAATCAAATAACTTAAAAATGTAAGTGCTTATCAGATTGGCAAAAGCTAGCTCAGATGCCTCTTAATTTATATAACCTTAGTAATCTTTATTAAAAATTAATTTGGTACATTTAATCTCAAAACTCTCCAGTAATTTAAAATTCTTAAAGTCATGTTTAAACCTTCAGGATTTTTCGCACCACTGGAAATTTGGGTTACTAAAAAGTTAAAATAATAAAAGCATAAAATAAGCTTTTGTTAAAATTTTATTAAAATTTTATAAAATACAAGGATGTCAATTTTCAATAAATGTAAGGTTTTTGGTTAAGAAACTGTTTAAAACTTGCTTTAAAATAAAGGAAATTATACAGATAAAATTAAATGAAAAAAAAAAAAAACTATCTAGGGCAACAACACCCTAAGCCCTATGGTTATCAAGAAAATAGTTGATATAGGGAAAGGGCAAAACCATGTAACTATTTAAAAACCAAAGGGTGTAATGTTAAGGAATTGTTTCATTTTGTAGATTAGTATCATTCAGCTTCTTTAAAAAAAACTTTAGTGGATTGTAGAAATAACTACTTTAAAAACAAAATTCTTAATTTCAAATGCTTCAAAATGTAAGCCCTTGTTTGAATTAATGCAGGACCCACAGCTCATTAGTGAACAATCACTGATGCACAGGAAGCTATTCCTAAAAAAGCAATCAGCCTAGTAGGCCAGATAATGCCCATTATAAGGTCTGTTTGCCCTGAGAAGGGGATTGCCCAACGCTCCCTATAAAATACCAAGTAAAGTACCCCAGATGAAGCAGTTGACATGTTTCATATGCAAGACATGTTGGACTAGCTTTATGATAACTGGGATATCCTCCCACCTAATACGTCTGTTACCCACGTCATGGTAAATGTGGGGGTTAAAGGGGCCCCTTTTACATGGGTACCCCTCCCACAGAATCATAGGTTTATTTAAGAAGCCTTATCAAATCTGCTATCCCCCATAGGTCATACAGATGCAACCCCCTGCTGGGAACCCCGACCCTTTTCACCAGAAAAGGTAAAATTGGTCTGGGGGTAAAACGGCTTTCTGGAACCAGAGCACAAAAACATACAGGTTAATAGAATTATAAAATGTAAGATGTTTAAACAAGATTTATGTAAGTTAGTCATAACCACTTTTACTTAAATGCCTTATAAAAATAGGTACTATATCTAACTGGGAATGTTTTCCCCTTTCTAATACTATAAAACCAAAGACATGTAAATCTGCTCATGTAAATTCTCCGCTGCATAGCCTTTTGTGTGGAGCATTTATTGGGGCTAATGGCAAAAACCGTAAGTATTTTTCGGTAACAATGACTGAGCTAGAGAATTTCTACTTGATGGGGCATTTACTGCTTTGCTATGGAATATTAACTAAAGCTATCCCTATATTAATGGAAGTAATGTTTCCCAAAAAGTTCCATAATAAAATAAAAATGGTTTACATGAAATCTTGCTACCTGATAAGCAAAAAGCCTCTTTTCTAAAACTAATTGTAAGGAGTTGCTAAACTCCAGTGCCTAATAGCTCTCGTGAGCTGTTTGGTCTGTAAATGGCATTTCCAAGGTAAACAAACATCTCGTTTCAAAAGCTGCTGCTCTGGTTAAAGAAGGATTAAAATATATGTATATATATTTTCTTTTATTTGGGGAAAGTATGTTTTTATAGGCAAATTTCCCTTTCTAAGTCCTCCAGAATTCAGATTGTAGTTTTATGGCAATATAGTTGTCTGCATAAGTTCAATAATAATTTTTTAAAAAACAAAGGCACTCGTTATTTTATAAAGACTGAAACTAAAATAACCTATTTTTAGGTAAAGTTTCAGTAAAACCAACTTTAAAAAAATTCTGGCCGGGAACAGTGGCTCACGCCTATAATCCCAGCACTTTGGGAGGCTGAGGCAGGCAGATCACCTGAGGTCAGGAGTTCAAGACCAGCCTGACCAACATGGAGAAACCCCATCTCTACTGAAAATGCAAAATTAGCCAGGCATGGTGGCGCATGCCTGTAATCCCAGCTACTCGGGAGGCTGAGGCAGAAGAATCGCTTGAACCTGGGAAGCAGAGGTTGTGGTGAGCCAAGATTGTGCCATTGCACTCCAGCCTGGGCAACGAGAGCAAAACTGTGTCTCAAAAACAAAACAAAAAACAAAACAAAAAAATTGTTGCAAATCAATTTCTTACTACATTTTATACAAATAATCAGGCAAACATAATAAGCCTAAAACTTACCTTGCACACAAATTGACCTTGCTATAATATTCTCTTTAATAAAAAAGGTGGCTAAAAAAAATTGTTTCAAAGGCAAAGCATAACACTTAATACTGGATTTCAGCCTTAACTTTTTTTAAGTACAAATTAAATCATTATTTCTTGGCATAATAATCCTCTAAAAAGTACTACATTATAATTTTTCTTCATATTTTTAGTTGGTACCCTAAAGGAGTAGGTTCCTTTTCCTGGTCTAACATACAAATTACTATTATAGCTGTCAAACTATAAATGTTATTTATCTCTTTTTGTTTTACTTCCAAAAAAACCAAGATCATGGTATTCTAAAGACCAGAGATACAAATCTCCCTCATTTGGCATCCTACTGGGCCCAGATCTGTTCCACTGCTAATGCTCTGTTGCTAAAACTATACAAGCCGCCTCCCTCTAGGCCCAGGGACTATTGCAGAAGAGGTAGGCACGTAAGATTGTAAGGGCCAGTTTTAAGGGATAAAATTAAAACAAAATCAAACCCTCCAAATCAAAAAGGGGGTACTAAAAATGCCTAAACCGCTGGTAAAACAATTTGGTTGCCTTTTAAACTGTTATGTGTCACTTTTGCATCCACCCCAACCATAAAAATTTTCTGCTTACTATAAAATTAAAGGAAAATATTTACTAACAGGATAAAATACCTTGTAACAAAGTCTCCTGGGTATAATACTCCCAATTATGAGTTGTAAAAATAAATCTATCTATATATATTTAATTTTTCAGAACAGTGCTTATGTTTGTATGGCTAATTGCTGTAAGTCTGTAACAAAAACCAAGCTCACACACAACAGCTCAACACATAAAAGTTAAAACAAGTCAGTCTTACAGCTTTTCCTTTTGGTTTTTCTATCTGCCTTTTTACTTAAAACAATAGTTTAAAAAAGTCACAAATGCCTGTCCACATCCATTTTTATCTGGCCTAAAACAATTAATTGGCTATAAGTCTTTTAACTCTTAAGGCCCTCAGCTATAGGAAGTCCTGCCAAGAAAAAAATGACACTGTAGATTTATATAACTTTCCCTGTAACAAAACCTTTTCTCTCCCAAATACCAGTATATGGTGCAATACAAAAGTGGGGAGAAAAATAGATTTGTCTATTGTTAACAAGTCTATAACAATTTAAACACCAAGAACCAGGCATTTCTTGCATTTAATTTATACCCTCCTCAGGATGCTATATCTATAAAGATAAATTAGCCAGAGGAAAAGATTAAATTTGGCTGGGTGCGGTGGCTCACACTTGTCATCCCAGCACTTTGGGAGGCCGAGGTGGGCGGATCACCTAACGTCGGGAGTTCGAGACCAGCCTGGCCAGCATAGTGAAACCCTGTCTCTACTAAAAATACAAAAATTAGCCGGATGTGGTGGCAGGCACCTGTAATCCCAGCTACTCGGGAAGCTGAGGCAGGAGAATCGCTTGAACCCAGGAGGCAGAGGTTGCAGTGAGCCGAGATTGCGCCACTGTCACTTCAGTCTGGGCAACAGAGTGAGACTCCATCTCAAAAAAAGAAAAGATTACATTTATTAAATTCTAATTTAATGTTGGTCCTACAATTCTCAAGTAAGATTTATCAAAAGATCCAAATAACCCTTAATAAGGAAGGGAAACACATTGTAAGTCTAATCAAAAATATAATAATGCATATGGGTTTTTTCTGGCTCATTAGTTTGTTTATTGCCCTCTATTTCTACCTGTAACCTTGGATGCCCAAACCTTCACTATCTTTATCATATTACTATATTAACATTAAACATTTTCTTGTAAATGTTATGCCAAATGCAGCAGAAGAAAAGGCACGATTAAAGACTCGAATCATAATAGCTCAAAAAATCTGATCTAGGATTTTTTTTTTAAACAAACCCTAGGCCTGACTCCATCTCACCCCTTAAACAATTGGCTATTACATCACATCAGACCATGTCCTCCCCCATTATTCAAATCACTAATATTTAAAACTATTACCACCAATCAGACTACATGGGAATAAGCATTCCTAGTGCCATGAAACCTCACCAAATGACCAAATCAAACACCCCTAGGAATAAGCCTCCTAGTGCTGTGGGAACCGATGCTGTTTAGTTGGCCTGCAGGTGCATTCTGTGGAAAGCTTTTTGGCCAAGAGTGGGGACTAAGGACTAAGCTCTTATTTTTTTTATCTTACCCAAATTCCTACCTAAGGGGTCTATGGAGTCATGTCCTACAAACCATAAATTCTCATCAGATGGGTTTTATTTAACCCTATATATTGTGACTTACTTTTCAATCTAACTCTGGCATAACATTATGAGACAGGGAAAAAAAATGTTTAACCCCAAAATATATTTCCTTGCCATACCTTAAAATTGCCCTGCAAAGTCACTTGTGGAAAGAATCCACATTCTATAGAGAATCCCCTTGCCCCTTTGTTTTATTTCCTTCCTTCTCAGATCCAGGAGATAATCAACTAAGAGCTAGACATGATTTAAGTCCAATGAAAAACCATTTACAACCTGTTATCTCTAAAGTCTGCTATCCAAAAAGCTTCCTCTGCACAATAAAACTTGGCCTCCACAATCCTTTATCTTTAACCTGAACATTCCTCTCTATCCATCCCAGATCTTCAGACAACCTCAACCAATTGTCAACCAGAAAATGTTCAAATTTCCCTATAGCCTGGAAGCCCCTGCTTTTGAGTTGTCCCGCCTTTCTAAACCAAACCAGTGTATTTCTTAAATGTATTTGATTAATGTCTCATGCATCCTAAAATACATAAACCAAGCTGTAACCCAATCACCTTGGGCACGTGTTCTCAAGACCTCCTGACGGCTATGTCATGGGCCATGGTCACTCATATTTGGTTCAGAATAAATCTCTTCAAATATTTTAGAGTTTCACTCTTTTCATCAATAATGTTAAATATTTTTTTTTTATTCTGACCAAGTACTTGTATAAATGTTTGTTCAGTAAATTTTCTCATTGTCTGGGAATACTTTTGTAGCAATTCTATTATCCTATTATATTTCAGTGCATTGTTCATACCATATAGATACAAGAAATGTGTATGAATAATAAGATGCTATTTGGGAGCAATCTTTCTTCCAAATTTGAACTAATTTGAACTACTGACATACATTTTAGTTTTTTAGTATTCTGTTGGCTACATTTGCTTATCAAAGGTTAAAATTTGGATTCATTGATTTATACCAGTAGTTCTCAGCTATGGACTAAGTGCCTCCAAGGCACATTTCACAATACCTGGAGACACTTTTTCTTGTTTGCACAAAGGAGAAGTTCCCATTGACACTTGTAGGGTAGAGGCCAGATGCTGTTTTATACTTCAAAGTGCACAGGGGAGCCCATTACAACAAAGCTTTATCCTGCCCAAAATGTCAGTTATGTCAGGGTTGAGGAACTCTGATCTAAAGATAAAAATAATATGAATAAAAATGTAAAGAAAATACACATAAATGCAGTTACTCAAATTAGTAGGCATTATGAGTGTCTAGTATTTACCAGATTTGTGCTTATTCAAAGGTGAATGTAGATCTATGTGAGAGATAAAACACACAAATATACATTTTTAATAGATAAGTATTTTTATGAAAAATAATTTATTTATATCAGAAATGACAGTAACAGATAGGCGAGGAATTTGTGCATGTAAATAGCATACCCATGTTTGAACTTACAGATTAAGCATAAAATGCATCTCATGGAATGTCTTGGGTGGAGATGAATAGAGGCCTGCATCACGGGTAGTAAAAGAATTTACTGAAACAGCAGTGAGTTAAATAAAGCAAGTTTATTAGAGAGAAAGTACTTTGCAAGGAAGCAACGGGCAACACAGCGGAGAAGGGAATGTCTGCAAAGAGGCAGGGGCTGGAGGAAAGTTTTACAGGGTCATGGTGCTAGGACTACTTGCATGGAGTGAGGCATTTGGGAACAGGATATTGTGCCACTGGGTTTTTTGTGGTTAGCTGTCTCCAAACAATTGTTCTCCCCTCCCTGGGGCCCCTCTTTGTTGTTAAGTTATCAGGACTCCACATGAAATATTTAGCAGTCATCTGTAATACAATTTACTGTGGAGAACTGTGAAATGGGAAGGTTATATTTTTCTGTTGGTGAAAAGAGAAATAGGAGATTGCTTCAAAATGGGGTAGCCTACCATAAAGAAATGAAAATACTGGAAGCTTTATGCTTTCAAGTGTGTGCTTGACACTTCAGATGACCTTGATTACATTTTGTTTACTCTGCCCTTAAATTTATTAAATCTACAAATTTCCAATTGCGTACACATTTATACTTTAGCTTTTCTGTAACCACTATTACTGAAACCATGGTAATGAAATCATCTTTGTTAGAATTCTGTAGATTGTCAAATAAACTTCAGAAAAAGTGAGTCTAATTGCAAGTTGATTCTCAAATATCAACTGATAATGGTTGCTGGAAGCATTTTAATATTTTATTAGATGGAGACAGTTTGAAATTTAAAGACAACTTGAACTTGCTTGCTTGAAGTCACAAAATTTGCATTCCAAATTTGAAAGAATGGAGGTAAGAAAGGAGGCAGTTTAGGAAGAGAACACTATCATGAACCCAGGTGCTTTCAACTATCATAGTATTTAAACCTTACTGTAACTATTTTAAGTGGATATTATTATCATCATTATATAAAAGGAAATGAGACTAATTGTTCTCAGTGTCCAGCTCCTAACTAGGGAGGTAGCTTGAATTCAGTTCCTTTGAAATGAAAGTTACTGGTCTTTCCTCATATGCTCCTTCTTTTTGACAGAATTTATACTAATGTTCATGACTTCATTGAATCTATTTTGCATGAGTGATTTTGCTGAAGGTAAC
Organism: Homo sapiens; assembly: GCF_000001405.40. Classification (NCBI taxonomy): domain Eukaryota; kingdom Metazoa; phylum Chordata; class Mammalia; order Primates; family Hominidae; genus Homo; species Homo sapiens. The sequence goes on from NC_000008.11 coordinate 87,023,215, forward strand.
AGATGAAAAATACACACACATTGCTGATGAGGGGCTCCTAAAGCAGACTTGATGAATCCATAAGATGGAACACAGTTAACAAGTTAAGAATAAACATAGAATATTCCATTAAAATATACCTTTAAATTTGAAATATGTAAAATAATAATCTAGTGTAATTAGATAATTTAAAACCTCTATTTTTATTTTATTTACCTCGGTGAGGCTTTTGGAATCTGAAAAATGTATCACATCCAAATAGTATTTTACATTTTGACTTTTTGCATTATTTCCTTATCTGTAGAGACCACATCCAAATAGTATTTTACATTTTGACTTTTTGCATTATTTCCTTATCTGTAGAGACCCTTAATACTACTAATTTTTCCAAATGTATAATTATGTCATATATTTCTTTAAGTCAAATTTTAATTCAAGTATCAAATTATCATTTTAACCAGCTCTTCCTTGTGTTCCTGGATACCCATCAGGCTTAATCACACTGAGTTAGAATCCCTAACCACTATCTTAATGAGTGAACCTGCTTTGTTAGTGTGGCTGGATGTCTTGGCTTGCCAGAAAACCTTGGCTTTATCATTTTAAAAGTTTGTTCTGACTTCTTAGAAAGTGTTATTTGAGTTACATGGTTTGATTGTTTATTAAAACAGTATTATAAATGCAGTTTAGCTTCAAATTATACATTTTATTTGTGTTAAAGACTAGAATACCTCTGACTCATTTCGTATTGAAAGAGACCTAGCCGGCCAGGCGTGGTGGCTCATGCCTGTAATCCCAGAACTTTGGGAGGCCGAGGCGGGTGGATCACGAGGTCTGGAGATCAAGACCATCCTGGCTAACACGGTGAAACCCCGTCTCTACTAAAAATTAAAAAAAAATTAGCCTGACCTGGTGGCAGGCACCTGTAATCTCAGATACTTGGGAGGCTGAGGCAGGAGAATGGTGTGAACCCAGGAGGCAGTGCTTGCAGTGAGCCGAGATCACACCACTGCACTCCAGCCTGGGTGACAGAGCGAGACTCCATCTCAAAAAAAAAGAAAAAAAAAAAAAAAAGCTATCCAGGAATCATTAGAGTTTACAAAATATAGGGATTTTTAAAATTTATTTTATTTTATTTATTTTTATAATTTATTTTATTTATCTTTTGAGAGGGAGTCTCACTGTGTCTCCCAGGCTGGAGTGCAGTGGCATGATCTTGGCTCACTGCAACCTTTGCCTCCCAGGTTGAAGCCAATTCTCATGCCTCAGCCTCCCAAGTAGCTGGGATTACAGATGTGTGCCACCATGCCTGGCTAATTTTTTATATTTTTGGTAGAGACTGGGTTTCACCATATTGGCCAGGCTGGTCTCAAACTCCTGACCTCAAATGATCCACCCACCTCGGCCTCCCAAACTGCTGGGATTATAGGCATGAGCCACCACACCCAGCCAGGAATAACTTTTTAGAGTAAAAAAAAGTAATTGATTATTTTTGGTTTTTGTAGAAGTAATAAGACATTTTGATACTTTCAACTTCATTTATTTTCTGTGTTGTTTTAAAGACTTCTTCTCCTAGATAACGAGATAATTTTGTAACTTTGCTGATTCTGCATCAGTTGCCATGGTTTTTGATTGGTGCTTTACTACCTAAGACTGTACAAATAACAATAATCCCAAGAAACTGTTTTTTGAGAATAAAATTTTATTAATTAAATGCTCAAGTTAAAGCATTTAAAAATAACTTTCCTGAGTGCATAGAAACTGACTAAGAATCAGACAAAGAGGCTAACATCTTTCTGTGTATATTAGGCCAAATTGTTGGGTGAGATGAATGAAATTCAGAATAAGGAGGATTGAGAGGTGAAGCCAGCTGGGCGTCTGGGTAGGGTGGGGACTTGGAGAACTTTTGTGTCTAGCTAAAGGATTGTAAATGCACCAATCAGCGCTCTGTGTCTAAAGGATTGTAAACGCACCAATCAGCACTCCGTAAAATGGACCAATCAGCACTCTGTAAAATGGACCAATCAGCGCTCTGTAAAATGGACCAATCCCCAGGATGTGGGTGGGGCCAAATAAGGGAATAAAAGCTGGCCACCCCAGCCAGCTGGGGCAACCTGGGTCCCCTTCCACTCTGTGGAAGGGTTGTTCTTTTGCTTTTCACAATAAATCTTGCTGCTGCTCACTCTTTGGGTCCACACAACCTTTGTGAGCTATAACACTCTCTGCGAAGGTCTGTGGCTTTACTCCTGAAGTCAGGAAGACAACAAACCCAGTGAGTGGAACAAACAACTCCGGACAGGTAACCTTTAAGAGCTGTAACACTCACTGTGAAGATCTGCAGCTTTACTCTTGAAATCAGCGAGACCGCGAACCCACCAGGTGGAACAAACAAGTCTGGATATGCCACCTGTAAGAGCTGTAACACTCACTGTGAAGGTCTGTGGCTTTACTCCTGAAGTCAGCAAGACAACGAACCCAGTGGGTGGAACAGACAACTCCGGACAGGCAACCTTTAAGAGCTGTAACACTCACTGTGAAGAAGATCTGCGGCTTCACTCCTGAGGTCGGTGAGACCACGAACCCACCGGAAGGAAGAAACTCCGGACACACCATCTTTAAGAACTGTAATACTCACCACGACTGTCTGCGGCTTCATTCTTGAAGTCAGCGAGACCAAGAACCCACCGGAAGGAACCAATTCAGGACACAGGATGAATTGATGAGGATGGAGGAAAGGGAAATAGTTCAACTCTGTGAGCTCATGTTATAACTGATATGTTTTCTTCTACAGGAAACATTTTCTAAATTCTCTAAGAGGAATGCCATTATGTTTTAAAATAGGTTTATGGGATGTTAACTTTTTTCTTCCAAATCACCTTCTATTTAAGGTCAAATGTTTTGCTTATTTTTTGAATTAGAAGAAATAAATGCCACAGAAGCATTCTTTTTAAAAGGTTCTTTTCAATAGCATACAAATCAAAGAGATCTACCTATACTGTATTAATGGGAGGACCAAATTCTGTCTTTATACTGATAGCTACCTTATAATCAGTAGAGCTAAAATGGTTGTGACTGAAGAGTTTTTCTTTTCTTTTCTCTCCGTTTCTCCCCTTTTCCTCCCTGCTCCTTTCTTCCTTCCCTTCTTGCTTCCTTCCCTTCTCCCTCCCTCCCTCTCTCCCTCCCTCCCTTCTTCCCTTTCTTTCCTATTGCTAAGAATACAAAGAACCCCTGCTTATTAAAAGTTACTTTGAGGGAAAAATGTGATATTTCTATTCTTAAAAAAAGTAGGTAAGCAAAATCTATTCTAAATTCTGCCTAATCTTCAGATTATTGGTTTATATTTCAAAATAAAATATGGGAATATTTTATGATTTTCTCTTCTCTTTTTAAAAAATAACTAGTCATTTTATATTAGAACAAAAATTCACCAAACAAGATCCTTTCTCTAAAAAAATTTTCTTTTCTTTATAACCTTCCTTATCAAAAATACATCTTTGTTTTCATAACTTCCTTCAAATCTCTTTCCCGTACTTACTAGTTCCTTACTACCTTGTTTCATAAATAACCTTTTCAAGCTGATAATTTGAATTATACGTAGGTATTTTTCCCAATAACTCAGGAAGTTCAGCAAACAACATTAAATTAGTCTCATTTGTCAGAGAAGACACACAAACCAAGATCATTTCATTTTGGCTGGGTTTCTATGCCAAACCTTGACACCTCAAAATATCCAGCAAAGACAAACATAACACCCGGACAAAAATGTATGCTGACAGTTCTGAAGAAGTTTCTATTTTTATTGTATCAATAATTTTAAAGCCACCTTGTTTGTTAAAAATTTCCTTAAGTCATGTGAACTTGAAAAATACTTTGGGCTTAACTTATGAGTGCTTTTTTTTTAATAAGCCAATTTGGTAAACGCAATATATAACATAATAAATGTACGTACATAAATACTTCTGATAGTAATACAAACTCACCAGTTTAGAGGCTACTTTTGTTTGCTCAATAGGTAATGCAATGAAGACTGTGAACCAACATTTTGGGTAAAACAGCTCCCATGGCAGTTTTATTTTTATTTTTATTTATTTATTTATTTTGAGATGGAATCTTGCTCTGTTGCCAGGCTGGAGTGCAGTGGCGTGATCTCGGCTCACTGCAACCACCGTCTCCTGGGTTCAAGTGATTTTCCTGCCTCAGCCTCCTGAGTAGCTGGAACTACAGGCCTGCACCACCATGCCCAGCTAATTTTTATATTTTTAGTAGAGATGGGGTTTCACCATGTTGACCAGGATGGTCTTGATCTATTGACCTCGTGAGCTGTCCGCCTCGGCCTCCCAAAGTGCTGGGATTATAGGCATGAGCCACCGTGCCTGGCCTGGCAGTTTGATTTTTAAAGGCCAAACCTCTTCAGACTCCAAAGACCACTGGGTCCAAAAAGTACCACAGAAGAACATCACCTGGAATCTATTAAACAGGAGGCCCAACCCTTTTTAGTATAGCAACATAAAAGCCTAAATACACGGGACTCCGTCCCACTTTCTCATTCAACAGCAATCTCCAGATTCCAAAGAATATTGGGGCCAAACAGTATCACAAAGAACATCAGTTTACCAAATTCTAATTTCCCATTACTGTATCAAACATAAAGTCATCAAAACACAATCCAACTGCTGCAGCAACAAACAAGCTCCAAGTGTGTCCAAACGGAAACAGTCGGTATGCTTCCTCTCTCTCTCAGTTGGGCCTGATCAGCTGCAAACAAAAATTCCTTACGAATTTCTCAATTGAGAGGAGCCCATCCCAGTGTCTGGTACCCACAAAAGACATTCACTTCCCTGGACACACACACACACACAACACACAACACACAATTACAAGCATGTCCCCAAGTGTATCCATACTGAAACAGCCAGGGTGCATTCCTCTCTCAGTCAGTTAGGCTTGTTCAACTTGCAAATGGAAATTCCTTTAAAAATTTGAGAAATTGAGAGCAGATCCTGCTACCTGGGCCCACAAAGGACACACACACCTATCCAGATGCAGGTGCCAATTTTCAAAGGCAGCTCTTCTGAGGCAATCAGGAATGTGGTTGGGGCCAGATGCAATGGGGCCGGAGAGAGACAGAAACTTGCTTCCAGCCAAAATTGGGCAAGCAGCTATTTAGGAGATCTTCTAAGACTCCCAGTCCTTGGCAGCTGAACCATGAGCAATGCTTTTCAAGTCAGGGAATGAAAATCTATTACCAGAACACCAGGAGTTCAATCTAGGTCCTGCTGCTCACTGCACAGAAGGCCAATCACTGAGACAATAAGTATTGCCAAGGAGGAAGGCTTTAATCAGGTGATGCAGCTGAGAAGAAAGGAGAACAGTCTCAAATCCATCTCCCTGACTGATTAAAACTAGGGGTTTATATAGCAGGTAAGAAATGTAACAATGTGTAAGAAAACAGGAACTAAGGAGGGGTAAGAAAGCAATTATGATAAATGCAGGGGGCCTGATGTCTCATTGTCTGGATGTGGTGATCTGATGATTTTCAATTATTTGGTACCTTTTTTGAGAAGCCTAAGTGTTGTTTCCTAAGGAAGGAACTCAGATAAAACAAATGTAAGTTTCAAGCTTTAAGACCAGCAGGGTCAATTTCTGTTCATCTACAAAAACTGTTTATATACAAAAACCATTGACTTGGTTTCACCAATTTATTTTCTCTGCAACAAGGTGTACAAGGCTTCCCTTTTCTCTACATCCTTTCTAACACTTGTTACATTTTGACTTTGATATTAGCCATCCTAACAAGTGTGAGGTGATATCTCTTTGCTTTGGATTGACACATTTAAAAAGAATGCTTTTAGCATTATTTAAACTTATATTTATTCTAACTTACTACATTAGCAAAACATTTAGTCTTCAATAGAAGGTGATTTGGGAGAAAAAAGGAATTATTTGTCCCTAAATTGTTTCCATGATAATGTGTTTCTACTCCAATTCCTCAATCTCCCTCATTTTTACTCTCCATTTGAAATCTGTGTGTGTTCCAATTAAAAGTATTCTTTCAGACCAATATACGTGAAAAGTGGAGCATAGTGCAGTATTATGTAGGAGAAGCCAAACAAGCAAACAAGTAAACAACAAAGGAATCACAGTCATGGTAATTTTCAGCACTTAGTTGTAAGTAATATTTTCAAAGGCTTACTAATTTAAATACTGAATATAGAGTCAACCAAACTTATTCCAATTTTTGGGTGGTTATCATTTTGTGTAGTTATGTCACATAGACACATTGGGAAATGGGGAGGTAAAGCAGTGTAGAGAAGACAAAATCCCTCATGTGCTCTCATAGAAAGGTAATAAAATCTAAAATTGATAAATTGCAAGATAATAAATTATGTATATAATTTAGAAATCTGGTAATGCCAGAAACCAAAGCAGATAAAGCAGTAAAAAGTGATTGCCTTTTATGAGAGACGAGAGGAGGAGTGAGAAAGGGCCTCACACTATTTTGTTAAAAGTCTTAAATAATATTTGAGGAAAAAAAATGGATCACTGGGAGAAAAGATATTTATGGAAAATAATTATGTTATTATTTTACATCTTTATTTGTTAATTAGATTTTTGGTGTGATTGTCAATATTTATAAGCTTCTGAGGTTTTGCTTTTAATATGTATTTTTATTTTGAGGGTACATTTCCTAAAATGCAAAGGCACATATAGGTGCCTATGACAGGCACATATACGTGTGTTCAGCATTTTATATAGTAATGAAGTCACAAATATAGTCAATTGAAAGTAAAAATGAAATAAATTTAGATATGCTTTTTAAAAGTGAATTCTGTACTCTGTTCATTGAATTTAACACATCTGCTCAGTTTTCAAAATTATTGTAATCACACAACAGAAATGATTAGTAAAGATAAACATTTCAAAAATGTTATTTTAAAATGCTTGATGGCACTAACTTTTTTTTAAAGCAGCTTGGTAACTTTTATGGCTGCTAGATTTAATAGGAGTCACCATGGAAACTGTCTCACAATGCTTTGCAGTTGAATGAGATATAAAATACCCATTTAAAAACATAAACACTTTGACAGCTGTAAGAATATTTACATTTTCTCAAATTATGATGTAATGGTATTGCTAAGGGAATGGAGAAATAAGCATTAAAACAGAAGATACTCTTGGAATTCTTATGAACTACTCAGGAACTTTGGTTTATCTTTATAGATTTTTCCTACTTTTTGAAAGATAGTGAAAGATTAGAAAAAATCATAAAATTCAAGACATTCTGTCCAAGTATTTAGAAATCACTTGCTCCTTTTCACTCCTTTATCTCCATGCTACATATCCTTTTGCTCTTTTTTTAATCTTCTCTTCCTAATCTGCCTGACACTTTATATCTTCTAAAATTTTTTTAAATTAAAAATAGACAGTGTATTTTAATGATCTTCAGGATTTATTCAGGGATGCACTGTATCATTACTGTTCTTAGTAAAAATTGACATGTTTGCTTCATTATCTGAAGCAGGATGTGCAGTGATTCAGCTAGAACTCAGGATAAGATGGAGGGACACACAGCTCCAGCCATAACATCTGTGTTCAAGGCAGAAAGGGAAAGGGTGATGACAGCCATGTCTCCTCCTCCCCTTCTCCCCCCTCCCCTCTCCTCCCTCTCCTCCCTCTCCTCCCCTCTCCTCCTTCCCCTCCCCTCTCCTCCCCACCTCCTCCTCCCCCCCTCCTCCTGCCCCCCTTCCCCCTCCTCCCCCTCTTCCTCTCCCCCCTTCTTTCTCCTTCTTTCTTTCTCCTTTTTTTGTAATCTGGAAAAAAAATTCTTCCAGAAGCCCTCTTCACCAAGCAGATTTCTGATTATGTTTCACAGTTGGGTTTTATAGATGCTCCCAGATTAAAGAAGTTAAAAAAATTAAACACGACTTTTCAGCATCGATATATAATTAAAAATGGCAAGGGAATAGGGGGTTAGAAATGGCATTTCTATAGTCAGTCTGAAGTGTCTTTCTCAGTGAATTAAGGATGGAAAAATGGTGAAGGCAGTGTGTCTTAAACACAAGTAACATTTTTGCAAAAAGCACTTAATTATTGCCTTGGAGTACACCACATCATGGAAATGTTGCACATAACTCGTGTGTGCAACATTGCTTTCATAGTAAGGCAAGTAAAGCATCAAACTGAGGTTCAGAGAGATCAGTGGAGTTGTTGCTACACTTCAGCCTGTTTATCATGCCTCCTTATCAGTAGGGCTCATTTTGATTAGTGGCTAGAATTGAGAGAAGCCTATGCAAGCATTTTCCACTATTTTTTCAGAATTATAATTTAGGAGCTACTCATACTCCAGGATGATCTCATCCATTCCCATTGCTTTAAATTTAGCATCTGTATTCTGCAATTAAATCTGTTCCTTTTCTGGGGTTATCTGTCTCAGTGAATGACAATATTCCTGTTCGTTGGCCCCAGACAGAAAAGTTAATACACTCTTAAATCTCATTCCTCCATTAGTATTGACATCCAATTAGTCACTAAACCCTTCCTTTACGTTCTTATCATTTATTTATTTTTGAGATGGAGTCTCGCTCTATCACCCAGGCTGGAGTTCAGTGGTGCCATCTTGGTTCACCATAAACTCCACCCCCCAGGTTCAAGCCATTCTCTAGCCTCAGCCTCCTGAGTAGCTGGGATTACAGGCATGCACCACCACACCCAGCTAATTTTTGTATTTTTGGTAGAGACAGGGTTTCATCATGTTGGCCAGGCTGGTCTTGAACTTCTGAAGTCAGGTGATCCTCCCCCCTCAGCCTCCCAAACTGCTGGGAATTACAGGCATGAGCCACAGTGCCCAGCCTAACCCTTCCTTTATATATCTCTAAACAAAATTTTGTTTCAACTTTGTTTGAAGACAACATCTTTCTCTTTGAAAGAAGGTTCTTAATGGCTGCATACATTTAATGGTATGGATCTTGCCTAATCTAGTCAGTTTTTTAAAATTTTATTGGAATCCAAAATTATATGCAATTCACCCTTGAACAATGTGGGGGGTAGGGGCGTTGACCACCTGTGCAGTTGAAAATCTGCATAGAACTTTTGACTCCCCTCAAACTTAATTACTAAGAGCCTATTGTTGATCGGAAGCCTTACTAATTATATAAACAGTCAACAAACATATTTTTATGTTACATGTGTTATATTCTATATTCTTACACTAAAGTAAGCTAGAGAAAAGAAAACGCTATTAAGAAGATCATAGGAAAGAAAAAATATATTTACTATTAAGTGGAAGTGAATCATCATAAAAGTCTTCATTCTTACTGTTTTCCCACTGAATGGGCTGAGGAGCAGGAGAAAGAGGAGGAGTTACTTTTGCTGTCTCAGGGGTGGCACAGGCAGAAAAGGTGGAGGATGTGGAAGGGGAGGCAGAAGAGACAGGGATACTCTGTAACTTCACAGAAATACATTGTAATTTTTGTCTTCCTTTTTTCTCCAAAAATGTTTCTATATGTTACCAATCATTCTTCCACCATTTGCTTTAGTTTCATTGCCCATATTGTAGAAAGATCAATGTCATAAAAGAGTAAAAATCAGTCTTGAGTAAATCAGACTCCTTCTGCCAGATTGTCTGATGTTAATTTGTTTTCTGGCACTGCTTCTTTTACATCTTCCTCATTGTCACTGATTTGGAAGCACTTATCCTCCCATCTTCTGTTAATTCTTCTGGTGTGGTGTCTACTAGCTCTTGATTTTCGTCAAGATTCATATCTTGAAACCCTTCATCCCACTCCCTCTTTGCTGTATCGACAATCTCTTTCACAGTTTCCTTGATTGACTCTATCATAAACCCTGTGAAGTCATACACAACATCTGTACACATGTTTTTCCAGCAGGAATTTATTGTTTCAGGCTTGATGACCTTTACAGCTTTTTAAATAACAATGATGGCATCTTCAGTAGTGTAATTTTCCCAGACTTTCCAACATTCTTTATATCAGGGTTTTCTTCCACAGTATTGACAATTTCTTACGCAGAGTACCATGTGTAATAAGCCTTAAACGTCCTGATGAGCCCCTTGATCTAAAGGTTGAATTAGAGACATTGTGTTTGGGGGCAAGTAGACCACTTCAGTGCCTTTGGTGTAGAACTCATGAAGTTCTGGGTCACCAAGGTCATTGTTCAATAACAATAGAGCTTTAAAAGGCAATTTCTTACTGACAAGGTAATTCTTGACTTCGGGGACAAGGTATTGATGAAATCAGTCCAGAAAAAGTGTTCTTGTTGTCCAGGCCTTCTTTTTGTACAACCAGGACTGGTAGCTGATGTTTATCTTTTCCCCTCAGGGATCAGAGATTAGCAGCTTTATAGATAAAGGCAGTACTGATTATAAACCCAAATGAATTGCACAAAACTGTAGAGTTAGCCTGCCCCTTCCTGTCTTAAATCGTGGTGCTCATTTATCTTCCTTACTAATAAATATACTTTCTGACATTTTCTTCCAGCATAGGGCACTTTTGTCTTAAAACCTTTTTCAGGTACATATATCATTTCTCCTCAATGCTTTTCTTAATGGCTTCTGGAATTTGTCTGTTGTCTCTTGGTCAACAGAAGCTGCTTCTCCTGTTAACTTGACGTTTTTTAAGCCAAACCTCTTTCTAAAATATCAAACCATCCTTTGCTGGCATTATATTTATTAGTTTTTTTCTTTCACCTTTCTTTTGCTTTAGGTTGTCACATAATGACTTAGCTTTTTCTTGAATCATATTAGAGCTTATAGGTATGCTTTTCTTATGGCTGTCCTGCATCCACAAAAAAAAGCTGTGTTTTTAATATGATATAAAAAGGTATTTCATAAAAAGAGCAAGGTTTTCATGTTGCTAGTGTGGCTGCAGTGAGAGCTTCAGTAATTTTCTTTTTTCCATTTATTTACAATGATCCTTATGCTGTATTCATTTATCTTGAAATGTCAGGCAACTGCAGCTACAGACCTCATTTTATGATTACATATTGAGCAACTCAACTTTTAATTGTAATAATTTGACTTTTCTCTGCTTCTTGGGAGTGCTCCCAAGGTATCATAATATCATTCAAGGTTTATGGTATTGCACTAAACATGAAAAATGTGCAAGAACTATGACAGACCACTTTTTACTGTGATAAAGCAGCCTACTGGAGAGAACTGCTCATGAGGCAATGGTTAGAATCACCTGGTGTTTTAAGCTAATACTGGCAACTCTTGAGCTCATCTCAACAGCAACAGGAGGCAGCTACACAATTATTACAGTAGCATGGTATGTACTACAGTTAATTTTATACAGTTAAAATTTAATACTGAATCTTTGTATTTATTTACATGTCTATTAACTGTGATGGTGCCATGTAGGTATGATCTGTTCATGTGTGTAAGTTTTGGTAAATTTTAACATTTTATAATTTGTGTATATTTTGTGGTAGTAAATGATAACATAGACTCGTATATAATATCTACATATATTATTTGCATGCATGACATACTTAAACTTTCTTAAATTTTTTTATGTTCCTAGGCTACATAGTTCATCTGCTTTTTGATTTATCACAAATCTCCAGACAAATTTAGTATATTTGTTTTTTAAAACTCATGTACAAGTGGACCTGTACAGTTCAAATTCATGTTGTTCAAGGATCAACTATATACATATATATAGATTTGGATGCGACCTTGTAATTCAGATATGTACAATTTAAGTTCTTAGATGGTCAATGTACATCTCTGGATAATTTTTTTTCTGGAATTTATGCGGATTTTTTAGTTTTTTTGACATTTTTTGCTGTATGTTTACATTTGAACAACTTGACTGGAATAGGATTTGGAAGGGGAGTTGTCATAATTTTTAACCAAATGTTCCTTTTTTATAAATATTATTTTATTGTCTTTTGGCAAGATATGTTTGAAACCAGACTAGTTTTTTCAAAGTTTATGCCATCTTTATTTCCTTAATTAAATGAATTATTTTATGTTTTTATTTTAAATGCAGGGGGTGCACATGCATGTTTGTTACATGTGTATATTGTGTAATAATGGGGATTGGGCTTCTAGTATAACTGTAACCCAAATATTGAATATTGGATACAGTGTTCAGTTGGATAGTCTTACATTTCCTTTCTCATTGGATACAATGTTCAACATTAGATTGGATATTTTTGGAGTCCCCAGTGATGTTAGCCTCATGAAATAAATTAGGAAGATTTTAATCATTGCAATGCTTTAGAATAGTTTAAATAACAAACTTTCTTAAACTTTATTACATATACTTCAATTTTTATTAAAGTATACATGTGCATAGCTTAAAATGTAAAACGGTAGTACAAGGTTCAAAGCAGATACAATCTTTTGACCTTATTCACAAGGGCAATTTCTCAGATGCCAACTCTATTAATGCTGTCTTCTTTTTATTCTGTGTTTCTAAATAAAATACTTGAATGTGTTTGTGGCAGTTATGATGAGGTTTGGCTTTAATACAGATCACAAATGGCAGTGGCTTATATAAAACAGAACTTTGCTTCTCTGTCATATAAATGTCTGGAGGGTGGATAGTCCAGGCAATGTATGGCAGCCCGGCTCCATGGAGTTCTCCATGGATGTTTCTATCTTGTGGCTCAGTAGAACATGTCCTGTATTGCTAATGTTACCTTATAGACCAAGTGGCTGCTTCAGCTCCAGATGTTACATTCCAGCTAGCAGAAAGAAGAATGAGATGAAGAATTCCCTGGCTGCCTTTTAAGGAAGATGCTGGGAAACTAATACCTGACATATCTACAGGCCAGAACTCAGTCATGTGACTGTAAACACCTAGGAGCAAGAGAAGTAGGGAAACGCAGCCTTGCACCTCCATAGCCCATTGCTGTGGAGAAGGGGAGATAGAGATTAGAGGATAGGGAGTGATTTTCCATTTTTATTTCTTGATTTTGCAATTCTAGACATTTTCTATTAACATGTTATGAAAATGTAGGATTGGGATCTCTTACATCCATTAAATTCCAAGTCTTGATCCTTCTCCTCACCATTTATGTTTCTTCCTCGTATTTTAAAAAATTAAATCTCTATTTATTGTTCACTATTATTTTTACAGAGTAAAGATTGGTCACGGCCAGGCACGGTGGCTCACGCCTGTAATCCCAGCACTTTGGGAGGCCGAGGCGGGCGGATCACGAGGTCAGGAGATCGAGACCATCCTGGCTGACATGGTGAAACCCCATCTCTACTGAAAATACAAAAAATTAGCCAGGCGTGGTGGTGGGCGCCTGTAGTCCCAGCTGCTTGGGAAGCTGAGGCAGGAGAATGGCTTGAACCCAGGAGGCGGAGCTTGCAGTGAGCAGAGATTGTGCCACTGCACTCCAGCCTGGGCGACAGAGCGAGACTGCATCTCTAAAAAAAAAAAAAAAAAAAAAAAAAGATTGGTCACAGGTGTTCCGTATAGTTTTACATTTCCTTTCTCATACAATTTTTGTTTTTCCTGGAGATAATAAGTACTTTTCATTTATTCACTTGTTTCTATATCTGTCATTGATTTGTCTTTCAATTGTTCAAATAAAAGTAAAACTCTAATAATAAAGTCCAATATATCAGATAACATATCATTTTTTTCCCTAGAAGCCACCTGGAGGCCTCTGCCCTCTTGCTTTATTCTACACTAGATGTTCTCTAGGCCTGTTACACAGCTGTCATCCTAAGATTTTCTTTGCCTTCATCCTGTGAAGTCCCTTCCAATTTTACTTGTGAAGACAAACCTTTTTGGCAAATGATGTCTCTTCTTCTCGCTTCATTTACTTCTTAATACTGAAGGCAGGATTTCTCTGTAAACTTCTAGGAATTTGTAAATTTTTTGCGACCTCGAATATAAAAATATGTATTTTACCTCTCACATTTAATTATTAGCTTGGCTGGTCATAGAATTCTAGAGTTCAAAATAATTTTATCTTGGAATTTTGTTTCCTTACTTTTTAGGTTCCAGGTTGCTTTTCTGGAGTTTGATGCCATTGTAATTCACAATTCTTTAAAAGTGCCTATTTTTTAAAAAACGGTATTTATTCTGGAAGCTTTTAGGATTTTTTTTCTAGAGTTCTGAAGCTTTGCAGTGATATACTTCTATATAAACTTTTTCCATTCATTTTCCTGAACATTTGATTGTCTTCATCAGTGTCTAAGTCATATCCATGGGTATAAAAAAATTATTATTTCAGTGATAATCATCTTGCTTTCCATTTTTCAGAAACTCATTAAGCATTAGCATTCTTCTTCTGGAATTCATAATAAACATTGGCTCTCCTAAATTGATTATATGATTTTTTCTTATATTTTCCAGTTTATCCTTTTTTGGTTCTCCTTTTTAAGATGAAAATTTTTTCAGCTTTGTCTTCCAACTCTTCTACTGAATTTATACTTCTACCAAAATTTTAAGTTCCAACAATTTTTTGTTATCAAAGTATTTATTAGTGTCCTTTTATTATTTTAAGAATTTAATATTTTGGTTTTTTTGGGCTACTGATAATTAAAACTTTTGTATCCTAACCCTTTATGTAACATTTCTGATTCTTCAAAAACTTTGTTTTGATGTTTGTGTTTTTGTTGCTGTCTTTCACAGTGGAAACTTTTCCAAACTATATGATGTCTTCATATTTAAGAGTGAGACAATAAAATGTTCATTCAAAATTGTGCTTTCAGGCCTCATATAGGATGAAATAGCTGGTTACTGAGGAATTTCAGTGTCTATGTTATTTTCTAAAGCTTAGTATAAACTTTCAGTCTCCCATCTGGTGGTGGAATGGGTCAAAGTCTCACACCAAGTTTTCATGGGGCCTGATGATAGAGAGGTGAATGAGGATCTCACAGTTTGACTTGCACTTAAATCTCTGTCTTCAGTAACATGCCTCACTTTGTCTTCTGCTGTCCAGAGCCTCCACAAATTGTAAATATCTTGGTGTCATCTACAATTGAAAAGGAGGTAGCCATGTTGATATGTGGGTTTGGAGGGGGACTTTAGAGAACTAATATTTAGGCTCAAGTTAATCAATATCTTTTTTATTCAGCAGGCTATAACCTCCTGATGGCTTCTTCCTGCCCAGCACAGACAAAGCCAAGTCACTGAGTTTAATTGACGCGAGACTGGCTACACCATGTAGGAGACAGAGTTATTACACAAATCAATTTTTCCAAAAATTCAGAGGCTAGGGTTTTTCAAGGATACTTTGGTGAGCAAAGGGATGATGATGTGGAAAAATGGTCCTCTTCTGGATGGGGCCACAGGATAACTGGTGGGTCTGGGTGAAGCCATCTCTCCAGACATGCAAAAACCTGCAAAAGACAGCTCAAGAGGCCAATCTTAGGTTCTACAATAGTGATGTTATCTGCAGGAGTAATTATGGGAGTTACAAATCTTGCAACCTCCAGAATAGTGGCTGGTAATTGTATTCAGGCTCCTCACATCTTCCTAATGTATTGGCCATTCATTACCTTTACAAAGGTAGTTTAGTTTTGAGGAAGGGCTATTATTATTTAAATTATAAACTAAATGTCTTCCAAAGTTAGCTTGGCCCAAGCCCTCTAGTAATTAAGAAGAATTTGGAGGTTAAAGGCAAGATGGGAGTTGGTTAGATCAGATCTCTTTCAGTATCATAATTTTCTCACTGTTGTAATTTTTGCAAAGGTGGTTTCTAGGTCACTCCACTTTCCACCATTGCCTTCAGTGATACCCATTGCTGCCTCTGATTCTTAAGCTTCTGTGGCCCTTTGAGTTGCAAATCTTTTACTCTTGCAGGCTTCCTTCCCACTATAGGCTGTTAGCAGAACTCAGAAAGCTGAAGCATTCAATTATTATTATCCATCATCTTTTCATTTTCCAAAACTGTAATGACCTCTTTTTTCTGCTATTAATGTCTCTTCTATTATCTCTGTGTGTTTGGCTTAATATATCTTTTTAAATTCTTTGCCTTTTATTTTAGTATATTTCAGGAGGAGTGAACATAACACATTTCTTCAACCTATGTTTAATTGGAGGTTGATTATACATTAAATATGCTAACTTTAATATTCTATGGTTTTTATGGGTATAAAACATTTTAGAATTTATAAGTATATTTTCTACCCTTTCCTATATTTGCCTTCCTAATTTACTCAGTGGATCATATATTTATTCAGTATGTTTGTACTCAAAAGTTTTGATCTTTTCCTTAGCTATCATTATAGCCCTTTTGTCATTACTGTTTCTGATGATATATTATTTCCCCATGGTTTTTTGGGGGGGTTGGATTTACTAGAGGTTTATCTATTTTATTGTCCCTTTCTAAGAAACTGCTTTTTGGTTTTATTTCTCACTTCCAGTTTCTTTTGTTAAAAAAAATGTATGTGTAGCCACCCAACAGGTTCACCTTGCCAGCTGCCTAGATAGAGCCAATTTATTGAGATAGGGGAATTGCAATAGAGAATGAGTTATTCATGCAGGGCTGGCTGTGCTGGAGACCAGAGTTTTGTAATTACTCAAATTAGTCTCCTCGAGAATTTGGGGATTGACATTTTTAAGGACAATTTGTTGGATAGGGGCCAGTGAACTGGAGTGCTGACTGGTTGGGTTGGAAATGACTCCCTATGGAGATGGAGTCTCCATAGGGTTGGAGATGACTGGTTGGGTTGGAGATAACTCCCTATGGATATCAATCCCTATGATTTCATAGGGAGTCAATGCTGTCTTCTGCACTGAGTCAGTTCTTGGGTGGGGAGCCACAAGACCAGATGAGTCAGTTTACTGATCTGGGTGGTGACAGCTGATCCATCAAATACAGGGTCTGCAAAATATCTCAAACACTGATCTTTGGTTCCAAAATAGTGATGTTATCTCCAGGAGCAATTTGGGGAAGGTCAAAATCTTGTAGCCTCCAACTGTATGACTCCTAAACCATAATCTCTAATCTTGTGGGTAATTTGTTTGTTCTACAAAGACAGTCTAGTTCCCAGGAGGAAGGGGGGTTTTTTGAGACAGATTGTTACTGTCTTTGTTTCAAACTGTAAACTAAGTTCTTCCCATAGTTAATTTGGGCTATGCCCAGGAATGGACAAGGACAGCTTGGAGATTAAAAGCAAGATGGAGTTGGTTAGGTCAGATTTCTTTGACTGTAATTTTTTCAGTTACAATTTTGCAATGGTGAATTCATGTGTATTTACAAATGCATTTACTTTGTGCTTTGTTGTAATGAATTCTTTTTCTTTTTTTTTTTTTTTTTTGAGACAGAGTCTTGCTTTGTCGCCCAGTCTGGAGTGCAGTGGTGCGATCTTGGCTCACTACAAGCTCCGCCTTCCAGGTTAATGCCATTCTCCTGCCTCAGCCTCCCATGTAGCTGGGACTACAGGTGCCTGCCACCACGCCTGGATAATTTTTTTGTATTTTTAGTAGAGATGGGGTTTCATGGTGTTAGCCAGGATGGTCTCCATCTCCTGACCTCGTGATCCACCCTCCTTGGCCTCCCAAAGTGCTGGGATGACAGGCGTGAGCCACTGCGTCTGGCCTGTAATGAATTCTTAACATGAAATTTTCTTAGGTTTATTTTGTGTGTTTTTTAAAATTATTGAGTTGAATATTTAATTTATTTTTAATATTTATTATTCAATAATAAATATAATAAAGCTTTTAAATTTTCTACTAGGATATGATAAAATAAGTGTTTCATTAGGAAGCATTCCTCCCATTATTAATTTATATGTTGTATGTCATTACACTTTCTAGTTAAAATAATTTATTGCCTCAGATTACAAAAGTAATTGCAAACTTGTTTTTAAAATACTTAAATATAGAAAAATGATTATATTAGTCTGGTGCAGTAGTAATTGCAGTTTTTGCCATTTAAAAGTAATAGCAAAAACTGCAATTACTTTTCACCAGCCTAATATATTTTTAGTGAGGTTCCAAGCAATAAAAGGTATGTAAATAGAAAATAGTATAGCCTGAAGCTGTAAGAACTACTATGAAGCCAGATAAAGAAAGATAAACGGTTAGGGAATGACAGGAGGGGTAGGGGAGACATGTTTAGCTATGGTGTTCAGAAAAGGCCTAGGAATGTGACATTTGAAAAGATAACTTATGGATATCCCTGAGCAATGTGAGCATTTGGGTGTAGGGGGTTGTGGTGCAGAACTAAGGGAATAGCCAGTGTAAAAGTCTCAGGCAGAAACTAGGTTATTTGCACAAAAGCAACCACGTCGGTGTGAAATAAGTATGGTGAGGGAGGAGAAAAATGTTCTTAGATGAGAGATAAAAGGTGATTGGGGGCAGATTATTTGACAATCCATAGAAAGCTGGACTTGAAAACCATCTATGGTCACACCTGTAATCCCAGCACTTTGGGAAGCCAAGGCAGGCGGATCATGAGGTCAGGAGATCGAGACCATCCTGGCTAACACGGTGAAACCCCGTCTCTACTAAAAAATACAAAAAATTAGCCGGGCATGGTGGTGGGTGCCTGTAGTCCCAGCTACTTGGGAGGCTGAGGCAGGAGAATGGCGTGAACCTGGGAGGCGGAGCTTGCAGTGAGCCAAGATCATGCCACTGCACTCCAGCCCGAGCGACAGAGCAAGACTCCGTCTCAAAAAAAATAAGAAAACCATCTATGGGTATTGAGCAGGAGAGGGAATGCTCTGACCTAAGTATGGTTAGTGTTGTGTTTGTTACTGGGTGGACTAGATATCATGCTGCAGGAATAAAGAAAGCAGGGACACCAGGTAGAAGAATATTCTAGTAATCTAGGAGAGTGATGACGAAGGTGACTTTATTAAGTTTGAACCTACACTAGAGATGGTGAGAAGTAGTCAGGTTTACCATCTGATTTGTGGGTGGAGAGGATTTGCTAATAAATTGAATTTGGGGCCTATGCAAAAGAGAGTTAAAGTTACTGCTCAACTTTTCGGCCTGTGCTCTTTGGTGCTTTTGTTTACTAAGAGGAAGATGGGTTGGCCAAAGGCAGAGTTTTTGGTGTCAGATAAATCAATAAATCTGTCTTAGATACTAACTTTGAATTTGTCTATTAAATATATCCCAGTGGAGAAATTGCTTTGACCATGGAATATAAGCATCTGGAGCTCAGGTGAGGGCCTGAGGCAAAGATACAAATGAGCCATCAGCCCAGGGATAGTGTTAAAACCACGGTCTTGAAAAGAACTGCCTGCAGGTATTCTGTAGTGGTGTCTGCCTTTCTGTAGATAAAGAAAGGCAGAACGGGGCTAAGTAATAAACTATATACAATGATGCTGTGAGTATGAATTGATTGCCATTTGGGGGTTGATAATTATATTTGGAAAGATGAGGTAGTTGGTGATTTCAACAAAAGTTAAATGATGGGGAAGAAATATTGACCAGAATAGATTAAAGAGCGACTGGACAATCAGGAGCCAGCAAGACCCCTTTTGGAGAGTTTTCTGTGAAATAATACTTAAAAATATTTTATGGTCAACAGAGTGTGTTATATTCATCTGTTTTCAGAGCAAAAAGTTGGAAGTAGATAATTGGTTATATGTTTTCACTAACAATTATGTGTTATAAATAATTATACAATAAACATGTAAATATATAAATATAATATGTAAAATATGGTAGATTGTATTATAAATATGCTTGTTATATTTTTATAAATTCCTCTAAATTGTATAGATATAATTTTAATCTTAGAAATTATATCTATATACAGATTTATAATGCACATAAATACACTTATGTACATATGTGCATATGTGTGCTGTGTGTGTTGTTGTGGGTGGAACTAGCTGGGGCTGATGTTATGGGCAATAAAGGAATTTGCCAAGACAGCTGTAGGTAAGGAAAGGCAGATTTATTAGAGAAAGTATGAAGATATGTTGCAATGCTGCAACAGGCAGCACAGCAGAGAAGGGGCTGTCTGCAGAGGCAGGGGCCAGTGGGAAATGTTACAGGGTCATGCTGGAGGGGGTTATGTGTGGAACAGGTTGTTGTGCCAATGGAATGAGGTGGTTGTACCTGTAGGTTGTTTGCAATTAGCCTTCTCTCAGAGCAATTGTTCATTTTTCTCCCCAATCTAGGACCCTCCCTGACCTGGGCTTCCCTCCTCATAGTTGCTTACTCATCAGGACTCCATGTGTGTATAATACACATATCTATAAAGTCTGATATAATGAGAGAGATTAATGACAATTATTCACAATAATTTTGGTTGTATTAATTTCTCCTTATATTTTGCTATGTATATAGAATTCTTGATTCAACACATTTTGTCTGTAAACCATATATATGTTCCACTAATGTTTCTGAATTTTTGATATTTAGTTCTGATATCAAATGTCAGTCTCACTCCCTTTACTCAGTGGCCTTTGGGCTCTGATACTAGGTCAGTCCCCTGGAACTCTGGTTCCCTCAGCTGCGTGGGAAACAGCTCTGCTATATGCTCATCACATAGGAGCTGTAGCTAACCAGCAGTATCCAGAATCAGAAGACTCATCACTGTCTCTGCCCAATCATTCCTTAATCACCCAGATAACCCAGTTGTTTGCATTCTTCCTTACTCTCTGCCAGTCCCCGGTTAATGTTCTCAGGCTCCCTCTTACCTCTCGATGTTTCTAAAAACTCATTATTTCTTTAGCGTAGCAACAGCAAGAAATCTGGTATTTCATTTCTTTGCTATTTCATCCCTGCCCTGGTCATACTTCCTCCCCATCCCACTGTCAGAAAGAAGTTGGTTTCAGGCTTTCCCCTTCCTCTCTGTGATATTTTACTTCTACCTTGGACTTTATTGCTTTAATGTCTTTGGTAGAAAGAGCCACACATGGTGAAATAATCTCTATGATCTGAGTCATTATTTGTGTCCTTTATATGTTAATGCAAGATAGATGGCTTTAGAAAGGACTTTAGTTTTATTTTCAAGACTTAATATTTCTTCAAAATTTTATTTTGGTTTTCTACAGAAGCATATTTACATTGAAGCTAATGAAAATTGAGCTTCACAGTCTGTTCACATGATCATATGTTTTTGTGGGTTTTTTTTTTGTTTTTTTGCAAAAGTGCATTATTTTTGTATTATTTTTATTAAAGAGAGATAATGTTATATAAGTGTCAGATTCCACAAAATCTGGATATATCCTTGGATAAGTTAAATGGTTGTTTTTTCCTTCCCTCCCTTCCTTCCTTTTGAAATAGTTTAGGGTCATTGGTCATGTTTTCTGGGGTGTTATCTGAGCTTGTGGTCTCATGACCGAGAATATTAAGGAGCATAGACACGGACGCCAGAGTGAGGTTAGAGCAAAAGTTTAATAAGCAAAAGAAGACAGCTCTCCATAGCAGAGGGATCCTGGACAAGTTGACATTTTACAGTGGAATGCCAACTTTTATAAGAAACTCCTCTCATCTCTGTAGCTGTTTGAGTAACTTTTCTTATGTGAAAAGCTGTCTGTACAACTCTCCCCATCTTTACAGCTGTGGGATGTCTCTAGGTAAGCACAAGCATAGCTTTTCTTGTTTATATAATTGTGGGTTTGTTTTAGGTCAGTTCCCCTCCCCTTCCTGTGCAAGCTACTATGAAGCCTGCCATAGTCATGTCTGAAAAAGGGAGGAACATTTTGCCTGGGAGCCCACTAATCACAAAAAGAACAAAAGGCTTCTATGCGGGACCTTGGCTGCCTGGCCTACTTATCTGTACAGCTGCAGCCTGAGTTTTCTTCAGGCTGCTGTATTTTTGCCTGTAGCTGTGATTTTTCAGAGCTGCTTCTCCAACTAGCCATAGTTGTCTGCCTAACTGATTTTTCCTTTTCTTCTCCCTCATTACCCCCCACTTCAGGATAAGAGACCCTAACTGCTGTTAGGAAGGTCAGGCAATGGTATTTCTAGATACTTCCTGATGGAGAGGGGTGTTGTGTCGAGAACACCAGCTAGGGTTTCTTCTGGGCCTGGTTCAAAGGTCCTTGGAAGAATGGCATGTCCATGTGGGGTTCCATTTGCAGCACTACTTGGAGTTTAATAGCCTCTAGGTGAGAGGAAACAATTCCGGTTATAGCATTGAGTATACAGGGTCCAAACTTAACACAAGACATACAAGAAAAAGAGGTCCCAGTAAAGGAGAGCTAACTAGGTCTAAAAAGAAGACTGGAATCTTTCAAGAAGGGATTGTAGCTACCTGGGACTGAAGCCTGCTCTTTCTCTTAATGTGTCAATGATTCTAATTTGATTCTTAAGCACCTGTAAGTTTTATTCCAATTGGCTAGAGGTGTTGATCCAAAAGGAACATGCTTCATTTAAGAGTACACAGGTCTTTGGGAGGCGGAGGCGGGCGGATCACGAGGTCAGGAGATCAAGACCATCCTGGCTAACATGGTAAAACCCCGTCTCTACTAAAAATACAAAAAATTAGCCGGGCGTGGTGGCAGGTGCCTGGAGTCCCAGTTACTCGGGAGGCTGAGGCAGGAGAATGGCGTGAACCCGGTAGGCGGAGCTTGCAGTGAGCTAAGATTGCGCCACTGCACTCCAGCCTGGGCGACAGAGCAAGACTCCGTCTCAAAAAAAAAAAAAAAAAAAACAGTACACATGTGCCGGCCAGGCATGGTGGCTCACGCCTATAATCCCAGCACTTTAGGAGTCCGACGTGGGCAGATCACGAGGTCAGGACATTGAGACCATCCTGGCGAACATCGTGAAACCCCGTCTCTACTGAAAATACAAAAAATTAGCCAGCCATGGTGGCGCACGCCTGTAGTCCCAGCTATTCAGGAAGCTGAGGCAGGGGAATCGCTTGAATCTGGGGGGCGGAGGTTGCAGTGAGCCAAGGTCGTGCCACTGCACTCCAGCCTGGGAGACAGAACAAGACTTCCTCTCATAAAAAAAAAAAAAAAAAAAAAAAAGAGTGCACAGGTGCCCCCCTACTTTGGCTGTAAAAACATCTAGGGCTCATCTATTTTGCATTACCACTGCGGCTAGAGAGTTTATGGATTGTTGTTGTGCCTCTTTGGCTCCTACTGATGTCTTCCACCCTTGTTGCATCATAATAGAGATATTAAGTACTGATCTCTCAAAAAGAGAAATACCAGCAAATCAAAATAGGCCTCTGGCTATAGCATGTCCCATTCCTGGTTTTTCCAGTATAGGATTGTTGTGTGCATGTCCTCCCCAGTCCTCTCTCTCAGTTAGATCTCCATACCATGTTATGGAAGTAATAGACCTCTGTGTTTAGTGTACCTGAGATAGGGTACTTTCTAGAAAGGAGCACAGATTATGAATTCCATCAGATGATGTTGCCATGTCAGTGGAGTTTAAAAATAATAGGTCGGGGACCACTGCCACTATAGTGCATGTTCCCCTCCAATGCCTAGGGAGAATTAGGTGTAACCAGGAACCACAGAGAAAATAAAGCCCTGTCCCTTGAAGGGA
Source organism: Homo sapiens (assembly GCF_000001405.40). NCBI lineage: Eukaryota > Metazoa > Chordata > Mammalia > Primates > Hominidae > Homo > Homo sapiens. Next base: position 87,046,593 of record NC_000008.11, read on the forward strand.
GGATTCTAGGTTGTGATGTGTAAGAGATGCAGCTAGTCTTTGCATCCGCTTCATAAAGAGGTTCCCCTTATATCTAATGGGAGCATCTTTGATATAGGGATAAAAATACAAAGTATAGTCATTTATGGTGCCATTTGGGACTCTACACACTAGGTGGGAAGGATCCTGCTGACAGATGGAGCTTTGGAAGATAATATGTCCTGACCAGTATCTCAGTTGATTCTTAATGCAGGCGCTCTCAGTCCAGACATCTCCTTTTCGCCCACTAGTGTGTAGGTTATTACTAGTATCAAATATCTTACAGGGGTCTGGGATTCCCTGAGGTGGCATATTTGGAAAGGACCGTGTGTTATTTGCTATTCTGATGTAATACTGGTAAGAGGAGTTACGCAGGGGCTGCCGCTCAAATTTAGAATCACAGTTAGGAGGCGTGGATGGGTTTTTTAAGTTTTTCAACATTTTATCTCACGTGTTAGATTAGCTTTCTCCTTTTTTTACCCTCCAGACCTCCTCACTTTTAGAGATTGTAAGTGTAATGTTGCAGTATTTGAGATTTCCCGGGTATGGCACTTTTCCTCTGCTTTCAAAGCAGAGGGAGGCATCTGCTATCATTCTATCAACTTCACCTAGTCTAAGGATGTGTCTTATCCCCAGGGGATGTGTGTTCCTGGGTAGAATTAAAAGTGCTCCCATATCAAGTTCCATTTATACCTGACAAGTTCTTGATGGTTAAGGGCAAAGCTATCAAAGGGAACCCCAGGACTATGAGTTAAGGATCATCAAGAAGCCTCCCAGTTTCAGTGTTATTAAACTGAGCAAATTGTTCAGGGAAAACCCAGCAATTAGTCTTGCTGTATAGATGAGCAATGGCTGGTACTGTTCGGGTCAAAGACTAAAAAGCATTCCTGCCTCTAACAGTGAATGCTACTAAGCTTGACAGAAACAAATTTGCCTCTTATCTGTTACTGCCATCCCTGCAATGAAGATAATAACTAAGCAAAATATTACAGAAGTGAGACTGTCTGTCTGCTTTTCCACTCAGGAGGTGCCACAGGGTGTAACCCTACTGCAAAAGCAAAGTAAGCAAAATAATTCCTGCAAGTATGGTGTAGTTAATGATTTCCATCTGAGTTTCTATTTGTCAAAATATTGGATTTTCCTCTGGGGGGGTCTATGGAGTTATGAATTTGGTCCCATGGATAATCAAAGTCCCCCTATAAATTTGCATCAAAAAGAAGCTGCAATACCTGACAGCAGATCTCAAAAGGAAAAGTGGAAATAACTGAAAGAATCTGGTAGGGTAAAGGTGGGATTGAGTTAGATGGGTAGTCCTCACTCATTTACTTATCTTTTCTAATTTTCAGTGTAAGGTGCCTGACTTCTTCACATTGGTACCTGGGATGCTCTTCTGGGATGTCAGGGGCTGCTTTCTCTGCTTTCCAGGCTTTGACTTGAGTGTGATAAATCCAAGAGTTGATACCTGCAACCTTAACCTTTGAGAGAGTAGAGAGGAGGACAGTGTAAGGTCTTTGCAAATCGGGGTCTAGAGAAGGGGAAAGAGAGGGAAGAGTCTTCACTAACACCAAGTCTTCTGGGTTAAATAAGGGCAGTCCTATTTCTTGGGGGTTCAGCTTCCAATGGTTGTTTTCATTCCTATTGGAAGTGGGCAAGGAGGTTATATATTTAGCTAATTCAGAAGTTTCCTTGTCAAATAGAAAATCATTGGTAAGAAAAGGCCAACCACACATTATTTCAAAAGGGCTTAAATCCAATTTGGAGGCAGTGCTTCTCACCTGTAGTAAAGCCACGGGACGAAGAGTAACCCAAGGGAGGTGAGTTTCTTGAGAGAGCTTCCTCAGGTACCTCTTAATGACATCATTTGTTTTTTCTATTTTTCATAAAGACTGTGGTCTCGAGGCACAATGTAGATGGTATTATATGCCCAGTGCTTTTGGGTAACAGACATCTTAAATGAGGGGTCCAATGTCACTTTGGAGGTACTTCAGGAGTCCAAAACAAGAAGTTATCTCATTAATTAGTACTCTTACCACCTCAGAGGACTTTTCTATTTGACATGGAAATGCCTCCACCCAGTTAATCAAGATGTCTATCTATACTAAAAGATATGGAATGCCCCTTACTTTTGGCACATGGGTGAAGTCTATCCTCCAGTCTTCTGCCAGATAACTTCCTATCCTTTGAATTTGGTGGGGAAGGAGCTGCCTGTTGAGGGGATTATTTTTAAGGCAAGTTTCACAAGCATTAACAAGCTGACCATTTTTAGTAGGTTTTCCCCCCAAAACAATCTTTGGGTGCATTGATAAGTCTTATCCCCACCTAGGTGAAAGGTTTGGTGAAGGAGTTTAAGAACTTTTCACTGACTAGAGGCTGGCAAGTGGACTTTACTGTGCTCTGAGTGTAACCATCCCGAGGGCTGAAAAGTGTATCCTTGAGATGTGGCTTATTCTATTTCTGCAGAAGAATACTGAGGTCTTACTTCTCTTATGGAGCCCTCCCAGATTACAGGGGTCTCAAATGTGTCAGATCTCCTGGGTCTTTTTGCTGCTGATTTGGCTGCTTGATCTGCTAGTCTATTTCCCTCAGTTATGTCATCCACACCCTTCTCATGTACTCTGCAATGCATTACTGCCACTTCCTACAGAAGGAAAATTGAGGATGAAGTCTGCCTATTTCCTGATGAATTTAATGGAAGATCCATTAACAGTGAGGAGGTGTCTTTCCTTCCAGATATCAGCATGGACATGGAGAACCAGGAAAGCATAGTTAGAATCAGTATAAATGTTAACTGCCTTTCCTTTGCTTTATTTGAGCATCCTTCTGAGAGCAACTAGCTCAGCTAGTTGAGCACTGATGCCCAGTGAGAGATGTGCACTCTCAATAATGACATTCAGGGTGACTACTGAATACCCTGCCTTATGGGTTTCTTGTTCTGTGAAGGAACTTCCATCTGTGAAGACAGTCCAATCTGGATTTTCTAGGGGAGTTTCTCTGAGATCCTCCCTGGCTTCATAGGTTTGTACTACTATCTGTTCACAATCATGTTCAGGTTCTCTGGTTTCCTCTGAGAGGAAAGTGCAGGGTTTAGGCAAGGGCACATTTTTAACTGAACTGCAGATCCTCTAGCAGCAAGGTTTGATATTTGAGGAGGTGATTGTTTGTTAGCCAGAGACTCCCTTTAGAGGATAGCAGTCCTGCTGTATTATGTGGAGTATAAAGAGTTAAATTATTCTCCATGGTTAACTTGGTGGCCTCTGGCACCAGAAGAGCCACTGTGGCACCTTTAGCCACCAAATCAAGCCCCTTACTTAGGTAACTGACAGACTGCTGGGATGGACCTTGGGCCTGAGTTAAAACTCCCAAGGCTATTTCTTTCCTTCTGAGACATAAGGATTGAATGCCTTTCCTATGGGAAGACTAAGGGCCAGTGCTTTAAGTAAGGCTTGCTTTAGCTAGTTAAAGGATTTTTGGGCCTCAGATTCCCAGGTTAAGAGAGTGAGTTTTAGCACCTGAGTGTCTTTTATAGGGTGATACAAAGGGTGAGCAATTTCACCATACCTGGGTATCCACAATCTGCAAAGGCCTGTAGTACCCAAAAATATTCTTAGCTGTTTGAGGATTTGGGAAAGGGGAAAGGAGGTAATGGGCTTAATCTTCTCTTTGCCCAATGTTCTAGTTCCCTCTGACAGGAGTAAACCTAGGTACTTCACTGAGGTTTGACAAAGCTGAGCCTTAAATTTTGAAACCTTATATCCTCTCTTAGCTAGGAAATTAAGAAGAGCTTCAGTGCCTTCCTGAGAAGCCTTCTCAGATGAGGTACAGTGGAGAATATCATCAGCATTGTAAAATTTTAATGTGAGGATGAGACAACTAAGAGAGATCTCTCAAAATTGCCTGCCCAAACAAGTGAGGGCTGTCTCAGAATCCTTGAGGCAGCACTGTCCAGGTTAGTTGGGCAGTCTGGCCAGAGGGATCTTTGAAGGCAAACAGGTATTGAGAGTCAGGGTGCAACTAAATGTAGAAGAAGGTATTCTTTAGGTCTAAAACCATGAAACATTTAGATCCCTCAGATACTTGGGTTAGCAGAGTATAGAGATTAATAATCACCCAATTAATTCGAACCACAGCCTCATTAATGAGATGTAGGTCCTGAACTAGCTTACATTCCCCACTGGGTTTCTGCACTCCTAATATTGGATGTTGCAGGGGCTGTTGCAGGGCCTAAGGAGGCCTTGTGCTTTTAAGTTATCCATGATGATATCTAGTCCTTTTTCAGCTTCTGGCTGTAGGGGGTATTGTTTCTGCTTAGGAAAAGAAGTGGAATCCTTAAGGTGAATCTGGACTGGTATAGCGATTGTTCAGCCAATCTTTCCCTGAATTACCCATACCTGTAAGTTAATATTGGTTTCCACTAAGAGGAGATAAAGAGTTTGTTCTGAAGCCATTAGGATGGCAGCTCACATATGGGCTAGAATATCCCTGCCTAGCAAAGGAGTGAGACTTTCAGGCATAATTAAAAAGGCATGGATAAAAGCAGGTTCCTCCAACTACAGCTGAGGGTCTGAGAAAAATTTCAAGTTAAGGGCTTCCCTGAGATGTCCATCACAGTCATGCTAGGGGAGGAGGGAATGCCTGGATTGGAGAGGAGAACCAAAAGACTGGCTCCAGTGTCCAGAAGGAAGTCTACTTTCTTGCCTTCCACCTCCAGAATCACCCAGGGCTCCTGGATAGTGAGGGCAGTTTGAGCTTCTGGAGTCAAGGATCTTTGCCAAGACCAGCTCGGCTGGGGAGACCCTAACCCAGCAGCACTAGAGGAATTAAAGACACACACACAGAAATATAGAGGTGTGGAGTGGGAAATCAGGGGTCTCACAGCCTTTAGAGCTGAGAGCCTTGAACAGAGATTTACCCACGTATTTATTAACAGCAAGCCAGTGATAAGCATTGTTTCTATAGATTATAGATTAACTAAAAATATTCCTTATGGGAAACAAAGGGATGGGCTGAAATAAAGGGATGAGTTTGGCTAGTAATCTGCAGCAGGAGCATGTCCTTAAGGCACAGATCGCTCATGCTATTGTTTGTGGTTTAAGAACGCCTTTAAGTGGTTTTCCACCCTGGGTGGACCAGGTGTTCTTTGCCTTCATTCTGGTAAACCCACAACCTTCCAGCATGGGCATCATGGCCATCACGAACATGTCACAGTGCTGCAGAGATTTTTGTTTATGGCCAGTTTTGTGGCCAATTTATGGCCAGATTTTGGGGGACCTGTTCCCAACAGATCTAAGTCCCAGGATCCATCAGTCCTGCTGGACCATCTGTGAGACTGGCCTTGGACTTGGTGATTTATGCCTCCAGGGACAGTCCAACCTCCAGTGGTCCCCACCACAAGCTAGATAGGGTCAAGGTGGCTTCTTTTTGTTGCCTGGGCACTCCCTTTTGAAATGTCCTGGCTTACCACACTGGTAACAATTTGCAGGCGTACCCTGGGGATCCTGGAGTTTATAGGCCTGTAAAGCAAGCACTAGTGCCTGTGTCTCTCTCTTGTACTTCCTCTCTTTTTCCTGGGCCTCTTCCTGGTCCCTGTTGTAAAAGACCAAGGTGGCCATGCTCAGGAGATTTTTCTGAGGTGCTACTCAGTCCTATAGCCTGCTTCCATAGCTTCCTTCTGATATCAGGGGTTGTCTGATTAGTAAACTTGTTTTTTAATATTAACTGCCCCTCAATTGAATCAGGAGATAGAGAGATCTGTTTCAGTAAAGCTTCCCTCAGACTTTCCATAAAGGCCAAGGAATTTTCATCTGGTTTTTGATCTATCATAGATAGCTTAGAGTAGTTAAGCGATTTGGCCCTGATCCTTTATAAGCATTCCAGTATGCACATTAGAAAGTGTTTTCTTTCCCACTCATGTATAGGATCACTGGGGTTCCAATTAGTATTCTTAAGGGGTACTGCCTCACTCCCTGTTGGAAATGGAGTTTCTTGTTCCTGTTATTGTTCTCTAATCCCCCTTCCAGTTTCTTCCAAGTTCTTTAGTTCCCCTTCTTGGATGAGGAGGTTTTCTTTGGCTATAGGAGACATGTTGTTTATCCCAACTTTTCTGCTGCCTGTAAGGTTACCTGTTTCTCCACAGCAGTCAGGGTTTGGATTAGAAGAACATAACATCTCTCCATGTATGATCAAATACTTGGGTTACTTTTGGAAAGCCTCTATATATCAGGGTCATCAGAGAACCTTCCCAGGTCTCCCTTTATTTGCCTAAGTTCTTGTAGTAAAAAGGGAACTTGAACCATAGTGGCATCATATCCACTGGGCATTTCTTGCAGGCATAATAGTGAAGTCAAGGGAGTTGGAGGCTTTGGAGTGGATGGTGCTGGAATGGCCGATGATATAGCTGGAGGGGGCCCAAGATAAGGGGTGGGGGGTTTGAGGGGCTGAGGCACTCAGAAGTTTTCTTTGATGGTTTTCCAGGAATTAGTTTCTCTGATTTTGGGGAATCATCCACTATGTGCCTGCCTGATATGACTGCTTAAAGAGCTGGATCAATTGTGCAATGCTTACAAAGATTTGGGTTGTGTCGCAGGACAAAGAAAGCCAGTACATAGGGAACTTTGAATCATTTGCCCTCCTGTCTGCAGACAAAATCTAATTGTTGGATAGTATTAAAATTAACACTTCCCTCAAGAGGCCAGGCCTGTCTGCCCTGCAGTTGGTAATAAGGCCACGCTCTTGTACAAAAGAATATGAGCCACTTTTTCTTCAGGGTCTGATGATAAAAGCAATCCCAGTGTCTCTGGCTGTACTTGAGAGGAGTGCAGGCTGAGGATGGTTTTTTACCCATCTAGAAAGAGAAAAGAGAAGGCATTCCTTAGTCTCTTTCCTTTCTTTTGGAGTGACCCAGCATGGAGAAAAAGACAGAAGGGGTGTCCCCCCTCTCCCCTTCTCTCTTTGGTTGTCTGGGTCCTGGTAACCTTTGTAGATGCTGCCCATGAATGCAAGTGTGACCTTTTTTTCATGGATCCCGAGGAGCTAGTTAGCAGGAATAGTCAGGCTTATCTGCTGAAGTCCCTAGCTCTCTGCTGGTGCTTCCCCTTTAACTCCCTTGCGTGACTGGTATGGATCCCAGGTCTCCCAGGTATATGGATCCTGGGAAAAAACTGTATAATAGTTGTACTTGGGCAAAGCCCCCTAATGGAGGGAATGTTCTAGCTCTAAATACCTATATTCAGGTATTTTGGCCCAGACTAAAGTACTCATTCCTAAACAATGGGTCCGATTGGCTTCCAAACATAAAACCCCTCTTTCTTTTAGATGCCATTGCAATTGGATGCAGAATGGATGCCTTAAAAGAATGTAGGAATTGAATGGCTGTCTTCCTTCAGATGGAGACAGCGTGGAGGCTAAAATCTGCCTTTCAAGGGCAATTTCCACCACACTGTCAAAGACATAGTTTCTCCATTCACAGATAAGACATGGAGCCAGATGTCTGATAGAAAGGTGCAGATGAGAGAAGAGTTGGGAAATTATAGATTTTGGACAAAGGACTAATAAGTCTCCCCAGGGAAAAATCCCATCTGACTAGTTGGTATGACAGAGATTGGAACACTAAAAAGTAGCTCTGACTCCAATTACTCTCCAGACAAAGGTTAGAAAGGGAAGTTTGGGGCTGTCCCCACAACATGCCTCCCCACAAGAAAAAAATAATCCATCTCATAGAGAGACTGTCTAGTTATGCTGCACAGTGCTGGCTTCTCACATGGAAAAAGAGACAGCTTAATTAATATTCCCCCCATCCAACCCCATTGAGGGCTATCATTGAGAGATAAATAGGTCTTTAGATCCAAGTCTTGGAATCTCCCTGTTTCAAGAAAATCACAGAGACAGCAATTCCTTGAAATACATTCTTGATTACTAAGGCCCCAGCTGACTTTACCCAACAGGATTATATGCCCAGGTTGTAAAAACACTTGCAATATTGCATTCAAAGAAGGAATAGGAGACATGATAGCCGCAAAACGAAAGGAAGAAAATGCAACAGAAAACTCTGGAAGTCCTGGTGCCAATACCCAGCAGGCTGTCAGGGACTGGAGTTAGTCCAAGGGCCTCCAGGTTACACCGAAGTGTAGCCTTGGCCAAAAACCTTTGGTTGCCTGAGGACCTCCTTCCAGCCCCATGCAATGGCTAGGTCCTCCACAAAAGGGAACTTGATTGGAACACAGCCAACATTCCCAACAACCAAGGGTGAGCAGGGTTGATAAAGTCCTCTCAAGAAAGCCTGTCCCCTGAGTCTTGTAAGACTGGAAGTTACCCTATTGGCTTTTAACTGACTGATGGGCCAGTGTGTTTTTTTCACTCTTGAGAGAACAAAACTGAGAACGAGAAGCCTCAGAAATAAAAGTCAAGAGTTAAGAGTTTGCTCCTACTCACTCTTTCGATGGATCCCAGGCAAGCCCACACTAATAAAACAGTATAGGGTCACTGATTACGTTGTCTGGGATGTTATTCAAGCTTGTGGTCTCATGACTAAGAAAATTAAGAAGTGTAGACATGAACACAAGGGTGAGGTTAGAACAAAAGTTTAATAAGCAAAAGAAGAAAGCTCTCCACAGCAGAGAGGGGTCCTGGACGGGTTGCCATTTTACAGTTGAATGCTAAAGCTTTTATGAGAAACTTCTCTCATCTCTGTTGCTGTTTGAGTAACTTCTCTTATCTGAAAAGCTGTCTGTACAACTCCCCCTATCTATGCAACTGTGGGACATTCCTAGGTAGGCACAAAGCATAGCTTCTCTTGTTTATATAATTGTGGGTTTGCTTTAGGTAAGTCCCCCCCTTCCCTCCCTGTGCAAGCTCCCATGAAACCCACCATGTTAATGTCTGAAAAGGGGAGGGAATGTTTTCCTGGGAGCCCACTAATTACACAAAGAACAAAAGGCTTCTATGCTGGACCTTGCCTGCCTGGCCTGCTTATCTGTACATCTGCAGTCTGAGTTTTCCTCAGGCTGCTCTATTTTTGCCTGTAGCTGTGATTTTTCAGGCAGGCTGCTTCTCTGAGGACTAGCCTTAGTTGTCTACCGAACTGGTTTTTTCTTCTACCTCACTTCCTTCCTTCCTTCTTTTTTCTTTCTTTTCTTCCTTCCTTTTCTCCTTCCTTCTACCCCACCTTTCTCTTTCACTCTCTGCTTCCCTTTCTTTTCATCCATCCCTTCCTTCCTTCCCTCCCTCTCTCTTTCCTTCCTTCCTCCCTCCCTCCCTCCTTCCCTCCCTGCTTGACCTTTCCTTCCTTCCTTCCTTCCTTCCTTCCTTCCTTCCTTCCTTCCTTCCTTCCTTCCTTCCTTCCAAAAACTTCAGGATACTAAAACAATAATGATAATGAGAACAACTATAGGTAATATTTGTGGAGCACTTACTATGAGCCAGGAACTGCTAGTTTGCAAAAATCAACAATCAATGTAGTAAGTCCTACTATTATCCCCACTTTACAGATAAAGAGTCCTAGATACAGAGAGATCTAACAGCTTGCCCAATATGTCATAGAATAGGTAGATGTAACAGAAGCATTGTTAGCCTATACAGAGCCTTTGGGCAGTTTATATAAAAGCATCTCTACCTCTAACTGCAGGAATGACAAAAGGCACTCCTTTCCATGGTCATGTGGCCCCATATCAGGGCACACTGCTGGGCTGGGAGATGAGGAATGGCTGCCAGGCTCCTACTGCACTTTTGCCCTGGTTCCATGGGGGCAACACACAACTGTACAGCCTTACAGTCCCTAGACTTAAATACAAGGAATATTAAATGAAAATGTTAATAGCATTGACACTCATATTAAAAATATTATCTTAGAAATTCATTAGTTTACTAAAGCTGTTAGAATAAAACATTTCAGGAAGGTGTATATCATCAATATAAATACGGGTTATAAACCAACAGTATTTTAATATATGAGCAATAAATAATCACAAGATTTAATAAATACAAATCTATTTTTACTAGCCATTATCATCCAGAAATATTCTTGACCAAAAAAGTCCCTCAACTAGAATATATGTGAACTATGTGAAGGTAATTATAATATTTTAAAGAGATAAAATTAGAATTTAATTATATTGACTGATTATATAATACTTCTAATTAGAAAGATTATATATTTTAGAGGTAGAATTTTTTTTTACCAAATTAAAATATATAAAATTTGAACAGATTCACATCACAACTAGAAGACTTAATTTATAAAATAGCAAAACAAGTTTGCACAAATATTTAAAAATATTAAGACAACTATTTGGTAGGTGGAATTCTAAGAAAGCCCTCATGATCTGTCCTTTGTGTTACATCTGTATAACTTCCTCCCTTTGTGTGTGGATGGAACCTGTGATTTGCTTCCAACCAAAAGAGTGTGGCAAAGTTGATACAATGTTACTTCTATTATTATATTTCATAAGACTTAATCTTACCTGACTGGGGAGGAAGACCATCCACCTTGAAGTAGCAACCTGCCATGTTGTGACTACTTATGGAAAGGGCCATGTATTCGTTCGTCCTCATGCTTCTGTGAAGAAATACCTGAGACTGGGTAATTTACAAAGGAAAGAGGTTTAATTGACTCACTTCCACAGGGCGGGGGAGGCCTCAGGAAACTTACAGTCATGGTGGAAAAGGAAGCAAACACGTTCTTCTTCACATGGCAGCAGGAAAAAGGAATGCAGAATGAAGGTGGGAAAGGCCCCTTACTTTAATAAAACCATCAGATCTTGTAAGAACTCCATCAGTATCATGAGAACAGCATGGGAGTCATCACCACCATGATTCAATTACTTCCCACTGGGCCCCTGCCATGATATATGGAATTATAGGAACTACAATTCAAGATATTTCAGTGGGGACACAGCCAAACCATACCATTCTGCCCCTGGCCCCTTCCACATGTCATGTCCTCACATTTCAAAACACAATCATGGTTGGGCGCAGTGGCCCATCCCTGTAATCCCAACACTTTGGGAGGGCAAGGTGGGTGGATCACTTGAAGTCAGAAGTTTGAGACCAGCATGGCCAACATGGTGAAACCCTGTCCCTACTAATAATACAAAAATTAGCTGGGCATGGTGGTACATACCTGTAATCCCAGCTACTCAGGAGGCTGAGGCAGGAGAATCACTTGAACCTGGGAGACAGAGGTTGCAGTGAGCCAAGATCATGTCACTTCACTCCAGCCTGGGCAACAGCACAAGACTCCATCTAAAAAACAGATAAACAAAGACACACACACACACACAATCGTGCCTTCCCAAAAGTACCCCTAATGTCTTAACTCATTCAAGCATTAACTCAAAAGTCCAAGTTCAAAGTGTCATTTAAGACAAAGCAAGTCCCTTTTGCTTATGAGCCTGTAAAACCAAAAGCAAATTAATTACTTACTAGATACAATGGGGATACAGGCATTGAGGAAATACACCCATTCCAAATGAGAGAAATTGACCAAAACAAAAAGACTAGAGGCCCCATGCAAGTCCAGAATCCAAATAGCAGAGTCATTAAACAATAAAGTTCCAAAATGATCTCCTTTGACTCCACGTGTCACAGCCAGGTCATGCTGAGGCAAGAGGTGGGCTCCCAAAGCCTCGGGCAGCTCCACCCCTGTTGCTTTGCGTACAATCCTCAGTCCCAGCTGCTTTCACAGCTGGTGTTGAGTGTCTTTAGCTTTTCCAGGCATGTGGTGCAAGCTGTCAGTGGATCTACCCTTCTGCGATCTGGAGGACAGTGGCCCTCTTCTCACAGCTCCACTAGGCAGTGTTCCAGTTGGGACTCTGTGTGGGGATTCCAACCCCACATTTCCTTTCTGCACTGCCCCAGCAGAGGTTTTCCATGAGGGCTCCACCTCTGCAGCATAATTCTGCCTGGACATCCAGGCATTTCCATACATCCTCTGAAATCTAGGTGGAGGTTCCCAAACCTCAATTCTTGTCTTCTGCACAACTGCAGGACCAACACCACATGAATTCTTCTAAGGCTGGGGGCTTGCCTTCTCTGAAGCAATATCCTCAGCTGTACCTTGGTCCCTTTAACCATGGCTGGAGTGGCTGATATGCAGTCCCAAGGCTGCACGCAGTAGGAAGGCCCTGGACCCAGTCCATGTAACCATCTTTCCTTCCTGGGTCTGTGATGGGAAGGACTTCCCTGTGATGGGAAGGTCTCTGACATGCCCTGCAAACATTTTCCCTATTGTTTTGGAGATTAACATTTGGCTTATTGTTACTTATGCAAATTTATGCAGCAGGCTTGAATTTCTCCCCAGAAAATGGGGTTTTCTTTTCTATTGCATCATCAGTCTGCAAATTTTTGATAATTTTATGCTCTGTCACCTCTTAAACACTTTACTAGTTAGAAATTTCTTCCACCAGATACCCCAAATCATCTCTCTCAAGCTCAATGTTTCACAGATCTCTAGGGCAGGGGCAAAAAGCTGCCAGTCTCTTTGCTAAGCACAGCAAGAGTCACCTTTGCTCTAGCTCCCAACAAGTTTCTCATCTCCATCTGAGACCACCAAAGCCTTGACTTTATTGTCCATATCACTGTTAGCAGTTTGGGCAAAGTCATTCAGTAAGTCTCTAGGACATTCCAAACTTCCCCACAGCTTCCTGTCTTCTGAGCTTTCAAAGTCTCTAGGAACTTCCAAACATTCCAACATTTTCCTGTTTTCTTCTGAGCCCTCTAAACTATTTCAACCTCTGCCTATTACCTATTTCCAAAGTTTCTTCCACATTTTCAAGCTCCTTATAGCAGCACCCTACTTCTGGTACAAATTTACTGTATTAGTTTCTTCTCATGCTGTTATGAAGAAATACCTGAGACTGGGTAATTTATAAAGGAAAGAGGATAACTTGACTCACAGTTCTGCAGAGCTGGGGAGGCCTCAGGAAACTTAAAATCATGATGGAAGGGGAAGCAAACACATCCTTCTTCACATGGTGGCAGCAAGGAGAAGTGCAGAGTGAAGGAGGTTGGGGAAGCCCCTTATAAAACCATCAGATCTTGTGAGAACTCACTCACTATCACAAGAATAGCATGGAGATAGCCACTCCCATGATTCAATTACCTCCCACTGGGTTCCTCCCATAATATGTGGCAATCATGGGAACTATAATTCAAAATTAGATTTTGGCGTGGGCACAGCCAGACCATATCAGGCCACATGGCAGTGCACTGTTGGTGACCTCTAGGTTCTGAGGACAGCCTTTACTTGAGATCCAGTGGGAAACTGGCTCAGTCAAGGGAAGGTACCCCTTGTCCTGATCTCTGTGGCCTCATTAGTTTGGCAGCCTGTGCTAACAAAGCTGAAAGCTGCTAAGAGGTCAGGACAACTCCCAGGCCTTAGAAGCCTGCCCTAGGGGGACACAGCATCTGGACCCTCTGCCCTGGGGTGACTCCTCCCAAGAATAGTTCCTGGGAAGTTGCCCAGCCCTTCACTGGCCACACAGATGCAAGAAAACAAGTTTTGCTGACAACTTGAATGAATCTGGAAGTGTAGTTCTCCCTAGTTAAGCCTCCAGATGAGAATCTAGCCCAACTGACACCTTGATGTTAGCCTTGTGAAACCATGAGCAGAGGATCCAGTTAAACCGTGCCTGAACTCTTGATCTATAGGAACTGGGGCACAATAAATACGTTATTTTAAGCTGCTAAGTTTGTGGCAATTCATTATGCAGCAATAGAAAAAGAATACAGAAATTATAGAAACATTAAAGTCCTATATTACAGCAACTCTTACTGAAAATACAAGTATTGGTGCATGGACAGGTAGATCAATGGAAGAGATAATTTCAACTTTAATTTTATTATAGGAGATAACCTAGTATATTACAAAACATCACAAATTACATTTAAGTATCCACTCATGCCTGGTGTACTATTTACTCCTTTTCTCCATTTGGGAATCACGGATACATCACTGAAATAAATAACAGGCAGATTAGGCCCATTGTATTGTGAAAGTTCAAATCACAGGAAAGCTAAAATAAAGCATTTTTCAAATCTTAGTCCATTCTAAGCTTGAGAGTGATAAAAATAGGTCAGAGAGAAAAAGCCTACATGAATATTTAAAAACCGATCATCACAATTTTACAACTAAAATAAAATTTTTAAAATTAAAAGAATGTTTTCATTAAATATGAAAAAGTTTAATATATATATTATATAGGGAGCAAATCCAATCTGTAAATTAAAGTGGGTGCAGAGCATAACTTACAAATGATAAAATGCAACTAGTAATTGTTATATTGTAGCATTTTTGCTTATGGAGGAAGAAGCTGGTCACCAATAAATATTCCTTACTTTGGTCAAAGCCTGAGGAGCATGAGTAGTGGGCAACTCAGGACTGACCCTCAGAAAGTTAGTGACCTGGCTCATCATGACAGCCCAGATTTCAATGGTAGTGAAAGTCAAATTATTCTTTTAATATAAAATTCCTTTTCAAAATGCCAAGTGCATGATTGTCAAGCTGGTAATCAAACTTTCTGTGGCTGTTTGCAATGAGCAATGTCCTTGCTTCTCTTGTACCATTGGAAAAAATTCTTCTGCTCAACACTCACCAATCGGTGCTGGCTTGCTTGAACTTTGTGTCATGCAAGTGACAAGCAGGATTCTGTGAGATAAGAAGTAACTAAATAAGATTAGTGTCCTTAATCAGGACTAATCAATCATTTCAAGTGGAAAATTTATTTGGATTTGAGTGACCTGAAGTGCATTAACAGCAGATTCCATAATAATACAGCAAATGGTCATATTTTTACAATGCTCTACGATCCCCATAAGGAGCTAATTTACTTTTTTCCTTCTGAATTTTTCTAATCATAAAGATTCAATCCTCTGTCCCCACTGACTTCCCAGAATGGCTTTCATATGCATTTACATTCATGTTAAATGTGTGAATTGTTTTAATGGCACTTCTTTCACAACTTGAAATAATTATTTTGGTTGAGTTCACCATGCTTCAATATGTTGTGTTTGCCCCATTCTGAGATTTGTTTAAGAGTGTAGGGTAAGCTGATGACATTTCAAATAGCCTAATTTGTCTTTGTATACTGTATGTTCCAATCAAGGACATTTCAAAGAATATGAAAATTGTGTCAGAAAATATGTTATCAATATACAATCAATGTGTAAAGTGTAGAGGCACGTTTTTCCCCAATATTAATAGTTATTTTAAAAAAGGAGCTCTGGCAGAGGGTCACATGATTCTCCTAATAGCTTTCTCTGCAGGCGTCTCCATAATTATTCTACCCTGTGGTATGCCCTGTCAGTACAGCTAAGTATGACAGAGCCAATGAAGTGATCAATGCTTTTCAGGATCTCTTTTCAACTGAGCAATGAATGATTGCTGAGTGCAGATAGTTGTCCATTGGTGAGTACTCTCATTAGTGACATTAAGCCTGTGACACCAGTGAATGAAAAGTGAACTGAGGTTGTTGATGGTCAGCAAGTCAGCTCCCGGCAAGTGAAATATTCATTCAAAATTATTAGCCAACTACTGAGGTCTGCAATGACAACTAGGGTTACTTTCAATTTCTATGTAGGTTTATATTTTATTAGTTATTCAAGGTAAAGTTAATTTCAATGAATAATTCTTGACAGTGGCAGCTTTTTTCAGTACTGTCATTTTAGGCTTGAAAAAACAAAAGGACAAATCACTGCCTGAGTGTGTATGTGAGTTTGTTGTATGTTTGCATGTAAGTGAGCTTTGTCATCTTCCTAGGAGGTACTTACATTATTAAGAAAAAATGGACATTTTTTAACAGCTAATATTTTGATTGCTTACTATAAACCATGTACTCTATTAAAATGCTTTGTACAGCCAGATGCAGTGGCTCACACCTGTAATCCCGGCACTTTGTGAGGCCAAGGTGGGTGAATCACCTGAGGTCAGGAGTTCGAGACCAGCCTGACCAACATGGAGAAACCCTGTCTCTACTGAAAATACAAAATCAGCTGGGCATGGTGGCACATTTCTGTAATCCCAGCTACTTAGGAAGGCTGAGGCAGGAGAATCCCTTGAACTCGGGAGGCAGCGATTGCGGTGAGCCAAGATCACCGTTGCACTCCAGCCTGAGCCACAAGAGCGAAACTCCATCTGAAAAAAAAAAAATGCTTTGTACATTATACTTTATTTTCTCCTTAAATTTAATAGGATTTAATGTGAGCCATGGGGCTTTGGTTAAAAGTATATTGAAATTCCGCAATTCAAAATGGAGAAGATAGGTCTTAATAGTAATGCATATTAAAAAAAAAGTTAGGATTTTAGCTAAATATAATCATAGTACAAGCCGTCTACTGGTGTGGTTGTCAAGAAAATTAACATATAGCTGCGTTATTAGTATAACAACTGAAAAATAAGAACTATAGTGCAGATCAGACCCCTGCAAAGCAAGTATTCACTTTTGGTTGTGTATTTTTAATGGGAGACTGGTAAATTGGCCAACTACTGAGGTCTGCAATGACAACTACTATTGTAGCCCACTTGGATGAAAGTAACCATATGGTGGGTACTCAAGCAACCCTATCATATGATGAACAGTTCAAGTAACTTTGGAACTTAGCTACAGAAAATACATATAAATCCCATGAAAGGTATCTTCAAGCACATTTACACCTGTTCAACACAGGGACTGTGTTCCTGGAAAGAGGAGTGTGGATTTCATCAGCATTATAAGAATTGGAACAATATGGTCCATATAGATATCTATGGATATCCAATTGCCCCAGCACCATTTATTGAAAAGACCATGAATTTTTCAATGCTCTGAAGTACCAACTTTGCTCTAGATAAAACAGTGATGTATTCAAGTGTTTAGTTCTGGGCTCTATTTTCTTGCCTGATCTAGTTGTGTAGTTTTATGCTGACATTGTATCACCTCAGTTACTTAACTTTTTAATTAGGCTTGATATCTGATAATATTGTGAAACCTTGTTCTTTGACTCTTGAGAGTCATAGCTGTTCTGGACCCTCGAATCACTATATAAAGGTTAGAATAAGATGATTTTGAGGGGAATATTTGGGATTTTAATCAGGGTTCTATTATCTATATATTTATTTGAGGAAAATTGACATATTTTCAGTATTGAGTCTTCCAATCCAAGTTTATTCATCCATTTATTTAAAACTTCAAAAACTTCTCTCAATAGAGTTTATAATTTTCTGAAAGGAGGATTTACATATATCTTTTGTTGAATTATTTCTAGCAGTTTTATATTTTGATGCTATTATAAATGATATATTTAAAAATTTTTATTTTTTATTTACTTATTGCTACTTTATAGAAATGCAATTGATTTTTGTATACTGACCTTATTTCTAACACTTTGCTAAACTCACTTGTTAAATCAAAAATTTATCTGTCATTTTGTAGGTTTCTCTTATATACAATCATATTATCTGTGAAATGTTGAAAGCTGTATTCCTTCTTTCTAATCTTTATACCCTTTTTCCCCTAGCATTGTTACTACACTGGCTTCTACCTTCAGTAAAATGTTACTCTTGGCAATCAGCATAGAGTTGTGGTTCTCTCCATAACCTAAAAACAACCTTTATTACAGACGTTAGTCTACTGACATTTGCCAATATTCCTAACATATCTGATTTAAATAAATAATCTCGCTTTCTTTTTATCTTTTGTATATTAGATTTTTCTTCCATCTTGTTATCTTTTGTATATTTTTATTATATGGTTATCCAATTTTCAGCTTAAAAATATAGATTATTTTACTATCATTTTGTTTCTGTAGAATTCTTCTCAATTTATCAAAGTATAATGCGAATTGATACTTTTATTTTCTTTCTGAGTAAGGAAGGGGCTTAGAACACATTAAATCCACTGTCTTCTTTGTTGAATTACATGTTACTTTTCTGTCTTTTAATTTTTTTATATTTTAAAATTTAAAGGATGTTATTGTTTTATAAAGTCAATATTACATTTTTTTGACCTTTGTTTCTAGTCATCTCTCCAATTTTATTTGTCTGAAGGAGCACCTTTTTAATATTTCTCTTAGCTCAGATATTCTAGTAACCCACCTTCCTAGTTTTTGTTTGTCTGAAAATGTTATTATTTACTTTTACTTTTAAAGGATACTTTCTCTGGCTGTAGAATTCTAGATTGTGTCCTAGTGTAGGTGCCATATTATTTATCTTATTTTGAATTTAATTGGCTTTTAAAATCTGTAATTTATCATCTTTCATCACTTTAGTACAACAGACATTAATTTAAAATTTGCTTCTGTTCCATTCACTCTCTTTTCTTCTTCTAGAACAAAATTACATGTATGTTAGACCTTCTCAACTTATCCCCTGTGTCTCTTATCCTCTAGATGTTTCATCAATTGTCTCTCCATATTGCAATATGGCAATAATTTTAAAAATAAGTTTTGGCTCAGAAATTCTCCATCTATGTTTATTCTGTTGTTGCTTCAATCTGTTTGGTTCTTAATTTGGTGGTGTCTTTCAGTCTTGTAATTTCATCTCTTCCATATGTTTCTTATAGATTTTCTAGTTCTTTGAAGAAGCTCTAATTTTGTCTTTTATATCCTTGAAACATGGTAAGTATAGTTTATTTTACAGCATATGTCTGTTTAATATTTAGAATTCTTAAGAATTTGTTTCTATTGTCTGTTTTTCTGTTGTTTTGTTTATAATGTCTTTCTTCTCTTGGGCCTGATTATTTATTTATGTGACAAGTCACTGTATTTGAAAAATTCTGGAAATATTTTGATGGCAGTGATGTTATCTTTCTCCAGAGAGGATTTACATTGCTTCTGATGGACTTCAAATAGCACCAGAAATTTGGATTTCTTAATACAGTTTAAGGAATTGATATTATCTAATGTTGGATGTAGTCCCTCTGTGGCATTATTTCTAGTTTGCCCTTATTATGAGAATGCAGTTCTTTGAGGAACCAAACCAATTTGTGGGAATATTTACTAGGCACACTCTTAGCAGGCATGATTTCCAATCTTTGTTCTCCCTTTTCCATTTAAAAACATCAGAAACTGACAGATTTATAAGGGGAAGGCAACTCCGAATAGTGGGTTTACTTTTCTTCATGGCATTATTAGCCCTCTAATGCCTTTATGTAAATATTTTTATGTTTTGTCCAAGTCTTGAAGTTGTCCTCCCAATTTTCTACCAGCCTTAGGAGAAAACTGGGACTTGCTCAAAGACACACACCTATAAATAGGAGAGTTGGCGCTCAAACCCAGTTCACTGTAGCTCTAAAGTCCATCTTCTTAACCTATATGTGATACTTTCCCACTACATGGTTGTTGATAAGTTTCAAAGAACAATGCACAATGATTCCTAGATGTCACCAGAGAAGTACGGATGATTAGAGACTATGAACACCAATATAGTCTTGTAGCAACATTTGACAGTTAATAGTAGCCAGAGTTAGACTTCATTCTTTTAGGTTTAGTGACCCAGTGTTGTCAGCATGACAGTGATTTAAATTCTCAGACATAGTCACAATACTAGGTTCATGAAAGGTAATGTGCAAGTCAGAATGCCAGTGTATCAATGTATAATTTAAAAAATTAAGCTATCCTGAACATTGGAAGGTTTATGTGAGACAACTAGTGATTTCTATGACTGTTGATAAATGATTGAAACAAAGATGAACTGGAATCAGAAGGTTCTATGTAATCAGAATTATGAAATCAGAATAAGAATTATTCAGATGTTACATAGTTACACTACCCCAGTCTCCAGTCATGAGTTCTTAAATCCATGGACCAGGACATCCTCTCCTCTACATGAGTGAGTGCTGCCACCTTATTAATTTTGAAGTTTCCCTTTTCAGTGTGCTAAGATAGCCAACCCCTTTTTAAATCAGTCTTGCCTCTATGAAGAAATATCCAGAACACTTTGG
This sequence comes from Homo sapiens, assembly GCF_000001405.40. Lineage (NCBI taxonomy): Eukaryota > Metazoa > Chordata > Mammalia > Primates > Hominidae > Homo > Homo sapiens. The sequence goes on from NC_000008.11 coordinate 87,066,518, forward strand.
AGATTTGGATATTCTAAAACTTTTCAATTAAATAATGAATTACACTCTTATTTTAGTTTTGGAATAGTCAAATATATTGATTGTGTAGGAAGACTTTTTTTAAACAATAATTCAGTGTGCATCTTTATACAATTCCAGATAGGTGTTATACACATTGTTCTTGTCTGATATATACTGAGAAAATCAAGTATTTAGAATTTTATAAATTCTGTAAAAATTGCTTCAATTAGAATATAATTTAATATTTTGAAAACTAATAGTTTCAAAAATTGTGATTAAAGTCATATGGATGTATATCCTTGTGTAAGTTAAAATTATCATTAAATATTTATTTTAATTTTACTTCCTATAATTATTACAATCACCGATGTAATTACTTCTTTATATATTCAAGTTAGACATTTGGCTTTTCAGGATTTTGTTTGTAAAGAAAAAGCTTTGGAGTAGATGATATTGAAGATATGTTCCTGATCTAAAATTTCACAACTACTTCATTAATACAGATTAGGAAGAAAGTCATTCTACTGGCTGCATTTTAAATTTAGGTACAATGCACATGTGTGCTGCCATCATTAGTTAGGGCTGGGTGTAGAAGCATCGCCTCTTCCATATAATGATGCACTTGAGAGCTGAGCTCAATTGTTTAGAGATAGAATGTTAAATATGTCTACGTCTGGTGCTTATAGATTAACAAAGTTTAAATATTGACAATTTGACCATATTTTTTTCCAGCAAATAAACTTGGAAAAAAGTTGGAGAAAGAATACAAAGATAAAGAACACACATTTTTCTCATGCCTTAAAAATGCAGTTCCACCCTTATAATTGTGCAGTTATTATTATGGAATTACTTATTCTCATGGCAGCCTTTTGACTTTGCTATTGAAATTTTAAATCCCCTGTTGCTACCGGGAAGCATTTATTATACGCAAGTATAACATTTTTCCTTTGATTTTTGAAGATGTTGTTTATAAAAATTTCATGAGATACAGTGTTTCTATACACATTTTAATATTTGAAAACTTTTTAATGAACCAAATACGGAAGGTTTCAGGGCAAAAGCAAGTTATCTTGGTCATAAATATTTCAATCTTTTTTCACCATTTTCCAGTGTAAGTATAAGCATTTCTTTTAGAGATTTTAGAACATTCTTTGCATTTTTCAGTCTTCACAAATTAAAATGACTGAACAATGGCCATCTGCTTTAACTCAGTACTTAACTTATAATCTTGTATTTTTAAAACTTGTCTCTTTAAAGTGCGATTGATCTCCATTAACGTATTATTTCTCTGTGTATTTTTTTCATGTTTCACAATATACTTAGTGTTTCCACCTGAGAAGACCAAAGACTATCCTTTGATTTTCATGCTCCTCTACAATAGCTGAAACTAGTTTGACCTAAGAGTAGTTAGCACTTGAGTTTTTCTTGAAAATAATTATCTAAAAAATAATAGCCAAATAACTTATATTCTAAAAACAGGCACACTTAATCTCCTTTACAACTCTAGCAAATCAGATTTTGAACATACGTTAAGCATTCTGAGGTGTGGGCAAGTAATCATCTGTTCTTTCAGTATTTAATTGCTTTTTTAATTGCAACTGTGATTTTGACCTCCAATATAAAGCAAGCATGACTTACTGGGTTACTCAGACAGCAGCAGAAGTGCTTGTAGATGAATGTTATCTTACTCATCAAATTCTGACAAAGTGTTTAGTTAATTTACAAACCACTTGCACACAGAGAGACACTTAAAAATGTGTTTTCAATGAATGGATCTAATAAAATTTTAGGTAATATATAATTACAATGGTAAAAATACTGTTTTGTTTTTTCATTTCGGAAGTATTAAGGGGTAATGAAAGGAAATATCAATTGCTTTTCCACTTTAACCCAATTTAATCTTTACAACAAATCTTTTAATTGGGTTTTATGTAAAGAAACAATACCAAGGCTCCAGGTGATTAAATACGTCACCAGTATGTCAATGTTTCTCAGTGTGTATGTGTTTAGGCCAAGGTTTGAGCCTGGACGTGTCTTGTTAATAATCTTGCTTGTGTTTTGGTAAGCTAATTTTAAGTATTTTCTAAAAGCAAGGGATATATAGTAAATAAGTACATCCATAAAATTAACAAATCAGAGGAAAGATAATTTGTCAGAATCTGTTTAGGATGTAACCTGTTTAGGTAGAGCATTATTAAAGTACATTTGAGGAATCTACAGATAGAATTGCTATTTTCTCTTTCCTTTCTCAACCAAGTCACCTGCCCTCCATCATTCCTTTCTCCTCCTAAAGCCTCTCTCAGCCAAGAGGGAAGTGCTCTGGAACTTTGTTGTACCCTTGGAGGAGGTAAAGCCTCAGAGCTCTTAAGCTAATCCAAGACACTCTCATACAGAAAGAAAAATAGTAAGCACCTTTTGGTACTTCAGTGCCTATGAATAGAGCAAGTTCAGAAACTATCTTGAACAAAACTGCATGCTGCATGTGACGTAGGAACTAATAGAGATATGGTTGAGGTGAGGAAAAGGGACAAGTCTTTGTTTCTATAAACTACACCTGCTAATTTGGTGCTAAGATGAAGCCATTTTTAGGATGAATAAACACATCTCTGCTTTGTAAACGTACCCGTTTATACATTTTTTTGTATTACTTGATAGCTTTGGTATTATTTCATCATTTATCTGTTATTGTTACCCTGGCTGCCTCTGCTGTTGTTACTGTTTTGAAAAGTAACTTGAATAATTATGACCAGGAAATTTTGGCAATGCCTATGTCAAGCAGTGGCAGATATAGTCATGGCTACATAATTAACATTTTGATCAATGACAGGCTGCATATATGATAGTTGTCCCATAAGGTTTTAACACTGTATTTTTACTGTAACCTTTTCTATGTTTAGATATGTTTAGCTACACAAATACTTACCATTACATTACATTTGCCTACAGTGTTTAGTACAGTAACATGATATACAGGTTTATAGTCCAGGAGCAATAGGCTATACCATATAGCCTAGGTGTATAGTAGGATATACCATCTAGGTTTGCGTAAGGATATTCTATGATGTTCACACAAAGACAAAATTGCCTAACAAGGAATTTCTCAGAAGCTATTTCCATCATTAAGCAATGCATGACTGTATAGTGAACCGTGAAAACTTGGAATATAAAAATGTTAGGAATCTACTGGAGTTGCCATTCTTGCTCCACCTTGTCTTTTTCTTGTAAATTTTTAGTGCTTCTGTAATTTAGCATTTTAGTTATGGATAAATTTCATATGGGCATATAATACATTTACCTTTTTACAATTTAATTTTTGATTTGTTTGTACACTGTGCTCAAATGTTCCAAATACCTTTGTTCATGAATCCAGTTACTCATTCATAATAGTGTGATACATACACAGCTACCCAAATCCTACCCCAAATCCTAGGAGAATTCCCATGTGGTTCTGTTCAGTTTTATTTTGGTTGAAGGCTGAGGTTTTCATCTGGTGTCTAAACAAATGAATAATCCTCCACTCTCATGTCAGAGAGTGTCAGATAGCTGGATACTCAAAGGTTTAATAAATTAGTGGGTATCCACATTTCTGGACATTTGAGCACAGTATCTCCTTTACTTAGTCCTGGTGAGGAAAGATCCTTCTTCCATTGTCACTTCATGGATCCTGCTCCGTTCACTTGTTCCTGTCTGGCTGAATTGTCATTCTGTCACCACCTCTTCCTTTTATAACTCTAGTCCTACCCCGCATATATCTATAATATTCTCTCTTGACTAGCATTAGTGTTTTTTGGGTCTTATTTTTGTGTGGGATGGGGAAGAGGAGAAACCACCTTTGGAATTGTTGAAGGAAAAGGTGGAAGTAAGAGAAATAAACATAAAATACACGGATTGTTAATTACAGATAAGATCCTACACATACTTGTTCAACAAATATTTATCAAATGCCTGTTACTACTCAAAAATATATTTAAATGCTGAGAATGGCACACTTTTAAAAAAGACAAGTTCTCTGCTCTCTCAAAAATACTATGTATGACTTTGAGGGAAATTGTGAGAAAAAGAGATTTTTTTTTCCTAAGTGTAATGGGACATTATTATAGATTTTTGAGCTGTGGAATTATATGGCTTATAGTATGTTTTTGGAGGATTAGTTTAGGCTATAAGGAGCAGAAGTGATAGCTGGATTAGATTGGGAGGGGTGATTAAGGGAAATACAATCAAAGGTAATTACCTTGCTTTTGGCATTTATTAACCCAAGCAGTAAATATTTGTTAAGTAGCTACTATGTACCCCTAGGCACCAGCAGTAAATATTTTAGTGCTGACCTCATTACCCAGAGCCTTGATGTTTTCACCATATTAATAAGGAAGAGCACATCCCTAGTTTTTATTATGATTCCAAGGTATTAAAGAATATTATATTAAATATGTGAAATGGGATAGGATAATGTTTACTGTTCTCATTTGAATATTTATTCTCTTCAATTGTTGATTAGTTAATTATTCTTTGGAAGAGAAATTTCGACTGATGATTAAAAAAACAGTTTTTTAAAAAAGGCAAAGAACTTCTGTGGAATGACTCTTTTCTGTGGTGGTTTTTGAACCAAAATACAGTAGTCCAAATGTTTTAGTGAATGTTTAATCTATTTTATGTATTTTTGCATATTTTCATGGTTATTCAATATATAAATTTCTCAAGGTTTATAAAATGAAAATGCAATTTTTCACCACTTTCTAAAATTTTCAAATATTTATAGTATTTTTAATTCACACACTACTGCATACTATAGTTCTACATGTGGCAATGGAGCCTCAACTTTGCTCATTGCTGCAATTCAGACATTTCTGAGAATCCTTAACAAAACTCTTGAAAAGGCTCCATTCATTAGCAGGCTTTGTGTGAGACACTGAGAGGTTTTCTGGTAAAAGTCAAACATACCCACACAAAAACTAATTCTAAAAGTAGGGAGAATTAGGCAAGACAGTCTTAATATTGATTTCTGGTAATGGCAAAATGCATATTATTCATTTATGTTTTCTCATTCAGACCATTAAAAACTCATGTAACAGATTTCAATGGAGGTGATTTGAGGTAGGGTGGTGGTAGTGGAATGAATATATTAATCTTGACTTCTAATTTGATTGCACTGTGGTTTGAGAGACTGTTGTTATTTCAGTTCTTTTGCAGTTGCTGAGGAATATTTTACTCCTGATTATGTGATCAGTTTTAGAGTAAGTGTCATGTGGCGATAAGAAGAATGTATATTCTGTTGTTTTGGGGTGGAGAGTTATGTAGATATCTATCAAGTCCACTTGATCTAGAGCTGAGTTCAGGTCCTGAATATCTTTGTTAATTTTCTGTCTCAATGATCTGTCTAATATTGTCAGTGGGGTATTAAAATCTCCCACTATACTTGTGTGGGAGTCTATGTCTCTTTATAGGTCTCTAAGAACTTGCTTTATGAATCTGGGTGCTCCTGTGTTGGGGGCATATATATTTAGGACACTTAGTTCTTATTGTTGAATTGAACCTTTTACCATTATGTAATGCCCTTCTTTGTCTTTCTTGACATTTATTGGTTTGAAATCTGTTTTGTCAGAAATTAGGATTGCAACCCCGGCTTTTTTGTTTCCTCTTTGCTTGTTAAATTTTCCTCCATTCCTTTATTTTGAACCTATGTGTGTCTTTGCGTGTAAGATGTGTCCCTTGAAGACAGCATACTGATGTGTCTTGGCTCTTCATCCAGCTTGCCATTATGTGTCTTTTAACCAGTTGTCCTATTTACATATAAAGTAAGTATTATTATGTGTGAATTTGATCCTGTCATCATGATGCTAGCTGTTTATTTTGCAGACTTGTTTATGTGGTTGCTTCATAGTGTCACTGGTTTGTCTATTTTGTTTATTGTTTTTTGTAGTGACTGATAACAGTTTTTCCTTTCCACTTTTAGTGCTTCCTTTAGGAGCTCTTGCAAGGCAGGCCTGGTGGTGAAGAATTTCCTTAGCATTTGCTTGACTGAAAAGTATCTTATTTCTCTTTCACTTATGAAGCTTAGTTTGGCCAGATATGAACTTCTGGATTGGAAATTCTTTCATTTAAGAATGTTGAATATTGGCTCCCAATCTCTTCTGGCTAGTAGGGTTTCTGCTGAGAGGTCTTCCGTTAGTCTGATGGGGTTCTATTTGTAGGTGACCTGGCCTTTTTTTTTTGGTTGCCCTTGATATTTTTTTTTCCATTTGACCTTGGGGAACCTGATGATTATGTGTCTTGGGGTTGATTTTCTCGTGTAGGATCTTACTGGGATTATCTGCATTTCCTGAATTTAAATGTTGACCTGTCTTTCTAGGTTGAGGAAGTTCTCCTGGATGATATCTTGTAGTATGTTTTCCAACTTGGTTCCACTCTCCCTGTCTCTTTCAGGCACCCCAATCTGTCATAGGTTTGGTGTCTTTACATAATTCCATATTTCTCAGAGGTTTTGTTCTTTTCTTTCCATTCTGTATTTTTTTTTCTATTCTTGTCTGTGTGTCCTATTCCAGAAAGATAGTCTTCAAGTTCTGCGATTCCTTCCTCTGCTTGTTGTATTCTGCTACTGATACTTGTGATTGAATTGTGAAGTTCTCAGGTCCATCAGGTCAGTTATCTTCTTCTCTAAACTGGGTATTCTGGCAGTCAGCTCCTGTATTTTTTTAATCATGATTCTTAGCTCCTTTGCATTGGGTTACAACATGCCACTTTAGCTCAGTAAAGTTTGTTATTACTCACCTTGTGAAGCCTACTTCTGTCAATTCAGCCATTTTAGCCTCAGCCCACTTCTGTGCCCTTGCCGGAGAGGTATTGTAGTCATCTGGAGAAGAGGCATTCTGGCTTTTTGAGTTTTTACATTTTTACATTGATTCGTTCTTATCTTTGTGAGCTTATCCACTTTTGATCTTTGAGGTTGCTGACCTTTGAATAAGGTTTTCATGAGGTCTTTGTTATGGATGTTGTGTTGTTGTTGTTTTCTGTTTGTTTTTCTTTTAACAGTCAGGCCATTGTTCCATAGGGCTGCTGCTGTTTGCTGCTGTTTCCACTCCAGACCATAGTTGCCTTAGTTTTTCTCATACCCGGATGTATCACTAGTGAAGGCTGCAAAGTGGCAAAGATGGCAGCCTGCTCCTTCCTCTGGAAGCTCTGTCCCAGTGGAGTACTGATGTGTTGCCAGCCTGAACATCCCTGTAGGAGGTGTCTGGAGGCCCCCAATGAGAGGGCTCACCTAGTCAAGAGGAACAGGATCAGGGACCTTCCTAAAGAAGCAGTCTGGGCCGGGTGCAGTGGCTCATACCTGTAATCCCAGCACTTTGGGAGGCTGAGGTGGGCAGATCACGAGGTCAGGAGATTGAGACCATCCTGGTTAACATGATGAAACCCCGTCTCTACTAAAAACACAAAAAAATTAGCCAGGCGTGGTGGTGGGCGCCGTAGTCCCAGCTACTCGGGAGGCTGAGGCAGGAGAATGGTGTGAACCTGGGAGGCAGAGCTTGCAGTGAGCCGAGATCGCGCCACTGCACTCCAGCCTGGGTGACAGAGCGAGACTCCATCTCAAAAAAAAAAAAAAAAGGCAGCAGTCTGGCTGCTTTTTGGTAGAGCAGGTGTGCTGCACTGGGGGTTGTTGGGAGGGGAGCCATTTGTTGTTACATTTGGACTCTCCAAAGCTGGCAGGCTGGAATGACTGAGTTGACCAAACCACAGAGATGGTGGCCACACCCTCCCCCTGGGAACATGGTCCCATCTCAGGCAGACTCCAGCCTGTTGCCATTGGCTGGCTGGAATTCCAAGCCAGTGGGTCTTAACTTGTGAGGTGCTGTGAAATTTGGGCCTGCAGAATGATGCTGCTTGGCTCTCTGGATTCTTCCCCATTCCTAGGGATATGTACAGACAGATCTCCCACCTTTTTGGGGATCCTGGGGCTGGAGTATGTAAAACTCCAGGATCTCTGTGTGTGCCTAAGCAACTGCTCTGCTGAGACTCCACACAGCAATATGTATCGAATCCAAGGCCCTGGTGCCATGGGCTCACAAGGGGATCTCCTGATATATGGGTTGCAAAGATCGGTGAGAGAAGTGTGGTTTCCTGGGTGAGGTCACACAATCACCTGCTGCTTCCCTTGGCTGGGAGTCAGGGCTCTTTTGGCTGTGTACCACTCCTGGGTGGACTATCACCCCACCCTGCTTTTCTTCATTCTCCGTGGGTCAGCTTGTTTGCCTAATCAGTCCCAAGGTGAGAACCTGGATATTTCAGTTGAAGGCACTGAATTCACTTGCCTCTTTCATTCCTCTCCATGAGTGCCACAGACTGAAGCTGCTTCTAATCAGCCATCTTGCAGAAACCACTAGTTTCATTTCTTTAGCATTAGGAATTGAATTTCAGTATAATTTAGTGGTTAGAAGCAGAGATCTTGGCTCTTTCAATTATTTAATCTGTCTTTTTGGAAAAAGTACATAGCTTCTGTCTGTTTTAGTTTGCTCATCCATATATGGGGTTAGTAGTACTACTTATCTCTTAGGCATATTATGAATATTAAATAAGTTATTTGTAAAACTCCTGGAGCACTATGGCACATAGTGAGCATATATGAAGTTAATCACTCATTTAAAAATATTTTTTCTATGAGAAGAAAAGTCTCTTTTATTTGTATATCCTCAATTACTAGTGAGGTAAATCATATAGGATGCCCATATGTTTACTAGTGAGGTAAAACATATAGGATGCCCATGCAGTTCTTTATTGAACTGCTTGTATGAAACCAACCCAATAGTCCCATAGATAGATAGTTTTTTTCTAAACAAAGAAATCGATCCCACTGGTCTTAAAGCTCAAAACTTGCATTTGTTTTATCTGAGTTCCTTCCTTAGGAAACAAACTTCAGGTCTCTCACCAAAAAAAGTATAAAAAATTGAAACTCTCCTGATTACCACATCCAGACAGTGAGATGCTGGAGTCCTCATTCATCATGATTGCTTCTTTTTCCCTCCCTAGTTCCTGTTTTTGTTGTTTTTTTCAGACATTGTTAAATTTCTTCCCTACTATATAAACTCCTAGCTTTAGTGAGTCAGGGAAGTCAATTTGAAGTTGAGCTTCTATCTCTTTGGCCATAGCACCTGATTAAAGCCTTCTTCCTTGGCAATAATCATTGTGTCCCTGATTGGCTTTCCATGAGATGAGCAGCAGGACCTAGGCTGAACCCCTAGTGTCTTGGTAAAATGTACATGGGTGTTTGGCGAATGTTTTAATCTTTTTATTTTTGTTTTTAATAGCTCTCTCAGCTTTCTGTGAGGTGAGCAATGGTGCCTAGACTGAACCCCTGGGGTTTTGGTAAAATGTACATGGGAGTTTGGGAAATATTATTATCTTTTTATTTTTGTCTTTAATAGCTCTCTGAGTGAGAGAGACTCCTTTAGCCCTTGCATCTAACTTCTGTTTTTCAAATTTCCATTGGCATACTAAAGAAAAATATTATACATACACTAGTGGTGTAAATCAGGATACATTACATATGAAGCAATTTCAATTATGTTTCTGAAATAGTGCAGATGGGATAAGAGTGAGGAAGGCAGAGATTTACCACCTATATAAGAAAAGCTCTAATATATCCAGCATGAAGTGGGTGAGAACTACAGAGGAGGTTGAGTGACAAGGCAGGAAGTAGATTTTATTAAACTTCAGAGGAATGCCCTGATTTCTAGAGTCTGCACAGAGTGTTGATACCATAATGGTAATCACAACCTATATCTGGATGATATGGTAATAGGGCCTGATATAATGTAGTCCTAGCATATGGTCACTCTACAAATAGGACTTTTGACTGGTGCTATTGGTGGCCTATATTTTTTATTACTTAAATTATTTAGGTCTCCTAATTGCAATAAAATATTAAATAGTGTAATGGAACTTTTTTTTTTTTGAGACAGAGTCTCACACTGTTGCCCAGGCTTGAGTGCAGTATCATGATCTTGGCTCACTGCAACCTCCACCTCCTGGGTTCAAGCGATTCTCCTGCCTCAGCCTCCTGGGTAGCTGGGACTACAGGCATGCCCCACCATGTCTGGATAATTTTTTGTATTTTTAGTAGAGATGGGGTTTCATCGTGTTAGCCAGGATAGTCTCGATCTCCTGACCTTGTGATCTGCTTGCCTTGGCCTCCCAAAGTGCTGGGATTACAGGCGTGAGCCACCACACCCGGCTGAACTATTAATTACATTAGCTAACCACTCACCTATTTAAACACAATAAAGCTCTCTGTGTCATATGTCAGGAAAATGTAACTGAGAGATTTATTTGAGAAATTCAAAGGACAAGCATTCATGATAAATAATACAGAAATTATATGAATTGACTTATCCAAGACTGTCTTGCATCATTGCACATGATATAAATGAGGAATTGAACATTCTGAAAATTTTGACTTTGTTGACATTAAAAAGCTATTTAATATTTGCTTGTTGAAAATATCACCAAAATAATTTGTTGACAAAGCAAATCAGAGTTTATTGCTTACCATGGAAAGGGAAACATTTACTTTGATAGAGTTTTAGTAGTGTCTCAGAAGAGGGAGGGCAAAGGAAGGATATTTTTGAGGCCTTGAGGGACCTGGCTTAAAAAGGATCTTTTCAATGTTGGAACTCGCCTTAATCAGTTTGGGCTGCTATAACAAATTACCATAGATGGAGCGACTTAAACAACAAACTTGTATTTCTCACTGTTCTGGAGATTTAAAGTCCTAGGTCGGGCTGTCAGCAGGGTGGGATTCTTAGTGAGGGTTCTCTTCCCGGTTTATGAATGGCTATCTTCTTGCTGTGGCCTCACATGGCAGAAAGACGGCTAACTAGCTCTTAGGCCTCTTCTTCTTCTTCTTCTTTTTTTTTTTTTTTTTTATTATACTTTAAGTTCAATGTGCACAATGTGCAGGTTTGTTACATATGTATACATGTACCATGTTGGTTTGCTGCACCCATTAACTCGTCATTTACATTAGGTATTTCTCCTAATGCTATCCCTCCCCCCTCCCCCATCCCTCTACCGCATGACAGGCCCTGGTTTATGATGTTCCCCACCCTGTGTCCAAGTGTTCTTGTTGTTCAATTCCCACCTATGAGTGAGAACATGTGGCGTTTGGTTTTCTGTCATAGCGAGAGTTTGCTGAGAATGATGGTTTCCAGCTTCATCCATGTCCCTACAAAGGACATGAACTCATCCTTTTTTATGGCTGCATAGTATTCCATGATGTATATATGCCAGATTTTCTTAATCCAGTCTATCATTGATGGACATTTGGGTTGGTTCCAAGTCTTTGCTATTGTGAATAGTGCTGCAATAAACACACGTGTGCATGTGTCTTTATAGTATCATGATTTATAATCCTTTGGGTATATACCCACTAATGGGATCACTGGGTCAAATGGTATTTCTAAAAGGACACTAATCCCATTCATAGGGGCTTCAACTTCATGACTTAATAACCTCCCAAAGGTCTCACTTCCAAATGTCATCACATTAAAATTAGACCTTCAATGTGTACATTTTGGGAGAACACAAACCTTCAGTCTATTGTAGGAGTTCATTAGAATTGGGCAAGCTTCAGGATATAATATTTTAAAAGTGATAGACCCAGAGAAGCAAGGATTTTGAGGCAAGAGTTCCTAAATGAGCCTTGGCCAGTCAATAAGACTAGGTGGGCTGTCCACTATTTTTAGATGAGTACTTTCAAAAGGTTCCTGAAAGAACAATTGAATATTTCTGCAATTTTACTTTCCTGGGAACAGATTGCTAAAATAATAAAATAATGTTAATGTCAGTGTAAAGCTGTGTGAATGTTGCTAGTTTTATTTCTCAAAGCAGTACATTTGTAGATAAAATATCTATTTCAAGCAATGTAACAAGGAACAAATGCCACGAGAATAATTTAACAGACCTAGGAGCCAATGCAGAGACCAGACTCTGGTTTTAATGTCTCCTCTACAAAAATAAACATTATTTGTTTGAGGGGAATCATTGCATTTGATCCATTACTTCCTTATCAAAGATACTCATATGCTTGATTTTCTCCATTTACGAGGAGTTTGCTGCAGTTGGAAACAGAGGACTGAAAGGGACTAATAGAGTCTTGATGGCTTTGGCTCTTTTGTTTGTGTTTAAGAGCATCACAGGAAAAGAAAATTAGGGAGATTTTAGTATTAAAAAGAGCTGTAACTTTTCAAAAGCTATTCAGGCATGATTTAGAGTTGATCCAGAATATAAATAAAGTGATATCCAATGACAGCAGTCAAATAATATGGTCTATAGGTATATATAGTGTTTGCTCTCAGTAGTTTATTAAGAATCATTTTTAATATCAACTTTATGCATAATTTATTTACAATTATTTCATCCAATTAAAGTAAATAAATTGATACACCACCAATATTAGACAAAACTGTGTTACTCCCAAAAAGTTTCATTATGCCCATAGGCAGTCTATCCCCCCCTTTTTTTCTAGACCCAGGAAACTACCAATTTTTTTTTTTGGTCAGTATGATTAGTTTCCAATTTTAAGACATTCTGTATAAATTGAGTCTTACAAAATAATTTCACAGTGTCTAGTTTTTTTCACTCAGCATGCAGATTTTAATGTCATCCAAGTTTTGTGGTAATCTGTTACTTTTTAATAATGAATAGTTTTTTATTGTTATGATAATACAATTTTTTTTCATTCATTGTGCATTTGGGTTGATTTCAATTTTGGATAGTGAATAAAGGTGTTATGAAGATTTATGTAAATGTTTTCATAGAGCCGTAGGGCTAGAATGGCTAGATTGTATAGAAGGAGTAATTTTTATAAATATTTTAAGAAATAATCAAATTGTTTTCTAATGTGGCAGTACCATTTTACATTTCCATTATCAGTATATGAGAGTCTCAGTTACCTTCATATTTTCACCAACACTTAGTATTGTCAGTCTTTTTAATATAGCTATTCTAATAAATGTGTAGTAGCATCACATTAAAAATTTAATTTGCAGTTCTCTCATAATCCTTGATATTGAGAATCTTTTCGTGGACATATTGACATTTGTATATTTTTTCGCTTATTGATTTATCTTTTGTGTATCTGTACAAAACTTTGGCCCACTTTTTATATAGTTGTTTCTTTTTTTATTGAGTTAGAAGGACTTCTTATTGAACACACATATTTTGTCTCACAAATGTATTGCAAATATTTTTCCAATTCTGTGGCTTGCATTTTAATTTTTTAAAAAAGATCTTTTAAATAGCGGGATACTTTTATTGTAATAAAGTTTAATTTTTCAGGGTTTTCTGTTATGCTTTGTGATATTTGTGTTGTAATTAAGAAATACTTGGCTAACAATAGATGCAAAGATTTTTCTCATTTTTTTCTTCCAGTTTTAAGTTTTAAATTTAGATTTCTGTTCCATTTTGGGTTAATTTTTGGATACAATGTGAAGTAAATGTCAGTGTTCATTGTTTCCATATTGATATTCATTAGTTCCAAAAATATTTGTTGAAAACTATTTTCCTTTCCCTATTAACATTTCTCGTCATCCTTGTCAAAAATCAATTGAGCCTACATTTCTGGGTCTACTTCATTTATGTGTGTATCTGTCCTTTCATGAATACCACATTGTCTCGATTGGTGTAGTTTTATAATAAGCCTGGCAATCAGATATGGTAAGTCTTCCACCTTTGTTCTTTTTCAAAATTACTTTGGATTTTCTAGGTCAGTGTAATACTTAAAAATTGATTTTTAGGTCTGGGTATGGTGGCTCACACCTGTAATCCCAGCACTTTGGGAGGCCGAGGCAGGTGGATGACAAGGTCAGGAGTTTGAGACCAGCTTGGCTAACATGGTGAAACCCCGTCTCTACTAATAACGCAAAAATTAGCTGGGCGTGGTGGCACACACCTGTAATCCCAGCTGAGGGATAGCGAATCACTTGAACCCGGGAGGTGGAGGTTGCAGTGAGCCAAGATTGTGCCATTGCACTCCAGCCTGGGTGAAAGAGTGAAGCTCCATCTCAAAAAAAAAAAAAATAGATTTTTGATTTCCCTTTTACTTTCTGCAAATGATTATTTAGGATTTGAATCATTTTTTAGTTAAATATGTTGTAGACTTTGCCAGTGTTGTGAACTTGTTCTGTAGTCTTCTTTATGGAAAGATTTTAAATTATAATTTATTTATCTTAATAGATATTGGACTATATACTTCTCTGAGCTAAGGTAGTTTGAGTCTTTCATTAAGTTTGTCCATTTCACTAAATCTTCAAAATGTTTTTTGGTCAATGTTAATAATATTCACTTAATATTATTTTTAATATCTGTAGGATCTGTAGTGACTATTTTTTCTCTCATTCTTGATATCAGTAGTTTGCTTCTTTTTTCCCCTTGTCATTGTGTCTAAAAGTTTGCCAATTTTTAAATCTTTCACCCATTTTTTTTTGCTTTCATATATTTTCTCTTTTCAATTACATTTATTTTCTTCTTTCCTCTTGTTTTGTGTTTAATTTGCTCTTCATTATCTTATTTCTTAAGGTGGAGGTTTACATTATTGATTTGGAACTTTTATTGTTTTTTAAAATAAGCATTTAGTCTTCTAAATGTTTCTCTAAATACTTATTTAGCTTCATCCTATTGTTTTTGATATGTTGTGTTATCATTTTCATTTTTTCCATAATATTTTCTAATCTTTCCTTATTGATTCTTCTTGACAAATGGGTTATTTAGAAGTGTTTAATTTTTACTTATTTGAGAATTTTCTAGCTATCTTTCTGGTGTGTATTTCTAGTTGAATTCCCTTGAGATAAGAGAACATACTTCACATGATGTGTTTTTTCAGAATTTTGTTTAGGCTTGTTTCATGCCTACAATATCAATTATCTTAGTGAATGTACCATGTGCATTTGAAAAAACAGTGCATTCTGCTGTTATTGGGTGGACTATTTTTTGTTTTTTTTGTTTTTGTTTTTTTTTTTTTGAGATGGAGTCTTGCTCTGCCTCCAGGCTGGAGTGCAGTGGCGCGACCTCGGCTCACTGCAAGCTTCGCCTCCCTGGTTCAAGCGATTCTCCTGCCGCAGCCTCCTGAGTAGCTGGGATAACAGGCGCGCCACCACACCCAGCTAATTTTTTTTCATATTTTTAGTAGAAACGGGGTTTCACTATGTTGGCCAGGATGGTCTCGATCTCTTGACCTCGTGATCTGCCTGCCTCGGCCTCCCAAAGTGCTGGGATTACATGCATGAGCCACCACGCCTGGCCTGGATGGACTGTTTTATAAATGAAAATTAATTCAAATAGGCTGATAATGTTGTTCAGGTGTCAATTTAGTCTCTAATTTTTCTGTCTATGCATTACTTAGATTATTGATAGAGGATTAATTGTAGTTTGTTTATTCCTCCTTGCAGTTCTATCAGTTTTTGCTTCGTGCATTTTAAAACTCTGCTGTTAGATGAATACACACTTAACATAGCAGCGTCTTCTTGGTGAATTGATTGTCAGGCCTCTGAGCCCAAGCTAAGCCATCATCACCCCTGTGACTTGCACGTATACATCCAGATGACCTGGAGCAACTGAAGAACCACAAAGATGACATTTCACCATTGTGATTTGTTCCTGCCCCACCCCAATTAATCAATCGACCTTGTGACATTCCCCCCGGACAATGAGTCACATGATCTCCCCACCCTGCACCTTGTGACCCACACCCCTGCCCGCAAGAGATAACCACCTTTAACTGTAATTTTCCACTACCTACCCAAATCCTATAAAACTGCCCCACCCCTATCTCCCTTTGCTGACTATTTTTTTGGACTCAGCCCACTTGCACCCAAGTGAAATAAACAGCCTTGTTGCTCACACAAAGCCTGTTGGTGGACTCTCTTCACAGGGATGTGCATGACACTGATCACTTTATAGTCATGTAATGTCCTTCTTTATCTTGACAATATTCCTTGTTTTGTTGTCTGCTTCACCTGCATTAACATCTGCCCGAGCTTGCTTTTTATTAATGTTTGAATGGTATAGTTTTTTTCTTTTCATTTTATTTTTAAACTATTTATGTCTTTATATTTAAGTGGGTTTCTTATACACTGCATACAACTGAACCCTGTGTGTGTGTGTGTGTGTGTTTTAATTCAATCAGATAATCTCTGTACTTTAATTTAGGTGTTTAGACCATATACATTTAATGTATCACTGTGGTTGAATTTAAATCTACCATCTCTTTGGTTGTTTTCAAAATGTTCCATCTGTTTATTCTTTGGTTTTCTTTTTCTCAATTTAGGTCTCCTTTTGGATTGATTTTAAAATGATTCCATTTTAAATGATTCTATTGCCTCATTGGTTTATTAAATCTTTACAAAAACTTTTTAGTGGCTACTTAGAATTGACAATATGCAACTTTAATTTATTACACTCTACCTTCAAATAATATCACCTCACATGTTGTGTTTGAAAACTAAGCTCTGATTTTTTCTTATCTTGCCCAAATTCCTATCTAAGGGGTCTGGGGAGTCATGCCCTACAAACCATAAATTCTCATCAGATGGGTTTTATTTAACACTATATATCATGACTTACTTTCCAGTCTCACCCTGGCATAACACTATGTGACAAAGAAGAAAATCAAAATATTTTATTCCCAAACATGTTTCTTTGCGATATTTTAAAATGGCGCTACTAAGCCGTCCTTTGTGGGAACAAATTTGCACCTGTATATAATCTCTATTAACATAGCTAGATCTTTTTCTTCCAGGCCCTCCTAATCCTGAAGAGATTAACTAAGAGTCTAGCACCTTTTAAAGGTCTGAACAGGAAACATTTGTCATCTATTACCTCTATGGGCAGCCACTATAAGACTTCAAAAGAACCTTGGTCTCCACAATCTTTTATCTTAACCTGAATATTTCCTTTCTATTGATCCCAGGTCTTCAGACAAACTCAACCAACTGTCAACCAAAAATTCTTTCAATTTACCTATAGCCTGGACTCCCCACCCTCTTCCCCTGCTTTTGACTTCTGGACCAAACCAATGTATTTCTTTTTTTTTTTTTTTTTTTTTGAGACGGAGTCTGACTCTGTGTCCCAGGCTGGAGTGCGGTGGCTGGATCTCGGCTAAGTGCAAGCTCCGCCTCCCGGGTTCACTCCATTCTCCTGCCTCAGCCTCCCAAGTAGCTGGGACTACAGTCGCCTACCACCACACCCGGCTAATTTTTTGTGTTTTTAGTAGAGACAGGGTTTTACCATGTTAGCCAGGATGGTCTTGATCTCATGACCTCGTGATCCGCCTGCCTCGGCCTCCCAAAGTGCTGGGATTACAGGCTTGAGCCACCGCGCCTGGCCAAACCAATGTATTTCTTAAGTGTATTTGATTGGTGTCTCATGCTGCCCTAAAATGTATAAAAACAACCTGCATCCTGACCACCTTGGGCACATGTTCTCAGGACCTCCTGAGGGCTATGTCATGGCCCATGGTCACTCATATTTGGCTCAGAATAAATCTCTTCAAATGTTTTACAGAATTTGATTCTTTTCATTGACATGTTAAAGGATTACAACAGTATATTTCCACTTATCTATAATTTATACCACTGTTTTCATGTTTCATTGTATATATGTTGTAAAACCCAAAATACTTTAATATTATTTTTGCTTTAAACAGTAGTGTCTTATAAAGACATTTTTAAAAAGTTTTAAAATCTGTATCTTTATTATTTTATCATTCCCAGAACTCTTCATTTCTTTATTTAGATTCAGTTTCTGTCTGGTATTATAATCCTTCTACTGGAAAAAATTGAGTTAATATTTCTTGTAGCACAGGCATGCTGACAATGGATTCTCTCAGCCTTTATCTGAAATTATGTTTAACCTTTGTTTCTTCTTTGCTTTGAGAGATGTTCCCACTAATAAAGAAGTCTGGATGAACAGGTTTTTTTTTCTTCTGCACTTGAAATATGTCATCCCATTGTGTTTTGATTTGCATAATTTTTGATGAAAAGTTACTGTATTGTATGTAAAATATTCCTGTATTGTATGAAATGGGTCATTTTTTTCTGTCTGCTTTCAAGATTTTCACTTTTAAAACCTTTTCTTTAGTCTTCGTATGATGTATTTAGTTTTCTTTCTTTTTTTCTTTTCTTTTTTTTTTTGAGATGGAGTTTCACTCTTGTTGCCCAGGCTGGAGTGCAATGGCACAATCTCAGCTCACTGCAACCTCTGCCTCCCAGGTTCAAGGGATTCTCCTGCCTCAGTCTCCTGAATAGCTGGGATTCAGGCATGTGCCACCATGCCCAGCTAATTTTGTATTTTTAGTTGAGACGGGGTTTTTCCATGTTGGTCAGGCTGGTCTCGAACTCCCAACCTCAGGTGATCCACCTGCCTCAGTCTCCCAAAGTGCTGGATTACAGGCGTGAGCCACTACGCCCAGCCGTATTTAGTTTTCTTTTTAAACAATACTTATGTTGTGTTTTTTTCTAAGCCTTTTAAATGTGTACTTTGATTCCTTTAGTTATTTTTGAAGAATTCCCAGTCATTATCTTTTCAAGTATTTCTTCTGCCCCATTCTCTTTCTCTTCCCCTTTTGAGATTTCAATTACATGTGTATTTGATGGTTTGCAATTCATCCACAGATCCTGCATGCTGTTGATCCCATCAAAGGCATTCTTCTTATCTGTTACCATGCTTTTTATTTCTATAATCACTGCATTAATCATATGGATCATATGTGGGCCTGATTCTTCCTATTGCCTTGTCTTCTAGTAGTGTGCTGTTTTTCCTTGCTTTGTTGTGTTTCTCAAATTTTGTACTTGATAAGCTGATGGTATGTATAAGATACATACACATGTATATGTATATGTATACATATAAATAAAATTTATTGAGTCTTTTTTTTATTTGTGTCTAGAAGTGGGGCTAATTTCTCTCTTTGTTCAGTTTTTATCATGAGGGATTGAGCTAATATAGTCAGAAGTTGAGCTAGTTTTATTTATTTATTTTTATTCTTATGGTTATCCTCAGTGCACTGCTGATTTCAAATTCCTCTAGTGTTGTCTTTTACTTAGAGTGGCAGCTGAGTAGCAAGTTTTCCTCAATATTCCTCTTACAACCTCAGCTTTAGGGTTCCCCTGTGAGTCTGTGCCTGTGAGAGGTTCTTTTCTTTTCCCATGTTCTTGTACTTTTCTCAGCAGGAGACTTCTGTTACTTGCTTCCTGTTGCTTGCTAGCCTTGTGTTGGTGGGTGTAGGGCCATTCTCTGCTACCTGGGTTCAGCCTCAGTCTTAGGCAGGTCCCTGGGCTTCAGAGATGGTACTTTCTCAGTGATTCTGGCCCTAATCCAGCTAGGATTAGGGTTTATTTGTCTCCTTACCTTAGTTTGCAGTTGTAATGGGTCCCCACCTACATGCTTTTACCCTTGGGCTTAAGCTTTTGTTTCATAATAGGGATAGGGCAAAGGGATCATGCTTTCCCTCAGTGTCTGTTCCTTCCCTTTTTCAGGTCTTTTAGTGAGGGAGCTTTTGTAATTTCAGCAATGGGTCTCTCATCTAAGTTCCTGGTGAGATCCCTGGAGAAGAGTTTGTGAATGGGTTTGAATTCTTGAATCTGAGGCTCTGAAGGGTTTTATAATCTCATTCTAGCTCACACTCATCCCCTTTTAGAAATTCAATAATACTTTTTAGCTGGGTTTTTCTTACTGGGTTATAAAGCACCCAGTGCCTCTTCCTCGCATGCTCTGTCTGCCTCAGCTTATGCTCCTCTGTCCTTGGAGACACCTGACTTTTCTTAGGTATCAGACAAGATTTTTGCTGAGTAACCCCAGCCCTCTGATTTATGCAAGAAAAGTTATGCTTTTGAAGATTAGCTTTTTCTGATTGTTAGAAGGTGGGAGAGGCATTCTTTCCAGCTTTTTACTTGCTAAGCCAAATGCAAATACAATTTTGAGAAGTAGAAAAAGAAAGTATATTGGCAAAAGTCTACAGGCTCAGAAAAGACATTATGTTGTAATAAGTATATGAAGATATTGCTGAAACAATGATAACTGTGTTAAGATTTTCAGATGTTTTCCCTAGAGCAATGTGAATATTATAAACCTGCTTTTAAAGGCCAAAATACTATTTATTTTCAAAATGATGATTTTGTGAAAAATGAAAAAAAATTTAAATTATGTGATTATTTACTGAAAATACAAATGATAAAATTGATTTTAATCTATAAAACAAAACAAAATATTATAATGCTATATTTCTTATAGTAGGTATTTAGTTTTTGAGTAATCCTTAAGGGATGGCTAGGTAGATCCTTTACGAGTTCATTAATTATTGCCTTCATTTGAAAGCTTCAGTTGCATGTAACAGAAAATCCAACTTAAACTACCTTAAATAGAAAAGTGAATGTGCTTTCTCATAAAGACAAGAAACTAAAGACAGTAAGATTTTATGCAAAGATTGAACCAGAGGTTTATAATGTTTAACAGGACTCCAGTGATATTCCTCTGAACCAGTCATTGTCCCCAAGAGGATGCAGTGTACTTCTTGGATTGATTTAAATTACAGGACTCTTTCCTGGAAGTGGCAGTTAATTCAACTTCCTGAGAATGAAACATATTGTAAATGAATATCAGGAATATGTATGAGGCAAAAAAAAAAAAAAAATGTTAGTGAGGCACTCCCCAGTATCTATTCTACACACACACACATATATATATACGTATATATATATATACATATATATATACGTATATATATATATATATTTTTTATTGCCCAATACATATAAAACACCAAACTAGACATATTGGGTGTTTGGAGGGGATGAAGAGAAATCACTGTTTACTTTTAAAAACTAGAGCAAAATATGAGAAAGCATTTTGTTGAAGAACGTTGTAAGAAAAATGATTCAGAGATTCCTCTATTGAAGTACATTCTTTTTTTTTTTTTTTTTTGAGTTGGAGTCTCACTCTGTCGCCCAGGCTGGAGTGCAGTGGCGCGATCTCGGCTCACTGCAAACTCCGCCTCCCGGGTTCACGCCATTCTCCTGCCTCAGCCTCCCGAGTAGCTGGGACTACAGGCGCCAGCCACCACGCCCGGCTATTTTTTTTTTGTATTTTTAGTAGAGACGGGGTTTCACCGTGTTATCCAGGATGGTCTCGATCCCCTGACCTCGTGATCCGCCCGCCTCGGCCTCCCAAAGTGCTGGGATTACAGGCGTGAGCCACTGTGCCCAGCCATGAAGTACATTCTTGAGAATCTCAGGATTTTAGAGCTTGGAATTACCTGAGAGATCACTGAGTTTACCTTTCTCATTTTACAGATGAGGTAATGGAGACCACAGATGCTAAATGACTTGCAAAGGTCATGCGGTCAGCAGGTGGTGAATCCTAGGCAAGAACATATTTTTGGCTTTGAGACTGCAGCTCTTTCCATTACTCCATATTTATTTTGAAACAGAGAAAAAAATTCTGATTAGCTTATATGCACATAAAGTCATTTGTCAC
The DNA here is from genome assembly GCF_000001405.40 of Homo sapiens. Lineage (NCBI taxonomy): Eukaryota > Metazoa > Chordata > Mammalia > Primates > Hominidae > Homo > Homo sapiens. Next base: position 87,088,034 of record NC_000008.11, read on the forward strand.
CATAGAATAGCCTTACTGCAGTAATACATTGATGGCAAAAGTTCCATCCTCCTTTTCAAAGGCCTAGTTTGTATGTGTGTCTGCTTATGAATGTAACTTTAGATTAAAGTGCTTATTAGTTTTTTTCCCCTTTGTTTCAAAGACATTTTTCAAATGTTTTACCTTTGACACTGCCACCTGCCCACACTTATGAATATTAAATAATGTTAGAGGTTAATGCACTACTAATGATAGGTTGTTGTAACTCAATTGGACCCTCTTGGCAAGAAATGCTCAATAAAATGCTCTTTCTACAGCAAAACTAAGTGGTCCTGGTTATATCCTGTGTGATTGAGGAAAATAGGATTTTATTTTGGTATATCTGTGTGACATATATGTCTTTCAGGATAATATAAAAAGAGTATGTATGACTTTTATAAATCATTTATGAGTTTACCACTTTTCATAGATATTACTCTTTTAGTAGTGCTTGTTTTTAAAATATCATGCCAAGTAATTTAACTTTTAATATTGTTAAATTGAAAAATTTTAAAATCACAATGAAATTGTTTTACATGTTAATTATAGTAATAGTAGCTATATTATGATAAAGATTATTAGGAAGAATCTAAATTTTGACATTGGTTTTACTAGTTTTCTATTACTAAAAGGTTTCATTAATTCTACTTCTCTTTATAATAAAGGTAAAAGTGTATTTTAAAAAGAATGGCCTGTAAACTAAGTCTTTTTGAAAATATATCAAAATACAGAATGTGATATAACAGCAGAAATTGAGCACTGTTATTGCTCTTGGAATTTTGGTGTGTAAAAGTAAAACTGAAAGAGAATCTCTATCTTTAAAAAACTGACAATCTGTTAGAAGAAATATGGCATGAACATATAAATAACTATACACAGACAAATGTGATATGAACTGTATGAGTAATACCCAGTAACTTCAGAATACAAAGGAGAAGAGATGACTTTGACTAAGAAGATTTACGGGAAGCTTCATAAAGAATAAACTAGTTGGGCTAGGCTTTACAAATGCTTAGTTGATAAAAAAGAGAAACAAAAGATGTAAAGGCAAGAAAGATCACAGCATTTCAGGGAAAGGCAGAAAATATCATTTGGTGGGAGAGATGGATCTATGAAGTGAAGTCAATGGAATTAGAGATTGAAAAAAGGGTAATTTGACTAGGAATAGTGGACCACAGACATGATTCTGTAGCTAATGCTGGTTATTAAAAGTATGAGCTTGAGAGCTCATAGTCATATAATCTAAATATACTTTAAGAATAATTTTTTTGTAACTAGATATAGGATGGACTTGAATATGTGTGTTAGTTTAGAAAGGCATAGAAAAAAATCTAATGATGTTATCACGTATTCCAAGCAAGAGATAATAAATTCAGTTCTGGCACCAGAAAATGGAAAAGAGGTTAAATATAATTAGCATTATAGAAATTGACTTGGCAAGACATTGTGACTAACTAATGGTTTGTCTGGATTTGTTGGGGATTAAGAGACATATTTGAGAAAAGGTGTCCGTTACTTTAAGGAAGGTTGGAAGACGGAAGACTAAACAAGATATTGAGTTAGTGATTTGAAGATGCTTCTTTCAATAAAGAAATTTTCTCAATTGTATAGAGTCATAGGGGTGAGACTATATTATAAAGAATTGAGGGGTAACTGAAAGGTGAGAAAATGGCTTTGGAATTATACTTTACTTTTTTTTCTCAAAGAATTTAACTTTTTATTTCCTTCTGTTTAAGTTTTTATACTATTGGATTATTAGTGTTGAAATGCTACTTGTTCATACAAAATGTCTTTCATTAGTAACATGTAGGTATTTGATAATACAGCTAATAAATTCCTGAAAAATTAGATATTCAGATACCCAGCCTTAGCTTACATATATGAATAGGGAATTCAGGTTGGACAATATTTCTATTTCTCCTATTTTATTGTATTTCCATGAATACAAATGTAAAAAGAGTACACCTTTATACCATTTCTATTTTTAATTACTTAGTTCTTCTGGCACACCCTTTCAAAGAATGTAATGTTTCTATTTCACTTAATTGCTGTTTAATTAATATGCAGTTCATAAGTGAGGAGGATAAATGTAATAATTCACAAAAGATAAGTAAGCCAAACACTGTTTGTTCATTCCTTCTGGGCTATGATTTGAGAATATGCAGGACAATACACGTTTTATAAAGATTCAAATGAGATTATTTCCTTTGGTGATTCTCTAATATATTGTCTCTTAAGAATGCTAACTTATTTTGAATGACTGTCTTGTGTGGCAAAAATAACCTTCTAAGTTAAGAGTATATAATGATAGATGACTTAATAGTACAGTGTTCACCAATATCCTATGATGATGAGGAAGTGATTGGAAAGACAGTAATCCATCTGGATATAGTCATTTTCAATATCCTACTGAATTAACGACTATGCATTTTTAGTGGAACACATTTATATTTGGATGTAGTGGATGTAAGTGTCTACAACAGCATTCTTAACTTTCTGATCTTCAAAATTAATTTTAGTAGAAGACTTGGTTTTTCCAAAAGCTATCTTCATTTGTCTGTAAAATCTACACTGAATGAACTCGTGTAATAAATTTACTGATTGAATTTGATTAATTTATTTAATTTTTCTCTTTAGAAATTTTCTTCTAAATCAGGTAATTTAAACAATTAGATTGAGTTTGTTACATATTTTTAAAAATAGTTAAATGGAAACATTGTAATATTATCACAATTAATTTGTTATTTAAATGATAGCTTATGACACATTAAACTTTTTCTAGTGCTGGGATTCTTTTTAGAAAGTTAGGCTGTGCACGGTGGCTCACACCTGTAATCCCAGCACTTTGGGAGGCCAAGACAGGTGGATCACCTGAGGTCAAGAGTTCGAGACAAGCCTGGCCAACATGTGAAACCCTGTCTCTATGAAAAATATAAAAATTAGCCGGGCATGGTGCTGGGCACCTGTAATCCCAGCTACTCGGGAGGCTGAGGCAGGAGAATCACTTGAACTCAGGAGGTAGAGGTTGCAGTGAGGTGAGGTAGTGCTACTACACTCCAGCCTGGGTGACAGAGTGAGACTCTGTCTCAAAAAAAAAAAAAAAAAAAAAGTTAATCTAGCCTCATAGAGTCTTTTGGAACCTATCTGGCTTGTAGTTACTTGGCAGATATATTTTCTTTAAGCCAATATGCCCAGTCCTGTATTTAGACATACAGTTTATGGCCTAATTCTTACATAGGTTACAACAAATTCCTTTCCTTAGGACAATTCTATAAAGTCTTCTACCAGTTTCATCTCCCTTTTAAGATGACATAACTGCACACATGTAGCATTGCTATGGAGGAATATACTCAGTATGGTGAGAATCAGTCATCTGGTTACTTCCATCTCTAACATCAACTCCAGAATATATGCTAAACTCTTCTTGTGAATCCTTGTCATCTAATAGCCCTGTGCTCATTTTGTCTCAGGGAACTAGGCTTTTTAAGTCATCTTGACTCTTGAGTCTTTTTCTATAATCCATGTTCAATAGCTCAGCAAACAAATTCTCAGAATTCCATGGATCTTAAATGTCAACCAAGATAAAAAATAAAGGGAGTTCCATTTTCTTCAGGGACTGGGTGACTAAATGTAAATGATCAGGAAATACAGTCTTGAGAGTTGTTTTACTGTTTACTAGCAGAATAGTTATGACTCCAGATCCTGTATCCTTCATGTGTAAAGGAGGTAGAGCAATTTTACATAAATTTTTTTTTGCATTAAAGGTGGCATTTTATGTAAAAGCACACACACACACGTTCAGCAATTATGAAATATATAGGACATGTGTGTCTATAAGTATACCTATAAATATGCGTAGGAAAAAGTCCTCCAAAAATGATAATACTTGTAGAGGATTTATAGTTCATGAAGTGCTTTTCTAAATACTATATTGTTATTATGCGTTATATTAATTTAATTTTTACATATAACAAATGCAGATGGTTATATTTATTTCATATTAATCTGAAGAAAAAACTATGACAAAGAAAATTTAAATATGGAGGAGCAAAGACATAGCAAGAGAAATAGTCAGGATAGAAATTTAGATCTACTTATTTCACCTCTAACTCTAGTCTGCCTTCTATCTGGGAAGAACAACTTGGCTTTATCTATTTCCAGTAATAGGGAAGTTCTTGCTTGTCCCATGTCTTTAGTTCAGTTTTAGTATTTATTTCTGTGATCAATTTATGGCTGCAGATTCCATTTACAATAGGACTTTGATGAACCCAGGGATTCCATAATACTGGCTCAGTGTGTGTGTGTGTGTGTGTGTGTATGTATGTGTGTGTGTGTATATATATGTGTGTGTGTGTATATGTGTGTGTATGTATGTATGTATGTGTGTGTGTATATATATACACATATGTGTGTGTGTGTATATATATACACATATGTGTGTGTGTATATATATGTGTGTGTGTGTATGTGTGTGTATGTATGTATGTGTGTGTATATATATATATACACATATGTGTGTGTGTGTATATATATATGTATTTCCCCTCTCCTATCTATTTTGCTGTTCATTTTTATCTTCTCTGTTGGCTCCTCTTCCTGTATCTGACTGCTAAATATTGGTACTTTTCAGAGCTAATTATTTTACTTTTTAAAAAAAATTCTCTTCAGTTTTTGCTAGGTCACCAATGATTTAGATAAGAATCTATATGTCATCACCTCACAGATTTGTAACGCCAGCTGGTACCTCTCTTCTGAGCTCCAGATCCATTTATCAATTCTGAAATTTGATGTCTCACAACCTCCCACATTCAAAATCTCCAAAACTTAGCTCATGAACTCTCCAAAACCCCTTTGAATTCGAAATTGCTCCTCCCACAGTTGCAAAAGCCAGAAACCTGGGCGTTACCACTATTTCTTCTCCTTTCATATCTACTCCTTCCAATTCATCACTAAGTCTTTGGCTTTTTCCTCCTGATTGTATCAGGGACTAAGGATTTTTAATGTATGAATAAACACAATCTTTTCTTCTCCCTCTGACTTCTAGAATAGATGTATGCTTATTTCTTTTGTGAACTCTTGGCAACTTATTTACTGTATAGAACTTAGGAAAATGGCTAATTCTTGCAGGAAATGCAATAAAGGATCCCTGAGTCTTTCCATTCGTGGGAAACTTGGGTTGTTGAGAGCTAATTTTTCGGCCACCTTTGTGCGGCAACGGACAGATGAGAATGGAAATGCTGATGAACATTACCTGCTAGGAGGAGATGAATAAGTAGCATGGCGTTGTGTGGTGGTTAGGGAGTGGGCCCTGTGACTGTGAGAGAGCTGTGTGTTGAGAGGAAAATCTGGCTGCCAATGTTGAAACTTGAGTTGTAAGGCAGTTTACTGGCAGAATTCGTTCCTACCCAGAGTACCTCAATCTTTCTTTTCACTTGAGGCCTTCAACTGATTGGATGAGGCCTACTGACATTATGAGTATGACCTACTTTTCTCAAAGTCTACTGATATAAAAGTTAATAATATCTAAGAAATACCTTCACAGTAACGCCGAGATTGCTGTTTGACCAAATGACGGGTTACTATTGCCTAGTCAAGTTGACATATACAATCAACCATGACAGAGAGGATCTATTCTATTTTCACCTGATTCAGTTCCAGTAATTATTTTTTTGTATCTTATATCCTAGAGATCTCTCAGGGTTTCTTCCCTCAGCCCCAGATCTTCTCCCATACTTATATATAAGAAACGTCTTCCATTTCCTATGTCTCAGTTTGAATGTAGCTTTATCAGAGGAGTCTCTACTTTTCTAAGGATTAGGTCAATTCCTCTGTTAGATGCTTCCATAGAACCCTCTGCTAATCATTTGTTTAAAATCTCTGTTCCTTTCTAGGAACAGAGAACACAATAGGCATGCAGTAACTATTAAAGTAATGGCTGGATCTACCTTAGAACACACTTAACCTGCACTGTTGGTTCCATAGCTTTCTGCTTTGCTGAGAGTGACATCTATGGCAATTTTCTCTATCCTCCTCACCCCTTAATTACAAGTTGAGAAGCTATGTTTGTGGGTGGGGCAGGTCCACTGAATGACTATGTTGGATATTGAGATAAGCAAACAGACTAAAGGCTTAGGTTGCGCACAACGCTCACTTTATCACTTTTTAGCTTTTTCTTCTCTCTTTCCCGTAGCAGCTGGTACAATTAGAGGGAACAGAGGCTATTGGCATAGCTTGGGCCCCAGGTAGGAGGGGCCCAAGCTTGGCATAAATATTAGAATAAGCTCTTCTGTGAAGCTCTTCTCAGGCTTTAGAGCACATGGTTTTTAAAATTTTTTTATTTTTGTATTATTATTTTTTTAACTCTTACTTTCCTTGATTTTTTTTCTTTAATGCTTTTTTTTTTTTCCCTGTCCAGGTTCATGTTAGCATATGAACTAAAAAATATCAAAAAGGAAGAAGGACTGCTGTATTGTCATGTTGGCAGATTTATTCATTTCATATTGACAATGCTAATTTATTATACTTTCAAACCCATCTTGCCCTCAGGGATGTTAGATGATCTGGTTCCACTGCTATTAAATGCTTGCTCCTGTAAACTTTGTGGACATAGAGGCTGAGGGAACCCAATAATTTAATCCAGAAGTCAAATTATCAGGCGCCTTTGCCCAGTGGTGTTTCTGTTAAATTCACAAAAATAATTTATGGGCCAGGTGCAGTGGCTCACGCCTGTAATCCTAGCACTTTGGGAGGCCGAGGCAGGTGGATCACCTGAGGTCAGGAGTTCAAGACCAGCCTGGCCAACATGGTGAAACCCTGTCTCTACTAAAAATACAAAAAATTAGCTGGGCATGGTGAAAGTCACCTGTAATCCCAGCTATTTTGGAGGCTGAGGCAGGAGAATCGCTTGAACCTGGGAGGCAGAGGTTGCAATGAGCCGAGATCACGCCGTGGCACACCAGCCTGAGCAACAAGAGCGAAGCTCCTTCTCAAAAAAAACAAAGTAATAATTTATGCATTGTGAGGAGATGCCTATAACCTACTAAACATCATATTCACAATAGCATGGCCTCTTCACCTAAAGTGTGAAACCTTCAGATTAAAGCAAGGTTAATTACGTTTTCTACAGTGTCATATTTCTACAAAGTACAAAATGCAAAGCAAAATAACCCAGAAGCTAGGAATGAGAATTTTTATTCTTTTTTTAGGACTAAGACGTTGGTTAGTTTTGATTTGAATTCCTGGAAAACCTAGTGCTTTCTTAAGATAATACACTTGACAGCCTTTATTAAACATACTAAATAGATTAGAAGATAAGTTTGTGCATAAGTCTGTGCTTGTTTTGGATAGTTTCCTATTTGAGTGTTGTCTTTTTTCTAATATTCCTTCACTCTGACTAGATTAGATGTCTCTCTTCTCTCCTATTATAACAATCAATAAATAGCTGTTATTTTTTACTCATGATTTTGCATCATATTTACTAGAGTATGTGTCTACGTCCTCTTTTAACTGCCTGTTGGCAATTGCCTGTTGCATCTTATTCACTGAGCAACTAGGCCTATGGCAAACAATCAATTATTAGCATCTGAATGACCATATATATATATCTGTTCTCGTCTTTTTTTTTGAGACGGAGTCTCGCTCTGTCGCCCAGGCTGGAGAGCCGTGGCACGATCTCGGCTCACTGAAAGCTCTGCCTCCTGGGTTTGTGCCATTCTCCTGCCTTAGCCTCCCGAGTAGCTGGGACTACAGGTGCCCGCCACCACACCTGGCTATTTTTTTGTATTTTTAGTAGAGACGGGGGTCTCACTGTGTTAGCCAGGATGGTCTCGATCTCCTGACCTCGTGATCTGCCCGCCTTGGCCTCCCAAAATGTTGGGATTACAGGCATGAGCCACAACGCCCGGCCCTGTTATTGTCTTTAAAATACCCTGTGCTTCCTTTCTTAACTGAATGTAACCTCAGAGGAAGTTAGGTAACAGATGTTAGGTAATTGGGCATTCTCTGCCCCTGGAATCATCCTTACACTCTGAGGCATTCAGGCCTTTCCATGTACAGGGACTATTTTGTAGGAAATGAAACACAGTGGCTGTATTAGCTTGGGCTGCCACAACAAATACCATAGACTGGGCAACTTAAACAATAGAAATTTATGTTTTCACAATTCTGGAGACTGGGAAGTTTAAGTTCAATGTGCCATCTGACTAGATGAAGTCCCTATTTGTGGCTTATAGCCGGCCTTCTCCCTATGTCATCACATAGTGGAGACAGAAAGAAGAATAGCTCTCTGGTGTCTTTTTTTTTTTTTTTTTTTTTAATAAGAACACTAATTTTATCAGATTAGCACCACCCCCAACCTTATGACCTAATTTAACCTTAATTACCACCCTACTCCAAATACAGTCACGTTGGTTGTTAAAAGTTTCAACCTGAATTTTAGGGTAAACAATTAGATCCATAGTGGGGAATTGAAGAATTTTTAATATAATTTCAATTTTTAATGCTGGAAAGCATGATTACATATGAAGCAAACTCAGCAAAATGGCCAATGCACACCAGGCCACTTTCCTTCCACACATGCCTGCCTTTTAGCTGAGAAGAGGATAAGGAAAGCAAAATGCGTGTTCCATCCAGTTCTAGAAGTTAGATGTTGACTTTCAGAATACAAACCAGAAAACAGGTTCAGGGTGGGAGAAAAGCTCACAGAACAGAGATGAGAGGCTTTGCTGCTTCTGACTCTGCTCATTTTTCTTCCCTTTTTTTTTTTTTACCTTTTCCTCTCCACACCTTTAGCCTGCAAAGCTCTACATGGTAATATTAGCAGATTAAAAGGAAATTTGAGAGAAGACAAGTTTAAATGCCAGAAAGCAGTGAAGCACTGGATAAAGTGTTAATCAAAGCAAGCAAGAAGCAGCAGCTCAGGATATACTTGGAAGCAGACACAGCTTCCTTAACTACATAGCTTTCTCTTCGTTTGACATTTTTATTTCCAGAGTACTACTTGAGCCTCAAAAGCTTGCTTTTTAGTGAGGAAAAAAATTAAAAGGTTTATTCAACCTTTTAGGGTGAAGGAAAATGTTGAGTTCTCTGAGCATTTCCTTGTGCAATGAGTCTTGTATATCTAAACCACTTTGGTTTCCTGTTTTAATCTTGGCTTTGATATCACATGGTCCTTTTTAAAATATATATTTATATTGTTTAAAACTAATTTTTGAATTTTCATTTGGTTTCAAAAATGAATCTAAGGACTGGAAAATTTTCTACAATTTACAAAAGAAGAAACTGAGGTTCGTAGTTTATGTAGTGTGCATGAGATCACGTGTCTCCAAGTGGTTAAGGCCATGATTCATATCCAAGAGTGACTGACTCCAAAGACTGTGTTGTCTTTTCATATAAAATACTTCGATGTGTACCAAGAAAAACATTTATGTTTCTTCACTTGACAAGCACAAGTCCTGTCTTTATAAACCATTAGAAATAATTATAGCCTTCACAGTGGGGCAGAAAGCAGTTTTCTACTTTGATGTATGTCTTGTAGGGAAGAATAACATTTTAACTATGATTTTGACTTTGTTCTTCATTAGTTTACCTCATGTTGAGCATTTTGTCATGCTGATTCCCTCTGAAGATTTTTAATGCAATGCGTGGTGCCACAAATTTGATTAGAGTAACTGGCATTTGATTGTGCCTTGGCTCAAACTTTCCTCCTTAGTGCCCCAGGTGCTAGTTTTTCAGATTCCTGCAGTAATCAGGAACTAAGGAGATTTGCACTCTTGACACCCTAACAGGTAAATTAACTTCGTGATCTGTCAGATTCCACTGGAGTCATCATAATTCTGACTGTTGTGACATACAATCCTTGTAATGTTTTCTAAGTGGTTTGAAGATGGATGGCACATAAATATGTATGTCTAAAGATGAGTATAACATTGTTATGCTTCCCTTTGCATATTTGCTATAGGAAAAAAACACTCATTTTGTCAAAAATTCTCAAGAATGATCAACAACTTTTACTGCAAAATAGTGTAATATGCTATATAATTGTTACTTAAGAATTTCTAAAACAAAGTTACATAACTCATGAATATTTTACGTGGAAGGCATATGATGCTGGAAAGACTTGGGGGCAAATATTGGCTTTTCAACATACTGGCTGTCTAGGCACAAGTAAGTCTGAGTTTACTCACTTTTAGAAAGTTTAAGATAAAGTTTTAGGCTTTATTTTTAACAAATATTACTAGACTACTAACTACACAAGGCACTGTGCCAAATATTTTAAATAAAATAGTGAACAAAATAGAGAGGTAGCCCCACTCTGATATGGCTTACAGTTGTAAATTTTAGTTGAATAAACAAATAAATGTTACACAATGTGACAAGTTCTATGATGTGTAGTATGAGGTGTCCTGGGAGCAAGTGAAATTAATCCCAGCTGGGGTTAAGACTTAAAACATGAGCATAAATTAGCTAAGTAGTGAGAGAGAGTGTATTACCAAAGACATGAAGCTCTTTAGAGGTAGGCAGAAGCAAGATTATGTGGAAATCAGAATACATATTAGGAGTTTGGACTATATCCAAAGATCAAACAGAAGCCACATAGAGTTTGATTTATTCATTTGTTAATTCAACAACTGTTCATCAACAAATGTATTAGACACTACTTTTGGTTCTAGGAACATAGTAATAAAAAAAAAAAAAAAACTCCTGGGCCAGGCGCAGTGGCTCATGCGTGTAATCTCAGCACTTTGGGAGGCCGAGGCGGGTGGATCATGAGGTCAGGAGTTTGAGACCAGCCTGGCAACATGGTGAAATCCTGTCTCTACTAAAAATACAAAAAAATTAGCCAGGCGTGGTGGCACACGCCTGTAATCCCAGCTACTCGGGAGGCTAAGGCAGGAGAATAGTTTGAATCTGGGAGGCAGGGGTTGCAGTGAGCTAAGATCATGCCATTGCACTCCAGCCTGGGACAGAGCAAGACTGTGTCTCAAAAAAAAAAAAAAAAAAAAAAAAAACAAAACTCCAAATTTTGACCCTTATGCTTATATGCCACTGTGAAAAGACAACCTCAATATAAAAAATACATGATTATATTTGAAGGAAGAATATCAGCGCTATTGTAGAAAATGTTGTTGTTGTTTTAAAAATGGAGAAAGGCTAGGGGTTTGTCAGTTTAGAAAAAAATAATCTAGAATGGCTGCAGCACAGTGAGCAGGTAGGAGAGTGATAGCAAAAGAGCCTGAGATGTCACCAGAGGCCTCTGTGGGACAGATCACTGTAAAGACTTAAACTTTTACTGTAAGTGAAATGGAAAGCCTTTGAACATTTTTTGGCGGGTAAATAATATTATCTGATTTATACTTCAAAGGAATCACTTGGCTATTGATTTAGGAACAATAGTAGGGTGGCAATGGTAGATGTCGAAAATCAATTAGAGGGCCGTCGTCAATGCTAAGATGAGTGATGATGACCAGGATGAATTTGACTGGCTTCAAAGGCAAGTAGTGGAAATATTCTTGGATATATTTTTAGGTTAGATCATTTAATTATTTCCTAACATGTTGAATGTGAGTGACAAAATAGAACATTCAAGGAAGACACTCCCAATTTTTGTTTATCTGAACAATTGGAAGTTTGAAATTCCCAATAATAAGATAAGAAAGAAAACAGTTTAAACATGTTTGTATGATATAAGGTTAAGAGTTCAGATTTTGACATAATCATCTTTGAGATGTCTAACAGACTCTTAAGTGGAGAATTTAAATAGGCAGTTGGGTAAAGTATTTGGAATTCAGAGAAAGTAGCTATAAATTTGGAAATTTTTAAAGCAACTAGATTAGATGGCATTGCCAAGGATCATTCTGTGTCCGTATGCTTGTGGGTAGAGAATAGAAGTGGCAAACCCTATTTGTGGCAAACTCTTAATGTTAAGAAGTCTGGAGGAAGAGGAAGAGTCAGAAAAACAGCCTAAAAAGAAGTGTCCAGTTAGGTAAGAGAATACCAGGAGAGGATATTTTCTTGGAAGGCAAGTGTGAACAGTGATCTTAAGAGGAATGAATGTCAAATTCTTCTGAAAGTCTGGGTAACTTGAAGACTGAAAATTAACCATAGCATCGAGCAATTTGGGGCCGTTGGTGATGCTAACAAAAGAAGTTTCAGTGGTGTTAGGGAGATGGCTTCTGGTTCTAGAGCCTTGTTGTCATGCTAGCTAATCTGTGGATAACAAGAATAATATCTAGATAAAATATTTTAAATATTTTAAAAGAAAATATTTGACGAAACTGAATAATGACCAGAAACAGGCAAAAACTAAAGAGCAATTAACCCTTGAAAAATGAAACTATTTCAAATGAGGTGTGTGTGTTTGCTTGTGTGTGTATTGTCTCATAGTACTTCTCAATCTGAATGGGGATAACAGAAAGCCAAGGTTTTGTTTGTTTGTTTGTTTTTGGAGACAGAGTCACACTCCATTGCCGGGGCTGGAGTGCAGTGGTGCAGTCTTGGCTAACTGCAGCCTCCACCTCCCAAGTTCAAGCAATTCTGTCTCAGCCTTCTGAGTAGCTGGGGTTACAGGCACCTACTACCATGCCTGGCTAATTTCTGTATTTTCAATAGAGATGGGGTTTCACCATCTCTTGATGCTGGTCTTGAATTCTTGTCTTCAAGTGATCCTCCTGCCTTGGCCTCCCAACGTGCTGGGATTACAGGTGTGAGCCACCATGCCTGGCCAGAAAGCCAAATTTTAAAGCCTTATTTTGTTAGAGGACTAAGTTCAGAGCTGACAGAGTGGCTGGAAAATTTAAATGGGAAGTTTACAGAGGGAACGGTCTCTAAAATCTGTATAAAAACTACCAAAATCCTTGTCTTCCTATTGAACCACCCATGTAGGGAAGATTCCAATTTTAGTAAAACCAGCATCCAGAAAGAGAAATAAATGAAACAAAACAAAACGAAAAACTTCAGTTCCTGGCCACTGGGGGAGAAAGATTTTAGTTTGAATCTAACTGCCTGCTAGGCAAAATCTCAACACCTTTCAGATAAAAGTTACTAAATCCAGAGAATCTACAATATTTCTAACACAATTTCAAGGATAAAATAAAATTTATTAGGTGTAAAGTAGCTGGGAAAAGTTACTTAATAAAAATATCAGTCAGCAGAAACTCTAAGATGATCAAGATGTTGTAAGTAGTAGACAAGGCCTTTTTATCAGGTATTGTTAACATCTTCAAAAACCAAAGGAAAAACATAATTATAGTGAATGAACAGGTGGGAAATCTTACTTGAGAAAGTGTGGGAAAGAACCAAATGGAAATTCTAGAATTAAAAACAAATATAGAGAAAAAGCAGGCATTTCACAAATATAAAAGAGCCAATATCTGAGGAGGATACAACTATAAATATATATATATATGTCTAATAATTATATACCTAATAACACAACTTGAAAATACATGAAGAAAAACTGACAGAACTAAAAGGGAGAAATAGACAAAACCGTAATTGGAGACTTTACACATTTCTCAGTAAATTATGGAACAACTTGACAAAATGTCAATAATAATGTTGAAGACATGAATGGTTTTATCTACCACATTTATCATATTAACATTTATAGAACATGACAACTGCAGAATTGACAGTCTTTTAAAGCATATATGGAATTTTATAGAGATAGAATGTATGCTAGAATATTAAGAAATCTCAATAAAAATTCATGTTCCTTGTCCATAATGAAATTAAATAAGAAATCAAGGTAATCATAGAAGAAGTATAAGGCAGTGCTTTGAGGGGACAATTTGCTGTTATGATGCAGCTGGAGGTGAAGTGGGATCAGTAGATTTAATTTTTTTTTTTTTTTTTTGAGACAGAGTCTTGCTCTGTCACCCAGGCTGGAGTGCAGTGGTGCGATCTTGGCTCACTGCAACCTCCACCTCCCGGGTTCAAGTGATTCTCCTGCCTCAGCCTCTTGAGTAGCTGGGATTATAGGCGCCCGCCACCATGTCTGGCTAATTTTTATATTTTTAGTAGAGATGGGGTTTCACTATGTTAACCAGGATGGTCTCGATCTCCTGACTTCGTGATCTGCCCGCCTCGGCCTCCCAAAGTGCTGGGATTACAGGTGTGAACCACTTCGTCCGGCCCAGAATTTTTTATGTTGATGGACATAACTGATTGGTGAGAGTAAACTTGGTGTAAGAAAGAGGAGACTTGGAGGTCTCTGAGTGGGCATGGGTACAGGAGCAGACATAGTTTACTTACAGTAACATGAGAAGGAAGGCAGTTTACATGTGTAAAGATACTGGAAGATAGATAGCATGGCGAGAATTCGTATGAATTCACATTTTATGTCTGCCAGATAAGTGATCCAACCAGATTTGTGGTTTTAGAAGGCCATTGTAATTATAGTTTGGAGCAATTATTTTGTGGGCAAGATTGCAGGTAGCCATACTATTAGGAGATGGCTATAAGCCAAGTAAGACATGATGATGGCAAGAAATAGTTAATAGTGTGTAAACAACTCTGACATTTGAAAGACATTTGGAATGTGGAGGCAGCAGGACTTTTTTTTGTTGTTTGTTTGTTTTTGAGACAGAGTCTCACTCTGTTGCCCAGGCTGGAGTGCAGTGGCGCGATTTCGGCTCACTGCAAGCTCTGCCTCCCGGGTTCACGCCGTTCTCTTGCCTCGGTGTCCTGAGCAGCTGGGACTACAGGCACCTGCCAAAACGCCCGGCTAATTTTTTTGTATTTTTAGTAGAGACGGGGTTTCACTGTATTAGCCAGGATGGTCTCAATCTCCTGACTTCGTGATCCGCCCGCCTCAGCTTCCCAAAGTGCTGGGGTTACAGGTGTGAGCCACAGCGCTCGGCCACAGGACTTGTTAAATGATAAAAGAGACAATATAGGGAGAGAGGGATTCAGAGGAACTGAAGAAAATTCCCAGGAGTTTGATTCAGGCAATTTGTTTTAAGGTGGTAGCGTTTACTAAGATAGAATGCTTAAGAAAGAGCAAAGTTGAAAAGAAGATGATGAGTTTAGTCTTAGAAATGATTGGTAAATAGATTTAAAGTTTCACCAAAGGATCTGTGCTGAAGGTAGCATTTGCCAAATATCAGCATACAGATGGTAACTGCCACCAGCTATGTGGTTGTTGAGATCTCCAAGAAGAGGTATGGTGAGTAGGATGGGAAAGAAATGGAAAAAAGAAGGGAATGGAAGGTCTACAAAAAGCCTTGATTTATTAAATAATTATTCTGGGCCATGCACTCTTTAATAAGTTGTTTTTACATCTTAATATATTTCATCCTCACAAAAATGCTATGAGACATGTATGCTTATTCCATTTTACAAGTCACTAAATAGAGAAAGATGATTGTATTAGTCTTTTCTCATGGTGCTAATAAAGACATACCTAGGACTTGGTAATTTATAAGGAAAGAGGTTTAATTGACTCACAGTTCTGCAGGGCTAGAGAGGCCTCAGAAAACTTACAGTCACGGCAGAAGGGGAAGCAAATATGTCCTTCTTCACATGGCAGCAGCAAGGAAAAGTGCAGCGTGAAGTTGGGGAAAAGCCCCTTACAAAACCAGCAGATCTTGTGAGAACTCACTCACTATCATGAGAATAGCATGGAGGTAACCATCCCATGATTCAGTTACTTCCCACTGGGTCCCACCCACGACACATGGGGATTATGGGAATTACAGTTCAAAATGAGTTTTGGGTGGGGACACAGCCAAACCATAGCAATGATCTTTAAAAATGTAGACAAAATGGATCTGAAAGTAAAAGGAACATTACAAGAGTATGATGACCCTGAAGTCACAGACAGTTTGAAGAAGGAGACCAGGTCCTCTGCTGAGAGTAAGAGGAAATTGCTGTGATACAAGAGTCAAGGGAAATGAGAATTTAAATGTGCAGTTTAATTGCTGTGGGTGCTAGAAGATGAGACAGATTGATGAGACATACTATAGGCCCTGTTTATTATAGAGACCATGATGGTCATGGTCAGCCATGATTGATGTTTTGCTAAGCATGTAACCAAATGAAAAAGACACAGTGGGAATATGGACTTTGGCAAAGAATCGGATGAGGTAATAAACTATGTTGAAAGGTAAAAACAGAAAAAGCTAATAAGAATATAAAAATGTTGTCATGGACTGGAGGTCCTAGCAAGTTTAAAAGGCAAGTTTAATGGCAGTTGCTGAACAAAAGAGTCAAGATATTTGGAAGTTGCTATCTGAAGCAGGGTCTTTGCATTTAATATTTTAAAACTGGAGCACTTCTGAATGATGGCAAATTCCAAGAATGGCTGTGAGAATAAATAGAAGTAAAAGCAACAGGAAATGAGGATGTCAAAGACATGCATAGATAGTCTACTGAATTACTTGCTTCCAGGGATCAGAAATGCCAGATTCTGGCAGGACTTGGTATGGAGACAAAACTGGGAGGAGGAGACAAATATTCAGTGATTGAGGTGGAGGCAGAATAAGTTGGTTGATGAGACCAATGAGGTGGAATAAAGATCTGTGCCCCATTTCCAAAGAAAAGAGGCTTTTATGGGAGAGTAAAGGACTGATGGTCTAAAAGAGCTAGTGTGGAGAGTACTAAGCCCACCTCCTCACCTTGGTATCTGGTCCATAGTAAGAACTGAAGAAAACAGAACTATTGTTTCAGTCTTGCCTTTTCTTTGTATATATTTATATGACTTTTCATTTATCTTTTTATAAATATAAACACTATTATGTGCCATAGAGTGAAGCAGAATTTTCTCCCAAGGGAACTAATATGTGCTTGATTTACAAAATAGAAATCATTATGAATTGTATGCCTTACTAAATAATTCTGTAATTATATGTTATGAAACAACTTAAAGGTGTGATGCAAAGGAAAGAATTGTCATCCAATAAATGGAGTTTAATAATTTTTATTTCACGGTATGAAATTTTATATAGTTTTTTATGTTAGAGGTACAGCAGGTGAAAGTAGGTTTTATTTGATTTTAAGGATCTAAACGGTTTTAATTATACAACAGAATGTCTCAGAAAACATGACCATTTTCAAATACTTTTGATGAGGAGATGGGTTTTTTTTAATTTAAAGGCAAATACACAGGGTTTTGGCTATATCAAAATTGTGAAATACCAGTTAGCTTAGGATAACTTTATCATCTTTGAAAATGATGAAAGTAATTAATACACTTCTTTTTAAAACCACATGTAATTTTTGAGAATAGATGACTATTTCAAATAGTCATGTGAAACTTCTCTTAAAATTAAAATAGATATTAGTGAAAGAGTCATAAATGCAGGCTTTCACTTTATTGGACACAAAATATAGAAGACATGGAAATGTGTTGGGATAATGGTATGATCTTAGGGTAGGTAGGAATGCTATAAATATGAAATTATCCCATATCTTTGTCCAAGCTTTGTGGCACTTTCTTCCATATCCTGGATGTCATACTTTTTCACCAGGGTCTTCACAGCTTTTTCAGCCCTTGATAAACCCTTCTGTTTGAAAGCAGGTGGTTGCCCCTCTGTCACCTGGAAAAGACGTGGGCTTTCTCAGTCTGAAGATGGTATTCACTGGGAAAAAAGCATGGCCTCCCACCTGACAAAGAGTATAGCTGCTGTGCCTTCATTCTACAGATTATATATTTAGGCTAAGCCTTTTTTTTTTGGATTGGATCTTGGACATTATAGATTAAGTTTCTTGGACTTATTTTAGTTGTCAGTTCTAACTCTAATGATGCTCAGGCCCAGTTTGCTTCCCTTTTTTCCTGATCCTGAGAGGAGGTCTCGGTATCTTCACAGCTGAGCAGTCATTGTCAGTGCACATTTTGTGATTTTTGTCATTTGGGGATTTTCTTTGCCACATAGTTACAGAATTTGATTTAGCAATTGGGACCACAGGCAAACCATATCTTTGATAACGCTGACCCTTGACAAGTCATCATCCTACAAAATAAATTACAGGGAAAACAGTTCTTATTCCAGTGTTCCCTTATCAAACTCTACATCAGAGTTAGCTGTGAGTGATTTCTACTTTTAGTATTGGAGATGAATATTAGATATTTTCTTTTTCTTTCTTTCCTTTCTTTTCTTCTTTTTTCTTCCTTTCCATTCCTTTCCATTCCTTTCCTTTCCTTTTCTTTTTCTTTTCTTTTCTTTTCTTTCTTTTCTTTCTTTGGCAGAGTCTTACTCTGTTGCCCAGGCAGGAGCACATTGGCATCATCTCATCTCACTGAAACCTCTCCCTCCTGGGTTCAAGCAATTCTCATGTCTCAGCCACCGGAATAGCTGGTTACAGGCACCTGCCACCATGCCCAGCTAATTTTTGTATTTTTGTAGAGCTGGGGTTTCACCAAGCAGGACAGGCTGGTCTAGAACTCCTGACTTCAAGTGATCCACCTGCCTCAGCCTCCTCAAGTGTGGGAATTACAGGCATGAGCCACTGCACTCAGACAATATTCGATGTTTCTATAGATAATTCAGTTACTTTATAATCAAATAATGATTATTAATTTTTCTGATATTCTAGAGCCATCTTGAACTTTTCACTATTTTAATTAAACTTCTGTATCCATGTGCTTCTCTACCCTTTTTTGGTTCCCTCCTTCCTATCTTTGAGCTTCCATGATAAGAATACAAACCACACTTAACTATGTTTTCCCCAACCTCACTGGATGTTCTCCTGGTTTTCATTGTTGGCTTTTATCCTAAACACATACTTTTAATGTAGATGTTCTCCACTACTCCATCCTGGGCTGCTTCTGTTTATTTATTTATTTATTTTTTATTTTGAGACCAGGTTTCTCTCTGTCACCCAGGCTGGAGTGCAGTGGTGTGATCTCGGCTTACTGCAACCTCCACCTCCCAAGTTCAAGCAGTTCTCTGCCTCAACCTCCCGAGTAGCTGGGATTACAGGCACCCACCACCGTGCCCGGCTAATTTTTTGTATTTTTAGTAGAGATGGGGCTTCACCATCTTGGCCAGGTTGATCTTGAACTCCTGACCTTGTGATCCACCTGCCTCGGCCTCCCAAAGTGCCGGGATTACAGACGTGAGCCACCGCACCCGGCCTGTTTTTATGTTTTTATATACTTTTCACTGATGTCTTAAAAGTAGCATGTCCAGAACTAAACTCTTGGTTTTATTCCCAAAATCTAGATTGTGCTTGTGCTTAGAGAGTAAATCTCTTAACACCTGCCTACAAGAAGGCATATAATGTCTCTGCTGCCACCTCTCCTGTTTCCTTCCAACTTTCCACTTGCTCCGTAGGTTCTAGTAACGTTAACCTTTGTTCATTTCTTGAACATTAGGAAGCACATTAATACTTCAGGACACTGTCCATCCTGAACTCTTTGCTCACCATGCTCTTTCTTTAGGTCTCATCTTAAATAAGACGTCCTCAGAGAGCCTATTCCAGCTACTCATCTACATTTATCAACTCACACACCCATTAGTCTCTATTTCAACATCCTTTGTTTCTTAACAGTACTAATGACTCTAGTTTGCAATTATTTTGTTTTATCTATGAGAATATGTTTCAGAAAGGTAGAATCACATTGCTCTAGTATATCCTTGTATCCCTATTACCTAATTTAGTGCCTGGTGAATATACAATAAATATTTGAGTGACTGCATCTTAAGAATTTCTTTTGTTAAAATCACTCCCTTTTAGTTGTCTATGTATGCTGTGGCATTAGCTTCAGTGAAGTATCTGACCAATGGCACTAGTCTAGACTTAGAACTGATCTCCTGGGAAGGCCCAAAACTCTGCCTGGCAACAGCATATTTCAACCTATACCCAGCAGCATACCCATAGGGCCTGATCAGTTTGAATTCCCTTAAAGTCTACCTGTTATCAATTCATTTTAAACTGCATGTGTATCTATCTCTTCAAATAGTATGCTTACCTATCCCTCTATTTGTTTGTTTCATTTAGAAATGAAATACAATCATAATCTTTATAGTATTATATAGTACTCATAAATAATTAGTTTCCTAATTGGCAGAGGGATTCTCCTTCTCTCCATTAATGACATGATAGTTTTGAAAATAGATAGTTCCTGACAGCTGTATATCAAGAGTTTATTTGTGGGTAGAGTGACATTACACTCATATTTCCCATAAAAGTTATATAATATATGTGGTTATTAGGCTTCTCATCTAGTCCTCAAGCTAGTTCTTAAAGCCTATTGAATATTCTTAAAGTGAAATCGTAATACTACAATTTCAAACAATATATTATTTATAATGTTATAATGTTTGGTATTCTATAAAAAATAGGGATCTGAAGTCAAATTTGGATGTACAATATATTACATTCATTCCAGCAGTCAGTAGTTCTCAGGCAGGTATATAACAGAATCATTCATGGAGCTTTTAAAGTATACAAGTTACTAGGTCCAATGTGGGAGATTATAAATTAGTGAATCTGCATTGTGACATGATATTTATGCATTGTTTAAAAGCTTCACAGGTGACTCTAATACACATCTCTTAAGAACCAACATTCAGGGAATTTGCTCTTGAAATTTTCCAAATCCATGAATTAAAAGAAGGTGTGTTGGAGGAAGGGGTTTTAAGGCTTTTCACTATGTGAATGTCAAGGAAGTCCTAATTTGGGAAATGCGATAATTTTATTTTCCTATCTTACTTTACATATCTGGAATTTTCAGGTTACTTACCTTTTCTTTACCTGGAATCTAGACCTATAGTCATGATAATAATGGCTTTCTTGTTTGTAGGGGAATGCTTTATAACTCACCTCGGTTTATAATGAAATATTCTTCTTGTATTTCAGTTCCTTTAATCTCTTGGTCTATATTATGGCCAAACAACTCTCATGGCCTCTACTAGAACAAAATGTAGTCCTTCGTGAATAACAAAAATAGCATTTGGTAAAAGTTATTTATACAGCTGATAAAATGTTATTCTAATTTGCCCTTGACTTTGTTCTGCTTATATACTATTATTTTTAACTGACTGAGAAAGTTAATATATTCAGTTTATCCAAATACATAATCAGAACTAGATTTAATTGCAGGAAAATTTGGAATATAGGAAAATATCAAAGAGGTTAAGATGAATTTTATGACATCTCACCACCGGGAAATAATTTTATATTGTTTCTTATTGAGGGAAAAAAATAAAGGCTGAGATTAAACCCTAAGTGTATCCAGCCGGTAGGGGGCAGTTCTTCTAATTCATAGGACTATTTTGTCTTTAAATTTAGCACTCGGAGGGTCCCTTTCCTTGACCTTTGACATCAGTATTTATGCACCAGATGGATAATATTTTTGTGTGAGGCAGCTTTGGCACCCTTTGGCTAAGATACGGAAATAATATATATTTATTAATACCTGATGGCATAAAAATAGTTACCATAATTCAACTCATCTAACTATTATCATTATATAGACCTCTGTTAGTAACCTGAACTACTTGGAAAATTTAAAAGTCAGGGTTTGTTTCTTTCTTTCTTTCTTTCTTTTTTTTTTTTTTTTGAGGCAGAGTCTCACTCTGTCGCCCAGGCTGGAGTAAAATGGCTTGATCTTGGCTCACTGCAAGCTCCGCCTCCTGGGTTCACGCCATTCTCCTGCCTCAGCCTCCCGAGTAGCTGGGACTACAGGCGCCCGCCACCACACCCGGCTAATTTTTTGTATTTTTAGTAGAGACAGGGTCTCACCGTGTTAGCCAGGATGGTCTTGATCTCCTGACCTTGTGATCTGCCTGCCTCAGCCTCCCAAAGTGCTGGGATTACAAGTGTGAGCCACCGTGCCCAGCCAAGTCAGAGTTTTTTGTACACAGAATCCTGAGCTACATAGGCTTGAAGATAATTCGTACTGGAAATGAACAAAAATATCACTGTCCTGCAATTTGTTTATAGTTTGCCTCTTCCCCAGGCCTTCTTTTTCCTGATATTCCAATTTTGCTTCTTTCAGACATCTGAGAAAACAGCTAAACCATTTGCCACTGCCAGTGAGTCTGTGCATATTCTTATCTTGGCTACTTTTCTTCCCACACACAGTGAATGAATGACCTGATGGACTGAAGCTCAGCCCATCGGGAGGATTATCCCTCACAGTTGTCCTCAGGGGCACCCTGAGTGAGGCTATGATGCAGAAACAGTGCTTTCAAAAGGTGTATCATTTCTGCTACAAATGGCATGCACTTGCTTTATAATGCTAGGGTTCCTCCCTTTAAGTGTCCTATTGGGGCCTGCAAAGATTCCACACTGAATTATACATAAGTGACCTCTACACATTGAATCTGCTGCTGTGTGGCCTAAGCATATTGGCAGCCTGGGCCTGCTACCATACCCTTTCTTGCTCTGGACCCCACCCAAAAATGACCTTCTGCATCACCTAATGAATGGGTCAGAGCAATAATACACGCTGCCTCCAACATCCGAAGAGGCCTACAAGATGTTGAGATTCTTTCTTTGTGATGGGTGGCACGGGTGTAATAGCTTGTCGTTTACATTGGAGGAGTTGTCTCAGCAAGCCCCAGGCCAGTGAACCTCTGAAAACTTTATGCATATAGCAAATATCCCCTGCCCTCCGGAGCATGTTGCTGACCAAGGGCATCCCGAGTACATGCCACTTCTGTTCATCAAGCATAATTTACAAAATATCATCAACATAATGGACTTATTTGATGTTCTTTGGAGTATTCAGTTCCTTTTAGACTATCTTGTGATAGAAGGTTAAACTAAGCCCTGGGGCAAATCAACAAATGTATTTATTATCCACCACATGTGAATGTAAACTGTTTTTAATTCCCCTTCCTAATGGATATGGAAAAGGATGCATTTGTCAGATCAATAGCTTCATGTAACATACCAGAGATTATGGGAATGCATTCTAGTAAAGATACCACATCTGGTATGTCATCTGCATTACAGCTACCATGTTTTCAGTGGCCCATTTTCACTTGCCATGACCTATCTGTATTTTATATATTTTTTTGCAGGTGACAGACTGGTAAAATAAATTGAGATATAATGAGAGCTATCACTTCTGCACCTCAGAGGCTAAAACTAATCTCTGCAATTAACCCTAGGATGTTATATTTTTTGATTTACTAACGTGGTCTGTTTCAGGGACTTGCACTTGGCTTTTCCTGTAACAATAACCTTTATACCACTGGACAAAGAATCAGTGTGAGGGTTCTGACAGCTGTTAAGTATGTCCATCCCATCTGTACATTCAGGGACTGGGGAAATGACAACCAAGTAGGCCCATGTACCCAGCAGAAAATTTTAAAAAACTTAGAACTGAGAAAAACCTAATGGAAAACCGTGGCCAGCACTCTGGTTATTATCTGATCTCATAATGTCGTTATCTGCTCAAATCCTGTATCCTATCCACAACCTTTAAAATATGTAGGTATTCCCCTTTTCTCAGTGTGTACTTACCTTGTTGCACAGCCTCTTTGGAGATGGACTTGGGGAGTCACTTCTGTATGTACCTGCCAGGGAATTGCAGTTATTCCTCAAATAGATCTGACCTCTCTCAGTTGATGCAGCCTTGGTTTGAGAACTGGCTCAGGGTTGAGAACTGGGAAAGGGATTGACTTTCCATTGAGGAAGCTGGTCAGCCTTTTGTTTATTTATTCGTGATCTCTTTGGGTTATATAGTAAGTAGTACTCTCGTTCAGTGCTCATGTATCCTTTCTCTAGGAACACCATAGTCTATGAGCATTTCCATGGATCCCTGTGGGTTAGGACACCCCCCTCCCGCCCCCTGCATCCTGCCATTAAGACTTTGCACTTGTTACAGTAATTACTCCCACCTTGCTGCTGACAATTAAGTACTGTTACATGTCTCTGATATTTGGGGAAGCCATTATCTCCATTACTACCAGGGAGCTCAGTTCTGCAACTTTATCTCCTACCTACAGAGCACGTACAACTACAGAGTTTTCAAAAATGTTGGTACCTCCGTCACCAAGACCTCCCTTATTGTTTCCGTAAACAGATTGTAAACAGATTGTCTCCTGGACACTTCTGCAGAACTGAGTCAGGTGGAGGGTCTTTCAGTCTCCTATAATGGGTTGACTCTAGCATGTCCACTTCTCTGTGCTTTTGATTCTTCCATCATCTGCCTGCTCACTCTTGAATCTCTCCCATATTTAATGTGGGCCATTGTCTTCTCTGAGCTTCTTATGGAGCATTGTTTTTAGTGCATCTCTAAGCATCATTGCCAGGGCGTTCAATTTTGAGTCATGGGATAGTGCCCTGTTTTTGCCAACCTTTCATCTATCCAGTTCCCCTATCTAATAAGGCCTTGATTTTGTCATGTGAGCATTGTCTAAGCTGTGAATCCTGCCTTCTCTAATGTTCTGTAACTTTCACAATTAAGTCCTAGTCTTGGTGTTCAGCTTGATTAGCCCTTCAAGTGTGGTAGATGAGGGTTTCTCTAAACCCTGACAGAGAAGCCCTCAGATTTCCACACTTTGCTTCATATGGTTGATTAGTGATTGGAGCCTGTTGTTTCTCTCTCTAAAGCAAAAGTTGCTCTCAGGAATAGTCACTCAATTGCACACTAATTTTGCAGTTCCTATTTTTTCCCCTTATCTTTCAAACACCAATGATAACACATACACTGGTGCATCTGTAACCTATATCTTGTATCATCCATCACAGGTGAACATTTCAGCAATTGTCCTGCTTCATCATGCCAGGGACTATCAGATGACACTTTGTCCAGTGGTGGGGACTTTATTGCATCTGGCTACTGAGAAATTCAGTTTTAGAATCCCATCCTTAAAGAGTCTACTTCCTAAGGTACTCCTGGCACTAGCTGTCTTATGTCAGGTTTCCTAGCAGGGGGGCTTGATGAAGGGATTCCTTTGTGAGGCAGGGTTCTCAGAAAACAACCTGTAAAGAAGTAAGGGAAGATCAGGATGGGGGAAGAAGCTAGGACATGATATGGTCTCAAGAGAAGTACAGTTCAACCTGATCCCATAGGGAGCTCTGAAGTATAAATTGCATCATAGAGACTGTCCTCTCCAGAAGCAAAAGATCTGGGCATCGGTCAGTCATCAGCCAAGGGCAGCCCACAGGCAGAGGGTGGATGCAGGATCACCTGGGCATCCCTGGGCAAGAGGCTAATGCCAGTCAAGGGCAATTCTTCAGAGAAGAGTTCCAGTGTGAGCCATGGGCAGTAGGTAGGGGATGCATAAGCAGCCATTAAGAGGGATTGGATGGGGACACCTATAGCATCTGCTACACGTCACCTCATGTTAGAATACTGAAAAATAAATTACTATTAGTAGGTCAGCTTTTGGAGTTTTACAGACCTGCATTCATTTGGGCAAGATAATTAACCTTTCTGACTGTTTCCTCTACAGTAAAACAGGAATAATAACTCAGCTTAAATTTGAAAGGGTTTAAGCGAGGATGAATTTGTGAAGTCTCCAGTAGAGTACTTGCTTTATAATGGGTGCTAAATTAATGTTATTATGTTGACAAAGAAAGTAGAACTTGGCTATTTACCAAGAAAATAATATGTATGTTTATCTAATTCTATTTAACACAGAAAGCTAATTGATATCTTTTACTTACCTCAAAAAGAAATGATGGGCCGGGCACGGTGACTCACGCCTGTAATCCCAGCACTTTGGGAGGCCCAGGCGGGCGGATCATGAGGTCAGGAGATCTAGACCATCCTGGCTAACACGGTGAGACCCCGTCTCTACTAAAAATACAAAAAATTAGCCAGGTGTGGTGGCAGGCGCCTGTAGTCCCAGCTACTCGGGAGGCTGAGGCAGGAGAATGGCGTGAACCTGGGAGGTGGAGCTTGCAGTGAGCCGAGATCGCGCCACTGTACTTCAACATGGGAGACAGTGAGACTCTGTCTCAAAAAAAAAAAGAAAAGAAAGAAATAGAAATGATGGCACTATGCCTCTTAGTTCATTTGCAAAATAAATTAATGTCATAATAATGCTGTATTAATCTCACATGTAAGAATAAAAGTATAATATTTAAAATGAGGTATTATATATGCATTAATCAATATGATTAATATTCAGAGAAAGTGAGCTACTATTAGAATTTCCTTTCAACATACTACTCAGTAATTTTTGAAAAGGTTATTGATGAAATGATACATGTGCATTAAATGAAATTGCTCACACACAAATAAATATCTCTATACATTCAGATATATATTGGCACAATTGGCCCAGCATTTGCTGAACATAAGTGATTCAGTAAATTACATTAGAGTATACAATGATTGCTTCTTGACTATTTTTCTCTTCTTTTGTTGTCATTTCATCTCCTGAAGATTGACTAATTTTTTTGTTTTTTTGAGATGGAGTCTCACTCTGTTGCCCAGGCTAGAGTGCAGTGGCTTGATCTTGTCTCACTACAACCTCCGCCTCCCAGGTTCCAGTGATTCTCCTGCCTCAGCTTTCCAGGTAGCTGGGTTTACAGGCACATGCCACCACACTCGGCTAATTTTTGTATTTTTAGTAGAGATGGGGTTTCACCATGTTGGCCTGGCTGGTCTTGAACTCCTGACCTCAGGTGACCGCCCAGTGTGGCCTCCCAAATTGCTGGGATTACAGGCATGACCCATTGCTCCCAGCTGCCAATGATTGACATTTGTCTGTTGATTCTTATTTATCTAATTCCTTTTGGTAGATGAACCTTTGCAAGTACCGTGTCTGCTGTTCTTGGGTTTCTTCATTTAATTCTGAGGGCGTTTGCATTTAGGGAATGACACTGATTTACTTAATTGCTTTGGTATACCCTTTATAACTACTACTTGTGTCTCTTTGACACAAGAACACACATGTTCACGTTCATCAGGGGCATGATTCCTATTGTTAACTACTTCCCTTTAGGAGGTTGTCTTCTAGGTAAGCATATTTCTTTTATGCTTATCAAATATGAAATAAATATACAACCAACTCAATAGAATGTCATAGGCTAATATGGTACCACAGAATGAAGCAATTATAAAGTTAAGCTGCATAATGAGGTTACTTTTGGAGAATATTGGACCTTAATGGCAATTTAATCAACTTAACCTGCTTTACCAGAGATGATATGCAACAGCTAATATATTGAGCCATCAATAGATGGAGATAGAAACTGAATCTGTAAACATTTGCTTTGCAAAACCACATTCATCTCAGGCAAATAACCTTTTTTCACTTAAACAATTACTTTAGACAATAGCAACAATTTAAAAACTGAGATACATGCAGTACTTATCACAATAAAATCAGTATCTCTATTTTTAAAACCATTTCGAACAGTAATGTGAATTTTTTGGGAATATATGTCTAAGCTTGTCTCCATTTGTTGTGTAGATTAAGGTATTTACCATATTTTATGTTAATATTAATCATTTTACAATCATTTTCATTATGTTTGTCCTATAATTACATAAATAAGAATGAAAATGGGCAGATTTTCAAGTTGCTCACTATTTCTATTTTTCATCCAAAAGAATAGTGCAATGAGGAGTCCATACCTGATAGACATGTGGAAATATAGCTGGACACATTTATGGAGTGGCAGTCAATGACAAGGCACAAATACATAGTGTTATGACATGGGAAATAGTTCTTAAGGTTGAAGTTCCCACTAGAGAGCTTGTGGTGTAGACACTTAGAATTGAGAGCCTAAAAAAGATGGTATGATAAGAGCAGGTTTCACCTACTGAGTACTATCTTTTCTCATGTTTTCTGTACCTCGTATCTCTCGTATCTCTAAAAGGTCAAAGATACTGCATAAGCCCTCTGGAAGCTACCTCTTCCCAAGTCTCCATATTCACACTGCTTTTGATTAATCGATCCGTTTACCTTCTCACTGTGCATCGGGCCTTCTGTCATTGTTTCCCTTTATATCCAGCTCATCATTACAAATACCTTCAATGCCAGTACAATCCTTAGATCATCCTAACCTATGAAACTCAAACTCTGAGTGAATCCACTATCTCTTCCCTTGGAACACTCTCTTCACTTGCTTCTGTGCATTTTCCTAACTCACTGGCCATTTTTAAAATTTTAGCCTCTTTTGATGACTTTGTTTTTTCTCTATTAAACCTACAAATTTTGTCCTGGTCTCCTTCTCTTCTTTGTCTGTCTGTCTATATTCCTTTGCTATTTTATTCTATTCTCATGTCTTTTTTTTTTTTTTTTTTTTTTTTGAGACAGAGTCTTGCTTCGTCACCTAGGCTGGAGTACAAGGGCATAAACATGACTCACTACAGCCTCAAGATCCTGGGCTCAAGTGATCCTCTCAGCTCATGCTCTTGACTAGCTGGGACTACAGGCATGCACCACCACACCTGGCTAATTTTTGTGGTTTTTAAAGTCTTTTTGGTAGAGATGGAGTCTCACTGTGTTGCCCAGGCTGGTCTTGAACTCCTGGGCTCAAGTGATTCTCCTGCCTCAGCCTCCCATAGTGTTGGGATTACAGGCATAAGCCACTGCACCTGGTGCTCATGTCTTATATAATCTTTTTTTAAGTTACCAGAGTTATGTATTTAATTGCTTTTTATTGTCACGTTGATTTGGATATCTCACATATTTCAGAATTAACAGGTTCAATTTCATCCTCTGTCAGTCAAATCTGTGTTCCTCATCTCCTCCCCACCTAGTCCTCCAATTTCAGTAAATGACATTAATCTGAAGGCTTGAAATATAAAACAGAGGATGATATTTGAGATTTACTTTTCTTCATGTCTAAGCTGGTTAGGCCTGAGGTCAACTGCAATGTGCCAGGAGAGTTCTATATTAACACTACTCAAAATAACAACCTTTCAACATCTCCCACCTCAGAACAATACACACACACTCCCCTTTACCTCTTCAGGGCCCCTATTTTCTTAACAGTTCTTATTAAGTCTATTATTATATTTCTTATTTACTTACTCTTTCTGTTTTTCTTACCAGAACTTTTGAGGGCAGACAATCTGTCTTTTGGCTATTTGTCTTCATCCCCTACCACGGTGTATGGCACATAAACATCACGAAATAAATAGCTTTGAATGGCGAATTAACCATCTTATATCTACTTGAACATCATTTATAAGAACCACTGGGGCCAGGTGTGGTGGCTCACGCCTGTAATCTCAGCACTTTGGGAGGCCAAGGCGGGTGGATCACGAAGTCAGGAGTTCGAGACCAGCCTGGCCAACATGGTGAAACCTCATCTCTACTAAAAAAATGCAAAAATTAGCTGGATGTGGTAGCAGGTGCCTATAATCCCAGCTACTCAGGAGGCTGAGGGACGAGAATTGCTTAAACCCAGGAGGCAGAGGTTGCAGTGAGCCGAGACCGTGCCACTGCACTCCAGCCTGAGCAACAGAGCAAGATTCCGTCTCAAAAAAAAAAAAAAAAAGAACTGAGAACACATCAGATATGGATAATGAACCTAGGATAGTTGGACATGATGAGAGACACTTACTAGTTATTGACTACAAAAGAGTAGCCAAGAGAAACTGAGAGCAGCCTCACTCTAGGGACATCTTATTTCCAAAAAGACAAGCATGACTGATCAGTTTCCTCTTTTTATTTACTGCTGGTCTTTCATTATATGCTTCACAAAGTACAGGGAAGAACAATGTTTTACTGGCAGAGTTAGAAATCAAGATAAGGAGTGAGAACTAAGATAAATTGCAAAGACTCAACTATTAGTGTAGACCTTGGACAGCTAGCTAAAAGAATACAGCCTGGTGAATTGGAGACAAAAGGTACTCCAAATATTTGGCTAAAATTTTGCAAATATATTTGGGTTACTTAATTCATTTGAAGTGTTTAAGTCAAATTATAAATCACATTCTATTTATTTAAAAATATTTATTGAGGACCTACCATGTAATAAGAACTTAGGATATATCATCAATGAACAAAACAAACTTTTCTGCCCTAGTGGTATTTATATTCTGGGGTAAAGACAATAATAAACCATAAAATATGTTAGAATATGTTAAGCATAATTTAAAAAATAGAGCAGTATGGCTGGGCACGGTGCCTCACACCTGTAATCTCAGCACTTTGGGAGGCCGAGGCGGGCGGATCATGAGGTCAGGAGATTGAGACCAGCCTGGCCAACATGGTGAAACCCCATCTCTACTAAAAATACAAAAAATTAGCCAGGCGTGGTGGCATGCACCTGTAGACCCAGTTACTCAGGAGGCTGAGGCAGGAGAATTGCTTGAACTCAGGAGGCGGAGGTTGCAGTGAGCCAAGATTGCACAACTGCCCTCCAGCCTGGGCGACAGAGCGAGACTCTGTCTCAAAAAAAAAAAAAAAAAAAAAAAATAGAGCGGTACAACGGTATATGAGAATACCGCTGGTATTGTAGGTGGAGGTGCATGGTTCATGTATGTAAATAGGAGGGTCAGGGTGAATTTCACTGAGAAAATATTATTTGAGAAAATTTGAAGGAGTGAACTGTGCTGATAACTGAGAAATTAATCCACCTGGCAGAAGGCACAATCAGTAGAGAAATTCAAAGGCAAGAGCAGGTTTAGTCAGTTTCTAGCGAGAGCAAAGAGGTTAGTAGGTAGCTGGAATACAGTGAACAGGACATGGGATCATAGAGATAAGGTATAAGTACCTTGTTTTTTTGTGCTGAGTGAAGGTACCTTGGCATGATTTGGGATCAAATGAACGTTCGTTATATATTCTCCTCTTAGTGGTTCCACTGGCTAATATTGGAAAGATCTCTTGTCACTTTTGCCTTCACATTTACACTTTATAATTTAACACACCTGGGAAAGGCACAATTATATGCTTCATTAGTTTCCTGACCTAATATTTGGCAGAAGGCCCTACATATTTTTCTTTATACTTTATTTTCATCGAAATTCTTTGAAACTTTATTCAGAGAAGTAGGTAAAAGCCTCAGGCATAGGCTTACACAGTTTCATTTTTATCTTTTACATCTAAACTCACACAATTATCCATAAGCTCTATCATTTATGCACTTTCATTTAACAAACATGTATTCAGCACCTACTGTATGCCAAGTACTGTCAAATGTATATGTGAGAACACAGGCCTTTTTTGGTTCCATATGAATTTTAAGATTTTTTTTTCTAATTTTATGAAAAATGACAGCGGTATTTTGATAGAGATTGAATCAAATCTGTAGATTTCTTTGAGAAATATGGTCATATTAATTCTGATCCATGACCATCGGATGTTTTTCTGTTTCTTTGTGTCACCTTCAATTTCTTTCATCACTTTTCTGTAGTTTTTCTTGTAGATACCTTTTACTTCTTGGGTTAAATTAATTCTTAGGGTTTTTTTTTTGGTAGTTATTGTAAGTGGGATAGCTTGCTTGATTTTTTCTTGTCTAGATAATTATTGGTGTGTAGAAATGGTACTGATTTTTGTACATTGATTTTGTATACTGCAACTTTACTCACTTCACTTATCAAACCTAGGAGTCTTTTTGGTGGAGTCTTTGGATTTTTGTAGATATAAGGTCATATCATCAGCAAAGTGGGACAATTTGATGTCCTCTTCTCCAAATTGCATGCCTTTTATTTTTTTCTCTTGCCTGATTGCTCTTGCTAGGACTCCCAGAATTACGTCGAATAGGAGTGGTGAAGGTGGACATTGTTGTCTTGTTCCAGTCCTTAGAGGAAATAATTTCAGTCCTTTTCCATTAAATATGATGTTAGCTATAGATTTGTCATATATGACCTTTATTATTTCAAGGTATGTTCCTTCTATGTCTAGTTTGTTGAGAGTTTTTATAGTGAAGGGATGTTGAAATTTTTCAAATGCTTTTTCTTTATCTATTGAGATCATCATATGGTTTTTGTCCATTTTGTTGATGTGATATATCATATTTATTTATTTGCATATGTTGAACTATCCTTGCATCCCTGGCATAAATACCACCTGATTATGGTGTGTTATCTTTTTGATGTACTGTTAGTGGTTTGCTGGTATTTTGTTGAGAATCTTTGTGTTTAAGTTCATCAGGAATATTGGCCCATAGTTTTCTTTTTTGTTGTTGTGTTCTCATCTGAATTTGGTATCAGGATAATGCTGGCCTCATAAAATGAGTTAGGGAAAATTACCTCCTTTTTGATAATTTTAAAATAGTTTCAGGAGAATTAGTATTAGTTCTTTGTATATTTGTTAGAATTTGTCTGTGATTCCATCTGGTTCTGGGCTTTTCTTTTTTGAGAGACTGTTACTGATTCAATCTTGCTACTCGTTATTGGTCTGTTCAGGTTTTCTATTACTTCCTGATTCAATCGTGGTAGGCTGTGTGTTTCAAGGAATCTATCCATTTCCTCAAGGTTTTCCATTTTGTCAGTGTATAGTTGTTCATGACAGTCTCTGATGATCTTTTGTATTTCTGTGGTATCAGTTGAAATGCCTCCTTTTTCCTTTCTGATATTGTTTATTTGCATCTTCTCTCTTCTCTCTTGGTTAGTCTAGCTAGTGTTAATGTACATCTTGTTGAAGAAATAACTTTTTATTTTCTTGAGTATTGATTTGTAGTCTATTTTGTTCAGTTTTGCTCTGATTTCTGTTATTTCTTTCCTTCTGCTAATTTTGGGTTTGGTTTGTTCTTGCTTTTCTAGTTCCTTGTGGTACAGTGTTAGATTGTTCGTTTGCCCCAATCTTTTTGCTTTTTTGATACAGGTATTTATTGCTATAAACTTCCCTGTTAGCACTGTTTTTGCTGTATCTCACAGGTTTTGTTATGCTGTTTTCATTTTCATTTGTTTAAAGTAATTTCTTATGTTGAATAACATTTAATGGTTATTTTATTAGGAATTTATCTGTCTATGTTAATGAGAGCTATTAGTCTCTATTTTTGTTTTTGTTTTGTAGATATTTTGTCAGGTTTTAGCATCAGATTTGTGCTGGGCACATACATCAGTTGGCAAGTGTTTCCTCTAATTTTCTGAAAGCACTTGTTATAAGATTTGTGTTAATTGTTTCCCTTAAATGTTGATAATATTTTACTATCTGGGCATGTACTTTCATTGTGGGGAGGTTTTTATATTAAATTCAGTTTGATTAATACATACAGAGTTATTCAGATTTTTTATTTAATCTAGTTTCAAGTTTTATTTTCTTTCAGATATTATAGTAATTTAACCAGTTGTAAAAGGCCCTACAGTTAAAAGACCAAACTTGAAAGGCTAAATATTAAAAACACAAACTACAAGTTATTTCCATGAAATCAGTCAAATCATGAAATAAATTTTGTGCAAATACTAAGGAAATATATACATCTATATAAATATTAGAAAAAATAAAATTAGACTACAAAATTGTATTAGGAAATAAGAGTGTATTTAGCACTCTTAAATAAAAATGTATTTATTAAAATTATTTTTATTGACAGGTCATAATTTTATACATTTATGAGGTACAATGTGATGTTTTGATATATATATGCAATGTAGGATAATTAATTCAAGCCAATTGACATATTAGTCAACTTGCAAACCTATCATTTTTTATGGGGAAATTAAACTTGTAATTTACTCTTCTAGTTATTTTGAAATATACATTATTATTGACTATTGTCACCCTGCTATGCAGTATATCACAAACCCCCCATTCATCTAAAGCTTTGTACCCTTTGATCAGCAATTACCCATTTGTTCCCTCCCTGTACTCCCAATCAGCTCTTGGTAACTACCATTCTATTCTCTACTTCTATGAGTTCAACTTTCTTAGATTTCACATATAAGTAAGACAATGTGGTATCTGTCTTTCTGTGCCTGTCATATTTCATTTATAATAATGTCTTCCAGATTAATTCAAATGTTGTCACAAATAACAGGGGACCCCCACCCTTTTTAAGGCTGTATAGTATTGTGTGTGTGTATATATATATACACACACATATGACATATAATTTATTGTCATATATATATATATGACAGATACTTTATCCTTTCATCTGCTGATGAACACTTAGGTTGTTCCTATATCTTGGCTGTTGTGAATCATTTTGCAGTGAACATGGGAATGCTGGTATCTCTTTAATGTATTGATTTTGGTTCCTTTGGGTGTATACTCAGAAGTAGAATTACTGGGTCATATGGTAGTTCTATTTTTAGTTTTTTGAGGAACCTCCATACCATTTTTCATAACATTTCTTTTAATTTACATTCCCACCAACAGTGTTCAAGAGTTCCCTTTTCTCTGTATTCTCACCAAACCTTATCTTTCATCTTTTTGATAAAAGCCATTCTAAAGGCGTGAGATAATATCTCGTTTTTAATTTGCATTTTTCTATAGTGATGCTGAACATTTTTTCATGCATCTGGTGGAAATTTGTATGTCTTCTTTGAGAAATTTCTGCTCAGGAACTTTGCCCATTTTAAAATTGGCTTTATTGGTATTGAGTTGAGTTTATTACATACTTTGGATATTAACTTACCAGGTGTATGGTTTATAAATATTTTCTCTAATTCTGTGGATTGCCTCTTCAGTCTGTTAATTATTTTTATTTTGTGCAGATCTTTTTAGTTTGATGCCATCACTTTCGTCTATTTGTGCTTTCATTGCCTGTGTTTTAGGAGTCGTAGCCAAAAAAACTGTTGCCCAGACCAATGTCATTTAGCATTCCAGGCCAATGTCATTTAGCATTCCCCCTATTTTATTCGAGTAGTTTTACAATTTCAGGACCTATATTTAAGTCATTAATCCATTTTGAGTTGACTTTTATATAAGGGGTGAGATAAAGGTCCAATTTCATTCCTTTGCATGTGGATATTCAGCTTTCCCAAGAGCATAATCTGAAGACAGTGTTTTTCCCCATTTTGTACTCTCAGCACCTTTGTTGAAAATCAGTTAACCATAGATGTATGGGCTTGTTTCTAGGCTCACTGTCCTATTTGACTGATGATGTAGCTGTGTTATGCTGTTTTGATTACTATAGCTTTGTAATTTGTTTTCAAATCTAGTAATGTGATGCTTCCAGCTTTGTTCTTTTGGGTCAAGATTGCTTTGACTTCAGGACCTTTTGTGATTCCATACAAACTTTAGGATTGTATTTTCTATTTCTTTGAAGAAATGCATTGGAATTTTGACAGAGAATGCATTGAATTTATAAATCACTTTGGGCAGTATGAACTTGAATTACACTTTAGACCAAATATACCTAACACACATAAAGAATATTCCACTCAACAGTAGCATAATATACCATAATGTACTTTCTTCTCAAGTGCACACAGAACATTCTCCAGGCATATATATGTTAGGTCAGAAGACAAATTTTAACAAATTTAAAAGTATTTAAATTATATCAAGTGTGGCAATGGTATGAAACTAGAAATCAGTAACAAGAAAAATCTTGGAAAAATACACAAATATGTGGAAATTAAACACGATGCTCCTAAACAACCTGTAGGTCACAGAAGTAATCAAAAAGGAAATAAATATCTTGAGACAAATGGAAACATAAACATAAACATAACACATCCCCAAATTATGGAATGCAGCAAAAGCAGTCCTAATAAGGACATTTATAGCATTTAATGCTTATATCAAAAAAGAAAGATCTCAAATAAATAATCTAATGTTAAGCCTCAGGAAACTAGAAAAAGATGAAAAAACCAAGTCCATAATTAGCAAAAACAAGAAAATAGTAAAAACCAGAGCAGATCTAAATGAAATAGAGACTAGGAAACAATAGAAAAATCAACAAAATGAAGAGTTGGTTTTTTGAAAAGGTAAACAATATGGACAAATTGTTAGATTAAGTAGGGAAGAAAGATGACTCAACTAAATAAAATTAGAAATATAAGAGCACACATTATAACTGATATTACAGGAACAATTGTGAACAATTAATAACTAATTGGATAATCTAGAAGAAATTGATAAATTTCTAGACACATGGACCCTACCAAGACTGAAACCTGAAGAAATAGAAAATCTGAGAACAATGTAAAATAAGAATGAATCAGTAATAAGAATTCTTCAATTAAAAGAAAACATCCTTGATTGGATGGCTTCACTGCTAAATTCACTCACACATTCAAAGAAGATCTGATGCCAATTATTGAAAATTTCCAAAAAAATGAAATGGAGGGAATACTTCTAAATTCTTTTTATGAGGCTGGAATTACACTGACAAAAAAGACAAGGACACTACAAGAAAAATATTTATAGGCAATTATTTCTGATGAAATAATGCAACTTATTCTCACCTTGAGTTCAGTTTGAGAATTGAACTCAAACACATTACTTCAAAGACTCATTTTCAAGTGCACACAGCACATTCTCCAGACATATGTTAGGTTGCAAGACAAATCTTAATAAATTTAAGAAGATTCAAATTATATCAGGTGTCTCTGTGTGTGGCAATGGTATGAAACTAGAAATCAATAACAAGAAAAATCTTGGAAAATACATAAATATGTGGAAATTAATAATTACCACAATAAAGTGGTATTTGTCATTGGAATACAAAGATGGCTCAACATATGCAGATCAGTAAATGTGATACACAACATTAATAAAATGAAAGATGAAAATTATATGACCATTTAATGGACATAGAAAAATCATTTGACAAAATTCAACACCCTTTTATGGAAAAAGTTTTCAACAGCTTAGATATAGAGGGAGTGTACCTCAACCCAATAAAGGCCATATATGACAAACTTGTAGGTAGCATCATTCTCAATGGTGAGAAGTTAAAAGCTTTTCCTTCAATGTCAGAAATAAGATAAGGATGCCCACTCTCACCACCTGTATTCATTATAGTACTGGAAGTCCTAGCCAGAGCAATTAGGCAAGAGAAAGAAATACAAGCATCCGAGTAGGGAAGAAAGAAGTAAAATTGTCTGTATTTGTTGATGACATGATCTTATATAGAGAAAACCCTAAAGATACCCCTAAAGAATTTGTTACAATTAAAATTGAATTAAGTAAAGTTACAGGATACAATATTATTACACAAAATTAATAGTGTTTGTATATACTAATAACAAATTATCTGAAAAGGAAGTTAGGCAAACAGTTCCATTTACAATAGCAACAAAAATTAAATACTTAGTTCTAAATTCAGCAAAGGAAGTAAAAGTCCTGTACAACAAAAACACTGACGAAAAAGTTAAAGAAGACACAAATAAATTGAAAGATATCCTGTGTTCATGATATATAAAAATTAATATTGTGAAAATGTCTGTACTACCCAAAGTGATTTATAAATTTGATGCAATCTCTATCAAAATGCCAATATCATTTTTCACAGTAATAAAAAAATCAATATTAAATTTGTATGGAAACACCACAAATACCCAAAACAATCTTGAGCAAAAAGAACAAAGTGGAGGCATCACACTTCCTGATTTCAAACCATATTATAAAGAACTTATAATCAAAATAGCATGGCGCCTGCATACAAACAGGCATATCGGCCAATAAAACAGTATCCAAAACCCATAAATATGCCCATGCATTTATAGTCAAAATATTTTTGTGTCAGTTTTGATGGCTACATTTTTCATTAATTTGACCATTCCATCTGAATAGTCAAATTCACTACAAAAATGTTATTCACAAATTTCTTATTTTTTAAATTACTGAAGTTCCTCTTTCCTGATTATTAAAAATTTGTGTTGTCTCTCATTCTTTCCTTTTAAAATAGCTTGTTGAGGTATAATAACCAAACAATAGGCTGTTCATATTAAAAGTATATAGTTTAATAAGTGTTGAGATATATGATAAATGAACACTACAATTCAGGTAATGAACATTCCCATCACTTCCTCATTTCCTCATATCTCTTTTTAATCCCTCCGTCCTAACTGTCCCAATACCACTCCTTTTTCTAGACAAAGCCTAATCTCATTTCTATTGCTATATAGATCAGTTTCCATTTCCTAAAATTTATATAAAGGAATCATATATTATTCTTTTGTTTGATTTCTTTTACTCAGCAAAATTATTATGAGATTTATATATGTTGCTGCATGTATCATTTGTTCCTTCCTTTTTATTTCTGAGTAATATTCTATTGTATGAATACATCACCATTTGTCTATCCAACATATTGTGGGTGGGCATTTCAATTGTTTATAGTTTCTGGCTATTACACATAAAGTGTTCTGAACATTCATGAACAAGTCTATTTAAAGACATGTGCTTTCATTTCTCTGGAGTAAATACCTAGGAGTGGAATAGTTTCTCCTATGGCAAGTGTATGTTTAACTATTTAAGAATTTGCCAAAGAGCTTTCCAAAGTGGTTGTACCACTTTACATTCCAGAAGGCAGTATATAAAAACTCTGGTCTCTCCACATCCTTAGTCTTTTTAAATATAGCCATTCTTGTGATATCCCTTTGTGGTTTGAATTTGCATTTTCCTAGTGATAACTGGTGTTGAGCATCTTTCAGTGTATTCATTTCCCATCTGAACCTTTTACTTGTACAAATCTTTGTCGGTTCAAATCTTATGTCCATTTGTTTTTTAAACTGTTTTTTAAATTACTGAGTTCTGATAAATTTTTATATATTATGGCTATATCTCCTTTATCAAATATGTAATTTGCAAATATTTTCTCCCAGTATGACCTATATGTTCATTCTCTAAATACAATCATTTTTGAAGAGTAGAAGTTTTAAATTTTGATGAAGTTTAACAGTTTTTTTTATGGATTGCACATTTGCATTTTATCATAGCAATTTTTGCCTAACTCAAAGACACAAGGAATTTCTCCAATGTATTATTCTAGAAGTTTTATAGTTTTAGGCATTCCAGTTAGGTTTATGATCTATTTTGAGTTAATTTTTATATGGTGTGAGCTGTGGGTTGAAGTTTATTATTTTGTATATAGATATCCAGTGGTTCCAGAACTATTTATTGAAAAACTATTATTTTCTCTACTGAATTGCCTTTGCATCTTTGTAGAAAATTTGTTCATAAATGATTGAGTCAATTTTGGGGGTCTTGTTGTGAAGACAGGGTAATAGATGAGTGAAACAAATAGTGACGCAAACTCATCTATTCCCCTGTCTTTACAACAAGACTACACTGGCTTGCTTACCATAGCTTTATAATAAATAAGTAATGTTTGTCCTCCAAAATTGCTCTTATTTTTCAAAATCATTTTGGATATTCTAGGTCCTTTGAATTTCCATATGTATGTTAGAATTAGGTTGTCAACTGCTAGAAATCCTGCTGGTATTTTGATTGGAGGTGCATTCAATTTGTAGATCAATTTTGGGAGAATTGAAATATTAATACTGTGGAGATTTCCAACATACGAACACAATATAGCTCTCCATTTATTTTAGGTCCTCTCTAATTTCTGTCAGCAATGTTTTTAGTTTTTAATGTTTAAGTCTTGTACATCTTTTGTCAGATTTATCCCTAAGTATTTTATAAATTTTATGCTACTTTAAATTGTATTAAAAATTTTCACTATCTGGACGTTCATTGTTACAGTATGGAAATAAAATTGATTTATGTGTATTAATCTTGAATTCTACAACCTTACCAAAATCACATATTAATTCCAGTGGATTTTTTCATAGGTTTCTTTGGATTTTCTCCATGGACAATTATGTTGTCTGCGAATAAAGACAATTTTATTTCTTCTTTACTGTCTCTATATCACTTTTTCTTGACTTTATGTCTTAGCTAGAACCTCCACTTCAATGTTTAACAAGAGTGATGAGAACAGACATTTGTTTCCTATATCCTGATATTAATGGAAAAGCATACAATCTTTTATCATTAAGTATTTCAGCTGTAGGTGATACGGACAGGAGGCAGATAAATACTGGGTAGAAGAGGATGGTTCCCCAGCAAAGGCCCCACCTTAAATCCTGGAAACCCACAGCCCTAAATGGGAACAGGCATTTATCTTTTCATGTCCCAAAGTTGCCTTTTGGTCTGCCATGCCCGCCTATCCTGTACCCATATAAACCCCAAACCCCCGGCTCCACGAGGAGACAAACAGAAGAGCAGAAGAATAGCAGAATGGCACGATAAAGAGAAGAGAAGGAGTGTCTGAATGTCGAGAGGAGTTTGGCTGGGGATAGTCAGGGGAAGATAATCTTCCCACTCCATTACATTTCCAGCTCCCTATCCATCCCTCTGAGAGCCACCTCCACCACTCAATAAAACCCCTGCATTCATCCTTCAAGTATGTGTGTGACCTGATTCTTCCTGGAAGCCGAACAAGTACCTGGGTACCAAGAAGGCACTGAGCTGGTTAACACTTAAGCCATCCCGGATGGCAAGGCTAAAAGAGGATACTGTAAGACAGGCCCACTTGGGCTTTGGGAGTTGCAGACACTCAACCCTGGATGCTGCCATAGGGCTGGAGCTCAGGGGCACACACCTTAGCTCCGGCACCTGCCCTCCTGCATGCTCCCTCTCGTGAAGGGGGTTTGAGCAGGGCATGGTGGCTGAACAGATGAGCCACACCCCTGTTGCAAGTTCTGTGAGGGACGTCAGGGAACTCGCCTATTTCACAGGTTTTTCACAGATCCCCTTTATCAAGTTAAGGTAGAATTCTTTTCTTTTGCTAGTTTGTTGAAAGTTTTGAACTGTGATGGATAATGGATTTGACAAATACCTTTTCTGTTTCTATGAAGATAATCGTATAGTCTCTATTCTTTAGTTTGTTAATTTGGTGAATTACACTGATTGATTTTCAAATATTAAACCACTTTGTATCCTTGGGAAAAACCCCACCTGGTCACAGTAT
Source organism: Homo sapiens (assembly GCF_000001405.40). Lineage (NCBI taxonomy): Eukaryota > Metazoa > Chordata > Mammalia > Primates > Hominidae > Homo > Homo sapiens. The sequence continues at coordinate 87,128,738 of NC_000008.11, forward strand.
ATTGTCTTTTTATATATTGTTGGATTTGCTTTCCTAATATGGTGTTAAGAATTTTGCTATGTTCAGCCGGGTGCAGTGGCTCATGCCTTTAATCCTAGCACTTTGGGAGGCTGAGGTGGGTGGATCATGAGGTCAGGAAATCCAGACCATCCTGGCCAACATGGTGAAACCCCGTCTCCACTTAAAAAAAAAAAAAAAAATTAGCCGGGATTGGTGGCATGCACCTGTAGTCCCAGCTACTCAGGAGGCTTGAGCCCGGGAGACTGAGGTTGCAGTGAGCCGAGATCGCCCCACTGTACTCCAGCCTGAGCCACAGAGCAAGACTCTGCCTCAAAAAAAAAAAAAAAAAAAAAAGAATTTTGCTATCTTCAGAAGGATATGAATCTGTAATTTTCTTTTTTGGTAATATCTTTGTGGATGGTATCAGAATCATTCTAGTTTCACAGAGTGTGTTGAAAATATTCCCTCCTTTTCAATGTCCTGAAATAATTTTAGTAAAATTAATACTACTTCTTCCTAAAATGTTGGTAGGGTTTACCAGAAAGCCATCTGGGCCAAAAGTCGTCTTTGTGGGAAGATCTTTAGCTACAAGTTACATTTCATCTATATATCTATGTGTATCTATCTACCTATTTATCTCTCTGTTATCAATCATTATGCAGGTTATTGATTTTTTTCTGGATTGAATTTTGGTACTTTGTGTCTTTTAAGAAATCGTCATTTTTACTCAGTTGTCTCATTTGTTCTTGATCAATCTGCTGAGAGGTTTATTTGTTGGTCTTTTCTAAGACTCAACTTTTGGTTTTCTTAATTTTCTCTTTAGGTTATCTGTTTTCTATTTTATTAGTTTTTCCTCTGATCATTTTTTTCCTTTTTGTTTTTCAAGATGTAGCTTTAGGTCATTGGATTTAGACTTTACTTTTTTAATGTAAGCATTTAAAGATATCTATTTCTTTCTAAGCAATGTTTTAGCTCTATCCATAATTTAGGTTATGTTGTTATTTTTATTCAGTCTCACATATTTAAACATTTCTCTCTCTCTTTTTTGTTTTTTTGACCCATGGATATTTTGTGAAAGTGTTATTGTATTAGTCCATTCTCACACTGCTGATAAAGACATACCCAAGACTGGGGAAATTTAGAAAAGAAAGAGGTTTAATTGACCTACAGATTCACGTGGCTGGGGAAGCCTCACAATCATGGTGGAAGGCAAGGAGGAGCAAGTCATGTCTTAAATGGATGGCAGCAGGCAGAGAGAGAACTTGTGCAGGGGAGCTCCCCCTTATATAATCATCAGATCTCATGAGAGCTATTCACTATCATGAGAGCAGCACAGTAAAGGCCTGCCCCCATGATTCAATTACCTCCCACCAGTTCCCTCCCACAACACATGGGAATTCAAGATGAGATTTGGTGGGGACACAGCCAAACCATATCAGTGATTTTTAAAAATTGTTAAATATTTGATTTTTATCTTAGCTACATTATTATTCTTGATTTCTCAATAATCCCATTATGGTTAGAGCACATATTTTGTGCAATTCCAGTATTTCAAAATATACTGAGACTTATTTTATGGTTCAACATACAGTGCATCTTGATGAATTTTCCATCTGCTCTTGAAAAGAATGTGTACTCTGAAGGCTTTGAGTATAGTGTTGTATAATTTTCAGCCAAGTCATAGTGGATAATAATGTTATTCGGCCCTTCTTTGTCCTTTCTCATTTTTTCTGGTTGTCTTTTAAAAATTCCTGAGAGGCTGGGTGTGGTGGTTCACACCTCTAATTCTAGCACTTTGGGAGGCCAAGATAGGTGAATTAATTGAGCCCAGGAGGTCAAGACCAGCTTGGGCAACATGGTGAGACACCGTCTTTACAAAAAATACAACAAAATGGCTGGGTATGGTGGTAGGCACCTGTTTCCCAGCTACTCGGGAGGCTGAGGTGGGAGGATTGCTTGAGCCTGGGAGGCAGAGGTTGCAATGAGCTGAGATCACCTTACTGCACTGTAGCTCAGGCCACAGAACAAGATCCTGTCTCAAAAAAAAAAAAAAAAATTCCTGAGAAAGGATAATTCAACTATCCAAATATGATTGTAAATTTGTCTAGCTCTCTTTTTATTAATTTTGTCCATTTTTTTGTTTATGTATTTTGGGGCTCTGTTAGATATGTGCATATCTATGATTTTATGTCTTGTGAAATCACTATTTTATCATTATGAAATGTTCTTCCTTTGCCTTAAGTTGCTATATATTATTAATATAACAACTCCAGCCTTCTTACCCGGTTTACATAATATGTATCTGTCCATTCTTTTCCTTTTAATCTATCTGCATTTTAAAATTTAAACTGTACCTCTTGCAGAATAGTTATGTCTTGCTTTTCCAAATATTAAAAAAAATCTGCATTCCTAATTGGAATCCTTAGTTCATTTGCATTCAATGAAATTTTCGTGTGCTTGGATTTTTGTCTACCACTTCACTACTTGTTTTATATTTTTACTACTTTTTATTTCTCTGGTATTTGTTTTCTGACTTTTTTGAGTTAATTGCATTTTTACAAAAATATTTTACTCTAATTTATCTATTTGCTTTAAAATTATACTACTTTGGAACATTTAAAATGGTTGCTCCAAGGCATAAAATACACATTTTTAACTTTTCACACCCCACTGGGAAATGTAAAAACCTTGCAATCATATAGGTCATTTTTTCTCACTCCATTTTGGCTATCATTGTCATATATAGTACATCTATACATGATATACTTGTATATGTCAGATTTACATGTTTTTACTTTTCTCATTAAGCATTTAAAGCTATTTCCTTATAAACATTGCTGTAGTTGTATCTCATTATTTATAATATGCTATTTTTTATAATTCAATATAAAACATTTTGCATCTCTCTTGAGAGTTTCTTTGATTCGTACATCTTTTTGATCCATAGATTTTTTTGTTTTTGTTTTAAAACATTGGAACACACATACACACAATAATTTTTGTTGTAAATAGTGATGTGTTATCAAATTATGAAAAAAAATAATTGTGTTTAACCACCTCAACTCAACTTCTGATGCTCTTATTTTCTCTATAAGACCTGAGATTTCATTTGGTATCACCTCTCTTCATTGAAAAAGACTTTCTTCATGATTTCTTATAGTGTTAGTCTGCTGAGGATGAATATTCTTTGTGCTAGTTTGTTTCAAGACTGACTTTGTTTCCCTTCATTCTTGTAGGATATTTTCACTGGATTTATAATTCTTAGTTCTCAGTTTTATGTTGTAGCACTTTAAACATTGCTACAGTTTCTTCTGGCCTCTATTTTTTGTTTGCCTTATTTTTATATGTATGTAATGTGTCTTGGGGCACTGCTTTTAAGATTTTTATGCCATTTTTTCAACACCTAAAATTAATTACTACATAATTAATATTTGTTTCCATATTATACCTTGCTTCATATGTTAAAAAAACTAACAATATATAATACATATAATTAATGGCACTAATAACTTTTAAAATAGCCATAACAACATTTTAGTAAGTTTGATATCTCTTGGGACATTACTAATTGTGTTAACATTATTACTAATTGTGATAATACCTAATGTGTGTCTAGAAAGCCTTGTTAATTCATTTGACTTTGAGTTAATAAAGTGAATATTTCTTTGTGAAAAAGATTAAATTTATAAGACAGAGAAAAGAAAAAGATTTTTATGCCATTTTGGAAGTTCAGTGGTTTGACTCTGACATGCTTGGACATAATTTTTTTTATTTACCCTGTATGGGGCTTGCTGAGATTCTTAAAACTGTGAATTATGTCTTCCACAAAATTTTGGAAGTTTCTCACCACTATTTCTTATATATCAAGATATATATTTATGTATAATATATAATGTAATATATGATATATGTAAGATATATATCTAATATATATGATATATCTTATATATATCATATATAGTTTCATTTATATATATTTGCATATATATGGAATTATATATAGGTTCATTTGCATATATATGGAAATATATATATCATTCAATTTGCATATATATATGTGTATATATATACATATATATATACACACACATATATATATATAGTTCCATTTCCTCTCTCCTCTCATTTTGGGACTCAAATTACATGAAACACATGGTTTTGATAAAGTCCTACAAGTCACTCAGGTTCTATGAAATCATTCTCAATCTTTTTTCTGCTTTCTCTAAATTGAACAATATTTATTGAGCTCTCTTCAAGCCCACTGTTTTTTTCTTCTGTAAATCTAATTGACTTCTAATCCCTAAAGGATGTATATTTTAAAAAATGATCTTATACTTTTTAGTTCTATAATTTTTATTTGATTGATTTTTATATCTTCCACTTTTCTGCTAAGATTCCTTTTTTTTCATTAATTATAAGCATGTTTTTAAATAGTTTTTGACAATGGTCATACTTGCTACTTTAAAAATTCCTTTCTGCCAGTTCCAGCATCTGTGACATCTTAGTTTCAATGTATGTTGTCTTTTCTCTTGTGTATGAGTCATTTTTTCTGTTCCTCACATATCTAATAACTTTGACTTGTATCCTCAACATTGTGAAGTCACTGGAGTCATTTGCCTGTGTTTCTAAAATATTAACCTTTGACTCACACTCTAAACTCCATCTTTCCTGTAGTAGCAGAAACTGAAAGCTCTGATTGGTGTTTTAGCCTTAGCTATGTGTATCAGTCAGTTTGAGCTGCTACAATAAATTACCATAAGGTAGGTATAATTATCCCCCATCATGGAAAAGTCAAAGCATGGGCCACTCTCCTGGGTTGTTCCCTTCACTCAAGTTTTCTCTTCCCTTCGGGCCCTTCTGTGGGTTCATGTTCATTTTCTACTAGGTGGGGTGCTTGCACTGATTAATAGCCTGAAATATTTGCCTTCTTATTGATTGTTATACAACCTCTTTTAAAGTAAAAAAAAAAAAAGCATATTGCACAGAGAAGTGGATTTAAAATTTTTTTTATGAATGAGCTATATAATTATGTTGATTCAGGCAATCAAAACTCATTGGACTTCAATTCTGATAATTAGGAAATGTTTGATCTTGTATATTGAGAGAATGGGGAAGCTATTTGTTGCGTGTAATTTAACCTTTTGACTCATATTTTCCCTGGAGGCTCTAATGGTAGAGCACTCAGAAGTATTTGGTTTAGTTCCTATCTCAAAATTGCTGTCTAATAAAACACTTCAGTTTCTGCTTTATACTTCCATTGATTGGTGTTAAAATTGGCTTAGGAATACCAAACATTACAGTGTTTGAATTCGAAACATATAATCTTGTTATTGGAAAAAGCATATTTACTTTTAAATGTGTTCATAAAACATATTGGAAAAGGGCTACTAACTGTGCAATTTAGTGTGAACTGTGTGACTAATTTGTTTAAAATGTAAATGCAAAGTATTTGAATGTAATTATTGACTGTCAAATTGATGATTACTGATTAATATTATTCATCAATGCACAATAGTTAACATGGATACCAAATTAGTTATAAAATCAGGAAGCTGTGACTTTGGAAAAGGGAGGAGATCAGTACAGATTGATGTTTTAGGAAAAAAACTTCCAGTTTCGTAAAATGTCGTTAGCAACAAAAAAGAGTATATAGTGTACACCAATATATGTTCTTTCAGTTGCTTTGTTTCTTAATATAACTTTTATTGTTAAGTTCTGCGTTTCTAATTTGACAGTATTCTTCAGGGAAAGAATCAAAAGGAAATTCTAAAAGAATTTCAGAAAACTTTTTTAATTGTTCAGAACTTATTGTAATTGCCTTTTAAAATTCAGATTCACCTTTGTTAATTAGATTACCTTTTTTTTTTTTTTTTTTTTTTTTTTGAGATGGAGTCTCGCTGTGTCACCCAGGCTGGAGTGCAGTGGCTCTGTCTTGGCTAACTGCAAGCTCCGCCTCCTGGGTTCACACCATTTTCCTGCCTCAGCCTCCCGAGTAGCTGGGACTACAGGCGCCAGTCACCATGCCAGGCTAATATTTTTGAATTTTTTTTTTTTAGTAGAGATGGGTTTCACTGTGTTAGCCAGGATGATCTCCATCTCCTGACTTCGTGATCTGCCCGCCTCAGCCTCCCAAAGTGCTGGGATTACAGGCGTGAGCCACCACGCCCAGCCAGATTCCAATTTTAATCTTGAAAACAAACTTAAAAAATTCTGCGCTATTGTTAACAGGAAATTTTGAGGCTTATAGTGTTTATTAATGTTCACACTTAGAGTTAGGTCATTAAAAATACTTACTTTATACTTTCCTAAAAATGTATTTTGATGTTTATTCCAGTACGTAAATTTTCCATTTATAATGAGAAACACAAAATTGAGTCTGATTTCTAGATCATTTTGGTTGTTAAAACTACTCTTATACCACATGTGAATGGAAGTTACAGTAAAAGGTACATAGTGAATAGGGCAATCACAAATATAGTACTGTCTATTAGAACATTTGATAAAGATGGTAATGAATATATATATATGAGATATATAAAATCAAATATACTAAGAGATGGAAAAGCAAATGTATTTAACAAATCAAATATATACCACTGATGTTCTATAAAATGACTACCTACTGAAAATCTTCAAAAATAAACCTCAAAGTAATCTTTTCCTTGCTTTAACAAATTTCATGTAGATATTGCTTTAGCAAATGTCATGGTAGATTACCAAATAAGTATTAAACATGTGTTGCTAGTGTATATTTTGATGATGCTCATCTTTGCCTAATAAAGCAATACATTTAAGGGGAAAAATGTTTGTCATCCTAGATCAAAGGCATCTAATATGTATAATATATATGCTATATAAACACATATATTCTATATATAATATCTATGCAATATATATTACATATTATATATCCTATATATAATATAATGCATATAATATATATGCAATTTAAAATGATTAGCATCCTAAAACTATTTATGATCCAGATCTGATCCAACATATATATAATATAGTGGATATAATATATATGCAATTTAAAATGATTAGCATCCTAAAACTATTTATGATCCAGATCTGATCCAACCTTTCAGTTAAAAGTTATATAATCTTACACCTCCTATTTAGTACTAATGCATTGTGTAGCTCCATGTTAGTGGGTTAAGACAAGGAATACATAGCAAAGCAATTAACTAACAATCAATCAATTAAAGTCAGTGGTATGTATGGATAAAGTTTGGAAGTGCCTGTGTGGTTAGTTGTTCAAAAACCTATAATAGAGTATAGGCTGTTAGCTTCCAACGTCTTGATGGCATAGGTTTTATCCTTCACTTAAAATCCAACTTTTTTTGCTTGGAGAAGATAGAATAGTTGAGAAGGTAACAATTAATACCCAAAAATAAAATCTGAAGAAGCAACTCAAAAGCAATGGAAGTATTCATAAGGGAATACTTGATTCTTACTGAGCTATTGGTTCTCTGCTTTCCATGTCTGTCTAGGCCAGTACTTATTTTCATGGTTAATTTACATCTCAGTGACTCCATATTTTTAGAAGTAATCATAATTTAATTCCAAAGGCAAAATACTAATATGAAATGTGGTATGATTCCTTGAATAACACATGTAATTACTTTTAACATCTCAATTAATGTGGAAGATACAGGTAGATTTTTATGGGAAATTTATAGGCTTAGAAAGCTATAATTCATTTTATTAATAGAATATGTGAGCAAGAAGCATACATTTTGCTTATTTATTGATTTTTTTACTTCCTTATTTTTATATTATATATAAATTATATATTATATTTATATTATATATAAATTATATATTATATTTATATTATATATAAATTATATATTATATTTATATTATATATAAATTATATATTATATTTATATTATATATAAATTATATATTATATTTATATTATATATAAATTATATATTATATTTATAATATATATAAATTATATATTATATTTATAATATATATAAATTATATATTATATTTATAATATATATAAATTATATATTATATTTATATTATATATAAATTATATATTATATTTATATTATATATAAATTATATATTATATTTATATTATATATAAATTATATATTATATTTATATTATATATAAATTATATATTATATTTATATTATATATAAATTATATATTATATTTATATTCTATGTAAATTATATATTATATTTATATTCTATGTAAATTATATATATTTATATTCTATGTAAATTATATATATTTATATTCTATGTAAATTATATATATTATATTTATATTCTATGTAAATTATATATATTATATTTATATTCTATGTAAATTATATATATTTATATTATATGTAAATTATATATATTATATTTTTATTATATATAAATTATATATATATTTTTATTCTATATAAATTATATATATTATATTTTTATTCTATATAAATTATATATATATTATATTTATATTCTATATAAATTACATATTATACTGCTGGAGTTCAGTGGCTCTATCTTGGCTAACTGCAAGCTCCGCCTCCTGGGTTCACACTATTCTCCTGCCTCAGCCTCCCGAGTAGCTGGGACTACAGGCGCCAGCCACCATGCCAGGCTAATATTTTTGAATTTTTTTTTTTAGTAGAGATGGGTTTCACTGTGTTAGCCAGGATGATCTCCATCTCCTGACTTCGTGATCCGCCCGCCTCAGCCTCCCAAAGTGCTGGGATTACAGGCGTGAGCCACCGCGGCCGGCCAGATTCCAATTTTAATCTTGAAAACAAACTTATAACACGTTATAAACACGTTATGTTAGTGTTTCCATGGGAACACCTGAGAGGAGCACCTGGCCAAAACCAAGGAGTCAGGGAAGATTTCCTGAAAGACGTGCCACCTTGTCTCGTTAAATGTTAAAGGAGGAGCAGTGGTTATTGATTTATTGATTTTTTTACTTCCTTATTTAATAAGAAATATCAAATTAAAGCATTATAGTGAATTGGAATGGGAAAGCATATGAACGGGAAAAGTTTGATTCAAAACAGTTATAAGGATGGGATGTAGAAGGATCTCTGCTCCAGAGAGAAGCTATGAAATAATAAGAGGGAAAACTACTTAGGACCTGTGTGTCTTCCATGAGGTAGTGGAATGAAGAACTTTTCAGAGTTTCTGCCATAATTATGGTTATGATTCTTCATTTTGTTCTTGAAGCCCTTGGGGGGAAAAAAGGAGAAGCATAATCTTTATTATATTTCAAATTTAACCTCATTACATAAAACCCCAAAATATCTAATTCGGATTATTTCTTAAAATGTCAATTCTTTTCCCTGATAGTTACCAGATAGGTTAGTTGACCCAGAGAATGAGGAAAGGCACAAAAGTCCTGTTTTTCTTGGTCTCTCATCAATCCAAGAACACAGAGGGATAATTTTTGTCTTCCTATTTGTTCAGTTTTTGAATCAACAACTTTCATTTAGAACTGGAGTTCCTACTATTACACTGAATATAGTGAAGGAGGTTACCAACTGAGTGCAGTACAATTTGAGAACTTTGATGCACAAGAATTCAGGAATGTGGGAATCCAGTTGTAATCTAAGCTCTCTACCCAGATGCCTCATTCAGTGGGCAGTGGTGACCATTTGCTGTCCTTCTGCTGAATTCCTGTCAAAGATCCTTGTCAGCAACCGAAAAGAAACAAGGCAAATTCATTTATGGGTAACTTCTCTGTTTGCAAGCATCACTTCTTACCATCCCTGTGTTACAGATAAACTTACTGCACAAACGCAGTGGTCTTTATCTGCTCCTGCTGTTTAGTGGAAATAGTGTTTTCTCAATCTCTTCTGGGTTAACCACTGCTCCTCCTTTAACATTTAGTGAGACAAGGTGGCACGTCTTTCAGGAAATCTTCCCTGACTCCTTGGTTTTGGCCAGGTGCTCCTCTCGGGTGTTCCCATGGAAACACTAACATAACGTGTTTATAACTATCTGTCTTGGGGACTGTTGTCCACTGAACTATAAATTGCATAAGGTCAGGGAATATGTCTTCACTTTTGGATTTCCATCGTCCAGGATTGATCCTGGGCAATAAAGGATTCACGATAAAGCCCTGGTGAATGAATCAACAAATGAATTTCAATAAATGATGTACTTAAAAGGCAAATTAACTATGATATATTTTAGGAGGCTTTATTGAGTAAAAGTGATTGAGCTTTCCCATGAATGCATCATTTGAATAACAATTTTTAAATTAACAGGTTAGAGAAGAGGAGATAATTTAGCAGCTATTGGTTGGCATAGTGGCCTCTTTTGTCGTAATTTTTCATTCAAATTCTTGTTCTTGTTGTGAAAGGATGATATTGTGAAGGTGTACACCCTTTATTTTTATAATCCCTGCAATTCCTTTGTTTATTTCTTAGTTCTTTATTTTCAAACTAGGCCTTGGCTTTAAAGCCCTGCCATGGAAAGGAAGGTGATAGCAGAAATTCAAAGTAAAACAGAAAAAGTCATAGGTTTTATTACTCTTATTACATCACAAAAATAGATAATAAACTCTCATAGGACTGGTTGAAGAAAGGATAACACCTAACTAGAGTAGGTATTGTGAAACAATTGTGTCTCAGGAAGGAACCTGTTTCTATTTCTATTACATTGAGTTCTAACCACACAAACAAATCTTCAGACTTATTTAGGGATCTGAGGGCAGAAAGAGAACCCAGGAAGCCAGTGCAGTCCTCGTTTCATATTTCCCTGTGCCATGTGATCAAGGTTTGATAGCAGAGGAATACACTGACTAATTGGCATGTATGGGCAGAGAGAACTTGGGAACAGCCACCTTGACTGCTGCTGCCTAGAGTGGTGTCAGGGAGCAGGTGAGGTTTTTAGTTGAGTTGGAGGGCTTGGCTTGAAGGTGTCTCATGGTAGATGGAAGAGGCAGCCATAAATGATAGCACAACCAAGCCGAAGGACCGGAAGAAATGGGTGGAAAAATTGATGCCAGCAAAGACTAGGGGTCAAAGGCCTCCTCCACAAGTTGTTGATGTTGTAAGACAGCCTCTCCTCTGTAGACACTGAATGTCAAAGCTTCCCCTGAGAAAAGATCAAGGAAACTGTGCAGCTTTAACTTGTACCTCAACTGACTATGATGAACATATTGACTTGATGCTATCTACCTTTATTTGGAATGGAGGCTTGAATTACAGAATAATTTTCAGAGAGATCAAAAGTTACATTTGCAGTTCTGACTTCTTAGTGTGACATTATCTTACTCATTATATTAGTTTCACCAAGATCCAGTTCTCTAAAATGAAAAGGAAAAAAAAATTGTAATAACTTCAAGATGGGGATCCATCTTCTGTGTCCCACACAGAATAGTCCATTAATGCTGACAAACATATTTTCCCATTTATTGCCAACAACATGTTATTTCAGGACTTTATATTGTGTATGTTAAATTTCTGTCTCTGTCTCTCTTCTCTCTCTCTCTCTCTCTGTCTCTCATACACACACACCTTGTACAATATAGCTCACCTTACTGAAATAACAAATAATGTGAAAATGTTATGTATTCGATCAAAGCCACAAAATAAATTGCAGAGATAGGTTATAGATTGAGGTCTATCTCCCTTCAGAGATTTTGTACTTCTCATTTATTATTGTGACCTGAAAGAATTGATACTTCCTCAAACATAACCTTGTTACTTTTTTCTTACTAATTGCTGGCAAATGATAAAACCTTCAGCTTGCAGATGACTTCTAAAAAACAGTGAATGGAAAAGAGCCTTGATGGCTTAAGTAATCTGTTAATAGTAAAAAGATTGATTTATTATAATATTGTTATTTATTGAAGTCATGAGATGGCAGGAGAGAGTACAATGGGGTATTGAATTTTTATCTAGAGAAAGAAGGCATTGTGTTATAAATTTTTTAAGTTCAATTTTTTAAATTACAGTACTATATCAAGATTCAGTTAGAAGTATTAAAAATTCAAAGATTCAGCCATTTCAGTTGTCAAGCATGTAGAATCGCAAACTTTAATAAGAAAAAAAGTTTATCAAAAGATGAAATGGCAAGAAGCCCTAGAGTAGGCATAACTGGTGACAGTATGTGTGGTGTCATTACCACATTCCTCTGCAGGATGCCACACATTCCAGTCCCTTGTCTTTCCATCATTAAATAATACATAGTGACTTTTTTGGGTCTCCTAAATCTTTTGTTTTCTTTAGCGAATATTAAGTTGTAAAAAAAGACCATAAAAGGAACATGTTTCCTAAAGTTTTTACTTCTGAACATTAATAAAATATTCTGTCAACGTTGTTAATTATTTTTATTTTTAAACATGTAAAGGTTGTGCAGTTCACACATGGTATTTACTATTGGATTTTGTAGAATCAATTTACTTAGTAGAAATACCCTTAGTTTGTAAACAAGTCATCTAATTTTCATTTAGCTATATAAGTACCACATAAAAATTGATTATTCTCTTATAAAATCCTACGGTGACTTATTTCAGCATTCTATATTTCCAGTGATATGATGTAGAAATCAATGCTGTTGTTACTAACTTAATGGAAGTATAAGAGTTGCATTTGATGTTGATTTCTATGTTCCATGAAGAGGAAGAGACTGTGTAAACATATATGTTCTTACACTGTCAATATATATGTTGACAGAATATTATAAAAGGTTAGTTCAATTACTGTGCAGACCTATATTCTAAATTATCAGCAAATCACAGCACACAGCCAATTCTCCTAACTATAGGCAATGTCCGTTTAAGACAGCTGTTTTTCCAACCATTTTTAATATTTTCTGGGTTTAGGAATTTTCCAAGTCCTCTTAAGTACAGCTTATTTCAGTGGTTGATTTTTTTTTGGTCTCTATGTGTAATATTTTCAAATAACAATAACTCCAAAGGGTGAAGATATAAAAGATTTGTAATAATATTAAGCAAATGAAGAGCAGCAGACGTATTATTAACATGACATATAAAATGGACAGGATAAATTAGAAAAGGTCCTATAGGAGCACTCATAAAAGTTTTCATCTAGCCTTTTGCCCAATTATATTTTATATTCTGAAAGAATGGAAACAATCTCTCTTAAAATTTTATAGCACTCAGGGCCTATACTAAATCTTTCATATGTTTTCAAATTATTCATTTGCAAAAATTAAATTTATACTGTAATTATTTCTTTAAAATTGGGTAGACTCAACCAGTGGCAGTGGTTTTAAAAAGACTCCTTAACTGTGAAACAGAATTCATTGCATAAAATACATTGGAACATTCACATTCAGTTATTACGACACTAGTCTTTCACTTGAATGTGTCTGTTTATGAATTTATTTGTCAAGAAATTTTTGAAATCTATTTGGTGAAAGTAGAGAAGAGAGAAAAAGGATAACAGATGAGGTTACCAGGGAACGTTATGAAAAGAAGGTTGTGTTTGGGAGAGGTGTGAAAATTTGGAAGAGTGATTATGGCAAATAAGAAAGACTGCTATTTGGAGATGAGTAAAATTCTGTGAAGAAAAGTGAGGTTGGGAATAATCAGTAATGAAGTCCTTTGCCACAATTTTATGTATTTTTCCAAAAGCTTCAAGTAAGAGCAGATAAAATGAACTGCAGGTTTTTCCACAGATAACCTGTGAAGGGTAGGATTGGGGACCGTTTGGTTGAAATATTTAGTTACGAGATTTAAGGTGGATATAGAATTACATGAAGACAGGCTTGTTTTAACATTACAATATATAACTAAACTGTAGTGTAATTAGGCTAAATACATTTAACTCTTCATAAGGTTATGAGAATGTTTAGAAATAAAACATAAAACATAAAAATTACATTAAATTGGTACTAAATCTTACATAGTGCCATATTTATCTACATATGCAAAAGTGTACATTGTGTCTCTCTCCTACATTCATAATTATACAGAATTAATCAGTTTGTGATATCTTACTTTTTGCTTCAAATCAATCATTAATTTTGAAGAACTTTAGATTAAAAATGAATAGGCTTCTGTAGATACACTAAAATGTCGGATTCTGGTGAACATTTTCACAATCTTGGCTGTTTGGCCAGTTTTTAACAAACCTGGAGTTTTTTTGTTGTGCTCGTTGTTCGTGAGATTTTCGTGTGTCTGTGTATGCATTCATTCAACAAATGTTGAGTTTCTGTTAGGTAGCAGACATAATTCTAGACATCCTGAATATAGTTGTGAACAAAACAAACCTAGTGTCTGTTCTCAATCTTAGGATCTGATTCTAAATTAGGGGCTCTGTAAATAATTAATCACTTACAAGTCAAACCGTTTAATTACTTGGGTACCTTGTTTATTATAGTTAATAGCTTTTACTTGGCCTTTGCACCTGGGGTCATCCTAGCTCCACTAGAAACAGGCAACTCAATTGAATTACAGCAGGTTCACCTGCTTTTGTAGCTATGGTATAGCTAACCTTTAATTCCTAACATCAAGTCTTCATATTCTTTTCTCTACAGTATGCCAAGGGATGTCTGAAACCTTAATTCTTTGAAGTGGGCATGACATTGGTTCTAAGTTTGGGCTAACTAACCCACCATACCATTATGAATGTAGTGAGCTTTTCAAGCCGGCAGATTGTCTGCTAAGGGCACCTACATCAACACATTTAGTTCACTCAAGTCCCCTCAAACTCAATATGTACAAATATGCTGTAGTGTTTGTTATTAAACATGCACAGATTTCCATTTATATCAGTCTGATCAAAATAATTTACTTCCATATGTGGTTATTTTAGACATTATTTAAAGAATGTAAAGTAATCCTGAAAATGTCAAATGAGTATTACAATAACTTCACAAGGCTATTGATTCTTTCTGATGAATATACTTATTTGTCTTATAAAATTTATACTTATTATTAAGGAATCAGAGCATTTAAAAAATAGATTTTTAATTATTGTACAAAGCAATTAAATATCCAAACCTGTGTTGAATCAGGACTGTGAGTGATCTTAGTATGTGAAATAGTAATGTTTTCTGATGGCCAGAACTACATCATCTCTATTGGGAGTTCACTGTCTTGTTTGTTACATGGAGAATAAAATCTTTTATATGTAATTTTTAAAAAACATTATTTTAAGACAAAACCTTAGTTTTACTTTTTGCAGTGCTGCAGAATAAATTCTGATAAAACAACTGTTAAAGGGTCCCTATGATAAAATAACACTGCGTCCTGGGTAAATTATGACAAATACAAAGTTTACTGCACTTCAAGAATTGCTAAAATAAGTTAAATCTTAAAGGTGCCTAAAATAAAATGAAATGATAAAATAAAGCAGTTTGTTCTGAAGGAAAGTGCATATTTCAGTGGTGTGATGGAAAGATAAATCCATGGGAGTCCAGCAATATAGAGAAGCTGAATTTGAAATTCCTACGTTAAGCTTGGAACCTTGAAGGGACAAAAGTGTTCTCCGGTTGATAAAACCTTCTAAAACCAGAAAGGGCAAATGCAAATTCAAATTCAAGAGAAAACATCTTTCATTTGGTTCCAAACCAATCTCACAGATTATATTTTAAAATGAGTTTACTTTAGGAAACACAATTACTAAGCATGGCAGAGAATAAGTCACCATGGTTGATATATAGGGAAACAACAATAGACTTATTTCCCCCAATGACTTCAGATATTGGAATGATCAAATTTAAGATATAAATTACTTTGAAACATATAAAGGGATAAAAATAAAATGGAACTGATATAATTACAGGAAACAATCAATAATGTCTTGGTAGGTTTAAAAACTATCCCAATAGAAATTTTAGATGCAAAAAAATGTAATTGTAGAATCCCAGCACTTCGGGAGGCCGAGGCAGGTGGATCACCTGAGGTCAGGAGTTCAAGACCAGTGTGACCAACATGGAGAAACACCATCTCTACTAAAAATACAAAATTAGACAGGCATGATGGCATGCACCTGTAATCCCAGCTACTTGGGAGGCTGAGGAAGGAGAATGGCTTGAATCCAGGAGGCAGAGCTTGCAGTGAGCCAAATTGCGCCATTGCACTCCAGCCTGGGCAAGGAGAGCGAAACTATGCCTCAAAAAAAAAAAAAAAAAAATACTTGAGTGAAAAAGATAGATAAAGTTTAGTAGAGAGATAGGAAAATGGATGATAGAGTTTTGGGAGCTAACCAGAATGTAATACAAAACATAAAAGGAAGTAGAATATAAAAGAGTGGTTAAGAAATATGTATGCTAAAAGGAACAGTAACAAATATCTAACTGGAGTTCTAGAGGACAGAATAAAGAAAATGGCAGAATGACAATATTTGCAAATATAATGGGTGATGATATTCCAGAAGTAACAAAAAATTTATAGCATATGCTATTAAGGTGTCAAAAGAAATTTTTATTTAGGTGCTTTTTAGTAAGTTTGAAGAACAAAGACAGAATGAAAATTGTCAAAGCAGCCAGTGAGAAAATACACATCAATTACAACAGAATGACAAATAGATTGGGAGTGGATAGCTTAAGAGTAAAATGAAAACTAAAGAACAATAGATTAATAATCTTTCAAATATGAAGAAAAATTAATGTCAACTTTAGAATTTGTACCTGTCAAAAATATCTTTCATGGATGAAGGCAAAATAAATATCTTTTTAGATATGCAACATTTAACACATGTTAACCAAAGAAACTTTTAAAATACGTATTTTGGAAAGAAATGAAATAACCCCAGATCCCAGGTTTGAGATACAAAATAAAAATCATAGGCAAATAATCTAGATAACATAATGTAAATAAAATACTGTTTGTATAAAGTAATAATGATAAGTATGAGAACAATTATTTTTAATTAAATACAAAAGGAAAGAGAATAATGAAAAACCATAGCATATAAGATGGGATTGATTAGATTTCAAGTGTTGGAAAATCCTTTTACTATTTGTGAGAGGGTTTATAATCCTTCTTGACTTTAAATGTGTTAAACCAAAATATTAACATATCTGCAACAAGAAAGAACAGAACACTATAGAGAAGGGTTGAGGATTTCTGGGTTGTCGACCTTTGGGGATCCTTTTATCCCTATTTCAGTTCATGGTGTACCAGACTTTCCCATTTAACAGTCCCAATTTATACTTAACTGGTGTGTTCAACAGAAGTTAACAGTCTGCAGGATCATATTTTACTTTCTACTTTTGGCTACCTCAGCTATATTATCATTATTATAGAAAAATATTGGTTGTATTTTATATCTCAGGATAAAAATTTAGAGATTAGGACTTATTTTCATTCCTTCTTTGACTCTGCATTGGAAGGTGAAGTCCTGTCTCCAAATATTTTCGAATTCTTTTTCAATATAAATGGTGTTTAGATTCTACGTTGCTAAAACTTAATAGTGCCCAGTGTCCTCTGTTCATTTTAGAATTACATAAGTTTTACAATTATAATTATAGACTTTTCTTTCTTCCAAGTGAGATAAAATGTCTTGCTAGTGCTTACTCTCCTAAAATTATAATATATTTGCATACAAATAAAATTGTTATGACTGTTGGAATTATTTTAAAAATGTTAATCAAATTATCTATACTAGAACTGGTAACCCAGTTACATATTTGTGTCTACACCTTTACTTTTTCAACTGCATAATATGTGTTATGACACTTGCCTTGAGGACACCAATGAAATGGATATTTCTAAGTCGTTTCTCCAAAGTCTTTAGTCCTAAGTGTCAAATTGTGCTCTCAACTTAATTTATTTTGTTTAGTAATTCATTGAGCCCTATGGCTTTAAATATCATCTTTATGCTGGTAAACATAAAAGGCATAAACTTGAATTCCCCTCCCCTACCCATCCTGTAGTACTGACCTCTCCATTTGGTGAGCAGTGCTGAGCCATTATCCTACTTATTCCAGCCACAGCATAGGAATTTTCCATGGTTCCTCTTTTTCTCTTACTCCTGTCCACATTAGCAAGTCCTATTAAGTATGCATTCAAACAAACAATGTCTTGAATCTTTTAATTTTTCCATCTTATTATGACTACCTTAGTGCAAAACACTATCATCTGTCACCTAGCTCACTGTAATAACCTCCTACTGATTTCTCTGCTTCTACTCAGGCTTTCCTCAATCATTTATTTTTTAACCAAGGTATGTGTATATATATGTATCTATGATTTAAAAATACATTAAAGACACAAATCAAATTATGTTCATTATCTGCTTTAAATCTGCCAGTGGCTTTCTATGATACTTAAAATAAAATTGGAATCAGTTGCTTGTCTGCAAAATCCTCCCTTCCATACCATTTCCTCCATCACCACCATGCCATCAGTGCTAGCTGTTCCTTCTTTCAATTCTCTCCCTCATCTTTTTAAGACTGACCCTCTTGTCATTAAGATCTCAGACTAATGTAATTTCTTAGAGGCTTTTCTGACTACTAGAGTTACCTAGTCACTCTGTACTAAATGCCTTATTTTTTCTCTATGTGATATGTTATTATTTATTTTTATCTCTGTATATCTCTCTATCATCTATGTAATACCCCCTAATTTCCAGAATATAACATCCATGAGAGCAGCAGCAACCTCATCACTATTTTTCACACAAGCCATTAGAATACTACCTGGGCTTTTGATGGTGCTCATTAAATATCTCTTGTATACATGAAGGACATACTTTTCTGCTGTTTTGAATTAATACTTTATTTTTTTTTTACTTATGTAGCAAATTTTGTTAATGTGATTGCTTATTGATAATGGCTAGTGGTCTTATCATCCAAGAATTTAAAATATATATATTTCTGACTACATTTGTAAATGTCTTATTCAATATTTAAATTAACTTAAACCTTCTTGAAATAATGCTCAGAGTAATTTCTACTAAATTGGTTGAACTTTGAGAGCTTCTAAAACCTGCACATGAATAGTAATTTATTTCTGTCTAGTCCAAAGTTGTTTGAATATGACATGATTTAGCCTATTTTTTTAGTACATGGGATGCTTCATAACTTCAAGAATAATAAATTTTAATTTTGAGCACCCTAGCCCAAAAAAAGGAAACTGTCAGCACTGATCTAGTTTTTAGTGAATTCCCCTGCAATGAAGGACTGATTGGGTTGTGGTTTTAAAGCTACATTAATTCTGTTTCTAACTCTTTTACTTTCTATTTTTTAGGAGTATTTGTTACAGGTTTTCATATCTTTAGTATAAATTATCTTTCTTTATGCAGGATACCTTTCTGAAAAGGGTCCGTTTAAAATTTCTAGGCAATGTATTTTTCTTTTAGCATGTTAAATTAGAGTTTTTTAAAAAGTGTATGTATTGAAGAAAATACACTGTCAAATAGGAGATATTCATATATGCATTCCAATAGCAATCAGTTGAACTTTTGAATAAGTACTGTAGAAAAATATTTTTCTGAATGGTGCTTTTACAAATTAAATTCATATAAATGATTCAGATTTTTTACCTTCAACCTTGTCAGGATTTAAAGTATTCTCTTTTTCTGTTTCCTTTTGGTTTCATCTTAGGTAGTAGTCTTTATAAAGGCATTTACATTTTTCAAAAACTTTCTTGCCTTAGAGATGGCGTGATTTGTCATTAAATTAATTGGAACTACTATATGTTGAACTTGATCGTAAACATGTGTACAAAATTATACTTTTAAATTTGGTGATTTACCATGGCAAATCCTATGAAGTAGGTTTATTAATATTGTTGTCATTATTTATTTTACAGAACAGAGATTCAAATGGGTTAATGACTTTTCTGGCAAGATATAACTATGAAGAGGCAGAATTAGATTTGCATTCAGGCTGTTCTGTGGCAGAGAAGGGGAATACTAATCTAGAAACAGGCATAGACTAACGTGCTGTGATGTTTAATTTAACTATGGAACACAGAGCTCCTGGGGAGAGCACTGACAGGCAACCCACCAAGCTTTTGTAAGTCATGTGCTGCCAAAATTCCCCTGCCCTGATGAAGAGGGATCTGGATCCAACTCAAAATAATATGGTAGGAGCCTTAGTCACATATTCAGACCTGAGTATAAAGGATAAAAACAAATAAATTTGAGCCTATATTTTCAGAAGTCTCTGTAAGCTAGGTGATAAGTTATGACTGTTATGATACTACAGCTGCTACTACTCATAGGGGATTAGTTGCCAAGAAAAGAACAAACAAACAAACAAACAAAAAACTCAGGCAATCTCCCTATCTGATGAAACAATTCATTTCACTGCAAAAGGAATGAGGTCCCAGTTTTCTCACCATTCCCACCACAGTCATGAGAATTCATATCACAAAGGTGGTGGTCTACAGATTCTCTTACATGCTTTGAATCAATGGGGCACACAACTTGAATACCTAGGCTCAGAAATCTAGAGGTTGAAATGTCTTTTATTTCTTTCTGTACGTAGGTAGGATATGTTATTTCTTTGTTATTACTGCTAAATATATAGTGTGTATTGATGGTGATCACATTTAACATTGAGTGTACTGATTTCATAAAGGAAAAAAAGAATACCTGGGTGGTTTGTCACTGTACTAGAGGAGAGATGGGCCTCCCCTGGATTGAGGATTATAGTCAGACTATTGGCAAGAATTTTTTGAAATGGCATTATGACATTTTTTTCGAGATGAAGGGTTGCATAATTTTGTGTTGTCACGTGATTGGAAGTGGTGAAGATGCATTTATAGTGAATCCAAATAGGAAGGTGATGTTAAATAAGAGGCATCCTTGGCACTCTGTGCACAGGAAGAAATGTATGTGTGTTGGAAATCCAAGGGTAGAATATCCATCATAGTGTCTGCCATTTTCACATGCTGCCCCCTATCCTGATTCAGTTGGTGGCTACAGATAAACATGTTTAAATTTCAGGTATCTTGACTCTCTTGAGCATATATAATTGGACTTGGGGATGAGACCCTGATCTAAGGTAGGGAGTTCATAGACTGACCTACAGAGCATGACGTGGACTCTTGTAAAGGGATATGATGTGTCTTTCTCTTAGCAAGTCAAACTAGAAAAAAAATAGTTTAAATCAGGCTGTAATGAGAATAGAAGGTGAAATGATGGAGCAGATTTACGGAATAAGGATCAATGGCCATTGGTCATCCCAAATCATGAGAAAATAGAAGATAATTAATAAGGAAAAATAATAAGGTAGAGGCTGGGTGCGGTGGCTCACGCCTGTAATCCCAGCACTTTGGGAGGTGGAGGAGGGCGGATCATGAGGTCAGGAGATCGAGACCATCCTGGCTAATACGGTAAAACCACGTCTTTACCAAAAAAATATAAAAACTTAGCCTGGCGTGGTGGCGGGCACCTGTAGTCCCAGCTACTGGGGAGTCTGAGGCAGGAGAATGGCGTGAACCCGGGAGGCGGAGCTTGCAGTGAGCCGAGATGGCACCACTGCACGCCAGCCTGGGTGACAGAGCAAGACTCTGTCAAAAAACAAAAACAAAAACAAAAACAAAAATCAGGTAGAAAACAGCTTTGTAGGATGGAAAAGAACAAGGCAGGTATTTGATTTAGAAAGCCCATATCATTAGGAATAGAGAAACATTTGGTTACAAAAAATGACCGTACAATAGAGTGAAGGTCTATATGGCTTTTCACTGCTGTTGAAGTCTGTAGAGTTCATTGAATCCTAAATAGTGTTTCAGTACCAGTTCCTGTGAAGCTAAACCATATTAGATTAATATTCTTTGTTTCTTTTTGAATGAGCTAATATTCCTTTCCTCTCAAGAAAGAGAACTAAATCTGAATTGCTTAATTTAAACCCACAATTTATTTAAAGATTTTGTCAAAGAAAAAGTGCATTGGATAGAATGAAACAGGCAAGGAACGTTTTATTCAATTGTAATAGAGGTCAAAATTATTGCAGTAATGGAGATTGAACTCAACTCCTTTGAAACAAAAGGCAGGTCGATTTTTAAGCTCTGGGGTGAGCTAATGGAAAAGTACTACAGAATGTTGTGGGGAGGTTGTCAATGTGATTAGCCCATTTGTGTTTGCTAATTGATACTTTTTGAAGTTAGGCCCCTACTCCCAAACAGAGACTAGCAGATAGGGGCTGTGTCTTTCTTGATGATTATATTTCAAAGAGATAGCTCTTGGGTGCTTGAGAAGGACATTTCTGGGTTGTAAAATAACAAAGAGGCTGGGGAAAAAATTACATCTCAAGAAGCAGAGAAAGAATTTACAGTTGTAAGTGTTCTAAAATAAATGCTTTAGGAAAAAGAAGGTCGGGGCCTATCTTCAGGAAGAAGCCTATCTAAAGTTTGGCTAAGCTGAGGTAACTTTAAGGTTAATGCTGTCTTCTTCAATTACCAGAGGAATTCACAGATCTAAAAGGTGTTGCCAACCAAACTTCAGAATGGCAGGAAGCAGAAAGACTGCAGGTACCTTGGTGGCCAGAAGTCTGTATGTTTTCCCCAATACACCATCATTAAGATGTCATCGTTTTCTGTCCTTTGAAAATTACCAGGAGCATCCTTTGACCCAATTTAGATGGGGTGCGTACATATTCATTCATTCATCTGACAAATACCAAGTATCTACAATCTACCAGATACTGTTCTAAGCACTAGGGATATGTTTATCAGTGAACAAAATGTTCAAAATTCTCCATACTAATGAAACTCACATTCTAGTGGGAAAGCAACATATAGTAACCAAAATAAGTAATACAAGTATATAGCATGTAGATGGTGTTGTTTTGTAAGCAATACAAGTATATAGTATGTAGATGGTGTTAAGTTTTGCAAAGAAAATTAAAGCAAGGAAGGGGAATATACCACATCTACAATGTTATAGTCCAATGTATGGACCCCTAGCCACTCTGGGGCTATTCCATGCATATTCTCTGGGCAATTGCTAGGTATGAGACAACACTTATGACATGGGGAAATAACCAAATTGGTGTATGTTACACCCTTTTGACTTCTATTTCTATGCTATACAGGCTCATTATTTACCATTAATTTGCAAATTAACTGTCTTAATTTAAGATAATTAAATGCATATTAAAAATATTTTGAAAGGCTGTATTATAACATACTAGTATTGGTTTACTAATTTAGTTGATTGGAAGGTTATGGGTCATATTTTGGTCTATACTTCTTCATATTTTGTACATTTTCATCAATGGGCATATTTTTACCTTGATAATTAGAAAATTTTTGATACTTTAAAAGTTTAGCTTCTTATATAACTTAATCATCATCATTATAATAATCACTTTTAGTACTAAGCACTTTCTTTTTTATCATCTTATTTAAAACCTCAAAAATGAGTCTAGGGAAGTTGAGGCTAGAATATAAAAGACCTAGTATGCACATTAAAGTTTTGACAATAAGAGAAAATTGAAAGTGTTTAATGTGAAGACTGGCATTATAATATTTATTTTGAAAAAAATTAAAAAAACCTGTAAGTTACACCCAGAGTGGAATGATTTGGGGAGGAACTGGAGTTGACTATGGTATTGATGGAGGGAGACATGAGTATAGTTACAGAGGGAAGGAAATAGTAGGGCTTTGCTAAAGAGAAAGGCTAAGGAGACATTTTGGAACGAATGATAACCAATATTTCATTTAACTCACACTTCTGTAACAGGGGTGTCCAATCTTTTGGCTTTTATGGGCCACATTGGAAGAAGAATTGTCTTTGGCCACACAGAAAATACATTAACAATAATGATAGCTGATGAGCTAAAAAAAAAAAAAAAAATCTCAAAAAAATCTCATAACGTTTTAAGAAAGTTTACAAATTTGTGTTGGGCCATAGTTAAAGTCATCCTGGGCTGCATGTGGCCCACAGGCTGTGGGCTGGACAAGGCTGGTATCGAACCAACCTTATATTCCTGAGTGAGAGGGCTCTAGACTGAAAACTCCCAAGCCCTCTTGATACTGAGCTGTCCATCATCCCCAAATTCCAAATGCCTATATGGATGAACTCCATCCTCACATGTGTTTCACATTTTTACAGTGGGATTTCTATTATTTTTATATATTTATTTTGCAAATTATAGTAAAAATTTATCAGTTTTAAAAACAAAAGGAAATAGTTGAAAAACAAAGGTCTGCAAGTTGATTGAAATACTATACTTTTGCTGTAGGGGAGCCATTGTAGTTTTAGGAAGTTGTGTTATATTAGTTTCACCTCCATTAAGGCTTTTAACCCAGAAATTCCTCTTTTTAAATAATATCAAAACAATTTCCAGTAAATAAACACTAGGTGCAAGGAAAATAATTATATTAGTATGATTTCCTTCAAATTTGTTGAGAAAGGAGGCTCCATAGCCTTCGTTCTACAGATGATCAACTTTGAAAAACAGTGGTAATGTGGCTGTATGCTCGCATATGTCTTTTAATTGACTAGTTAGCTATTTACTTTTCTGCTTGTTGATGACTTTCCTAATTGAATAGAAAAGCTATAGTTACCCACCACAATATAAAATATTGAAAGGTGATGGAGAAAAAGCACTTTACTAGTCTCTTGGGAAAGAAAATTGCATATTGTGTCTGTAATTATTTTGCTCTCTGAAGAAATATATCAGACTGCCATTTCTACATCAATTTTCTGGATATCGTGGGACCCATTATTTTAATGTCAACAGAAACAAGCTCTTGTAGAGTTTCTCTGCCTTTTCTATGCTCCAGTTAACCTGAGGGACCTTTAAGCTATAATTTATAGAGAAAGACAACAGCATAACACAAATGAGTTAGAGATTGATTTGTAAGTCATGTAAGGCATGCAGAGTAACAAATCGTGGACCAAGGCAATGCAGATCAGAAAAGAAAAGAAAAATCTGCACTCATCACACTACCTAAAAGTGGACATGTAATGGGACGTTGATTTAATAAATGTCACGAAATTTCAAATAGACCAATACTTAAAGCCTGTATGAGAAATATAACTAATTGTTTATCCATTCAATGGCTACTTATAGCTCAACTATAATGGGGTCAGACACTGTGCTGTGCAATGGAGATACATGAGTGAGCAGAGTAGATGTGGCTTCTGCACTTACATAGGATTGAAAATGAAATAATCAATGGTGATAACATTTGTAGACTATACTTTGAGAGCTGTACAAGAACATCTCATTTCTTTTTGGGAGACCGTAGAACAAAAGTGCATGAAAAATAAGTAAGGTGGTTAAGTAAGCAGAAGGTTTAGGGAGCATTGGAAAGAGGTAAAATTATATGGGAAGGCCAGAGAGACAAGTAGTGGCACGGAACTGAAGGAAGTTCAGGATGGCTAGAATATGGCAAGTGTTGAGACGAGTGGAGAGCCAGGCAGGCGGCAGGCAGCAGGCTTTGTATGACCTGTTAAATTACAACTGACACCCAAATAAGTCCAAGTGCATTCGTCTTTCTAGGATTATTTATCAAATTCCTACATTTTTTCAAGCTGTTTAAGATACAAAGATTAAAAAAGAACGATTTTTTAACCTATCGCATCTCCAATTTGGTGTAATAGAAAGTGAAATAAAAGGATGACAGTAATACAGAGTAAAAAGTGATATGAATGTAAAAGCCAGAAGCTGCTAAAGAAACAGAAGAAGGAAAGTCAGGAGGAAGGTCTAGAGCCTGAGAAAGACTTAAGAGGTGATTCTTGGGTTGAGTCTTAAAGGCCATCGGAAGCTGGTGAAGCAGAGGAGGGAAGAACAGTTGAGGCAGTAGTACCGACGTGTCCAGTGGCTTAGAAGCACAAGGAACAAGATTTGTTCAGAACTGCAAGGGGAATGCTTTTATTACAGTAGCATTTGTCAAAGTGTGCCTCAGTAAACAATCTGCAAGAGGATCTGGAGACACTCTGTGTACTTCTTGGAAAGTTACAATGCCTATTAGTGCAGTAAGGGATCTGAAAATATCCACAGTGGGGAGTGCTGTTTAACTTTATTTCATATGGTGTTTTTCAGAACAATTTGACCACAGAATTTCCTCTACTGTCTTCTTTTAGTTTAAAACCTATTAACATTCATTAAATACACCTTGAAGTTGATATTAGAACCTAGACTGGGTGGTGGAGGAGGTCAGAGGATGGGGCTACAGAAGGTCAGATCATGAAGACCTTGGTCTGCCAGGCAGATCGTTAGTGTAGAACGCACCCATTTCCTTCCAGGTGAAAGGTACTCCATTGATGTGGCACATCCAACTTTACTCACTCCACGCTAATGGGGTTGTGGGGAGTGATTCATATGAAAGGTAAATTTAGGAGGAGTTAAATGAGAGTATCATAGCTGTACCATTCCTCCTCTTGGAGTGTGCTGCCAGCTGGGAGCACCTGCTCCAGGTGGGAAGATTTGCTCTAGTTCAGCACCACCTGGGTCTGGGAGGGCAATTTTCCTCTTTTGGGATTCAATATTAAGAGGTGCATTTGACTGTAAGAATAAACAATATTTCCAACATAGTTTCATTGGCAATAAGGGAGATGTCTTAGTTAGCCATTCCTCATTCATTGTTTTATTTCTCAATCTCTTCAACATTTTTTATAGGCAAGGAGGTGATATGTGTTGACCTTCATGAGATCCAGATATTGAGGATTTTGTCTTTATCCTGTAGATAATTGGGAACCACTAAAGTATTTTAACAGAGGAGTGACATTGCCAGATTTGCATTTGACGGCTTAGATAGCAGTGTAGAAGATATATTAAAGGAGGAATAAATAGAGTCTGAGAAACCAATCTAAAAGGACAGCAGTAATCCAGACAAGAATTAATCAGATCTTGAACTACATCAATGGTAGCAATTCATTGGAGAAGGGGATGAATATGGAATACACATAGGAGGTTGAATGAACAGAATTAGGAGACTGATTAGATGTATGATATTTGAGAGAGACAATCTAGCACAACTCTCAGATTTCTGAATAGAGCTGGTTTGCATTAATTTTGGTGGAAATGAAAAACTAGTTCTAGCAGACTGAGTGGGCATGCCTTAGGAATCCAACTGGAGATGTCTAGGTGTTTGTTGTATATACCTGTCTGCATTCCAGAGACATTTATAGTCTAGAAATACAGACATGGCAGTTGTTGATTAATTCGTGGTACTCAATGTCATGACATCAATCAGGTTCTTTAGGAGGGTGTGTGGAACAAGAATACTACCCAGTATCAATACTGAATACTTATTACATGCCCACTATGTACCAGCATTACATTAAACACTTTACACACATGCTCTCATTTAATTCTCATGAAAACTTTTTAAGGTGAGCACTATTACACTATTATCATCACTTTCCAAATGAAACTTGGGAAAACAGACGGACTAGAAATGGCATCCTAGGAACACTAACATTTACGGGGCAGTTGAAGGGAAGAAATAAACAGTAAGAAAAGAAAAAGTGGTTGAAGAGAAAATAACTTTTAACACGAAGCATGGTGCTGAAATAAAAGAAGAACTGGTCAACAATTTCAAATACTTCATAGATGTGAAATAGAAGCTGAAGAGTTTCCACTTGATTTGGCAACTAGGAATCATATTTATTGTGTTCATAAACCTTCCCATGATATATAATATATACACACACACATATGTCACTCTGTCACCCAGGCTGGAGTGTGCTGCTATGATCTCTACTTACTGCAACCTCTGCCTCCTGAGTTCAAACGATTCTCGTGCCTCAGCCTTCCATGTAGCTGGAATTACAGGCACGTACCATCATACCCGGCTACATTTTTTTATTTTTAATAGAAGCGGATTTTGTCATGTTGGCCAGGCTGGTCTCAACCCCTGACCTCAAGTGATTAGCCCACCTTGGCCTCCCAAAATGATGGATTTGCAGCCGTGAGCCACCGCACCTGGCCTCCCATGATACTTTAAAAATACTTGATAAAATACACTTGTATTCAGTAACATACACAGATGGTCTTTGTGGTTTGCTATTTTAATTATTTTTTACAGGGGACGTATATTCAGAGAGTTTTGCTATGCAATGCTCTTTGACAAATTTAACTTTATTCAGGGTTGGGGGTTAAGCCTGCTATGGGATTAAAGAACAGAAAACCACAGGGCTCTCATTCTCTTATTGTTTCTTCTATTAAGGGTCAAATTCAGGAGCATAGTGTACAATAGCAATTATTCGTCAGAAACTCAGTTCCCTGTTAGAATTCTACTCAGAAAGTAAATAGAAAAAAAGGAGAATTCTATATGCATTTGGGGGAAGAGACATGGTCGATGACCTAGAATTTGATGAAAATCACCTACCTGAGAGTCAGATTGATTATTAAATAAATTAGCACCAATCAAAACTTCTAAGGCACAGAGCTAAATGAGCTTATGACCCTGTACATTGAGGGAGTTATTAGGATGCTAAATCTTAGAACAAGTCTCTGCATGCATGAGTTTTAATGAAGCAGATGTACAAGCAGATGAACATTATTTTAAGAAGCAATCCTCTCCAAAAAACAAGATAATATTGTAGTTTTATCAGCAATTGTTTACATACCACTTGATTTCTAGATTTAACGCTGATTAACAATGCACTTTCTTTTATAATCTACTTTTTTATCATTGGTCTGGCTAATTTATAAGATTTTGTGTCTGTGTGTTCCTTCTGAAAACAGTAGAAAAATGATATTGTAACAATAAATATGGAGCTTACACAATGGGAAACAAGGAAGAGAAATCTTAACATCAATGGCAGAGTTAATGTAGAATTGCAGAATGCAGGCCCAAAGTAATAAGGATAAGGTGACAATCTTGATCTGGTTAAGAGATATATAGTACCTCACGCATTATGACTGTCCTGTTACTTGGAGTCGTTGACAACTGACTAAACATAGGGACACATTTGGTATTCTTTTGCATTCAGCAGAATGCAGCAGAATAAGCTTGGCAGATATAAAAAAACATTTATGTTCCTCCTTCTGCCCTTCTCCATCCCCTTTTGAAGTGCCTATACACAGGGGCTTTGCCTGGGGATTTCCCAGGGCTCCTCCTGCCAAACAAGCTCAGGCAGGGCAGAGGGGTCTCAAAATCCTGAGGACTTGGTTGTGAATTTGGAGTCTGAATTATTTATCTGTTTTCATTCCTAGCACATTTGCCTATTTTTTTCTTTTATTCAAAACAGTCTATTTAATTTCTGAAATGCAAAAGAATGTTTGGCATGGATAAATAGCTGTGATTTCTCTCTCTGATAAATCTTGCAATGTTAGAGTTTACCAAAGAGAACCCACATATTCTTGTCAGTAGCATGGGCTTTGGAGTCAGGCGACTAATTCTAGATTTACTGCTTATTGCTCATATGAGTATGAGCAAGTTACTATACTACTGATTCTTTTTTTAATGTCTAAAATTGAGTTAATAATGTTTAGTATATATTCATGAAAAATATAAGGAGTTATTGTGTACAAAGTGCATAAGACAGTGTCTAATCCTCAGAAGACACTCAATAAAGGGAGTCTACCTTAGAGTTGAGCTGTCTTGAGTCCAACTACCTGGGATAAAGTCTGGACTCCATACCTAGCAGCTATGACTTTTGCTAAGTTATATAACATTTCTCTGCCTCCATTTCCTTGTTTGCTAAGAGGGATTCATAATAGGGTCTACTGTGTAAGTTCATGAGAAGATTAAGTGAGTTACTACATAAAGCTCTTAGAACAGTGCTAGACATAGTAAAATCTTAATAAATGTTTTTGATGAAATTGATTATATAAAAATTACTATCAGCATGCAGTGCTGTCAAAGGTATAATGGAAAACTATAATGAAAACTTGATTTCTATCCAAGGAGCTTGTGCTAAACAGCAAATGTGTTCATTTTTAAGGGTTCACTTTCCTTTCCTCATTACTTTTGAACTCTGTTCATTACATTTGAACTTTGTCTAGTGCTTTGAAATGTGAAGATCAACATAATTTTAATGATCTCATCAACTTTATGCAGTAGATACCCCTCTGAGCCTGGGGGAGATGGGAGTTTAAATCCAGAGACAGACATGTCTGTGGTCTTACAGCAAAGTAATGGATGCTCTGGTACTGTGTTTATGGACTTTTTACACTGAGTCCACTGCTTAGTCTGATTAGTTCACAGTCCTTCATAAAGAATGTGAGCATGCTATCCATCCAAGGGTTTATATAAACTACAAAGACAGCAAGCAAGAACTAAAACAGAACCATTTTTAATGCACACTTTTTATTGTTAATGCAAGCGACATCATGCAGAAAATAACATATCTCATTTTCCAAGCAATTTAATGGTCTTCCAGTTATCATTTGACAGGATCAAGCTATAAATCTGTTTTTATACAATTTGAGGAAGGCTTATGGAATCCATTATTTATTTCATTTTTTTGTAAGATCTAAGTAATATTTTTTGTAGTTAATGAGCTGCCAAACATTTAGTTTTCTTAGTAAAATCTGAGTATATCATTTTACTTGTTGAATTTTGATGGATACTTATTTGCATTAGATTATAAAAGGTTAATACTGAATTTCAAATCAGTGCAGAGTCAGTTTCTATTAGTACCTGCCATCATCCTTGCTAGTGCATAATCCTTCAGGCTATATAAACACCAGTGGCCTTTCTTGATTTAAATGAAGCAGAGAAACATTGTTTTAGTTCAGCCCTAAAACTGAACCCCTCATATAATTTCTAGGAGTTTTCATGGGATATAAAAAGAGAATGGGGCTGATTCAGATATTCTTCTAGCTCTTATGGAAGGTAAAATTAAAACAATAAAGTTATAATTAATGAAATACAACATTGTGCAATGGAGAGTAGAGCTCTTGCGATAGCTCCTTTGTCTTGGAGGGCTCTCTGTGCCTGGGGTGGGATAGGATGGGAGGGGAAGCTTTTGCACTTAGATGACTTTCTTCACTTTTGGGGCATGATAAATCTGTGTCCCACCTTTTAAGGTAGTGATGCTGGATGACCAGTATCACATCTGCTATAGTTGGACTGCTGGTGTGGAAATTGCTCTTTTGGACTCAGTTTCTGATGTTATCTGAGTAGCACCTCTGCAGCCAACCTAAGGCAAGAGGTCTACCCCTGGAAAGCATCCTGGCTGTGTCAGGGCTGCCAGTTCTTGGGTCTGCATTTCTGCTTCCAAAATTGCTTGTGCACTTATTCCTGGCTGTTGGGAGCTGCTTCTCATCAGACCACTGCACAAGGTGTCATTTCAACTAATGATATAGTAGCATTTATATTTAAAGGGGGTGGATATATTTTTAATATTTTAACAGATACATAGCTTTTTTTTTTTCCAGAAACAACCATACACACCAACCAATACAGACAATGACAACAAGGCTCTCCATTAGGATGAAGCCTCATATCTGATGTTTAAGTCCAGAAAATGTCATTCCTAGATATATATACACAGATGTGTTTTTGTATGAGTAAATTATCAAGTAAACTATAATTTTTAATATTTGGAAGATGATTATCATATCATTTGAAGTGCTTTTCACTGTAAGTTACTTTTATGGAAATAGTATTGTGAAAAAACTTATTTCTTAATGCAACTTATAAGAACAAATTCTTATGTATTTTAATTTTATTTTTAAAAACTATATTTTTCTGAAATATGTTATAAAATATGTTAAAATATGTCTGTCACAGGTATAGATTATTAAAAAATAATAAAGCTTTTATCTGCTTTTTACAATACATTTTTCTTTGGCTGTAGTCTATAATATCATTTTATCATAAAACAAAGCCCATCAACACTATCTAAAACTAGTACTGAAAAAGAAAAACTGGTATATAGAAATTCTCTATGACTTCGTTTGTTTCAGAGTAGCATTTGACATAAAGGTCAACATTGACTAAGCCCTTGCATTATCAATATATTCTTCCAGAAAAATTTTGGCAACAACATAAAACAATAGGATGTTTTAAAATTATTAATAATTTCATAATCTGCTTTAAAGATAGTCTTTGAGGAAGACTTTCTCTAAGGAAATACCTTTAAAAGTCAAAATAAAAATCTGTAATCCTATCTGCATGGTAGAATCAAAAGGCACTGAGTCTTGAACTAATAAGGGATAGGGGGAGGATTCTTGAAGTACATGAAACTTCATTTATACTATTTTTAAAAAAAACAGAAAATACCATAACCAGACACAGTGCCCCATGCCAGTTACAAACTCCAGGATGTATTATCGTGGAGAACACTCTTTGATGATTGGCTATGTAAAGGTGAAAGTGGATTACACATTTTGGAACTACAACAGGGTGTATTTTCTATGACACAAACATCTCGTGTTAAGGAATTGGCTTAACTGTTCTAACAAAAAGGTCTTAAAATGAAGTGGCATCATCAATGTTGTCTTCATTGTTATCATCATCATCATCATCTAGATTTTATTTTTCTCTTGTGTGACAGATTAGAGAAAAGAGGTTTGGGCTGGAGGGAGCCAATTCTTCATGAGGATATTCAAGGACTAAATTTGCTTCCATTATGTTGCTCTGTCATTTCCTGGGATATGGTCCTGGAGTCAAGGGAGAATGACAGGTTACCTTCACATATGTTTTCTAGCCTGCAAGCAAAAAAGAAAGAGTGGAAGTGAAAGGAAAACAGTTTACCCTTTATGCATATAATATGGAAGTTACCCACATCACCTTCATTTAGTGGAATGGCAAGAACTTACAATCGTAGATGCAACCAGCTGGAAGGGAAGCAGCTATGGCACAGCTAACGCTTGCAGATAGTTCTACCACAAAAATTATGAAAGGAAGACTGATACTTCACAATCTGTTCTACACTTCTTAATAACAAAGCAAGGTTGAAGAATATCAAAAAGGACTAATAAAATTATAAAATATGGATGACCTGTTTAATAAAATAAATAGAGAAGGTGGACAGCAAAATTATTAAACAGAACAATTAAGTACACATAAAATCAGTCTAAAGTTTTAAAAATAGGAAAGATAGAGATCTTGAATTGTTAGAAATAATAAATTTGATGAGTTTTAGGTTGACTGAAGAATTCTCTGAAGATTTTAAACCAATTTCTACAGTACTCAGTATAACTTATTCAGACAATGTATTTTGTCAGATATGCCTTACAAAAGTAATTCAACTTATGTAAGCACATATCCACATCTAAGTACTGAAGAAAATAATGTCATATTGTTAAAACAGAGTACACATTTCACTAGTTTATTCAACATGGTAAAGCTCTTGAACAAAAAAGGTCTTTCTAAAACACAATCTTAGATTCTTATTTTTTGCCTACTTCTTTTGCATGAATTAGAAATGTAAAATCGAGAGTAAAACTAAAGACAAAAATATGATGATAATACGATTTCATTAGATTATGAAACAATTTCAAACTTACGTCTTGGTGTGGGAGAATTACTCTGAACAGGGACTCTTCATGGAGTCCAGAGATACTGGGAGTCTTCAAACACATGCAAAGTCTTTCTAAAACATAATCTTAGATTAATATTTTTTGCCTGCTTCTCCTTTTGCATGAATTAGAAATTTAAAATCAAGAAAAAACTAAATAGAGCATAGAAGAATTTTTCTAAATTTGGATAATAATGCTTAGATATAATTAATACTCAGAATATGTTGAAACAGAAAATGATAAATGATTGTACATTGCAGCTAATAGTATTTCACCATTTAATTATTCAATTTATTAAAGCTTTGTGATGGTAAAATTGTATTTAATCACTAAGGTTTATTTTCTTGCTGCTCTCACCATTTTAAATATTTGAAAATGTCTGCTTTAAGTATCTGCATAAGTTGGAGAAATATTAACTAGCATAAAGTTTATTTTTTAATTTTAAAATGATGCTGATGATAATTTTGTGGTAGTTGTTTTCCCTGTTGATCATAAATTGATAAAAACATAGAGGTTTTGGATTTAATAAGAGACAGATGCTGTCTGAATCCATTTGTGCTGCTATAACAAAATATCTTAACTGGATAATTTGTAAAAAACATAAATTAATTTTTCCACAGCTATGTAAGCTGGAAAGCCCAGATTAAGGTGCTGCCTGGTGAAGGCCTGATCTCTCTGCTCCCAAAATTGTGTGTCTTGATGCTGCTTCCTCTGGACAAAAGGAATGCTGTCTTCATGTGACAGAAGGCAGAAGGGCAAAAGGGAGGGAAGTGCTATGGTTTGAATGTGTTGCCTCCAGAATTCAGGTGTTGCCAACGTGATGGTAGTAAGAAGAGAGACCTTTAAGAGGTAATTAGGTCACAAGGACTCCTTCCCTCCTGAATTGGATTAGGTCCCCTTATAAAAAGACTTGATAGAAAGAGTTTGTCTCATTTTTCCTTTCTGCTTTCTGCACCATGTGGGGCCCAGCATTCCTGTCCTCCAAAAGATGTAGCTTTCAAAGCACCATTTTGGGGGCAGAGAGAGCAGCCTTCACCACATACCAAAGTACACAGTCTTAGGTATTAATATTTTGTTATAGCAGCACAAATGAACTAAGACAGATGTTTTCTTGATTAGAAAGATGAAAAAGTAGATTGAACTAACAAATGTACAATATTTTGGTATTAATAACATCTCATTTCTGAGATAAGCTTTGTAACATAATTTGAAATCAGGAAGTGTGATGTCCCCAGCTTTGTTTTTCTTGCTCAAGATTGCTTTGCCTATTCAGGATATTTTCTGCTTCCATATGAATTTTAGAATTGTTTTTTCCATTTCTGTAAAAAAAAAAATTAGAATTTTGATAGAGATTGCATTGAATCTGCAGATCACTTCAGGTCATATGAATAATTTAATATTAATTTCTTCAACCCATGAATACAAGGTATCTTTCCATTTATTTGTGTCTTCTTCAATTTCCTATTCAATGTGTACAGTTTTCTTACCTCCTTGGTTAAATTTATTCCTAAGTATTTAAAATATTAAATATTTTTTTGTTGCTGTTGTAATTGACATTTTTTAAAATTTCTTTTTTTCAGATATTTTGTTAGTGTATGAAAATGCAACTGATATTTGTAGGTTGATTTTGTTTCCTGCAAATTTATTGAATTTGCTTATTAGTTCTAACAGTTTTTTTGTTGGCGTCTTTAGGGTTTTTTTTAAATATAAGATTATGTCATCTGCAAAAAGATAATTTTACTTTCTTATTTGGATGTCTTTAATTTCTTTTTCTTGTATAATTGCTCTCATTAAAACTTTTACTATTATGTTGAAGACAGGTGAGCATCCTTGTATTGTTTTTGATCTTAGAGAAAAAGTTTTCCACATTTTACTGCTGAGTCTAAAGTTAGAGGTGGTCCTGTGATATATGGTCTTTATTGTATTGAGATACTTTCCTCCTGTACCTAATTTGTTGAGAATTTCTATTTTTGAAAGAATGCCTAGTTTTGTAAAACGCTTTTTCAGCATTTATTGAATTGATCATATTATTTTTATCCTTTATTCTGTTACTGTGGTATATTACATTGTTGATTTGCATATATTGAATCATCTTTGCACCTCAGGGATAAATCCCACTTAATTATGTTTTGTGATCTTTTTAATATGCTATTGAATATGGTTTGCTGATATTTCATTGAGTTTTTTTGCATCCATGTTTATTAGTGGTAATGGCCTGTAATTTTATTTTTTTGTAAAGTCTTTGTCTTTGCTATCAGGGTAATGCTGGCCTCCTCAAATAAGTTTGGAAGTGTTGTCTCTTCAATTGTTTGAAAGCAGTTGAGAAAGATTGGTATTAATTTTTTTTAATGGTTGGTAAAATTCACCATTGAAGTCATTTGACCCTAGATGTTTTTTCCTTTTTGTTGGGAGGTGTTTAATTACTGAGTCAATTTCTTTACTCATTGATTAATCTCCTCAGATTTTCTATTTCTCCATGAATCAGTTCTGGTAGGTTCTATTTTTCTAGAAATGTATCCATTCTTGTAGCTTATACAATTTGTTGGCATATAATTGTTTACAGTAGTTTTTTTATGATCTTTTGTATTTCTGTGGTATCAGTCGTAATGTCTCCTCTTTAATTTATAATTTTATTTGAATCTTCTTTTTCTTTAGTCCATCTAAAGTTTCATAAATTTTGTTTATCTTGTTAAAAAATCTCCTACTTTCATTGCTTTTTTCTGTTGTTTTGCTAGTCTCTGTGTCATTTACATATGCTCTAATATTTATTACTCTCTTCCTTCTGCTAACTTTGGGCTCAGTTTTTTCCTTTCCACATTCCTTGAGGTATGAAGGTAGTTTATTTATTTGAGATCTTTTGTTTTACTTAATGTATGCATTGATAGCTACTATTTTTTTTCTTAGAACTACTTTTGCTGCATCTTATAAGTTTGATATTTTGTGTTTCCATTTTCATAAGTCACAAGATTTTTTTTTTACTTCTCTTTTGATATTTTCTTTTACCCATTGGTTGTTCAGGAGTGTGCTGTTTATTTCCACATATTGTGAATTTTCCATTTTTTCCTATTTTCATCCTATCATGATCTGAAAAGATACTTGATTAAATTCAGTCTCCTTAAATTTGTTCATAATTATTTGTGGCCTAACGTATGATTTATTCTGAACAATGCTCTGTGTGCACTTAAGAAAAACATGTATTCTGCTGCTATTAAATGGAATGTTCTGTGTATGTCTGTAACTCCATTTGGTCTGTAATGTTCAAATCTGCTGTTTCTTTATTGATTTTCTGCCTGAAAGATCTATCTAATAGTGAAAATGGGGTATTATAGTCCCCTACTGTTATTATATTGCTGTCCAATTCTTCTTTCAGTTGTTAATATTTGCTTTATATACTTAGGTGTTCTGATGTTGGGTGAATATATATTTACAATTATGTCCTCTCAATGGATCGACACTTTTGTTATTATAAAATGACCTTGTTTGTCTCTTGTGACAGTTTCTGACTTAAAATCTATCTTGCTTGTTACAAGCGCAGCCACCCTTGCTTTCTTTTGGTTAAGATTTGCATTGAGTAGGTTTTTCCATCCCTTCACTTTCAGCCTATGTGTCCTTAAAGCTAAAGTGATTTTCTAGTAGGCGCATATAGTTGGATCTCGTGTTTTATGATCAGCCACTCTGTGTACCAAGACTCATTCATAACTCCTTCTTTACCCTAGCACTCACAATGAATAAGTCACTAAATTCTGTCTAAACTTTTTTATTTTTTTGCATTACCACTTGGTTTTTATTTATGGACGTTCACCTATTGTTTATTTGCCGTCATATATAAAGCATTATTATAAACAAATTTTTTGTCTACATTTTTATGTCCTAAATATATCTCTCTAGAAGTAAAATTTCAAAGTCAGAGGATATGAACTTGTGGAGCAAAATACAGTTTCTAGGCATTGTGAAATTATAAAAATGAATAAACCGTGACTCTGAGATCTACATTCACGTATTGAATTGTCATTTTGAAGGCCTTATAAGGGCATCTTCTACCATATCTGAAATAAAACTAACTCTTGGTTTCCTCTGCTGATCTGTCCCACTAATAAAACCTCTTAAACTGTTCTTTTTCCCTTCCTCTCTCTCAATAAATGAGACTAGGAATTATCCAGATGAGTAAGTGACAAACCTAAGCATCATACTTGATGCTCATACATTCTGTCCCTTTTACACCACTGTATCAGTAAGTCTTTTCAGGTCCATCTCCAATATATATCTTGGATCTGTCTGCTTGGTTCCATTTTTACTGATGTCGCTTGTCTCCAGGTCACCATAGCTTCTCGCTTTGATACTTCAATAGCCTCCTTGGCAGGTTTGTATCTTCCACTACTTCTGCATGCCAGCCTAGTATTTACATAGCTGCTGAAATGCTCTTTTCAAAACACAAACTGATTTCATTTGTTGCCCCATTAATCTGTTTATTGACTTAGCATTGCTCTTCAAATAGAATCTAAACTCCTTAACAATGTTACACATGGCCTGAGGGATCTGGCCCAGCTCAGTTTCTCAATGTTCATTATTTCCAAAGTCCAGCCCTTCTCACAGTTCTCTGGCTCTTTCACTTTCTTGTCAGTTCCTCTTTGTTCCTCAGGTTTTCTGATATTTGCACATGTTTGTTTCTATTTGGACAGTTCTTTCCTAACTAGGCTTGTTACAAAATTTTATGACAGCCTCCGTTGCATATTTTGTTTACCCTTGCATTTCTCTGAGAGATGCCTGCTATGAACACCCTATGTCAGGCATTCTGCAACCCCACCACAAACTCATAATTGTTCTATTTTCCAGTATAGTATGTAACTATATATTTAATTTTTTTATTACAAAGGGAATTATATCCTATGCTCATTCTGTCATTTTGAACAGTTCTCAAAGTTATTGCTGAAGCTTAACCAAAATGAATGTAGATAGCAATGTGACCATATAAAATATTTTACATTTTTGATTGTAGAAATAATATGTTTATTGCAAAAGAAAGTAAAAAATACATGGAAATATTAGGATAAAGTAATATTTACCTTAAATCCCACAACTTTGATATTGTAACCATTAACACCTCTGTGCCTACCCTTTCAAATTTTTATTTTTATATTCAATCAAGCACATTTATACTTAAATAATTGAGGTTATAACAAACATTCTTTGTTTCTACGGACATTTCTTTGACACGTGTATAATCTGCAGTGATCAAATCAGGGTACTTAGTATATCGAACACCTCAAACATTGATCATTTTTTTGTGTCAGAAACATTCAAAATCTGCTTTCTAGCTATTTGAAATTATACAGTAAATTGTTATGATCATCCTTCAATTATACAGTAAATTGTTGTTATGATCATTCTATACATCCTTCAGTGTATAGAACACTAGAACATTTTTTGTTGTTGTTGTTTTGTTTTTAGATGGAGTCTCGCTCTGTCACCCAGGCTCGAGTGCACCAAATATCAAAATTTTAAATAGACAGAATTTTTATGACACTGCATTTTTTTTCAGTGGGTTTAACTTCCTAGCATCCCATGCTTTCTGAACCACCTGGTGGTCTGGTTCTCGCAAGGTGGATTTATAAGAGTTGACAATGGTATGTGAACCAACTGGATAATGCAGGGCTTTATACATACTCATGTTTTTTTATTATATAATTTTTATTAAGAGGTTTTATTTTCCACTTGGATCAAAATATGGGAGGATATTTGGTAAGTAAATATAGTCATGTGTCACTTAACAGGAGTAATTCTGAGAAATGAATTATTAGGTGCATTTTTATTGTGCCATTTTATTGGCATTATTATTGTGCCAATGTCATAGGGTATACTTTACACAAACCTGATAATACAGCCTAATACATACCTAGGCTATATAACATAGCTATTGCTCCTAGATTGCAAATCTCTCCAGTATGTTACTATAGGTTATTGTAACACAATGGTAAGTATTTATGTATCTAAACATAGAAAAGATACAGTAAAATATGGTATTATAAACTCATGGGATCACTGCTATATGTGTATCCCATCATTGACCAAAATGTTGTTATGCAGTGCATGTGCATGACTGTATATGTATGCACAGTTTTATTTTTGCTTCAGTTTGCCTTCTGGATCCACACTGGCATTGCTATGGATCCACATGGCACTGCTAGAAGAATAAATATATGAACACATTTAAACATCCATAAAGTATGATTGCGTATCTATTTAAATTAGTTTTTTATTTTTATTTTATGGGTTCATAGTAAAAGAATGTATTTATGGGTTAAATGAGATATTTTGACACAGGCATGCAACACATAATAATCACATCAGGGTAAATAATGTATCCATCACCTCAAGCATTTATTCTTTGTGTTATGAACAATCCAATATACTCTTTCAGTTATTTTTAAATGTACCATTAAATTATTTTTGACTATAGTCACCCTATTGTGCTATCAAATACTAGGTCTTATTTATCCTTTCCATTTTTGTATACCCATTAACCATCCCTACTTCCCCACCCCCGACTCCCTCTGCTACCCTTCCCAGCCTTTGGTAACCATCCTTCTATTCTCTATCTCCATGAGTTCAATTGTTTTGATTTTTAGCTCCCACAAATAAGTGATAACATGCAGTTTGTCTTTCTGTGCCTCCCTTATTTCACTTAACATAATGACCTCCAGTTCCATCCATGTTGTTGAAAATGACAGGATCTCATTCTTCTTTTATGGATGAACAGTACTCCACTGTGTATATGTGCCACATTTTTAAAATTCATCTGTTGATGGACACTTCAGTTGCTCCCTAATCTTGGCTATTGTAAATAGTACTGCAATAAACATGGGCATACAGATATCTCTTCAATATACTAATTTTCTTTCTTTTAGGTATACACCCAGGAGTGGGGTCGCTGGATTGTGTAGTAGCACCCTTTTTAGCTTTTTGAAAAATCTCCAAACCACTCTCCATAGTGGTTGTACTACTTTACATTCCCATTAACAGCATAACAGGGTTCCCTTTTCTCCATGTCCTCACCAGCATTTCTTACAGCTTTTGGATAAAAGCCATTTTAACTGGGGTGAGGTGATATGTCATTGTAGTTTTGATTTGCATTTCTCTGATGATCACTGATGTTGAGGGCCTTTTCATACACATTTTCCATTTGTATGTCTTCAGATATTGAGAAATATCTATTCAGATCTTTTGACCATTTTTAATCAGATTATTAGGTTTTTACTTACAGAATTGTTTGAGCTTATATATTCTGGTTATTAATCCCCTGCAGATATTTTCTCCCATTCTTTGGGTTGATACTTCTTTTTGTTCATTGTTTCCTTTGCTGTGCAAAAGCTTTTTAACTTGATGTGATTCCGTTTGTCCACTTTTGCTTTGGTTGACTGTCCTCGTGGGGTATTACTCAAGAAATCTTCGCCCACCCTAACCTCCTCGAGATTTTCACCAATGTTTTCTTGTAGTAGTTTCATAGCTTGAGGTCTTAGAGTTAAGTCTTCAACCTATTTTGATTTTATTTTTGTATACAGTGAGATTTAGGAGTCTAATTTCATTTTTCTGCATATGGATATCCAGTTTTCCCAACACCATTTATTGAAGAGACTGTCCTTTCCCTAATGTATGTTCTTGACACCTTTATTGATTATGAATTTACTGTAGATGTGTGGATTTCTTTTTGGGTTCTCTACTGTTACATTGGTCTATGTGTTTGATTTTATGCCAGTACCATGCCATTTTGGTTACTATAATTCTGTAGTATAACTTGAAATCAGGTAATGTGATTCTTCCAGTTTTGTTCTTTTTGCTTAGGATAGCTTTGGCTATTGTAGGTCTTTTTGTGGTTCCATATAAATTTAAGAATTGTTTTTCCTGTTTATGTGAATAATGTCATTAGTATTTTGATAGGGAATGTATTGAGTTTGTAGATGTAGATTGCTTTGTGTATTTATGGACATTTTAACAATTTTGATTCTTCTAATCCAACATGGAATATATTTCAATTTTTTGGCCTCTTAAATTTCTTTTATCAATGTTTTACAGTTTTCATTGTAGAGAACTTTCACTTCTTTAGTTAATTCCTAGGTATATTTTAACTTTATTTGTAGCTATTGTAAATATGATTATTTTCTGGATTTCTTTTTCAGACTGTTCTCTGTTAGCATATAGAAATGCTACTGATTTGTGTGTGTTGATTTTATAACCTGCAACTTTACTAAATTTGTTTATCAGTTCTAATAGTTTTTTGGCAGAGTCTTTATATAAGATTATATATATTCCAAATATAAGATTATATCATCTGCAAACAAAGATAATTTGACTTCTTCCTTTTCAATTTGGATACCCTTAATAAACTTTCTCTTATCTGATCGCTCTAGCTAGAACTTCCACTACTATGTTGAAAAACAGTGGTGAAAGTGGGGATTCTTGTTATGTTCCCAATCTTGGAGGAAAGGCTTGCAGTTTTTCCCAATCTTGGAGGAAAGGCTTGCAGTTTTTCCCCATTCAGTATGATACTAGCTATGGGTCTGTCATACGTGGCTTTCATTATGTTGAAGGCATGTTCCTTCTACACCTAGTTTTTTGGTTTTTGTTATGTTGAGGCATGTTCTTTCTATACCCAGTTTCCTTGTATACCCAGCTTTTTGAGTATACCTATCTTGAAGGGATGTTGAATTTTATCAAATGCTTTTTCAGCATCGATTGAAATGATCACATGTTTTTTCCCATCATTCTGTTGATATGATATATTACATTGATTTATTCTTGCATATGTTTAACCATTCTTGCATCCCTGGATAAATCCCACTTGGTCATGATGAATGATCTTCTTACGGTGTTGTTGAATTTGGTTTGCTAGTATTTACTTGAGGATTTTGCACCAATATTCATCGGAGATATTGGTCTGTAGGTTTTTTTGTGTATGTGATGTGTCTTTGTCTGGTTTTGGTATCTGGGTGATACTGGCTTCACAGAATGAGTTTAGAAGTATTCCATCCTCCTCTATTTTTTGTAATAGTTTGAGTAGGATTGGTATTAGTGCTTCTTTAATTGTTTAGTATTAATAGAATTCAGCAGTGAAGATATCAGGTCTCAGGCTTTTCTTTGCTGGGAGACATTTTAATATGGCTTTGATTTCATTACTTTTTGTTCTGTACAGCTTTTCGATTTATTCCTGGTTCAATCTTGGTAGGTTGTGTGTCTCTAGGAATTTTGTCATATCTTCTAGATTTTGCAATATGTTGGTGGCATATAGTTCCTCAGAGTAGCCACTACTGATGCTTTGAATTTCTGTGGTATTGGTTGTAATATCTCCTTTTTATCTTTGATTTTATTTGGGTCTTCTCTCTTTTTTTCTTAGTCTGGCCAAAGGTTTGTCCATTTTATCTTTAAAAAAAAACCAACTTTTTGTTTTGTTGATCTTTTATATTGTTTCCTTGGTTCAATTTTATTTATCTCTGCTCCAATTTTTATTATTTCTTTTTTTCTATTAATTTTGGGTTTTGTTTGTTCTTGCTTTTCTAGTTCTTTAAGATACATCACTAGGTTGTTTATTTGAAGTTTTTCTTTTTCTTTTTCTTTCTTTTTTTTTCTTTTTTGAGGCAGAGTCTAGCTCTGTCTCCCAGGCTGGAGTGCAGTGACATGATCTCAGCTCACTGAAACCTTCATCTCCTGGGTTCAAGCAATTCTCTGCCTCAGCCTCCCAAGTAGCTGGGATTACAGGTGCCCACCACCACGCCTGGCTAATTTTTCTTTTTTTTGCTAGAAATGGGGTTTCACCATCTTGGCCAGGCTGATCTTGAACTCCTGACCTCGTGATCCACCTGTTTTGGCCTCCCAAAGTGCTGGGATTACAGGCATGAGCCACCGCGCCTGGGCTGAAGATTTTCTTCGCTTTTGACTTACAGCTATACACTTCCTTCTTGGTACTACTTTCACTGTATCCCAAAGGTTTTGTGTGTTGTGTTTCCATTATCATTTGTTTCATGAAATTCTTCAATTTTCTTCTTAATTTCTTCAATGATTCAATGGACATTCAGGAGCATATTGTTTAATTTCCATGTGTTTGTATAGTTTCCAAAATTCTTCTTGTTATTAACAAGAAGAATTCTTGTTAATAATAATAAGAATTCTTCTTGTTATTAACTGGCTTTCTTTCATTGTGGTCGAAGAAGATGCTTGAAATTATTTCAGTTTTTCTGAATGTTTTAAGACTGGTTTTGTGACCTACATATGGTCACATGTCAAGAATAATCCATATCTTGAGGTAAAGAATGTTTATTCTACAGCTATTGGATGAAATGCTCTGTAAATATCTACTGGGTCTCTTTGGTCTATAGTGCAGACTAAACCCGATCTTTCTTTGTTGATTTTCTGTCTGGAAGATCTGTTCAATGCTGAAAGTGGGTGTTGAAGTCTCCAGGTATTGTTGTTTGAGGTCTCTCTCTCTCTCTCTCTTTAGCTCTAATAATATTTGCTTTATATATCTTGGTGCTCCAATGTTACGTGTATATATATTTACAATTATTATATATTCTTGCTGAATTGACCTGTTTATCATTATATAATGATCTTCTTT
The DNA here is from genome assembly GCF_000001405.40 of Homo sapiens. Classification (NCBI taxonomy): domain Eukaryota; kingdom Metazoa; phylum Chordata; class Mammalia; order Primates; family Hominidae; genus Homo; species Homo sapiens. The sequence goes on from NC_000008.11 coordinate 87,172,637, forward strand.
GTCTCTTGTATTTTTTGTCTTAAAATTTATTTTGTCTGATATAAGTATAACTACTCCTGTTCTTTTTTTCATTTCCATTGGCATAGAATATCTTTTTCCATTCCTTTATTTTCAGTCTGTGTGTATCTTTATAATTGAAGTGTGTTTCTTGTAGGCAACAGATTGGGTTTTTCTTTTTACTGTCCATTCAGACATTCTATGTATTTTTATTAGCGTATATAGTTCATTTACATTCAATGTTATTATTGATAACTAAGGATCTAATTCCTTCCATTTTGTTATTTGTTTTCCGGTTATTTTGTGGCCTTTCTCTTCCTTCTTTCTTTTCTCCCTTTTAGTGAAGGGGATTTTTCTCTGGTCATATGATTTAATTTTTTGCCTTATATTTTTGTGTATTTGTTGTATATTTTTTACTTGAGGTTACCATCAGGATTGTAAATACTACCTTATAACCATTATTTTAAACTGGTAACAACTTAACATTGCTTGGATAAACATACAAATTAACTATGAAGCAAAAAGAAAAGTAAAAAACACTACACTTATCTTTGTCTTCCCACTTTTTAACTTTTTGTTATTTCTATTTATATCTCATTGTAATGTCTATGTCTTGAGAAGTTGTAGTTGTTTTTGATTGGTTCATTATTTGGTTTTACTACTTAAAATAAGAGGAGTTTACACACCACAATTACGGTGTTATAATATTCTGTGTTTTTCTGTGTACTTACTATTGCCAATGAGTTTTATACCTTCAGATGATTTCTTATTGCTCATTAACTTTCTTTTCTTTCTGATTGAAGTACTCCCTTTAGCATTTCTTGTAGCATAGGTCTGGTGTTGATAAAATCCCTCAGCTTTTGTTTGCGTGAGAAAGTCTTTATTTCTCTGTCATGTTTGAAGGATATTTTCACTGAATATACTATTCTAGGGTAAAAAGTTTTTTCCTTCGGCATTTTCAATATGTCATACCTGTAAGGTTTCCACTGAAATGTCTGCTGCCAGACCTATTGGAGCTCCATTATATGTTATTTTTTTTTTTCGTTGCTTTTAGTATCCTTTCTTTACCTTTGGGAGTTTGATTATTAAATGCCTTTAATTAATCTTCTTTCAGTAAAATCTGCTTGGTGTTCTATAACCTTCTTGTACATGGATATTGATAACTTTCTCTAGGTTTGGAAAGTTTCTGTTATTATTTCTTTGAGTAAGCTTTCTATCATTATCTCTTTCTCTGCCTTCTCTTCGGGGCCAATAACTCTTAGATTTGCTCTTTTGATTCTATCTTATAAATCTTGTAGGCATGCTTGTTTCTTTTTATTTATTTATTTATTATTATTATTATTTTTGATGGAGTCTCACTCTGTCACCAGGCTGGAGTGCAGTGGCACGATCTCGGCTCACTGCAACCTCCACCTCCTAGGTTCAAGCAATTCTCCTGCCTCAGCCTCCCGAGTGGCTGGGACTATAGGCGCACACCACCAGGCCCAGCTAATTTTTGTATTTTTTAGTAGAGATGGGGTTTCACCATGTTGGCCTGGATGGTCTCGATCTCTTGACCTCGTTATCTGCCCGCCTCGGCCTCCCAAAGTGTCAGGATTACAGACGTGAGCCACCACGCCTGGCCTCTTTTTTATTCTTTTTTCTTTTGTCTTCTCTGTGTATTTTCAAATAACCTGTGTTCAAGCTCACGAATTCTTTCTTTGGCTGATAAATTCTGTTATTAATAGATTTCTGATGCATTCTTCAGTATGCCAGTTGTATTGTTTAACTCTAAAATTTCTTCTTGATTATCTTTAATTATTTCAATCTCTGTTAAATGTATCTGATAGAATTCTGAATTCCTTCTCTGTGTTATCTTTAATTTCTTTAAGTTTCCTCAAATCAGCTATTTTGAATTCTTTGTCTGAAAGGTCACATATCTCTGTATTTCTGAGATTGGTCCCTGGTGCCTTTTTTAGTTCTGTCAGGTCATCTTATCCTGGATGGTCTTGATGCCTGTTGATATTTGTTGGTGTCTGGGCATTGAAGAGTTGGGTATTTATTGTAGTCTTTGCAATCTGGGCTTCTTTTTTTAACTTGTCCTTATTTGGAAGCTTTTTCAGGTATTGAAAAGGACTTGGGTGTTGTGATCTAAGCCATGCCTTCATTAGGGGAACCCCAAGCCCAGTAATGCTGTGGTTCTTGCAGACTCATAGAGGTACTGCCTTGGTGGTCATGGATAAGTTCAGGAAGAATTCTCTGGATTCCCAGGCAGACTCTTGTTCTCTTCCGTAATTTCTCCCAAATCAGTGAAGTCTTCCTCTCTGTGCTGAGCTGCCTGGTGTGGAGACTAGAGTGACACAAGCAACCCTGTGGCCACTAACACTAGGATTGCACTGGGTCAGGCCTGAAGCCAGCACAGTACTAGGTCTCACTCAAGGCCCTCTGATAACACACCCTGGCTACTGCCTGTGTTTGCTCAAGGCCCTATGTCTCTACAGTCTCAGGTGGTAAAGCCAACTAGGCTTGTTTCCTTCGCTTCAGGGTGTTGAGTTTCCCCAGGCTTTGTTGAGCCAAGGCCTTGAACTGGGGACCACAAGTGCCTCCTTGGTGCTCTGTCTCACTGTGGCCAAGCTGGTATCTAAGGTGCAAGCAAAGTCTCCTTTACTTTATCTTCTGCTTTTCTTAAGCAGAAGGAGTCTCTCTCCAGAGTCACCACAGCTGGGAATATGCTGGGTCTTATCTGAAGTCAGCACATCTCAGAGTCTCACCTAAGACCCATGGTGTACTGCCTGGGTATTATTGCTGCAGTTATTCAGGACCCAAGCTCTCTTCAGTCAGCAAGTGATGAATCCTGCCAGGACTAGGTCACTCCCTTCGAGGCAAGAAGTTCCCTTCTGGCCCAGGGTTTGTCTAGAAATGTCATCCAAGAGCTAAGGCCTTGAATGGGAGCTTTGTAGCTCTGCCCCCTGAGTGGCCATCAAGAAGCAAGACAATAGTCTTCTTTATTCTTCCCTTTCCTCTTCTCAGGCTGAAGGAAGGGGTCTCTTTTGGAGCCATCAGTTGTATTGCCTGGGGTTGGCCATAGCAGTTGTGCATGCACTCTTTTAGCTGCCTTCTGGGTGTCTCAGTTATTGCCTGCCCCCCAAGCTCGCTGGCTCCAAGCCAAGGTCAGTAATTGGAATTTTAGTCCTTGTGTCCTAGACTGTGTTTCAAGTTTATTTAGAGTCCTAGAGCATTTCAGTCTATGGTGGCCAGGCTTACTGGAACTCAAGTTCTGAGTGCTGGGATGGGTGATTCTCCTCTGGCTAGGGCGGGTCTGAATACCCCCTCCATTGGTGGGGGTCAGCTGAGTTCAGCCCAGTTTTGTCTTCTGCTGTGATAGGGCAGCACTGAGTTTAATGCAAGGTCTCACAATCACTGCACTGTACCTCTCCCAAGTGCAGTGATGCCACGTGACCGCTGCAGGGGCAGGGTGGGTGATGGGAGGGGTTGGCATTGACAATTCAAGACTGTCTTTTCTACCCTCTTCTGTGGTTCTTTGAACAATATGAAGTTAAAACCAGGTACTGTGAGTGCTCACCTGATTTTGGTTCTCATGAAGGTGCTTTTTTGTGTAGATAGTTGTTGAGTTTGGTGCTCCTGCAGTGAGGATGATTGGTGGGGCCATCTTGCTCTCCCCCCTCTGTATATCTTTATTATGTTCTTTAGTATTGAATTCAAATAACAAACCCAGTAATAGGCTTAATTAAATCATATTTGCATTCAATATCATCTGCCAAGGAATATGTCAGTTGTTAACTCAGAATGAAACTGATTTTTCATAATTCTTACTAGGGATATTTCCTCACTTTTCAGTTTTAAGTTAGTATTTTTTTTTTTTTTTTTGAGATGGAGTTTCACTCTTCTTACCCAGGCTGGAGTGCAGTGGCACAATCTCGGCTCACTGCAACCCTCTGCCTCCCGGGTTCAAGCAATTCTGCTGCCCCAGCCTCCCGATTAGCTGGGATTACAGGCGTGGCCCACCACGCCCGGCTAAATTTTTTTTTTTTTTTTTCATTAGAGACGAGGTTTCTCCATGTTGGCCAGGCTGCTCAAACTCCCAACCACAGGTGATCTGCCCGCCTCAGCCTTCCAAAGTGCTGGGATTACAGGCGTGAGCCACCGTGCCTGGCTTTGCTAGTATTTTTAATACAAAGGATACTTTTTGTTTATTCTTATTATTTCTGGCTTCATATTTTATGAAAGTAAATCAAGATAACTATAAACAATAGTCATTTAAATAGAATACTTTAAAAATACATTATCTTTTATAATCTTCCTTAGAGAGAATGACAGGATTAGGAAGAAAATGATATCTAGAACCAGGTTTAAGCCATGTCTGACACTGCCAGTATGATCTTGAAATCTGAGGCTCATGTTCTTTAACTAAATAATAAGAAAATACCAACTATATAAATGTACAGAGTTGTTACTAAGGTTAAATGAGGCAATGTAAGTAAACCTGCACTGAAAAATTTAAAGGTTATTCAAATGTTAATTATTTTTATTGTTTTATGTATTCATTTCTTTCCCTTGGAGCAAATAGAGAAAATTAAAGGGATATAAAGTGGAAGAAAAATGTAAAAGGCAACCTTTAGGAAGAAATCATCATGATCCAATTGCAATTGTATAGATAGTTTTGCCACTTACCAAGAATAGACTCTTGCTATATCAGTGGTTTTATTCCCAAGGAATCTCACAGTGTTGAAAACTAATTTATAAAATAATTGTTCCAATATGGAAAAAAATTGGGAGATGGAGAATTTCATCCTCTAAGTGATGGAAGTATTTTTTCTTCAAGAATTTTAATACTGAAGTTTTTTTATTAGCACAATTGCATAGTTCTAAATTCTACACATTACTGAACAAATCGAGCATTGATAATGCACATCAGCATCTGCTCAAAAATGTCTTTTATTTTCCTAAAACCACTGACACAGAGATTAACACAGTGCTGCTTATAAATTCTTTTTCACACATTTTTATGATAAATAAAACACAAAGCACTCAAGATAAATTTTATTTTTACCCAGAAGTTCTAACTTTTTGTTTTAATTGCATTTTAACTAGTACTTATGAGATAGATGCAATTAAGTTCTTATTAATTGATAATGTTACATTAAATAAATATCTATTTTTTAATGTTTTAATGTAGAAGAATTGCATGAATTGTAAAATAATCATAGTTTTCTAACATATTAGAAAGAAGAAAGCTATGAGGAGAATTTTAACAAATAGTAGGTTTGGCTTTGCCTGGCATGAGTGTGGGTAGTTGTGGAAAGGTACATAAAGAAGATATATAATGTAATGTTGTATGAACAGACATCAAAGTACAATTTACTTGCTTTGAGCAAATTGTCATGAAGCTTAAAAGCAATGTGGAGGAACTTACTAGCAAGTGGAACTATCTTAAGAAAAAAGGTGAAATAATAATTCCTTCAATAAAAATCTATTGAGCACGTTCTAAATGCCAGACACTCTTCATAGTACAGAACTTAATACAGACCATCTTCATTCTGTGTTTATTCCAGTGGGAGGTAACTGACAATACAAAGAGGAAAATACGTAATGTATTGGAACATGATTAGTGTTATGAATGAGTTCAGGGATGAGTCCTGACAAGAGTAGAGGTGGATAATTCAGTTGTATTTAGAAATACTCTGAGAAAGCCTCAATGAGAAGTTGACATTTGAGCAGAAACATGAAGGAGGAGAGGGGGCATGCAATGCAGATATCTGGAGAAAGAATATTTGAAGCAGACAAAATTGGAAATGCAAAAATCCCAAGTCGAGAGTTTGCTTGGTATATGAGAGGGATGGAAAGAAGGCCAACATGATGACTAAATGGAAATGGAAAAGTGGGAAAGCTTTAGATGCAGTCGGAGAGATAGTTTGGCCCATTGTAAAACCTCAGCCATTTTTACTTGGAGTCTGATGGAATCTAGCGACAAACCTGACTTCCATTGCCTGGCATAGTACAGTATTGAGCAAAGGTGTAAACAGAGGGAATATTTAAGAGAGTACTACATTAATCCAGGTAAACAGTGAGGATTGAACTAGGCTTGTAATAGTAGCAGGATGAAAAGTGGTAATATTCCCTTGATGCTACCTTCAAAATATGTCCAGAATACACAGGGCTTTCACAGAACCCAAAGGTAGAGTTTCACCTTGATGGCAATAGATACCTAGAACCAAGATCTTGAACATTTCTTCTACAGAAAAGTAACTGAATCCCTGAATAGCTTTTGCTTGTTTGTTTGTTTGTTTGTTTGAGACGGAGTCTCACCCTTGTTGCCCAGGCTGGAGTGCAATGACGTGATCTCGGCTCACCGCAACCTCTGCCTCCTGGGTTCAAGCGATTCTCCTGCCTCAGCCTCCCAAGTAGCAGCTGAGACTACAGGTGCGTGCCACCATGCCCAGCTAATTTTTGTATTTTTAGTAGAGATGGGGTTTCACCATGTTGGCCAGGATAGTCTCGATCTCTTGACCTCGTGATCCACCCGCCTTGGCCTCCCAAAATAGTTTTTATAAAACAGAAGGATTTAAAGACTTCAATTGAATAATTGAGTAAAAATATGCAGGAAACTTCGAAGAAACATTTTTATCATATTTGGAGTTAATTGGAGATAAAAGATATTCATAAAATAATGTATAGAATTCGCTTTAAAAACTGCAGTTTTAAAACATTAGATATAAGTACCATTTAAATATGATTATGACTTTAAAGAATTATCTTGAAGGTATTATTTTAAATGGCTGTCTAATTTTTGCTCTCTTAAAGAAGAGTCTAAATGTAGATCTTCTACTCAGTATAAATAAAAGGAAAACATGGTTAAATGCCCTCTAAAATAAGGAATTCAGAGTATCAACTGAAATTAAGGCTGTTGAAGCAGAAATAACTTGATAAATGTTTAATGGAAGCCAAATGTAAGGATTGATCCAGGAAGGCATAGCAACAAGTCTTGGCACGACCCAGAGTTGGCTACAAGTTGGAAGGGTTTTATTAAAGTTTAAGAGAAGAAACAGGACTCCTTATATTGGAGTTGTCCTTTTACACTGAAGGTGCAATATAGAGTTTATAATCATTCACTACAGATTGCAACATATAGGCTAAAATGTCTACATACAAGATAATCAGTAAAATTTCATGATGCAAAAAATCAAATCAGCATCGTTTTTAATGTCAGGATTTCATACATTAATCAGTATGTCAAAAACTGGAGTAACTCCGATAAGATTATTTACTAACAAACAGGATGTCACCATGAATCACAAGACATTTCCCAGGAGGGCTAATTTGGAAGCTTGCCAGATATGATCTGTAGGTTATCAGTAGTTAATGTAAAGGATTTATTTTTTGTATGAAGAGTGAGACATGTAAATAGAAAACGGTATAAAAGAGTTCAAAGAAGGAAGCACGAAGTGAAAACTTAAATTTCTGAATTGCTTGTCTGCAAATAGAAGCCAAGATACACATGAGACTGCCCAGGAAATGCATATAGAAAAAAAAATACCCAAGCCATGATTACTATATTTCCTGCAAATATTAGAAAAGTTAGTGTGGAGAAAAACTGAAACTATTCATTATATTTTAAGCATGAATTGGTTGTTTGCAGAAATCATGAATAAATATATTCTATAAACATATTTTCCATGTATTTTGGAAAATACATATTATATATTTTTATCACCTTTTACTCAATTATGACTTTGTATCATTTCTGAAAGTAGTTTCACCAAAATAAGCCTAATACGTTACTGTGTGTTGTCTTGTATTATTTTCTCACCTATTATTGGCATACTCCAGTTTTAACTTTAGATAAAACAATATATCATGGCATTTCATGCTTTCACCTGTACAATGACTAAGATAAATAGTTGGATGTGTCAAAAAGTAACTCCGGAGGTGGTGTGAGCCTGAAATTTACATATTTTTGTTATATATTAAAGAATATATAATTTAAAACAATACCTATAATTTAATCACATATTTGATAATGTAAAGATGAATCTGTACCAATTAAAACTTAGAATTTTTTAGCAAAGAAACCTACCCCTTATTCCACCTGGACTAAAAAAGAAGGAAGGAATGGGAATGAGGGAGGAGTGTGTGTTTGACTCTCAGGCAGTCCATATTTTATGTACTAGGGAATGGGGAAGGAAGTTAGGATATAATTTTGCAGAATAGTGCACTTCAACTAACAATATTGTTTGCAGCTCCACTCCTATTTTTTATTGATTTTATTTGCTGTAAACAAGTATCGAGGGTCTTTGGGGTTCCACAAAGCAGATGGGCCACCATCTCTGCTGCAGCTGCCTCTCCTAATCCTGCTCTGGGCTTTGAATTTCTCCACTCTGCAATCTGTCTATGCTCTTCTATTCACTTTCTTCCCCCAGAAACGTGCTGCACACTCATCAACTGATAACGTCCTCCCTTACCTCCTTGATGTTTTTATCATTATTTTTATATTTCTATCATCATTTTAAAGAGTCATTTTGAGAGGAGAGTGATGAACAGATCTATGTCTGCAGGTTGAATCAAAAGCATCTATTCCTTTTTAAAAATATATTTTCTTAAGTTATGAATACACAATAACTGCACATATATACAGTATGCAACTTAATACATTTGACATGTGTACACATCTGTGAAACCATAGTTACAATTGAGATAGTATATAATATACAAATAACAGCTCCATCTCCTCACAAAGATTCCTTGTGCATCTCTACAATTTCAAATTTTATTTCTTTATTAGAAATATGGCCCTGCAAATTATCTGTCTTCTTGGGTGAGACTCAGAAGTTTGTCAATAATTCTGTCCATTTCATTGAATTTATTGGCATAAAGTTGTTCAAAATATTCACTGGTTAATATTTTGATATCCAAATAGTCTGTAAAGCTGTCACCTCCCTCACTCCTAGTGTTAGTAATTGTGTTTTTACTACTGTATGTCTTCTCAGTGTGGCTACAGGTTTTTCAAAATTATTGATCTTCAAAAAACCAACTTATGCTTTCATTAAAATCTGTTGATTTCTGAGGTTTTTTCCTTGATTTCTACTCTGATACTTAACACTCTGTTTATTTTGCTTAATTTAGATTTAATTTTTCTTCTTTTTCTAGGGTTACAGGTGAAAGCTGAGGTCCTTGATTCTTAGAACTTTCTTCTTTCTAATATAGGCATTTTGTGGTATATTTTTCCTTTTCATGTGTAAATTGGTTTACGTGGTATTTATTTTTTCTCAACTTTTATTTCAGATTCAGGGGATACATGTGCAGGTTTTTTCCATGAGTACATTGTGTGTTACTAGCGTTTGTTGTACACATGATTTTGTCACCCAGGTAGTGAGCATAGTATCTGATAGGTAGTTTTTTGACCTTCACCCTGCTCCTAACATCTCACTTGAAGTATGCCCCAGTGTCTACTTTTCCCATCTTTGTGTTCATGTGTACTCAATATTTAGTTCCCATTTATAAATGAGAACTGTGGTATTTGGATTTCTGATCCTATGTTAGTTCACTTAGGATAATGGCCTTCACCTATATCCATGTTACTGCAAAGGACATGATCTCATTCTTTTTTATGGCTGCATAGTATTCCATGGTGTATATATACCATATTTTCTTTATCCAGTTTACCATTGATGGGTATTTAGGTTGATTCCATGTCTTTGCTACTGTAAACAGCACTGTGATAGACATATGTGTGCATGTCTTTATGGTAGAATTATTTATATTCCTTTGGGTATATATCTAATAATGGAATTACTGGGTTGAATGATAATTCTGTTTTAGTTTCTTTCAGATATTACCAAACCATTTTACACAATAGCTGAAATAATTACATTCCCACCAACAGGGTGCAAGAATTCCCTTTTCTCCACAACCTTTCCAGCATTTGTTATTTTTTGACTTTTTAATGATAGCCATTCTGACTGATACGAGATGGTATCTCATCGTGGTTTTGATTTGCATTTCTCTAATAGCTGGTGATGTTGAGCATTTTTTCATATGTTTGCTGCCTGAATGTATGTCTTCTTTTGAGAAGTGTCTGTTCATGTCTTCTGCCCATTTTTAAATGGGGTTGTTTGCTTTTGCTTGTTGAATTGTTTAAGTACCTAATAGTTTCTGGATATTAGAACTTTGTCTGAAGCATAGTTTGCAAGTATTTTCTCCCATTTAGTAGGTTTTCTGCCTATTCAGCTGATAATTTCTTTCTTTCTTTGTCCTGTGCAGAACCTCTTTGGTTTAATTAGGTTACACTTATGTATTTTTGTTTTGTTACAATTGCTTTTGGAGACTTTGACATGAAATTTTTGCTAAGTCCTATGTTCAGAATGTCATTTCCTAGTTTTTTCTAGGGTTCTTACAATTTAGGGTCTTACATTTAAGTCTTTAATTGATTTTGAGTTGATTTTTGAATATGGTGAAAGGGCAGGGTCCAGTTTTAGTCTAACTTACATGGCTAGACAGTTATCCCAGCACCATTTATTGAATAGTGAGTCTTTTCCCTACTGCTTATTTTTGTTGACTTTGTCAAAGAACAGATGGTTGTAGGTGCACAGCTTTATGTCTGGGCTTTCTAGTCTCTTTTGTAGGTATATGTGTCTGTTTTTATATCAGTACCATGCTGTTTTGGTTGCTGTAGGCTTGTAGTTTGAAATCAGGTAGTGTGATACCTTCAGCTTTGTTTTCTTTTGTTTGTTTGTTTGTTTGTTTTTGCGCTGTTTGTTTTTTTTTTTTTTTTTTGCTAATGATGGCTATATTATTTTCCCACATTTGTATTGTTTTACCACTTTCTTTGGATTGAGTTTCAGACTCCTCTTGTATCTCGATGAGTTTTCTTGCCATCCAGATTCTGAATTCTATGTCTGTTGTTCCAGCCATTTCAGTCTGGTTTAGGATCATTGCTGGGGAGCTAATGTGGTCATCTAGAGGTAAGAAGACACTCTGGCTTTTAGAGTTGCCAGAATTCTTGTACTAGTTCTTTTTCATCTGTATGGGCTGATAGTCCTTTAATCTTTGAAGTTGCTGTCCTTTAGGTAGGGCTTTTTGCTTTTGTATTCTATGATACTCTTGAGGATTTGATTGTGGTACATGTTGGGTTTAGTTGATTGGTTTCATTTCTGGATGCTTTCAGGGGGACAAAGCTCAGTTCAGCATTGCTGGGCTGTATGCTCTAACCCTGGGGGCACTAGGACCAGGCCTATCACTTTGTTCTGTGGCACTTTGGGGTCAAACACCTGCTACACTAGAGAGCCTGGGGCATTCCCAGTTCACTGGCGACAACACTCCAATAAGGGCTGCCAGCAAAGCACTGCAGTAGAATGGCAGGGAGTGCCATACACGTGTGCACTGCAGCAGAGGTAATGGGTCTGTGCTCACCACTGGGGTGGCGGGGGCCACAGATGATTGTGGCCAATGGGGTGACAGAAGGGGCTGCACGCATGTGCTCACGGGTTGGCTGTTGGGGGTAGTGTGCACCAGTGGGAGAATGCTGCAGGCAGGTTTGTGCCAGCAGGGATTCATCTGCAAAAGTGCTCTGATAGGAATGTAATAGGCAGTGAGCAAAAGAGCTAGCACCATGGCTGACGGCAAACTTTTTAGTGGGGCAGCTGAGGCTGGGTGGCAAATGGGTTTGGCCAGGCAGGACCTTGGAAGACACCAGCAGACAGAGGACCATTCAGATCAGACTGACCGCATGGGAAAGACAGCCCTGCTCTCTGCAGGCCCAGCTGCTAATAAACGCTAAAGCCACCTAGAGGAGGAGTATGGCAAGCCTTAGTTGTGGACACCCATGACAGTGCTCCTCTCCAGCCTTTCCCACGCCAAACCCTCTGGGCTTCATGCAGACTGGAGTTCTATCTTGTCCATCTCTCCTGGCAGTTTTCCCTGCCAACTCTAATGTCCATGGGGGTCATGGGGTCTCCTGCAGCTAGGATCCTGGAGGTCTATGGCTAGAGTGGGCTGCTCCATGCTTATTTCACTCACCCTTTCCCTAGAAGCCACTGGGGGCCAGGAAGGAGTCTGGTGCTTGGCAACCTAACTTCCTCCCCTTTCAGCCTCCGGGTCTACATCCTCCCTATATCCACTCCCAACACCTGCTTTCTGAAGATCTATTCAGAGTCTGCTGGTGTACTTGATGGCATGGTCTCTCTCAGTGGGAGAAGCTCTTCCTGGCTGTGTCTGTCAGCCATCTTGGCTATTTCCTTGTATATTTTCTTATAGCTACTATTTTAGTTGCATCTCCAAGTTTTAATATGTTGCATTTTCATTTTAATTTATTTTAAAGTATTTTAAAATTATCTTTTGAGTTTTTTATTTGACTTCTGGATTTTCATAAATATGTTATTTTCCGAATATATTTGGGAAATTTTCAGAGAACTTTGTTACTGATTTCTAAATTAATTATATTGTGGTCTAAGGATATACTTTGTATGATTTTTACAAATATACTGAGGTTTGTCTTATGGTATATAATACAGTATTGATAAATGTTCCACATACAATCAAAAAGAATGTATATTCTGCTCTTTTTTGAGGTGATTGTTTTATAAATATCAATGAGATTAAATTCAAGCCTTCTATAACCTTACTGTTTTTCTATTTTTCTATCAATTCTTGAAAAATGATGTTGAAATTTGACTACACTTGCATATTTTTTCCGTTTCTCTCTGCAGTTTTATTAGTATTTACTTCTTCGCGTAGTAATTTTTTATTGGGTGCCAGTTATTTTAATTTTACCTTGGTGGCTGCTGAACATGTTTATATCATCATACATAGTGTGAACTTTGTTCCAAAATTAGTTAAGTTTATTGGAAACACACTGATACTTTCAAATCTTGCTTTTAGATATTGTTAGGCAGGATCAGCACAGCATTTAGTCTATGGCACATTTTTTTCCTAATGCATAGGTAAAACTCATATGTGGTCTATCCTATTTCCTGTGAATTATAAGGTTTCTACTCTGCTTTTTAGAAACAAGAACTATTCCCAGGTCTGTGTGAGCTCCAGATATTGTTCCCTCTAATCTTTTTAGGTGCTTCAGTTTCCGGTCCATGATAGTTTCTTCACATGTGAGCAATGATAAATACTCATTAATAATTCAACAGATTCTTTTTGAAAATCTCTGGTGCTCTCTCTCCCTCTCTGCATTTTTCTCCTCTACAATAATTTTCTCTGGGAACTCTGACCCACGTAAGTTCCTTTGACTGTCTCCTCAGTTATGTCTCCTCAATTAAGGAAACTGTCTGGATTCCCTCGTCCCATTCTTTATCATAGAAATTTTCTCTCTTCTGTATACTAGAGAAATCATAGTTTTTAACTTTATTTGTTCCTCGTTTCCAAGGTTTACTGTTTGTCTTTGCCTGATGTTCAATATCTGCAAAACAATTATTTTGCATATGTTGTCTCTTTTTTAGATGTTTCCAGCAGGTATTTAAATCTATACTTGTTAATCCATATTTAACAGAAACCTACGCCAAAATGTATTTATTCTAATTTTAATTTTTTTCTATAGTAATTTGGATTGACATATAATTAAATACCTATTTGATATTCTTACTTGGCGTATCTCATTTTCCATATCTAAAGCTGAACTCTTGTTCATTCTACTAAAGTTTTTCTTCTGCAGCCTTCCTCATCTCAATAAATTCTGCATAATATTTATAATTTCATAAACCAGTAAACTGGCAGTCTTCAAAGATTTCTTCTCTCTTTAGCCAATCTAATCAAGCACCAAAAATATTTCTTGACCATCTCCTGAATTTACAACCATCATTCCAGCTCCATTCTCTACCCTATTCCTAGTTATTATCCTTTTCCATATCTACTTCAAACTTCTCCAAAGTTAAAAGAAACAATAAACAAACAAACAACAAAAATAAATGAGAGAATTCTTCTAAAGACAGTTGTATACACTGCTGGGAGAAACTAAATATAAGCAGCTCTTTATATCTTATTTTAATCAATGAACCACAATATAATGTACCTACTTATAATTTATTAAAAATTTAATTCCTATTTTAAATTTCTTTTTGAATTCTTATTTTAACTTATTTATTTAAATAAAAATTCCCATTTTAAATTTATTATTGAAATATATAGTGTAAGTAATTTTTTAAAAATGGTTTGAGGGACTACTACAAACGCATGCATATGGCAAGATTGTTAAAATGGAAACAAGGAAGCAAAAGTTATGGACAAAAGGAAGGGAGATATACTAACCACCTTAGCTGACCTAGCTGATCTGTCGTAGCATTAAATTTAGCTTAGAGATTTTTGGGCATCCCAAAAGCAATAGAAGTGGATTAATTATCATTGATTTGATAAATCAATTCTTCAAGTATCAATTTTTCCTACCAAGAAGAAAATATTGAAGTACATAATTGACAATATTATGCAACATATTTGTTTTTCTCTTTTACTCAGTATCTAAGGCATTTTCCCTATATTGCCATTTTAAAAATCAATCTCCAAAAAGGCAACATTTTTATATTGAAAAATTAAAAGATTTATATAGCTATATCTCAATATATATCTGCACATATCTATCTATATGCCAAATATTAAAACATAGCTATATAAATATTTAAATTATGTATATATTTATTCCTATATCTATCTACCTATCTATCCATCTGATCCATGTGATTTTTTTGTCTTTGCTATGCAGATATTTTCCCATAAATGATGGAAGAATAAGAGTTTTTGAAGTTTATGTTTGTAAATTACCATGGTTCTAACTTTATATGAGGATAGAGCATATCTTAAAATATATGCTAAAGAGGGAATAATATATTTCATATATCCTTCTCTTTTTTTTTTTTTGGCTAGCATTTTGACAGTAACTAAATATTGTCACCAGTTTAAGACACCAAACATAACAGATTATTTTGGACTGGAAAAATTTCAAACCAGCATTATCAGTCAGCAATCCTGACAAAGAAAGCCCCTCAAGTCATCATTGTTTGTAATAGCAATGACACCAGTGTTAACTCCTATGGAAGGACAAATTGCTTGCCTAACTTTGAATTGCACTGCCTTTTTCTTGACCCTTAAGTTCACTAAATATATTCCAAACTAATTTTAATAACCTGATCTGGAGTTGCTAATTACATAATTCATTATAATATCTCTCTAACTGATTTCAGCACATTGGTTTTACAATACCCTAATCCATCCTCCTCTCTGTAGCCAGACTGAACTTTCAAAATGTAAATCTGCCCAGTAATTCCTCTTAATAAAATCCTTGGATGACTTTATTTTTCCTAATGACAATGTCTAAAATTCTTAACAAGGTTTATAATGCCTTCTAGGATTTTGCCCTGCCTATCATCTTAGCTTCAATATATGTCCAATTTCCTCATTGCTCTCTCTGCTCCAACCACACTGAACTTTCATTCCCAAGTGTTTCTTGAATACTTGATTCTGGATCTTTGTACAAGGAATTTTTTATTCCTGAAACACTGATATATCCTCTCTTTCCCCACTGCCAACTTATTCTTCAGATGTCAGTTCATACACCACGATCTCTGGGAAACATTTGCGAATGTCTCTGCTCCCCTAGACTAGATTACGTCTCTCCACTACTTTCCATGACACATAGTACTCTGCCTTTTATATCTCTTTCACATGCATAAGTTGTGTTTAATGTATGACTTCCCTTTTGAATTTTAAATTGTGTGAGGCAAGGACAAGGTCTGTCTCTATCTTTGTTATATGCCAGTGTTTGGATTATTACCTGAAAATTAACCATTGCACAAAACTATTTGCTGAATAAATAAATGAAGGAGGCTCGGTGCGGTGGTTCACACCAGCAATCCCAGCACTTTCAGAGGCCAAGGTGTGTGGATCACCTGAGGTCACGAGTTCGAGACCAGCCTGGCCAACATGGCGAAACCCCATCTCTACTAAAAATACAAAAATTAGGTGTGGTAGCAGGTGCCTGTAATCCCAGCTACTTGGGAGACCGAGGTAAGAGAATCACCTGAACTAGGGAGGTGGAGGTTGCAGTGAGCCGAGATTATGCCACTACAAGATCACGATGATCATGCCACTGCACTCCAGCCTGGGCAACAGAGAGACTCCATCTCAAAAAAAAAAAAAAATAAAAATAAAAAATAAGTAAATAAATAAATGAAGGAATGAACAGACAGTAAAGCGTCTTTTTTTTTTTTTTTTTGGTTGATTTAAAACATCTAACATGTAGGTAGAAGCTATTGTTTGACTTCTGAACCTGACATGTAGTTATTGTAAACTTTTGAGCACAAGAAAAAGATAAATAGTGTGATTATATGAAGAATAATTAAGATTTCCAACAGAATGGTGTTCGTTTTTTTTTCACAGAGAAATGCAGCTTATCAACTTTTTTGTGTGTAGTAGAAGCAGCTTCTTCAAATGTCTAAGTACAAAAGATGTAGAAAACCTTCAATAAAATTAGTTCAAAGCATCTGTGTATTTCAGTAATCTGTGATTATTGTGTTTATGGCTGCTGAGTGTGTTCAGGAAGTGAGATTACAGGTGACTTTTGAAGTGTTTTGAGAACTTACTTATACCCTTTTTTGTGTGGCTATTGTTAACCACTCAGATCTTATGAACCGAGTTTGTGATGGATGCTAAGGAAGTGCTCTTTGATGAAGTACCTTGCCTAAGGATTTTCATAATTTTCAAGTTTGGCATCGGAACTATAAACATGTAGATAAAATAAGCGTGTTTTATGACCCAACCCCCCTTTAAAAACTGTGCAGTTGGCAGACAAGCCTATTATTTTCTTCAATTTTCTTCTGCTGAAATGAAAGGAAATATGCTACTATAGTATTCTGGTGGGTATACCATGTCCTTTAATTCCTCTCTCTCTACAAGAAAAAAGCCCAGCTATCCTCCCCAAACAACAAAAGGAAGCATGTAAAAAAATTAGTAATCTATTTTCTAATTATAAGAGGTTTTTTAAGCTTGAAAAGAAGAGTTAAATTTGTTGGCATTAACCTTTCAATTTTCAATGGTGTATAGGAATAGCAGAGAGAACCAAAAGCGTGCTGTGCCTCTGATGTGTGCACTCCGCGAATGACCAAACCCAATTTCTGGAAAAACTGATAATGATCAGCATTTGTCATATGAATCTGGATGATCAAATAAAATCAATTGTTATTCTGTTCATTCATCCTTGACTGATTAGGGAATTCAAATGGAAAGTCAGACAGAAGGTGATGTGCATATTAATGATTAATTATTCAAGAAATACTTCAAGTACACACTGTATTCCAGGAAAAGAATTTTACAGTAGGTTGCTTGAAAACATGCAGGAAAAAGGGATACATAGAAAAAAATGATATTTGAGAAGAAAGTCACATTTTTAACAGTTTTAAATAATTTCATAACAGCCACAATGCTGCTTCTAAAACTATTAAGAAGGTCCAAGAGCTTGCCTGTGTGCATCCTTTAATTAAAATGAACTTTTCAGGTGGATTTTTCTATCCCATTAATCTGTGGCTCATAGAACATTTGGTCAAATGTCACATACTTGCTAAGGTCCAGGGATTTTAGCTGTACAATTTCTGAATATGTTCATGTACCCCCAAACATATGCTATCAAATTTCAGCAAGTTTTTTGGATCCTTGAGGAACTCACATGGCTGGGTGTGCAGGATACATTTTCTAGGGACATATATATCCAAACGTAGGAGACTCCCAGTTGTTCTGTTCCCAGCTGATGACCTAAATTTTCATTTCTACCATTATTTTTCCAGGTTGTAAATCTGAGCTGATTCCTCCATGCCATCTGATTCAAGCTCATAATTTTACCATTCTCTGTGTGCCTTATTCCATATTCTTTTTTGTCCATTACTACCCTCTTTCGCTCCGAGTTCAATGTCTTATATATTTTTAATCCAGCTTCATTAATGGGTCTATTTTCTTACTGTTTCTTTTGTGTAATAACTTGATCTTAACTCAGAGGTAGACTTACCCTGAAGGTAATGACGCTTAAGCTTTAGGCTTGCCATTTAATTTGCATGTGTCACTTTGAAGGCCCTTAAAGAGGCTCTAGAAATATATTCACATGCTTGTAAGTTTCTGTAATATTTGTAAGAGTAAGACATTTTCACTATAGTCATGTGTTTTTCCTTTGCCTGCTGTGTTAGTCAGGATTCTCCAGAGGTACAGAACCAATAGGAGGTACATATGTAGATATAGATACATGTACCTATATCTAAATAGATATAGATACATGTACGTATATCTATTTAGATATAGGTACATGTATCTATATCTATTTAGATATAGATATAGATACATATATGTGTATCTGTATGAAAGATATATATATGTATCTAATGAAAGCTAATTCTCCTTAATAAACTCTGTTATAGTTTATTAAGGAGAATTAGCTTTCACTATTATACAGCAAAGCCCTACCATGTGCCATCTGTAAGCTGGGGAAAGAAAAAGCCAGTAGTGGCTCAGTCCAAATCTGAAAACCTCAAAACCAGGAAAGCCAACAGTGTAGACTTCAGTCTATAGCAGAAGGCCCAAGAGTCCCCAGGAAGATGCTGGTGCAAGTCCCAGAGTCCAAAGGCCAAAGACTGGGAATCTGAGGTTCAAGGGCAGGAGAAGTGGAAGGAAGCATCAGGCATGCAAAGACAGAGAGAACTAGGGGAATCAGCAAGCAAAATTATCCCCATTCTTCCACCAGCTTTGTTCTAGCTGCACTGGCAGCAGATAGGATGGTGCCCACCCAAATTGAGGGTGGGTCTTCCTCTCCCATTCCACCAACTCAAATGTCAGTCTTCTCTGGTAACACCTTCAGAGACACCCCCAGAAACAATACATTGCCAGCCATCTAGGCATTGCTCGATGCAGTCAAGTTGACACCTAATATTAACCATCACACCTGTCAACTTTTTTTCTTATACTCAGTTTTCATGGCACCTGGTGTTGGAGTTGGGTTGAGCATTTTAAGGATCCAGTTTAGGGAAAGTTAAATTAGAGATACATTTCATTTGAGTCTAGTGGGATATAAATTTTAGTTCTTAGTCATTGCTGTATGTGCAATTATTGTTAGCTGTGCTAGTGTAGAAATGCCTATCAAGAAACACCCCGACTGCCCACTGTGTGGACCCAGCAGCATCTTGACACGAAGTAACAGGGCTTATAGCTACCTGGCACCAGAAGCGTTTGGGCACAGAAGTGGCATATACTTTTAAAAGTGGAGAGAGAATCAAAATCTGTGGAAAACCTTTCTAAATCTCCTAGCGCATATATGAAAGAAATTCAGATAGAGATTTTCCTAAATTTGACAAGAATTCTAAAAATTTATATAACATTACCAATAATTGGTTGTGAATCTAAAGGAAATATTTCTATGTTATTGAGAATAATTTTAAAAAATATATCAACCAAGCTAGAGGGAAGAGTCTGTTCTATCAAAATGATAAAAAATTGTTGTCATACAAAGGGGTGAAAATATTTTTAAGTTCAATTTAAAAAGTAAGAAAAATAAGTAGAATGGAGTGACATAGACAACTAATTCATAAAATTATAATTTTTTTCTAGATTTGATGATGTTTTAAAATTATCCAGCTTTTCAAACTTTGTGATTTGTTGTACTTTCTTCTTTTTCTAAATAATTATTCACATTTGCACCAAATTTGTAATTTATAAATTTGTATTCTTTTTAATTTATTGTATGTCAGATCCAATAAACCTGGAACATCTCCTGCCCTAACTCAATTAGCCCCAATAACTCAAAATAAGTGGAAATCACTATAATAAAAATTTGATTTAATGTAGGGGCTAAAGTGGATGGAAATCTACGCTCTGGAATGAGACTCCCTGAGATAAAAATTCTTGCTCCACAACTTATTATTCTGTGACCTTGGGCAAGTTACTCAGCATATCTAAACCTCAGCTTTCTCATTTAAAAAGGAGACTGGATTAGAAAGCGTAATTCCTTGATGCTCTTTATAACTGTGTGATAGTAACATGAAACATAGTGAGTAACCAACTAATTAAAATTAGTATGCATGTTGAAAACCTTGGATTCCCTGTAATTTCACATCAGCCCTATGGATTCCTAATTGTTCTTTCAGGTATGTGTAGAGTAAGAAGAAGTCTAGTGTGGCAACTGACCTACCTGTCCATTCTTTTAACTAGCATAGTCCCGCTTTTATTAACTTCATTTACACTCTAAGCTTTAGTTTGAACAAGGTGCTCTGTGTCTGTATATGTGTGTTCATATGTGTATTTGAATACAACTGCCCTTGCCCAATCCTTCTATCACAAGAATCATGTGATAACATTAGTGAAAATATTACAAACAGAAAATAAGTGGTAATCGCTTCTCTATTTGACTTCAATCTTATATGTAGGAAGGATGGAAGGATATGTTTTTATTTAAAATAAAACAAAATAACCACAGAAAATTCTTCCTTCTAGATCAGAGATTAAGCATTCAATGAAAATAGAAAATTAACAAGAAGTGATTGAGAGAAACATAAGCTTCCCCAAATTCTCAGGGATATTAAAGGATTATCAAGTTTCCCATAGCATATGGGACTGAGCCTCATGTTAATATTTGGTTATTTATATTTGACCAATATTAAAAGAATGTGTAAACTCAAACAGCAGGAGGACTTGGATAAAGAGCTAACACTGGCATTTTATGTATAGCTCCCCAAAGACTTGCTTTATTGATTTAGTATTTTTAATTGTACTTTTTAATTAGAAAAAAATCACATTTTAATAATTGCTACTCATAATTGCCAGACAGAATAATCTTAGTCCGTCTTTAATTTGACAGCTTTTCAAATGAATGAATCAGTTTCATCCCCAAATAAATTCACTTCCAATTAAAAGTTGATTGTTTTATGACAGGACATAGAGATATTTTCTTTGATTCTTACATGTCATTGAGAAGTAACAATAATCAGCATCTCTGAAATTTCCTTTCACTTATAGAGACCCAAGCCTTCTGGCAATTTTCCATGAATGAAGTCTTTCTTGTAATCAAGATATTCCTGTTTTATTAATTTTTTTCTTTTATATTTGTCTGCGTAAGAACAGGGAACTGTCTTAACAGAATTTCTAATACCTAGGTGGTCAGATATTCCTTCAAATTAAACAAATTTGATGTCTTAAAACTAAGTGTAACAAATAAATAAATAAATAAAGAGAATGTTCAGCTCCTTTGCTAAGCTATACCCAGTAATTTAGAATAAGAGTTTAACGGATAAAATAAAATAAGCAATAGTTACTATTTCATGTATATCCTAGTGCAGGGGTCCCTAACCCTGGGCCATAGACTGATACAGTGTCTCCTAAGGAACAGGGCCACACAGCAGGAGGTGAATACCAGCAAGGGAGGGAAGCTGAGCTCCGCCTCCTGTCAAGTCGGCAAATTAGATTTTCATGGGAGCATGAGCCTTATTGTGAACTGCTTACATAAGGGATCTAGGCTATGTGTGCCTTATGAGAATCTAATGATTAATGCGCTTGAATCATCACAAAAAATGGTCTCCACTAAACCAGTCCCTAGTACCAAAATGGTTGGGGAACAATGGCCTAGTGTACAGTTCTCTTGTTTTGAAAGAAGAAGAAACCAGGCAATAGAAATAACTGGTGCGATAAATTGACACTTGAAAAGCAGGTAGTTAAGGGGAACAATGTTTAAGAAGGCAGTGAGTTTTGAATCATTAAGACTTGTAAAGCTGAGTGTCTAAAGTGAACATTTTAATTATGGCATGTTTCAGTTGTAAAAATAGATCATTAAGAATCACTTATAATCTTGGCCCTAGGATAGGTATTTTGGATATATTCTTAATTATGTAACCAAATGCCTAATAATATGTCACCAGTATTGTAGATTTCTGTTGCCACCTAAAATTCTGCATTATATGCCTGATTCTACAATAAACTAACCAATATCCCCTTTGGAAAATATAAGGCTTTAACCATTTCTTTATTACTGAATACTTATTTTTAATTTTTAATATTTTGACTAATGTTAATATGTGTATCTTTCTACATAGAATATTTTAATTCCATTTTAAATGAGTAAATTGTATGTTTCCCCTCCTTATTCTGTAGTTCACTAATTTATCCTGAGGGACTGGAGTTATTTGATTTACATTCAGGTTTTGTGTATGTGTGTTTTGTGTGCATATGTATGTATGTGCATTTGCAACATGATTTGTTCTTCATGTAGTGTCTTTTTTTGTTGTTTTTTGTTTTGTTTGTTTGTTTGTTTTGTTGAGACAGAGTCTCGCCCTGTCATCCAGGCTGGAGTGCAATGGCTCAATCTCGACTCACTGCAACCTCCGCCTCCTGGGTTCAAGCAATTCTCTTGCCTCAGCCTCCCGAGTAGCTGGGATTACAGGCGCCTTCCACCACACCCAACTAATTTTTTATATTTTTAGTAGAGACAGGGTTTCACCACGTTGGCTGGGCTGGTTTCGAACTCCTGACCTCATGATCCACCCACCTCAGCATCCCAAAGTCCTGGGATTACAGGCATGAGCCACCATGCCCGGCCCGTTTAGTATTTTTTAGTGTTTTAATTTCTTTGAGAAAATTGATTTTTTTTTTTTTTTTTTTCTGAGATGGAGTCTCACTCTGTCACACAGGCTGGAGGGCAGTGGCACAATCTTGGCTGTCTGCAACCTCCACCTCCCAGGTTCGAGTGATTCTTCTGCCTCAGCCTCCCAAATAACTGGGATTACAGGTGCATGCCATCACACCTGGCTAATTTTGTAGTTTTAGTAGAGACAGGGTTTCACCATGTTGGCCAGGCTGGTCTTGAACTCCTGACCTCAAGTGATCCACCCACCTTGGCCTCCCAAAGTGCTGGGATTACAGGCGTAAGTCACCATGCCCAGCTGAATATTGACTTTTTGATCCTCAGTTTAAATATTGTTTTTTTTTTTTTTTTAATTTTTATTTTTGAGACAGAGTCTTGCTCTGTTGCCCAGGCTAGAGTGCAATGGTGCAATCTCGGCTCACTGCGACCTCTGCCTCTTGGATTCCAGCAATTCTCCTGCCTTAGCCTCCTGAGTAGCTGGGACTACAGGTATGCACCACCACACCTGCTAATTTTTGTATTGTTAGTGGCGACAGGGTTTCACCATGTTGGCCACACTGGTCTCGAACTCCTGACCTCAAGTGATCTGCCTGCTTTGGCCTCCCAAAGTGCTGGGATTACAGGCATGAGCTACCACGCCCGACTTAAATATTGCTTCTTATAGCATACTTCTTCACTGATTTCTTCCCTTGCTTGTACCTGAGAGTTCTGATTTACTGTTGTTTTTTTGGCACGCATCCTACCCAAGTTAATGGCTTTTTTTATGTGTTCTGTAATATAAATTGATTATGTTACTTCAGAATTTTGAGCATATTCAAATCAGTTATTCCCCTACCCACTGCCACAGGACATAATCAATCCTTTTGAACACTTATACTCCCTCACAGGTAGAAAAATTTGGGGTGGAGTAACTCTGGAAGACTAAGCATCTTTACTAAGAGCCTAAGCCCTTAAGAAAGGCCATGTAAATCAGCTAGGAGGGGGAACTAAACTTTGTGTTAGTCTCAACATTTAAATTGAACAGAAATTGTTTGTATCAGAAGATATGATATTTTTAAGAGACAAGAGCAAAGATTTTTTGGTTTTGTTTTGGGTTACTCTTCAACTGAGCAGATTAGAGATTGTTAGAAAGATTAGATAAGTTGCAGAAAAATGCAAAAGCTCCCTTTCCTTTGTACATCTGAGTAAATGTGAGTAATTAGTATTAGGGGTATAGAAACCTTAAGAGAGTCCTAAGCAATTTTTCATGGCCTCACAGATGTTCACTAAAGTAGTCAAAGTCTCTTCTTATCAGCAAGAAGTGTGAAGAATTGCCTGAGAGTGAAAAGTCAACAGATTTGCAAGAGCTTTAGAACACCAAGGTCATGAGTACCTACAACTGGGAACACTGAGCAATTCAGTGGATGTCAGCACAGATGCCAAAGGCTATACATGATAATTACAGCTCAGCAGATGCCACCCCACATGGATACTAATGATCAGAAGCCAGATACCACTTGGTATGACTATAAGCCCCTAGGTTTGAGGTGATCACTGGGAGAGGAAAGAGAAGAAACGACAACCTGAAATTATTTTGTTTCCCACTGAAATGCCTGAAATCTCTGGAATACACTAAAATTTTGCTTTTGGCCGTCAGCTGGAATTGGGTCTAGAAATAGATAGAAAGGTGAATTAATGAAAATATAAAGGGAATAGTATTTTTTATACACCACTGTATGTGGTCTGATAACTCATAATAAGGATAATTTGGCCGTCAGCTGGAATTGGGTCTAGAAATAGATAGAAAGGTGAATTAATGAAAATATAAAGGGAATAGTATTTTTTATACACCACTGTATGTGGTCTGGATAACTCATAATAAGGATAATTTTAATAATGACACAATTGAAGAAAGAGCTACTGTTAGTAATACCTTGGGGACTGCAGTTTATGAAACACCTCTCAATGTATGACTTTTTGCTAATCTAGTTTTATTCACTGAAGTATTTCCTACAGTGAGAGTGTGCCAGGAAGCACTGGTAAGAAAGGAATGGGTACAATGTGTGTAAACGGTGTGCCTGACAATTTAGAAGACTAGAGGTTAAGAGAGATGTGAAAGCCAAATTTAGAGAAGTGAAAGCCAATTTTTCATACCTGAATGTTTTTATTTATCCTCCCAAGGATGATACACACAGGGGTGTATGTTAGACTCAAGAGGTTTAATTTCAGAGTTGCAGAGTTGCTGCTGATCATTTACCAGAGTGTAGCCTGGGAAAGCCTTAAGACCAGGGCCAAATAAGTTAATACAAACAAGGGAGAAAGGTGGTAACAGGAGGTGAAATGGGTGTTTCTAGCACTTCTGTTTCTCCATGGCCCAAATCAGGCATTCTAAATACGTTCTTGGATACTCATGTAGAAAGTCAGAAGGAAGGTGAAAAATAGAAATTGATCAGGAATGATATTTCCAGAAAAAGATTATAGTAGTTATATAAAATAATATTTTTTATTTTTGAGTTAGAATATGTAAATTACAAGCCCATTCATTCATCAAAATGATAAAGAGCTGTAACTTTTGAGTGACTTTAATCTTTTCTGTTAGTCAATAGTGTTTATCAGATATTTTTATTGTCCCTCCCTCAGGTTTCATGTGCACTTCCCTAACCCCTTGTCATTAGGTGCTTGAGATACAGGTTGACCTTTATCTGTGGGAGAAAATTGTAGGTATTGCTGTAGATCGGAGAGATTCAAGAGTCAATGTTGAGTGCAGGACTTTGAGAATGGTGGAGTGAAAACCTCTGTGAAACTGTTCCTTTATGAAAGCAATGAAATGCTAGAAAAAATTGTCAAAATAAAATTTTTCAAAACCTGGAAATTAGTCAAATGTTTGCAACAATATACATTTATTCAACAAAAGTAGCAGAGCCTAGGTAAGAAAAGCAGAACATTTTTATATTGACTTGTTTTAATCTTCCTTTTTCCAATTATGTGATAGCCTTGAATCATAGCAGCTATGAAAGCCAGCAGGCTTGCAGCCACTGGAGGAGACAGCTGGTGAGGAACTCCTCACAAAGCTCCACTCTGAGAGCATACCACAATGTGACTTATCTACCAGCTCCATGGAAAAACCCCATTCACAGGGCGTTGTTGTTATTTGACCCTGGGAAGGAGAGAAAAGCTTATTTCCAGAGTTCCCCTATTATATTATTCGAAATGTTTAGTTTTCAACAAAAATTATGATACATGCAAAGAAATAGCAAAGGTATCCCATATATGGAAACAAAAAAAAGCAGTTAACAGCAAACAATATCCCGAGGACATTCAAATGCTGAACTTAGCAGACAAAGATTTTAAATCAACTATTATGATTAGAAACAAGTAAGTAAAGGAAACCATGTCCAAAGAGTTCAAGAAAAGCATGACAACACACAACTTTTGCCAATCAGCAGAAGTTTTTATAGAAATATTTGAAGCATTTACAGAAATATTTGAACAATTATTAGATGACAAGTGAGATAAATTAGTGGATATTTCTGTGGCTATACACTGCAGGGAATATGGACTTTACAGAATTAGAGGAAAGTATGACTGTATTAGGCCAGTCTTGCATTGCCATAAATAAATACCTGAGACTGGATAATTTATAAAGAAAAGGGGTTTAATTGGCTCACAGTTCTGCAGGCTTTACAGGAAGCCTGGTGCGGGCATCTGCTCAGCTTCTAGGGAAGCCTCAGGAAGGTTACAATCATCTTGCAAGGTGAAAGGGCAATAGGCATGTCACAGGGTGAAAGCAGGAGCAAGCGAAAATGTAGAGGGGGAGGTGCCCCACACTCTTAAATGACCAGATCTCATGTGAACTCAGAAGGAAAGCTCCCTTACCACTGAGAGCATGGCCCAAGCCATTTGTGAGGAATCCACTCCCAGGATCCAAACACCTCGCGGGGATGACATTTCAACATGAGATTTGGGCAGGGACAAATATCCAAACTACATCAATGGCAATGGTGTCTCAACACGTACAGAATGAGAGAAAGTGCCACAAAATTAAAAAGCGACAAACAGAGATTCTGGAATTGAAAAGTAAGTAACTAAAATTAAAACAAAAAACTACTAGTGGAGTTCAACAACAGATTTGAGTTGCCAAAAGGAAGGTTCAGTAAGCTCGAAGATACATCAGTTAAGATTATCTAGTCAGAAGAATAGAAAGAAAAACAACACAAATTTGGAGGTAAGTATACACTCTTGCAGCCATTACCAAAATCTATGCTATGTACATATCCATCACCTGCAATAGTTTCTTCTTATGTTCTTTATTATTATTTTTTTGTGATAAGAACACTTCACATAAAATCTGCCCTCTTAGCCAATGTTTAAAGTACACAATACTGTATTGTTAACTGTAGGCACTATGCTGTACAGTAGATTGCTAGAATTTCTTCATCTTCCGTAACTGAAAATTTGTACCTTTTGACAAATAACTTTCTGTTTCCTTCTCCTCACAAGATTCCCCTCATTTTAGAGCAGGGGTTTTACACACCAAATTGTCAACAATGAGTATTTCTTGGTGAAGATTTGGTGGGTGTTCAGTCAGTAGGTGTACCTTCCATTTTAACTTTACATATACCTGTATTGTTTTATTTTTAAAAATAATTAATGTAAATAACACTTATAACAAAAATGACCAAGATGAAAACTAGTGGCTCTCAGATGCTGTTAACTTTGGAGAGACACTCTGATCATAGATTTTGGTAATGGTTGCACGAGTGTATACTTACCTCCAAATTCATCAAGTTGTCTACCTTAAATATGTACAGCTTTTTGTATGTCAGTCATATCCCAATAAAATGGTTTTTAAAATAAAAAAAATAAAAACAATACAAAATGTGAATACAGCCTCAGAGACCTGTGGGCTACCATCCATTGTACCAGCACAAAGATAATGGGAATCCCAGATGAATAGGAGAGAAAAAAGAGCAGAGAATATTTAAAGCAAGAATGGCTCAAAACCTCCCAACCTGAGGGAAACTGTTAATCTACTCACAGAAGAAATCAGTGAACTCCGAGTAGTAGAAACACAAAAAGCTCCATACCTAAAAACATCACAGTCAGTGTTCAAATTAGAAGAAACATAGAATACTGAAAGCAGCAAGAGAAAATAACTCATGCTGTGAAATGAATGCTCACAAAAATGGAACGAATTTTCATAACATACTTGAAGTGCTAAAAGAAATAAATGAAATAGAGAATAAAAAATGAATAAGAAAAAACAATTAGTTCTTTAAAAAGATCAACAAAATAGAAAAATTTACCTAGGCTGACTAAGAAAAAAGCAAAGAGAAGACTCAAATGACTAAAATGAGTAATGAAATGGAGGACATCTCTAATTATCCTGCAGAAATAAAAAAGATTATACAGGAATCCTGTAATAAACCGTATGCTAACAATGATGTAACCTAGAATTAAAGGAAACATTTCTAGAAATAAACAAATTACCAAAATTGACTCAAGAATAAAAATGAACTCCAAAGTAACCTATAACAAAGATTAAATTGCCAAGTAAAGAACACTTCTCACAAAGCAAATGCCAGTCCTAGATGGTTTCACTGGTAATTTCTGCCAAACTCTTAAGGAACTAAAAACAATTCTTCACAAAATCTTTCAAAAAATAGAAAAGGGAGAAACACATCCCAACTCGTTCTATGAAGCTAGCCTGATACCAAAACCAAATAAAGGGATCAGAAGAAAACAAAACTACAAGCCAATGTCCCTTATGAATATTGATGCAAATATTCTCAACAAAATAGTAGCAAACTAAATCCAGAAACATATAAAAAACATTCCATCAGGACCAAATGGAATTTATTCCAGTAATGCAGGGTCGCTCTAACATCTAATAATCAACAAATGTAATATACCATATTATTAGAATAAAAAAACCACATGATTTTCTTTATAAATATGAAAAAACTGACAAAATCCAACACCCATTCATGATGAAAAAAAGTACTCAACATAATAAGAACAGAAGAGAACTTCCTTAATCTAATAAACAGCATCAGTGGAAAACTCACAGCTAACTTGAAGAAAGACTGAATGATTTCTGTTGAATAGCAGGAAAATACAAAGATATCTACTCTGGCCACTTATATGTAACATTATAGTGAATGTTCTAGTTAAGACAGTCATTCATGAGAAAGAAGTAAAAGTCATCAGAATGGAAAAGGAAACTAAAACTATCTCTGTTTGCAAATGATATGATTTTGCATATAGAAAATCCAAAAGAATCTAGTGGATTCAATTTAAATAATAAACACATTCAGCAGTGTTTCAGGATACAAGATCAATATACAAATATCAAATCTACACACCATCAATGAAAAATCCAAAAATGAAATGCGGAAAACAAAACCATTTAGAATACCCTCAAAGACATAAAATACTTAGAAATGAATTTAAGAAAAATGTACAAGACTTGTACACTAATAAAACTGTTGAAGGTAAAGACGGTCCAAGTAAATGAAAAGATATGTTCAGAGGTTGAAAAACTTAATTTTTAAAAAAAATTATTTATTTTTTGAGATGCAGTCTCATTCTGTCGCCCAGGCTGGAGTGCAGTGACACAATCTTGGCTCACTGTCTCCCAGGTTCAAGCCATTCTCCTGCCTCAGCCTCCTGAGTAACTGGGTTTACAGGAGCCTGCCACCACACCTAGCTAGTTTTTGTATTTTTAATAGAGAAAGGGGAAAAAACTTAATATTGGTAACAGACATCCAACATAGTTTGTTTGATAGAAGTTCAGCATTTAAAATACAAAATAGACATCATTTTGAAAATGTAATAACAAATATATGTAGGCAAATATATAAGCCAAGAGAAGCTGGAATACGCAAACCCAGTAGCTGACAAGATAAAATTGAAGGAAAATTTTCAGAAGGAATGAAGATAGACTTTATGTACTGGTAAAAGCAACGATTATTTTCATCAGATAACATCAGTTTAAAATATGTTAACACAGTAACTGACTGAATTCTGGGGAGCAATAGATAAGTCCATAATAGCAATATTAATCCAAATACCTCAGAAATATATAGACCAAATTGATAGAAAACATACAATACAAGGAAAGATACAGAAGATTAGAATAATAACCAGTAATAAATTATAATATGGATCATGGTTAAAAACATTGTCAGGAACTTAGAAGAGCTGGAGAGAGAGAACGTGGAGCAGCAAGTATCAGAATAGCTGATAAAACAACAAGCCCAAATGCAAGTAATAGTCAAGTCTTTAATCACTTACTGTGAAGGAATAAGCAAGAATCTCAAACTGGAGGTAGCACTGACCTCATGTTACATCCACCTGCCCCATGAGCGTATGCACCAATTACGGGTCGGGTAGATTAGTACTAACATAATGGCTGTCTGACTGTTGAGGGAGCTCTGAGGAAAGACTTTTGCAGTTTTATAGACCTGGGGGTTGGGGTGAGGTCTGGGGCAAGGCTAGAAGTGGAAAATGCCTGAGTACTGAATGAGTCCGAATGCAGAAAGTGTTTTCAAGATCCTCCAACAAGGAGAATTCCAAATAGAAGGCCTCGACTAGGAATGCAGATGAGCATGAGAGCATGGCTGGCCAGGAAGCTGAGTTCTTGACTGCAATTCCTGTCAGAGACTGCAGTGCACTGGCTGTGTAGCCAGTCTGGTGTGGGGAGGGCAACTTTCCCCCATGAGGCCTGCCAGCTAAAGCCATTATAATTGCTTGTGGTTGTACCTGAAAAATCACAAAAAATTTTTGACCATGGGCTGAAACTCTCAAACATACAATTCAAGGCCAAACTGAACCCTGCCACTTAGTTCTGTCACTGACTAGACATGAGATCTTGAGTAAGTTATTTAACAATTCTGTGCATGAGTTTTTCTATTCGTTGAATGGGAATACGCTTGGTAAAGGAAGTATACTGATATAATATATTTTATCTACAGAAAGAATATCAGACACATAGTGTTATAAATTTGTTAGCACTTGTTTATATGCATACATAGGCACAAACACACATGTATCCATGCATATCTATATTATGAATATATCTGATGTACATACATACTATTATACATTTTTATTGTATATGTGTTTATATATGTACACACTTACACAAACAAATGATTTTTGTACCTAACAAATGCACATACACATTCTTTCAGATTTAAATGAAATATTTACAAAATTTGGCCATTTGATATGCTGCACTTTATCTCTGTGTCAGTTCACTTCCCATTGGCTAGAATTCAGTCACATGGTGACAACAGAATGATTCTGAAATGCATTCTAGCTGTGTAACTAGAGATAGAAGGAACCCATTTTTGAACAGTTAGCATCTCTTC
Source organism: Homo sapiens (assembly GCF_000001405.40). NCBI lineage: Eukaryota > Metazoa > Chordata > Mammalia > Primates > Hominidae > Homo > Homo sapiens. Next base: position 87,203,582 of record NC_000008.11, read on the forward strand.
TGTAGTTTGCCTCTTTCTAGTTACCAACTACTATGCATACCCTTTTTCAACACATATATTAACTCTTTCACCAAAAGAAAAAACAGAAAGTTTCACTAGTTACGCATTTCAAAGTCCAGAATTTTAGAGGACATACCCTCCTCCCCATCAAGAATGAATATGTATATTTCTGGTCTGCTAACATAAAAACCAGAAATATGATTATTTGTTGCTATCCCCTTACACGATACACAATAGCAGAGCCAGGAATAGGCTATTACAATAAAAACTCACACTAAGAAAAAAGGAAGAAATGGAAACACATTACAGTCATTGATTCAGAGCAACATTGCTGTTTTGCTGGGCTAGTATTGTAAAATCCTCCACCCTAACAGTACTGGAAGTTTTAAAAATTAGACCTTAGATCTGTTTTTTGGGAGGAACACCTGGCTCCACTACCTGGGAGGTTTTGTCTTATCTTTTGACCTGTTGGACAAATGTAAGAACACTGGAGATCATGTTCCCTTTGAAGGATGAGGAGTGTGGCACAATTTCTTTTGGTTTGCAAGTTCAATGAGTCAAAACTTTTTTTGGAGCATAATATTAGGTATTTCAGTGGTACAGATGCTTCAAAAACATAACAGAATTTGTATCTATTTGTTTTCAGTATCTTCTATGAGGCAGCAGCCAAAGCCAAGGTTATGTTGTAGACATTGTTTTTAAGTTGTTTCTAATTTCTGTGCTTATTCCTTGTGCCCATCTCTCTCTTAATGGAGGCTACTTTAAGGCCTTCTGAAAAGGTAGGCTTGGATGGGAAGGCCAAACTATTTCATCAGACCTTTGCCATAGGGTTAAGCACCTTTATTTAACTGAGAAGACTTTCAAGTCTTTTCTTGCTACATGGGATGAGGAAGTACTGGGCTTTTTATAACCATGTCCCACTTTTCTAGAGCCTCTCTATTCCCTTTCATTTATACTTGAAAACTGATCAAACTTGAATCAGTTAATAATACATTGCTACAAACAAGCAGAACTAAGCAAACAAAACAGAATAACTTTCTGGCTCTTTCCAGCTACTTTCTATGAAGTAGCAAGTTTTCTAGGCACTTGATCTGCCTTACAAATGATTGCAGGCAACTAATAAATGTATTACCACTAAAATAAACAAAAAAAGAAAAACCTCTGTCTTTACAGCCTGTGATATTATTTCCTTGCCACCTCCTGTTTGGCTGCTAAGTCAATGGCACATATTTTAGGTTTTGGTTATGATATCATGCCATTTCTAATACGAATTATTTCTTATTGCATCTGAAGAACAAATTTGTAAATGACATTAGGTAGGGAGCAAGTTTTCTCAAAACTATTTCTCAGGACTGTATACTAAGCTAGTATTTTTAAACTTTTTTTTTTTTGCTACAACCCAAAACAAAAAACACAATTTATATCATTCTATAAACACACACAGACATAAACCTGTATGCATACACATGGATACCAGATGGGCCAACACTATGTCATATCTAAACTGGGACTATTACTGTCAAACCCATATGTGTGGTATGGGTATCTGAAATTCCCTTTATGATGCTAAATTGGTTTTTCACATGAAATTTTAAAAATTTGCTTGAAAACTGCTGAGCATTTTGTATTTTTAGTAGAGACAGGGTTTCACCATGTTGGCCAGGATAGTCTTGATCTCCTGACCTCGTGATCCACCCGCCTCGGCCTCCCAAAGTGCTAGGATTACAGGCGTGAGCCACCACGCCTGGCCAACTGCTGAGTATTTTGAAATGGTATTTATGACAGCTAGGTTAGTCCTTTGAGACATCAGATTGATAGGAATTTTATATCCTGATTTAGTGTTACATTTATTGAAGAGTTTTAATGATTAAAAATAAATAATAAATACCATGTATTATATGATAATCATGTTTCATTTAAAAGTACATACGTATCTTTTCACTTAACGATTTATACCCTTAAGTGTTAAAGTATATTTCCATTTGATCTAACTTTAATAGTACTTAAAAGAATTAAGAATAAACAGTGGAAACAACATTAATCTTTTTAATATCTAAAAGAGGTCTTTATTACTATTATAATAACTACTGATAAGAGATGCAACTTTACAATAGGAGTACTGAGTTTTCTATTTAAAAAGAAGTTTTCTATTTAAAAAGAAATTTTCTATTTAAAAAGGCATTGTGTAATTTCCTAAAGTTTGAAGTATTGTGAAAGCGCATCTTAATGTCGGAAGGGTAACAAATCCTAAAGTTGATTAGTAAGAAAAAATAGAATAGCATCACAGTTCTTTTTTAAAAACCCTTAACTAAACAGAAAATACAAATTTGGAAACTTAAAAATTAAGGATCTGTTTGTTTCTTTGCATTTATGCCATGGTCTCTGAATTTGTATTTTTTTTTTTTTTTGAGGCCCATTCACAGGACGCCATATGAACACAAAACTGTGTGGAAGTTCCTGAAAACAATTCCAGATTTAACCTTTCAGCTAAATGATAAGCATCTGAAAACACTTAGTAAGACTGTCTTTTCCGAAACCTGGTTGAAAGGCAGCACAGGTAATAGACTAATGTGGGATAAATTTGGCGAGATAAAATGCAGGCCACTGTTTCGAGTTCTTTATCATTATAATGCTTATAATTTCACTTAACAATTTCAGTTGACATGGTAAAAATGTACTATTTGGGTGTGTTTCATTTGTAAGTTTATAAGTAGTGAAATGAATAACATCTCACATTTTAGTACTTAGAGTTTAAGATATATACTTGTGTTTCTCTGCCTGGAGCATGACTCAGAATTACCCAGTGATCACATTGAGACCCATATTGTCGGGTTTAAACATCAGAATTTCTGGTTCAGTAGGTATAGGATGAGGCCTCAATTTCATTTATAATACCTCAGGTGATGCCACCAGTGCAGGGACCACACTTGTGGAACCAATATCTGAGATACACATTTAGTAACAATATAGTGTTGATTTTCATAGGTAAAACAGCAGATAGTCAACATGATTATTTGACTAAGTCAGATACTAACCCAGATATAGGGAAAAAAGCCTCTCTAGATAGATTTTCATTTCCCAATTTTAGCTTTTGGTCCCTTCATGAAGGATTTAGTGGATATATTAATAGACTTGTTATATTTTAATTACGGGGGCTAGGCATATAATTTAATACATTCTTTATGTCAGAAGCATCCCTTTTTGTTCCTCAGAAAAATAAATGAAGGAAGATATTGCTATTATTATTCTCCACAGATGAGGACCCCGAGGCACAAATATCACACAGAGCATTCTTGCTTAGAATCGAGTTTCAAACACACTTCAGCCTAATTCTAACTTGTTCTCTGTGTATTATGTCACTGTTAGTACAAACTGGTTTATCAAGATCATGACATTTAAAACTTAACTGGAATTTTAAAGAATATGTGTCTATTGAAAAAATTTACATATTTCCAGAGTTTTCCCTCCATGGTCTTCTTTCATAATTAGTTCCATTTAATCTGTGATCAAGCAATGAAAAATAAATCAAAGGAATTTTAAAGGGGATAAAATAATTTTGAAAGGGAATAAAGGACAAACATTCAACATTGCTTTGCTATTAGATTGAGGATAGTAATTAAAACTTAATTTGTTTTATAAATCACTGAAAACATATTTGTAACAGTAAAAAATATGGGAACAATCTAAATGTCCTTGAATAGAAGATTGGCTATACATATTTTGATATATCTATTATATAGAATTCTAGACAGTGATTAAAAAGAATGAACTAGATTTATATATATTGATATGGAAACATTAAAGAGTAAATAGAATAATTGCAAATTATATTAATAACACATTTATGAAAAAATCTAAATTTATGCACATAGACACACACACACACACACACACATAAACATATATCTTTTTAAACTATACAAGTGGGTCCAGAAGGACATTTCAAAAATACATATTTTTAAAAATTGTTGCCTTAGTGTAGGGGAGTGAAATTGAGGGGTGATAAAGGGCTAAAATTAACTCTTTCTTCTACATATATTTGAGTTGGTTTTATTCTCTCACAATGTGTTTATTTATTTGTTAATATTTGTAATTATACATTTATTTTTTTCAAACATTTTCTAAAATTAAAATTAGAAACAAACATTTAATTTGATGGCACCTTAACTCACGTGATTGACGATTAAAATATGAATTTTCAATCTTTCACAAGTGTCAGGTATTCCAACTTGCATTTCAATAGGGTGTACTTTCAACACTTAAAAATTAGGAGACTCTGTGTTTACACCTACCTGTGTCAAAATCCCTCTCAAGTTTTTAAAGCATTTAGTTCCGACAGCTCAGATCTGTTTCACTACCAAAGAAGTCAACTCATTAAATATATGACCTTTGTAGATTTCTTTGTTCATCCAGTTTAGTAAAAAGGCCCAACTAGGTGTCTGTCTCTCTCCTTTTTCTTTATTCATGTATGTGTTTCCCTCCCTCTGCTATTATTTAAACTATTCCTTCTAGTAGCCCCTCATCACCAGGCTGCTGACTTTCAATCTGCTGCTGGGGCTTCCATTTCTCTGGTGCAATTCCACACAGCTGTTTGTACCTTCTGGTCTCTTTTCTGGCCACTAGTTCTTAAAGCCTCATTATTTAATAAAGCTTCCTAAACTTACCATTATTCACTAAGCCTCTTGATCATTCAGGTTTTATAAATAATCGAACAGTAATAGGAAAACAATATTATATTTCTAAGTAGTGAATAAAACACATTATGTGTGTCTAAGTTAAAATGCTACAAAAAATGATTACTATATTATTATATTATTTACTGACTATATTAATATTACTATATATGAGTACTTATATTAAAATTACTGTATGTAATGTATTTTACATATAGTCATCTCTCTATATACATGTGTACGTAGATATAATTTACTGAAGTCAAATGGAAGGATTTTTCATTAGATCACATTTTTATGGCCTGAACAAGGGACATTTTTATGATTGATAACCTAAAGCTCATGAAAACTAAAAGAATTGCCAGTTTAGTTACTAACCTGTAACAATATCCCAGATCAAACTTTTATTATCTAGCTTTATGTTAATATTAAAACCCATTTCTATAAAATAATGTTTTTCTCTTTTATATCTATGTCACCTTGACTGTTTTCTTTGTGTAGTCCTTTGTCTTACAGTATTATTTCTCTTCTATTTCTTTCACTTTATTTCATTCTGTAACCCACTTTTATGAGATTGTATCTCAAAAACTCCGTAATTCCTCATTTTCATTAAATTGTATATTTACTTTTAATGCTGAAAATATTTTTATATTACTAAGGTTCTAACATTTCTTTAACCTGCATAGATTTTATTTTCTGTTGTGGTTTATATTTTATTTAACAACTAAAAATATGGTAGCTAAATCTCATGAAATATGTAGTGGGCATCTTTTCTAGACATCAATTAACCATAATTCAAATAATTTATTCTTATAATAGAAGAAATAAAATCTTTAGCTGAGATTTAGTATAAATCCAGTCTTTATGTAGACTCATCAAGAAAAAAAGGAGATCCAAGAGAAACCCAGGAAAGGAAGGCTTCACTGCTGAATTTTACCAAATATTTTAAAAAGAATTAATATCAATTATTCTGACACTCTTCCAAAAATTGAATAGGAGGGTATATTCCCAGACTAATTTTATGAGGCCAGCATTACCCTGACACTAAAGGCAGACAAGTTAAATGAATTCAGTAAAATTGCAGGATACAAAATCAACATACAAAAATTAGTAGTGTTTCTCTACTAATAAAATATTCAAAAAGGAAAATAAGCAAACAATTCCATTTATGAATAACAATAAAAAATTACTTAGGTGTAAATCTAATCAAGGAAGTGAAAGACCTGTAAACTGTAAACTAGAAAATATTGATAAAAGAAATTGAGAAAAATAGTAATAAATAGAAAGCTGTGCTTTCTATGCTCATGGGTTGAAAAAATTAATATTGTTAAAATGCTCATACTAGTCAAATTGATCTATAGATTCAGTGCATTCCCTATCAAAATTCCAGGACATTTTTCACAGAAATAGAAAAACAATTCTTAAATTCATATGGAACCACAAAAGAACCCAAATGGCCAAAACAATTCTGAGCAAAAAGAACAAAGCTAGAGGCATCACACTCTCTGATTTCAAAATACACTGAAAAGTGATTATAATAAAAACACAAGGCAATGGCATAAAAACAGATATGTTGATATGATAAGGCTTTGTGTCCCCACCCAAATCTTATCTTGAATTGCATTGCCCATAATCTTCCCAAATCCCCACGTGTTCAGGGAGAAACCAGGTGGAGGTAACTAAATCATGAGGGCAGTCACCCCCATGCAGTTCTCATGATACTGAGTGAGTTCTCATGGGATCTGATGGTTTTATAAGGTGCTCTTCCCACTTTACTTGAGTTTTGACAAAGGTGCTAAAAACACTCAACAGAGAAAGGACAGTCTCTTTAATGAATGGTGTTGGAGATAAATGGTGTTTGAATTTATGAGTGACGACTTACAGTATCTGTAGAAGAAATTTCTAAGCAACAAAGTGATCAAGATATGGTCTGGCTATTTCTAACATCCTATGTTCAGATAAGGGAGCAAAGAAATGACTTAAAGTTGGAAGTTCTCTTTAAAGGGAAAGCAGAGCATGAGAGTTTTGAAAATTTGCAGCCTACCCATATAACAGCAACAACAAGAACAAAAAAGCTATTATGGGTGGAAGAATCCAAGAAGGCTGTGGAGCAACCACTTGTTAGAAATATTTGTGTGACTAAAAAAGAGCTAGGTGCTGATAGCCAAGACAGTGGGAAAAAGGCTTCAAAGGCATTTCAGAGATCTCCTAGGTAGACACTCCTATGATAGGCCCAGAGGCTAAGGATGAAACAATGGTTTTGTGGGCCTGGCACAGAACCCTGCTGCCCTGCATAGCCTCAGGATGCTGCTCCTTACATGCCAGCCACTCCAGCTGCAACTCAAAGGGGCCCATATATAGCTTGGGATGCCCCTCTGGAGGGTACAAGCCATAAGCTTTGGTGGTTTCCATGTAGTGTTAAGCCTGTGGGCATGTAGACTGCAACAGTGAAGAAGGCTTGGCAGCCTCTGCCAAGATTTCAATGGGTGTATGAGAAAACCTAGATGCCCAGGCAGAAGCCTGCTACAGGAGTAGAGCCCTCACAGAGAACCTCTACTAGGGTTATGCAAAAGGGAAATGTGGGATTGAAGGTCCTACACAGAGTCCTCACTAAGGCACTACCTAGTTGGACCTGTGGGAAGGGCACTACTGTTCTCTAGACCCCAGCATGTTAGATCTACTGGCAGCTTGCACTCTGCACCTGGAAAAGCTGCAGCTACTCAACTCCTACCCCTGAGAGCAACCTCAGGGGCCATACCCTGCAGAGACATGGGGGCAGAGCTATTCAAGGCCTTGGGAGCCCACCACTTGTACCAGTGTGCTCCAGATTTGGGACACAGAGTCAAAGGAAGTTAATTTTGAGTTTTAAGACTTAAGCCTTGCTGGGCTTCAGATTTGCTTGAGGCCTATAGCCTCTTTCTTTTGGTCAATTTATCCCTTTTGGAATGGGAATGTTTTTCCATTGCCTGTTTCCCCATTGTATCTTGGAAGTAAATAGTACTTTTTGATTTTATAGGCTCATAGGTGGGAGGAACATGGATTCAAACTCAGATAAGACCTTGGACTTGGGACTTTTGAGTTAATGATGGAGCAAGTTAAGACTTTTGGGGACTGTTGAGATGGGATAATTTTATTTTGGAATGTGAGAAGAATATGAGATTTGGGGGCCAGGGGCAGAATGATATAATTTGGACATCCCCTCCAAATCTCATGTTGAGATATAATCCCTAGTGTTGGAGATGTGGCCTTGTGCAAGGTTTCTGGTTCTTGGGGGTGGGTCCCTTGTGACTTGGTACTGTCCTCATGATAGTGAGTGAGTTCTCACAAGATCTGGTTGTTTAAATGTGTATGGCACCTCCCCTTATTCTCTCTCCTGCTCCTTCTCTCTCCATGTGATGCGTCTGCTTCCATTTTACCTTCTACTATGAGTAAAATCTCCTTGAGGCTTCCTCAGAAGCTGAGCAGATACCAGCACCTGCCATGCTCATGCAGCCTGCAGAGCCATGAGCCAATTAAACCTCTTTTCTTTATAAATGACCCAGTCTCATGTGTTTCTTTATAGCAATGCATGAATGACCTAACACATGCTATATTATAGAAACTCATATAACTTAGATATAATGAACAAGTTCAGATACAAACTATCATAATTGACTCAAAGGAAGGATAACTTGAAGAAGGATAACTAAAATAAATTAATGTATTAAATTGGTAACTTAATATTCTCACAAAGAAAATCCCTGACCCACATGGATTAATAATGAAGTCTATCTAGTACTTAAAGGAGAATTTAGAGCACAAGCAATGAACAGTTAAGAATAAAAATTAATTTATAAAAATGAAATTAAGAAATTCAGTTCAATTTGCCAATAACATCAAAAATATAACCTGCTTAGGAATAAATTGTACAAATGAAGTGCAAGACTTGTACATTGAAAACTATAAAACATTGTTGAAAGAAATTAAATAGAAAGTAATCCAATATTCATTGATCTACATAATTAATATTGATAAGATAGCAATACTATTTATATTGATCTACAGATTCAACACAATCCCTAACAGAAATACCAATTGTCTTTTTTTTGCAGAAGTTAATAAATTGATCCTAAAATTCATATAGAAATTTAGGAGATGCAAAACAGCCACAATATATTGAAAACAAATGATAAAGTTGAAGGACTCACACTTCTCTATTTCAAAACTTACTACAAACCTATAGTAACATAAAAGTGTGATATTGGCATAAATATATAGAGAGATCAATGGAACAGATTGAGTCCAGAAATAATGTTTTAACTTGATGGTCTATTGGTTTTAGACAAGGTTACTAAGACAATTCAGTGGTGGAAAGAAAACTCTTTTCAACAAATTATGCTTGGAGACCTAAATATCAAGATGCTAAATAATGAAGGTAGACCCCTAATTTACAACATACACAAAAAATTACCAAACATGAATCAAGGATATAAAGGTAATAATTAAAACTATAAAACTTTTAGAAGAAAAACTTAAGAATCTTCATAATCACAGGTTAAGCCATGTGTTTTTACACATAACACTGACAGTACAAGAGACAAAGAAAAAATTGAATAATTTGGACCTTATAAAAATTAAAATATTTTGAGCTTCAAAGAATAGAATCAATAAGGCAAAAATGCAGCCCTTGAAATGGAACACAGTACTTGCAAATCATATATCTAATAAGGGTCTCATGTCCAGAATATGAATAACTTGTAAACCTGAGTAACAAGAAGACAATTAACCCAATTTCGAAAATGAGTATATTAGCTGAATAGATACATTTTCAGAGAAGATATAAAAATAGCCAATAAGCACATAAAAATGTCCAACATTATTGTCATTAAGCAATTCCAAATAAAAATTACAATGGCATACTACTCCATCCCCACTAACATGATTAAAATATAAAAGAAAGTATTAAGCGTTGGTATGGATGTAGAGAAGTTGGAACTCATACATTTGTCTTGGGATTGTAAGATGAAGCCACTTTGTAAAACACTTTGGCAATTCCTCAAATATTAACCATAATGTTACATTTGCCCCATGTATTAGTCTGTTCTCACACTCCTAATAAAGACATACCTGAGACTGGATAATTTATAAAGGAAAGAAGTTTAATGGACTCACAGTTCCACATGGTTGGGGAAGCCTCAAAATCATGGTGGAGAGTGAAGGGGAAGCAAGACACATCTTACATGGTGGCAGACAAGAGAGAATGAGACCCAAGTGAAAGGAGAAACCCGTTATGAAACCATCAGATCTCATGAGACTTATTCACTACCATGACAACAGTATGGGAGAAACAACCCCATGATTCAAATATCTCACACTGAGTCCCTCCCACAACACATGGGAATTATGGGAGCTACAATTCAAGATACAATTTAGGTGGGGACACAGTCAAACCATACCATTTCACTCCTGGCCCCTCCCAAATCTCATGTCCTCACTTTTCAAAACCAATCATGTCTTCCCAACAATCTCCCAAAGTCTTAACTCATTTCAGCATTAACGCAAAAGTCCACAGTCCAAAGTCTCATCTGAGACAAGGCAAGTCCCGTCCACCTGTGAGCCTGTAAAATCAAAAGCAAATTTCTTACTTCCTAGATACAATCAGGGTACAGGCATTAGGTAAATACAGCTGTTCCAAATGGGAGAAATTGGCCAAAACCAAGGGGCTAAAGGCCCCATGCAAGTCCAAAATGCAGCTGGGCAGTCAAATCTTAAAGCTTCAGAATGATCTCCTTTAACTCTATGTCTCACATCCAGGTCACACTGATACAAGAGGTGGGTTCCCATATCTTGGGCAGCTCCACCCCTGTGGCTTTGCAGGATCCCAGCTACTTTCATGGGCTAGTGTTGAGTGTCTGCAGTTGTTCTTTTCTGTCACATCATCAGAATGCAAATTTTTTGAATTGTTATGCTCTGTTTTCCTTTTAAAACTGAATGCTTTTAACAGCACCCAAGTCACCTCTTGAATGCTTTGCTGATACCCTAAATCATCTTCCTCAAGCTCAAAGTTCCACAGTCCTCTAGGGCGGGGGCAAAATGCTGCCAGTCTCTGCTAAAACATAGCAAGAGTCACCTTTTCTCCAGTTCCCAACAAGTTATTTATCTCCATCTGAGACCACCTTAGCCTGGATTTTATTGTCCATATCACTCTCAGCATTTTGGTTCCAAACTTTTCCACATTTTCCTGTCTTCTTCTGAGCCCTCCAAACTGTTCTAATCTCTACCTGTTACCCAGTTTCAAAATCTTTTCCACATTTTCGGGTATCTTTACAACAGCACCCCACTCTACCAGTATCAATTTACTTTATTAGTCTGTTCTTAAGCTGCTAATAAAGACATGTCTGAGACTGGGTAATTTATAAAAGAAAGAGATTTAATAAACTTATGGTTCCATGTGACTAGCGAGGCCTCACAATCATGGCAGAGGGCAAAGTTGAAGCAAGACACATCACACATGGCAGCAGGCAACAGAGAATGAGAGCCAAGCGAAAATGGAAACCCCTTCTAAAACCGTCAGCTCTTGTGAGACTTACTGCCATGAGAACAGTATGGGGGAAACTGCCCCCATGATTCAGTTATCTCCCACCTGGTCCCTCCCACAACACTTGGGAATTATGGGAGCTACAATTCAAGATGAGATTTGGGTGAGGACACAGTTAAACCATATCACCCCAGAATTCCACTCCTAAATACACATCTAAGAAATGAAAATATACATTAATGCCAAACTTATATACAAATGTTTATAGCAGTATTATTCACAGTAGCCATTATGTGGAAAAAGACCAAATTTACATCAATGAGTGAAGAAACTTTTAAAAAATATGTGCATATCATTATAATAGAAAATTTTGGGGTGAAAAAAGTGATGAACTACTAATACATGCCAAAACTTGTGTAGACCTTGAAACCATTATGATAAAGAAGCCAGTCACAAAAGGCCACGTGTTTATGACTGCTTTTATATGAAATCTCCAGAATAGGCCAATTCATTTGGACATCAAGTAACATAGTGGTTGCCACCTTTGGGATATGAGGTAAGGGACATTATTGCTGATGCATAAGGTGGGCGGATCACGAGGTCAGGAGATCGAGATCATCCTGGCTAACATGGTGAAACCCTGTCCCTACTAAAAAAATACAAAAAATTAGCTGGGCATGGTGGCGGGTGCCTGTAGTCCCAGCTACTCCAGAGGCTGAGGCAGGAGAATGGTGTGAACCCGGGAGGCGGAGCTTGCAGTAAGCCGAGATGGCGCCACTGCACTCCAGCCTGGGCGACAGAGTGAGACTCCTTCTCAAAAAAAAAAAAAAAAAGAGTTTCTTTTGGGAATGATAAAAGTATTCTAACGTTAGATTGTGACGAGATTCAATGTATCTTTACATATAGTAAAATTCAACGGAATTGTACATTTTAAAAGGGTGAATTTCATTGAATTGTATCTTTAAGCCTTTTAAAAAATTGGGATAATGTTAATCTTTTAGAGTGTACAATTCAGTGACATTTAGCACATTAAAAATATTTTGGAACCATCACAGCATCCAGTTCCCCCAAAATTTCTATCATCCTAAAATGGAAGCCCATGCCCATTAAGCAATCACTCACCATTCCCCTAAACCCTGGTAGCCACTAGCCTGTTCTCTATTTCTATGGTTTTATTTATTCTGAACATTTTGCATGAATGGAATCATACAATATGTGACCTTTTGTGTTGAGTTCTTTCGCTTAACATAGTGTTTTCGTGGTTTATCTGCATTGCATTATGTACTTCATTGTACCTCATGAGCTGTTAATTGTTTCTTTAATAGCTGAATAATATCCTCTTATGTAAGCTATTTTTAAAATGCTTTTTAAAAATCAATTGGAGACCAATGGACACCAATAATGCAAGCCAGCTCCTAGAGAGCCCTGTGATTGAAATCAATTTCTTTTAATAAATTTGTTTAATATGAAAAGAGAAATACAAAAGAAATTTTAAAAATCCACTAGAAATGGGTTAGCTGAGACAAACTCTTTCTGTGAAATGATTTAAACAAAGTTAAGTAAAATGAAAAATTAGCATATCAGAGACATCAGTATGCCACCATACATTGAATATATCATACACGTACACTACACAACTTCAGAAATATAATTTACCTGTGTTTTCCCACTCCCCTCAGAAAGCACCTTTGCATAACATACTGTGTGGAATTCTGTCATATGAGAAAGAAATTTATTTCTTATAGATTTTCTATAATCTCTTATATTAGAGTAACAGTATTTTATGATGTGTACATTCCTTTTACTACCATTAATCCTTTGATAGACAATCCTCTTAGCTGTGCAGGATAAAGCTCACTGTCCCTTTCTTATGTTTGAGGACTCTGAGTTTCAAAATCTTACTAGTTCTACACCAGTGAAGGGTAGAAGCAAGCCTTTTGAGTCTGGGTCTTCTGAAGCCAACCTTTAGCTTTGTTTTACCCTTTTCCATGAATTACATTTTTCCATGAATAAAATTAAGCTATAGTATCAAGGAAACTTGTTTGTTAACATGTATCATCAAAGAGCCTTCACTAGAATAATATGTGGCATTAATTGATACAGGTTTTGATGGGTAATCTAAAATATCTTTGCTGAAATACTGGCTTATAGAAATCAGTGCCATTGCTTTTACGATCTTTTCTAGTGTGAGAACAGTCTTGCATGGTGATGCTAATTCTCTCCCTGTTATCTGTTATCAGGAGAATGGCTCTTGATGTAATATGTCCTTTTTATGGCACTGGCCTGAATTTAATGTTCAATGTAAATTTTAATCTTTTAAATGTCTGCAAAATAAACTCTTTTTTATGAAAGTGACACCAATAAGAGAGTGAAGATGATTTTTAATGGCAAAGGAAAATAATAAATATGTGTTTATTTTAAAACTTAGAGCATTGAAAAATGTGATTATATGGCACATTATAAATAGACCAAAAGTCAAAAGAAGATGTAAAATAAACTTCTAATAAGATGTATTGGCTAAAAATCTTGTGTTTTATGGGAAAATGAATCAAATCGTCACTCAGTTTTGTACCCATAAGGGGATACAGTTTTATCCCCAAGTAATTGGAGATTTAGTAAAATTGACACATTTAGGATTAAAATGTGGTATGACTTAATATTAGAATCAGAATGAGGATTTCAGAAAAATATTGTGAGTCATTATGTACTTCAATCAAAATCTAATCTAGACAACAAACATGGAAAAAATAAGATTGCATAACAATTATTGGTGAATTTTAAGGTAGATATTTTTTATTAAGCTTTTTTTTTTTTTTTAAATAGCCACAGGGACTGTTAAATGTTAATGTCTGAAGTTAAAATAACTTTTTCACTGGAGAGAAAAAAGTTTGACTTTAATAGCCAACTATTCATGATATTTATTATCAGAAAGAATGACTGAAGAAACCAATTCTAAAGCTCATATTATTGTTTTTGTAGATTATTCTCAAGATTGACTGGCTTATACTAGAAATCTTGAAAAGCCAATTCATCTGGTTATCCAGGGATATATTTTAAAATCCGTAAAAAGTGGAGAAACCATCTGGACTTTATATTTATTGAGAATTGGTATTTAAACAAATTTTAAAAGACCTTTCTGAGATTTTTGTTTGTTTTAGTAGAAGGGCGTTTCATAGCAAATTTTAAAAGCTTGATGGTATATAACTTGGAGTCAGAAAAAACACCTTCTTTTGGTGGTATAGGTGCTTTGATTTATTTTTAGAGGTAAAAAATTCTTAGCTCTTCCACCCGAATACCTATGGGTGTAAGAACCATAATACTTTCTTCAGGCATGTGGGGGCTTCTTCAATATCCCAAAGCTATTTGTTCCTCCCCACTCCTGGCAGGGCTGACTCTAACACACACATGCTCTTGATCTGAAACATAATTTAATCTGCAGTGGTTAGACATAATAGTTACTCAAAAAATAGTTGATAGGTGAATCTATGCATTAACTAGCATTGGAGGTAATTTCCAACAATGTAAACTTTAATACGCAGTACTGATCTAAAGTTCATTCAGGAACAAAATATTTATTGCTAGATGATAATCTGAAATAGATGTAGTTCATGCATTCTTCCAGATAAACTAATGATTATCATTCAATTATAATGCTGAATTCTATGGCCACATATCACGGTGCCATTCTTTTGACCTTCCCATGTAAAAGTGATTTTTAAATTCTTAGAAATAGTCTATTATGCCTGGTAAAGGGTATTCTATTAATTACTTTTGTGAAAATCTTAGTTATGTTTATACTAAAGTGTAAACTTTTGGGAGAAATATATTCAATGTTATTGAGAATTTTTATAGTTACTAAATCCTGTAACTGATCATATTTCCTCTTATATGTTGGCTATTAGAAAGCCTTTAAAAACTATTTGATTTTAAATAGATATGATATTGTTTTGATATAAATTTTAAAAGATTGAAATGTTTTAAAAGTAAGGAAAATGGAGCTAAAATTGTCCCTGTATCCAGCATTACCTCCTTGAAAATATATAGAATTTCACAGAATATGTTTTGTAATTTAATATTATTCTTGCCTTCATCAGTTTTTCCTATGTTTATCTTCACTGTATTTCATTAACTTTTTAAACAATATTATCTGTATTTTTGTATGCTCACAAGATAAATCCTTTTAGATAACAAATGAAATCCTTTACTGAAAAAAGTCAAAGGCTTTGATTTTAATATGTGTTGTTATGCATAATAAGAAACTGTTTTCCTTCTCTGGAAATTTTTAATGTAAACAAAATATTTGAAGAAATTATAAAAAATAACAATCTGTATATATTTTTAAATCTGACTTCAAATTGATACATGAGGCTTAGACATACGTGTGTCATTTGATAACTGTCTTAAATATCTAAATATAAATCAAAAAGCATTTTCATTACTTCGACTATAAAAACACAAATTCAGTAAGTACTTCAAATCTTGGAAGAATAACTTGAAAACTACAATAAGTATTATAAAAGGTAAGGATGAATGTGACTGAACTTGAAGAAAATGTGGGACATAAATGAAAACAGACTCTCATCAGCACATAGGTCCTCTACATGTGGACGTGATTACACAGAGATGTGTAAAGTCTTACTGATAACAGTGTGGTCTTGAAATACTTAAATACCCTTCAAGACAAATTATACCTTCAGCTTAACCACAAATCAATGAATACATCCTAATGACAGGATGTCTAAAGACCATATATATGTATATATAGCCAGAATATATATGCATATATATAGCCAGAATACTCCTATAGTAACTCTAAGTACACAGTGATGATCAGCAAGTGATAAAATACTAAATACAGACTTGGAGCTTAGCTGAACAGTTGGATGGACAAGTCATGAACAACTGAAATTCGTAATTAAATAAGAAACACAGTTTCTAAACTGTTCAATATTTATTGTTCATGCTTACTGTTTGGAATCAGGCATATCTACATTAGTTTTGAACCAAACAATGTTAAAATAGTCACATGCTTATACAATCACTTACGGGAATAATAAGAGTTAACTATATTTTGGGTACCCTTCACATACTTCTTAATATTTTGACTCATTAGTATCTTAATAGATGTCCATTCACTAGTTCATATATTTTACAAGTCTAAAAAATTCATATTATTATACTAAAAAATAATAGGCAATAAAAAAGTTTAATTATCATAAATTCCTATAAACTTTGGGATTAAACTTTTAAAGTTAAGCAAAATAACATTTTTGAAAATGTTTTAGTGATTTTTTAAAGGATTAATAATTAATAGGTTGTTACAATCATTTGTGTATTATAAAATTATAAATTATTCCTTTATGCAATCGCCAATAATATTTAACTATTTTTTAAAGTAACTTAATGCTATGAATATGATGAATTCACTTAATGCTATGAATATGATGAATTCTCATTTCCGTGTTTATTCCCTCTGCAATTGGCTTCATTGAGAGGGTCGATTTTAAAAGTTTGCAATGTTCGTAGTTTGCCTTACCAATAGTCCTCTGACCAGTCACCTCAAGCCAGGATGATTTAGTGATATCCTTTTAGGGAGAGCAAGTCCAGAAGAAGACCAGCATCTGACAAAGGTCCTTTATGAACAATTTGATTCATTCTTGTCTCTGCAACTTCACTTTCTTTCTGTCCCTTACAAGAGTTCTCCTGGAACCTCCCCTAACTGTCCAAGTTTTTTTTTTTTTTTTTCATTTTTTTGATGAGAGCTTTAATTCATTGCTGTGATTCAACTTTAATGTATATGCTTCTGATTTTCAAATTCATAGGTTTTTAGACCTTACCTCAGCTCAACATTCACATAATTGAACTGCTAATATTTCTGCAAACACCACTTTTGAATAACTGCATATTTTTGTCATACAGATATGTTATACTTGATCAATCTTTTTAAAAAGGTTGTACATATTTTCCTATCATGAATACTGTGGTCCTGAATATATACTTACAGTAACTTTTACTTGTATTTTGGATTATTTATTTATGACAGATTTCTAAAGTTAAAAGTAATGAATCAAAATGTGGGTATATTTTAATATCTCGATAGTTGTCTACAAATGATCAGAAATATATCATCCCAGTGTTACATGAGAATGCCACTATTGCTGCATTCTAAATTTTAAGGCTTTGGTAATTTAAATGTTGAAAAATCACCCTCTCCCCATATTTGAGAGTCACTCCTGACTGTGGCTGTCCTGGCCAAGCAGGCTGCCCCTTTTCTTTCTCCATCCTTATTTTTGGTGTTTCTTGTCACTTTTCTGTTAAACTCCAGTGTTCTCTCTTGGATAATGTATTTGAGGTATGGTTTTCTCATACATTATTTTGGTTCTTATAAGTGGATAAGTTGTCTATGAGATGCTTCTAGTCAGCCATCTTAAACCAGTCATACTTCATTTTAAAAATTAGCACTGTTTTTATTCTAATTGAACATTGTGTAATTGGTTATTTAAAACATAATTCCAATTTCCAGTGCTCTCCTAAGTGTGTCCTAACCTGCTTTTAAGTGAATTCTTTAAAATACTTTTTCCTGTACTGTGCTTCTGACAAACTGGGTAATTCACTGTTCTTTATCAACCTTCCTAGCTTGATTGAAGTCCATCAAGTACTCCATGTTACCTGCTTCTGGTCTTGTTCATTTGATTTCCTACTATACAAATATTTTTCCTTCCATATCTGTCAATCAAAATTGTATCTACATTTCAAGATCCATCATAAATGCTTCTTTTTCATAAAGTCATTCCATATATTTCCCACCAGACACAATTTATTTCTTCTCCAGACCTTCATATCATTTTATGTACTCATTTAAGGATGTTTGCCTTGTATTGCCTCTTATAATTATATACTTTGTAATTTTCACAATACCAGAAGAGTATTTATTTTTATTTTGGAACAGAGAGTATCAATATTTGAAGGCTATTTCAATAGACGCTCTGAGCTCAAAATAAAATGAAATAAATTTCTTTACATCCCGTCCAGTTAGCTGTGTAATATTTACGTATTTGCTTTTTTAATCTCAAAATAAATATCCAGTTTTATTTGCCTGCTGTCTTCTACAAGTTATTGCATTATTCTAAGCGAGGTTATTAGACTTGTGTCTTAAAATAACTACTCCTGGTACCTTAGAAGAGGAAAAATTGGACCTATGCAAAATAATCCCATTTCCAAAGATTCTTTAATATAATAAAAGCTATGAAAAGGCCATTTTATTGCTTTGTTATCTTATCTCTGCAATCATTTAGACCTTATAAAGAGATTCCATAAATTAATCCATCTGGCTTAAAATTTATATAACTTTCTTATATTTTTCCTAGGCTTCCATCTAAGGGCCTGAGAAGAAAATTGACCATCATAGAGTTTTATCTTATTCCTCAATAGACAGAATTCTAAGGAAAAAAAAAGAGTTGATCTTCAAATATTTTATAAAATTCTTTGGAGAGAAATACTGTAGGGGATCATTAATTAAGCTTTCATTTATTCGACGAGTGTTTTTGCTAAATGCCTAAAATTATCTAGGCTGTGTGATATGAGCTGGAGATACAGAGAGCAGTCAGTTTCTTCTCTCAAGAGGTTACAGTCTACTGGCAGAGACTGAAAACAAAGAGTGCCATGGCAAAAATTCTGTGAAGAAAGATCCCAGAGGAGGCCTGTTAATTAGGTTGGATGGGGGCAGGGCTGAGGTCAGAAAAGGCTTCCCTGGTAGATAGATAACAGTTAAACTCAATTTTATAGGGCAAGGAGGGATTCACCACTGACAATATGACCTTATTCATCCAATTATAGTTCCTTGAAACTTTTAAGTCCTTCTAGAATGGCTGATTTTAGCTGAAGGTCTTTGTACCAGAGAGTGGGAAATGTTTAGCAAGATTCACAATCATGTTTGCTTTAATCAGACTTTGTAATTGGCCGTTAACCTTTCAAAAAGTCACTATCAAAATGATTAATTAAACTTTCTCTAACTAGTATTTTTAATTCTTTTTAATGCCTTCTGTTCATTAATAGAAGTATAGTTAAGAGCTATTTTCAAATATGGGGTCCTGCATTAGGGGTTTCACAAGTCCTCATGAGAATGGTTCTTTGATTTTTCATGTAATAGAAACTAGGTATATAAATACTTTTATGAAACTTATTCCTAACCAACTTGATTTTGATAAATTACTTTTGCAAAGTCTGGGAATCATTATTTAATGGGCTGGAAATCAGTATTGTTTCCTTATTGTCTGATTTTTCTTTTTTTTTTTTTTCAACAAACCACTTTTATTATAAAAATTTCCAGACTTACATAAAAACCCCTGTGACCCCATCAACCAGTTTCAATAGCCATCAAGTTTGCCATACGTATTTAATCTATCCTCCCTTTACCTCCCCACCTTTTTGCTTTTTGGCTGAAGTTTTTTTTTTTAATTTTTATTTATTTATTTATTTATTTTTTATTATTTAAGTTTTAGGGTACATGTGCACATTGTGCAGGTTAGTTACATACGTATACATGTGCCATGCTGGTGTGCTGCACCCACTAACTCATCATCTAGCATTAGGTATATCTCCCAATGCTATCCCTCGCCCCTCCCCCGACCCCACAACAGTTCCCAGAGTGTGGTGTTCCCCTTCCTGTGTCCATGTGATCTCATTGTTCAATTCCCACCTATGAGTGAGAATATGCAGTGTTTGGTTTTTTGTTCTTGCGATAGTTTACTGAGAATGATGGTTTCCAATGTCATCCATGTCCCTACAAAGGACATGAACTCATCCTTTTTTATGGCTACATAGTGTTCCATGGTGTATATGTGCCACATTTTCTTAATCCAGTCTATCATTGTTGGACATTTGGGTTGGTTCCAAGTCTTTGCTATTGTGAATAATGCCGCAATAAACATACGTGTGCATGTGTCTTTATAGCAGCATGATTCATAGTCCTTTGGGTATATACCCAGTAATGGGATGGCTGGGTCAAATGGTATTTCCAGTTCTAGATCCCTGAGGAATCGCCACACTGACTTCCACAATGGTTGAACTAGTTTACAGTCCCACCAACAGTGTAAAAGTGTTCCTATTTCTCCACATTCTCTCCAGCACCTGTTGCTTCCTGACTTTTTAATGATCGCCATTCTAACTGGTGTGAGATGGTATCTCATTGTGGTTTTGATTTGCATTTCTCTGATGGCCAGTGACGGTGAGCATTTTTTCATGTGTTTTTTGGCTGCATAAATGTCTTCTTTTGAGAAGTGTCTGTTCATGTCCTTCACCCACTTTTTGATGGGGTTGTTTGTTTTTTTCTTGTAAATTTGTTTGAGTTCATTGTAGATTCTGGATATTACCCCTTTGTCAGATGGGTAGGTTGCGAAAATTTTCTCCCATTTTGTAGGTTGCCTGTTCACTCTGATGGTAGTTTCTTTTGCTGTGCAGAAGCTCTTTAGTTTAATTAGATCCCATTTGTCAATTTTGTCTTTTGTTGCCATTGCTTTTGGTGTTTTAGACATGAAGTCCTTGCCCATGCCTATGTCCTGAATGGTAATGCCTAGGTTTTCTTCTAGGGTTTTTATGGTTTTAGGTCTAATGTTTAAGTCTTTAATCCATCTTGAATTGATTTTTGTATAAGGCGTAAGGAAGGGATCCAGTTTCAGCTTTCTACATATGGCTAGCCAGTTTTCCCAGCACCATTTATTAAATAGGGAATCCTTTCCCCATTGCTTGTTTTTCTCAGGTTTGTCAAAGATCAGATAGTTGTAGATGTGCGGTGTTATTTCTGAGGGCTCTGTTCTGTTCCATTGATCTATATCTCTGTTTAGGTACCAGTACCATGCTGTTTTGGTTACTGTAGCCTTGTAGTATAGTTTGAAGTCAGGTAGTGTGATGCCTCCAGCTTTGTTCTTTTGGCTCAGGATTGACTTGGCGATGCGGGCTCTTTTTTGGTTCCATATGAACTTTAAAGTAGTTTTTTCCAATTCTGTGAAGAAAGTCATTGGTAGCTTGATGGGGATGGCATTGAATCTGTAAATTACCTTGGGCAGTATGGCCATTTTCATGATATTGATTCTTCCTACCCATGAGCATGGAATGTTCTTCCATTTGTTTGTATCCTCTATTATTTCATTGAGCAGTGGTTTGTAATTCTCCTTGAAGAGGTCCTTCACATCCCTTGTAAGTTGGATTCCTGGGTATTTTATTCTCTTTGAAGCAATTGTGAATGGGAGTTCACTCGTGATTTGGCTCTCTGTTTGTCTGTTGTTGGTGTATAGGAATGCTTGTGATTTTTGCACATTGATTTTGTATCCTGAGACTTTGCTGAAGTTGCTTATCAGCTTAAGGAGATTTTGGGCTGAGACAATGGGGTTTTCTAGATATACAATCATGTCATCTGCAAACAGGGACAATTTGACTTCCTCTTTTCCTAATTGAATACCCTTTATTTCCTTCTCCTGCCTAATTGCCCTGGCCAGAACTTCCAACACTATGTTGAATAGGAGTGGTGAGAGAGGGCATCCCTGTCTTGTGCCAGTTTTCAAAGGGAATGCTTCCAGTTTTTGCCCATTCAGTATGATATTGGCTGTGGGTTTGTCATAGCTCTTATTATTTTGAAATATGTCCCATCAATACCTAATTTATTGAGAGTTTTTAGCATGAAGGGTTGTTGAATTTTGTCAAAGGCCTTTTCTGCATCTATTGAGATAATCATGTGGTTTTTGTCTTTGGTTCTGTTTATATGCTGGATTACATTTATTGATTTGCGTATATTGAACCAGCCTTGTATCCCAGGGATGAAGCCCACTTGATCATGGTGGATAAGCTTTTTGAGGTGCTGCTGGATTCGGTTTGCCAGTATGTTATTGAGGATTTTTGCATCAATGTTCATCAAGGATATTGATCTAAAATTCTCTTTTTTGGTTGTGTCTCTGCTCGGCTTTGGTATCAGAATGATGCTGGCCTCATAAAATGAGTTAGGGAGGATTCCCTCTTTTTCTATTGATTGGAATAGTTTCAGAAGGAATGGTACCAGTTCCTCCTTGTACCTCTGGTAGAATTCAGCTGTGAATCCATCTGGTCCAGGACTCTTTTTGGTTGGTAAGCTATTGATTATTGCCACAATTTCAGCTCCTGTTATTGGTCTATTCAGAGATTCAACTTCTTCCTGGTTTAGTCTTGGGAGAGTGTATGTGTCAAGGAATGTATCCATTTCTTCTAGATTTTCTAGTTTATTTGCGTAGAGGTGTTTGTAGTATTCTCTGATGGTAGTTTGTATTTCTGTGGGATCGGTGGTGATATCCCCTTTACCATTTTTTATTGCATCTGTTTGATTCTTCTCTCTTTTTTTCTTTATTAGTCTTGCTAGTGGTCTATCAATTTTGTTGATCCTTTCAAAAAACCAGCTCCTGGATTCATTAATTTTTTGAAGGGCTTTTTGTGTCTCTATTTCCTTCAGTTCTGCTCTGATTTTAGTTATTTCTTGCCTTCTGCTAGCTTTTGAATGTGTTTGCTCGTGCTTTTCTAGTTCTTTTAATTGTGATGTTAGGGTGTCAATTTTGGATCTTTCCTGCTTTCTCTTGTGAGCATTTAGTGCTATAAATTTCCCTCTACACACTGCTTTGAATGCGTCCCAGAGATTCTGGTATGTTGTGTCTTTGTTCTCGTTGGTTTCAAAGAACATCTTTATTTCTGCCTTCATTTCGTTATGTACCCAGTAGTCATTCAGGAGCAGGTTGTTCAGTTTCCATGTAGTTGAGCAGTTTTGAGTGAGATTCTTAATCCTGAGTTCTAGTTTGATTGCACTGTGGTCTGAGAGATAGTTTGTTGTAATTTCTGTTCTTTTGCATTTTCTGAGGAGAGCTTTACTTCCAACTATGTGGTCAATTTTGGAATAGGTGTGGTGTGGTGCTGAAAAAAATGTATATTCTGTTGATTTGGGTGGAGAGTTCTGTAGATGTCTATTAGGTCCGCTTGGTGCAGAGCTGAGTTCAATTCCTGGGTATCCTTGTTGACTTTCTGTCTCGTTGATCTGTCTAATGTTGACAGTGGGGTGTTAAAGTCTCCCATTATTAATGTGTGGGAATCTGAGTCTCTTTGTAGGTCACTCAGAACTTGCTTTATGAATCTGGGTGCTCCTCTATTGGGTGCATATATATTTAGGATAGTTAGCTCTTCTTGTTGAATTGATCCCTTTACCATTATGTAATGGCCTTCTTTGTCTCTTTTGATCTTTGTTGGTTTGAAGTCTGTTTTATCAGAGACTAGGATTGCAACCCCTGCCTTTTTTTGTTTTCCATTGGCTTGGTAGATCTTCCTCCATCCTTTTATTTTGAGCCCATGTGTGTCTCTGCACATGAGATGGGTTTCCTGAATACAGCACAGTGATGGGTCTTGACTCTTTATCCAATTTGCCAGTCTGTGTCTTTTAATTGGAGCATTTAGTCCATTTACATTTAAAGTTAATAGTGTTATGTGTGAATTTGATCCTGTCATTATGATGTTAGCTGGTGATTTTGCTCGTTAGTTGATGCAGTTTCTTCCTAGTCTCGATGGTCTTTACATTTTGGCATGATTTTGCAGTGGCTGGTACCGGTTGTTCCTTTCCATGTTTAGCGCTTCCTTCAGGAGCTCTTTTAGGGCAGGCCTGGTGGTGACAAAATCTTTCAGCATTTGCTTGTCTGTAAAGTATTTTATTTCTCCTTCACTTATGAAGCTTAGTTTGGCTGGATATGAAATTCTGGGTTGAAAATTCTTTTCTTTAAGAATGTTGAATATTGGCCCCCACTCTCTTCTGGCTTGTAGGGTTTCTGCCGAGAGATCCGCTGTTAGTCTGATGGGCTTCCCTTTGAGGGTAACCCGACCTTTCTCTCTGGCTGCCCTTAACATTTTTTCCTTCATTTCAACTTTGGTGAATCTGACAATGATGTGTCTTGGAGTTGCTCTTCTCGAGGAGTATCTTTGTGGCGTTCTCTGTATTTCCTGAATCTGAACATTGGCCTGCCTTGCTAGATTGGGGAAATTCTCCTGGATAATATCCTGCAGAGTGTTTTCTAACTTGGTTCCATTCTCCCCATCACTTTCAGGTACACCAGTCAGACGTAGATTTGGTCTTTTCACATAGTCCCATATTTCTTGGAGGCTTTGCTCATTTCTTTTTATTCTTTTTTCTCTAAACTTCCCTTCTCGCTTCATTTCATTCATTTCATTTTCCATCACTGATACCCTTTCTTCCAGTTGATCGCATCGGCTCCTGAGGCTTCTGCATTCTTCCCGTAGTTCTCGAGCCTTGGTTTTCAGCTCCATCAGCTCCTTTAAGCACTTCTCTGTATTGGTTATTCTAGTTATACATTCTTCTAAATTTTTTTCAAAGTTTTCTACTTCTTTGCCTTTGGTTTGAATGTCCTCCCATAGCTCAGAGTAATTTGATCGTCTGAAGCCTTCTTCTCTCAGCTCGTCAAAGTCCTTCTCCGTCCAGCTTTGTTCCGTTGCTGGTGATGAGCTGCATTCCTTTGGAGGAGGAGAGGCACTCTGATTTTTAGAGTTTCCAGTTTTTCTGTTCTGTTTTTTCCCCATCTTTGTGGTTTTATCTACTTTTGGTCTTTGATGATGGTGATGTACAGATGGGTTTTTGGTGTGGATGTCCTTTCTGTTTGTTAGTTTTCCTTCTAACACACAGGACCCTCAGCTGCAGGTCTGTTGGAGTACCCTGCGGTGTGAGGTGTCAGTGTGCCCCTGCTGGGGGGTGCCTCCCAGTTAGGCTGCTCGGGGGTCAGGGGTCAGGGACCCACTTGAGGAGGCAGTCCGCCCGTTCTCAGATCTCCAGCTGCGTGCTGGGAGAACCACTGCTCTCTTCAAAGCTGTCAGACAGGGACATTTAAGTCTGCAGAAGTTACTGCTGTCTTTTTGTTTGTCTGTGCCCTGCCCCCAGAGGTGGAGCCTACAGAGGCAGGCAGGCCTCCTTGAGCTGTGGTGGGCTCCACCCAGTTCGAGCTTCCAGGCTGTGTTGTTTACCTAATCAAGCCTGGGCAATGGCGGGCGCCCCTCCTCCAGCCTCGCTGCTGCCTTGCAGTTTGATCTCAGACTGCTATGCTAGCAATCAGCGAGACTCTGTGGGGTAGGACCCTCCGAGCCAGGTGGGGGATATAATCTCATGGTGCGCCGTTTTTTAAGCCCGTCGGAAAAGCGCGGTATTCGGGTGGGAGTGACCCGATTTTCCCGATTTTCCAGGTGCGGTCCCTCACCCCTTTCTTTGATTAGGAAAGGGAACTCCCTGACCCCTTGTGCTTCCTCAGTGAGGCAATGCCTCGCCCTGCTTTGGCTCGCACATGGTGCGCGCACCCACTGACCTGCGCCCGCTGTCTGGCACTCCCTAGTGAGATGAACCCGGTACCTCAGATGGAAATGCAGAAATCACCCGTCTTCTGCATCGCTCAGGCTGGGAGCTGTAGACCGCAGCTGTTCCTATTCGGCCATCTTGGCTCCTCCCCCCGATTTTTCTTAAATGCTGGTTTTTTTTTTAAATACATGAAATCGTTTTATGTATTTTGAATATTTGAATGAGGAATCCATGCTATTTGTTTCTTCTCACAGGTTAAAAATTTCAAATGCTTATATTTAGCTTGCATTATTAACAAATGTCTCTTTTCTCACAATTCATACATTTAACACCACTTTGTGCTCTGTTAGTAATATTTTAATTGTTCTTTGACACCTTAATTAGATAGTAATCTTTTTTAGACAATTTTATAGTATTTTAATAATTTGTCTATAAATTTTGGGATTATGTCAAATACTCTTTGAATTCTATTTTGAGAAGCTTTTGTAAATTCAGTTTCAGCCAAATTTTATACTTTTCTCTGAACTCTTCATTTTAACTCCATTTACAATGTTAAATTTTTTGTTTGAATAAGGATCATTTTCCTTTTTTATTCTCCCCTAGTACATCTATACAGAAGTCAACCAAAATTTCGTCTCACTCTGCATATATGTCTGAAATTAAAAAAAAACTTTTATTTTCAAATTTCTTCTCAAATAATTTTGATAGATTTATGAATATGCCAACTATGTTAATTTAAGGAAATAATTGAGGGTCAATTTCTGAACTCTCTTACAAATAATGTATTAGTCCGTTTTCACGCTGCTGTAAAGGAATACCTGAGACTGGGTAATTTATAAAGAAAAGAGTTTTAATTGCCTCATGGTACCACAGTCTGTATAGGAGCCATGATGCTGGCATCTGCTTAACTTCTGGGGAGGCCTCAGGAAACTAACAATCATGGCAGAAGGCAAAATGGGAGCCAAGACTTTATATAGCTGAGAGCAGGAGGAACAGAGAGAAGAGGGAGGTGCCACATAGTTTTAAACAATGGGATTTCATGAAAAATCTATCACTAGAACAGCATCGAGAGGATGGTGCTAAACCATTCATGAATGATTCACACCCATGATCCAATCACCTCCCACGGAGGCCACATCTCCAACACTGGGGATTACAATTCGACAGGAGATTTGGGCAGCGACACAGATCCAAACCATATCGAATGGTAAGAATTATTTTAATTCCCATTGAGGTTGTTTATAAAATCTATAAAACTAACATACATTTGTAGGTATATATTTATCTATATATACATTTTATACATACACATCACTACTTAAATATGCACGTACAGCACACACACAGAGCACTCATATGTATGTATGTTTGTATGTGTGTGTGTGTCCTTCAGATGTTAGAACACATTTGAAAACTTCCAGAAATTAATGTACTTTGTAACTTTTGACAAGTTATTTTATCATTCTGAGCCTTGGTTTCTTCATCTGCAATATGCAGTAACAATGTATGGTTTTCTGGGTTATTGGAATAATTAGTGTTAGAACACCTAGCACAGTGCATGACAAATATTTAATGCTTGGTACATGATATTTACTCTTCATGGCATGTTTGGTATATATGAATAACAGGAATAGCTGTTTCTAGATTTAAGAAATCTAGATTAAGAGGTTGCTTCTTAAGGAGTCATTTATTTAGGAATAGCCAATCAACCCACTTGTCATTAAGATCTGAAAACATTAACTTCTATTTTATGGAGAATATCTAGTGAAAGGTATACTTAGAGTTCTAATCAAGAACTATTATTTTGCTCAATAATTAACAATGTCTTTCTTTATAAGTATTTAAAAAGAGACTTGTTTTTAAAGTCTCAGGAAACTTACATTCATGGCAGACGGCGAAATGGGAGCCAGCATTTCATATGGCTGAGAGCTGAAGGAAGAGAGAGTAGGGGAGGTGCCACATAAGTCATTCTCTTATGAACAAGTAACTAATACTACCAAATCTCTTTCTAGACTTGTTTTTGTATTATAATGTTTATATCATAAACATGTATTCATAGGCAGACATATATTTACTTTTATTTTAAACTTTTTAAGTGAACATATATTACTTTGTAATGTATTTTTTAACTGAAAATGTCACATGCTAAATAACACACTGTAGTCTTATTTTATCATAATTGAAACACTATCTCTAAGCAATATATTTCAAGAATGAGACAGAGAGGGGAGGGGAAGAAAGAATTCTATGTCAAATTACAAAGACTAGTATAGTCATGTGGAACTGCCACTGGGTGTCTTCAAATACTGGCTCTACCACTACTAGCTCATCAAGCTTGGGAAGGATGTTTAATTTTTCCCTGCTTTCAGTTTCCTCAGTTGTAAAGTTGAAGCAATCACAGTGCCTGACTCATAGGGTTATAATATGTTTAGAATAGTGTCTCTCATATAATAAAATGTTCAAAACAAAGAAAGTCAAACAATATTTGCTGTCATCTTGTGAACAGATTTTTTTCTCTAGTTTTTTTCTCCACTATATTTGCATAAGCTTCCATTTAATTGACATATCATAGCATCAGGATATTTCACCCCTAAACACTTCAGAGTGTATCTAGGATTCAATATTTGTTTCTGACACTTTATTTTTTAAGGCAAAATTTATATACAGTGATGTGCATATGTATACCTTAAATGTATCACTTGATGAGTTTAGACAAATACTGTATCCCAGATCCTTAGCAAGATACAGAACTTTACTATCACCCTAAAAGTTCTCTTTATATTTCTTCCCAGTCAGTCTGTTGTCTGTCCCATAGGGGCAATGGCTCTCTATTTCTTTTTTTAAATTCTCACTATGAATTGAATTCACATGAATCATTTAAAACTTTGTAATGAAGTCAGACAGCATGTACCCTTTTGTGAAAACTTTATTCCAATCAACATAATGCTTCTGAGATTTATCCATGTTGTATGAATCAATAGTTCATTCCTTTTCATAGCTGAGTAGTATTCCATTGCATGGACATACAAGAGCTTCTTTACACATTTTCTTCCAGAGGGACACCTGAGATTTTTATAGAGTTCAGCTATTATGATAAAGCTGCTAGTAACATCCTTGTACAAGTCCTTTTTGGACATCTACTTTCATTCCTCCTGAGCAAATACCTAAGAATGAATTACTGGGACATACGTTAGATGTATGTTTCATTTTATAAAAAACTGCCAGATATTTTTACAGAGTAATTGTATAATTTATACTCCCAGTAACAATGTGTGAGAATTCTAGATGTTTCACATCTATGCCAATATTTGATTCTTTCAGTTTTTAAACTTTTGGCTATTGCAGTCTCCCTCTTCTGTTTCCAAATAAATGCGCTTATTCAAAAATTCTGATTTGTATAAGTATGGGTGATTCTTATTTTTTCTTGTGCCTTTTCAGTAAGTTTAATTTTGTAAAAGCATTTTTAGCAATAAATTCAGCATTTTACAAAATTAAAAAATAAATTTAGCTAAAAAACGTTATATAAATACTTGTCAATGTTGTGTAAATGATTACAGTACTTGTAGCTTGCGATATAATTTCAGGGACTTCTTTACATTAAAATGCAAATATACTGTATCCCAAACCAACTTGAGTAAAGATAATGGTTTCAGGGAAATGTGTTGGATGATGAAAGAAATAATCTGAACTATGATGAAGAAACTAAAAGAGAAGAGTCATGTGAGATATTTGAATATTTATGCTTTTTAAATTAAACACAGTTTTTCCGAAGTAATAGTATGTAATATGAGGTTTTTAACATTATTGTTAACTAATTTAATTATTATTATTAGATACAGTCTTTTTCATCTACATGTTTAAAATTTCACTAATTTAAATTGGCCAAAACTTTTAAGATAATGTTTGCATTGGTAAAATTTGGTTATGTATATTAGTTTTAAAATTCATTTAAACCCTTTAATAGTAACTACAACAACATAAAATTATTATATTCAATGAATAATTGACAAAATAATACGTTTAAAATACATGTAGATAACTTAGCATGACAATCTTTGATCTGGACGTTGATCCTAGGAGTATATGATTCTCCCATAATTACACAATGAATGTAACACTGGGACTAAAAATCAGTCCTTCTCCTGCCTTCTAGACTAGCATTTGATCCATTTATTATACAGGCACTCCTCAGAGAAATTTCAGGTTTAGTTTCAGAGCACTGCAACAAAATGAATATCACGATAATGTGAGTCACACAGATTTTTTGGTTTCCCAGTGCATATAAAACTTATGTTTGCATTATCGTGTAGTCTATTAAGCAGTGATTGCATTATGTTTAAAAATATATATACCTTAATTTAAAATACTTAATTGCTAAAAAATACTAATGACTACGTGAACCTTCAGTGAATCCTAATCTTTTTCTAGTGGAGGGTCTTGCCTCAATGTTGATGGCTGCTGGCTATTCAGGCTGGAGGGTGCTGAAGATATGGGTGGTTGCAGCAAATTCTCTCTCTCTCTCTCCTTTTAGAGATAGTCTTGTTGTTTTTGCCAAGGCTGAACTTGAACTCCGGGGCTCAAGTGATTCTCCCACCTCAGTCTCCCAAGTAGCTGGGACTTCAGGCACACAACACCATGCCCAGTTTGGCTGTGGCAATTTCTTAAGAAGATGGCAATGAAGTTTTCTGCATCAATTGACTCTTCCTTTTACAAAAGACTTATCTGTAGCATGTAATGCTGTTTGATAGCATTTTACCCACAAAACATTTCAAAATTTGAGTAAGTTCTCTCAAACCCTGCCAACTGCTTTATCAACTAAGTTTATGTTACATTCAAAATCTTTTTTAAAATTCAGTGTTCACAACCTACTCATTAGAAGTAGATTTCATCTAAAGAAACCACTTTCTTTGTTCATCCATAAGAAGCAACTCCTTATTTGGTTTAAGTTTTACCATGTGATTGCAGCAATTCAGTCACATCTGTAAGTAAGCTCTACTTTTAATTCTAGTTATCTTGCTCTTTCCACCACATCTGCAGTTTCCTCCTCCACCAAAGCCTTGAACCCCTCAAAGTCATCCTTGAGGGTTGGAATCAACTTTTCCAAACTCCTGTTAGTGTTGATATTTTGACCTCCTCTCATGAATCACAAATGTTCTTAATGGCATCTAGAATAATGAATCTTTTCCAGAATGTCCAGTTTACTTTGCCCAGCTCCATCAGAATAATTATGTCTATGGTAGCTATAGACTTATGAAATGTATTTCTTAAATAATAAAACTTAAAAGTTGAAATTACCTCTTGATTGATAGGTTGCAGAATGAATGTTGTGTTAGCAGGCAGGAAAACA
The DNA here is from genome assembly GCF_000001405.40 of Homo sapiens. Taxonomy (NCBI): domain Eukaryota; kingdom Metazoa; phylum Chordata; class Mammalia; order Primates; family Hominidae; genus Homo; species Homo sapiens. The sequence continues at coordinate 87,234,472 of NC_000008.11, forward strand.
ATATTCATTTACTTACACAATTCCGTCAGAGTTCTTGGGTGACCAGATGCATTGTCAATGAGCAGTAGTATTTTGAAAGGAGTCTTTTTTCTGAGTAGTTGATCTCAACAGTGGGCTTCAAATATTCATTATAGAATGCTATAAAAAGATATGTTGTCATCTAGGCTTGGTTGTTCCATTTATAGAGCACAGGCAGAGTAGATTTAGCATAATTGTTCAGGGCCCTAGAATTTTTGGGATGGTAAAGGAGTAGTGGCTTCAACTTAATGTCACCAGCTGCATGTCACAGTCAGCTGACCTGCATGTCACCATCACGAGCTGTATGTCATCATCAACCTCTCCTTTGAAACTTTGAAACCAGGAATTGACTTCTTCTCTCTTTTAGCTATAAAAGTACTAGATGGCATCTTCTTACAATAGAATGCTGTTTCATCTACATTGAAAATCTGTTTAGTGTAACCACCTTTATCAATGACCTCAGCTAGTGTTCTGGATAACTTGATGCAACTTCTATATCAGCACTTGCTGTTTCACCTTGCACTTTATGTTATAGATATGTCTTCTATCTTTAAACCTCATGAACCAAACTCTGCTAGCTCTCAGCTTTTCATCTGGAGCTTCCTCACCCTCTCTTAACTTTCATGAAATTGAACAGAAATAGGGCCTTGTTCTGGATTAGGTTTCATTTAAGAGAATGTTGTGGCTGGTTTCATCTATCCAGACCAGTAAAACTTTCTCAGTATAGCAATGAGGCTGTTTTGCTTACTTAGTGTGTTCACTGGAATAGCACTTTTAAATTTCTACAAGAACTGTTCCTTTGCATTCACAACTTGGCTTACTATTTGGTGTAAAAGGCGTAGTATTCAGCATATTTCATCTTTCAACGAGCCTTCCTTACTCAGGTTAATCATTTCTAGCTGTTGATTCAAAGTAAGAGACACATGACTCTTCCTTTGACTTGAACACTTAGAGGATATTTTAGAGCTATTAATTGGCCTAATTTTAACATTGTTGTGTTTCAGGGAGTAGAAAGGCCTGAGGACAGGGAGAGAGATGGGGAAACAGCCATTGAATAGGGCAGTCCAAACACACACAACATTTACCAATTAAGTTCATTATCTTATATGTGCATAGTTTGCGGTGCCCAAAACAATTACATCAATGGTAACATCAATGATCACTGATCACAGATCACAACAGATATAATAATAATGAAAAAGTTTGAAATATTGTGAGAATTACCAAAATGTGACACAGAAACACAAAGTGAGCACATGCTGTTGGAAAAATGGTGCTGATAGACTTGCTAGATGCAAAGTTGCACGAATCTTTGATGTATAAAAAATGCCATATCTGTGAAGCACTGAAAAGCAAAGCACAGTAAAACAAGATATGCTTGTATTGTGTTGCCTAGAAGGAGGTCTAGTTTAAGCTCAGACATCCAAGCAAGAACAACCTTTACTTTAAAGAAGCATGAAAATCACTCCCCCATGGTCACTGTGTATGAATTGTGACTAAGAAAGTCACACTAATAAGCACTCAGAAAAAAAGCAGACATGGCAAGCATTTGATGACTTTTAGGACATTAAAAAAAATGATTGGCCCTGAAAATGCAATTTGTAAAGTTTCTAATTCTTTCAAGTTCATAAGCAAAGTGTAAGAAAATATCTCCTGACAGCACTTGAGTAATTTGCTTCAATCTTATGAAGTAATGTAAATAAGAAATGGAGAAAGACACCATCCCACTCTTACCCCCTTATTCTTCAAAGGCTTCAGAAGAACTGGAATTAATTTAAGTTGCATTAGAAATATTCACAAATGAGTATGTCTTTCAGATGTACAGGCACACAGTTTAACTTTAGGAATTGGGGTTGGATGACAGTTTTTAGAGATTTATGTAAGAGTAGGACAGATATGGGAAAAACTCTTCTTTCTAGTAATAATCAGCCACCCTCTCCAAACTGTCTCCATTATTAAGTTCTATAAGTGATTGTCATCATGTCCAGAGCAAAGATAAATGAAAATTAAGGGTAGGTATATATTGTTATTTATATAAAATAGGAAAAATGGCATTTTGTGTATGGGAGGCTCATAAACATTAAAAAACATTCAAGGGCTTTTCTGGTCCCATTTTTCTCACAATGTCTCAAATCTATTAATAATTATATGTAACCATGTTTTCTTCCACTAGAACCCATCAGTTCTGTGAGAGGATAGCTACTATATGTAATTGTCTGAAAAGAATACTCCAAATGTATAAACATGCCTTTGTTATTCTTGTTACTTGAGTAAACTATTTGAAAATGCCTATTACATTAAATTCACTGTTACAGAATACACTGAAAGAAATACGTTGAAAGTACCGTAAGTGTAATATATATATTAGTCATATCTATATCAAGGAGCCTGAGCACACAGTATATATTTTTTGGCTTTGTTTTTTTCAGTGGTTGCAAATGATGGATTTTATGTAATACTGAAAGGCCTAGCTCGACCTCAAACAAACGTGTATAAAAATCTGATTGAAGGAAGTGATTCACCAGACTCGTTCATATCTCAGAGTTTCCACAGCTTCATTTGGAGTGAAGAATTCAAAAACTCTACACTTGCTGAGATGTACCTACCTTCATATGACTCAATGGTAAGAGATGAGTATTTGCTTTTTCCACAAGCAACAAGGTAACGGGCTTTTGTAAAACTTTATCTCTTCCAGACATTAAGATCCAATATCTTTAGAGTCCTGAAATATTTACGATAATATAGCCTTTAAAATATAAATGATATTATTAATACTTACATTTGATTAAACATTTTTGATAAAGGATGCCTTCAACAGCATCTGACCACTGGCAGGGTTTGTGTGGTGTATTTGGTAACAGACAAGGTTGATGTGGCTGGATCCCTGAAAGAAGGATAATAGTAGTTTCAGATAAGTGAGAGGGAATAGGTGATTTGAGGAGGGAGAGACAGGAAGACTAATTGATTATGAAAGACCTTTAAATCAAGTCAAGAATGTATGTTTATTATGTTTGTCTCAAGAGCAATGCTAAGATAGTCAAGTAGTTAATTACATTACAATCAGAAATTCTTAATTGAGGAAAATCTTTTGCATCTATATAATATTTCAAGACTATTAGCTGGTCAAAAATTAAAAGTTCCATATCTTTCCGAATCTCTGGATACTCCACATGGGATAGAGGTCTGAATTGACTAGAATTGTGGCTGATAGTCAGTTCTCAATTTAGGGTGATCAAGATGTTCAGAGTAGAAAAGAGTCAAAGAACCAATTAAAACCAAATAATTTAGCATTATGGGGTACAATCAGAAAAATCCAGAACTAATATCATATTCAAGAGAAATAAGCATGGATCATATCCAGAAAGAATGACAAGGATAAAAATGAACAAGCCTATAAAAGTATATTATTCATCTCACATGAATGAATGATGTTTCTGATTGTCTTCTTGTTAGGGATGGAAAACAATGCATTTGCCATGTCAGTGACCACATATAATGGACCTAATGCTATTTTAGTCTGCTCTAGCAAATATGCCACGTTTAGCACAACAGCTGTAATTAGGGCTTCAAAGACCGATTTTTTTTTTTTAATGTTCAAACTCATGTATTAAATGGGGATATGATGGGAATCACCAGATCTGCATTCTGCTTTAGGTCTTTAGGAGCAGTACTAATTTCTGGCATTCCACCTGAGATGTGATATGGTTTTCAATTTCCTATCTTGGCCAGAGTGGGGGAAAGGGTAGAGAGAAGTTTCAGAGGCTTCCACTTAATCTTTACTGTGATAGCTCTTACTGCACAGGCCAAGAAACCAATGTGGAAACTCTACCCACTACCAAGTATCCATTTAAATTTTGCTTTTAGGGACCATGGATATTGCCCATGGGGTAGGCTTATGGACCCAGTGAAGCCACTGGGAAACAGACCCAAACCAAAACTTTACTTTTTAGGAATTCTGCCTGTTTATTCTCTGTAACAGGTGACCATGATGACATTTTGTGTATCAAGGCTTTAATGTCACTATCTCAAATTTTACAGCTCCACTTCTCCATCAGGGCCCTAGCCTTAGCATAAAATAATAATAAAAAAATACTTGCAGAGGTTGAGACTGCTATAGCAGAGCTCCAGAGAAGATAAATATGAATATATTTATATCTATGTGCATATCTATCTCTCTATCATGTATGTATCTGTCTACCTACCTACCTACCAATTATCTACCTACCTACCGGCCTATTTATATACCAAGTCAGATTCTCAGATTTTTCTGCCCTCTAACTGTTGAAAATGAGATTTTCTTTATGTGCTGCCAAAGAACCCTGGGATTAGATCATTCATCTTAAATGGGTGATTAATTTTCCTCTTCCTTTTATTGTATTCCTTTAGTGCACTGAGAGCTCCCAGCAGCAATCATCCTATGCCATGGTCCTTATAAATACTCATTCTACAATATCTCAGACGTCTGAGATATTGTACCTTCCAGTACATTCCCTTCTACTAGTACCTAATGCCTGCTTAACATCATTAAAATTTTATCAGTGGTACTGATACAACTGGTCAGAGACTACCAGTACTCCAGTGATGGATTTGTATTGCTAGCTGGCTGGCAGGCAGTTAAGCTCTAAATCCAGTATTTTTTCTAGTTTAATAAAATTTTTTGAAAAAATGAAAAGATAGAAATCAAGGCAGACAATTTTAACTTGCAGCAACTCTGTGGTTTTTGTTGTTGTTTAAGTTTGCAGAAGGACAAGTATATGATTACTGATAAACTTATTTCACATTGCTAAAAATTTAAAGTATCCTTGCTAACCCTGTCCCCTGTAGAAATTATGAGTTTAGCTGGTGTTATGAAACATGCTGCTCTTTCCCTATTTTAAAAATTTGCCTTTTTGTGTATTTACTTAGTGGGCCTTTTTCAAATAAAAATATTACTATTTCCAAAGATTTGTGTCTAGGAGAGTTTTGTAGTTTTGCACACATAAAGGGCTATATTTTTCTTTCTCCCTTTTTTGGCTTTATAAAAAAACATTATTTGCTTTTTTATTGAGTTTCAACAGAGAACCGAACAACTAAGAAGAAGAAAAAAGTTATAACATTTTCACTCTTCAATTTCACCCTCCAACAGTTTGGTAAACTAATGGGCATCATTTGAGTATAACAAACATAAGGTGAAAAACATCTAATCCAAGGATCAAATTTATTTCTCATGAGATAATGTATAGTTGTGAATAAAAATTGTTAAAGCTCCAAGCATCTGCTGTTCTAACTCTTTACTACACCCTGGACGAAAAATAAGTGCAGTATAAATGTACAGTGAAACAATTTTTTTTTTGCTTTTCTCAACATAGATTTACACATTGAAGCTGAAAGCTTTTTCATTAGAGTTGATTATATAAGGAAAGAGATAAAAAATTACACATTTATTTACAAGATCACCAACTTAATGCTTCTAAGTAGCTTTAAAATCTTTCATTAATTTTATTTTTCCAATTAGTCTTACAACTTTTAAAATTATAATAATAAATTCAAATTTCTTAGAGACATCTCAGCATAAATATAGTATGGTCTGTGCCAAAACACACACACACACACACACACACACACACACACACACAGACACAAACATGCACTTCTATATTTCATATTTATATACTTCTATATTCAACATATATTACTATCTGCAGTTAAACATATTTTACTAAAATCTATTTTTGCTATGATTAAATTTAGCAAAATTATAAAAGCAAATTATTAAGTTGAAGATTCTCAATAATTATTAAAAGAACTTTCTAGTTTGTTAAAGTAGTTTTCTTTGAAATACATTTGGAATTATGTGGAAAAAACTGATAAAAATATATTAATATATTCAACAGGCAGGGCCCAGTGAGGGTAAATTATAAAATAGTAATTTTTTTTTACACCAAAGTTTTCAAACAAGTGGTGTAGTATTACTCTTCCATGATACCTGGATCTTAGCACCTCAATCAGATCCTAGGTATTAATGAATAACCTCACTCTTTTTGGTCTTACAAATTCCAGTCCTGTCTTTATATCAAATTTTCAAACTTTCATGCTTGATACTCAGCTTATGCCTTATTGTGCCATAGAATCCAGCAGTGGGAAGAATAGTTTAAATTGGTCTATTCCCCTTTCTTACTTTGCATACTCTTTTACTCACTAGCTTGGTTTTCTGGCTCTTTCCAGTCAGGAAAGGAAGGAGGCTGGGAATTAAAGGCAAAATGGTAATGGGACCTTATGTGATTGGATGTCCAAATATAGGCTCGTTTTCTCAGGGTGTTTCCCCTCCTGCAGTTCCCTGGAGCTGGTGTTGCCTCCTAGAGGGCTTTTTAATACCGTACCCTTGATCCCTGGCTTCAGGCAGTGACCACTTGAATCGCTTTTTAGGGTCAAAATTCATCTCTCCAGGAGGTTCTCCAGGGTTGTTCCCTTTTCGTACAGTTTAGCTGGATACTTTTTGTGGGTCCCCCCAGTTGATGGGCTAGGGAAAGTTTCAAGTTTACTCCACTAAATTGCTGTGTCCTCACTCTGAGCCCAGAGGTCACTGGGAGTGGAGGAAAAAGAAAACTTCAGGACTCTAAAAATTGTCATGAAGCAGGTATCTTTCAATCTTTGCTGCCAACTTCCTGATCTCATTTCTCAAGAGGATCTTGAATTTACAGTTGAAGGAGTTTGTACTCATTTGAGACAGTAGTTGAAATTATGGACTTTGAATCTTATACTTAAAATAGCATTGGGCACAAAAATCTGTATTTGGAAGATTTTTTTTTTTTTTTTTTTTTTTGAGGAGTCTCGCTCTGTCGCCCAGGCTGGAGTGCAGTGGCGCGATCTCGGCTCACTGCAAGCTCTGCCTCCCGGGTTCACGTCATTCTCCTGCTTCAGCCTCCCCAGTAGCTGGGACTACAGGGGCCTGCCACCACGCCTGGCTAATTTTTTTTGTATTTTTAGTAGAGACGGGGTTTCACCGTGTTAGCCAGGATCGTCTTGATCTCCTGACCTCGTGATCCACCCGCCTCGGCCTCCCAAAGTGCTGGGATTACAGGCGTGAGCCACTGCACCCCGCCCATGGAAGATTTTTGAATGGATAACAATGAAAGTGTCTAGCAGGGTGTCACATACTAACGCAGGAAAAATAATTATAGGTTCACTGCTTTGGTCTAGGAGTGAGATTACAAAGGCAGGGAATACACAGTGATTAAATTCTTAGTTTGTGCCTATGTAAAAAAATAGTTTAAGTAATAGGATATCAATACCTATTAAAAAAACAAAATGATACTTATTTGTGATCATTTTGGAAGCTATAATAATACCATTTATTTTCTTGGTAAGATAAGAAAAGGCAATGGTTCTACCTCTCTTTGTAAGTGTATAAGTTGGGGAACCAGAGATAATAAGCATATGTAGAGAATGTAAATAAAAAATAAAATTCTAAGCCCCCAGCCAACTGAATAGACCCCTCGTCTTAGCCAAGAACATTACAAAGTTAACCTGAAAAACTAGTTGAGGACATAATTGCCAGGGGGGTCAGACATTCCTCATTATACCCTCTTGCTTTTGGTATTCAGGCACAACTGACCAGCATTAATGTTAAAACAGAGACCTTAAGACTGACAAAACACTCTTTGTAGCCATAAAATGCCAACATGACAGATGGCAGGCCCTGGAAGATATTGAAGTATTTTACCCCAAAATATATTTCTTTGACATATTTTGAAATGGCCCTGAAAAGCTGTCTCTTGTGGGGAAAATCAATATTCTATAGAAAATCGCCTTCCCTTTCCAGGTCTTTTTCCTGATACAAGAGAAAATTAGCTAAGAATCTGGCACCTTTTTAAGTCTGATATGAAACATTTACAATCTATTATGTCTGAAGCCTGCTACCTGGAGGCTTCATCTGCATAATAAGAACTTTGGTAGCCACAACCCTTTATATTAATGCAGATCCTTTATATTAATTAACCCTTTATATTAATTAACCCTCTTCTATTGATTCAGGGTCTTTAGATAATAGCTTAACTCTTTCAACTAATTGCCACTCAGAATGTCTGTGAATCCACCTATGACTTAGAAGGCCCCTCTTCAAGTTGTCCCACCTTTCCAGATAGAACCAATGCACATCTTACATGTAATGATTGAGGTTTTATGCCTCCTTAAAATGTATAACACCAAGCTGTAGTTCAACCACCTTGGGCACATGTTCTTAAGACCTCTTGAGACTTTGCCTTGTGCCACAGTCATTTATATTTGGCTCAGAATAAATCACTTCAAATATCTCAGAGTTTAACTTTTTTCATAGACAATAATTTAATTGCTTATGGCATAAACTTAATTGTTGATATTTATATTCTTAATGGGAATAAATCCCAACTCAAAAATATTCTTTATTTTCTTGTATCAATTACTAGCTAGTCTGTCAATAACAAAACCTCTGAAAAAGGACAGGGTGGAGGGAGGAAATGTGGTAAAATCAACCTGCTGCCAGTATGTATATTTCCTTAATTTACAGTAAAGTTATTTTGAACAAATTAATCACTAAACCATCAAATCCTAACTTTTCCATTTCCCAAATACAAAATATTTCTAACCTGTGTTATCAGCACAACCTGTATTATTCAAGCTGAGGATAATGAAGCCATGAGTATTTTATGCATACTGCCCAGTACATCTGAGGTTTTATCAGATATCTAGAGAAAATTCAGAAGGCATTGATAAATGGTGGATCCAACTAAAGAAAGAATATCTCATTTCGTAAAGCAGTTGAATAGCAATTTCATCTTCAGATCCTGGATAAAACTCAACCAATTTGTTTCAAACAAGAACATATTCCAATTAATTGTAAGTTCTGCATCAAGTGACTATTGGGATATCTTGGAAGAGTAAAGGCAAAGTCATGTTTGATAAGGACAAGGAATTTAAGCTATTTGATTTTGCTGCCTCCAGATTTCTGATAATGGGTGCTGCCTGACCTTCTGAGTACGCCATTCCCTGCGGTCAGTGCTCCATATTCTTTTACTTGTCTCTTCATTATCCAACATTCTTCACAGATTCATTCCTGGTATGGTCTTACCCTGGTTCCCTAAATCTTTTACCTCATTTATTCATGGGCATTTTTGAAAGTGGTGTTTTATAGAGCATATTTTTAATATGCAACACAACTACTATAAAAAACAAAATGAACGGCAACTAGAAAAATAAGTTTTCAATTTAAGAAACACATCTAAATTATTCGTGACACAAAACAGGAGTCACAATAAAAAATCAAAACTATTTCAATTAAACAAAAATACATAAATGTCACATATCAAAACAAAAATACCATGAATCAAAACTTGTAATATATATATGCAGTGAAAAAAGACACAGAATGTGATTTGCTGTTTAGTATTGATCTATGTGTGACTGGAGTATAAAGTTTATGTTTTGTTTTTTTAATTAAAAAAAATTTTGTATAAATTTATGGGGAATATGAGCCCTGAAAATTTGAGACAGGTCTCAGTTAATTTAGAAAGTTTATTTTGCCAAAGTTAAACATGCGCACCCATGAACAGCCTCAGGTGGTCCTGATGATATCTGCCCAGGGTGTTCAGGGCACACCTTGGTTTTACACATTTTAGGGAGAGATGAGACATCAATCAACATATGTAAGAAGTACATTGGTCCCATCCAGAAAGGCGGGGACAACCTGAAGTAGGGAGGGGGCTTCCAGGTCACTGGTAGGTGAGGGACAAATGGCTGCATTTCTTTCGAGTTTCTGATAAACCTTTCCAAAGGTGACAATCAGCTATGCATCTATCTCAATGAGCAGAAGGATAACTTTGAATAGAATAGGAGGCAGGTTGGCCCTGAGAAGTTGCCAGCTTGACTTTTTCCTTTAGCTTAGTAATTCTGGAGCTCCAAGACTTTCTTTTCACAGACCCATATGCAATTTTGTTATAAGTATATAATTGAGAGTGATCAAGTCAGGGCATTTAGGGTGTCTATCTCCTGAGTATAATACATTTTTGTTTAACAATATCGTCCTCCTTGCTTATCAAATGTTGAATTTATCCCTTTTAAGTAACTGTATTTTTATACCCTTTAACCCAGTTCTCTTCATCTGCCCCTCCTCCACTTACTCATAGACATTTAAATGGTTCTTTGCTACTTCTAGATGTCCCCTGACTCATATCCCAACCCCCAGTGTTAAGATGGCTTCCTTTAAGTCAGGGATCTTATTTTTCTCTAATGCGTAGTATAAGTATGCTAGGAGCTTTTAAGGTGTTCAATAAGAATAAATTAAATTAAATCCAGTTAAATTTAATTAGACAGAGACTTCAAAATGTCAAAGATGAACTGTGAAATGAGTTTTGATTCAACTAAATTGCAACTGATAGAGGATTTAATCTATATTGATTAAAGTTCAGTTTTATTACATTTATTTTATCTAAACTGATGTTTAAAATATATGTGATTGCTTTATTCTTAAAATAAAATGTAAACATTAGAATATTCAAATGTTCAAAACTAAAATGTCAATCAGGAAATATTTTTACTATAATAATGGAATTGGAACTTAACATCTAATTGTCTCTCCGATCATCGAAACATTTAATACAGATAGCTTGTAATATATTTATAACATGAAGCTATTTCTTAATCATCACAACATGTAGTTGCCTTTTGTTTTCATCAAGAGTTAAAATGTGTGCTGTAACTAAAAACAAACATTGGGTCATAGTAAATTTACTACTGTTTAAACATAAATTAGAGAAAAAGTAAAAATTATACTTTGTGTAAAATTTTTACAACTCTTGTATTATAAGAGCAATAAAAGAGATATGTTTATTGGTACATAGTAAGTCTGTTTACCAACGCTTTTTTAATAACATCATAAAATAAGAGGACTTCACATATAAACATTAACTCCGATATTTCATTTCAGAAACATACACTTAAATACAATTGAAGCTTTTGTTTCTTTACATCTTCCCATTTTTTTAATATAACTGTTTCTTATTTTACTACATTTATGAAGACATCAAAATATAATCAAGCTTGCTGTTGTTTATCTCATGATATTAAGTATTGTATTTGGAGATTAAATAATTTCAACTTTATGTAAGATTAAAAAAAAGTGTTATATTTGAAGGTAGGAAAATAAGTATAGTTTCTGGTTTATGGATGTTTGCATGCCTTCTGTGAAGCGCCTGATATTGTGTACTCGTTTTACTTTTGTTTTCTTTGTCTTTTTACCTATTAATTTATAAGACTTTTGATTATAGTAGTGATATAATTTTTTAATATACGTGTTGCAAATATGATTTTTAAATATATTGTTGATATTCTCACTTTATCATTCTTTTATTATTATGGATATATTGTTTTTTTCTTTATTGATGTTTGCTTTCCCATTATTAGCAGTATTTATGATAAGAAAACTAGTAATAATTGAGTACATACTATATGCCCATTTCATTTAAAGTACAGCAGGTTCTTGGACTAATATCTCATATCCATTGGTTTATTTTACTTTAGTGCCTATTTTATCTTCATAAAATTTTCCAGAACTACTGCCTTAAGCCGATTGTTTTCAGTTTTGGTGTTTTTTTGTAATTGCCTTGGGATTCTTTACTCCTTTAATTTTTAAATTTTTCTGACAAACACAAAATGATGAAAAGATGAGGCAAGCCTGGTCTATAATTTTTACTCTGGCAAACCTGTTCTGTAATTTTTCCATTACTTCTGGAAAAAGCTTATTTATATTCATTTCCCATGTCATAATTTCCATTATCTCTTTCTGTCATTAATTAGACTGGGAATGAGAAGCTTTTGGGTTTGCAAAACCCCAAATGGATGATGCCAATAACTATCAGAATTGTTGACAACAACATAAGCTTTGAGTATAGTCTGCAACTTTTAAATATAGATTTTATTTCTTCTCGAGACTGAAAACCATTTCATGAAAGTTGGTTAGAGAATTTGGTCTTAATCTCTGTATCAGTTAAGAGAGTTTTGGTTTTATGTTATCTAAATTACTGCTAATGACTTAAACAATAAGAATATTTTTTATCTCACAGAAAGTCTTTGAGATAGATGACTTTAGGGATTAATTTAGAACCACAACAAAATTACCTGGACACAGAGGCTCCCCTGTCTTTCCATCCTGTCCCTTTTAGAATGCTGAATTTCTTCCTCAGATTTGCACCTCAATTGTTAGCACTCTTCCAGGCATGGGAGAGCAGCACTCCCCAACCTTTTTGTCACCAGAGATCAGTGTTGTAGAAGACAATTTTTCCACGGACTAGGGGTGGGGGATGGTTTTGGGATGATTTAAGAGCATTACACTTATTGTGAACCTTATTTCTATTATTATTATATTGTAATATATAATGAAATAATTATACAACTCATCATAATGTAGAACCTATGGGAGCCCTGAGCTTGTTTTCCTGGAACTAGACGGTCCCATCTGGGGGCAACTGGAGACAGTGACACCCGAATTATGTTGCCTATGTCCAGTCTACTCCATAATCTCGTTTTGGTTACTGTCACTACAGAAAACTCTGCTTCACAAAGGTAGGATATTGGAAACAGGAGCAGGCTTTTCAGTGCTTTTGTGGCAATCTCAGGATAATCTCCACCTTGACTTTAATCCAGAACATATGGGGATTTGAAGTTGTCTCAAACATACTTTTAAGGCCACCATCATTTGTGATCTCAAGCAGTTGATTCGCTTCTAGCACGGACAAAGTCCATTCATCTGGCTTACTCTCAAATGAGTTGCAGATCCATTCCTTCCCAGTTAAGGGCTCTTTTCTGGTTTGGAAGTAATGCTCCAACTCTTTTGAAAGCTGAGAGAGGTGATCACGCACCAGCTCTGAGTAAGACGGCCCTGGCTGTGTCTCTTTCAAAATCTTTACTAATATTTGAAACATGTCAGAAATCCCAATGTTCACTCATTGCCCCATAATTCCAGTTTGGCTTTGAATGCAATTACTTTATCTGATGACTTGAACACAGTTGTCAGTCTCCCCTGGAGTGACAGATTAAATTCCTTGACCATGTTGAATGTGTCACACAAGTAAGCAAGTTTTGCGATCCATTCTGCGTCACTGAAATATGCTGCCAGGGGTGATTTTTTTTCTATAAGAAATCTCTGGAGTGGCTCTCATAACTCAAAAACTCTGGCCAGTGATCTACCTTTAGAAAGCCCTCTCATTTCTGTATGTAAGAGAAGACGTGTTTGCTCTGCATCCATTTCCTCATAGAGTTACGTGAACAGATGTGAGTTAAGGGCATTTAATGCGGTTGATACTTTTAATCACATCCTGCAAAATGTTTTTAAGTTCAGGTGACATTTTTCAGTTGTTAAGTTCAGGTGAAATGGCATTTTTCAGCTAGCCACAATTTCTGTATGGGTGACACGGTGCATGGACTCACATTCAGAAGTGACCTCATTGACCTGAGTGGTGAAACCAGAAAGCTGTCCAGTCATGGAAGCCACTTCATCCATGCATACTTACACAAAATGACCAATTTTCCTGATGTGTAATCATTCAAAGACTTTAATTGTTCTGCAGCTGTGGTGTTGTTGGTTGGCCAAAAAATTGCCCATAACATATTCTCATGCACATCCTCCTGAAAAATATATCACACAAAACCAAGAATTGTTGCCTTGTTGTCAACATTGGTAGACTCATCAATCTGGGTTGTGTACCATGGTGACTCATTAATCCTCTCTAGCAATTGTGCCTCAATATCTTCTGCTATTTCATCAATTCATCTGGTTATAGTGCTAGCTGAAAAAGGAACTTATGCCACCTTTTAAACTGCAGCCTCTCCTAAAAGTTCACAATGGATGTTTTTAGTAGCAGGTAGGATCAACCTTCACCAGTAGTAAAAGACTTCCTAGCTTTAGCAATGCAGTTAGCCACTAAGAATGATGCTGTCAGTGCAGACACATTTGATAAAGTGGTGGCCTTCAATAATTGCTTCTATTCTTTGTGTTCACATTTTTTTCTTTTGAAAAACTGCAGAGGCTTGTCTTTTAATACAGGGCGCTTGATCGCCATGTGGAGAAGCAGCTTTGAAGGTCTCATGGCTTCGTTGGATAGCCTGTTGCCACATATTATATAAAGCAGGATTGGAGAATGTGAATCACCTGTTGCAGTGAATCTGCAATTTAAGTAGGATTCTTGGTATTTTCTTTTAAATACAACTTTCTTTTGTTGGCAGTCACAGAGTCTTTTGATGTCCCCTCATTGGGTCTTTCCCCCTTTTCAAAGAAATCTTCCAGTGACATTTGGTTTTTACTCATTTTGGCTATGGTTAGCTTGTGGGCTTACCAAAACTGTGACTGAGACAAGTACACAGTGCAGGAAAGAGGCGTGAACAGAAGTGGTAAATAAAATAATGAGAGGGCCACGTATGGACTAAACTAAGTGTCAGATTCTGACTTAAAGCCTGCCACCAGATGCAACTATACAATTGAAGTATATCAACTCACTACTATAACTCCTGCCACCAGATGCAGCTTGTCACTTGCCACTCACTGATAGGGTTTTGTTATGAGTCTGCAAGCAATTGATTTATTATGGTCTCTGTGCAGTCAAACCTCTCTGCTAATGTGAATCTGTATTTGCAGCTGCTCCCCAGTACTAGCATCACTGCCTCAGCTCCACGTCAGATCATCAGGCATTAGATTCTCATAAGGAGCACACAACCTAGATCCCTCCCATGCACAGTTCACAATAGGGTTCATGCTCCTATAAGAATCTAGTGACACTACTGATCTGACAGGAGGCAGACCTCAGGAGGTAATACAAGTTATGGGGAATGGCTGTAAACATAGATGAAGCTTTTCCTGCTTGCCCATTGCTTGTGCTGTGTGGCCTGATTCTTAACAGGCCACAGAGCAGTATAAATCTGTGGCCCAGGAGTCAGGGACCCTTAGGGTAGAGGATGCTTCTTCATCATGTTTTTACCCCTTTATCTGTGGAGAAAACATTTCCACAAAATGCACAGAAGGCACAGACTCCCATTTCCATCCCATTGGCTAGACTAGGTTATAGGTCTATCTTTCAACCGCAAATTGATAAAAGTGAATATAATCACCATTATTAGTTTAAAGCAATCAATTAAGATTCAGTCCCAAGAACTAGGTTCATGATCTATGTGCACTTTGCAGCCTAATTCCTAACCAAATCAGGCTTCTGTTAGCAAGCAAAACAGGAGTGAAGTGCTATTGAGCAGATGAATATGTTTCTGATGCAAAATTCTCAGGAGTTAGTTTGACAGTATGCAAGATAACTTAATCATCCAGTAGATTAGAAAGGCTCATTATAAAAACAGGACCCTTGAACTTAAATATAAAACTTCAAACTGTTAGAAGAAATCATTGGAGAAACTCTTTGGGACATTGGCCTGAACAAAGATTTCTTGAGTAATACCCCAAAAGCACAGGCAACCAAAGCATAAATAGAGAAATGGGATCACATCAAGCTAAAAAGTTTCTGCCCAGCAAATGAAACATCAACAAAGTGGAGAGACAACCCACCAAATGGGAGAAAATATTTGCAAACCACCCATTTTAAAAGGGATTAATAACCAGAATTTATAAGGAGCTCAAACAACTCAATAGCAAAAAATGAAATAATCCAATTACAAAATGGACAAAGGATCTGAATAGCCATTTCTCGAAACAAGGCATACTAATGGCCAACAGATATATGAAAGAATGCTCAACATAATTAATCATCAAAGAAATGCAAATCAAAACTCCAACGATATGTTATCTCACTCCAATTAAAATGGCTGTTATCCAAGACAGGTAATCACAAATGTTGGCCAGGATATGGAAAAAGGGGAACTCTTGTACACTGTTGGTTGGAATGCAAATTAGTATAGGCACTATGGAGAACAGTATGGGAGTTCCTCAAAAATATAAAAACAGAACTACCATGTGATCCAGAAATCTCACTACAGAGTATATATCCAAAAGGAATGAAATCAGTATATCAAAGATACATCCGCACTCCCATGTTTATTGCAGCACTATTCACAATAGCCAAGATATGGGAGCAACATGAGTGTCCATCAACCATTGAATGAATAAAGAAATGTGGTATATGTACATAATGGGATATTATTTAGCCATAAAAAGAATGAAATCCTATCATTTACAACAACATAGATTGAACTGGAGGACATTATATCAAGTGAAATAAGCCAGGCACAGAAAGAGAAATATTGCGTGTTAGCACTCAAATGTGGGAGCTTAAGAAAAAAAACTGAACTCATGGAGATAGTGAGTGGAATGATGTTTGTCAGAGGCAGAGAAAGATAGCAGGGATTGGGGGATAAAGTGAGATGGCTAATGGGTACAAAACTACAATGGGATAGAGGAAGTAAGATGTTGTATTTGGTGGCACAATAGGGTGACTATAATCAATAATAGTTTATTGCATATTTTCAAATAACCAAAAGAATGGAATTGCAATGTTCCTAACACAAAGAAACAATAAAAGCTTGAGGTGATAGATACCCCAATTACCCTTATTTGATCTCTGTACATTGTATTCCTATATCAAAACATCACATGTACCCCATAAATATATATTACTGTTATGTACCCTTAATAATTAAAAAATTAAAATTAAATAAAAATTATAAATTATAAATACAGGACCCTTGAGATCATTAGTAAAATTTCAGAGCCCTAGTTTTTGTGATGTTTTAGGGCCCTAGTTCTTCCTAACGTTCTGAATGTTGGACATGACTGTTAGTAATACAACAGTCTTTCTTAGAAATTGGATTGAGGCCTGGGTGCATTGGCTTATGCCTGTAATCCCAGCACTTTGGGAGGCCAAGGCAGGTGGATTGCCTCAGGTCAGGAGCTTGAGACCAGTCTGGCCAATATAGTGAAACCCCATCTCTACTAAAAATACAAAAAATTAGCTGGGCATGGTGGCCGGCACCTGTAATCCCAGCTACTTGACAGGTTGAGGCAGGAGAATCACTTGAACCCGGGAGGCAGAGGTTGCAGTGAGCCAAGATTGCGCCATTGCACTCCAGCCTGTACAACAAGAGCGAAACTCTGTCTCAAAAAAGAAAAAAAAAAAAAAAGAACAAAAATTGGATTGACTACTTTTGTCTAGGTACCATTTAGGATTTATTCCTTCCAAATGCTATGGTACCATTCAGAGTCACATGACCATAAATATATTTCATCACGCTATTTTTCTAATTGTATTCTTTAGTCATTTTAGGGCCACAATGGGCAATAGGAAGTTTAGGTAAAACATTTCATTCTTCTTACACTGGCTGGGTCTCAGACACTCATCTCTTATATGAATAATTCTTCTGTATTTATCTTTTTAAAAAAATACATGTATACTTCTAAGCAAACTTTCTTTGAAGAAAGTATTTTTTTTTTCTGAGATGATGCTTATAGGTAGATTTGAAACCCATCATTGTGGAATCCATCTTGATTACTATATCTGATGGGCAGACTCATCTATTCCCACATAAATTGATAAGAATTTGAGTGTTTTTGAAGAAACAACAAACATATAAAAACATTTAAATTAGACTTAGTCCCTGGTGACCCTTCTGACATTCATTTCTATTTTTCCATTCTGTTATAATCAGAATTATATTCATTATTATGATAAATATGGTTCAACAGTGGTCCAAGATATACTAAATCTTACATCAGAAAAAGGAAAAGGCTTTTCCATTTTTAGGTTTACTTAAATGAGAAGCAAAGTGCACTTTCCCTTCATATCTAAGTATATAAAATTTGTTGACAATTGAATATCAAACAATGATAATTGACTCTCAATATTTTCCTATTGCAGTGAGAGTTTTAATATTATTCAAAATCAATTACGTTTTTATTCCAATAATTATTTTTACATGAAGAAAGACAATTTCATATCTACACTCTGTAAACTTCTTTATAATCAGAGGAGCAATTAGTTATTTTACTTAGAGAATAAATTAATTAAAACACATAATTTATTTTTCCACTGGTATTTTAGTATGGTTAACTTAACCTTAAGGAAGCACTTGAGCTGTAAACTGACGGCTCTGCTGAGAACTGGGAAAGCAAAAATGAATGCAACCTTGATCCTGTTTTCAAATTTAAAATCTAGTATATATTGTTAGTAAAGTTCTGATAGATGTCATGGGGAATCCAAAACTCAGAGGGATTTTTTCTTGCCTCTAAAGAGTTTACAGTCTGGTTGGGGGCTTAAAACATGAAAACATACACAGTAAGTGGCAAGATGAGTTAGTCTCAATTAAAGTGCTAAATTACAGGGACAGATGCTACAGGATGTCAGGGGTGGGATGAGCTGCGTGGCCAAATATGCCTACTGAGAATGGGGAGCTTGTGATGCACTGTAAAGGAAAAGTAGGGCTTGACTAAGTAGAAAGGAGAGAGGGCACATACGTTTACTGCAAAGAATCACGTTTTAAACAATGATTTAGAAATGAGTAAATGCCTGGTATGTGAAAAGTTTGGGAAATTCAGTGGACAATGAATAATAGGCAGGTCTAGAGAGAAAGGAGAGAAGAGAAAGAAAGCAGAGGTCAGACTACGTCAGATTCCTAAGGGTAGTTTAAAAAATAAGCTAAAACAGCCAAGCCAGTGGAAAGTTTGAATATATTCTCTTTTTCCCTTTACTCACTTATCAGGGCCACTCCCCACCCTTCTCTCCCTTGCCCTTTACCCCAAGACTGGCCCGGAGGATTACGTCTAAGGGCTCTTCTGCCTTCTGGCTTGCAGTTAGAGTCAGCCCGGGGAGAGAGGGAGCAGGAGACCAGAAAGAAGTAACAGAGTGGAGATCATAGTGTTTCTTCCCTGGCATCCTCTGCAGAATTGCTGGCTGAATCTAAGTCTGAAGGTTGCAGCTCCTGTCAGATGGCCCTGTCCACACAGCCCTCTGGGTCGTGAGGTCTAGAAAGCACGTCCACCTTTCATTATTTAGGCCTGCAGGAGGTGCCTGTGCCCTGCCCTTAGCCCCAGGATATTCCATCTGATTTGCCTACAACCTTAATAGGTAGTTTCTTCATTCGTTCTCATAGTACCCAAGTGCCATGTGGTATCTCTTTTCTGGTAGGTTCCTGACTGGTAGAGAGGGAAATAATGAAGGAATTGTTTTAAGAAGGTTAATATTGTGGCCGAAATAGATAGATTGACAAACTAGAACTAGGGAGAAAATTAACCAACAGAAATGAGCATTTAAGTGCCAAATCAAGGTAAAGAAAGTACAGTTGCCATTGGGAGATTGATTAGTGACCAAAAGTGATGAACAACAAAAACAACAACAAAACATTAAACATAAACTAAATAGTCATGAGGATTTCAAGAATATAAGAATTGGACGGGAATTGGAATTTAGTTACATAAAAAATCAACACGTATAGGATGAAATTTGAGTCACTAGTAAAATTCTAGTATCATACACAAAGTAGAGGATAAAGATCTCTAAATTAGAGGAGAGAAAAAGAATTTTAGATTGCAAGTTTTAGATTACATTCCTATGTTCATGGAGTAATGTCTAGTAGAACTTTGAGATGTGACTGGCATTACAGAAATAGGTCAGAAATGGAGAACAGTTTAGGAATATTCCAAATAGTAGTGACACCATGTCATCAGAGTTGATGAGTTCTCAGGCAACGCAGCCACCTAAAGTGAAGAACAGAGACCTGAGGACGAAATCCTTGGAAAAGACTCCCACTAAGCAAGCCTGAGAATAAAAAGAAGGCAGTAAGAGGAACTGAGAAAAAAATTCCAGAGAGATAGTTGGAAAAGGACTCATAGGGTAACAATTAATAAAGAGGCTATTTCAGTGCTGTGTAGCTTATCATGTGGTTCAATCAAAGCATTTCTGTTTAATAGTCAATAATTTGTGATATAATTTTTGTCATGATAAGTATTATAACATGATTAAAATAGGAAAAGGAATATTATTTCTTTGGATGGCCCAACACATCCAAGTGGTATCAACTGCTCTTCCCTCTCTGGGTTTTGGTTTCAATGTAGAGGATTCTCATCAACTGAATATTCTTCTCAGTATAGATATGCATGTAGAGGGATGGTGCTAATGACTTCACTGTAACAAAGATATGGATAATTTGGAACCCTCATTCATTATTGTTTTGCAAGTTCTTCTGGAGGAAATAAGTCAGGTGGGGATTTTCACGTATCACCTGTTCAAGCAATATGTGAAGTGCAATAGCACCCAGATCCCTCCCATCCTTAACAGACACTGGACCTTTTAAAACTATTTTTCAGCACTCCTTTTATTTAGCGTTAGGTCAGTTCCTTGCTTTTACTCTGTTTTGAGGCTACTGTAATAGAAAATGGGGCAAGAAGAATGTCATTGAAATATTTAGCTTGCTAAATTAAAAAGAAAGTAAAAGCAAAATACTTTTTTTTCCTGGTTATATTTCAGTGACTAGTTTTAATTAAAAACTCTATTCACTGATTTTTTTTAAAAAAGATTTTTACTACCTGATCTTTATGCATTCAGTATGGCCTATGTGCGAAAGAAGGGGTTTGATTATAGAACATAATGATGTAATGATATTCTGTAGAGGACAAGTCTGTCTACATGCAAAATTACTTAATGCAAGGTTACTTAAGACCCTTTGCATTTCAGTTGGATTATGTCATCTACCTTATGGATTTGCAAAAAAAAGTCGACAGAGACAACTTGTGGAAACTTGTGGAATCAAGGGACAATTGGTGTTCAGGGAAGGGAGTGGCATGGAAGATTGAGAAAGAACCACAGGAAACAAGATGTAGAGGGTCCAGTAAATAAACTCTCTGCATGTAAAAAAATGTACTGAGTAGTTATAATTTATACTTACTGTTAATAGCCTGATAAAATGATACCTGTGCAAGAAAGTAGAGCTAAGGTGTAAAAAGAGAAGAAATGATTATAGTTTTTTGAGAAAAGAGATCAGAGAAATAACAATATAACAATTTAACATATACCTGCCATTTAATATATAGATTTGATAATCTTAAATATTTGAAAAATCTATATAAATATAATCAGGTTTTTAAAAAAATACTAAAAATAAATATCTGTTGTTATAATTTTTTAGCATTTAATACAAATCTTTTCCTCAGTCATTCTGTATGTGACTCTAAGCTCACACAGTTAACAAAGGACAGGAATTGAGTCAGCTGACACATTAGAGCCAAACTGCCTAACTTCCAACATTGACCCTACCAGTTACCATCTGTGTGGCCTTAAGAATGTGCCTTAGCCTTCTGGGTCTCATTTTTCTTATTTTTTAAAATGACTATTTTAACAAACTACTTCATAGGGTAATTATGAGAATTCAGTGAGTCTTGAGCATGGTGCTTAATAGGAAGCATATTATGCCTTAAATAAAATAAGACAAAAAAGACTGATGTTGCAAGATTCATATATATATATAAAATACTCATATGATTTGCAGCTACAAATATATATATATATATATATATATATATATATATATATATATATTTTTTTTTTTTTTTTTTTTTTTTTGAGACAGGGTCTCACTCTGTCACCCAGGCTGGAGTGCAATGGTATGATCTCAGCTCACTGCAACCTCTACCTCCTGGGTTCAAGCGATTCTCCTGCCTCAGCCTCCCCAGTGGCTGGGATTACAGGCACACACCATCATGCCCAGCTAATTTTTGTATTTTTAGTAGAGATGGTGTTTCCTCATGTTGGCCAGGGTGGTCTTGAGCTCCTGGCCTCAGTGATCCACCCATCTCAGCCTCCCAGAGTGCTGGTATTACAGGTATGAGCCACTGTGCCTGGCCCAAAAATATACTTTTAAATTAAGAGAACTGTACTCATATCAAGGGGAAAAAATAATTATTTGAAGTTACATTATTTTTTAGAATGTATGTAAGTATTGAATCCAGGTGTCCTGGTTGGCTCTCCTATTGCCTAGCTATGGGAACCTGAGCAGTGAAGAGCTTCACTCGTCCCAGGTTGCTGTGAAGACTGATACAGATGAAGTGCCTGGCAGCAGAAGGTGTTCCACAATTGCCAGTAGTTTATTTCTTCTTCAACAAATCCATCCCTCTCTACCCTCTTGGGCCATGAATTCTGAGTATCAAAATTCTCTCTCCCCATATCTAAAGATCAGTGATTTGGGGGAAATTTGTTTTTAATTTGATTCTATACAGCACTTTTTTTCTTTGGGAAATGCTGTTCACATCAAGGATGTCATCTTTTCTTGGGAGAAACCATCCTGGTTAGTTTTCCCTTAAGGTTTACAATGGATATACAGTTCCAAGAGTATAAAGAGATCTTTGTCAGTTGTGAGATTATGAATCCAAGGTTCAAGGTTCTGAAGTTTTGCTGTAGTGTGAATGGCAAGGACAGTCTTTCTATGATGTTCTCATAAGATCCAATCTTCGGGTTCTAGATTGTGAAGGGGTTGTCCTCAGTGAACCACAAAAAGCTTTCTTTACCTGGTGAAAATATACTGTAACATAATAATCTACTGTTATAACATCAACACTCTTGCATGGGAAAGCTTTTATACAATCAGAAAACATTCATTGAAAATGACAATTGGGCTGGGCATGGTGGCTCATGCCTGTAATCCCAGCGCTTTGGGAGACTGAGGTGGGTGGATCACCTGAGGTCAGGAGTTTGAGACCAGCCTGGCCAACATGGTGAAACCTGTCTCTACTAAAAATAAAAAAAATTAGCCAGTGTGGTAGCAGGCACCTGTAATACCAGCCACTGGGGAGGCTGAGACAGGAGAATCGCTTGAATCCAGGAGATGGAGGTTGCAGTCAGCTGAGATTGTGCCATTACACTCCAACCTGGGCAACAAGAGCAAAACTCTATCGCAAAAAAAAAAAAAAAAGGAAATGACAATTGAATGAAATTTCTTTATAAATGTTTATGTGGCCAATCAGGTAGCCAAATGTACCTGAAGCTTTGATTGTCTTCCTGGGAATATGGAACCACACATTGGTTTTAAACTATTTCTGCAATTTATAAGTCACCTCATCAATATATTCAAATTGGATCATTTTATATTTTCCATGATAAGTCATGGAATGCAGAACCTTTAATAGCAGAAGCTTTAAGGACTCAGGAAGGACAAGGCAGCCATCCTGGTTCTCCGTGAGTCCATGCTTAACATTGGATTTATGTCCTCTTGAATACCAGTTGATTCTCCAATTTAGGTATATAGCACTGATAACTAAGGGGTTATCACAGGTAATTTGACTTAGACTGTGGAGTTCAAATTGTACACCTAAACAATTTCAGTATCAGCTGGTTTAACATGAATATCTGGAAAAGTATTTTCTTGGTATTTAATTAATTTTTGTTCTACTTGGGTTAGCATTTTTATACAAGGAAATTTGGTTACTTCTATGGTGTACAATAACATAATAACGTTAATTATGATTGACAGCATATACTCAGACATATTAGAATTTTAGAAATCCCATACAATTTTGAAACATATCTTAATATCATTCACTAAAATATAACCTGAAGATTAAACATTATTTTTATGTTGACAATGCTTCCCATGTAACTTAACTTGTTAAAGAATTCTGTTTACCTGTCTTTGGGATGCTTTAAGTGCCCTCTGTATCATCCCAAAGTTAGAGATCAGAAAAGACCATTTTGAAGCTTAAATTTGATTTTGGGAGGCCTATTAAATATGTTAAATGTTTAAAACACTTGATATTGTAAACTAGAATTCCAGGTTACCATAAGGCATTCATTTAGCCAAAATGATGACTCAAAAATTTTTTAAAAGGCAAAAACCTTTACTCATTGATAAAGGGAAGACTTAGATTTGCAAGCAGTCTGTCTTTTGTCTTTCCCTTCTTTATTTGTGTGTGTAGTGTATTTAAAAGGCAAACAAAAATTTTTCTTTTTTTTATTTCTTTTTTTTCTTTTTAAGATGGAGTCTCACTGTCTGGCACAGGCTGGGGTGCAGTGGTATGATCTCGACTCACTGCAACCACTGCAACTCCTAATCTCAAGTGATCTGCCCTCCTCAGCCTCCCAAAGTGCTTTACAGGCATGAACCACCATGCCAGGCCAAAATTTTTCATTATCTTTTAATATTACATGAAAATCTTGTTGAAGAGAGAAAGCCAAATTTCACCCTTGCACTAGTGGACTATTAATGTCAACCCCAATTTTCAGTAAACCTTGTATACAAATCTATCCAATCCTAATCAATTTGACCATAAGGTGAGATTTTTATAAACCTTTTATAACCCTTTACAAATTTTTGTTAAAGAGAAAACTTGTGCTTTAAGAAAACCCTGTTGTGCTTTTATTTACATGTCCAATTTACTGAAAAACAAATAATATCCCTTTAGTGAATATTTTCACACAGAGTGTTTTCACAAGGTTAATTTTTATATACCTTCCACAACTTGTTTAAACCTTTAGTTTATTTAATTTAAAACAATCCTTTAACCTAAACTAAGCAAACATTTACATTCTCATACCTTCTAATAATCTCTTACCAAAACACATTTCATTCTCCTTACACACCTTGTATGTAAACCTATTTTTTCAGTAGTCTCAATTACATGTTATAGTGGTAATTTTTAACAATTTTCACTTTTGGTGCATAAATTTTCTTTTATAAATCCTTTCACAACTTATACAGGCTATCTACGACATCCTTGGACTTTCTGACTTGTCCTAAACATCCCTCTTTTTAAACAACCCGTCACTTTAGGACAAGAATTTACCATGAATTATATGAATTATCTTTTCTTTATAACTTTCTTTGCATAGCAAGGAAGCATGGCTAATTCCACATATCCCTAGGCCTTATTTAGAATTTAATGTCTCCAAAATAAATTGAACAATTTTCAAAAGTTAAAGCAGTTTATGACCTTAAAGCATTTAGCAAACCTAATATCTGACCTGCATAAGTTAGACCAAATGTTTTTATTTTACTAATAATCTTTAAAGCTGTTCTTATTTCCCAAAGGTTACTAAAGTTACAACTAAAAGACATTACTGTTTTTATTTCACTTTCAAAATATTTGATTTAAGTGCTTATTTTTGTTTAAGCCAATTAATTAGCACTTTTTTATATAAACATTACATACACAACACATATGTAACTACACAGACAGACAGAACGAGATTACTACAATAGTTGTAAGATTTTTCATTTGCCTGTTTTTAAGTTTCTTAATTGGTTATTGGCTTTGGGGTGGGGTCCTTGGAAGAACAGAGCCAGGAAAGGCTCTCTGGTGCCTCCTGTTTTTCCTAAGGAGTCCAGACTGTGAGAGTTTGAATAACCGCTTTTAATTAAGCTGAGTTTTAACCACAGGACTCTTTAATAAAGTCCTTTTAAAATTTAGTATTACCTGACTTTAGATAGGCCAAATGGCTGATATTTCTCACTTTTGAACTTTACGAAAGGTAACCTTCCAGGTGCTCGGAGAAAGGAAAATTTAAGACAGTCCGTGGACAAGAAGAGAATCGACAAGGATACACAGACATTAAACCAGAAAAGACTCATTTTTTAAGCTGAGAATCAAACCTCGACTGCCACTGTGAAAGGGAAAAAATCTTAGCTACTGAGCTACAGCACAGGCTGGTCTAAATTGCCATTGCCAGTTGGAGTCTGTAGTAGTTAATTTTGAGATTGCAAAGGCTTTTAACTACTCCAGATAATTTTTAGAGCTAATTACGACCTGAACCCTAAAATTCCTGTACCCTGGAAGGCAGAGACCAAGAGAAAGTACCCCCATGTGGTTACAAGGTTAAGCTCTCAAAGACATAAAACAAGATGGAGACCTCATCAGTTTTTTTGTTTATTTCAGGGACCTGCAGCAAAGTTTGTTAGTGACCATCTTGCTGGGTCATCTTGAGCAGTGAGCTTATGGGGGCCTAAGCCCGTATTTTTTCCTAAGGTACTCCTGGACACAGAAAAACAAATTCATAGCACAAAATGCACCAGATTTATTACAGCTTAAGACTAGCCTCAGAATTCTTTTTTGCATTAATCAAAACTTTACAGGGGAGATAAAGTGATTTTTACCATTCATTCCACTGTTTTTGCACAGGGAGAGAAAAGCCAGAAATCTGACTGGTAAGAAACTCTTACCCTTTTGCCAGGATGCCAGGTTTCTGGGTTTTCTTTCCTTGAGCGGCCCTAGTGACCCAGCTCACCATACCATAGCCATGGAGGCCAACCCACAACACAGAAGAAAATCTTTTTCTTTTTTTTTCACTGTGTTGTTGTTCATTTGGAATGTTCTACTATAAGTTATCTTTAGTAAGATTTTGTCATTTCTGTAAGACTTTACTGCCTCCTAGGCCTAATGTATAAGCCAGAAGGAACTCAGTTTTCCAAAAATTGAGGATCCCATTTTTTATCTAAAATATTGGCTTTACTCTCAGGTTCTCTTCATTAACTTAGTCAATGATTTTTCCTACCTAAGCATGCAAGAAAAATGACACAAAGGGATAGAACACAAAAATCCCTGTGAATTTTTTAAAGCCAAATTTTATAACCCCTGCAATACTACTGCTTCCTACCAGTCCCTTTCTGACCCAGTCAGAGGTAAGAGACCTCTAACTAAATTCAAGACAGTTAATTCCCAAATACAATTTGTTCCCGGACCCAGTCCAGTTTCTATCATGACTTGCAAACCCAGTTTGGATGAGAAATGTGCTCAAAGAAACTCAGAGAGCTCAAAACACAAATCTGTGGAGCTCCAAAATCTGAAAGGGAGCTTACCCACGATCCCCAGCTGCTCTGAGAGATCAATGGACACAAATGGGTCCTGCAGGTACCTTGCGGGTTCAGTGCTCCTGGGGGTTGCTAGAAGCTTTACTTTGGATCCCACTTCTGACACCATCTGTTAGAAGAAAAACTTCAGCTGAATTAAATTTAATGGAGTTTAATTGAGCAATGAACCATTCATGAATCAAGCAGCCCCAGAATCACAGTGGATTCACAGAGACTCCAGCCCAGCCACATGGTGGAAGAAGTTTTATTTATAGACAAAAAAAAAAAAAAAAAAGAGAAATGACATACATAAATCGGCAGTGAGGTACAGAAACAACTGGATTGGTTACGGGTTGGCATTTGCCTTATTTGAACAGAATTTGAACACTTAGCAGTCAATGGGTGGTTAAATTATGGCCATTGGGATTGGCCAAGACTCCGTTATTGTTACAGGTGCCTACTTCTAAGTTAGGTTTTCAGTCTTGTCTGACTATTAAGCTAGGTTACAATTCATCCACAGGGACTCAAATATAGTAGTACAGAGTCCTTCTCAGGTCATATTTAGTTTGCTTTAACCGTTTCTAGTAAGTTCCTTATTAAAATGCAACATAGGCCAGGTGCAGTGGCTCACACCTATAATCCCGGCACTTCGGGAGGCTGAGGCAGGGAGATTGCTTGAGCTCAGGAGTTCAAGACTAGTCTGGCCAACATGGCAAAACTCTGTCTTTACAAAAAAAAAAAAAATACAAAAATTAGCCTGACGTGGTGGTGCATGCCTGTAGTCCCAGCTACTTTGAGGGCTGAGGAAGGAGGATCACTTGAACCCAGGAAGTTGGGGCTGCAGTGAGCCTGGATCATGCCACTGCATTCCAGCCTGGGTGACAGACTGAGACCCTGTCTAAAACACACAAACAAAACAAAACAAAAAACACAATATAAATAATTGTTGAACATTATGTTTTTATTAGATGTCGAAATATAAAAACTAGAAGCAGAATGTTAAAAACATAAGATTAAGTTTCAGGATAAGCTTTCCTCCTTTGATAGAATTACTTTCTAATTACAGGTTTCTTTTTCTTTTCTGATGTGATGTTTAATTTTATGTGTCAACTTGACTGAACTAAGAGATGCAGAGTTAGCTGGTGAATTGTTTTTTCTAGGTGTGTCTGTAAGGGTTATTTCAGAAGAGATTAGCATTTAAATAAATAGACTGAGTAAAGAAGATCACCTTCACCAATGTGGGCAGCCAACATCCAATCTACTGATAATCTGAATAAAACAAAAAGGCAGAGAAAAGGTAAATTTGCTCTCTCTGTTTGAGCTAAGACATATATCTCCTGCCCTTCAGACATCAGTGCTCCTGGTTCTGTTTTTCTGGAGAACCTTGACTAATATGCCTGCTTTGAAGAATTCCTAGTCTAAGGCAGGAATTATAAACTTTTAGCTTGGTTCTGCTACTTGAGATAAATTATTATGAAAATTTACCGCTTAGGCATCCAAAAAATATAAACACTTTAAAAGATCCTTATCTGTTCTGTTAAGTGATTGTATTCTGGTATCTTCCTTATGATCAATTCACTTTTATAGACAGTTTTAACATCTACTATGTGTTCATTTGGCAATTAATACAAAATAGTTTCTGTATTGGAGATAATGATGATGGAGTGGGAATGGGTAGAAATGCATCTGATAGCTTCAGTTTAATGCTATGAATAGAGTGACTAAAGTAAGCAAAGTTCATTGTGGGCGCAAGAAGTTGGAGCAGCAGACCCAGATTAGAGAGCTGAGGAGAGACTTCCTAGGGTTAGTGGAGCTCCTTTTATATGTGTTCCTTGTAAGATGTCACCTGGAAAGAATGATCAAAATTGTGATGGTATTATATATAGTGGTTTCAACCTTGATGATCATTCTTCCAATTAAAAATAATGTTTATATTTACTTTAGTGTCCTTGTCAACTATGATGACTACAATTTATTTCTCCTTATAAGCTTGTCATTTGTGTGAAAACCATGCATATTTGTATATAATAATACTAGCAGTTGAAACTTTTTTCTATTTTTAAGCTTTTTTTCAGATAATTTTTAAATGAATTGTTTTTGCCCACCTTTAGAACTTGGTATGCATAATTTGAATTGGGCAACATGTATAGCTAGTTGAATACATTATTCAAAATCAGGACATGCTGGCTGGCTTTGGTTCCTTAAAGAGGTGACTAAGATGTTACTCAGCCAACATGTAAATAAATACACACAGTCACAAACAAAATTGTTTTCAGTAAAATTAGGTAAGTAATTGTTTTTTTCAAAGCGTTTACATTATATTCACATAGAATAGTATGACATCCAACGAACACAGTTCTGTTATTCTTCTATTATTAGTAGAAAATAAACCAAAAATTATTTAGAGCAGGACCATGAAATTTTACCAAGGCAAACAAAATTCCTAACCTTTGGTACTTTACTCCTAAAAGAGCTTAATGGATAACATATTTTACTTATACTCAACATATAAATATAACAAGCCTGGAAATGGAATTTCCAAGGCCAAAGAAAATTAAATGTAAAACATTAGCAGGCAACAGAGAAGATATACTAAGAGGAAATTAATCAATTTTTAAAAATCTAATACTATAATTTTTAAGGTACTTTACAGTTCACAAATATCAAATCTTATTATACTCTTTTATACCATATATTACATAAAATATCACTGTTACTTTATGTTGAGTATTAAAAAGTATTTTATTTTATTTTTTTATTATACTTTAAGTTTTAGGGTACATGTGCACAACGTGCAGGTTTGTTACATATGTATACATGTGCCATGTTGGTGTGCTGCACCCATTAACTCGTCATTTAACATTAGGTATATCTCTTAATGCTATCCCTCCCCTCTCCCCCCACCCCACAACAGGCCCCGGAGTGTGATGTTCCCCTTCCTGTGTCCATGTGTTCTCTTTGTTCAATTCCCACCTATGAGTGAGAACATGTGGTGTTTGGTTTTTTTGTCCTTGCGATAGTTTGCTGAGAACGATGGTTTCCAGCTTCATCCATGTCCCTACAAAGGACATGAACTCATCATTTTTTATGGCTGCATAGTATTCCATGGTGTATATGTGCCACATTTTCTTAATCCAGTCTATCATTGTTGGACATTTGGGTTTGTTCCAAGTCTTTGCTATTGTGAATAGTGCCACAATAAACATACATGTGCGTGTGTCTTTATAGTAGCATGATTTATAATCCTTTGGGTATATACCCAGTAATGGGATGGCTGGGTCAAATAGTATTTCTAGTTCTAGATGCCTGAGGAATCACCACACTGTCTTCCACAATGGTTGAACTAGTTTACAGTCCCACCAACAGTGTAAAAGCGTTCCTATTTCTCCACATCCTCTCCAGCACCTGTTGTTTCCTGACTTTTTAGTGATCGCCATTCTAACTGGTGTGAGATGATATCTCATTGTGGTTTTGATTTTCATTCCTCTGATGACTAGTGATGATGAGCATTTTTTTCCTGTGTCTGTCAGCTGCATAAATGTCTTCTTTTGAGAAGTGTCTGTTCATATCCTTCGCCCACTTGTTGATGGGGTTGTTTGTTTTTTTCTTGTAAATTTGTTTAAGTTCTTTGTAGATTTCGGATATTAGCCCTTTGTCAGATGAGTAGATTGCAAAAATTTTCTCCCATTTTGTAGGTTGCCTGTTCACTCTGATGGTAGTTTCTTTTGCTGTGCAGAAGCTCTTTAGCTTAATTAGATCCCCTTTGTCAATTTTGGCTTTTGTTGCCATTGCTTTTGGTATCTTAGTCATGAAGTCCTTGCCCATGCCTATGTCCTGAATGGTATTGCCTAGGTTTTCTTCTAGGGTTTTTATGGTTTTAGGTCTAACATGTGAGTCTTTAATCCGTCTTGAATTAATTTTTGTATAAGGTGTAAGGAAGGGATCCAGTTTCAGCTTTCTACATATGGCTAGCCAGTTTTCCCAGCACCATTTATTAAATAGGGAATCCTTTCCCCATTGCTTGTTTTTCTCAGGTTTGTCAAAGATCAGATAGTTGTAGATATGTGGCGTTATTTCTGAGGGCTCTGTTCTGTCCCACTGGTCTATATCTCTGTTTTGGTACCAGTACCATGCTGTTTTGGTTACTGTAGCCTTGTAGTGTAGTTTGAAGTCAGATAGCGTGATGCCTCCAGCTTTGTTCTTTTGGCTTAGGATTGACTTGGCAATATGGGCTGTTTTTTGCTTAAATGTTAAAAAGTATTTTTCACATAAGATAATGGGATAATAATTTTATAGTTTTTAAAAAATTAAAGTAAATAATAGGAATTATCTGGGGACTTGATCAAATGAATGAAACTCTAGATTTGAGGATGGCAGTTTCAATCTTTGAGCTAAATCTAGGCTGCAGTCTCTTTTTCTTAATAAAGTTTTTATGGAACACAGCCACATCCATTCACTATATATCATTTATGACTGCTTTCTGCTAAAACAGCAGAGTAGAATAATTGTGACAGAAACTATATGGTCTGCAAAACTGAAAATATGTACTATATTGTCTATTACAGAAGAAGTTTGCTAATCACCTCTCTAAATGGAAACTACTGAAGAAATGAGTAAAATATTAGAAAACATTCTTGTAAACACATTGTTGATTTGGCAATAAAACAAAAAATTCCCAGAAACTTAGGTAATAATCAGTTGGATAATATCATTAATTAAAAGATTCTATTTAAGTAGCTATACAAAAGATTGAGCACTTAAGAAAAATATAGTACACTGTAAGCCAGTACTTTTGGAAGAACATTATACATTTTCTTTGAAAGATATCACAGAAGGGTTCAATATAGCTAAATTACATTCATGAACAGAAACATTCAATATCTTAAAGATAAGTGTCCCCTAATGATTTATACATTTCATGCAATTCCATTGGAAAAAAAAATCCAAACAGGTTCCTTGTGGAACTTGAAAAGGTAATTTTAAAAACTATACCAAAGAGCAAAAGGCTAAGAATACACTAGATATCCCTAAAGAAGATACTTGGGAAAGAGGAGCTTTTCCTATTAGGTATAAAAACACAAAATAAAGCTATAATAATTAATACTGGGCACTAGCGACTGATAGGTAAGCACACTGATATGTAAGCAATTCCAAAAATGAGGTCCAAGTAAAAAAAAAAAAAAATCTTTTTTTTTTTTTTTTTTTTTTTTTTTTTTGAGACAGAGTTTTGCTCTTGCTGCCCAGGCTGCAGTGCAATGGCACTATGTCGGCTCACTGCAACCTCCGCCTCCCAGGTTCAATGGATTCTCCTGCTTCAGCCTCCCAAGTAGCTGGGATTACAGGCGTGTGCCACCACCCCGGCTAATTTTGTATTTTTAGTAGAGAAGGGGTTTCTCTCCATGTTGGTCAGGCTAGTCTTGAACTTCCGACCTCAGGTGATCTGCCTACCTCGGTCTCCCAAAGTGCTGGGATTACAGGCTTGAGCTACTGCACCCAGCCACAAAAGAACTCGATGTAGAACAGTGACATGAAGAGCAGTGAGTAATGTGGGTTCATTCATTTGGGTAAGGGCAGTTGGTTATACAGACAGAAAAGATAAAACTGCATGCCTACTTTACACCATTCATAAAACTTAATTTAGGCATCACATGCCTAATGATGAAAGGAAAGACTTCGAATATTTTAGGTGCTCTTTTCTTCATGGTATCATAACAGAAAACACCTTAAGTAACAGACTTACAGAAGGAAACTATATTGATACCTGTTTAAAATCAGCAGCCATTTGTTCATCCAGAGATATTCTAAGTAAATGAAAAGACAAGGCACACACTGAGTGAAGATATCTGCATCATACACAAATGGCAAAGGATTAATACCTGGAATGTATAGTGATCAACAAATCAAAAAGGACAATATAATGAAAATTACAAAATATATAAATTGGTCTATTACAGAACAGAAACTATGAAATAAATTGGCAAGTACAAGTATGTTCAACCACTTTAGCAATCAAGGAAATGTACCATAAATAATTTGTACATTTAAAAATAAATCTCAGTAAATAACAAAAATGTACAGTGAATATTATTTCTTACACCAAATTGGCAAATGAAAAAAAATTAGACAATATATAATGATGGAGAAATTGTGAAGAAATAAACATTGGAGGTGTTCCTACTGCTGATATGAATATAAGAATTTGTGTTTTGGAAAACGGGTTGGTATTAGATGCTCTAGTGCTAACATGGCTTATAACAAAGAAATCGTATCCATAGTCATATATTTTAGAGATACTATTATATATCAAATGAGGTAACATGTACAAGAATGCTTCTATCACAATTGCTTCATAGCTAAATGCTGATAAAAATATAAATGTTCATCAACAAAAGAATGAATAAGTAATTTGAGTATAGCATACAACAATGGAAAATGAATGGACTACATTAAACATTAACATGGTTGCATATGCTACCTTTATCTAAATGGGAGAAATTTGGTTTCTTTATCCAGATAGTGGGCCCAAAGTAATTCATTTTATCATTATTTTTCAATGGATATATGATTATAAAAGTAGAGCATATAGTTAAGAAACTTAATCTCTTTAATGAATATGGAGCAAAAATAAAATTCAAAGTGTTTATTTTAACTATACACAAAAATTGTTTAATTTAGTCTGCTAGTATTTTTGTTTAGTAGTATTCTGTTTGCTTATATGTTTTAGGGTCTGGCGATACACATGTAGGTTTAACACAGGCAAATTGCGTGTTGCTGAGTCTTGGTGTATGAATGGTCCCATCACCCAGGTAGTGAGCACAGTACACAACAGGTAGCCTTCCAACCCACACCCTCCTCCTACCCACTCAAGCAGTCCCCAGGGTCTATCAGTCCCATATTTGTGTCCATGTGTATTCAATGTTTAGCTCCCACTTATGAGGAAGAACATAAAGTATTTGGTTTTCTGTTTCTTCATTAATTTACTTAGATAATGGCCTACAGATCCATTCATGTTGCTGCAAAGGACATGATTTTGTTCTTTTGTATGGTTTTGTGTTAGTTCATGGTGTATATGTACCACATTTTCTTTATCCAGTCCACCATGATGGGCATCTTGGTTGATTCCATGTCTTTGCTATTATGAATAGTACTGTGATTAACATATGAGTACATGTGTCTTTTTGGTAGAATAATTTATTTTCCTTTGGGTATATACCCAGTAGTGGGATGGTTGGGTTGAATAGTGGTTCTGTTTTAAGTTCATTGAGGAATCCCTACACTGCTCACCACAGTGGCTAATTTACATTCCCACCAGCATTGTGGGAATGTAACCTCACCAACATCTGTTGTTTTATGACTTTTTAATAATAGCCATTTTGACTGGTGTGAGATGGTATTTCATTGTGATTTTTATTTGCATTTCTCTAATAATTAGTAATGAGCATTTTAAAATATATTCACTGGTCACATGTATGTCTTCTTTTGAGAAGTGTCTGTTCATGTCCTTTGCCCATTTTTAATGGGGTTTTTGCATGTTGAATTATTTAAGTTGCATATAGGTTCTGGATATTAGATCTTTGTCATATGCATAGCTTATGAATATTTTCTCACATTCTGTATGTTGTCAGTTTACTCCGTTTATAGTTTCTTTTGTTGTGTAGAAGCTCTTTAGCTTAATTAGGTCCTACTTGTCAAGTTTTGTTTTTGTTGCAATTACCTTTGGGGACTTAGTTATAAATTATTTGCCATGGCTGATATCCAGAATGATATTTTCTAGGTTGTCCTCTAGGGTTTGTATTGTTTTAGGTTTTACATTTAAGTCTTTAATCCACCTTGAGTTAATTTTTGTATATTGTAAAAGAAATGGGTCCAGTTTCCATTTTCTTCATATGACTAGTCAGTTATCCCAGCACCATTTACTGAATAGGCAGTCCTTTCCCTATAGTTTGTTATTGTCAACTCTGTTAAGGATGGTGGCTGTAGGTATATGGCTTTATTTCTGCATTTTCTATCCTGTTCCATTGGTCTATGTATCTTCTTTTGTACTAGTACTATGCTGTTTTGGTTACTATAGCCTTATAGTATATTTTGAAGTTAGATAATGTGATGCCTCCAGCTTCGTTCTTTTTGCTTAAAATTTGTTTGGCAATTCAAGCTATTTTTTGGTTCCATATGAATTTTGTAATTGTTTTTTCTAATTCTGTGAAAAAATGATGTTGGTAGTTTCATAGGAATAGCATTGACTATAATTGCTTTGGGCCGTATGGCCATTTTAACAATATTTATTCTTGCTATCCACGAGCATGGAATATTTTTCCATTTGTTTGTGTCATCTATGATTTCTTTCAGCAGTATTTTGTAATTCTCATTGTGAAGATCTTTTACCCCCTTCATAAGCTGCATTCCTATGTGTTTTACTCCTTTGTGGCTATTGTAAATGGAATTGCTTTCCCCAGACTGAACTGGAAGAAACTGAAATCCTGAACAGACCAATAACCAGTTCCAAAATTGAATCAGCAATAAAAAACCTACTAACCAAAAATAGTCCTGGACCAGATGGATTCATAATTGAATTCTACCAGACATATAAAGTAGAGCTAGTACCATTCCTAGTGAAATTATTCCACAAAATCAAGGAGGAGGAACTTCCTGATTGTATGAAGCCAGCATCATTTTGATGCCAAATCCTGGCAGAGCTATAATGAATAAAGAAAACTTCAGGCCAATATTTCTGATGAAATAGATACAAAGATCCTCAACAAAAATACTAGCAAATTGAATCCAGCAGCACATATAAAAGTTAATTCACCACAATCAACTAGGCTTTTATTCCTGGGGTACAAGACTATCTCAACATACACAAATCAATAAATGTGATTTGCCACATAAATAGAATTAATAATAAAAACCACATGATCATCTCAATAGATGCAGAGAAAGCTTTTGATAAAATTCAACATTTCTTCATGTGAAAAACCTTCAAGAAGCATTTATGAGGAATTTAAACAAATTTACAAGGAAAAACAAACAACCTCATTAAAAAGTAGGCAAAGGACATAAACAGACACTTTTCAAAAGAAGACATATATGTGGCCAACAAGCATATGAAAAAAAACTCAACATTACTAATCATTAGAGAAATGCAGATCAAAACCACAATGAGATACCATCTCACGCCAGTCAGAATAGCTATTATTAAAAGTCAACAAATAACAGATTCTGGCAAGATTGTGAGAAAAATGGAACACTTATACATTTTTGGTTGGGAGTGTAAATTAGTTCAACCATTGTGGAAAGCAGTGTGGTGATTCCTCAAAGAGCTAAAAACTGAACTACCATTCAACCCAGCAATCCCATTACTGGGTATATAACCAAATAAATATAAATCATCCTATTTGCATTAATGTTCATCAGGAATATTGGCCTGTAGTTTCTTTATTTTTAAAAAAATTTATTTATTTATTTTTTTGGCTGTGTCCTAGTCTTGTTTTGCTGTGTGGGTAATGCTGACCTTATAGAATGAGTTTGTAAGTATTCCCTTTTCTTTTTCTTCTTCTTATTCTTCATTCTTTTTGGAAGGATTTCATAAGAGTTTATATTAGTTAGTTCCTTAAATTTTTGTTAGAATACAGCAGTGAAGCTGTAATGTCCTGGGCTTTTGTTTGATGGAGGACTTTTTATTATGGCTTTGATTTTGTTACTCATTATTTGTTTGTTGAGATTTTCTATTTCTTCATGGTTCTATCTTGGTAGGTTATATGTGTCCAGGAATTTATCCATTTTTTTCTAGGTTTCTGAATTTGTCGTTGTATAGTTGTTTGTAATTCTCTCTAATGATTCTCTGTATCTCTGTGATCTCAGTTGTTATGTCTCCTTTTTCATTTCTTATTTAATTTTGGTCTTCTCTCTTGTTTTTAAATTAATCCAGCTGAAGGTTTCTCTACTTTGTTTATCTTTTCAAAAAACCACCATTTCACTTTGTTGATCTTGTATATATTTTTTTTCAGTCTCAATTTCATTTATTTCTACTCTGATCTTTGTTATTTCCTTTCTTGCTTGCTTTTCTAGTTCCTCCATGTGCATCATTATGTTCTTTATTTGAAGTTTTTCAACTTTTTGAAACAGGTATTTACTTCTATGAACTTATCTCTTAATACTGCTTTTTCTGTATCCCACAGATGTTAATATGTTGCATGTCAATTTTCATTTGTTTCAAGGAATTTTTAAATTTTCTTCTTAAGTTATTCATTGACCTATTGGTCATTCAGGAGAATGTTGTTTAACTTCTGTGGGTTTGTGTAATTTTCGAGGTTCCTCTTGTTAGAATGGCTTTTATAAAAAAAATTCAGAGAATAACAGACGCTGTTGAGGATGTGGAGAAAGAAAAACCCTTGTACACTGTTGATGAGAATGTAAATTAGTATAGCCACTATGGAAAACAGTATAGAGGTTCCTCAGATAACTAGAAATAAAACTAACATATGCTCCCGCAATTCTACTGTTGGGTATTTACCTAAAAGAAAATAAATTAGTATATCAAAGGGATATCCACACTCCTATGCTTATTGCAGCACTATTCACAGTAGCCCAGATACAGAAGCAACCTAAGTGTCCATCAATGGATGAATGAATAAAGAAAATGTGGTATATATACACAATGGAATGTTAATCAGCCATAAAAAAATAAAATCATGTCAACTGCAACAATGTGGTTGGAAATGGAGGTGATTGTGTAACGTAAAGTAATCCAAGCACAGAAAGACAGGTATCACATGTGGGAGCTGAAAGAGTGAATCTCATAAAGATAAAATGTAGGCTGGTGGTTATCAGAGGCCAAGAAGGGTGGGGGTGATGTGTGGTGAAGAGAGGTTGATTAATGGGTACAAATACACACTTAGAATAAATAAGACCTGGTGTTTGATCAGTAGGATGATTATAGTTAACATTAATAGATTGCACATTTCAAAATAGTTAGCGGGGAATAATTAGAATGATCCTAGATAAAAAATAAATATTTAAAGTGATGGACATCCCAGTTACTCTGATTTGATTATATAAATGTATGAAATCATCACATGTATCTAAAAAATATGTGCATCTAATATGTATCAATAAATAAATGCCACATTGAAAAATTTTAAATTATTTTCACATTGAATTTAGGCTGACACAGTTATTTCAATTTATATCTCAGCTTATTCAACTGAATCTTCTTTATAAGACTATATTAAATTCAGAGTAAATGAAAATGTGAGCAATTGAATTTAGTGTTATGTGGGAGAAATGTTTTCCTTTGAATAAGACAGGAGCAATGTTTCTAGTTTATGACAAGAAAAAGTCTGTGATATTAAGCTCCCAAAATGTATCATCTTTTATACAAAATTCAGATCATATCAGAGCAGTCAATTTATACATGGATAAAGCATATAACAAATGAATGATGGTAATCCATTAAGCCAAAGGGTTTTATAACTTCAATAGCTAGTGAACATGTGGTGAGCAGTTGTGTATGAATACATATAAAGTATGCATTTAAATGTACACTCCATTAAGTTTTTAATAAACCTTATGTGCTAACTTTAAAAAATTTATGATTATTTAAATTAGTCACTAACAACTTCTTTAATTAACACTAAATTTCACATTATAACACAGAAATATTTTTAGTTCTTCATGCTCGCTCTTCCAAAAATTGTTAATATGCTTATAGTTATATTTTTTACAGTGTAACATCCAAGTATGGAGGGGCAATTCTACCAAATGATATGCTGAAATAATTATTTCCAGTGACTGAATGATGTTACCCTTATATATCAGACAGATCAATTTCCCCTAATAATAGGAAAATTTTAA
Organism: Homo sapiens; assembly: GCF_000001405.40. Classification (NCBI taxonomy): domain Eukaryota; kingdom Metazoa; phylum Chordata; class Mammalia; order Primates; family Hominidae; genus Homo; species Homo sapiens. The sequence goes on from NC_000008.11 coordinate 87,273,103, forward strand.
AATTTCAAATAATAGTAGTACTGTAGTAGTGATTATATAACAGTAGTACAGTAACGGCAATACAGAGAACCAATAATGTTTAGAAAATTATGAAATATAGCTCAAATTATTTTATTAATTGGTTTAATTTTTAAAATATATATCTGGTTGAATTAAATATTCAATAATTCCTACTGAAATTCATGAAAATGCTGAATCATGATGGGTGACTGTTGGAATTTAGTTAATAACTAACTGGGCACATAGGAAGAAGAAACGTTCTGCCTCTTTACGATTAAGTAAGAAGCCCAAATCTACCTGAACAGAAAAGGGAGACTGTTGTTCCAGTCAATGCTGAAGGTTTTGTTTCTCTGAAACAAATTCAAAATAACAACAAACCAATGCAAATAGGAGTACTTGAGATCCACTTGAGATTCAATTCATGGTTATCAGCCAAACTGTGCTCTTGGACTAATAGGATGCAGCCTGAGCTGTTCAGGAGACTTTATGTTGTGAGTAATGTGACACTTATCCCAGTAACTTGTTTTCTCTAAGTTCTCCAGTTACTTTATCATGAATATCGTTATTCTTTGCTGATCCACTCCTTTTCTTGCACTCTTATCTTTTTATAAAGTAGTAAGTGTATAGCTCTTTAAAAGATTTTTGAAATAATTTAATTGACAAATAAGTTTTTTTTTAAATTATTATACTTTAAGTTTTAGGGTACATGTGCACAATGTGCAGGTTAGTTACATATGTATTCATGTGCCATGCTGGTGTGCTGCACCCACTAACTCGTCATCTAGCATTAGGTATATCTCCCAATGCTATCCCTCACCCCTCCCCCCACCCCACAACAGTCCCCAGAGTGATGTTCCCCTTCCTGTGTCCATGTGTTCTCATTGTTCAATTCCCACCTATGAGTGAGAATATGCGGTGTTTGGTTTTTTGTTCTTGCGATAGTTTACTGAGAATGATGATTTCCAATTTCATCCATGTCCCTACAAAAGACATGAGCTCATCATTTTTTATGGCTGCATAGTATTCCATAGTGTATATGTGCCACATTTTCTTAATCCAGTCTATCATTGTTGGACATTTGGGTTGGTTCCAAGTCTTTGCTATCGTGAATGGTGCCGCAATAAACATACGTGTGCATGTGTCTTTATAGCAGCATGATTTATAGTCCTTTGGGTATATACCCAGTAATGGGATGGCTGGGTCAAATGGTATTTCTAGTTCTAGATCCCTGAGGAATCGCCACACTGACTTCCACAGTGGTTGAACTAGTTTACAGTCCCACCAACAGTGTAAAAGTGTGCCTATTTCTCCACATCCTCTCCAGCACCTGTTGTTTCCTGACTTTTTAATGATCGCCATTCTAACTGGTGTGAGATGATATCTCATTGTGGTTTTGATTTGCATTTCTCTGATGGCCAGTGATGGTGAGCATTTTTTCTTGTTTTTTGGCTACATAAATGTCTTCTTTTGAGAAGTGTCTGTTCATGTCCTTCGCCCACTTTTTGATGGGGTTGTTTGTTTTTTTCTTGTAAATTTGTTTGAGTTCATTGTAGTTTCTGGATATTAGCCCTTTGTCAGATGAGTAGGTTGTGAAAATTTTCTCCCATTCTGTAGGTTGCCTGTTCACTCTGATGGTAGTTTCTTTTGCTGTGCAGAAGCTCTTTAGTTTAATTAGATCCCATTTGTCAATTTTGGCTTTTGTTGCCATTGCTTTTGATATTTTAGACATGAAGTCCTTGCCCATGCCTATGTCCTGAATGGTAATTTTAGCCTAGGTTTTCTTCTAGGGTTTTTATGGTTTTAGGTGTAACGTTTAAGTCTTTAATCCATCTTGAATTGATTTTTGTATAAGGTGTAAGGAAGGGATCCAGTTTCAGCTTTCTACATATGGCTAGCCAGTTTTCCCAGCACCATTTATTAAATAGGGAATCCTTTCCCCATTGCTTGTTTTTCTCAGGTTTGTCAAAGATCAGATAGCTGTAGATATGCGGCGTTATTTCTGAGGGCTGTGTTCTGTTCCATTGATCTGTATGTCTGTTTTGGTACCAGTACCATGCTGTTTTGGTTACCGTAGCCTTGTAGTATAGTTTGAAGTCTGGTAGTGTGATGCCTCCAGCTTTGTTCTTTTGGCTTAGGATTCACTTGGTGATGCGGGCTCTTTTTTGGTTCCATATGAACTTTAAAGTAGTTTTTTTCCAATTCTGTGAAGAAAGTCATTGGTGGCTTGATGGGGATAGCATTGAATCTATAAATTACCTTGGGCAGTATGGCCATTTTCACGATATTGATTCTTCCTACCCATGAGCATGGAATGTTCTTCCATTTGTTTGTATCCGCTTTTATTTCATTGAGCAGTGGTTTGTAGTTCTCCTTGAGGAGGTCCAATAGATGCAGAAAAGGCCTTTGACAAAATTCAACAACACTTCATGCTAAAAACTCTCAATAAATTAGGTATTGATGGGACGTATCTCAAAATAATAAGAGCTATCTGTGACAAACCCACAGCCAATATCATACTGAATGGGCAAAAACTGGAAGCATTCCCTTTGAAAACTGGCACAAGACAGGGATGCCCTCTCTCACCACTCCTATTCAACATAGTGTTGGAAATTCTGGCCAGGGCAATTAGGCAGGAGAAGGAAATAAAGGGTATTCAATTAGGAAAAGAGGAAGTCAAATTGTCCCTGTTTGCAGATGACATGATTGTATATCTAGAAAACCCCATTGTCTCAGCCCAAAATCTCCTTAAGCTGATAAGCAACTTCAGCAAAGTCTCAGGATACAAAATCAATGTACAAAAATCACAAGTATTCTTATACACCAATAACAGACAGAGAGCCAAATCATGAGTGAACTCCCATTCACAATTGCTTCAAAGAGAATAAAAAACCTAGGAATCCACCTTACAAGGGACCTGAAGGACAAATAAATTTTAAAAATGATACACACATATGACAAATATAACCCTCACAGTAGGAATCAATGGTAAATTCATTACTCTCATTACTATCTAATACGTATATATAGTATAGGCATTGGAGAGTCTTTGTTACTAATACATTGATATTAGTTGGCTTGCTTATCACCTACAATTAATGTCTTCCTATCTATATGTAGAAATTATTTTTCCTTGGATGTTACCAATGCCTTCCTTTTATTAAGATGCTGTCATCTTGATCCTTCTTTCAGTTTTTATTTTATTTAAGGGAAAAAATATCAAAATGAGATTCAGGCTCTTGAGGACATTTTTTCCTATTACAAGCAATAATTTATGTAGAAATTTTTGGTTTACTTTACCAGAATCTCCACCTTTATGAGAAAAGGCTTGGATGCCATGGTCTGGTTGCTTGTTCTGAATAATTTTGTTACTCACTTCATAATGCGTTGATAAGGGCAAGCAAGAAAAAACAGTCCAAACAACAGAAATGGAGAAACGGAAGTAGGTCTTGTTTAAAAGAAGCTCAGTTGCTTCAATCTATTGAATGTCAGTCTGCTTTATACCATGGTGAAGTAGCTTGCCTCAGACCAGTCCCCTTGCTGAGAACAACTATAAAAGCTGAATAACACCAAATTAATAACAGTTTGAAGGTTTTGAAGAGCAATCAAGGGAACCAAGATTAGAGTGGCTATAATTCAAGAAAGAAGGGAAATACATTATTTCGAGCCAGACATGTCCTGCTGCTTTTCCTTAGAGACATCCAACAGCTTGCAAGCATCATAAGGATAAATAAATGAGCAGAAAATAGTGAATAGAACTTACAGGAACCTTAGAATGCCAGAGCACCATGAATCTGAGTTTAGTCTACCAGGCAGTCAGGCCTTGAGGGGCCAAGATACTGAGAAAAGGGAACCAGAGAAAATGGAGCTTGAATAATTATTTTTTTTTTTTGAAATACACATCTGGTTGAATTAACTATTCAATAGTTCCTTCTTACATTTATGAAAGTGCTGAATCATGATGGGTCATTTATATATATATATATACACATATTCATATATGTATATGTATAGATTTATTATAAGGAATTAGCTCAGGTAATTATGGAGGCTGGCAAGTCCAAAATCTGCAGAGGTGATGTCCAAGTTTCAGTATGATGGCTGAAAACTGCTATAGAGCCAGAAAGAGCTAATGTACCTGTTCTCAAGCTGTCAAGGAGGATAATTCTGTCTTATTCAGGGGAAGGTCAGCCTTTTATGCTATACAGGCCTTTAACTTTTTGGATAAGACCCACCCACAGTATGGAGGGCAATCTGATTTACTCAGTCTATGTATCTAAATGTTAATCTTTACCAATTTAAATCAGAACTCATCCAAAGACATCTCCAGAGAAACACACAGAAAAATGTTTGACCAAATATTTGGACACTCCGTGATCCAGTCAAATTGACACATAAAATGAACCATCACAGAATTTGAGTAATATGTAGCTACAAATTTAAGAAGTAGAACTTTCGCCAGTCTCATGTATTTTATAGACAGAAATTAGGAGTCCTGGGTCTGTCAAGTATAAGAGGTCCTGAAAAATATGTCAGTCTATCAGTTGAAACCCAGAACCAAAACACTGTCCTAAAGACTGAAAACCAGTCTCAAAATACCTCAATTATTGGTTGGGGCCATTTAGTCTGCTCCTATACTAATTGACTGTGAGAAAAATAAAGTACCTCAGAGAAAGATGACATAGCTAGAACAATCAATGGTTTTCATACACAACATCCAGCATTGACTAAAAAGTTATCAGGAATGTCAAAACACAAGACAACATTTTTTATAAACAATAAAAAATCAGTAGAAACAAACACACAGGTAATTTAGATATTGGAGTTATTAGTTCACAATAATAATAATATTTCCAAGATCATATCTGACAATGAAAGAAACTAGAATTGTGAACAATAAATAAGAAAATGGAAGCTTCATAACTTAAAAATGTAAAATGAAATTAATAACTCAATAGATGTAGTTATTAGCAGATTAGACACTGAAGAAGAGAGTTACTAAACTGGAAAGTTGATTAGTAGAACATGTCATAAGTAAATATGAAGAAGAAAAAAGATGAATGATAGAAAAGAACATAACTTAGATATGAGAAATGAAAAATTCTGATAAGTATGCAATTAAAAGCCCAACACAAGGATAAATAAGAAATATAGTAGAAACAATATTTAGTCCTGCCTGAAGCAGTACTGATTGAAATTTTTTTCTGACTGTGGAAAGACATCTAATAACAGATTTAAGTTGCTGTATGAATTACAAGTGAAACAACCACAACTAGACACATTAAAATTAAACTAATGTAAATCAAAGGTAGTTAAAAGTCAAAGTAGACAAAAAAGAAACACACTCCAAGGTAAATTTTAATGAACTCGTAACAAATAATGAATGCCAGAGAACAATAACATATATTTTTAAAGCATTCAGGAAAAAAAGTAACTTCTGACCTAGACTTTTATAACCAGTAAAACCATCTTTTTGAATGAAGGCAAAATAACGTTGTATTCAGACAAAGAGTAAAGAAAGATCTCATTGCAAGCAAAGTTACAGTAAAAGGGATGACAAGGAGACAAACTTTGGCAGAAACAAAGTTATCCAGAATTCAAGTACAGAAAAGTAGAAAGAACTGAAGAACAAAGAAACTTCTTGGTGAATATGTGGATAAATCTAAGTATTAGCTGACTGTATAAATCAATATTATTCCTTGTGAAGTTCCTACATGTATATAGAAATAAAATACATCAGAAGAAGCAAAAACAGCAATAGAATAGTGTAAAAAAATTTTTCAATCCTTGCCTTTCTGAGAAGTGGAAAAGGTAATATAGCACTTCCTTCTTATCTGTGGTTTCACTTTCCAGTTTCAGTAACCTGAGGTCAACTTTGGTCTGAAAATTCCATTATTATGTTTAAATTTTTTTCTAAATTTATAATTTTTCTATTTAATTAATAGTTATTTTTGTTAATCTTTTATTGTGCCTAATTTATAAAGTAAACTTTATCATAGATACATATGTAAAGAAAAAAACACATATAGGATTCAGTATTATCTGCAATTTCTGCATGCAAAAACAGTCTGGAATGTATCTTCCATGCATAATGAGGGACACTGTAATTTAGGGTACACTTTAGTAAGACAAGGATGCATTGGTAATAACTAGACTAATCAACAAAATGATAATGAAAGAATATATAAGTTAAAAGAGAACAAAATATAGAAAAATATTTGATTAGCTCAAAATTTAGCAATAAGTAGGAAATGACACAAAGAAATAGAAAAATAGCAAATATTAAGATGGCAGATTTAAAAGCAAATATACATTAAACGTAAACAGACTAAATACTTTCATTAAAAAAGATTGTCATATTGCCTAAAGCAATACCCTGTATGATTACCCACCTTATTAGAAGGATACAGAAAGTTGCAAAGTAAAATAACAGATAAACCAGATTATACTAACCAGAAGGCCAAAGTAGCTGTACTATAGTAGGCAAAGTAGATTTTATTGCAAGAGCATCATTAAAAATAAAGATATTTCATAATGAGTATGAAATGTATATGCAGTAAAAATTATTACCTCAAAATATACAAGTAAATATGCTTATGTTTTATATCGAGATTATATATTTTTATATATATGTATAAATATAACTAAATATGTGTAGTGAAACCACAGATAAAAAGGAAATGCTTTATATTACCTTTTCCACTTCTCAGAAAGGCAAGGATTGAAAAATAATATATTTATATATGTATGAGGGACATAATAGGAAGCCATGCTTAGCCAACTTTTAAAGAGAAATTTATTGGCTACATTTACAAACTGATTTGATTTGTAGGTTTTACTTAGAAAGTGCATATTCATATTATCCTGAAAGATATTTTTTTTCTATAATTGAAAAGGTGATCCTCTTTGATTCAGCATATAGGTTTGGAATAAATTTATCCAGAAAATTTCTATTTAAGCATACAGACCCATCCCTCAGACAATGGAATGCGTTAGGTCCCCATCAGATTCTCACATTCAGTTAGTTCCAACTTTACCTTCCAGATATCAGTGTATAGTCCCACATTCTCCCGAAGCATGTGAAATATTATAAAATGCAATGTCTTTCTAATCTTTTCTTATCATGGTTTGGTTTTGAGAATGCACTTTTTATAAAGGCCATTGGAGTCTAAATCTTTGGAGAAAAATAATTTTTTTCAATCTGGAGCAGTGCTTATTACTCTTCTTTGGAGACTTAGACAACTTTGAGAATATAATTAAAGCTAATAGAAACTCATTCAAGAAAAATAGATGTACAAATAATCACAAACTATGGAATAATATATTAGAAGTTCAAGAAGTTCATCTATTGACGAGATTATGAGTGCCTGATCTTTGTGTTTTTGTTGGTCCATTTCATCAGCCCCTTAGAAAAGAAAAAACATGTTGTGCAAAGTTTAGAGCAAGCTACTATTTAAAAATAGTAGCTCTAATTTTACTTATGGATCTTATTTAATGTGTAAATGCCTGGAGGCTAAAAGCAATGGAAAAAATAAGGACAAAAATTATACCTATGAAATACTTCTGTTTTTCAGGAAATTGTATTTTTATAAAATGCAGTTTAGAACAAATCTCAACATTATGACTTTATTCAAAAGAAAGATTTATAGATTTACCAATTCTTATTCAGAGGGAGATTGTTCGGGTTATGTATTATTATAGAAGTTGAAAAAAAGCATGAGAATACATCATTTCTCAATAAACTTAGTTATCAATTTATTTTTCAGTAAAATAACATGAGAATTTACAAGTATGAGAAACTGTTCCATCTGTGCAACTCTACCAACTATCCCCACCAGAAGAGGATTATCTATGTAGCCTTAATAGATGATATTTTCAAAAAAATTGAGAGACTGAGCTATAAAGTAAATAGCTTTATAGTGTTGTCTCATTTAAGAACTGCTATATTTATTAAAAATTCAGAAAATACAGAATATAAAGTAGACCATGATTATTACCTGCAGTTTTCGGATATAACAACTGTAATCATCTGCTGTATATCATTTAGATATTTTATGTATATTTTTAAAGGTATCAAAACAACACATGTATGGAAGATAACTCAGCATTCTGTTTCAAAGTCACATTTTAAATTTCTTTAATAAGTGTCTAAAATTTACAAATGTAATACATACTTTCTATGGCCATTGAAACAAATACAAGGAGGTTGGAGGAAATTTTAATAAATATTCTGCCAGTTTAGCTCCATCACTATCCCCTGAACATATGAACCATATCAGCCTGACATGTATGCTTGCACATCTTCCTCTGAATTGACGCTGGCATTTAAACAACTACATACACATATGGATTACTGTTTTTCTAACTGTTCATTTTTTAAAAAACGATTTTTAATATACTATCTACTATTTGTTTTTTTCATCAGAATTCTTCTAGGCTAAGATATATATATATATATATATATATATATATATATATATATATATATATATATATATATATAACTAATTTTTACCAGTATATTAAAACTTAGACTTGGTTGAATTCCTTAAAATGTATTTATTTCTACAAGGTAGATTCTTAGGAGATGCGTTTCTGGGTAAGACACTGCATACATTTTTTAGTTTATTTTAATAGATATTGCCAGATAATTTCTCATTTTTAAAGGTTTTTACAGTTTCCAGAGTTATAAATGAAAGTTATCTCCCTAATCCTATAGGTTAGAGGACTTTAATATTTTCAATCTGGTGGATAAAAACCATGTGGTATTATGACATTAATTACAATTTTCTGTCTCCTACTGAGATTGAGCAGGTTTCTTTTGTGTGTGAGTCATTTGGTTCATCTCTTCTGGAAATAATTTTTCTTCTAAAAATATTTTTGGTATTTTTCAATAACTGTTTTGGTTATTTTCTTTGAGTCAAATTATAGATGTTTATTAGATATTTGAGGTATTATTCTTTACATTTGCCATTTTTGTAGGAAATATCCCTCACTTCATCACTTTATTTTTTTGTCATTGTACTTTTTTTCAACTTGTATATAATTAAATTTGTAATTTGAAGGAAACCTATACAATATTTTTCTTTCCTAGCCCAAGAATATAAAGATTCTCAAATATTTTAATTCTAACTTTCTGCTTGTCTGTTCTGAGTGTTTGAAAGCAATTTAAATCTCTCTTATTTTAAAAGAGTACCATATTAGTCATTCTAAAATTATTATATATCAATAATGCTATTTACATTTACCAATGTTTTTAGCTAATTATTTGCCCTCCATTTTGGATTCAGTATTGTTCTAGCTGAAATTCATCTTTTAGTCATTTGTTTCTTATAATGTCTAAAATTATTATCTTGTTTCTTTACTCTTACTCTAAATTGCTATTTCAAGTAAATAAAGAATTCTGGGTTGAATGTTATTTTTCCTGAGCACTTTTAAGATAACCATATTTACAGAACAAAATGGAAAATTATAAATATTAATACTTTTAAAAATAATTCAACTAAAATAATTGGTGTGTAAGGCGTATTGGAAGTTTTATAATTTCCTAATTATTAATATTAGGGAGTCTGATGATATTTTTTAATTAATTGAGAAAGAAAGCCTTAATATTATTCAAAGTCATGGATGATTTTTGCTTTCATAATGGCTTATTAGGTAATTCCAACTAACTCCCTAAAACAATAGATAAATTGAAAAAATTAAATGGACAATATCTGCTTGAAATTATTGCTAGCTAATGAGATCGTAAATAGGAGATCTAGCAGAGGAGAAAGATTAGGAGAATATACCAAATCCTGAGCAGGAATATAAAAGCAAATGCATCTTTCAGTTTTGTGTGTTGCTTGGTTTGGACAACTCACTTCCCTCAGCCCTGGAAAACTTGCAGCCATTATCACTTATGTATCACCGTTTTCCCATTCTTTTCAGTTTCTTCTAGAATTTCTGTTAGATATATGCTAAATGGTCTCCATCTATCTTCTGTAGCTATTACAACCCCCTTCTTATTTCCATTTCTTCTACATTTTATTCCAGAGTATTTTCTTGTATATTATCCATGTAATGAATTCTTTTTAAAATTATCTTTAATCTACAAATTATTGTGACCATTATTTACAGAAGTTTTATTTTGTTCTTTTCCAAAATACTTCTTTTTGCTTCCATCATGTCATGTTCTGATTTTTATAGTCTACACATTTTAAATATTTGTAGTTTCTTTTAGGTTGTTCAATTTTTTTCTCCTTCTTCATGGACTTCCCTTTATAGGGTTTTATTCATTTGTGTGGCTTGTAATTTTTTTTATTAAGATTTTGTCATCAGCAAGGATTGCTTTCTGTGGGAGTTCCTTTCTCTCTGAATTTATACATAAGGTTAAGTTTGTATAATACCTTCCTGGATCCTAGGAGTTTTACTAGTTGTGTACCAGGCTTTTTATTGATTTTTCAGCTTTGGGTCTTCTACTATGCATAAGTGTATGCTCTGTACTCATTCAAGTTGCAGACCTAGGTTCTTGATTTTCTAACAATTCTGTCCAGTTTCATGGCTAGATAGCCAGCTTCTATGTGGCTTTCGTAAAGTACTGGATGTAGTTCTTCCTGTCCCCACTTCACAACTGGGGCAATCCTCCAAGTTCCTAGACTTTAGGCAAGGAGGCACAATTCCAGGCTCTCACCTTGCATGGCTCTGAGTCCCATCTCCTGTTCCTACATGTACAACAAGCCTCAGAACTCAGTTCTTCAGGACCTTATTTGGGTTTGATAGGACTGTGGCTCACTTTGGCCTCAGCTGTGACTGTTTGACATTTTAAATTTCCTCTATATATTTGGACTTGCAGATTCGAGCTCAGTTATGCATTTAGCTAAAAAGAAAAATAGTCTATGGATTTGAAGTAGAAAAATGGAAGTTTTCCCATATCATCTTAGATAGGCATATCGACCTGATGTTTTCCCTAAGAAGCTCCTCAGCCTCTCATAAAAATACGCTCCTTATCCTTCACATGCCCTCCACTTTTTCCTGAGTAAATATAAATGTAGGTTCTCTGTGCAACTATATATAATATCATTATAACCTAATAACTCATGACATGTATTCTAGTAGTAACATTTTTCCATGCCTAATATTTATTGTTTACATATTAAATTAAGCAATCATCCATAAATATTAATGGTTTATATACTGTTTAACATTTTATTCATTTTTGTTATTACTGAATACTACCAACATGTGATAATAAAACAAACAGAAGATCATATATATAAGTGTACAAAATTTCTTCATTCTTTCAACTACTATTTATTGAATGGCTGCTATATTCCAAGCACTCTAATAGGCACTTTAAATCACTGAATAAAACAGAAGATTTTTTATGTTATTTTCTTCATGTCGGTGAAAAAGAATGGCCATTTCTCTTGCCTTGGGAAGTGACATCGAGCAGAAGTAGTAGGAGCCATCCATGCAGAGACAGTTTAGAACCCCCTCTTTCATAGAATGAAAGCTTGACCTACAATCCAATCCTTCACTGGCATTTTCATGTTGATGAGTGGTAATAAACATTAAATTGTCTCTGGTATTTTTACAGCTTAGCAAATGGAGTACCTTTGGGACTCTGGAAGTTATGCCTCAGAATGAATCGGAAACACAGATGTTCTCGGTGGTGACAGAAGACGATTGTGAAATTCTTAAAATCCCAGCAAAGGGATATGCAAAGATAAAGGAGGTAAGATGATATCTAATATTTTATATAAACAAAAATTGGGCATAAACTCAAGCTACATTTTGATTCTCTAGACAAAGACAGCTATATCTGTTTTATTTTTAAATTTTAATTTAACCTAGAGACCATAAAAATGTTATTTGACAAAAATCACTTAAGAGTGCTGGTGATAGGTAGGTGAGGTGTAAACAAAGGTCTCAATGAATATATTTCAGGTAATTTTTAAATACCCTTTGGCTTTTCATTAATTTTAAACTCATTAATTTATTCATTCATTCACTCACTCATTCATTCAACAAATATGTGTTTTGCATGTCCGCAGCATGTCATATGCTAAGAATACTAGAATAATAAGACAGATAATAGTACTGCTGCTTTCCCAGTCTCTGTAGTCTACTTTAAAAGGAAAAATACTTGAATGTGATTGCCATGATATTTCATAATTACAACAGATATCAAACTCAGAGCTGCATGAATAAGTGATAACAACTTATTCTGATTCCCTAATTCTGCGTTTTTAAGATAACTTCATTTACTTAAAGTTTAATAATTTATTCTCTTCTAATCAAATCCAAATTTTTTCTTGACTCCTATTTTTCCTCCTTTGGATATCAGAAGAAGTTTGTATAAATAATGAGATTGAGGCTAGGGGCGGTGGCTCATGCCTGTAATCTCAGCACTTTGGGAGGCCGAGGAGGGTGTATCACCTGAGGTGGGGAGTTCGAGCCAGCCTGACCAACATGGAGAAACCCCTTCTCTACTAAAAAGACAAAATTAGCCGGGCTTGGTGGCACATCCCTGTAATCCCAGCACTTTAGGAGACCAAGGCAGGCAGATCAGCTGAGGTCGAGAGTTCGAGACCAGCCTGACCAACATGGAGAAACCCTGTCTCTACTGAAAATACAAAATTAGCCGGACATGGTGGTGCATGCCTGTAATCCCAGCTACTCGGGAGGCTGAGGCAGGAGAATTGCTTGAACCCAGGAAGTGGAGTTTGTGGTGAGGAAAGATCGCACCATTGCACTCCAGCCTGGGCAACAAGAGTGAAACTCCGTCTCAAAAATAAATAAATAAATAAAAAATAATGGGATTCAAAGGTTTCCATGATCCTGCTGTTTCATCTTTTTTTGAATGAGCTTAAGCCAGGTGCAGGTCCTGCAGAAAGCTGGCATAAGCCATGGTTCAGTGCTCATGTGGAGTGGTGTTGAGAAGACATCCATCTTCTTGGGTCTCCAGTGGTGGGGAATTCTTGTGATTTAGTGGTCCCAGTGTCAGTAGTGCAGGTAATTCTCTCAGAATTCAACGTTATTCCAAATCCCTGATGTTTATTTGTTTTGATTTTCAGAGTGGCTAGCTTTAACAAAAAATTCTTTATGTTTTGTTTTTATTTCCCAAATATCAGTACCAGTTACTTGATTTTATCAAACACAACTTTTTAGTTTAATCTTGACTATGACAGGGTTTTTAAAAACTTCTAAAACATTTATAGAAGTATAATAAATTATGAAAGGTGAGCAAATATAATTTTAGTAAGTAGATCTGAAGATTAACATTTTAATATGTCTATGTGGCCATAGAGTGATGCTCAGATAAAATTCAAATGTATTCTATACTAACTTATATTCATATGGCCTTTATTTTACTTCTCTCACCATTTATCTATTTGCTATTTCTTTGATTTTAAATTGCCTGTTATTAAAAATTTGATAATGACATTCTGTTTTAGGAAAAAATAAAACTTGAAAATATGCAAAAGTTGAAATTAATCCGTATGTGTCCTTATTATGAGGAATGGCCTACTTTATCCATATATGAGCTAATTGCACTCCTTAAATGGAAAAAATTTCCTCCAGGTCATGGTAAGTTTAATGCAATTTAGATCATTTTGTTTGCATTCTGTTATATTATTGGAATTGAAATTCTTCATAGTTGTAATATTTTATACAATATTTCTTCATATAAATATTCTCTAATTTATTTGATAATAACATTTGAATTGGACATTTAGATTATTTCCTGCTTTTTATTAAAAATGATACTGTACTGGCTTGAAGTGTGGTCTCAGGACTAACCTTACTTTTAACATCTCTCTCTACTCCCTTTAACTGTTCCGCACTTGCTCCACCCTGACAGTTACTATAAGGGCCAAACTGAAAAGGATAAATACTAGAGGGTATAGCCACTCACACAGGAGAAAAGGAAAAAAACCATTTTTTTCTTTTCCTTTTTCCTGGGTGGATAACTATTTAAGCAGCAAGTTTGCTAATCTGTACTTGTGCTACATATATTAGCCATGGAAAAAAATAATTATGGAGAATGAGTGAGGCCTAGATAAGAGAAAGCAGCAGTGAAGCACCTACATTTTCAATATTCAGCATAGCAAGGATGCACGGATTTCCTGGATTATGTGTACACAAAAAGTGTAGGTGGTATTGAGTCATTTTGCATGATTTGTCCATCTATGAAAGCCAATTTAACAAGGGTTGCTAAACCAAGAGGAACTGTGGTAGGATGGGCCAGAGCTTTAGGTCTCTTTTGGTAAGGAAACACAATTGCTACATGAGAGACAGCCACAGATAACAGAGAGAGGATGGCGACCTCGACTCTCTTTCCTCACAGCCAGTGAAGGAGCCAGAACTTAGATTATAATGGAAGAGGAAGTGTTTGAAAGAAATACTTCTACCCCAAGTCTGCAAAGCCACAATTATAGTGAGGGACATTTTTAATTTAAGTTTGAGATTAAAGTTCTAAAACGAATGAATCTGATTGGTAAATTCTAGACAGCTACTATTTTAATAATAAAAACATGGCAGACTAGTTATGAAATCTGGCTAAGGTATCCTTTGAGGGAAACACTGTAACACAGGAAAACGAGGTTCAGCATACCAGGAGTTCTTTTACTGAAAAAAAGTAAATATCATTAGAGGCAAGTTTATGCTTTAAAAAGCAGGGATACTCTAATAAACCACTTAAATTTGGTGAGAATCTAAAACCTTTCTCGTATTTCTTCCAAATTTCCTTCTACTGCTTGCATTTATATTTTATTTATCATGTTTTTGAGATGTAGCATTTAATCCATGTTTAGTCAAATAACTATTTTTGCTCATAAATTTGAATATTTGTAATATTATGTTTTTGTTTATGACATTTTTTTCCTAATTAGTTATAAATGGCATTTTTTTAACCAAAAGTACAAATGGAAGGCAAGTAGTAAACTGACTTGTAAAAAATCGGGAATTGAATATTTCTAAATTCCCCATGTTTATTACATAGAAACAGATGAGCATCCCAGAACCAGTTTGATACCTCCAGGTCCCAGTGATTCAAGTACCTGTAATGATGATGCCTTTTTGTTCCTTCATTCATCCTTCACTGGTCTCTTTTGTTTTGGACAATTTTTTCTAACGTAGCATATTAATTCTTATAATAATTTTTCACCATATTTGCTATTTTTCATGGTTGCTTTATTTTTTATGGTTGTTTTGGATTTGTCATGGTTTTGTCACAGGTTTCCCACTTTTTATCAGAAATATCAAATTTTGATCCTTGCCTCTCTTCCATGCTTTTAATAAAAATATAATATCCAATCTTTGCCCATCTATCATTATATTAATATTTTTGAGGTGATTAGAAAAGAGGAAAGAGACCATCATAAAGATATTTTAAATTAGGGGATCCAAAAGAATTTGAAATTTGGAAAGGGGAGAATGATTATGTGTTTTAATATGTTTGATTACTAATGATAATCTGTCTCTTGATCTAAAATATCAATCAAAAGTACTAAAATTTTGCATCAAAGAGCTAAAAAGGTACTGAGACAGTTAACATACTGTTTCCTAGACTAATATTGAATTCAAGTTCTTTTTTGTAAATATCTTGAAAAATAAACGGTGGTGTTTGTTAAACTACCGATAGCATTGGACAATCTGTGAGTCTATTGAATAAGTCAAAATAATATTGTTTTCTCACCTATTCCCAAACATATAAATGTGTGGTACTTTCATAGTTTTAGAAAATATTTAACCTCCTTAGAGAAGAATGACAATTTCATCTGATAATCATCAAAGCCCTATGAGTTCTGAAAGACTGTAGTTTTTATAAATAAATATACCTACGTGAAGAATAAGTCCTGTCAAATTCATCTAATTTTCTTTTATGGTAGTGACAAACTTGATATATCAAAGAGAGGAATTGGATTATAATACTTCCTGACTGTTTAGTCAAGATTTAGTTTGAATTTTTATCAGAGAATGTAGAGAATGTAGCTCAAATTACACTTTTATTATCTGGTTTGAAAATTAGCAGTAGTATGATTTCCAAGCATAATTATGTGTGTTTTGATCTTATTTTAAGAATGTACAGTGGATAGGGTTTCAGAGGGATTTAGTTAATTATTCAAAAGCTTGATAGAGTTTAGGATTAATCCTTGGCAATCAATGAAATAAGTAAAGCTTGTATCTGACTCTATTTGCTTTGTTAACTTCTTACATCTTCCTACTTTTGCTTCATATGCCAAGGGAACCTTATTATAATGAATATGTACAGTGTTGCTTATAATTTGGGTGTGTCCAGTTTATATCACATCGGCTAAAGTCTTCCCAGTTGTTATTCTTTCAAGATGTGGCCAACTTGAAAGCGACAACCAGCTTAGGTCACTAATCAACCTGTTCCCATGTGTATCATGGATATAAGAAAAAATGGTAAACTGACTTGGCAAACATTTAACTATTTATGCATATTTTGTTGTTTTCTTGCTTATGTCAGTATGCCCCCATCTTTCTCCAGGTAGGATTTGATATAGCAAACATGTTAATTGGAAAAACTAAAAAAATTACAGCAACATATTTAGTGCAGAAAGATAAAGTATGTGAAAATCATAATAATAACAGTAATAGTCAAAATTATATCTAGTTATCTCAAACCAAATGTGGAGTGTTTCAGTCACAAAATACATAGGCTCTACATCCCTTCAATTTTTTGACATCAATCTCTTCCAGTTCAATTTACTCTTCAGGGAATCAAAAGTCTTAGTCCCATGAGACACTCTTGAGCATCCCAGAACCGGTTTGATACCTCGAGGTGCCAGTGATTCAAGTACCTGTGATGGTGATGCCTTTTTATTCCTTCATTCATCCTTCACTGGTCTCTTTTGTCTTGGACAATATTTTCTAGTGTAGCATATTAATTCTTTTAATAATTTTTCACCATATTTGTTACTTTTTATGGTTGCTTTAGGTCTTACCATATAAATTTCAATTTAGCAGAATCTACTTCAGATTTTTACTAACTTAATTCCAGTTTTAAATGTGACTCATGTAGCTCTATTTCCATTTCCTCCTTTATATGTTATTATTATTATACATATTGCATCTACATATGTTACAAATTTAACAATACATTATTATTTTATATAAAGTTATGTCTCAAAAACAAAGAAAAAAGAGATCAAATATATATTTATAGGGTTCATTATATTAGACATCATATTTACCATTTCTAGTCATTTTTATTTGTTCCTGTGGACTTGAGTTGTCATCTGATATGCTTTCCTTAGTTCAATATCAGTTTTCTCCCACCTGCTTTCTTATGCTGCTATTGGCAAATATATTATATTTCTATATGTTATAGATCCAACAACATTATACACATATTATTTCACACAATCACTCTTTATGAGTAAGAGAAGAATGGATAAGAAATATGCATTTCTCCTACCTTTTACAATTACACATTTACCTTTAGTGGTACTTTTTGATTTTTCATGTGGATTCAAATTACTATCTGGGGATGCTTGTTTGCAGCCTGAAGAACTTTTTTTAGTATTTCTTTGAGGGAGTATATGCTAGTAACAAATACTGCCAGGTTTTCTTGTACTGAGAATTTCTTCATTTCTCCTTTACTTTTGAAAGACAGCTTTGCAGGGTGTAGGATTTGAAGCTGAAATTGGGTTATTTTGTGTAAGTTAAAAATGCAATCCCACTTTCTTCTGGCTTCTATTGTTTCTGATGTGAAGACAGCTGTTAATTTTATTGGGATTCACTTATAAGTGACAAGGCTTTTGCTTGCTGGTTTCAATATTTTCTCCTTGTCTTTGGCTTAAAGAAGTTTTACCATAATGTGTCTGTTTGCTTATTTTCTTACCTAGTACTAGAATTTTCTGTCACATACTTTATAGCCCTATTTATTACTAATCTCTCTGTTTCTGACTCTCTCATATATTGTTAGCTATGCTAATCAGTTTTAAAGTTTTTCTTGTTATTCACCCACTTAGAAATAGTCTATGTCCTCTCATTGTTATTCAGGTAAAATGCAAAATCTTTAATGTAGTTTGAAAGGACATTTGTATCTGGGCCATACCTATATCTCAAAGTTTTAATTTTAATAATTCTTCTCTTTTTGTTCATGTTTCTGCCAACCTGGACTTTTATTAGTTCTTCTAGTGTCACTATCGCCATTGAGGGCTTTTACACATGTTGTTCCTTCTTCCTGGAGAAGTTACTTACCCCTCATTTCAGTATATTTACTATTGTTAAGATAATGTTTTCTGGACCAATTGAGATTCTATTGCTCTTTCTTGCTTGCAGAGATGCCTCTTTGTCTCTCTGGGGGTCAAGAAATATTTTCTGCTAAAGAGCAGATACTAAATATTAGCTTTGTAGGTCATATAGTGCCTCTGTTACATATCCGCCTCCTTCTTCTTTTTAATGCCTTTAACAGTGTAAGAATCACCCTTAGTTGTAGTGTTATAAAAAAAAATGGGCCTTGGGTCAGATTTGGTCCGCGGTCTAAAGTTTTCCAACTCCTGTCCTATCTTATTTTGTTAATCGCCTTATTTTTTGGGGTGAGGGGGCACAGGGGACAAGGTCTCATTATATTATCCAGGCTGGACTCAAACTCCTGGGCTCAAGTGATCATTCAACCTCAGCCATTCGAGTAGCTGAGACTAAAGGCACATGCCACCATGCCTGGCTTTCCTTGTATTATCTTAACACTCATTATGCTGTGTCATAATTAATAGCTTAAGGGTCAATTTGTCCACTAGACTTAAAATTTCTTTGGAATGGAACCATCTTATTTTTTAGTACCCAACAAATATCTAGAATTTGCAAGCCCTTGAAAATATTGTTGATGAGTGAATGAATATTTTGATGTCAGTGTTTACCCTTAGACCAAAGTTATGACTTTTTTCTTCCAAAAGAAAATAATTTAACTCTTTGCTGCTCAGTACATCTGGGTTGTATTAACATTTGGCATTAATTCTCTCTGTTTGAGGAAAATGCTGTCATTGATTCAATCTTAAAATATATTAATACATTTATTGATAAATCTCCTGATTAAAACACAAGCTATTGCTTTGCTATCTTTGAGTAGATGTTTTACAGAATTGCATCGTTGCAATAAATCAACCATTAATAATGCTGAAAGGCTATACTGTCTTAAACTCACAATCCTGAGAGAATAAAGGCAATTTGGATTTAAGGTGAGGTTAAATAAGGAAAACATTAGCACGGCATTAAGGACAGCAATAGTTAAAGAAGTTTGAAAGTCTGTTCTCTTCAGTGAATCACCAAGAGTAAAAGATTTGTAGAATCTATCAACTAATTTTTATTTTTGGTCATCATGTTTAATTCTCAGTATGCATGCGGCAAGCTTTCTACTACATGGGGTGTGAGAAATGGAATGATCACTGATAAATGCAATTCAAGTATAATTTCCCTCCTTCTTATTAAGTTTGTCATCATATGTATTGTTCTTATTAATACAACTGTAAGAAAAAATTTTGGTGAATGATGAATACTGTAGATTATATGGCTCAATGCCTCTTCCAAGCACTTCTAACCAACCTGTGAAAGCTAAAAACAGCTAAAGACTACATGTTCTAGAATCCTTTGTAAAAGTTTTAATTTTGATTGTGGCCTCCATTCTGCCCAGTATATATTTCTCTGCAGTATCTGGAAGAAGTCAGGAGCAGCTCTCCTTGCAACCATGGTGATGAGCATGGTGGTTCTAAAGTTCATCCCCTGTTTCACACGTGATGAGTGGCACAGAGCAGCAGGAGTGAGGTTTCCTTTAGAAGAGCTCTGTGTTGTGAGTGGGCATTTCCGCTGGCTACTCTATTTTCTTGCTCTATAGTATTGAATTCTAGTTTTATGGCCCTACTAGAGCTTCCTAACACCCTCTGATAAACGACTTTTTATTTAAGTTAGATCGCAAGAGTCTGCTGTCTGTACCTAGGAACAAAGGGCTGCGCACTGGGTGTTCATTCTACCAATGGTCTCCTTTGTGAATACCTAGTTTTTTCAACATTTTTTCATTTCAAAAATAAATTTTTTTCATAAGAAATATGAAATTTGTCTCTTCATATTTTTAACATCTGTGTACAGAACACCATGCTAGTTGCTTTTGTTGTGGCAATGAAAAGAAATACATTTTTAAATCACTTAAAGTCAGGCCGGACACAGTGGCTCACACCCATATCCTGGCACTTTGGGAGGCTGAGGTGGGCTGACCACCTGAGGTCAGGAGCTCAAGACCAGCCTGGACAACATGATGAAACCACGTCTCTGCTAAAAGAACAAAAATTAGCCAGGCACAGTGGCAGGCGCTTGTAATCCCAGCTACCTAGGAGGCTGAGGCAGGAGAATCTCTTGAACCAGGAGGCTGAGGTTGCAGTGAGCCGAGATCGTGCTGCTGCACTCCAGCCTGGGTGACAGAGCAAGACTCCATCTCAAAAAACAAAATAAAATAAAATCACTTAAAGTCAAATGCTTCAGTAACTACACTGTACTCCTTACTATGTAGGACAGTTTGTTGATCTCAAAGATTTAATAATTAGAAAAATACAAAAAGTATGATTTTTAAACAAATGAGATAGATCAAAATATGATGTCTTAAAATGATTTTCACTATCTCATGGACATATATATTATCTAACATAATAAATATCAACACACACAGTGGAAACTGAATAGGAGAGAGGATTTTTTGGATATGGTTTAACCCAAAGTAGGACTGATAATGTGAGGCAGGAAAAATAGCATAAGCCAATATATGGTTTTCAGATCTTGCTTTAGAATAGTTGATCAAACAGCCCAATTTAATCAGATGCATATTCATGAACATTGGGAGATCAGTCAGACTTTCTGTAGTCTCAGGCATTTTAAATACCATATTCATATGCTTGGGCTTTAACTTACAGATAATGTGACATCATTAAAGGTTTTGAATAACAGAAGAGACCTGAAAAAGTCAAAGTTTTAGGGGAATAGCAGAGCAATATGAGTGATAGTTGAAAGGAGAGAGGTACTAGAAAACCAGAACAATTAGGAGTCTATTTTGGTAGTACCAGAGGCAAAGAGATGAGAGGCAATGGAGATAAGAAGTAGTGGTGACAGTAATAATGGAAATAAATTAATATGAGGAATGTTTTCATTATTTGGGAGTATTGTATAGAATAGATCTTTTCAAATACATTTCCACTTCTTTGCAATGCTGACAGTCTATACATGTTGGGGATGTTCTGGTTTTTCAGATCTCTACCAGAGTGCTCTGTTGCTGCACAGATGCATATGTCTGTGGATGTCAGTTTAAACACACATCAGACACTGAGAACGGATTCTCAAGCATGGGTTGAAAGGGACCTGTGCTCTCACCCACCACCTGCAGCATTAGAACACACATTTCCTGGATTTCTCACTGTCTCCACTCCAAAGTCTTTTGTGAGTGCAGGCCACTATTTATATATGTTCAGAGGAGAGTTGCTTTTATTTTCCTACCCAGAGCCCAAGCATAAAGATAGTTTCCAGAATGACTCATTTCATGTGTGGAAAGATATTTTTAATTCACATTTTCATTGATAGTCTTCATTGACATTATTTTCCCTTTACTCTTACTTTTGTCATTAAAACTCAAGCACTTTGACTACTGCCATCTGCAAATGTTCCCAAGGCTTCTTATGGGCCTGTTTACCACTTTTTTCAGCTTTATCTGTAATATATATTTTTTTACTATGAAAGGATTTATGGTGATATTGATCATCTAAAGGTACAAATTCAGAATATATGTATTTTATTGTTTTCTAAATAATATTTATTAAGATTACTTAAATATAATCCAGTATCTCAACATAGACTTTTCTGTGACAATTTTTTTTTACAATTCAAGAATCTTCAATTTATTTGCCATGAAGCTTCTTTTTTTATAACTGTTTACTTATGATTTCATAGTATACCTTTTTGCTAGAGTAATAATTAGTAATAGAAATGTGTGATGGCTATGTAAAATTTAATGATTTCATTAACAGTCTCTGAAAAGAGCTTCTAATATTATTACCAGAGAAGCTTTAATAATTTACCTCATAACTATTATGGCTAGAAATGTCATTAAAATATAATGTTATAGTATAACAATGCACTACAGAATCACTGATTTTGTTTTCAATCAGTTTTGACTTTGACAAAGATATTTATATCTATAGAATACTTCAAACATACTTTGTAGAAAGTATATAGTTTAATTTCTTACTCAGAATTTAGCCTTCTGATTTTATTAATAATATGATAAATGTGAACAGTATATTAGTTATGTAAAGTTAAAGTACTGCTTATTTAAATAATTATCCAGCTGCTAGATAATAATTAAATTAAAATAAATTAAGAATTTATTTAATTAATTCAAATCCCTCAGAAGTAGATAAGATAAAATTAAACACCTTTTAATAATGGAACACTCATCTATTCAAATTCCCCATGAGTAGATGGAGCTTTTCATCAGTAACCCAGGCAACTACTGAAGCTCTTTATAGAGCTCTTTTCTCTACCTCTTTCTACTTCTCACAAATGACCATTGCTTCTTTATTTTGTCACAACATAAACTATATTTCCTATTATTGCAATTAACTTTTAGTATTGTGTCTCCTGACATTTAGAAGGAAAGTTGGATTTCTCTTCACCTAAAAAATAAAATTGCATAATTTCATTTTCTCACATTTGAAGCAAACTTAATATATAAAAATAAATTTGAAACTTTTTTCTCTAAGCAAACCAAATATGTGAACATTTAAATCTAGAGAAATGCTAAATTATAAATACTATTCATTTTAATAAAAGTAATTTCTACTAAAATTTCCAAAGTAGAACTTTTAAAAATGCGAACTCTTATGTTTCGCTATGAATATTATTTATAACCAAACTGTTAACAATGATTATTGCTGCTTGGTGCTATTGATTGTCTTTTTTCCTGTTTTTCTGTATATTCTAGACATTCTATAATAAGTACATATGTTTATAGCAAAATAAATAGGTACAATTATAATACAATTTGATTTCTAAAAACCTAAAACAATATTTTTAATAAAGAAGCAATTCGTATTGGATGTTGTGATCCACCATTCCTGTCTTCTACCCATAGGAGTGCATTAGCATAAGTCCTTGCCATCTTAGATTTGACAGTTTTCATGAACTTTGGCAATACATACTTTTGGGAATGCCTTCTGCATGGAAAGTTTCTTCACATTCGGAGGGATAAAATGAACAAAGATAGAGCCCAAAATAATAGAAGTAGTCAGTTAGGTATGTAGGGGAGGGAGAAAGGGGGAAGAAGTGAAAATAGAAAAGAGGTTCTTACTTGCTTCCAAATTCTAAGGCCAGGTCATTAGTGTGTAAAAGTAAATAAGGCCAAAGGGTTTCTTTGTGAATGGTGACATCTTGAGTATGTCTAACAAGAGGACATAAAGAAGCAGGATTGACTGTTGCAAAAGTAATTAGTATCTATATATATGTCTATATAATTTGGTATATATATATACACATATATATACATATATATGTGTGTGTGTGTCTATATAATTTGGTAATGCTGTCGTGACCAATGACCACTGAATTCATTTCCTTTGTATATCTGATGTCTATAAAAAGAGAAATAAGACTTTAAATCATAAAACAGGCTATAATTCATAAAGTATCATGGTGTAATAATATATGGTTTGAGGAAGTATCTTAGGCTGACACTTACAGAAATATAATGCAAGCCACATATATCATTTTAAATTTTCTAGCACATACATTTAAAAAGTAAAAAATAAGGCCAGCGTGGTGGCTCACGCCTGTAATCCTAGCACTTTGGGAGGCCGAGGCGGGCGGATCACGAAGTCGGGAAATCAAGGCCATCCTAGCTAACATGGTGAAACCCCTTCTCTACTAAAAATACAAACAAAAATTGGCCGGGCTTGGTGGCGGGTGCCTGTAGTCCCAGCTACTCCGGAGGCTGAGGCAGGAGAATGGCGTGAACCAGAGAGGTGGAGCTTGCAGTGAGCCGAGATTGTGCCACTGCAGTCCAGCCTGGGTCCGTCTCAAAAAAAAAAAAAAAAAAAAAAGGAAAAAATTAAATAATATATTTTATGTAACACATACACATAACTAATTTAATATGTGACCAACATAAAAATTACTAATTAGACACTTTATACCTTTTTCATATTTTGTTTTCATATTAAGTCTTCAAAATCCAGTGTTATTGTACACTTACAGCGTATCTCTATTTGATCTTGCCACATTTTAAATGCTCAATAGCTACATGTGGCTAGCGGCTACCCTATGGGATAGCACAGTCGTAGAACATGCAATACTCTTTCTGATACTGTAAAACAGAAAAAGAGGCAAAAATATTGGCATAACAGATATACGATATGAATTTTTAAATCTGTGTAAAGATTAACTATTATTTCTTTTTAAAATATCTTATAAATCACTTTAATAATAACTTCCTAAAAAGTGGCTAGAGCTAAGAGAGTGAACCATGTCAATAAAGGTTTGTTTTTCTTATTCTGACGTTTGAATGTCCTTAATTTGTCTGTAATCACACATTTACAGATGCATTTGTGAGAATGTGGGGTGTGTGTGTGTGTGTGTGATTATCTCAAGAAAATGAAAACATATTTACCTGTAATATTTTAATTTTCATTTTAAAATAAACTATGTTGCACTAATAAATCTGTTGAGATACCAGGATTATGAATTAAATATCTTAGATCTTAATCTTTATGGATGCTAATGGGCCTCATGAAGTGATATTTATATCTCTATATTCTATCTAGAATTCTATATTTTATCTAGAATTCTATATTCTATATATTCTCCCTACATATTCTATATATCTATATCTATATTAAGATCCTTATTAATATAGACATTAACATATTAATAAGAGCTTTATTATTAATATAGATTTGTATAAGCTGAGCTGTATTTTAAATACATCAGGAAACAATATTTACAGACATAATAATTATTTGAGAAAGTAATTTTCAAATTTTTTGTAAATCTGATTTTTATTATTGTTATTGTAACTACATTGCTTTTTTTTATTATAAAGGTAATTTTATATTCCACAAAGTTTTACCCCACTTGCAAATAGACTATGCATGTTTATAGTTTAAAAATTATATAGATTCATGGTATCATAAATTTGAAATCTTAAGTATTCCCCTCCCCTCAAGAAAATAGTATTAACTGCTTAGGTTCCCAGGGCAAAGCGCGATGGAAGACTTAAGGTATCCTTCTCTGCTTCTGAAAATGAGGGGCTACTCCTCACCCCATGATCACTACACCCTGACCCATTGAACAACATAAATGGATATTCCTTTAGCTTCAAATGTGCCTTGGTTTCTTTTTTCCCTCTTTTTTTTTTTTTTGAGATGGAGCCTCTCACTGTCGCCCAGGCTGGAGTACAGTGGAGCAATCTTGGCTCACTGCAACCTACACCTCCCGGGTTCAAGTCATTATCCTGCTTCAGCCTCCTGAGTAGCCAGGATTACAGGCTCCCACCATGAAGCCTGGCTAATTTTTTGTAGTTTTAGTAGAGATAGGGTTTCACCGTGTTGGCCAGGCTGGTCTCGAACTCCTGACCTTGTGATTTGCCTTCCTCGGCCTCCCAAAGTGCTGGGATTACAGATGTGAGCCACCATGCCCGGCCCAAATGTGCCTTGGTTTCTTTGCTTTGTCCAGAAGATTGGGTAAGGGAAAAATCAGCATTTATTGAACATCTGCTCTGTGTCAGCTACTTTCTAGTTACTTTCACACACATTGTCTCATTTACTTCTCAAAACCTCTATCAGAAAAGTATATTTGCTTTATTAATACAGAAACTCAATCTCAAACGTTTACCATTCCAAGATTAGACTTTTGGTAAATGTCATGTTTGAAATCCAGAACTGATAAATGTGAAAATAAATCTTCTTTCTGTTACATTATGAAATTTCTTCAAGAGGTTTTCTAGTGTTTGGAAAAGTCTGAAGCAACTGCCTGTGGGTTTGCAGAGGTAAGAGTATCACGACACCAGTCAGTACAAAAATCTGGGTTTTATTTATTCATTTGTAAACTCAAGCCAGTTCTCTATTCCACTTTTTCCAATTATTTGCTTTTGAGAGTCTCAGGATTATCCTTCCTTCCTCTCCTTCCACATTTTCTCCCCTGTCCCTTCTCCTGGCCATGCTTCTCTAGTCCCGACGGTCTTGTTTAGATCACAATGCGGTTTGTAGATTTTCCTTCACTCTCTCTTTCAGAAAAAAATGCCAAAATGGTGTTTTAAGAAGCTTTTATTGCTGTAATAAACAGAAAGAAATAGACATATGGTTAAAAAGCTCCTCACAGCATTCCATCTTCTCCTCCTGTTCACATAGATCTTCCTTAGTTTTCATGTAAATGAAATAAGTCTTTGGGAACATGCAGTCCTGAATTAGATCCAAATGCATTTCCCAGAAAATCATAGATTAAATGGATTTTGGATTGTTAATTTGATAAGTTAATTGGATTCCTTGTTTGTTGGAGAAGACCAGAATGAGGGCTGAAAACTCAGTCCAAATACGAGACAGAGTGAGTAATAGCTATGAAAATTGTCCCAGATCATTTGTCACCTGGGTGTATGTTAGAAAAAGGTACTACTTTCTCATGGCAGATGTGGCCCTATGCTAGGGAACACATAGTGGTAGGATCATGAGCTGGATTTCAGCCACACCACACCCTGCAGCCAGGTGTCCTTTTGCAGTGAACAACCTGCAAAATCATGTATATGCAGTGATCTTCCATCTCTCTGTTCTTTTCTCCTTCCACATATAACATTCTGAAATCATATACTTGAGCTTGGATTATAAATAGGGCCAATGGCCTAGAAATATGGAGAAAAAAATGAAAAATATAATATAGTGAAAGGGAAACATGAAGAGTTTTCTTAGCCCATTGGACACTTGGCTTAACCTGGCAAATGTTAACATGTGGAGAACATATGCAAATCAGTTATCCATAAGTCAGCATCACTTGCAGTTTAAAAAATATAAATATGATATCAAAACTCAATATTATAGTTTTATGAATTATAAAGTATTTTTAAATATTTTCAAATTGATTTTATTAATGTTATTCTCAGAAATGGAAACTATTTTAACAAAATATTTGTGTCCATGTATGTAGCCACAGAGATTAGACACAGACACAGCATGCTATAATGACAATGAATTATATCTCGATCAATAAGTATTTACAATATATAAAACCCCAAAAGTCTGGAGAGTCACCAGAACGAGTACCTGTTACTACTGATTTTAAAATCCATATTGAAAAACTTTAAAAAATCTAAAGTTATGCATTGTTCAGGTAGAAACTAGACACACTAACTTCTAAGAAGCTAAAATTTTGTAGCTATACTGGTACGTTAGGGCCACTAGCTGGTCACTTAATTGAAGACATTAGAAAATCATATAAAATGACATATATAGCTTAAGCATTTTATTTTAATTGAAAGTATTTATCATGGAGTCAGACACAATGGATAGTGCTTGTAGTCCCAGCTACTCAGGAGGCCAAGGTGGGAAGATTATTAGATGTATATGTGTGTGATACACACACACATATACACACACATTCTATTTCCAATGTTTGGAGGGTGAAGGCCTCTTATTTTAGTATGGTTCCACTGATTGGAGATCTGAATTTTTTTGTGTACTTATGAATTTTAGCATAAATTCATTTAAAGAGGGACAACAAATAAAATCTTTTGTGAAGACTAAAAATTTCTTTTGTACAATACAAAAGATGAAACAAAATGTTGGTTCTTTGAAAAAATAAATAAAATTGATAGACCATTGGCATGATTAACCAAGAAAAGAAGAGAGAAAATCCAAATAACCCCACTAAGAAACAAAACAGGAGATATTACAACTGACACCACTGAAATACAGAAGATCACTCAAGGCTACTATGAACACCTTTACATACATAAACTAGAAGACCTAGAAGAGATGGATAAATTCCTGGAAAAAATACAACCCTCCTAGCTTAAATCAGGAAGAATTAGATACCCTGAACAGACTAATAACAAGCAGCAAGATTGAAATGGTAATTTAAAAATTGCCAACAAAAAAAGTCCAGGACCAGATGGATTCACAGCAGAATTCTACCAAACATTCAAAGAATTGGTACTAATCCTTTTGAAACAATACCACAAGATAGAGAAAGAAAGAACCCTCCTTAATTTATTTTATGAAGCCAGCATCACCCTAATACCAAAACCAGGAAAAGACATAACCCAAAAAGAAAACTACAGACCAATAGCCTTGATGAACACAGATGCTAAAATCCTTAATAAAATATTTGCTAACTAAATCCAACAACATATCAAAAAGATAATCTGCCATGATAACGTGGGTTTCATACCAAAGATGCAGGGATAGTTTAGCATATGCAAGTCAATAAATGTAATACACCATATAAACAGAACGCAAGTCAATAAATGTGATACACCACATAAACAGAATTAAAAACAAAAATCACAACTAAGAGCAGAACTGAAGGAAATAGAGACACAAAAAACCCTTCAAAAAATCAATGAATCCAGGACCTGGTTTTTTGAAAAGATCAACAAAAGTGATAGACCACTAGCAAGACTGATGAAGAAAAGAGAGAAGAATCAAATAGAGGAAATAAAAAATGATAAAGGGGATATCACCACCAATCCCACAGAAATACAAACTACCATCAGAGAATAATATAAACACCTCTATGCAAATAAACTAGAAAATCTAGAAGAAATGGATAAATTCCTCGACACATATACCCGCCCAAGATTAAACCAGGAAGAATTTGAATCTCTGAATAGACCAATAACAGGCTCTGAAATTGAGGCAGTAATTAATAGCTTACCAACCAAAAAAAGTCCAGGACCAGACGGATTCACAGCCGAATTCTACCAGAGGTACAAGGAGGAGCTGGTACCATTCCTTCTGAAACTATTCCAATCAATAGAAAAAGAGGGAATCCTCCCTAACTCATTTTATGAGGCAAGCATCATCCTGATACCAAAGCCTGGCAGAGACACAACAAAAAAAGAGAATTTTAGACCAATATCCCTGATGAACATCGAAGCAAAAATCCTCAATAAAATACTGGCAAACTGAATCCAGCAGCACATCAAAAAGCTTATCCAACATGATCAAGTGGGCTTCATCGCTGGGATGCAAGGCTGGTTCAACATATGCAAATCAATGAACGTAATCCAGCATAGAAACAGAACCAATTACAAAAACCACATGATTATCTCAATAGATGCAGAAAAGGCCTTTGACAAAATTCAACAACCCTTCATGCTAAAAACTCTCAATAAATTAGGTATTGATGGGACGTATCTCAAAATAATAAGAGCTATTTATGACAAACCCACAGCCAATATCCTGAATGGGCAAAAACTGGAAGCATTCCCTTTGAAAACTGGCACAAGACAGGGATGCCCTCTCTCACCACTCCTATTCAACATAGTGTTGGAAGTTCTGGCCAGGGCAATCAGGCAGGAGAAGGAAATAAAGGGTATTCAATTAGGAAAAGAGGAAGTCAAATTGTCCCTGTTTGCTGATGACATGATTGTATATTTAGAAAACCCCATCATCTCAGCCCAAAATCTCCTTAAGCTGATAGGCAACTTCAGCAAAGTCTCAGGTTACAAAATCAATGTGCAAAAATCACAAGCATTCTTATACACCAGCAACAGACAAACAGAGAGCCAAATCATGAGTAAACTCCCAATCACAATTGCTTCAAAGAGAATAAAATACCTAGGAATCCAACTTACAAGGGATGTGAAGGACCTCTTCAAGGAGAACTACAAACCACTGCTCAAGGAAATAAAAGAGGATACAAACAAATGGAAGAACATTCCATGCTCATGGGTAGGAAGAATCAATATCGTGAAAATGGCCATACTGCCCAAGGTAATTTATAGATTCAATGCTATCCCCATCAAGCTACCAATGATTTTCTTCACAGAATTGGAAAAAACTACTTTAAAGTTCATATGGAGCCAAAAAAGAGCCTGCATTGCCAAGTCAATCCTAAGCCAAAAGAACAAAGCTGGAGGCATCATGCTACCTGACTTCAAACTATACTACAAGGCTACAGTAACCAAAACAGCATGGTACTGGTACCAAAACAGAGATATAGACCAATGGAACAGAACAGAGCCCTCAGAAATAATGCCGCATATCTACAAACATCTGATCTTTGACAAATCTGAGAAAAACAAGCAATGGGGAAAGGATTCCCTATTTAATAAATGGTGCTGGGAAAACTGGCTAGCCATATGTAGAAAGCTGAAACTGAATCCCTTCCTTACACCTTATACAAAAATTAATTCAAGATGGATTAAAGACTTAAATGTTAGACCTAAAACCATAAAAACCCTGGAAGAAAACCTAGGCAATACCATTCAGGACATAGGCATGGGCAAGGTCTTCATGTCTAAAACACAAAAAGCAATGACAACAAAAGCCAAAATTGACAAATGGGATCTAATTAACTAAAGAGCTTCTGCACAGCAAAAGAAACTACCATCAGAGTGAACAGGCAACCTACAGAATGGGAGAAAATTTTTGCAATCTACTGATCTGACAAAGAGCTAATATCCAGAATCTACAATGAACTCAAACAAATTTACAAGAAAAAAAATAAACAACCCCATCAACAAGTGGGCGAAGGATATGAACAGACACTTCTCAAAAGAAGATATTAAACAGCCAAAAGACACATGAAAAAATGCTCACCATCACTGGCCATCAGAGAAATGCAAATCAAAACCACAATGAGATATCATCTCACACCAGTTAGAATGTCGATCATTAAAAAGTCAGGAAACAACAGGTGCTGGAGAGGATATGGATAAATAGGAACACTTTTACACATTGGTGGGACTGTAAACTAGTTCAACCATTGTGGAAGTCAGTGTGGCGATTCCTCAGGGATCTAGAACTAGAAATACCATTTGACCCAGCCATCCCATTACTGGGTATATACCCAAAGGACTATAAATCATGCTGCTATAAAGACACATGCACACGTATGTTTATTGCGGCACTATTCACAATAGCAAAGACTTGGAACAAACCCAAATGTCCAACAATGATAGACTGGATTAAGAAAATGTGGCGCATATACACCATGGAATACTATGCAGCCATAAAAAATGATGAGTTCATGTCCTTTGTAGAGACATGGATGAAGCTGGAAACCATCATTCTCAGCAAACTATCACAAGGACAAAAAACCAAACACTGCATGTTCTCACTCATAGGTGGGAATTGAACAATGAGAACACATGGACACAGGAAGGGGAACATCACACACCAGGGCCTGTTGTGGGGTGGGGTGAGGGGGGAGAGATAGCATTAGGAGATATACCTAATGTTAAGTGATGAGTTAATGGGTGCAGCACACCAACATGGCACATGTATACATATGTAACAAACCTGCACCTTGTGCAAATGTACCCTAGAACTTAAAGTATAATAAAAATAAATAAATAAATAAAAATCACATAATCATTTCAATAGATGCAGAAAAAGCATTCAACAAAATCCAGCATTACTTTATTATTAAAACTCTCAGCAATGTCGGCAAACAAGGGACATATCTTAATGTAATAAAAGCCATGTATGACAAACCCACAGCCAACACAATACTGAATGGGAAAAAGTTGAAAACATTCCTTCTGAGAACTGGAACAAGAGAAGGATGCCCACTCCCACCACTCCTCTTCAACATAGTACTGGAAATCCTTATCAGAGCAATCAAGAGAAAGAAATAAAGGGCATCCAAATTGGTAAAGAGGAAGTCAAACTGCCACTGTTTGCTAACAAGATGATTGTTTACCTTGAAAACCCTAAGGATTCCTCCAGAAAGCTCCTAGAACTGATATAAGAATTCATAAGTTTCTGGGTACAAGATTAATGTGCACAAATCAGTAGCTCTTCTATACACCAACAATGACTAAGTGAAGAATAAAATCGAGAACTCAACACCTTTTACAATAGCTGCAAAAAAAGAAAAAATACTTAAGAATATACCTAACCAAGAAGTTGAAAGACCTCTACAAGGAAAACTACCAAACACTGCTGAAAGAAATAATAGGTGACATGAACAAATGGAAACAAATCCCATGCTCATGGATGGGTAGAACTGATATTGTGAAAATGACCATATTGCCAAAAACAATCTACAAATCAATGCACTTCCCATCAAAATACCACCATCATTCTTCAGAGAATTAGAAAAAACAATTCTAAAATTGATGTGGAACCAAAAAAGTGCCCACATAGCCAAAGCAAGATTAAGCAAAAAGAAGAAATCTGAGGCATCACACTACCTGATTTCAAACTATACTATAAGGCCATAGTCACCAAAACAGCATGGGATTGGTATAAAAATAGGCACATAGACCCATGGAACAGAATAGAGAACACAGAAATAAACCCAAGTACTTACAGCCAACTGAACTTCAACAAAGCAAACGAAAACATAAAGTAGGGAAAGGAACCCTCTTCAACAAATGGTGTTGGGATAATTGGCAAGCCACATGTAGGAGAATTAAACTGGATCCTCATCTCTCACCTTATACACAAATCAACTCAAAATGGATTAAAGACATAAACCTAAGACTTGAAACTATAAAAATTCTAGATGATAACATCAGGAAAACCCTTCTAGTCATTGGCTTAAACAAGGATTTCATGACCAAGAACCCAAAAGCAAATGCAGTAAAAACAAAGATAAATAGCTCGGACCTAATTAAACTAAAGAGCATTTGCACAGCAAAAGGAACAGTCAGCAGAGTAAACAGACAACCCACAGAGTGGGAGAAAATCTTCACAATCTATGCATCTGACAAAGGACTAATATCCAGAATCTACAACAAACTCAAATACAACAGTAAGAAAAAAAACCATCCCATCAAAAAGTGGTCTAAGGACATGAATAGACAATTCCCAAAAGAAGATATACAAATGTCCAACAAACATATGAAAAGATGCTCAACATCACTAATGATAAAGGAAATGCAAATCAAAACTTCAATGCGATACCACCTCACTCCTGCAAGAGTAGCCATAATCAAAAAATCAATAAAACAGTAGATGGTGGTGTGGCTGCAGGGAACACTTTTATACTGCTGGTGGGAGTGTAAACTAGTATAGCTGCTATGGAAAACAGTGTGGATATTCCTTTAAGAACTAAATGTAGAACTACCATTTGATCCAGAAATACTGCTACTGGGTATCTACTCAGAAGAAAATAAGTTATTATTCGAAAAAGATATTTGCACACGCATGTTTGTAGCAGCATGATTCACAATTGCAAAATCATGGAACCAATCCAAATGCCCATCAATCAATGAGTGGATAAAGTAGCTGTGATGATGGAATACTGCACAGTAGTATATGATGGAATACTACACAGCCATTAAAAGGAATGAGTTAACAGCATTTGTAGTGACCTGGATGAGATTGAAGACTATTATTCTAAGTGAGGTAACTCAGGATGGAAAACCAAACATCATATGTTCTCACCGATATGTCGGAACTAAGCTATGAGGACACAAAGGCATAAGAATGACACAATGGAC
The DNA here is from genome assembly GCF_000001405.40 of Homo sapiens. NCBI lineage: Eukaryota > Metazoa > Chordata > Mammalia > Primates > Hominidae > Homo > Homo sapiens. The sequence continues at coordinate 87,306,746 of NC_000008.11, forward strand.
TTTGGGGATGTGGGGGAAGAGTGGGAGGGGGGTGAGGGATAGAAGACTATAAATATGGTGCAGTGTATACTGCCTGGGTCATGGGTGCCCCAAAATCTCACAAATCACCACTAAAGAACTTAATCATATAACCAAATACCACCTGTACCCAAATAATTTACGGAAAATAAAATAAAAGTCAATGTACCCCAGGATATGGGGGAACAGAAAAAAATGTACTCAATAACTATATCTGAAATAAATAAATGACCTAACCTCAAAAATAAATAAAATGATAGGAAAAAATAAAATAATCGTAAAAATTTGTTTTGTTTTTCCCAGACTCTTATCTACATCTAAATAGAAGATATTATTTTGCAACTCAATGTTTAGATCTTTCTAACAGATTCGTCTTAGATTTCATAAAAACATAAGCCCTCTCGAACATAAAATAATTGTTGTTTTAACATTTGATTAAATATGTACTTACAATGCAAACGAAAATTGTATAAACAGAATTTGGAACAAACACAACTATTGTGAAGAACACAATTTAACTGGCATTAATTGACGTACATGAGGATATTAAAGTGTAGGACACTAGCTACAGGTATTTAATGGGACATAGGCATGGGTCATGCTTTGTAGAGTCAGGTTATTTGGCAGATTTGTAAAATGGAATCTGGTTAGGAAATTTTTGCTGAAAACTTAAGTGATCAGAACTTAGCAAGGGCTGCGTGCACTGGCTCATGCCTGTAATCCCAGCATGTTTGGAGGCTGAGGCAGGTGGATCAGCTGAGGCTGGGACTTCAAGACCAGCCTGGACAACATGGCGAAGTGTCATCTCTACTAAAAATACAAAAATTAGCTGGGCATGGAGGCACATGCCTATAATCCCAGCTACTTGGGAGGCTGAGGCAGGAGAATCGCTTGAACCTGGGAGGTGGAGGTTGCAGTGAGCCAAGATTGTGCCATTGCATTCCAGCCTGGGCAAAAGAGTGAAACTCCGTCTCAAAAAAAAAATTATATATATATATATATAACTTAGCAAGGATATTGCAAGAAAGCTTCATGGATTCTAAACTAATATCTTTCCATTTTAAGTGATGGCAGTCAAACTCAATGAAGCAAGAGAAAAAATAACAATAAACAAAATAATTTATTGGTTTATACAACTAGGAAGTTCAGGCATTTATCTTTCACTAATGCCTGTATCCACAAGTTAAACTAATCTCACTAGGATTGTATTTTCCAATCCTTTGTTCTTTTTTCACTTTGCATTAGCTTCCTTCTCCAGGAAGTTTCCCCATGTTATGGCAAAAGTAGCTACATTGTCTTTACAGCCAACAAGCGACATTATCTTTATAGCCCTGTGAAAAAGTCCCTTTTCCTGATTGTTCTAGGAAAAATCTGTTATGACTTACTGGCTGGAGTTGGGTTACATGCACACAATGAACAATTTACTTGGGCCAGGGGATGGAATTTGTTGTTCAGTTATTGCTTGGTAACAGACCTGCCCCTAGGAATTGGTAAAGTCCTTTTTGGAACCCTGGACTACCAAGAGGATGGGTGTGTCACTTGCAATTTTTACCAAAAAAATCATGTTTCATCCATCTGGGAGTCAGACATTTCATAATCTTTAAAATATTCCTGCAGCTCTCAGAATTAGTTAATAGGACTGTCTCCATTTGAGCTTGGATATGCTTTGTCTTTTTTGTGTGATTCTATTTCTTCTTTCATGTTGATATATAATGTACATATTTATGGGGTACATGTGATATTTTGACACATGCATACAATGTGTCATGATCAAATCAGTGTATTTAAAATATCCATAATCTCAAACATTTGTTATTTCTTTGTGTTAGAAACATTTCAAATCTTCTCTTCCAGCTATTTTGAAATATACAGTATATTGTTGTTAACTATAGTCACCTTACTGTGATTTGGAACACTAGAATTTGTTCCTTTTATGTAACTATAATTTTGTACCCATTAACCAGTCTCTCTTCACCCTCTCCCCTGACCCTTCCTAGCCTCTCATATTGATAATTCTACTCTGTACCTCCATGAGATCCACCTTTTTAGCTCCCACAAATGGGTGAGAACATGCAATATATGTCTTTATGTGCCTGTCTTATTTCATTTAATATACCGACCTCTAATTTTATCCATGTTGCTGCATATGACAGCATTTAGTTATTTTTTATACCTCAATCGTATTCTATTATGTATGCATGCCACATTTTCTTTATCCATTCATTTCTTGATGGACATTTACATAGATTCCATAACTTGGCTATTGTGAATAGTGCTACCTTAAGCACTAGGGTGTAGGTATCCCTTTGAAATGCTGATTTTCGTTCTTTTGGGTAAGTAGTCAGTAATAGGATTGCTGGATCATGTGATAGTTCTAATTTCAGTTTTGAGGAACCTCCATACATTTTTAAATAATGGCTTTATTTATATTCCTACCAACAATGTATAAGACTTCCCCTTTTTCTGCATTCTCATCAGCATTTGTTAATTGTCTTTTTGTAATAGCCATTAAAACTAGGATAATATAATCGGTTTCTTCTTATTACCAAATCATCTCTGCTTCTCCATGCCACTGTATCCCCAGTTATACCTGTCATTTCTTGCATTTCTTGGTACCTAATATTTTAGCTGTCTTTTATTCGGGTCAACATTTAAATTACAGATTTTCCTCCAAATTTCTCAGAGGCAGTAATGTTTCTAGTGCTATTGCTTTGTGTATTTCTATTTATAACTGCCTTCATATGATTTCGGGAAATATAATTCCCTGTGGGAATTTTCTAGAATTCCTAAATTGACTCCTGCTCAAGACTTACGATAAGAAAAGTTTTTGTAGACTTCCATAAACAAAACTCATATCTGTATATCTGTAGCTGTGTGTCTGTATCTATATCTTTATCACTTATACCTATGAATAACTATATCTACATATAAATCTGTATTTATGTCTATATATAATCAATCATCTCCTGGATAGAGTGATACCTGTAAGTGATTTCCATTTTTCAAAAGCAAGTCATACTTCTGTTATCCTCTTTCTTCTAAAAGTACCATATTGAAAGTCCTAGCCAGGGCAATCAGGCAAGAAAAAAAATAAAATAAAAGGTGTCCAAATAGGAAAAGAATAAGTCAAACTGTTTCTCTTCATGGATGAAATGATTCTGTACCTAGAAACCCCTAAAAACTTTGCCACCAGTCCCTGATAAATGACTTCAGTAGAGTTTCAAGATACAAAATCAATGTACAAAAATCAGTAGCATTTCTATATACCAATAATGTTCAAGCTGAGAACCAAATCAAGAATGCAATCCCAGACAGATATGGTGGCTCATACCTATAATTCCAGCATTTTGGGAGGCCAAAGTGAGAGGATCACTTGAGCCCAGGAGTGTATGACCAGTCCTGGCAACATAGTGAGACTCCATCTCTACAAAAAAGTTTAAAAAATTAGCTTGGTGTGGTGGCACATGCTATAGTCCCAGCACTCAGGAAGCTGAGGTGGGAAGATCACTTGACCCCAGGAGGTAGAGGGTGCATTGAGCTGTGATCATGCCACTGCACTCCAGCCTGGGTGATAGAGTACAACACTGTCTTAAAAAAATGCAATCCCATTTACAATATCCACACAAAAAAATAAATACGTAGGAAGACATCTAACCAAGGAGGTGAAAGAAAGACCTCTATAAGGAAAACTACAAAACACTACTTTAGAAAATCATAGATGACACAAACAAATGGAGAAACACTCCACCCTCATAGCTTGGAAGAATCAGTATTGTTAAAATGGCCATATTGCCCAAAACAATCTACAGTTTTAACACTATTTCTATCAAATGACCAATGTCATTTTTCACATAATTTGAAATAAGCGATTCTAAAATTTATGTGGAGCTAAAAAAGGGCCCAAATAGCCAATGCAATTTTAAGCAAAAAGAACAAAGCCAGAGGCATCACATGACCAGACTTCAAACTGTACTATAAGGCTACAGTAACCAAAACAGCATGGAACTGTACAAAACAGACACATGGACCAATGGAAAAGAATAGAGAACCTAGAAAATAAGCTACACATCTGCAACTGTCAGTCTTTGATAAAGTTGACAAAAATAAGCAATGGTACTGGGATAGCTGGCTAGCCATAAGCAGACAAAACTGGACCCCTTCTTTTCACCATATATAAAAATTAAGTCGAGATGGAGAGAAGACTGAAGCCTAAGACCTCAAAATATAAGAACCCTAGGAGAAAACCTAGGAAACAGTATTGTGGACATTGGCCTTGGGAAAGAATTTATGGCTAAATCCTCAAAAGCAATTGCAACAAAAACAAAAATTGACAAGTGGGACCTAAATTAAACTAAAAAGCTTCTGCACAACAAAAGAAACTATCAACAGAATAAACAGAACCTACAGAATGGGAGAAAATATTCACAAACAATATATCCAACAAAGGTCTGATATCTAGAATCTATAAGAAACTTAAACAATTCAACAAGCAAAAAACAAAAAAACTCACCTAAAAAGTAGACAAAAGACATAAACAGATGCTTCTTAAAGAAGACATAAATGAAGCCAACAAACATGTAAAAATGCTCAACATCACTAATTATCAGAGAAATGCAAATCAAAACAACTAGGAGATACCATCTCCCACCAGTCAGAATGGCTATTATTAAAAAGTCAAAAAATAACAGATGCTGGTGAGGCTGCAGAGAAAAGGAAATGCCTGTCCACAGTTGGTGGGAATGTAAATTAGTTTAGCCACTGTGGAAAGCAGTGTGCAGAATTTTCAAAGAAAAAATGGAACTACTAATAAACCCAACAATCCAATTATTGAGTATATATCTAAAATAAAATAAATCCTTTTAGCAAAAGGACACATGCACTTGTATGTTCATTGCAGTACTATTCACAATAGCAAATATATGAAATCAATGTAGTTCCCCATCAACAGTGTATTAGATAAAGAAAATGTGGCACATATATACCATGAAATAGTATGCAGCTATAAAAAAGAGCAAAATCATGTCATTTGCAGCAATATGAATGCAGCTGGCGGTCATTAACCTATGCAAATTAACACAGGAACTGAAACCAAATACTGCATGTTCTCACTTGTAAGTGGAAGCTAAACATTGGACACTCATGGACATAAAGGTGCCAACTGTAGACAATGGGGACTACCAGAGTGGGGAGGGAGAGAGGGGAGCAAGGATTGAAAAACTAACTATTGGATAGTATGCTTAGTACCTAGCTGACAGGATCAATTGTACCCCAAACCACAGCATCACGCGATATACCTATGTAACAAACCTGCATATATACCCCTGAATCTAAAATGAGAGTTGAAATTATGAAAAAGAAAATCTCTAATTTAGGCATTTTTCCTCTGAAAGGTGCAAATTGTAATTTTCGCAATAAAACATATATTCCCCTCCCCCCAAAAATAAAACTACTATATCGATATTTTGACATAATCTATTTTTAACAAAATGATTCCTTGTTGCAAGGTTGCAATGCTTTCATTTTAACCTTTTGTAACAATTGTGTGTGAGTTACATATGCACACATTCTCTATTCTCTTGGGGCAATTGCTGCATGATTAGTTTGATCTCTGAATATTGCCACTCTTGAATTTGTGTCAGTGGCATTTCTATACATTTTGGGTCCCAAACACATGTTAATTCAAGGCTTCCCAAGCTATGAATTAATGACAAAAATGAGCTGATCTTCAGATCCTGTGAAATATAGTGGGGTTTGACATTGCTTTTATAAAGAGAGAAAACTAAGACTCTGCTAGAGACAATCTATCTTTTCTGACTACAGCATTCTTATTTCCTATTTTAACTTTTTTGCACTTCCATATGCAAGTAAGAGCCATATGAGTAATTAATTTTCCATAATATCATATATTGATTTTTTAGCTTTAATGAAAATAGTATTTCGAGGTGTTTTTTTAAAAAACAAATCTAGCACTTTAGAAGACTCAGAAATTTCAGCTAGGAATATTCCATAAAAATTTTTTTCTAAAAACAAGAGAAATATTGGGTCAGTACAGGGCAGCCATGTCAAAGACCTGCATTTCTCTTTTGGTCTTAGATTGCCAAACTTCACAGGAGTTTTTAGGAAGATAGAGCTATGAGATTTGTATTTGCTCCCAGAAAAGTTGGGCATTTACATGCAGTTAGTATTCAACGATATATTGTTCTGCCTAAATTTCGCAAACGACATACTCTAAGTGTTTTGAATTATTTTCATTATGTAATTTTGGCTGCTTTGTGAGGGTAGTACCATTTTCTGATGTTACTTAATATTAATCCACTCTTCACTCAGAAAGATGGGCAAGGATTTTTACTAAAATACCATATACCCAACTTCTGCTTTAGAAAGGATAAAGTGATATTGAACTTGAAAAGGTTTGATGCTTTTTGCACATACTACGTTAATATTTATTTATCCATTTGTGTTTGTTGGACAAACGTTGTTTTAGAAAGAATTGCAGGGACTTATTTGGAGAAAATATTTGTCATAGAATGTAAAATGTAAATCAAATTGGAGTTACTATCCAAGAAGAAATGACATGTGTCTGAATAATGCAATGAGAGTTAGTCAAGTATTTTACACAGAACAATTTTATGTGCTTAAGCAGTTACACTCAAGAAGTACTGTGGTCTCATATTTATTCATGCCATTTCTCAAATATTTAAGACAGTTTCAAAGAGAAGAACTATAATGTATGTAACTTGAACAAATTCTTCAATAGTGAAGGAACTATCAATAGTTTTTAATGCATGGAACCATAGAATATCATTTAGCAAACTGTCTCAACCACTCATTCTGTGTCCTGCATAACAAGGGAAGTCTTTGAGAAGAAAGTGATGTTTTTTTCTTCTTCTCAGGAAGATCTGATACATTACACTGTGTTCTTATGTTCCCTTTACTAGATAGAAAAGAAAAAGAAATATGCAGCCTTTTACAATTACTTGTTCTTAAATAGAAAGATATAGAAAATAAGATTAAATGCTTATATGCATTTAATTTTTTAACATTTTACCTACTCTTTTTACATAAATGACAGTAAGGAAAACATGTCAGCAACAAAAATAATTTTTATAATAGTATACCAAGGCAAAAAATTGTGTTTACCCCCATTTTGTACCTTGCATTTTCTAGTCTAAACTGTTTTTACCTTGTGTGTTCATCTTAGAAGACTGATCACAGCAGCCTCTTCTGGAATATTGGAGAGATCCCTCCAGAGTACCAAAGCACATGTAATAATAGCATGAATGCTTTACAGTGCATAAGTTACTTGATTTGATTACATTTTCAAGAAGTAGATGATGCCAATGCTTTTTTTTTCTAATTCAGTATAATATGGGAGCTAAAACTGACAAAGATAATATAAAAAAAGATTATTTATGGATCTAAAATGTGAATATCAATATAAAAATCCTAAAAATTCTATTTGGAAACATAATCTAGCAGCACTTTAAAGAATGGCACACCCAAAACAAAGTTCATTTATTCTAGGAATTCAATAAAGCATCTCATTTTTTAAAAAAAAAGATATTACCATTTTTCACTTAAATATAAGTCAGGGGAGGAAAATCATATCCTTATCTTTATGGCAGCTAAAAAGGATTTGAGGACAGTTTCATCTATTTTTTGACACACATTCTTAATAAAATAAGAATAGATGAAAACTTTCATGATATGATAAAGTGATCTAAAAAAAGAAGTCAGCTACATTCTTACAGTAAACACCAGAACCATTGCCATGAAAGTGATGAGCTTGCTAACATTTTTAACTAAAATAGTAAATATGAAATAGTTAAAGGGGGAGGCAGTATTATTATTTTTTCTCATGATATTATCAGATTTGATTATCTATGGAAAGTCAATGACAAAATTTTTAAGAAATATAAAATTAAGTGAGGTAAAATCTTGCAAGATGAATATGTACACATTTATTTTATAATAGCTCTTTGTCAATTTTAAAGGAAGAAGAGGTTACATATATGATAGCACCCCAAATACTAAATATCTAGAAAAAAGTTACCAAGTAATATAAAGGTGCTGTATGAAACAAACAAGCAAAAAACCCTCAAATGATGTAAAATAAGACAGTTCAGACAGAACTTGTTCTTGGATAGGAAAATGCTTTGCTGCAAAGATGTCTTTTATCACTAAATTCATTAGCCCAACGTAAACTTTAAAAAATAGTAGTAGGATTTTTTGGTTGTTATATTGATTCTAATGTCTACACGGAAAATTTAACAAGCAAAAGTACTTAGAAAATACTTTCAAAATACTGAGAGATTGGAACATAAATATTTTAGTGGACAGATTAATTGAAGAACTAAGTCAGAAAGAAAAAAATGAGAATTTGGCATACAATAAAAATATTATTTAAAGAGAGTAGGGAAAATAGTGTAACAAATATTTTGTTTTAGACAAATAGTGAATAGAGGTGAATATATTCCAGCTGGATCACAAAGCTCTATACAAGCTGTGATAACACTGCTATAAAAAATTGACAGATTTATTTTCTTACCTCTGGTATCTCTGTTTGTTTGTGTTGCTAAAAAGGAATACTTGAAGCTAGGTAATTTATTTTAAAAATAGAGATTTTTTTTTTTGGCTCATGGTTCTGCAGGCCATACAAGAAGCATGGTGCAGGCATCTACTTGGCTTCTGGTGAGGACCTCAGGTTGTTTCCACTCATGACTGAAGGCAAAAGGGAACCAGAGATCACATGGTGAGAGACAAAGCAAAAGAATAGGAAGGTGCCAGGCTCATGTGGAAACTAGCAGAGTGAGAACTCACGCCTTACCCCGAAGGATGGCATTAATCTATTCATGAGGGGTCAGCCCTCATGACCCAAAAACTTCCCATTAAGCTCAACCTTCAACATTGGAGGTCAAATTTCAACATGAGTTTTGGAGGGGTAAAATATCCATAGCAGCTGGGAATGTAGGTTGGTTAATGGTTTCAAAATATAGTTAGATTGAAGGAATATCTCAGCGTTTGATAGCACAGTAGGGTGATAATAGTTTATAATTTATTGTATATTTTAAAGTAGGTAGCAGAGAAGATTTGGAATGTTCCAATCACAAAAAAGAATAAATGTTTGAGGTGATGGATTTCCTAATTACCTTGATTTGATCATTACACAATTTATGCATGTATCATAATATCACATGATGTGCCCCATGAATATATACAATTATTGTGTATTAATAAAAAATTTAAAAATCATAAAATAGGTAAAAAACATAAATTGAAATATTCATCTCAGAGTAATATACTTGATCTTAGCCAAAAGGCTGAGAAGTGATTCATCTAAGAATAATAAAAAATTAGTATTCTACATGGCAAAAGGTTTAATAAATAAAGCATAACATACAAACAGCAAGCTGTAATATTGTTGCATACATAAAAAAGAAATTGTTTTGTCATATACAAATGACTCTTACCAACGAATAGTAAAATCTCAAGGAGGTGAAGAGAAATACAATTAGAATGAAAAGATAGTTTCTAAAAGGAACAAAAATTCCTGTCTAAGTCAATTTAACTTATAATTTTGAAAATATTTAGTTTCCATTTTTTGCTTATCACACTGGCAAATTTTTGAAATTTTATTAATGTATGAAATTTTCCTAGAAGTTAGAAAACAAGAATCTTATGTAATTTAGGTAGGTGTGTCAATTGATGCAACATGTTTCAGGACTGATTTAACCAAACCTATGAAAAGTAAAAATCTGAATACTAAAACAGTGTGTGTCTAAAAGTTTATACTACCAATATAAACACACTTGTTTGTTCAGAGGTTCAAAGATAGATGTACAATAATTTCTATTACACTTTTTTTTTGCAATAGGAAACAAGTGGCCATCAAGGCACAGGTTAAATAACTTATGAAACATTCACACAGTGGGAGATTGTAGTCAATGAAAAAGAATGAGGAAGATCATAAGCAGACGTATAAGGATTTCCAATACATACTGAAAAATCAAAAAGTGCCAGAATGTGTGTAGAGATTGATTTTAGTTGTGTATCGTTATCTAGTGTATATCTATTTACAACTCCTATTTATATACAAGTATTAATCGATATGAATTTATTATTATATAAATATTCATTATATAATGGAATGCATTTTAGAATGTGACTTAAGAAGTCACAAGTACTCAAGTTTGAAGTCTAGTTGTATTATGTCCTATTTGTGAGGCCTTAGATGAATTACATAAACTTCTCTAGGTCTCATTTTTCTTCTTTGTAAAATGGGGATAATAATGATACTTATCTCAGAGGGTTGTTATAAGAAATTTTTTTGTGGGGGTGAACTGTCTGACTAGAAAATATCAGTTCTATTTATCTTCTCAAAGAAATAGCCTTGGTTTCATTAATTTTCTCCATTGATTTTTCTCTTTCGTTGATTTCTCCTTTTTTATTATTTAAATTCTTCTGTTTGTTTGGGGTTTAATTCACTCTTATAGTAGCTTAAGGAAGTAGCTCAAGTTGTTGATTTGAGACTTTTTTTTTATTTTCTAAGCTAGCCATTTAATGCTGTTCTAAGTACTGCTTTTGATGTATACACACATTTTAATATATTATCTTTTTGTTTTCATCTCACTCAAAATGCCTTCCAGTTTTCCTGTAGATTTCTCCTTGGCCCATGGTTTACTTGAAAATATCAATTTTCAAGTAAATTTTTAAATTTTATTGTTATTTGAAAATATTTAGTTACCATTTTTCTATATGTTATTATTAATTGTGTAATTATTTTGTATTTTTATACATTTTTTCATTTAGTGGCTTTGAACTTAATTCCATTTTGGCCAAAGATCATGTTTTGTATTATTTGAATTGCCTTAAGTTTATTTAGACTTGTGTTATGGCTCAGAATAGGGTCTGTGTCGATAAGTGTTCCATTACACTTTTAAAAATGTGTATTCTGGTATATTGGATGAGGTATTAGTTTTTATCAAATATTGGGTGGAAAAATTTTGGAAATTACATCTTCAAATGCCTACTTCCTCTTTTCTGAGTACACTCTAAATACATAAGATTAGGCTCACTGAATTTGTCCCATGTTTCACTGTTTCTCTGTTCTAATATGTATGTGTATATACTTGATTTTTTTTCTTCTCTGTGTCTTATTTTAGGTGAATTTCTATTGGTGTGTCTTCAAGTTCACCAATATTTTCTTCTGCAGTGTCTAATCTACTGTACATCAGAACCATTATATTTTTTATATCAGACATTTTAGTTTCCATCTCTAGAAATTTAATTTGACTCATTTTATATTATGTTTTTACTTAAAATGCTATTTTTTTCACTAACTTCATAAACATTATGGGATATGTGTTTGATAATGATTTTTATGTAATTGTCTTCTGATTCTAATATCTCTCTTATTTCTGGTTTTCTTTCAGTTAATTAATTTTTCTCTTTATTATAGATTATATACCCATGCTTCTTTGCATGCTTTGTAATTTTGCATTGGATTCCAAGCATTTAAATTTTACTTTGTTGGGTGCTGGATTAAATATGTATAAGTTTTCTTGAGCTTTGTTCTGAGACACTGTTAAGTACTCAGCAACAATTTTATATGTTCTTGTCTTGCTTTTAATCTTTCTCAGGCAGGATCAGAACAGTGTTTAGTTTAGGTCTAATTTTCCCCACTGCTGAGGAAAAACTGTTCTGCATACTCTGTCCAATACACCATACGTTTTGAAGGAGCCCCTGCGTGCACATCAGAGGTTGTTCCCTCTAATAATGCTGGATGATTATTCTCAGTTTTGGGTGCTTTCCTCACATGCAAGGATGCTCACCCAGTACAGCTTCCCAGAAACGCTGGAGGCAGTCAGTAAAGGAATTAGATAGAATTAAAGAGAATGATACTGAAATAAAACCTGGAAGACTCTCAGAGGAAGGAAGGAGATGGGGAGGGGGGGCATTGGATAATTGCAATAAATATAGAAATTGACACAATTTCAAAATATATATTGTATCAGGCTGACCAGGCAGACCCTCAGTCAGATTTCAGAGACAGGAAGGATAGTCATGGTAAGTGATATGAATCACACCTTAGCATACTCTTTCTTTGGAAGTAGCATCTTAACACTATCTTTCATGGAAGACTGATAGCCAAACTTGTAAGAGTTTTAGGAGAGCTAAGGCTCATCAGAGAAAAGAATGAGCATAATGAAATAAACTTGGAGCAAGAAATTTTTAAGCAACAAAAAGAAGAGTAAATAAAATCATGGGTTCATTAAAATGAGATCAACATAATGGTGTGTGTTTAATGCAATACTAGTATAAATCAAGGAAGGAGAGGATATTAGGAGAGAAGTGGCCCCTCAATGCTGAGAGCACATGAAGGATATTGATTGATAATGTAGCACTTGATTTCACATTTAGAATAACACTAGTTACCTTCAACAGAGAAGTTTCAGGAGGATAGTATTACAGGAGGAAGCAAGGAAGGGGGTAATAATTCAATGCTTGATGTGGAAGTAGAACTGGCTAAAATGGACAATAAAACTGGGGCCCAATAAAAGGCAATGAGCCTCATATTCCCATAGGTATTTTTACATTGTTCTAAATGCCTTGCCTATAGCAGTAATAAAACCAACAGGTAATGAATACAATTCTCTTCTCCTTTGACAATACTTGCAGAAATTTTACCTCACGTAAATGGAGTTTAGATGAGTACTCATAGAATAACCTATATGAACTTTATTTGAAGAATAAAAAATGAGGAAGCAAAAAAGTAATTTTACCTCATTGGAAAATTTCTACTATACAAAAAAGTTACAGGATAAAAGAACAAAACTATTACTAGAATTGTGTAGCAACAGGGGAAATATACTTTCTTTCAGTAACTAAATGTGTTGTTACAGAAAAGTAACATGTTTTTACCTCAATTTAAGTTTTTCCTCTTTAACATATATTGATTGAAAAATAATAATGCTCTATAAGAATAAAATTAACAGTGAAAGTAGTAGGGTTTGAATTAACCATTCAAAAAAGCGTTTCTATATAGCTCATAAATGTTCATTTTATGCTTAGATAAGTGATAAAGGTAATGTGTATGAGCCTACATAATTTATTTGATACCCTTGCATTGGATTTTGTCCTAAGTTCTTGATGTTTTAACAACAAAATTTTATCTTTTCCCGTCTCTTTTTGAGAATGGCACTATTTTAAAATGATCTGAATTTCAAAAAGTATGTCCCCTAGCTTGGAAACTTCTCAGAATAATGAATTCCAAAATCAAGTACAGACTTCACACCATCTGAACAAAAATATATTGAGTGTCTGCTGTTTGCATTGCATGACATTGTGATAGATGTTCTTTTAACTCCAAAAGAGAAAAAATTAAAAACTGACTTGAAACAAATACCTTTTAACTCTCTTATACTAGCTTAACTTTTTATTGTTTGCCTTATCAAGTTCATTATATTTCAGGCTTTGTTAAGGACATAACTAATTGTGTTTTGTGCATGATAGGAGTTGCATCCTAATCACTTAATTACATTAAGTGATTTACTTTTGTTTCTACAGTTTAGTTAAAACAAGTAATAAGATACAGTTTTTAAGCTTGAAAAATAACTTAGATTTTCAATACCTTTATAAAAATTGGCTGAAAACATTACTGAGACTATCTTCAATGGTTTCTGCAAACACATTATATGTGATGATAATTCTGGAGTTTCTGACAGAGGCAAATTATTTTGCCACGAGTTAAAATTATGTGCCACCTCCCTTAGTTCAATCATTGATTAACAGGATTTCATGTAATTTAATGGTCTTATTTTTCAAAAGAAAGTGTGTGTATGTGCACGTGTGTGTGTGGGGGGGCGGCTCAGGGTACATTTAGATGAAGAAGTCACAAAAAATACAGTAACTCAAAGGTTACACCTTAAAACCTATGTGTTTATTTATTTTTTACTGTGATAAAAAACATGAGACCTATCCTAACAAATTTTATGTGCACATTACAGCATTATCAACTGCAATCACAATGTTGCTCAGCATATCTCTCTAATATTTTCACCTTGCATAACTGAAATTTTATATTCATTGCACAGCAATTTCCCATTTCACCTTCCCTGCAGCCCCTGGCAAACAACATTCTATTTTCTGCTATCAATATGGCTATTTTAGACACCTCATATTAGTGGAATCATGCAGTATTTGTCCTCCTGTGACTGGCTTATTTCACTTAGAATAATATTCTCAAACTGCATCCATGTTGCAGAATATGAGAGTAATTCCTTCTTATTTATAGATGAATTACCACATTTTATTTACCCATTCTTTTGTCAATATCACTTAGTTTCCACCACCTGGCCATTGTGAATAATGCTACAACAGGACATAGTAGTTTTTTGAGATCCTGATTTCAATTCTTTTGAATAAATATCCAGAAGTAAGAATGCTGAATCACATGATAGTTCTATTTTTAATTTTTTGAAGAATCTTCATACTGTTTTCCATAATAGCTGCAACATTTCGCATTATCACCAACAGTATGCACGAGTTTCAATTTCAACATGTCCTTACCAATTTGTAGTTTTCTGGTTTGTGTTTGTTTGCTTGTTTGTTTGATTGTGGCCATCCCAACACCTGTAAGGCAATATCTCTTTGTGATTTTGATTTGTGTTTGTGTAATAATTAGTGATACTGAACATCTTTTCTTATACCTGTTCTACATTTGGATGTCTTTGGAGAAATATCTATTCAAATCTCTTGCCCATTTTTTAAAGGGTTTTTTGATTTTTGCTACTGAGTTATAGATGTTCCTTATATATTTTGAATATTAACCATTTATCAGGTATATAGTCTGCAAATATTTTCTCTCATTCCATAGGCTGCCTTTTTCTCTATTGATTATTTCCTTTGCTGCACAAAAACTTTTTAATTTGATATAATCTCATTTGTCTATTTTTGCTTTTTTGTGCCTGTGCTTTTGGTGTCGTATCCAAGAAATCATTGCCAAGACCAATGTCATCAGGCTTTTTTCTTTTTCTTTTTCTTTTTTTTTTTTTTTATACTTTAAGTTTTAGGGTACATGTGCACATTGTGCAGGTTAGTTACATATGTATACATGTGCCATGCTGGTGTGCTGCACCCACCACCTCGTCATCTAGCCTTAGGTATATCTCCCAATGCTATGCCTCCCCGCTCCCCCCACCCCACCACAGTCCCCAGAGTGTGATATTCCCCTTCATGTGTCCATGTGATCTCATTGTTCAATTCCCACCTATGAGTGAGAATATGCGGTGTTTGGTTTTTTGTTCTTGCGATAGTTTACTGAGAATGATGATTTCCAGTTTAATCCATGTCCCTACAAAGGACATGAACTCATCATTTTTTATGGCTGCATAGTATTCCATGGTGTAAATGTGCCACATTTTCTTAATCCAGTCTATCATTGTTGGACATTTGGGTTGTTTCCAAGTCTTTGCTATTGTGAATAATGCCGCAATAAACATACGTGTGCATGTGTCTTTACAGCAGCATGATTTATAGTCATTTGGGTATATACCCAGTAATGGGATGGCTGGGTCAAATGGTATTTCTAGTTCTAGATCCCTGAGGAATCGCCACACTGACTTCCACAATGGTTGAACTAGTTTACAGTCCCACCAACAGTGTAAAAGTGTTCCTATTTCTCCACATCCTCTCTAACACCTGTTGTTTCCTGACTTTTTAATGATTGCCATTCTAACTGGTGTGAGATGATATCTCATAGTGGTTTTGATTTGCATTTCTCTGATGGCCAGTAATGATGAGCATTTTTTCATGTGTTTTTTGGCTGCATAAATGTCTTCTTTTGAGAAGTGTCTGTTCATGTCCTTCGCCCACTTTTTGATGGGGTTGTTTGTTTTTTTCTTGTAAATTTGTTTGAGTTCATTGTAGATTCTGGATATTAGCCCTTTGTCAGATGAGTAGGTTGCGAAAATTTTCTCCCATGTTGTAGGTTGCCTGTTCACTCTGATGGTAGTTTCTTTTGCTGTGCAGAAGCTCTTTAGTTTAATTAGATCCCATTTGTCAATTTTGTCTTTTGTTGCCATTGCTTTTGGTGTTTTAGACATGAAGTCCTTGCCCATGCCTAGGTCCTGAATGGTAATGCCTAGGTTTTCTTCTAGGGTTTTTATGGTTTTAGGTCTAACGTTTAAATCTTTAATCCATCTTGAATTGATTTTTGTATAAGGTGTAAGGAAGGGATCCAGTTTCAGCTTTCTACATATGGCTAGCCAGTTTTCCCAGCACCATTTATTAAATAGGGAATCCTTTCCCCATTGCTTGTTTTTCTCAGGTTTGTCAAAGATCAGATAGTTGTAGGTATGCAGCATTATTTCTGAGGGCTCTGTTCTATTCCATTGATCTATATCTCTGTTTTGGTACCAGTACCATGCTGTTTTGGTTACTGTAGCCTTGTAGTATAGTTTGAAGTCAGGTAGTGTGATGCCTCCAGCTTTGTTCTTTTGGCTTAGGATTGACTTGGCGATGTGGGCTCTTTTTTGGTTCCATATGAACTTTAAAGTAGTTTTTTCCAATTCTGTGAAGAAAGTCATTGGTAGCTTGATGGGGATGGCATTGAATCTGTAAATTACCTTGGGCAGTACGGCCATTTTCACGATATTGATTCTTCCTACCCATGAGCATGGAATGTTCTTCCATTTGTTTGTATCCTCTTTTATTTCCTTGAGCAGTGGTTTGTAGTTCTTGAAGAGGTCCTTCACATCCCTTGTAAGTTGGATTCCTAGGTATTTTATTCTCTTTGAAGCAATTGTGAATGGGAGTTCACTCATGATTTGGCTCTCTGTTTGTCTGTTGCTGGTGTATAAGAATGCTTGTGATTTTTGTACATTGATTTTGTATCCTGAGACTTTGCTGAAGTTGCTTATCAGCTTAAGGAGATTTTGGACTGAGACGATGGGGTTTTCTAGATAAACAATCATGTCATCTGCAAACAGGGACAATTTGACTTCCTCTTTTCCTAATTGAATACCCTTTATTTCCTTCTCCTGCCTGATTGCCCTGGCCAGAACTTCCAACACTGTGTTGAATAGGAGTGGTGAGAGAGGGCATCTCTGTCTTGTGCCAGTTTTCAAAGGGAATGCTTCCAGTTTTTGCCCATTCAGTATGATATTGGCTGTGGGTTTGCCATAGATAGCTCTTATTATTTTGAAATACGTCCCATCAATACCTAATTTATTGAGAGTTTTTAGCATGA
This sequence comes from Homo sapiens, assembly GCF_000001405.40. Taxonomy (NCBI): domain Eukaryota; kingdom Metazoa; phylum Chordata; class Mammalia; order Primates; family Hominidae; genus Homo; species Homo sapiens. Next base: position 87,324,012 of record NC_000008.11, read on the forward strand.
AGGGTTGTTGAATTTTGTCAAAGGCTTTTTCTGCATCTATTGAGATAATCATGTGGTTTTTGTCTTTGGCTCTTTTTATATGCTGGATTACATTTATTGATTTGCCTATATTGAACCAGCCTTGCATCCCAGGGATGAAGCCCACTTGATCATGGTGGATAAGCTTTTTGATGTGCTGCTGGATTCGGTTTGCCAGTATTTTATTGAGGATTTTTGCATCAATGTTCATCAAGGATATTGATCTAAAATTCTCTTTTTTGGTTGTGTCTCTGCCCGGCTTTGGTATCAGAATGATGCTGGCCTCATAAAATGAGTTAGGGAGGATTCCCTCTTTTTCTATTGATTGGAATAATTTCAGAAGGAATGGTACCAGTTCCTCCTTGTACCTCTGATAGAATTCGGCTGTGAATCCATCTGGTCCTGGGCTCTTTTTGGTTGGTAAACTATTGATTATTGCCCCAATTTCAGCTCCTGTTATTGGTCTATTCAGAGATTCAACTTCTTCCTGGTTTAGTCTTGGGAGAGTGTATGTGTCAAGGAATGTATCCATTTCTTCTAGATTTTCTAGTTTATTTGCGTAGAGGTGTTTGTAGTATTCTCTGATGGTAGTTTGTATTTCTGTGGGATCAGTGGTGATATCCACTTTATCATTTTTTATTGTGTCTATTTGATTCTTCTCTCTTTTTTTCTTAGTAGTCTTGCTAGCGGTCTATCAATTTTGTTGATCCTTTCAAAAAACCAGCTCCTGGATTCATTGATTTTTTGAAGGGTTTTTTGTGTCTCTATTTCCTTCAGTTCTGCTCGGATTTTAGTTATTTCTTGCCTTCTGCTAGCTTTTGAATGTGTTTGCTCTTGCTTTTCTAGTTCTTTTAATTGTGATATTAGGGTGTCAATTTTGGATCTTTCTTGCTTTCTCTTGTGGGCATTCAGTGCTATAAATTTCCCTCTACACACTGCTTTGAATGCGTCCCAGAGATTCTGGTATGTTGTGTCTTTGTTCTCGTTGGTTTCAAAGAACATCTTTATTTCTGCCTTCATTTCGTTATGTACCCAGTAGTCATTCAGGAGCAGGTTGTTCAGTTTCCATGTAGTTGGGCGGCTTTGAGTGAGATTCTTAATCCTGAGTTCTAGTTTGATTTCACTGTGGTCTGAGAGATAGTTTGTTATAATTTCTGTTCTTTTACATTTGCTGAGGAGAGCTTTACTTCCAAGTATGTGGTCAATTTTGGAATAGGTGTGGTGTGGTGCTGAAAAGAATGTATATTCTGTTGATTTGGGGTAGAGAGTTCTGTAGATGTCTATTAGGTCCGCTTGGTACAGAGCTGAGTTCAATTCCTGGGTATCCTTGTTGACTTTCTGTCTCGTTGATCTGTCTAATGTTGACAGTGGGGTGTTAAAGTCTCCCATTATTAATGTGTGGGAGTCTAAGTCTCTTTGTAGGTCACTCAGGACTTGCTTTATGAATCTGGGTGCTCCTGTATTGGGTGCATATATATTTAGGATAGTTAGCTCCTCTTGTTGAATTGATCCCTTTACCATTATGTAATGGCCTTCTTTGTCTCTTTTGATCTTTGTTGGTTTCAAGTCTGTTTTATCAGAGACTAGGATTGCAACCCCTGCCTTTTTTTGTTTTCCATTTGCTTGGTAGATCTTCCTCCATCCTTTTATTTTGAGCCCATGTGTGTCTCTGCATGTGAGATGGGTTTCCTGAATACAACACACTGATGGGTCTTGACTCTTTATCCAACTTGCCAGTCTGTGTCTTTTAATTGGAGCATTTAGTCCATTTACATTTAAAGTTTATATTGTTATGTGTGAATCTGATCCTGTCATTATGATGTTAGCTGGTGATTTTGCTCGTTAGTTGATGCAGTTTCTTCCTAGTCTCGATGGTCTTTACATTTTGGCATGATTTTGCAGCAGCTGGTACCGGTTGTTCCTTTCCATGTTTAGCGCTTCCTTCAGGAGCTCTTTTAGGGCAGGCCTGGTGGTGACAAAATCTCTCAGCATTTGCTTGTCTGTAAAGTATTTTATTTCTCCTTCACTTATGAAGCTTAGTTTGGCTGGATATGAAATTCTGGGTTGAAAATTCTTTTCTTTAAGAATGTTGAATATTGACCCCCACTCTCTTCTGGCTTGTAGGGTTTCTGCCGAGAGATCCGCTGTTAGTCTGATGGGCTTCCCTTTGAGGGTAACCCGACCTTTCTCTCTGGCTGCCCTTAACATTTTTTCCTTCATTTCAACTTTGGTGAATCTGACAATGATGTGTCTTGGAGTTGCACTTCTCGAGGAATATCTTTGTGGCGTTCTCTGTATTTCCTGAATCTGAACGTTGGCCTGCCTTGCTAGATTGGGGAAGTTCTCCTGGATAATATCCTGTAGAGTGTTTTCCAACTTGGTTCCATTCTCCCCATCACTTTCAGGTACACCAATCAGACATAGATTTGGTCTTTTCACATAGTCCCATATTTCTTGGAGGCTTTGCTCATTTCTTTTTATTCTTTTTTCTCTAACCTTCCCTTCTCGCTTCATTTCATTCATTTCATCTTCCATTGCTGATACCCTTTCTTCCAGTTGATCGCATCGGCTCCTGAGGCTTCTGCATTCTTCCCGTAGTTCTCGAGCCTTGGTTTTCAGCTCCATCAGCTCCTTTAAGCACTTCTCTGTATTGGTTATTCTAGTTATACATTCTTCTAAATTTTTTTCAAAGTTTTCAACTTCTTTGCCTTTGGTTTGAATGTCCTCCCGTAGCTCAGAGTAATTTGATCATCTGAAGCCTTCTTCTCTCAGCTCGTCAAAGTCATTCTCCATCCAGCTTTGTTCCGTTGCTGGTGAGGAACTGCGTTCCTTTGGAGGAGGAGAGGCGCTCTGCGTTTTAGAGTTTCCAGTTTTTCTGTTCTGTTTTTTCCCCATCTTTGTGGTTTTATCTACTTTTGGTCTTTGATGATGGTGATGTACAGATGGGTTTTTGGTGTGGATGTCCTTTCTGTTTGTTAGTTTTCCTTCTAACAGACAGCACCCTCAGCTGCAGATCTGTTGGAATACCCTGCCGTGTGAGGTGTCAGTGTGCCCCTGCTGGGGGGTGCCTCCCAGTTAGGCTGCTCGGGGGTCAGGGGTCAGGGACCCACTTGAGGAGGCAGTCTGCCCGTTCTCAGATCTCCAGCTGCGTGCTGGGAGAACCACTGCTCTCTTCAAAGCTGTCAGACAGGGACATTTAAGTCTGCAGAGGTTACTGCTGTCTTTTTGTTTGTCTGTGCCCTGCCCCCAGAGGTGGAGCCTACAGAGGCAGGCTGGCCTCCTTGAGCTGTGGTGGGCTCCACCCAGTTCGAGCTTCCCGGCTGCTTTGTTTACCTAAGCAAGCCTGGGCAATGGTGGGCGCCCCTCCCCCACCCTCGCTGCTGCCTTGCAGTTTGATCTCAGACTGCTGTGCTAGCAATCAGCGAGATTCCGTGGGCGTAGGATACTCCGAACCAGGTGTGGGATATAGTTTCGTGGTGCGCCGTTTTTTAAGCCGGTCTGAAAAGCGCAATATTCGGGTGGGAGTGACCCGATTTTCCAGGTGCGTCAGTCACCCCTTTTTTGACTCAGAAAGGGAACTCCCTGACCCCTTGCGCTTCCCAGGTGAGGCAGTGCCTCGCCCTGCTTCGGCTCGTGCCCGGTGCGCACACCCACTGACCTGCGCCCACTGTCTGGCACTTCCTAGTGAGATGAACCCGGTACCTCAGATGGAAATGCAGAAATCACCCGTCTTCTGCGTCGCTCACGCTGGGAGCTGTAGACCGGAGCTGTTCCTATTCGGCCATCTTGGCTCCTCCCCCTTTTCTTAGGTTTTCTTCTAGGAGTTTTACAGTTTAAAGTTTTATGTTACTATCTTTAATCCATTTTTGAGTTGATTTTTGTGTATTGTGTAAGGTAAGAGTCTGTGTGATTTTTTTTTTGCATGTTGATATCCAGTTTTTCTTTTTTTAAAAGTTTAGTTTAATTTCTGGGATACATGTGCAGAAAATGCAGGTTTGTTCCATAGGTATATATATACCATGGTGGTTTGCTGCACCTATCAACCCGTCATCTAGGTTTTAAGACCCACATGCATTAGGTGTTTGTCCTGATGCTCTCCTTCCCCGTGCCCCCAATCCCCCAACAGGCCCTGGTGTGTGATGTTCCCTCCCTGTGTCCATTGTTCGATATCCAGTTTTTCTAAAACCATTTACTGAAGAGGCTATATTTCCTTCATTGTTTATTTTTGGCACCCTTGTCAAGATCAGTTGACAACATATGTGTGAATTTTTCTGGGCTTTTTATTATGTTTAGTCTTTTAAATATAATTATTTTGTTTAATCTTTTAACTACTTTATTTAATATTTAATACTTTAATTATTGTGTATAATTTTTTAAATTATGTTTAATTTTTTTCATAATTTATTGTGTTTAATTTTTTTTCTGGGCTTTTCATTATATTTAATTGGCCTTTGTGCTAGTAACATACTGCTTTGATTACTGTAGTTCTCCAATATGTTTTGAATCAGAAACTATGAGGACTTCTTCTTTTTTATCAAGATTGTTTTGACTGCTTGGAGTCCTTTGTGATTCCATATCAATTTTAGGATTATTTTGTCTGTTTATCTATAAAATGCTATTGGGTTTTAAATACAAATTTCATCAAATCTTTAGATTACTTTGGGTATTTTGGACATTTTAACAAGACTAAGTCTTCTACTTCATAAACATAGTTTATCTTTTTATTTATTTATGCCCTCTTTAATTTTTTAACAATGTTTTATATTTTTCAGTGTGCAAGCCTTTCACTTTCATGGTAACTGTATTCATAAATATTTTATTCTTTTTGATGCTACTGTAAATTAGAACATTTTCTTAATACCATTTATGAATTAATAAAAATCTTGTCAATTATTTCTTGCATGGATCATGCTTTTCTTTTTGTATAGTCATTACCAAACCCAAGGCCATCTAGATTTTCTATCTTCTAGGAGTTATTCCTTCCTAGGAGTTTTATACTTTTCTCCTAGGAGTTTTATTTTTTTTTATTTTAAATTTAGGTCTGTTATCTATTTTGAGTTAATTTTTGTGAAAAGTATATGGTCTTTGTCTATATTCGCTCTTTTGCATGTGGATGTGCAGTTGTTCAGCACTGTTCTTTGGAAAGACTACCTACTGTACTGCCTTTGTTCTGTTTTCAAGGATCAGTTGACTATTTTTATGTGAGTTCATTTCTGGGCTTACATTGATCTATTTATCTATATCTTTTTGTTAATATCACATTGTCTTGATTACTGCAGCTCTATTGTAACTCTTAAAGTTGGCTGTGTCAGTCTTTCAACTTTGTTCTTCTTCAATATTGTATTGGCTATTCTGGGTCTTTTGCCTCTCCATACACAGTTTTGAATTAGTTTGTCAATGTCTGCAAGGTAGCTTATGGGAATTTTAATTGATATTGCATAGCATCTGTATATTATTTTGGGAAAGTCTAATATCTTAAAATATTGGAGCCTTGCATTCATGAAATATAATATCTCTCCAGTTATATAGTACTTCTTTGATATATTTTATCAGAACTTTGTAGTTTTATTCATACAGAAATACATTTTGTTAGATTTGTAACTGTTTCATTGATGGGAAGTGCTAATTTATAATTAAATAATATTATGTTTTTAATTTGAAATTCCATTTGTTTGTTGCTAGTATATAGGGAAGAATTGACTTGTGTATATTAACCTTGTATCCGCAACCCTTATATATTATCCCTTATTAGTTCCAGGAAATTTTTCTCTATTCTTTTAGATTTTCTATATAGATGATTATGTCATCAGCAAAGACAGTTTTATTTCTTACTTCCAAATCCATATATATTTTTCTCCTCTCTTGTTTTACTGCATTAGCTAGGACTTCCAGTATAATGTTAAAAGGACTAGTGAGAGGAGATATCTTTACCTTGTTCTTTATCTTAGTAGAAATACTCCTAGTTTCTTACCATTAAATATTATTTTAACTGTAGGGTTTTTGTAGATATTCTATATCAATTGGAAGAAGGTCTACTGAGAGTTTTTAATCTAGGCTTTTAATCTAGTTTTTAATCTAGATGGTCAAATTTGTGGGCATAATTAGTCATAGTATCCCATTATTTATTTTTTTAATGTTCATAAGATCTGTAGTGATGTCCCCTATTTTATTTCCCATACTGGTAATTTGTGTTCCTTCTCTCTTTTTTTTTTTTTCAGTTAGCCTGGTTAGAGGCTTATCAGTTGTATTAATCTTTTTGGAAACCAGGTTTTGGTTTTGTTGATTTTCTCTATTGATTTTCTGGTTTCAATTTTATTAATTTTGGCTCTCATTTTTACTAGTTTTATTTTTTTTCTGTTTACTTGGATTAATTTCTTCTTCCTTTCTTGATTTCTTAATGTGATTCCCCTCTAAGCATGGATTTTGCTGCATCTTATACATTTTGATAAGTTGTTTTCCTTTCAATTAGTTCAACATATTTGAAAATTTCTCTTGAGATTTTATCTTTGACCCATGTGTTGTTTAGCGGTGTGTTGTTTAAGTCTCAAAATATTTTCAGTTGTTCTGGATATCTCTTAGCTGAAGATGTCTAGATTAATTCCATTCTATTCTGAGAGAAGAAATTGTATGATTTCTTTTCTTTCACATTTTTAAGGTTGGTTTTATGGGCTGAAATGTGGTGTATCTTTGTGAATGTTCTATGTTCAGATAAGAATATGTATGCTGCTGTTAATGGATTAAGTAGATTATAGATGTCAATTTTACCAAATGATTGATGATGTTGTTGAGTTAAAATATGAATTAGAATTTAACTGTGAAATACATATATATAAAATGTACATAATAGATTAATATTAGATATAAATTAGGTTTCTCATAGCCAACATATAGTTGGGTCTTGATTCTTTGATTCACTCTGACAATGTCTGTCTTTTAATTGGTGCATTTATATCATTGATATTCAAAGTGATTATTGATATAGTTGCTCTAATATTTACCATATTTGTTAGTTTTCTTTTTTTATTCTTTATTTTTTTACTTTAAGTTCGAGGATACATGTGCAGAACATGAAGGTTTGTTACACAGGTATACATATGCCATTGTGGTTTGCTGCACCTATCAACCCATTCCTTAGATTTTAAGTCCGACATGCATTAGCTATCTGTCCTGAGGCTTTCCCACCCCTTGCACCCCGCTGACAGGTCCAGGTGTGTGTTGTTCCCCGATGTGTGTCCATGTGTTCTAATTGTTCAGCTCCCACTTATGAGTGAGAACATGCAGTGTTTGGTTTTCTGTACTTGTGTGAGTTTGTTGAGGTTGATGGCTTCCAGTTTCATCAAAGTCCCTGCAAAGGACATGATCTCATTCCTTTCTGTAGCTGCATAGTATTCCATGGTGTATACATACCGCATTTTCTTTATACAGTCCATCATTGATGGGCATTTGGGTTGGTTCCATGTGTTTGCTATTGTGAATAGTGCTGCAATAAACATATGTGTGCATGTATCTTTATAATAGAATGATTTCTGTCCCTCTGGTTATATACCCAGTAATGGGATTGCTGGATCAAATGATATTTCTAGTTCTAGATCCTTAAATTATCACCACACTGTCTTCCACAATGGTTGAATTAATTTACATTCCCACCAGCAATGTAAAAGCATTTGTCTTTCTCCACAGCCTCACCAGCATCTATTGTTGGTTTACTTTTTAATAATTGCCATTCTGACTGGCATGAAGTGGTATCTCACTGTGGTTTTGATATGCATTTCTCTAATGATTAGTGATGTCGAGCTTTTTTTCATATGTTTGTTGGTCGCATAAATGTCTTCTTTTGAGAAGTGTCTGTTCATATCATTTACCCACTTTTTGATGGGGTTTTGTTTTTTTCTTGTAAATTTGTTTAAATTCCCTGTAAATTCTGTATATTAGACATTTGTCAAATGGGTAGATTGCAAAAATTTTCTCCCATTCTGTAGGTTGCATGTTCACTCTGATGATAGATTCTTTTGCTGTACAGAAGCTCTTTAGTTTAAGGCTGGGCGTTGGGGCTCATACTTGTAATCCCAGCACTTTGGAAGTCTGAGGCAGGTGGATCGTTTGAGGTCAGGAGTTCGAGATCAGCCTGGCCAACATGGGGAAACCCCGTCTCTATTAAAAATACAAAAATTAGCTGGGCGTGGTTGTGGGCACCTGTAATTCCAGTTATTCTGGAGGCTGAGTCAGGAGAATCGCTTGAACGCAGGAGGCGGAGGTTGCAGTGAGCTGAAATTGTGCCATTGCACTCCAGCCTGTGGGACAGAGGGAAACTCTGTCTAAAGAAAAAAAAAAAAAAAAGAAACTCTTTAGTTTAATTAGGTCCCATTTGTCAGTTTTAGCGTTTGTTGTAATTGCTTTTAGCGATTTCATAATAAAAGATTTACCCATGCCTATTTCCTGAATGGTATTGCCTAGGTTTTCTTCTAGGGTTTTTATGGTTTGGAGTTTTACATTTAAGTCTTTAATCCATCTTGAGTTAATTTTTGCATAAGGTTTAAGGAAGGGATCCAGTTTCAGTTTTCTGCATATGCCTGGCCAGTTTTTGCAGCACTGTTTATTGTAGGGAATCCTTTCCCCATTGCTTGATTTTATTAGGTTTGTCGAATATCAGATGGTTGTAGATATGTGGTCTTATTTCTGAGGTCTCTATTATGTTTCATTGGTCTGTATGTCTGTTTTTGTACAAGTACCATGCTGTTTTGGTTACTGTAGACTTGTGGCATAGTTTGAAGTCAGGTGATGCCTCCAGCTTTGTTCTTTTTGCTTAGGATTGCCTTTGCTATGCAGGCCGTTTTTTGGTTCCATATGAATTTTAAAGTAGTTTTTTCTAATTCTGGAAGAATATCAATGGTAGTTTGATGGGAATAATATTGAATATATAAATTACTTTGGGCAGTATGGTCATTTTCATGATCTTGATTCTTCCCATCTATGAGGATGGAATGTTTCTCCATTTGTTTGTGATCTCTCTTATTTCCTTGAGCAGTGGTTTGTAGTTCTCCTTGAAGAGGTTCTTCATGTCCCTTGTTAGATGTATCTCTAGGTATTTTATTCTCTTCATAGCAATTGTGAATGGGAGTTCATTCATGATTTTGCTCTCTGCTTGTTGATTGTTGATGTATAGGAATGCTTGTCATTTTTGCACATTGATTTTGTATCCTGAGACTTTGCTGAAGTTGCTTATCAGCTTAAGGAGTTTTTGGGATGAGACAATGGATGTTTTTCTAAATATACTATCATGTTGTCTGCAAACAGAGACAATTTTACTTCCTCTCTTTCTATTTGAATATCCTTTATTTCTTTCTCTTGCCTGATTACCCTGGCCAGAACTTCCAATACTATGTTGAATAAGAGTGGTGAGAGAGGGCATCCCTGTCTTGTGCCAGCTTTCAAAGGGAATACTACCAGCTTTTGCCCATTCAGTATGATATTGGCTGTGGGTTTGTCATAAATAGCTCTTATTATTTTGAGATATGTTCCATCAATACCTAGTTTATTGAGAGTTTTCAACATGAAGTGATGTTGAATTTTATTGAAGGCCTTTTCTGTACCTATTGAGATAATCATGTGGTTTTTGTCATTAGTTATGTTTATGTGATGGATTATGTTTATTGATGTTAAACCAGCCTTGCATCTCAGGGATGAAGCCGACTTGATCATGGTGGATAAGCTTTTTGATGTGCTTCTGGATTTGGTTTGCCAGCATTTTATTGAGGATTTTCGCACCAGTGTTTATCAGGGATATTGGCCTGAAGTTTTCTTTTTTTTGTTGTGTTCCTGCCAGGTTTTGGTATCAGAATGATCTTGGCCTCATAAAATGAGTTAGGGAGGAGTCCCTCCTTTTCAATAGTTTGAAATAGTTCCTGAAAGAATGGTACCAGCTCCTCTTTTTACCTCTGGTTGAATTCGGCTGTTAATCCATCTGGTCCTGGGTTTTTTGTTTCTTTGTTTTTTGGTCGGTAGGCTGTTTATTACTGCCTGAATTTCAGAACTTGTTATTGGTGTATTCAGGGATTTAATTTCTTCCTGGTTTAGTCTTGGGAGGGTGTATGTGTCCAAGAATTTATTCATTTCTTCTAGATTTTCTAGTTTGTTTGCATAGAGGTGTTTATACCATTCTCTGATGGTAGCTTGTATTTCTTTGGGTCAGTGTTGATATCCCCTTTATCAATTTTTATTGTGTCTATTTGATTCTTCTCTCTTTTCTTCTTTATTAGTCTAGCTAGCAACCTATTTTTTAATTTTTTCAAAAAAAACAGCTCCTGGATTCATTGATTTTTTTGAAGGATTTTCTGTGTCTCTATCTCCTTCAGTTCCACTCTGATCTCAGTCATTTCCTGTCTCCTGCTAGCTTTTGGATTTCTTTGCTCTTGCTTCTCTAGTTCTTTTCATTATGATATTAGGGTGTTGATTTGAGATATCTCTAGGTTTCCGATGTGGGCATTTAGTGCTATAAATTTCCCTCTTAACAGTGCTTTAGCTGCATCTCAGAGATTCTGGTATGTTTTTCTGTTTTTATTTGTTTCAAAGAACTTGATTTCTGCCTTAATTTTGTTATTTACCCAGTAGTCATTCAGGAGCAAGTTGTTCAATTTCTATGTAGTTGTGTGGTTTTGAGTGAGTTTTCTTTTTTCTTTTCTTTTCTTTTTTCTTTTCTTTTTTTTTTTTTAAGATGGAGTCTCGCTCTGTTGCCAGGCCATAGTGCAGTGCAGTGGCGCAATCTCAGCTCACTGCAATCTCCACCTCCTGGATTCAAGTGATTCTCCTGCCTCAGCCTCCAGAGCCGCTGGGACTACAGGTGCCCACCACCATGCCCAGCTAATTTTTTGTACTTTTAGTAGAGACGGGGTTTCCACCATTTTGGCCAGGATGGTCTCAGTCTCTTGACCTCATGATCCACCCACCTCGGCCTCCCAAAGTGCTGGGATTACATGCATGAGCCACTGTGCCCAGCCAAGTTTCTTGATCCTGAGTTCTAATTTGATTGCACTATGGTCTGAGAGACTGTTATGATTTCAGTTCTTTTGCATTTGCTGAGGAGCGTTTTACTTCCAATTATGTGGTCGATTTTAGAGTAAGTGTCATGTGGCACTGAGAATAATGTATATTCTGTTCTTTTGTGATGGAGAGTTCTGTAGGTATCTATTAGGTCCACTTGATACAGAGCTGAGTTTGAATCCTGAATATCCTCGTTAATTTTCTGTCTTGTTAATCTGTCTAATATTGACAGTGGGGTGTTAAAGTCTCCTACTATTACTGTGTGGGAGACTAAGTCTCTTTGTAGGTCTCTAAGAACTTGTTTTATGAATCTGGGTGCTCCTGTATTGGGTGTATATATATTTAGAATACTTAACTCTTCTTGTTGAATTGATCCCTTTATCATTATGTAATGCCCTTTTTTGTATTTTTTGATCTTTGTTGATTAAAAGTCTGTTTTATCAGAGACTAGGGTTTCCACCTTTGCTTTTTTCTGCTCTCCATTTTTTTGGTAAATTTTCCTCCATCCCTTTATTTTGAGCCTACGTGTGTCTTTGCACGTAAGAGGGGTCTCTTGAATATAGCACACCAATGGGTCTTGACTCTTTATCCAATTTGTCAGTCTGTGTCTTTTAATTGGGCCATTTAGCTTATTTACATTTAAGGTTAATATGGTTATGTGTGAATTTTATCATGTCGTCATGACACTGGCTGGTTATTTTGCACACTAGTAGATGCAGTTTCTTCATAGTGTCACTGGTCTTTATATTTTTTGTGTGTTTTGCAGAGCCTGGTACTGGTTTTTCCTTTCCATATTTAGTGCTTCCTTCAGGAACTCTTGCAAGGCAGGCCTGGTGGTGATGAATTCCCTCAGCATTTGCTTGTCTGAAAAGGATTTTATTTCTCCTTTGCTTCTGAAGCTTAGTTTGGCTGGATATGGGTTGAAAATTCTTTTATTTAAGAATGTTGAATATTGGCCCCACTCTCTTCTGGCTTGTAGGTTTTCTGCTGAGAGATCCACTATCAGTCTGATAGCCTTCCCTTTGTAGGTGACCTGACCTTTCTCTCTGGCTGCCCTTAACATTTTTTCACTCATTTCAACCTTGGAGAATCTGATGATTATGTGTCTTGGGGTTGATCTTCTCATGGAGTGTCTTAGTGGAGTTCTCTTTATTTCCTTAATTTGAATGTTGGCTTGTCTTCCTAGGTTGGGGAAGTTCTTCTGGATAATATTCTGAAGTGTGCTTTCCAACTTGGTTCCATTCTCCCTGTCCCTTTCAGGTACTCCAGTTAGTTGTAGGTTCAGTCTTTTGATATAGTCTCATGTTTCTTGAAGGTTTTTTTCATTCCTTTTCCCCTTTTTTCCTCTAATCTTGTCTGCCTGCCTTATTTCAGCCAGATGGTCTTCCGTCTGATATTCTTCCTTCTAATTGATCAATTTGGCTATTGATCCTTGTGTATGCTTCATGAAGTTCTTGTGCTGTGGTTTTCAGCTCCATCAGGTCATTTATGTTTCTCTCTAGACTGGTAATTCCAGTTAGCAGCTCCTCTAACATTTTGTCAAGGTTCTCAGCTTTTTTGCATAGGTTTAGAACATGCTCCTTTACCTCAGTGAAGTTTGTTATTACCCACCTTCTGAAGCCTACTTCTATCAATTCTTCCATCTTATCCCCTGTCCAGTTCTGCACCCTTGCTTGAGAGGTATTATGATCATTTAGAGAAGAGCCACTCTGGCCTTTTGGATTTTCAGTGTTTTTTCATTGATTCTTTCTCATCTTTTTGAGTTTGTCTAGTTTCAGTCTTTGAAGCTACTGACCCTTGGATGAGGTTTTTTTGGTGACTTTTTTTGTTGATGCTGCTGTCATTGCTTTCTGATTGTTTGTTTTTCTTTCAATAGTCAGGCCCCTCTTCTGTAGGGCTGCTGCGGTTTGCTGGGGGTTCACTTCAGGTCCTATTCATCTAGTTTACTCCCACACATTGAGATGTCACTCAAGGAGGCTGGAGAACAGCAAAGATGGGTGCCTGCTCCTTCCTCTGCGATCTCTGACCTTGAGGGGCACAGACCTGATACCAGTAGGAATGCTTCTGTATAGGATGTCTGATAATCCCTGTTGTGGGATCTTACCCAGCTTGGTGGGATGGGAAGAAGGACCCATTTAACAAGGCACTTTGGCTGTCCCTTGGTGGAGGGTGTTTGCTGTGCTGGGGGGAAACACACTCATCTGGGCTGCCCGGAGTTATCAGAGCTAGGAGGAGGAAAGATTAAGTCTGCTGGTTTGTGGGGACTTCTGCTACCCCTCCAACTAGGTCCTCAGACCCAGGGAGATCAGAGTTCTGTCCCTGAGCTTCTAGCTGGAGTTGGATTTCCTACAGGGAGGCCCTGCAGCCACAGTGTTGGCTGCCACCCCTCCCCCAAGGAGCTCAGATGGCTTAGACTGCAGGCAGCTTCAGCAGTGGTGATGGCCATTCCCTCCCCCTGGCTTAGGCCAATTCTAGCTGAGTGGCTGTTGAGAATCTGTGTGGCTCCATGGTGGTGACCCAAGGCCCTGGTGACATGGGCTTTTGAGTGTGATCTTCCAATCTGTTGGTTGCACACTTTTGTGGAAAAACCACAGTTTTCCAGGCTGGGCAGCACACTCACTCATTGCCTCCCTTGGCTGGGGGTGGGGGCTCTCAGGTGTCCCGTGTGGCTCTCAGGTGAGCTGTTGCACCACAGTGTTCTTTCTTCCTCTTCGTGGATCATGCCAGCCACCTAGTCAGTTCTAATGACAGAACCTGAATACCTCGGTTGCTGGGTGCAGGATTTGCATGCTGCTTTGTATCTTTCCAATGGGATTCTTTGATTGCTGCTGCTTCTAGTCAGCCATCTTGACCCCACCCACCAATATTTGTTAGTTTTCTATTTGTCACCCTTGTTTTTCTATTTTTGTCTTCTATATTGTCTTTGACTTTCCTAATTTTATTATTTTATATGATTTAATTTTTTATGTCCTCACTGAGCATATCAGGTGTACTTAAAAGAAATTAGAGGTTGCCTTAAAGTTTGCAATATACACTTAAACCTAATCTGATTCTAATTTCAAATAATACTATACCACTTCACAGAAAGTGTGAGTACCTTTAAGTAACGTTATAAGAATGAAATAATCTATTCCCTCTCTTCCTTTATATCATTGCCATAATGAATTTTGCTTATACATAAGCATAAATATCTATTATCTGACAGTCTTCCTTTCATTATATAGATATGAGTTTCTGTTTTATATCATTTTCCTTTTCTCTAAATATTTCTTTTAATATTTCTTGCAAGGCAGGTCTGACAGCAACAAATTCTCTCATTTGTTGATAAATTAATTGTTTCCTCGTTACTTTTGAAGGATAATTTTTCAGGTTACAGAATTCAAGGTTGGTGATTTTGTTGTTGTTGTTGTTGTTTTGTTTTGTTTTGTTTTTCAACATGTTAAATATTTTACTCCAACCTCTTCTTGTATGCATGATTTCTGAGAAGTCAGATGTAATTCTCCTCTATAGGTAACGTATTTTTTATTCTCTGCTTTCTTTCATTTTTTCTTTGTTTTTTTTTTTCTAGTTTGAAAAGTATATAGTTAGATATGTTTTGTTGTTATTTGGTAGGTTGGGTTTTCATTTTTGTTTTTGCAGCTATCTTGTTTGGTGTTTTTTGAGCTTCCTGGATCTGTGGTTTGATCTTTGACGTTCATTTGAAGAAATTTTCAGTCATGTTAATATGTCTTGTAATTTTTCTTTGTAGCCTGACATGATGTACTGGATAGAAGACACTACTATAAATAGACCTTTAGTAATGTGGTTGTAAGGTGTGTGGGTGAGGGGAAGTGCTCTTAATCCTATACTCAGACCTCAGTGTTTTAGTAAGCCCATGTCTCTGAACTGTAAACTTCACATGTGCTTCACAGTTTTCTCTTCCTTTAGGTGGGACCAGAGGCCTAAAATGGGCTACAGTTTGGTATTTCCTTTCCTCCAAGTGGAAAGCTAGAGTTAGAGTTGAATATTTTTCTTCCTTCAGGTCAAGCAGATTAGAGTTCGATTAAACCATTTCTCTTGAGAGAAGATCTTGTTAAGGAGAATGAAATGCTCTGAAGTATTTCAAATTGTTCTTCCCCTCCCCTCACTGGAAGAACCAAGTGATTACTATCTGATACTTACTATAAGTACATGCTAAAACTCCAGGATGTAAAAACTCATAAAAATTCGAGCATCATAGTAATGGGTTCTCCCTGGAGTTTTTGTGTCTCAGGCTTGCCCACACCAAGCTCCAACAATTTGTCAGTTACAATTCAGGTTTCCCTACGCTCGCGTCATTTCCCATGGAAATTTCAGCTTATGGGTTTCTGCTCTGTTAAGTTTTGATTGTCTGTTTTGTGTATCAATCTCTCCAATTTCTGGGGCAGTGGTTTTCTCTGTGACCTCACTTTTTTTAAGGATGTATGAAGAGTTGCTGATATTTCAGTTTGTTCAGCATTTTGCTTGTTATTAAGATGAAGTGGTGACTTCCAAGCTTCTTATATACTGGATCAGGAACCATAAATCTCATTTTGTTAATTTTTTAAAGTGATGTGCTTTGATTTCCTTCAGGTTTTCTTTTCTGTATTTTTAATATATATTTCCTTTTTTCCTTTGGTTACTGTGGGGCTTACATAAAACACCTTATAGTTATAACTGTCTATTTAAAACTGATAACAATTTAAGTGCAATTACATACAATGAGTCTACACTTTTACTCTTCTCCCTTCTCACATTTATGTTACTGATGCTGTTTATTTATTAACGTATTTCTATAATTATAATTTTTATTCATTTTGCTTTTAACTTCTATACCAAAATTAATAGTGATTTATGCATCAGTGTTATAGTATTACAGTATTCTATTTTTGTCTTTATAGTAATCTTTACCTGTGATTTTTATAATTTCATATGCTTTCATGTTGTGGTTTAGCATCTTTTCAATTTAACTTGAAGGACTCCCTTTAGCATGTTTTGCCTAAGGCAGGTCTAGTTATAATAACCTCGCTTAGCTTTGTCTGGAAACATCCCTCTCGTTTTCATTTTCGAAGGATAGTTTTGCTGCATCTAATTATATTTGTTGATGGCACTTTTCTTTCAACATTGAATATGTTATATCTTCTTCTGACCTTCAATGTTTCTGCTGAGAAATCTGCTGATGGTCGTATGGAGGTTTCCTAGTAGGTGATAATTCATATTTTTCTTGCTGCTTTCAAAATTAACTCTGTCTTTGACTTTTGACAATTTGCCTATCAAAATCAAATTGTCTTTGATTCTGTGTCTGTATGGGTGTGGAGTTCTTTTGATTTATTTTATTTGGGAGGCATTGGGCTTCCTGAATCTGGATGTCCACTTCTTTCCCCAGGTTTGGAAAGTTTTCAGCCCTTATGTCTTTACATAAACTTTCTGTTTCTTTCTCTCTCTTCTCCTTTGGGAACTCTCATAATGCACATGTTGGTCACCTTGATGATATCCATAAATCATTTAATTTTTCTTCACTCTTTTACTCTTTTTCTGTTGTTGTTTTTTTTCCTTTTGCTTGTTATTAAGCTTTTCTGTCAGGAAAATTTCAAATTACCTATCTTCAAGTTCACTGATTAATTTGCTTTATAAAGTCTGCTGTTAATCCCCTCTAGTGAATTTTTAATTCAGATATTCTATTCCTGAGTTGTAACATTTGATTCTTTTTTATATTTTCTCTTTATCAAAATTTTTATTTTGTTCACATATTGTTTTTCTTAGCTTGCTTATGATTATTTTGAATTTTTTGTTGGGTAACTCCTATACCGCCATTTCTTTAGTGTCAGTTTCTGAAGTTTTATTTATTTATTTATATCTTGATTCATCAGTTTTCCCATTTTTTTCATGTTTCTTATAAATATGTGTTAGTATCTGCGTATTTGAAAATACAACTATCTATCTCTTTAATTTTTCATACATACGTTCATACAGGGAAGGACTTTTATCACTTAGCCTGGCAAGAGATTCTTTGGGCTTCTCAAGCCTTTTCTTTAGATGTATCTTCTTGGACTTGTGCTTGTAAATTTCTAATTCAAGATATTTTCTATTTTTGGTTTTTCCCCTTAGGCACTCATAACCTCTTGCTCTCCCTAGTGTCTGCTTGTTGTAGCACTGGTCCTCTGGAGAAGCAGAATGCTTCCCAGCTCTTTTTTTCTCAATGACACCCAGATATCTAGAGTATGCTGGGTCTCATCAGTGCTCTGAGAGAGATGAGACAATGTCTGTTCCTCTGGCAGCTCCTGTCTTCTTTAAAAGTGTGAACATTGAATGTATGTTTCAGTCTTTTTTTCCATCCCTAGGGGGAAACTGGTTGCTGGGAGTTTTCTCTTAATCACATAGTGCTGTGCTGGGGGTAGAAACACTATGACAAGAGGGTAGTGTAAACTCTTCTAATAGTCTTCTGCTATGGTTTGAATCTTTGCCATCTACAAAATTCATGTTAAAATGTTATTGCTGTTGTAATAGTATTAAGAGGTGGAATGTTTAAGAAGTAATTGAATCATGAGGGCTCCACCCTCTTTGATGGGATTGGTGCAATCATAAATGGGCAAGCCCAATCCCTCTTGCTCTCTCTTTTCCTTTTGCTCTGATCTCTTGTGAAGAAAAGTGTTTCCTGTCCTCTGGAGGATGTAGCAACAAGACATAATCTTGGAAGTAGAGAGCAAAACCTTACCAGACACCAAACTTTCTGGTGCTTTGATATTGGTCTTATCAGCTTCCAGAATTGTGAAAAAATGTGTTTCTGCTCTTTATAAATTACCCAGTCTTAGATATTCTATTATAGCAGTACGAAACAGACTAAGAATCTATGTGGTGGTTTCATGTTCACTCAGATACAGAAGCCTCTTAATGGATTTCTGGGTTTCTTACAAACAAAACTCATCTGGGCTTGGCGCAGTGGCTCACGCCTGTAATCCTAGCACTTTGGGAGGCCGAGGCGGGCAGATCACAAGGTCAGGAGATCCAGACCATCCTGGCTAACACGGCGAAACCCTGTTTCTACTAAAAATACAAAAAATTAGCCGGGCATGGTGGCAGGCATCTGTAGTCCCAGCTACTTGAGAGGCTGAGGCAGGAGAATGGCCAGAACCCAGGAGGCAGAGCTTGCAGTGAGCTGAGATTGTGCCACTGCACTCCAGCCTGGGCAACAGAGCAAGACTCCATCTCAAAAAGAAAAAAAAAAAAAAGAAAACTCATCTGTGTACTCTTGTTGAATTAGTGTCTCCATGGGAGGAGTAAGAGTCTGGTGCTTCCTATTCCACTGTCTTGTTTGAAACCAATTTATTTGTATTCTTTAATTAGAGTATATTTCTCTCAGTTACTACATTATGAATCAGTTATTTTAAAATTATTTTAGAAAATGTAATTATGTTATCTAATTATGAAAATAATGTAAACATTATGTATACATTTGAGAAAAACTATTGGGGGAACCAGCCCCCAATATTTCAACATAGTTTCTTTCTGTTTTCCCTAAGTGTCAGCCAGTCTGAGAAATAAAGAGAAAGGGTATAAAGAGAGGTAATTTTACAGCTGGGCCTCTGAGGGTGCCATCACATATTGGTAGGGCCGTGATGGCGACCTCGAGCTACAAAATCAGCAGGTTTTTATTAGGGATTTCAGAAGGGGAGGGGGCACACGAACAGGGAGTAGGTCACAAGGATCACATGCTTCAAAGGGCCATAAAGATCACAAGGCAAGGGCAAAATTAGAATTACTGATGAGGGTCCATGTCCCACTGTGCACGCATTGTCTTGATAAACATCTTAACAGTAAACAGGGTTTGAGAGCAGAGAACCGGTCTGACTAGAATTCACCAGGCTGGAATTTCCCAATCCTAGCAAGCCTGAGGGTACTGCAGGAGACCAGGGCATATTTCAGTCCTTCTCTCGACTGCATAAGACAGACACTCCCAGAGCTGCCATCTATAGACCTACCCCCAGGAATGCATTCCTTCCCCAGGGTTATTCCTTGCTGCAAAAAGAATTCAGCGATATTTCTCCTACTTGCTTTCTGCAAGAAGAAAAATATGGCTGTATTCTGCCCAACCACGCAGGCAGTCAGACCTTATGGTTATCTTTCCTTGTTCCTGGAAAATTGCAGTTATTCCGTTCTTTTTTAGGGTGCACTGATTTCATATTGTTCAAACACACATGTTTTACGGTCAGATTTCATGTTGTTCAAACACACGTTTTACAAACAATTGGTACAGTTAACACAATCATCACAGGGTCCTGAGGTGACATACATCCTCAGCTTACAAAAATGATGAGATTAAGTGATTAAAGACAGGCGTAAGAAATTATTAAAGTATTAATTTTGGGAACTAATAAATGTCCATGAAATCTTCACAACTTAATTCTTCTGCCATGGCTTCAGCCGGTCCCTCCATTCGGGGTCCCTGACTTCCCGCAACAAAAAACAGATTATAAAACATGTAACTTATAACTATACTCTTGTCAACATCTCCTGTTAACCTTTCCTATGTGTTGTTTAGGCTTTCAATTAAGGAGCAGAGAGCTTTTGTACATTTTAACAAAGTTGAATACTATAAAGTTAGTGGAACACTTTTTCATTGCACATTGAAAAGTGAGCATATTTCTATCAGTAATCATTTTAAAAAATATTAACTTATTGGCAGTATAATATATTCTATGGGTTTTCATAATTTAATCATTTACCTTTTGATTACCATTTACATTGCCTAAAATGTCTGAAATACAGTTTTGTATACTTAATATATAAATATGTAGATATTTACCTGATTTTTTTCCTAAGAAAATTTTGTACAATTAATGGTATTTCCTCAATGTGTATAAATATATCATACTTGATACATATTATAAATTACTTCCTATAAAAGCTCTAACAACTTTTTCATGCTCTTTGCTTAGGTTTTGATTTGAGCACTAGATAGTCAATATTCTAATGTATAGAATGGTATGTAGTTTGTAACAGAGGAAGTGTCATAAATCAGTGGGAAAAGGCCAGTAATTTTTAAAATAAAATGTGTTAGAAAATTATCTGTACAAACAGGAAAAATAATCAAGTTATTTAACCCAACATAATGTGTCAAAAATTATTTCAAATGAACTAGTTATTAATGAAATATCAATAGGAAGAAAATATGGGTAAGCAATTTTTATTCAGTGGTTCTATATACAAAATAATGAGATTAAGGGTAAAATAATAGTTTCAGAATAATCAAAAATACTATTACAAAAGAGATGTATTAAGAAGGAGTTTACAAAGTCTAATAAGAAAAACATGAACATTTCAGTTTAAAAATAGAAATGGATTTTATCATATCATTTTAAGATTGTTTCAAAAAATAATTTTTAAAAATTTTCACTGTTATTTACTGTCACTATTGTGTACAGAAATGAAGGTTGGGTCACCAATATCTGTATGAAATATGATTTTACATATAGTGATCGAATTCATTTGAGTTTAAATAACCAAGATGTAATAAAATAAATCTCTTTACTACAAATGGTTTACCTGCCCCTGTGTAGACTACTTTAATGTAAACCAAGCAGAATATGTCTTGAATCTAAATTAATTATTGTGAAATTAATCAGGTACGTCATTATTTCACATAACAAAAAAATTACTCATACTGTACACTTGGTACAAGTGAGTGAATGCGTTGCATGGTACCATCCATGTACTTCCTTTGACCAGTTCAATTAATAGTAGTTATTCATCTCTGAAACAATGCTGCTTAAATAATTGAACTGAAATCATTATAGGTAGTTAGGCAGTGTTAGGATGAGGTAACTAATCAGTGTATAATATTTAAATGGACAGTTACCCTGGTTAACTAGAATGTATGACTAAATATGATTACAGAAACTGAAAACATAGAAACTTCTCCTTTTGACACAAATATGAAAATATTTTCCTTCTATTGATTTTGCGCTAGTTATAGTGCACTGTGCCTTACACATTAAGTTAGAGTATCTCTTTTGATGCTCTAACAAACTCTGTGACACAAAGTCATTTAACTACTTCAGCTAAAATAGAATTTTGATTCAGAATGTCAGGCTGAACATACTTTCCCTAGCACACAATATCTTATTGAAATGAAGCATATACACTTATCTATTTAAGTACATCCTTCCATGTGTATTTAGATTCAACATAGTGCTAGAAAAACTGAAGGGTTATATTAGTGAATCACACATATTTTTGGAACTTGGTAATCATACAATTCTTATGTTATTTGAAACATTTCCCTTTTAATGTTTCTACTTGCTTAGCATCTAATCAGTCATTTGGTACTGCTATCTAAATTCTTTTTTGGTGCTCTACCCCTTCTGCATAGCCAGAAGTCCCCCAAGTATCAGTCACTTGACTTCGTTTATTTTGACTGTGGTGTCTAAATGCAATTGACTTTGGGTCAATTGTCAGTCTTTTCCTTAAAACCTTCCCTCTGACTACATCAACAAGAATCAATTTTCATTTCAGGCAATCAATAAGTCATAATTTATATAATCAACAATAATTGTTCAAAATAATGAGAAGTATCACTTAAATGGTGTCAGAATTGTAGATTCGAAACTGAACTAAGCAAGAAAATTAATGAAAATGCAAGCTCTTTATGAAATAAACATAAAAAAGACTTAAAAATTAAATTGGAATATCAAAAACATAAAATTCCACCAAAACTAGTTGTGATTTCAACAGAGTATCAATAAAAATCTTGATGAGTACACCCAGAGTAATTAAGTCTGTTGACTACTGAAAATAAAAAGAAGTTAAGGAGTATTTCTACCTTGCATAAAGAGGTGACTAATTAATTTCTAAATTTTGATTAAAATAAACTGATATTCAAATGCATAGTTCTTTGAAATGGAAATATATTGGTTGTGTTACAGTTTCATGGCCCTGATTATAATATAAAAAGTCATGTTTTGTTTAATTTTCTTTTTTTTTCTTTTTTTTGTGGGGGGGACAGAGTTTCACTCTTGTTGCCCAGGCTGGAATGCAATGGCGAGATCTTGGCTTACCACAGCCTCTGCCTCCCTGATTTAAGTGATTCTCCTGCCTCAGCCTCCCAAGTAGCTGAGATTACAGGCATGCGCCACCACGCTCAGCTAATTTTGTATTTTTAGTAGAGATGGGGTTTCTCCATGTTGGGTAGGCTTGTCTTGAACTCCCGACCTCCAGGTGATCCGCCCACCTCAGCCTCCCAAAGTGCTGGTATCACAGGTGTGAGCCACCGTGCCTGGCCATTATACTTAATTTTCTTCATAAAATTTGAGAATCCAGGTTTGATATGTGTTTAATATTAATTTAATAATACTTTTATTAATTATATTTTTTCTAAAATTTCTATTTGGTTATTTTTTGTAATCCAATTGGCCAATTATGAATCTCTTTTTCTTCCATAAGTGTAGTCTTATATTTGCTATTTCATCATTGTGATGTCTCTATCTATGTGTATATTCGCTACACATAGAAAGTATACATATATATACACAAAAATGTATAATAGTGTGTCTGCATATATATATATGTATGTAGACATGTTTTTAAGAGTATAGTGACTATGTGCTGATATACTAATATATTTGCTAATAGAGCATGTATTTCATTGAGAGTTTATATTCCCTAAAATAGCATCTTATTATATAGAGAGATTCTTTGAAGCTTGGGATAAGGTTAATTCATTCAGAAATAATTTATTTTCCTTTATTCCAAGCATTCAGAGTCACTAAAACCCAGTATGGTTTGAAAATGAATGTTTAGTTAAAGGATTTTATTGCCTCACAGGTGGTATGGACTCTAGCCCCAATATCATGAGTGAGAAATTTTCAGAGACTTGCTACCTTTTTGTTTTTTCATTTAATTCAGAGCCAGGACCAAGAGAGGAAAATATCTCCAGGAGCTCTTTCTCTGAGGTGGGCTTTTTCCACTTCACCCACTGAGAGTATTGCTCTTTGGGGGCTTATGTAGGAGGATTTCCACATTTGATCTTTCACACGTACTTTGCTACTGCCTCCAGGGCTTTCTTACCCACCGCCAGACAGATACAACTGTACACTTTCTTTTTATTAATGTTTTTTGATAAATTCTGTTGCTGTTCTGCCACCTCATATAGTTTTAAATATTTTATCCAGAATTTTTAGGAGGACTACTTGGGGAAGGGTTTCAGAAAAATCTAAGCCACCATATTCTGAGCTTTTCCTTATGCTCAAGAAAACCTTTGTTTAATGTTGAGATTCTTGAGAATATGCATTCTTCCAACAAATATTTGTTGAGTGCCTATATGTAGATACATAAGTGAACAAAAGATAAATATCCTTGCCTTGATGGAGCTTGCATCCTAATGGCTAGAAAATATAATATACAATAAGTATAAGCAATAAACAAATCAATAACTTATACAATAAGTATAAGCAATAAACAAATCAATAACTTAGATGGCAACACACACCTTGGGGATAGCAACAGAGAAGGATGAAAAGCTAGAAGGAGCAGTATAGAGTAGTCACGGTGATCTCATTGAGAATGTGAGATTTGGGCAAAGATTTAAAGTTGGTAAGAAAGATGAGGTAAATGTATGGTTTAATTGGTTATTGGGCTGGACATCAAATCTGGATAATCTCTTCTTCCTTGATCTGTAGATGGCTCCATAGACATAGCATTTGTCTTACATTGCCTGCTGAGAAGGGGAGAAAGGGGTAAATGTGGGAGCAATAGATAGTAAGAGGGGATCTCTAATACCAAATATTGCCCTTCTTCACCTTCCCTATTTTGCAGTGAGTAACCATATTCTGATAATTTCTGTGACTAATTCTATAAATATATTATTTTAGTAAGTTCTTTGGAAGTCTCTGAGGCATATTCAAAATTTAATTTTTTAATTTGTATTTCTCTAGATTTCCTCAGGTTTGTCTATAACTGTTTTCCAAATCACACATTTCTAACATTAGATAAGTGTACATTTATTTTTTTCTTATGCCAAGTGACAGGTACTTAATATACAAGGGATATTTTGTGTATAGTATTCATTCTTTAGGAGAACAACCTCTTTAAATGTGCCACAGAATTCAGAAGGCATTGTATAATTGGAAATTAATCAAAACTTCATTCTTCTCAGATGCACTTATCTTTAAGAATTTGCTCTACAGGGCTATAAATGCTATCTATATTTATCTGCAAATAAATATACATTTTTAATAATAAAGAAGTAGTGTTTAATATTGGGTAAAGTATTGATGTTTACATGGTATTCGCATTGGTATGGACTGTTACAGAGATGTAAAGCCCTTTCTAACCAAGTTATTTCTTAACATTTTTAAAGCAAACTATATATATTTGGAAGGAGAATATATTCAGAAAACATTCTCAAAAGGGAAAATAAAGTTCAAAGATAACATTAATTGGTACTATTACTTTATACTTTTCTTCCTTTAGTAGTCTATCTTTACAAGGAGAGGAATCCATTCAGCTAATGGATGTCGTGCTCAAAGTTGCCTCGGCATTGTCCATCCTGAGATATATTCCTGTTCCAAACCTGTTTTGGTATGTTAGACTAGTAGGCTGAGGTTTATCTTAAAATAAGAGGATGTCCTTTAATAATCTCTCTAATCATTAGTTTCTATTTAAACTGAGACCTTCACTATCCCAGTGCTGATGCTAATAGCCAGTAGGGAATTATTCTTCTTATCGTAACTTCTTCTGGCTTAATTTAGAATTAGAATAAAATGATTTTATTAGACTTGGGACTATTTCTGGGCGTATGATAAACAACAGAAAGAAAAGGAACAAGGCCTGATGTTTAATTTCTGTGAATCCTTCTGATATTCTTCTTTTCCTTTGCCTTAAGATAAAATCAAGTTTGTTCTTTTCATAATGATCTAATGCTTTCAGGTCTTCCGAGTCTGAGTCTTGATAAGGGTCTTTAAATATTACTTTTAACTACAAGTTCCACTACATTTTGTAAACATAAATGAATATGACCTTGAGATAATAATAAATAAAATTTTGTCTATATAGTTCATGATTAAGTCTTTTCATTTAAAAATGTGTTACAATCCTGCAGATCATCGTATGTTATTTGTCATTTTCTATATAAGGGAGGAGGAAAGGGTATCCAAACAACATTTATCTTGACAGCATAAGTTCTTAAAAATGGAAAACATGATCAGAGGCTGAATGAGTAAAATTAGGAACAACAATCAGGGTAGGGAGTAATTGCATGATTCTGTTTCTAGTCCAAAATAGTAATATTAATATTTAAATGTTCTTATTTAAGTGTGAAGATACAATTTTTTTTTGAGGCGGAGTCTCACTCTGTCGCTCAGGTGGGAGTGCAGTGTCATGAGCTCAGCTCACTGCAACCTCTGCTTCCTGGGTTCAAGCTATTCCCCTGCCTCAGCCTTCCGATTAGCTGGAATTACAGGTGCGCGCCACCAGGCCCAACTAGTTTTTGTATTTTTAGTAGAGACGAGGTTTCGCCATGTTGGCCAGGTGTTCTCAAACTCCTGACCTCAGATGATCTGCCCGCCTCGGCCTCCCAAAGTGCTGGGATTACAGGCGTGAGCCACCGCGCCTGACCAGAATATATGATTTTTATATGTATTTGAATTCAAGTTTTTTGCCTAGGTCAGGAGGGTTTTGCTGTATTGTCTTCATTGAGATGAATATTTGCTATGGTTATCATAAAGACCATAGACAATGATTCGAGTAGCCAGTTCCCCCTCTAGGGAATGAGACTGCGTCATAGATTTTGCAACAATGGTTTGGGTTTTCCAATTTTGTCTTGACTTCAACACAAAGAAAAATTCCTGTGGCCTTATTCCTCTTTGTTGTTATATATACTTCTCTGTGACCTACATAGGGTTTGACTTCCAAGAATTATAGTAGTACAGGTCTCATAGTTAAAAATAATGGATTTCTTTGGTACATGTTTAAGTGCATTATTTCCTTATCTATAACAATTGCTAGGAGCTTCTATGCCTTTCTTTATATCCTTGCTGATTGACTAAAAGAAGATACATAGTTTCTACTATCATATGTTTTGGTGGAAGAGTTCCTCTTACTTTTAAGAGAAAAATCTGTGAGAAAATATTTCACATAATTCTACGCATACGTTATACTTTTACATTGTAATATAATTTTAATATCATTTTCTGCTGTAAAAAAAGACAACAGAAGAGTTACCATAAATTTTTATTTAAACAAAATAAATGATTGACAACAGTAGAATAACCTTTTAATTTTTTATTATAAATATTGAAGTAACTATTACATGAGGAGAAAAAGATAGACTATCCTCATAATTATGCCAACAAAATTATTGAATCCCACTTCATTTATCTTGAAGTACTTATTCCATTGTATGTTGATGTTTATTTTTTGCTGGTGGTAAATTATATTTAACAATTGTTACCGTGTTATTTTAGCCATAATTTTTAAAGAATTATGCTGTGCTCTAATTTCTTTACTATTTTGGTAACATCAATAATTTTTATTATGTTGATATATGCTCTTTTATGCTAGAAAACAAATAGGGATGCCTTCAAGTGATCAAAAAACTTGTTTTTGATAGTTTATATACTTTATAAAATTATGATAAAGTTGTATATGTGTCTTTATATTTAGGTTACTACTGCTGTGTTTAAAGTTTTCAGAATTAAATATTGATATGTTTCAGATTTCATAACGTAGAAAATATTTTGAAATACTAATTTTAATTTATATATTGCCAAGTATTTAAATCATGATGATAATTTAAAATGTTATGTAGATCAAGGGATTTTTATTTTAATACGTTGATAGTTACAAAGTTATAATAGAATTCACCTTCAAATGTATCTTGGCCTTAGAGTGACTTTACAAGTTTGAAAGAATAATGATAATAACATCGATTTATTGTAATAACATGATATTGTGTTATACTGTGTACCAGGCAACATGCTAAATACTTTATATGCCCCATGTGGTTTATATAAGGCTTAAAGTAAGGACTCCTAATTAATTTTTCCATTTTAAAGATGAAAAATTTGAAGCTCAGAGGGGTTATGTCATTTATCTAAGGTGACATAGGAAGTAGCGGAGTAGGTTCAAACTGGGCCAATGTGGCCTCAAAGCCCTTGTTTTAACTGCTACTATAATCAGTAGAGTGTTAGTACAGCCCAAGATATAGGCTCTGGAAAGTGAATTTTCAAATATTTATCAATATTGTGGGTTTGTTATTAAACTATCAGAAATTTCAAATGAGCCATGGTGGAAATATTTAGACCTTGGAACTCAGCAAATGCTACAGATCAAGGTTTCTTCTATATTCCCCTTTCCTTCCTGCATTGTACAGTATACTAGCATATCAGTGCCTTTACTGCCAAAGTCTTGTCAGTGTTTGCAATATTACATGTATTATGTTAGAGATATAAATACTGGGCGTAATCTTTTACATCTTGTATTAAGTACTGTCTATAAACTGGAATCTATTAAGAAACTTACTATTAATAGTTATTGAATTAAATACATTAACTTTTGTTGCTAAAATATCTAAAATAATTTATTAAAGACAAGAATGTGTGAAATGAACTATCTCTCTTCTTTTCAGTGATAGTGGAAAGTGGAAATATAATTTCTTTTGTGGGTTATATTAACTCTGGATGCTGTAACATTTATAGAAGTATTATAGGATTTGTGAAACTACGATCAAATAAAGTGGTAAGTTTTCAACATGTATTCTTTTTAATCAATTAATCTACTCTAAAGAATAGTGTCAGATACCTTTTCATGTACTTACTAGACATTTATTTGTATTACTTTGTGAAATTTCTATTCAATTTTTTGAAATTTTTGTGTTTGTTTTTGGTTTAGTTATAAGATATAAGAATATAAGTTGTAAGATATATTGATTTGTAAGATATACAAATGATCAATGAACACAGTAAAATATGCTTCACGTTCTTATTCATTAGAGAAATGCAAGTTAAAACCATAGCCAGGTACTACTACAAACATACCAGATTGGCTAAGATGCACTTAATCATTTGACCTAATTCCACTCCAGATAGTTTCTCCAGAGAAGTGAAAACATATGTCTACACGAAGACTTATATGAATCCTAGGGCTGGGCACAGTGGCTCATGTCTGTAATCCCAGCACTTTGAGAGGCCGAGGCGGGCGGATCACGAGATCAGGAGATCGAGACCATCCTGGCCAACATGGCAAAACCCTGTCTTTACTAAAAAATACAAAAATTAGCTGGGTGTGGTGGTGCACACCTGTAGTCCCAGGTACTCAGGAGGCTGAGGCAGAAGAATCGCTTGAACCTGGAAGGCGGAGGTTGCAGTGAGCCAAGATTGTGCCACTGCACTCCAGCCTGGCTACAGAGCAAGACTCTGTCTCAAAAAAAAAAAAAAAAAACTTATATGAATTCTTACAAACTAAAAACTGGAAGTAGTCCACGTATCCACTGACAGTTGAATGAATAGAAATGTTACAGTATATTTATACTATGAAATGCCACATAGCAGTAAAAATAATTATGGATACTTGTAAGAATCTCAAACATACTATGTAGGGCCAAAATGCCAAACCTGAATGAGCATGTTCTATATAATTCCATTTTTATGAAGTTCTAGAACAGGCAAAAATATATAATTACTGTGGTAGAAAAGTTAGAACTAATCATTAGTTGGTCAGGGAGACTTCAATGGAATTCAATTAAATATCTAAACTAACTTGAATTCTGCTGCACTAATCATATTCAGTGTAAAGATTTGCCATTTATATAGGTGCAAATATTCAAGTTATATTGGATTTGACTCCAGGTTATTTAGTAAATGCTTTAGCCTCTTCCAAGTTCTTGCCACTTTCCTACCTGAGGGCTATATTCTCTTTTATATATCTTAGTGGTCATCAACTCCTAGCAAATCTCCCCGCAAAGGTAATTTGAGGTCTCAAAATTTTCTCCAGAACCATTCATATTGAACATCCTGTAGGCCCTTCTCCACAAGGTCTCTTATTTGAACCAAAATTATAGTTCCCTGAGTCAAACTCATTTTCCATGTTTCTTTTGTACTTAAACAGAAAAGACAGGGAATAATCCCTCCTTTTTGACTTAATACCATCGGTTCTGGCCCTGGCATTTTCTGCTTATTTTCCTTCTTCCCTGTGGGTTCAACAAGAGTGCCTTGTGACTAGGGCTGATGTAACAAACAGTGGTTGACAAAACATCTTAAATGAAACTATGCTCACAAAATGATATCCTAGATCCTTGAAATGTGGAATTAGTTCAATATTTCCTAAACATCTTTGTGGATTCTAAAGGACAATGCTTTCAATTACCTTAGATATGCCTAAGTTATCTATGAATTTACTATTGCTCTAATATAATTGAAATGCTTATGTAAGTAAATTTTTCTGTAATTTAAATACAATTGCTAATTTATTTTAAATATCATTTAGTAAAATGGTTTATGAGTGAGTTTCTGATAAAAACAATACTGATTCATTATATGGAAGCAGTTGCATTAAACATCAATAATATATTTTTTTAACAGAAAAGATCTCAAAAACTTGTTTATATGGGGAAACTTAAGGAGAAGGAGTCCTTTGGTGAGATTAGCGTCCTTCTTCAAGTTCCTTTCACGTGCACAATCATTACCAAAAAAGAAGTTGAGATGGCAATCATTGAAGATAAGGACCTATTTGGTAAATGCATAAATATCTTTTAACTGTTATACCATTTTATTGGATGAGTTCTTAAATTTTTTAAATTTTTTTCCTTATTAATCAGATGCATATTTATTAAATTGGGGTTCACCTGCAAAGGATGGAGTATTTGCATAATCTCCTCCAGATCATTTCTCTCTTGGTGAATTTTGAAAAGGGCACATGTTTGTAGAGTGGGCTGGAAGGGAACTTCATTTTCATCATATAGAAAGAGGTGAGGACTTGATGCCGAGGTTTGATGCAGGGGCTGCCTGAGGCTTGGTCTCCTGGTCCTCCAGGACCACCCTGAACTGAAGTTGGAGAACCCAGGGCAACCAGCCCTGCTCTGTGTCCTGTCCTTCCTGCAACTTGCTGGACCTCACAGCTGAAAATGGGAGCCTTGTCTCATTCTCTGTGTGAGTCCTTAGGATAATGGTATAGTAATAATAATAGCAATAATAATATTAGTCTAAGTCACACAATAGTAAGTGAAAGCATTCCATTGCAGCATAAACTATAAAGAAATATTTATGGTAAGCATTCAGGGGTACTTGGTGGATCCCAGGCAGGGACCTGGGCCTCATGAGGGTACTTTAATTCTCTAGGATTTCTTTTTTTTTAATTTTATTATTATTATACTTTAAGTTTTAGGGTACATGTGCACAACGTGCAGGTTTGTTACATATGTATACATGTGCCATGTTGGTGTGCTGCACCCATTAACTCGTCATTTAGCATTAGGTATATCTCCTATTGCTATCCCTCCCCCTTCCCCCCACCCCACAACTGTCCCTGGTGTGTGATGTTCCCCTTCCTGTGTCCATGTGTTCTCATTGTTCAATTCCCACCTATGAGTGAGAACATGCGGTGTTTGGTTTTTTGTCCTTGTGATAGTTTGCTGAGAATGATAGTTTCCAGCTTCATCCATGTCCCTACAAAGGACATGAACTCATCATGTTTTATGGCTGCATAGTATTCCATGGTGTATATGTGCCACATTTTCTTAACCCAGTCTATCACTGTTGGACATTTGGGTTGGTTCCAAGTCTTTGCTATTGTGAATAGTGCCGCAATAACATACGTATGCATTTGTCTTTATAGCAGCATGATTTATAATCCTTTGGGTATAAACCCAGTAATGGGATGGCTGGGTCCATCAGAGAAATGCAAATCAAAACCACAATGAGATACCATCTCACACCAGTTAAAATGGCGATCATTAAAAAGTCAGGAAACAACAGGTGCTGGAGAGGATGTGGAGAAATAGGAACACTTTTACACTGCTGGATGAGTTTTTTAAAAGAGTAGAGATATTTCACAGACAAATTGGGATACTCAAGTGAGTGTTTGTATGTATATTATGTACAAAGACAACATAGCTATACACTGCCCCTTTTATAATATATTCTGAATTAATTGTACTGGTGTTAGAATATATTAGCAATATTTCAAAAGACTTTGTTTTGAAATTACTAAAATCTCTCTGCCACTTCCCAGGTTACCATTAATAGCAATGTTCCCTTCTTTTCTGGGACATCTTCTGGCTTTCATCTCTAAGGTCATTGCTTTTATGTTTTTGGTTCAGGTCAAGTATGTAACATCCTCAATATTTAATTAAGATCAAGCATATATGAAAATCTAAGGCTGGTAGTATATAAGACTTTATCTAAAATTTTAGAGCTCTAGTAATAATAACAGAATAATAATGCAGCCACCTGTATTCAGCCCTCCAAATACTATAAATACTCAAATTGGAAATACAATTGAGTATGAAGGAGAAATGAATAGAAGCTAATAAGTTGTAACATAATAGGATATTAAAGAAAATTGTAGATATGTACAATAAAACTGGGAGTAAAGGATGAAAGCAAAGAAATTTGTAGACATTACCATGGGTGAGAGGTATGCTTCAACAGACTAAATTGAAAGTTGTTCATGATAAACCATATAAGATTTGACTGAATACTGTTATCCTGAATTTCAATTATGTTTTATGTCTCTGACATGATTTGGATGTTTGTCCTTTCCAAATTTCATGTTGAAACGTCATCCTCAATGTTGGAGCTGCAGCCTAATGGGAGGTTTTTGGGTCAAGGAGATGGATCCTTTATGAATGGCTTAGTGTCCTTCCTGGGTAATGAGTGAGTTCTCACTCTATTAGTTCATGAAAGAGCTGGCTCTTTAAAAGTGTCTGGCATGTTTCTCTTGCTCCTTCTTTCACCATGTGACACACCTGCTCCTCTTCCATTTTCCACCATGAATAAAACCTTCCTGAGTCCTCACCAGAAGCCAAGCAGATGTTGTTGCCATGCTTGTTAGACCCTGGCAAACTGTGAGCCAAATAAACTTCTTTTCTTTATAAATTACCCAGCTTCAGATATTCATTAATGACAACACAAAACTAATACAGACGTGGGGTGTTGCTATAAAGATACATGAAAATGGGAAGCAGCTTTGGAACTGGGTAGCAAGCAGAGGTTGGAAGAGTTTGAAAGTCTCATAAGAAGACAGCAGATGAAGGAAAGTTTGAAACTACTTAGGATTTGCTAAATAGTTGTGAACAAAATACTGATAGAAGTATGGATAGTGAAGGCCAGGCTTATGAGGCCTTAGATGGAAATGAGGAATCTATTGGAAAATGGAATAAAGTGTATCCTTGCTATGCCCTAGCAAAAATCTTGGCTGCATTGTGTCCATGCCCTAAAGATTTGTGGAAAGTTAAACTTAAGAGTGGTGACCTAGGGTATCTGGTGGAAGAAATTTCTAAGCAGCAAAACATTCAAGAATTAGTGTGGGTGCATCCAACAACGTACAATCATATATGAGCATAAAAGATGACTTAACGTTGGAAATTATAATTAAAAAGGAAGCAGAGCATAAAATTTGAAAAATTCACACTCTAGCTATGTGGAAGAGAAGGAACGTGCATTTTCTAGAGAGAAATTTAAATGCACTGTGGAGCAACAACTTGCTAGAGGGATTAGCTTGACTAAAAGGGAGACAAGTGCCAATATTCAAGATAATGGGAGAAGGTCCTCAAAGGAATTTCAGAAATCTTGAAGACAGCTCCTCCCATCACAGGCCCAGATGCCTAGGAGGAAAGAATGTTTTGGGGAGCCAGGCTGAGGATACTGCTGCCCTATGCCACCTCAGGACGCTGCTCTCAGAATCTGAGCAGAGCCATCCTGGGCTCAAACAGCCCCAGATACAGCATGGGCTACTGCTCCAGAGACTGTAAGCTATAAGCCTTTGTGGCTTCCACATGGAGTTGGGTCTGCAGGTATATGAAATGCAAGAGTGAAGGAAGCTTGCTATATTCTACCTAGATTTCAGAGAATGTATCAGAAAGCCTTCCAGAGAGAAGGCTCCTGCAGGGGCCCCACAGAGAGCCTCTATAAGAGAAGTGCCAAAAGGAAATTTGGGATTGGAGCTACCACACAAAGTCCCCATTGGGGCACTGCCTAGTGAACTGTAAGAAGTGGGCTGCCACCCTCCAGACCTGAGAATGGTAGAGCCATGGGCAGCTTGCACTCTGAGCCTGGAAAAGCTACAGGCGTTTAACTCCAACCCATGAAAGAAGCCACGTGGGCTGCATCCAGCAAAGCTGCAAGGGTGGAGCTGCCCAAGGCCTTGGGAACCCATCCCTTGCACCAGTGTACCCATAATTAGAGTCAACAGAGACGATTTTGGAGCTTTAAAATTTTAATACCTGCTCTTCTGGGTTTCAGACATGCATGGGGAATGTTTCCCCTATCTTTTGTCTTATTTCTGTCTTTTGGAATGGGAATGTTTACTTGATTTCTTTAGCACCACTGTATCTTGGAAATTAATAACTTGTTTTTGGTCTTACAGGCTCATAGGTGGAAAGAATGTGTCTTGAGTCTCAGATGGAACTTTGGACTTTTGAGTTGATGCTAGAATGAGTTAAGACCAGGGGACTGTTGGGAAGGGGTGATTATATATTGCAATGTGAGAAGGACATGAGATATGGTAGGCCAGCAACAGAATGATATAGTTTGGATGTCTGTCCCCTCCAAATCTCAGGTTGAAGGGTGATCCTCATTGTTAGAGGTGGGGACTGGTGAGGGGTGTTTGTGTTATTGAGGTAGACTCCTAATAAAGGGCTTGGCTTCATCTTCATGATAATGAGTGAGTTGTTTCTCTGTGAGTTCACATGAGAGCTGGTTGTTTAAAGAAGCCTAGCAGCTCCTTTTCTCTCTCTTGCTCCCTCTCTCTCCATGTGACATGCCTGCTCCTTCTCTGCCTTCCACCATGAACAAAAGATTCCCGAGGCCTCATCAGTAGCCAAGAAGATACTGGTGCCATGCTTGTACAACTTGCAGAACTATCAGTCAAATAAACCTCTTTCCTTTATAGATTACCCAGCCTTGGGTATTCCTTCATAGCAATGCAAAACTGACTAATAGTCTCTTACAGAATGTGTTACCAATACTTGCATAACACTAACTCAAAATGAAAAAAATTAATTCAAATTCATATGTCTAATTTTAAAAGTTGTAAATCTGAAATGACATTTGTTAATTTTATTTTCTTCTGTGACATTCAAATACAACCTCCCTCAAGGTAAACATTGCTTAAAAATAATTACTAACCACCAATTAAAATGACAATATTCTCACTTAATATTTTTTCTTTTCCTATATAATAATATGTTTTTTCTTTTCCTATATAAATGATGTTAACTGGTGCAAGGCAAATACACTGTGGACTCTTTTATGTAAAACAACATTTCACACGTTGTATTATACAAAGTTCTTCAAAAAAAACAGAACCAATAGGATATATATAAATATACAAGAGGCGATCTATTATGGGGATTGGCTAATGTGATTGTAGAGTACACAAAGTCCCATGATATGCTTTCAGCAAGCTGGAGAATCAGTAAAGCCAGTGGTATAATTCAGGTTGTGTCTGAAGGTCTGAAGGGGAACTGAGGGTGTAACTCCCAGTGTGAGGCCAAAGCCTTGAAAACTGGAGAGGGCAGACAGGAGGCAGTTGTATTAAGTCCTGGAGTCTGAAGGCCAGAGCACCAGGAATCCTGGTATTCAAGAACTGGGAAAGATGGCCATCTTAGCTGAAGAAGAGATAGACAGAATTCCTCTGCCTTTTTAATCTATTCAGGCCCGCAATGGATTAGGTGTTATCTGTTTGCATTGGTGTTGGTGGATTTTCCTTAATTCATCTACTGATTCAAATGCTAATCTCTCTAAAAAACACCCTCAAAGACACATCTGGAAATGTTTTACCAGCTATCTGGGCATCCCTTAGCCCAGTCAAGGTGGCACATAAAGTTAAGTGTCACATACAAAAGTGTTTCTTTTAGTCACTTAATAGAATCTCCTTTGTCATCTGGCAGCCTAACATTCAAATACTTGGCATTGTATGGGATTTAGTAATGTTTGTGTGTGTACAAACATTTTAATTCATTCCATAGTCTGTTTTATTCCATAGTCTGCATACATCAGACTATTCCATAGTCTGAATTTCATTTTAAATTCATTCCATAGTCTGTTCATTTGAGAGTGATGTTCTAAAGCTGCTGACATGATGTGTGCCTAATTGAATATTCTCTAAATAGAAATGTGCTTGAGGACTAGATTTTGCTTGTTTTTTCAAAATTTACAAGGAAATAAAATATTGTGTTTATTTCAGAAAGCATTTTATTTCTACATTCTAATATTTCATATTCTATTCCAAGATAGTTAAATGTACATTTTAAGGGCTAGATAATTCTAATGAAAAATTAATGGTTAATTTTGCTGAAATAATTTTCACATATGAAGAACAATGATATTAATTTGCATTTAATCTGCTATATCCTATCTCCATCTACTTCATTTATTATTTGAAATATAGATCCACCTCTATGAAATAACATAGGACAGGACTCAAGAGAAAGTAAAATGAGTCTTAAATATATCAAGTTGAAGACAAATGAAAA
Source organism: Homo sapiens (assembly GCF_000001405.40). Taxonomy (NCBI): domain Eukaryota; kingdom Metazoa; phylum Chordata; class Mammalia; order Primates; family Hominidae; genus Homo; species Homo sapiens. Next base: position 87,359,749 of record NC_000008.11, read on the forward strand.
TGCTGTGCTGGAAAACTCAGCGTGAGCAAACTCTATGTTATGTCATCTTGCTATCAAGTGTTATTATTAGCTGTTATATTACATAGGTGTTAGGAATAATTTAAATTTGAGAAAGTCCACTAAAAATAAACAAAAATAAATAAAATAATTATGTTCCAATAGAATCCTCAATTATTAGTTGGTTATGTTGCCTTCACTTTCTAATTTTTCAAGAATTGTTAAAAACAGCAATTCTTTTAGAACTATAAAGGTATTACTGAAAAAATAAATTAATGCTTATCTTTCTCCAGGTATATGGGTTATACTCTCTATTTGGTCTTATGTAAATCATGTAAAGATTCAGTTCATCTTGAATGAATCAACAATATTTGGTAAATACCCAAAGAGAGCAATTCACTCACTGTACCTGTACTTCAAGATAGGTAGAATAGAATCTAGAGAATATTAAAGACTTCATAAATGTTAAATGCTCTACTGGAGAATTATATATGCAACCGTCTATATATAAAATATAGTAAGATGTATGCAGCAATTAGTTTTGTAATATTTAAAAGGACTTGAGGAGTGGCTTATTTGTTCCTTTTGGTGGTTAACTTTTGGAAGTTAGGAAATATCTTTTTTTAATCTATATGCATCCTTCTCAGACATTGCCTTGAACATCTAAATAAGAATGAGAATAGCATTATTAAGCTTAAGCAAATATAAATTTCCTCTGTTTTTCACATGCTACTGAGAATGTAGTTTATTATTATTTTTATAAAGTCAATATATCTTTGTCCAGATGCAGAGCTTATTACTCAAGTCATTTAAGGTAAAGATAATTGCAAGTCAATATAACTATTTTAATTTTACTGATGTCTTAAATTCTCATTCCACCATTAGAACAAGTGTACTACTTTTGTAATGAGAAAGAATTTCTTTTTATCTATAAAATGAATTACTGATGTTTTTTATTATATCTCATTCAACAACTTATGATTGAAAAATAAGGAATAGCTAATGTGCTTAATTTGCCATACCGAAAAGGAAAATTTCAATTCCAAGGTGTTATTGGTATAAACTATCTGAAAGTTTCTGCTTGTTTTTAAAAAGGAAGAATGCCTAAAGACTATCTCTCATAATGCTTAATACAAAGCACAGGAGGTCAGAGTTTTTACTGCAGATATATCTGTTAAGCATTTCAGGGGCAATAAATATATTCATATTCAAAAACTTCTTCCCAACACATCAGCATTTCACCTTAATGATGAGATAAGTTATAGCCAAGATTATCCTTGTTAAATTAACAAAACTAATAAAAAGGATTTAAGCTCTTGAACAGTTTGCCACAGGGAATACACGACTCTTTCCCCTTTTGCGTTTTTGCATTGTGATTTAAAATTTTGATATATGCAATTCCAAGTTAAAAATAAGATAGGGCACTTATTTTTAAATCAGATAAAAATGCTTAAAAGCATCTTCTCCTCTTATAATTTGTTATTCCTTACTAATACATGTTAAATTTTAAAAATGTAAGTTACAAAGTTGAGTGAAATGTTTTTTGAGGAAAAAATAATATTTTATTTGCAAAGCTTGACAAAATGCTAATATCTTTAATGATAAATGAGCTCTTAGAAATCAGTAGAAGGAGATTAACATTACAAGGGAAGTGAAAATAAAAAGAACAGAGGAAAATGAAATAACACAAATGTCTTACAAGGCTATGTGAAGATGATATAGCTTACCATTAATAGATGAAAAAGCAATTTCACTATAAATTACATTATCAATGCTTACAAATATTGATATCTAATGTTTATATAGTTTTAGGAAGGGAAAATCCTCAAATACTGGGAAAATTTACTCCAGTTATAGGAAATTTACTCAAAGTATAGATTTTGCATATACTTTGCCCCAGCAATTCCAGTTCATGGGGATCATTCCAACAAAATAGTTGGATGAATATATATATATATATATATTCTTGTTCACTACATAGAAAATCTTTGGCTAATATGTCATCCCCCAAGAAACTACTTATGTATCAATTGGTTTATAAAGAAATAGATGGGGGGGTAGAATTTGAAATATAAAAAGCATTGAAGTAAAAATACAAGATTTCACAAAATTCTATGTTCCTTGAATTCTTGAAAAAGAACTTTCTTTAAATGAATCAGTTTTATATTTACTCTGTGATAAGTGAAAATTATAAATGTATACACTTCAGACTTATGGAAGCACTGAGATGAAACACTTTTAATTCCACTATCCTGGCTTCTTTGTTTAAGAATGTCTGTCATTCCATGTCCTGAGATTGAGTCCAATGACAAACCATGAAAACAATTACCATGCTTACTTAAAATCTACTTCAATGACACTCTTTAGGTTACTTTTCAAAAATGAGCTTTCTCAGTCAAGTTTTTCTGATCTGCAAGGAATGTCCACTGCAATGCCTGTGAGGAGTCTCCATACATCATGAAGACCATATTTTGGTTTTGGTGAAGATGATATTAGAAACAAGGGCACAGTCTCCCTCTTTCAGTCATTAAAATCATATTGCCAAGAATGCTTGAATGAGAATACTGCAACAGGTCATTCAGTGATAACTGAGGTTTTTCAATACCAGATGTGTTTATCCAAGTTCAGGAGGAAGTGTTAGCTATTGTACACACTGCCCCTTGTTCATCCAACAGACAGTCCAAGGCAACTTGATTATCTACAAAAAAATTTAGCAAGGGAGTTTAGAAAAGTTTGTTGGGCACCTATAGCCTTTGCAGTAAACTTAGCTATTACTATAGCTAATGCTTGAGACAGATTTTTAATCATAACCTTATTTACATTTGTGCCAAGCCAATAAAGTTACATTCTACCAAAGATGGCCATTAAGAGGAATTTACACCATTTTGTCTACTCCATGGCAAGTCATGGACTGCAGTTTTTAGTAATGGAATCTTTAAGGACTCAGAAAAGACCAGGCAGCCATTCGAACCCTCTGTGAGTCCACGCTTAACATTAAATTTATATCCTTTTAGATACCAATTTTGCTTTTCCAAGTCAGGTACATATAACACTGCTTATTAAATAGGTTATTATAGGTGATTTGACTTGGATCAATCTTATGGAGTTCATTCAAATTGCATATTCTAACTTTTTTTTTGTACTTTAAGTTAAGAACGTGCAGGTTTGTTACATGTATAGACACATGCCGTGGTGGTTTGCTGTACCCATCAACCCGTCATCTATATTAGGTATTTCTCCTAATGCTATCCCTCCTCTAGTACGCCCCACCCAACAGGCCCTGGTGTGTGATGTTCCCCTCCCTGTGTCCATGTGTTCTCATTGTTCAACTCCCACTTATGAGTGGGAACATGAAGTGTTTGGTTTTCTGTTGTTGTGTTAGTTTGCTGAAAATGATGGTTTCCAGAGTTATCCATGTCCCTGCAAAGGACATGAACTCATCCTTTTTTTATGGCCACATAGTATTCCATGGTGTATATGTGCCACATTTTCTTTATCCAGTCTATCAATTGGGTTGGTTCCAAGTATCTGCTATTGTGAACAGTGCCACAATAAACATACTACATGTGCATGTGCCTTTATAGTAGAATGATTTATCATCCTTTGGGTACATACCCAGTAATGGGATTGCTGGGTCAAATGATATTTCTGGTTATAGATCCTTGAGGAATTGTCACACTGTCTTCCACAATGGTTGAACTAATTTAGACTCCCACCAACAGTGTAAAAGTGTTCCTATTTCTCCACATCCTCTCCAGCATCTGTTCATGTAAGTTTCCTAACTTTTTAATGATTGCCATTCTAACTGGCATGAGATGGTATCTCATTGTGGTTTTGATTTGCATTTCTCTAATGACCAGTGATGATGAGCTTTTTTTCATATGTTTGTTAGCTGCTAAATGTCTTCTTTTGAGGAGTGTCTGTTCATACTTTTCGCCCACTTTTTGATGGGGTTGTTTGTTTTTTTCTTGTGATTTTGTTTAAGTTCCTTGTGGATTCTGGATATTAGCCCTTTGTCAGATGGATAGATTGCAAAATTTTTCTCCCATTCTGTAGGTTGCCTGTTCACTCTGATGATAGTTTCTTTTGCTGTGCAGAAGCTCTTTAGTTTAATTAGATCACATTTGTCAATTTTGGCTTTTGTTGTCATTGCTTTTGGTGTTTTATTCATGAAGTCCTTGCCCATGCCTATGTCCTGAATGGTATTGCCTAGGAAATTTTGGTTTTTTTTTTTTTAAACGAATGAAAAAGTTTTAGACAAATCTTTGACAACCATTTGCTGGCTCAAATGTTGTTGTTTTCTAAGGTGTTTCTCAACATATTGTTTTATTCCATTAGGTATTTTATAGAGGTATTATACTGTTTTGTTAATGAGAAAACTAGCTAAACATTTTGAACATCTTGCTGACATTTAAAATTAATTTTTACTTGGAGAGATTATCTCAAAAAATATTGTATATCACATATATTTATAAGTATCTATATATATGTATATATATTCACACATCTAATGTGTGGAAAAGATAACATTACTCAGAAAACAATGATGACCTTGATATTTTAGCCTGACAATATGTGTTTGACCACTCATAAACTTTGTAAATGTTTGTTTATTTTGTAAGAAGAAGTTAATGTTTTTGCTCGAGTTTGGCTTTTAGATAATTTTTTCTCTATCAAGTGTATTAAACTGTTTTACTTTTTAATTCTTTTAAATCCAATTTGTCTTTTTATTTTATTTTTTAAATATTTTAAATTTTATTTTATGTTCAGAAGTACATGTGCAAGTTTGTTATATAGGTAAACTCATGACTCAGTGGTTTAGTGTATAGATTTTTTTGTCACCTAGGTATCAAGCCTAGTTCCCATTAGTTATTTTTCTTGATCCTCTCTCTCTTCCCACCCTCCCCCTCTCTGATAGGCCCCAGTGTGTATTGTTCCCCTTTGTGCATTCATGTGTTCTCATCATTTAGCTCCCACTTACAAGGAAAATATGCTGTATTTGGTTTTCTGTTCCTGCATTAATTTATAAGGATAATGTCCCCCAGTTCCATCCACATTCCTGCAAAGGACATGATATCATTCTTTTTTATGGCTGCATAGTATTCCATGGTGTATGTGTACCACAATTTCTTTATCCAGTCTATTGTAGATGGGCATTTAGGTTGATTCCATGTCTTTGCTATTATGAGCAGTGCTGCAGTGAACATCGCTGTGCATGTGTCTTTATAATAGAACTATTCATATTCTTTTTGGTATATACCCAGTGGTGAGATTGCTGGATCAAATGGTAGTTCTTGTTTTAGGTCTTTGAGGGGTTGCCACACTGCTTTCTATAATGGTTGAACCTAATTTACACTCGCACCAACAGTGTATAAGTGTCCCCTTTTCTCCACAACCTTGCCAGCATCTGTTATTTTTTACTTTTTAGTAATTCAGTCAAAATGGCTATTCTGACTGATGTGATGTGAGATGACATCTCATTTAGGTTTTGATTTTCTTTTCTCTAATGATTAGTGATATTGTGCTTTTTTTCATATGCTTGTTGGCCGTGTGTATGCTAAAGTATCTGTTCATGTCTTTTGCTCAGTTTTTAATGGTTTTTGTTTTTTGCTTGTACATTTGTTTAAGTTACTTATAGATTCTGGATATTAGACCTTTGTCAGATGTGTAGTTAGACCATTTTAACTTGTAGATGGCAGAGTTGATTTTAGCCCATAAAAAAGCCACAGTAAAATGTTGAATATCATGTTTTCATTTTCAGATTTGCTATACTTGAAACCACTTGTTCCACTGTAAAATGTAATCCTTTATGAATTTTATATTTATTGATTCAAAGGTTCTATGTTTACATTGCCATGCCATGTCTAACAATAAGGTCCACTTGTAAGTAGATTTATTTGTTATTGGTAACAATAATCTCACACAATTTTGATGTATTCAGGTTAAAATTTTAAGTATGATAACTTTGCTTTCCTGTTGTAGAAAGATTTTAAAATTAACATTAATATGGGTTTATGCATGCCTCTATTAAAATATAATCAGAAGCAATTATTAGATTTCCAATAAATAACTGGTTTATTGAATAATTACAACTCACAGGAAGCATTTACAAAGGAATTTTATAATGTCTCCCACATTCTTTATTATTTGTTCAAGTTGGAGAAGTTCTTTTCCTGCTCTTTGAAAACTCAATGTAATGATTTTACGATCACTCTTAAGTCATAAAATGTCCTATAAATCATTTTTAGTTGCCAAATATTCTCAGTTGGGATAATAATAAATCTAGCCTGGTAAGAAGCCAGTATCCAGACTTCATTGTAGGTTGATAGGCCAGCTATATGTGTGTATTAATTTCCTTTTGCTACATAACAAATTACCATAAATTTAGCAGCTTTAAACAATACTCATTTATCATCTCACAGTTTTGTAGGTCAGATGTCTGGGCTGGTTCAACTGCGTTCTATTCTTAGAGTTTCACATGGCTAAAATCTAAGTGTTGGCCAAGCTGTGATCTAATTTTAGGGCTGTGGAGAAGAGGTCACCTCCAAGTCCATTCAAATTGGTAGATTTCATTTCCTTGCAGCTGCAGAACTGAAATTCCTGTTTTCTTGCGGTTTTTACCTGAGGGTCACTCTCAGCCATCAGAGCCTGCTCCATCCATCTGGCCCTCTCCATCTCAGCAATGAAGAATTCCTTCTGCTGACCCTCTCTCTCGTTTTGAATCTTTCTCTTCCCTGCCAGCTGAAGAAAACTCTTTGTGTTTAAACAATTCATGTGATTGGGCTAGGCCCACCCAGATAACCTGCCTATTTTAAGGTTAACTCGTTAGTATCCTTAATTACATCTGCAAAAATCCCTGTACTGTGTAATATAACATAATCACAGGAGTAACACCATGGGCTGAAGGTCGTGGGGGCCACTTTAGAACTCTGCTACCATAGTGCTGGAGGTCAGCAGTGGGTAAGGAGAGCATGACAGGTATCTCTGCTTTCCACTGCCATCCCTAAGCTTTCTATTTATTGTTCTGATTTCTCTGCTATGAGGCAGCATGGGGTACTGGGGAGAAGAGGATGGCAAACAAATAAGAAAGGAAGTGAAAATGTTCTTAATTGTTACTGTTATAAACTGTTTTTTCACTATGTGTTTGACAGTTGTTTCAAGCTAAGCCTTTCTAGTGAGCACCTTCAAAGAGTTTTGGATATCCCTTAATATTGGGGAATATTTGCCTGTAATTCCTTAATAAGGTAGTACATTTTCCTCCCTGGGAATCCAGAGATAACTTCAGATTTCCTCTGCTGAGGGTACTTTACTCCCAGCCTCCTCTCTCACTAATATACCATTGGGACTTTATCCTGGCTGTCTTTTACACATGAGATTATATGTGGCCTACATAGGAAAGTCTACATGGGAAGACACTCCTATATTCTTTGTCCTGACAAACTTTGAGAGGGCAGGCCAATTTCTGAGCAGCCACTTATGTAGCTTGTTTGTCAACTGTCAACTAGCTTTTCTCTTACCTTCACAGGTCTCAAGGTGTAGTCAGACAATAGTGTACTCTACTGTGGCTTTTAAATTCTCAGAACGTATATAAAGCTCTCCAGGTGGGCTTTTTGAAGATCCCCTCTTTCAGTTGAGGTGATGAAGAGGTATTTCTCATTACATCCCCTTGCAGATGGTGAAGCTTAGAACAGAACTCTTCGAGAAATCTGCTTCAAAAATCTTCTATCAGTCTCTATTCTCAACATTTCAGTGTGCATGAAGGACTTGCTTTCTGCTTCTCCACATCTATTAAAAAAATTGGTACGTTGTTATGAGATGTACTGCCTTGGATTCTGAGCTGATTCTCCCACTTTTTAATTACCTTGAAGTATTCACTGTGTTCCACACATTATTCTACATACTTTATATGTTTTATCTAATCAAATGTTCACAACAACCCATTGAGAAATATGCATTTAATAGCCCTATTTTGTGGATCAGGAGAATAAAGTATAGAAAGATTAAGTGATATCAATGCTCTCTATCGAAAGGTCATGGGGGACACTTCTGTGGTTGACTGAATTGGGTTTGTTACTCATTGGGATGAGAGAGAACTATGGGGAACCATAGATTGTCTCAGCAAAAGGACATTAAAAGAATATGTTGGCCGGGAGTGGTGGCTTACGCCTATAATTCCAGCACTTTGGGAGGCAGAGGCAGGTGGATCACGAGGTCAGGAGTTTGATTACCAACATGGTGAAACCCAATCTTTCCTAAAAAGACAAAAATTAGCTGGGCATGATGATGTGCACCTGTAGTCGCAGCTACTCAGGAGGCTGAGGCAGGAGAATTGCTTGAACCCAGGAGGTGGAGGTTGCAGTGAGCCTAGATCACACCATTTCACTCCATCCTGGGTGACAGAGCGAGATTCCATCTAAAAAGAAAAGAAAAGAAAAGAAAAGAATATGTTATAGAATTTGGGTTTTGGTTGGGTGATTTGGGAAGTAGCCTAAGAATGTAGAAATTTGTTCTTGATTGAACGCTGTCAAAAAACAATATATCCCAATAAATCTTAAGTTTTGGAAGGGCAGACTAGAGTGAAGATAAATATGTAATTAATAAAAAAGTAGATTGGGCATGGCAGCTCATACCTGTAATTCCAGCATTTTAGGAGGCTGAAGTGAGAGGACTGTTTGAGGCCAGGAGATGGAGACTAGACTGGGCAACATAGTGAGACCCTGTCTGTACAAAAAATAGTAAAAAGTTAGCTGGGCATGGTGCCTCACACCTGTAGTCCCAGCTACTTGGTGGACTAAGGCAGGAGGATCCCTTGAGCCAGGAGTTTGAGGCTGCAGTGAGCTATGATCAAGCCACTTCACTCCACCCTGGGTGACAGAACAAAAACCTATCTCAAAAAGAGAGGGAGAGAGAGTGAGAGAGAGACAGAGAGAGAAAGAGAAAGATAGCACCTGCTTCTATTAGCCAAAAGAGGGGTATTTGGTATTTTGTAGGCATCAAGCTGACCTTGCTTTTGTCTGTGCTTAGACAAAATTATGAAATGACCTTGCTTGTCTCATTTTATCATGCTCATGGACAACATATCTGAGGGTTACATTCTGTGCAAATCTGCCATAGGAGAATTATGTGGCCAACTGAAAATGCCAGGCCCGCTTCCAAATGTCAGATTCGGCTTCCCTCCCCTCCTTCTTTTCCTTCTCATGACTTGCTTAATATTACAGAGCTATTAAGGGGTGCAACCAGGAATCAAACCCTAACACTCTGCCTCCAGGATCCATATTACAACAACTATACTTTACTAACAGTTTAACTGATAACTCAATAATTTTTTTAATCCATTATCCTTATGTAGTTATTTTATTCCATATATTTTAGCCATAATTGTATAAATTTTGGCTAGATTTTTGGCTAAATGATATTTAATAATGGCCTTCAATGTTCACATGTATTTAGGAAGGAAACATATTTTTCTTTTACTAGGATTCATTACATTGATATAGCTAAGAAGCCCTGAACTCAAGTGTAAGATTTGGTTTCCTAGGTCAATTCTACCATTCCGTACATGCTGTTTGAGTCATCTATGTTCTTTTTTGTGATTGAAAAGAGTTCCAGTGTATATTTATATTGTGTTTTATACTTACCTATGTAATTACCTCTGCTCATGCTCTTTATTTTTCATGTGGAACTGAATTACCACATTCTATCCTTCCTTTTCTGTCTGAAGATCTTATTTCTCATACAGCAAATCTGCAGGTGACAAGTTCTCTCAGTCTTTATTTATCTGGAAATGTCTTTATTTCTTTTTCATGTTTGAAGATTAGTTTTGTTAGATTTAGAATTCTTGGCTGATAGTCTTTTTCTTTCAGCACTTTGAGCATGTTATTCCTCCTTCTTCTGGCCTCTATAGTTTCCAATGAGAAGTTGCTGTTAGTACCATTGAGTATCATTTGTGGATGATTTGTCACTTTCCTAGTGCTGCTTTCTTTTTTTTTTATTATTATACTTTAAGTTTTAGGGTACATGTGCACAATGTGCCGGTTAGTTACATATGTATACATGCGCCATGCTGGTGTGCTGCACCCATTAACTAGTCATTTAGCATTAGGTATATCTCCTATATGCTATCCCTCCCCACTCCCCCGACCCCACAACAGTCCCCAGAGTGTGATGTTCCCCTTCCTGTGTCCATGTGTTCTCATTGTTCAATTCCCATCTATGAGTGAGAACATGCAGTGTTTGGTTTTTTGTCCCTGCAATAGTTTACTGAGAATGATGATTTCCGATTTCATCCATGTCCCTACAAAGGACATGAACTCATCATTTTTTATGGCTGCATAGTATTCCATGGTGTATATGTGCCACATTTTCTTAATCCAGTCTATCATTGTTGGACATTTGGGTTGGTTCCAAGTCTTTGCTATTGTGAATAGTGCCGCAATAAACATACGTGTGCATGTGTCTTTATAGCAGCATGATTTGTAGTCCTTTGGGTATATACCCAGTAATGGGATGGCTGGGTCAAATGGTATTTCTAGTTCTAGATCCCTGAGGAATCGCCACACTGACTTCCATAATGGTTGAATTAGTTTACAGTCCCATCAACAGTGTAAAAGTGTTCCTATTTCTCCACTACTCTCCAGCACCTGTTGTTTCCTGACTTTTTAATGATTGCCATTCTAACTGGTGTGAGATGGTATCTCATTGTGGTTTTGATTTGCATTTCTCTGATGGCCAGTGATGGTGCGCATTTTTTCATGTGTCTTTTGGCTGCATAAATGTTTTCTTTTGAGAAGTGTCTGTTCATGTCCTTTGCCCACTTTTTGATGGGGTTGTTTGTTTTTTTCTTGTAAATTTGTTTAAGTTCATTGTAGATTCTGGATATTAGCCCTTTGTCAGATGAGTAGGTTGCAAAAATTTTCTCCCATTTTGTAGGTTGCCTGTTCACTCTGATGGTAGTTTCTTTTGCTGTGCAGAAGCTCTTTAGTTTAATTAGATCCCATTTGTCAATTTTGTCTTTTGTTGCCATTGCTTTTGGTGTTTTAGACATGAAGTCCTTGCCCATGCCTATGTCCTGAATGGTAATGCCTAGGTTTTCTTCTAGGGTTTTTATGGTTTTAGGTCTAACGTTTAAGTCTTTAGTCCATCTTGAATTAATTTTTGTATAAGGTATAAGGAAGGGATCCAGTTTCAGCTTTCTACATATGGCTAGCCAGTTTTCCCAGCACCATTTATTAAATAGGGAATCCTTTCCCCATTGCTTGTTTTTCTCAGGTTTGTCAAAGATCAGATAGTTGTAGATATGCGGCGTTATTTCTGAGGGCTGTGTTCTGTTCCATTGATCTATATCTCTGTTTTGGTACCAGTACCATGCTGTTTTGGTTACTGTAGCCTTGTAGTATAGTTTGAAGTCAGGTAGTGTGATGCCTCCAGTTTTGTTCTTTCGGCTTAGGATTGACTGGGCAATGGGGGCTCTTTTTTGGTTCCATATGAACTTTAAAGTAGTTTTTTCCATTTCTGTGAGGAAAGTCATTGGTAGCTTGATGGGGATGGCATTGAATCTATAAATTACCTTGGGCAGTATGGCCATTTTCATGATATTGATTCTTCCTACCCATGAGCATGGAATGTTCTTCCATTTGTTTGTATCCTCTTTTATTTCATTGAGCAGTGGTTTGTAATTCTCCTTGAAGAGGTCCTTCACGTCCCTTGTAATTTGGATTCCTAAGTACTTCTAACTCATTTTATGAGGCCAGCATCATCCTGATACCAAAGCCAGGCAGAGACACAACCAAAAAAGAGAATTTTAGACCAATATCCTTGATTAACATTGATGCAGAAATCCTCAATAAAATACTGGCAAACTGAATCCAGCAGCACATCAAAAAGCTTATCCACTATGATCAAGTGGGCTTCATCCCTGGGATGCAAGGCTGGTTCAATATATGCAAATCAATAAATGTAATCCAGCGTATAAACAGAACCAAAGACAAAAACCACATGATTATCTCAATAGATGCAGAAAAGGCCTTTGACAAAATTCAACAACCCTTCATGCTAAAAACTCTCAATAAATTAGGTATTGACAGGACATATCTCAAAATAATAAGAGCTATCTATGACAAACCCACAGCCAATATCATACTGAATGGGCAAAAACTGGAAGCATTCCCTTTGAAAACTGGCACAAGACAGGGACGCCCTCTCTCACCACTCCTATTCAACATAGTGTTGGAAGTTCTGGCCAGGGCAATTAGGCAGGAGAAGGAAATAAAGGGTATTCAATTAGGAAAAGAGGAAGTCAAATTGTCCCTGTTTGCAGACGACATGATTGTATATCCAGAAAACCCCACTGTCTCAGCCCAAAATCTTCTTAAGCTGATAAGCAACTTCAGCCAAGTCTCAGGATACAAAATCAATGTACAAAAATCACAAGCATTCTTATACACCAATAACAGACAAACAGAGAGCCAAATCATGAGTGAACTCCCGTTCATAATTGCTTCAAAGAGAAAAAAATACCTAGTGCTGCTTTCAAGATTTTGTTTCTGTTTTTTGATAATTTATGATGGGCCCTGTTGTAGATATCTTTTAGTTTATCCTACTTGCAGTTTTCACTGAGGTTCTTAAATGTATACTTTGATGTTTCCCATCAAATGCTAGTTTTCTGTCATTATTTCTGGTTCCTCACTGGATAAAAAGTAAATACTTTATAATGTTTGTTCCCACTCCACTGATTTCCAAATTTCTTCAGAAACTCTGGGTTGATTTTCTGTTTTAGAGTCACCATAAACGTGGTCTCCAAGATTAAGTTCTTAGAAGATTATGATAGGTAGAAAAGAGTCTATGCTGTTATAAACATTGATGACATTGAAAATCAATCTAGTAATAGCTTTTTTGTTACATAATACTTTATTTGTCCACAAATAAGTGGCCTCTTTTCTGATGCTCTTACCTATCAATGATTATTAAAATTCTCAAACTTTTATGTGGCAACGTTCTTAATAATTTAAGTTCAATCACCTCATATATGGCAAATTTTCACTAGATGTCTAGAACAAATTTATTTCTGTATGTAAACTATGCTTCCTTTTTATAGATGGTATAAGCCATGGTATTTTCCACTTTTTGTGGGCTCCCAGGAAGAGCATTGTCAACTTTGCATATAACTGTGGTAGCTTCCTTTACCTAAGTAAACTCCTGTGATTTTTTTCTTCCTGTTTCTGTCTACCTTACACTTCTGTTACTTTAAGTAGTTTTAATTACATACTTATATGATATTTTTTATTATAGTAGTTAGATTATAACTTTTAAAAATTATGACCATTTCAAGTATTTGGATGGGTGAATTCTTCCAGTAATAAATAAAGGCATAGTTTACATATTTTTAAATTGGAAGTTGTGGGTTTAATTATTGGCTCTTATTTTTCTCTCAAGAAAAAAAGCAAATGTTATTGAAAAGTAGACTTTTCTGCAAATGATGATTAATGACCAATGATACTTCTACTGACCCAATGATACTTCTACTGATACTTCTAATATAGCGGTATTAGTTTAATGGTGAAGCCACCAATCACTTAGGTAATATTGAAATATATTGTTGACCCTAACCACAAGTAACATAATTTGGAGTGCTGCTAGGCAGAATTTTTTAAAGGCATTATCACAAACCCTTGCTGCATCTCTCGCTTACCTAAACATGAAACATTTTGAGACCAATAATTAGTTAAGTTTTAATTCTTAACATTCACAGGTTTTGATTTTATACTCTTGTAATTATGATGCCTTAAATGTAACTTGTTTTTCAGCAAGGACTTTAGATGACTGGTATGTAAAGTTGTAGGTTGTATATCTTCATTTAGGAAATAGTTTGTATGCTCCAAAAGTCTAATTGTCTGTAGATGAAAGAAAATTACAATAAATGTTGGCTTATAGGAATTGCCAATTCAGGCCAAAAAGCCTAACTGGTTTAGCAAACAATATTAGTCAGATATCAAGTTCAAAACAACCAAATGTTATATGAAGAAAAAGTGTATTTTTAGGATAAGTTTATATAAAATTTCAGGCCAAGTTTCTGTGTAAACCTTAAACTTCAATATTTTTAGATAGAACCCAAGTCTATGCCTGTACAAATGTAATTTTATAAACTTGTTATCACATTCTATTTCATGATTAATTTAAATATTTGTATTGCAAAATATTGCTTAATTGTTAGAAGCTACAACAGTTTTCATCTGATGAATTCAGTGTTACAGCTACTGGTAATTACAACTAGGCTTTTATAGTATATACATTTCTCTCCTTTGGTTGATTATATTGTTTGGCAAAACTAATCCCCTAAAAAATTCCTTACAAAATAATTCATCATAAAAAAAGAAAATCAGAATGTAGGCAATAATGTGCCCCATCAACATGTATATGACAGCTCTTTCCAATATATAGCATAACCACTGAAATATAATCATCATTGTGAATATTTACCGTGCACTTCATCTGTCTTTTACTGTGCAATAGTGTTTTTCTTGGGTATTTCTGATATCAAATCCTTGTGGATTGCTAAATTTTGATTTTCACTCAATTTTTAGGAAGCCTGTAATAAAATAAAATGTGTTTCCTAAGAAATTTGATAAAATTTACAGAGTTATGCACAAATGATAAAAAATACCACATTTAAGATAGTTCCTTAAATCAAGATCCTAATAAGGGCAACTTTAGTATAACAGACTATTACTGAGGATTTTCATTTTCATTGCCCGTCTTTACATACCCAGTTGGGTTCTAGACTGGTACACCTTGTATGGAAGAGATTAGTTAGAGACTGAACAACTCTCTCTTTTGTCTTCATTAGTACTGGGGCACGTTAAATTTCCCAGCCTCTCTAGCAGTTAGGTTGGAGCCATGTAACTGGCTCTGGTTAATAGAATAGAGGGAACATATTATTGCCTGGCCATGAAATATATGATTTTTCCATGATCTCACTCACTGTCTGGAAGTCAAGTACTCCAAAATAGCAGCATCACGTGATGATGAGAACCTAGACCTTGGAATTCTTTTCTTGGATGGAATTGCTCAGAAAAATAGCTTAGCTAGAAACATCTGTATTGGACTTTGTGTAAGTGACAAATAAACATTTGTTGAATTAAGCAACCAAGATTTTAGTTTGTTATAGCAACTACCAAGTGCTACACTGAGTCATACAACTGGCAAAAATGCAAGGTTTTCTGAGGAGTTCTCAAAACAAGTAATAATTTCTGGATTAGAACATAAAATAAATATGCTTTTTGTGATTATTCTTTTGTCCTTAACATTTATAAATCTTCCACTCAAAAATAATTATACAGTACATTTAGAAATGAAAATATATGTGCATAAAGAAGATATACACTATTGCATCTAAGTTTTAGTATGGTTTTGAATAGTACTATTATAAGAACAAATGTACATGAATTCAGCTCTTAGTTTTGTAATTAATGCACTTTCACAATCTCTGACAACACTGTTTTTAAAAACAGCTGATAGTTTAGTTACAAATTTCCAGGAACTTAGCAAATGTCATAGGGTAAGCTGTGTGCTGTCTGTTAACACAGAGAGAGGTAAGTGGAATTTAGCACATTTCAAAGAGAAAGCAAAAAGTTAGACAAACCAATAATCAAAATTAAATTTTGTAAACTATGTTAGATAAATGCCCACCAAGAGTTAATAGAACAAGGCTTAGAAATATCTGTAGATAAAGTTATCAGTGACTTTACTGAGAAAGTTTACAATAACCATCTTTTCCGAAGCCATAGCATTCCTTATAAGTTTTTATATATAGTTTAGGTATCACACAGATTCTATTTTCTTAGGCTATCATAGGAACCGAATCAAGGTTATTAGATTGGAATATTGGTATAGAAACCATTCCAAAGCTTCAAAGAAATGAATGAAATTCATTATGTCTTGCAAGACAAAACTTCCATCTCTTATTTTTAAAATGTCTGCTTAAATGAAATCCCCAAAAATTACTTATAGTTACCTTATATGAGAAGTTAAATTTGAGTTAAAGTTTTCAAGTTCTTTTGCAAAGGTACACTGAATTCCGTCACTAAATACTTTCCTAATATGCTTTTGGAAAATATATTCAAGATCCTATGTCTGTCTTTTCCTTTTTTCAGGCCTTGGATCTACTCAGACTATGTTGATAAAAGATAAATAGATCTCTTGCAGGAAGAATTGTACTTTCTGCGATAAAAATTTAATGGGCTAATATTTAATTATGTTGGTTGGCAAATTTAAAAATTATGCAATATGAAGGATTATAACATCAAATAAAAGCAGAGATGAACTTTTTAGTTCAAAGATTCAGCAGCTTGTTCTATCACTTACTGTAGACTGTGACTGTAAAGGAAATATAGTTTAGATGAGCTCTCAGTTCATACTGCTTCAATGCATTACCATGGGCTGGGTGGCTTAAACAACAAACGTTTATTTTCCCATAGTTTTGGAGGGCAAGAAATCCAAGATCAAGTCCCTGGCTGATCTGGTGTCTGGTGAGGGTACATTCCTGGTTTGCAAAAATAGCTGTCTTCTCCTTGTATTCTCACATGGCTGAGAATAGAGAGCAAGCTCTGACAAGGGTACTAATTCCTAAGGGCTCGGCCCTCAGCACCTAATTACTTGCCAGAAGAAACCTACTAATACCGTCACATTGGACGTTAGGATTTCAACCTATGAATTTTTGAGGGATGTAACCATTTAGCCCATGACACATGCTAACTTTTTTAACAGTAAAAACCGGCCTAAAAATAATTATCTTCTGAAAATATCCTGACAGATGTGAAACCACATAGCAACATGCTTCGCACACATTTGGACATATGTATTCATAGAGTTCTATATTTGGGTACTTCCATAGAAATCTTTAATAGCTAAAGCAGTGATTATTTACTATATTAAAGTGTTTTTCTGCATTATTTCATTTCATCTTAATGAAAATCTTAGTTAAGTTTATTAAACCCATTTTATAGGTAAGGCAACAAAGGCTTATAAAGCATAAGTAACTTGCACAAATACATAGAAATTTGTAAGTATTGGAGCCAGAATTCGGACCCAATTCTGTCCAAATCCCATCTCTTACTCAAGCTTCTTATTTTATAGATTAAAAATCAGAACCTTAGAAAGAAGAAATAATTTACTTGAGGACACATGTCTAACCACTGTTAGAGCACATCTTGGAACCCAAATATTCTGGCTCATATACAATACTAAGTGTTGATATTTGTTTGTTAAATTTATTTTTTTTCTTTTTTTTTTTTACATTTAGAAAACTCCAATTTTTATTTTTATTTCTTTATTTTATTTTATTTTATTTCTTATTTTTATTTTTCGCAGATAATTTTTGTAATTTTATTTTATTTATTTTTTTATGATTATTATTTATATTATTATTATACTTTAAGTTTTACGGTACATGTGCACATTGTGCAGGTTAGTTACATATGTATACATGTGCCATGCTGGTGCGCTGCACCCACTAACTCATCATCTAGCATTAGATATATCTCCCAATGCTATCCCTCCCCCCTCCCCACACCCCACAACAGTCCCCAGAGTGCGATATTCCCCTTCCTGTGTCCATGTGTTCTCCTTGTTCAATTCCCACCTATGAGTGAGAATATGCGGTGTTTGGTTTTTTGTTCTTGCGATAGTTTATTGAGAATGATGATTTCCAATTTCATCCATGTCCCTACAAAGGACATGAACTCATCATTTTGTATGGCTGCATAGTATTCCATGTTGTATATGTGCCACATTTTCTTAATCCAGTCTATCATTGTTGGACATTTGTGTTGGTTCCAAGTCTTTGCTATCGTGAATAATGCCGCAATAAACATACGTGTGCATGTGTCTTTATAGCAGCATGATTTATAGTCCTTTGGGTATATACCCAGTAATGGGATGGCTGGGTCAAATGGTATTTCTAGTTCTAGATCCCTGAGGAATCGCCACACTGACTTCCACAATGGTTGAACTAGTTTACAGTCCCACCAACAGTGTAAAAGTGTTCCTATTTCTCCACATCCTCTCCAGCACCTGTTGTTTCCTGACTTTTTAATGATTGCCATTCTAACTGGTGTGAGATGATATCTCACTGTGGTTTCGATTTGCATTTCTCTGATGGCCAGTGATGATGAGCATTTTTTCATGTGTTTTTTGGCTGCATAAATGTCTTCTTTTGAGAAGTGTCTGTTCATGTCCTTTGCCCACTTTTTGATGGGGTTGTTTGTTTTTTTCTTGTAAATTTGTTTGAGTTCATTGTAGATTCTGGATATTAGCCCTTTGTCAGATGAGTAGGTTGCGAAAATTTTCTCCCATTTTGTAAGTTGCCTGTTCACTCTGATGGTAGTTTCTTTTGCTGTGCAGAAGCTCTTTAGTTTAATTAGATCCCATTTGTCAATTTTGTCTTTTGTTGCCATTGCTTTTGGTGTTTTAGACATGAAGTCCTTGCCCATGCCTATGTCCTGAATGGTAATGCCTAGGTTTTCTTCTAGGGTTTTTATGGTTTTAGGACTAACGTTTAAGTCTTTAATCCATCTTGAATTGATTTTTGTATAAGGTGTAAGGAAGGGATCCAGTTTCAGCTTTCTACATATGGCTAGCCAGTTTTCCCAGCACCATTTATTAAATAGGGAATCCTTTCCCCATTTCTTGTTTTTCTCAGGTTTTTCAAAGATCAGATAGTTGTAGATATGTGGCATTATTTCTGAGGGCTCCATTCTGTTCCATTGATCTATATCTCTGTTTTGGTACCAGTACCATGCTGTTTTGGTTACTGTAGCCTTGTTGTATAGTTTGAAGTCAGGTAGTGTGATGCCTCCAGCTTTGTTCTTTTGGCTTAGGATTGACTTGGCTCTGCAGGCTCTTTTTTGGTTCCATATGAACTTTAAAGTAGTTTTTTCCAATTCTGCGAAGAAAGGCATTGGTAGCTTGATGGAGATGGCATTGAATCTGTAAATTACCTTGGGCAGTATGGACATTTTCATGATATTGATTCTTCCTACCCATGAGCATGGAATGTTCTTCCATTTGTTTGTATCCGCTTTTATTTCCTTGAGCAGTGGTTTGTAGTTCTCCTTGAAAAGGTCCTTCATATCCCTTGTAAGTTGGATTCCTAGGTATTTTATTCTCTTTGAAGCAATTGTGAATGGGAGTTCACTCATGATTTGGCTCTCTGTTTGTCTGTTGTTGGTGTATAGGAATGCTTGTGATTTTTGCACATTGATTTTGTAAACTGAGACTTTGCTGAAGTTGCTTATCAGCTTAAGGAGATTTGGGGCTGAGACAATGGGGTTTTCTAGATATACAATCATGTCATCTGCAAACAGGGACAATTTGACTTCCTCTTTTCCTAATTGAATACCCTTTATTTCCTTCTCCTGCCTAATTGCCCTGGCCAGAAGTTCCAACACTATGTTGAATAGGAGTGGTGAGAGAGGGCATCCCTGTCTTGTGAAAGTCCTGAGTGACCTACAAAGAGACTTAGACTCCCACACATTAATAATGGGAGACTTTAACACCCCACTGTCAACATTAGACAGATCAACGAGACAGAAAGTCAACAAGGATACCCAGGAATTGAACTCAGCTCTGCACCAAGCGGACCTAGTAGACATCTACAGAACTCTCCACCCCAAATCAACAAAATATACATTTTTTTCAGCACCACACCACACCTATTCCAAAATTGACCACATACTGGGAAGTAAAGCTCTCCCCAGCAAATGTAAAAGAACAGAATTTATAACAAACTATCTCTTGTTTGTTAAATTTAAAAAAAATCCATGAGAAATAGATCTTGATGACTAGAGAACTGCATTCATTTTTGATGAAGAAATAAAAGGGAAAACATTAGCAAATAATGTAATGGTCATAAAAGTGCATATTAAATTAATGATGAAACATTATTGCACTGTCAGAATACCAGTAATTTTTTTTAAGAAATACGTTTATAATATTTGTAAAATTACATTGATTGAATCTGATTGTTTTATATATAAAAAATGAAATAATTTTCTAAAAAATGAAATAAGGAAGTTGAAGTAGAATTATAAAAACACAGGTATAATACATTATCTAGAGCTTAGTAGCAAATCCTAAGCAAAATTCTGAGTAAAAGGAAAATACACGAGAAATACTTAAATATGACCAAATGATTTACCAGAAACCAGTTAGAAACATTTACCAAGTGGTAAAATCTAGATTATGACAAAAATTTCAGACATCATCCACTGGTGCCACTTGGGAGGTTTTAGATAATGCAAGACAATAATATAAACTAGTAAGGATAAACTTAGACAAAGGAACCAAATATCTGTGTTTGCTTATTATAATTACATACACAAACAAGAGTATTTATATAATTACCAGCTAAAAGATTAATATAATTTAATAATTTGTGCTAATATTTGAATATTAAAATGTCAAATGTCAAGATAGAAATGCAAAATGTAATAGCTTCTCTACCTAAATAGTATACAGTTAGAAATGGACATGATAATACTTAAAAATAAGATCATTCTTGGCACCCTTGTTGAATATCAGTTGATCATATATACATGGATTTATTTCTGTATTTTATATTGTGTTCTATTACTCTGTATGATTGTCTTTATGCAATACCATACTGTTTTGATTACTGTAGCTTTGTAAGGTATTTTCAAAGCAGGTGGTGTGATGTCTCCAACTTCATCCTTCTTTCTGCAGATTGATTTGGTTATGTGTAATTTTTTATGGTTCCATATGAAATAAAAAATTGTTTTGTCTATTTCTGAAAAAAAGCACCATTAGGATTTTAATAGAAGTTTTATTGAATCTGTAGGTCTCATTGGGTAATAGGGACATTTTAACAATATTGTCTTCCAGTCTGTGAACGTGAGATGTCTTTTCATTTGTTTGTGTTCTTTAATTTCTTTAATTGGTGTTTTGTAGTTTTCAGTAAACAAGTCTTTTACCTCCTTAGCTAAGTTTATTCTAAGTATTTTATTGTTTTTTAGGACTGTTGTAAATGGGGTTGTTTTACTAATTTAATCTCTACAAAAATAGCATTGGAAAATTGGATATCCACATTCAAGAATAAAATTGGACCCTTACCTTGCACTGTACTTAATAATCAACTAAAAATGGATTAAAGACACAAATGCAAGAATTGTAACTGTTAAACTCTTAGAAGAATACGTAGTTAAAAATATTTTCACATTTGTCTTGGCAATGACTTCATGGATGTGACACCAAAAGCACAGGCAACAAAAACAAACCAGTGAGACCACATCAAACTAGAAAACGTTTGCACAGCAAAGGAACCAATCACCAGAGCAAAGGCAACCTATAGAATGGGAGAAAATATTTGCAAACCGTGCAACTGATAAAGGATTAATCTCCAAAATATATAAGACAATATTCCATTTCAATAGCTAAAAATAATAACTCAATTTAAAAATAGGATAAAGACTTGAATATACATTTCTCTAAAAAAGACATACAAATGGCCAGCATGTGTATTTTTAAAATGTCCAATGCCACTAACAGGAAAATGCAAACAAAACCACAGTGAAATATTACCTCATACCTATTAGCATTGCTTATATTTAAAAACACAAAAGAGAAGTGTTGACAGGGATGTGGAGAAATTGGACTTTTTGCACTCTGTTAATGGGAGCACAAAATGATGTAGCCACTATGGAAAACAGAATGGAAGTCCCTTAAACAATTAACAGTAGACCATATGATCTAGCAGGCCCAGTTCTAGATATTTTCTAAAGGAATTTAAATTGGGATCTCAAAGAGATATTAGCAGTACCATGTTAATTGCAGCATTATGCATAATAGCTAATATGTGGGAAATCTATTGACAGATAAATGAATTAAAAATATGTACATAAAATGGAATGCTATTCAGCCTTAAAAAGGAAATTCTGCAATATGTAATAGGAGAGATGAGCCTTGAGGACATTATGCTACATGAAATAAGCCAGTCACAGAATCCCCAAACCTGACCACTCATACGAGGTATCTAAAATCGTCAAATTTATAGGATTAAAAAGTGGAATGGTGGTTACGAGGGGTTGAGGCATGGGAAATGGGAACCTACTAATCCATGGGCATAAAGTTTCAGTTACACAAGATGAATAAGTTCTATGGATCTGCTGTACAACATTCTACCTATAGTCAACAATATTGTATTGTACACTTAAAAATTTGTGTTGAGGGTATATCTCATGTTAAGTGTTCTTACCATGATAATATAACATTTTAAAAAATAAATAGAAGAGTGACTCAACCACAGAGAGCCAGTCTATATTAAAAAACTATAAAAATGTTATTAAATAATAGAAAACAAATATAGACATATAATTTAACATTTGATTAAAAAATGTCACCTTTTCCAAAATGTTCATGGAATTTAATATAGCTCTGTTCAGCATTTTGGCATTTCCTATGGAATTCTAGCTAACTGGTTAGATACAAAATAGGTAAGATGATTTTACATTCATATGAAACAATGACTGCCAACAATTTAGAGAAAATAATTATCAATTTAAAATATCAGCAAGAAACATAATATTACTACAGAAAACATAATTTGGTTAGAAGAGAGGATCAAATCACTCCATATAATTATAGAATTTTCCTTGTGGAAAAATGATCACTCTCAAATGTCATTAGAGGGGGTGTAAAGTGTTACATTATTTCTAGAATAAGCTCTGACAATATTATTTTTTTCTTTTAAAGCATAACCCCTCTGACTCAGCAATGTAATTTTAGGGTTCTATTCTGTAGGAAAATAATTACCAAAAATGAGTATTTATTATGTAACTTCTTGTTTGTTTGTTTGCCTTTTGCAGTGGCCTAGATCTAGAAACAACCTCAGTGAACATTAATTAAGAAAGTATTGACTAAATAATGGAATAATTGCATTCTGGAATACTATCAAACTACCAGCAATGAATTTGGTCTATTGTGACTACATATCCTGGATTCCCCAGGAAAGTCCCACTTTCGAATTGCCTTTCAAACACAGTTTTTATTAGCAGTCTTTCTTGGTTTGGATACTAAAATAAATATAGTTATCATTGCTTGATTTACCTCTGTTGATACGAAGGTTTTCTTTCAAGTGTTTCGGTATACATGTAAAGTAGTTGTAAAAAATTAAAAGTTATATGTAAATGTTTATATGACCATGCACAAAAGGATGGAAACATACTCCTCAAGTTGTCATTTTTGACTGTCAGGGTTTGGATTGAGGACCACATGTGCCTTTTGGGATTAAAAAAAATCTATAAAGCATATGTAAAAGGCAAAAAGACATTGAATAGCTGTCTTGGTTCCAAATTTATTTGAGAACTTCAAAGACCTTGTGCTTTTTTCATCTTTTAAAAATATTCCATTTTGTAATAAAGTCATTTCCTTGATGTGATTATATTATGGAGAATATCAGTTAATTTAAAAAATAACAATAGAAATGCTACAATTTCAGAAGTTATTACACATGCTTCATATTGTAGTATAGTTTCAGTTTATCTTTTCATCAGACCCATGATCTTATACCTGGTGCCATGCCCATTTGATAGTCCTTAGTAAGGGGGAAAACCGTACGTTTATTCAATACCTACCATGTGTCTGACACAATATTAGGTGCTCTAAAAATGTCTGTTATTATTTTAGAGATAAAGAACTAAGGCTTTATGCAGTTTAATTTTTCTGTCATTCCCACATGGAGGAAATATAGAGTCAATGTTAAAACTGAAGTCTGTCTGCCTTCCAGTCATTTCCACTGTAACATACTGCTGCCCATGCATTTACATTTCAGTTATTTTTAATTCTTACACTATTAATGTGTTTCTTTCTACTAGCATTGAAAGCTTTACACCACAGGAATTGTTTTCATTGGAGTTGCAATTCTCAAGTAAAAAATTAACCTGTGTTTAGAATTATGTCACCTTTCTCCACACTGCCAAATGCGCAAGAAACTATACATAGCACCAAGTTGTATTAACTTTGTTTTAAGGAAACACAACCTAAGGTTAGAAAAGATAAATGACTTCTCCAGCACCATGCTCCAAATCATGTAGAGTTAAAAATAGAATTTTGAACAAGTTAAATCCTTTTCAGCTTTTCAGTTTAGAATGCTATTTATAAGATGTCAGTGATTATCTGATTTTAGATCATGGCTATCTAAATTTTATTGTTTGCCAGGACTGGTAATGATTACAAGACATTAGTATTTTTGACTTGTTGAAAATAAGATTTTAAAAAGGCTCATTCAATTAAGAATGAGTTATGTTAGTCTGCCTTCAAAATCATTTGGCTTGTCCTTTATAGTGAACATACTGATTGAATAATATAAAATATTGAACATAAAAGGACAAGAAAAGTTTTAATTATGTGTTATTTCCATGCACCATTATCTAATGGACCCCTGCTAAATTTGGCTATTTTATCTGTAGCCATTAGATATTTTTAAGATATATGCTTCATCTTTCAACAGACATTTATTGAATATTCCATATGTGACAGGCACTCTTCTAAGAACTGAGAATAAAATACTGAACATAACCAAATTCTTGTTTTCATGAAACTTACATTATATTGGGAGAAGATCATACTTAGAAAATATATATAATATTATATGGTACATATTATACTTCAGGCAGTGGTAAGTGCTCTGAAGAAAAAGCAGATCAGAAATTAAAGTTGATGGAGAAATGATATTTTAAATGAGGGGATCAAGGCGGATCTCAGTTTGAATGTTGATTCAGTATTTCCTCCATGTAGGAATGATAGAAAAATTAAACTGCATAAAGTCTTAGTTCTTTAACTCTGAAAGACTAACAAACACTTTCAGAGCACCTAACATTGTGTCAGACACATGGTAGGTATTAAATAAATGTATGTTTTTTTCCACTTACTAAGGACTATCAAATGGGCATGGCTCCAGGTATAAGATCATGGGTCCAATAATATGACATTATACCTCAGACCTGAAGGAAGTGAAAGGTCAATAAGATAGAACAATATAGGTAGAGTGAAAAAAGAGAGTATAATGTTATCTGAGGTGGATCATGCATGGGATGACTGATGATAAGTTAGATGTAGTTGAAATGAATGAGTGAAAGGGGACATTGTAAAAGATGGAATCAGAGTAATAGCAGGGGAAAAGTAAATGTGAGACCATAGAAACTTGGTAAGGACTTTAGATTTAATTCTGAATGAAACAGAAAGGCATGAGATGATGAGATGATCTGACTTAAGTTTTCAAATAATCACTTGGGTTCTATATGCAAAATAGATTTGGGGGACAAGGACTGAAGTGAGATCATTTGGGAGGGCATTAAAAAGTCCATGTAAAAGATAATGATGGGGGTGGAGCCAAGATGCCCAAATAGGATCAGCTCCAGTCTACACCTCCCAGCTTGAGTAACGCAGAAGATGGGTGATTTCTGCATTTCCAACTGAGCTACCGGGTTCATCTCACTGGGGAGTGTTGGACGGTGGGTGCAGGACAGTGGGTGCAGCGCACCGAGTGTGAGCCAAAACAGGGCAAGGCATCGCCTCACCCGGGAAGGGCAGAGTCAGGGAATTCCCTTTCCTAGTCAAAGAAAGGGGTGACAGATGGCACCTGGAAAATCGGGTCACTGCCACCCTAATACTGCGCTTTTCCAACAGTCTTAGCAAATGGCACACCAGGAGATTATATCCTGCACATGTCTCGGAGGGTCCTACGCCCACGGATCCTTGCTCATTGCTAGCACAGCAGTCTGAGATCAAACTGCAAGGCAGCAGTGAGGCTGGGGGAGGGGCGCCCACCGTTGCCGAGGCTTGAGTAGGTAAACAAAGTGGCTGGGAAGCTGGAACTGGGTGGGGCCCACCGCAGCACAAGGAGGCCTACCTGCCTCTGTAGACTCCACCTCTGGGGGCAGGGCATAGCCAATCAAAAGGCAGCAGAAAACTCTGCAGACTTAAATGTCCCTGTCTGACAGCTTTGAAGAGAGTAGTGGTTCTCCCAGCATGCAGCTGGAGATCTGAGAACGGACAGACTGCCTCCTCAAGTGGGTCCCTGACCCCCGAGTAGCCTAACTGGGAGGCAACACCCAGTAGGGTCAGACTGACAACTCACATGGCCGGGTACTCCTCTGAGACAAAATTTCCAGAGGAACTATCAGGCAGCAACAGTTGCTGTTCACCAATATCCGCTGTTCTGCAGCCTCCACTGCTGATACCCAGGCAAACATAGTCTGGAGTGGACCTCCAGCAAACTCCAACAGACCTGCAGCTGAGGGTCCTGACTGTTAGAAGGAAAACTAACAGAAAGGACATCCACACCAAAACCCCATCTGTGCATCACCATCATCAAAGACCAAAAGTAGATAAAATCACAAAGTTGGGGAAAAAACAGAGCAAAAAAACTGGAAACTCTAAAAATCAGAGCACCTCTCCTCCTCCAAAGGAATGCAGCTCCTCACCAGCAACGGAACAAAGCTGGAATGAGAATGACTTTAACGAGTTGAGAGAAGAAGTTTTCAGACGATCAAACTACTCCGAGCTAAAGCAGGAAGTTCGAACCCATGGCAAAGAAGTTAAAAACCTTGAAAAAAAAATTAGATGAATGGCTAACGAGAATAACCAATACAGAGAAGTCCTTAAAGGACCTGATGGAGCTGAAAACCGTGGCACGAGAACTATGTGACGAATACACAAGCCTCAGTAGCCAATTCGATCAACTGGAAGAATGGGTATCAGTGATTGAAGATCAAATGAATGAAATGAAGTGAGAATTAGAGAAAAAAGAATAAAAAGAAATGAAAAAAGCCTCCAAGAAATATGGGACTATGTGAAAAGAACAAATCTACATCTGATTGCTGTACCTGAAAGTGATGGGGAGAATGGAACCAAGTTGGAAAACACTCTGCAGGATATTAACCAGGAGAACTTCCCCAATGTAGCAAGGCAGGCCAACATTCAAATTCAGGAAATACAGAGAACGCCACAAAGATACTCCTCAAGAAGAGCAACTCCAAGACACATAATTGTCAGATTCAACAAAGTTGAAATGAAGGAAAAAATATTCAGGGCAGCTAGAGAGAAAGGTGGGGTTACCCACAAAGGGAAGCCCATGAGACTAACAGCTGATCTCTCAGCAGAAACTCTGCAAGCCAGAAGAGAGTGGGGGCCAAAATTCAACATTCTTAAGAAAAGAATTTTCAACCCAGTATTTTATATCCAGCCAAACTAAGCTCCGTAAGTGAGGGAGAAATAAAATACTTTACAGACAAGGAAATGCTGAGAGATTCTGTCACCACCAGGCCTGCCCTAAAAGAGCTCCTGAAGGAAGCACTAACATGGAAAGGAACAACCGGTACCAGCCACTGCGAAAACATGCCAAATTGTAAAGACTATCGAGGTTAGGAAGAAACTGCATCAACTAATGAGCAAAATAACCAGCTAACATCGTAATGACAGGATCAAGTTCACACATAACAATATTAACCTTACATGTAAATGGGCTAAACACTCCAATTAAAAGACACAGACTGGCAAATTGGATAAAGAGCCAAGACCCATCAATGTGCTGTATTCAGGAAACCCATCTCACGTGCCGAGACACACATAGGCTCAAAATAAAAGGATGGAGGAAGATCTACCAAGCAAATGGAAAACAAAAAAAGGCAGGGGTTGCAACTCTAGTCTCTGATAAAACAGACTTTAAACCAACAAAGATCAAAAGAGACAAAGAAAGCCATTACATAATGGTAAAGGGATCAATTCAACAAGAAGAGCTAACTATCCTAAACATATATGCACCCAATACAGGAGCACCCAGGTTCATAAAGCAAGTCCTTAGAGACCAACAAAGACACTTAGACTCCCACACAATCATAATGGGAGACCTTAACACCCCACTGTCAACATTAGACAGATCAATGAGACAGAAAGTTAACAAGGATATCCAGGAACTCAACTCAACTCTGCACCAAGAGGACCTAATAGACATCTACAGAACTCTCCATCCCAAATCAGCAGAATATACATTCTTTTCAGCACCACACCACACCTATTCCAAAATTGACCACATAGTTGGAAGTAAAGCACTCCTCAGCAAGTGTAGAAAATAGAAATTATAACAAACTGTCTCTCAGACCACAGTGCAATCAAACTAGAACTCAGGATTAAGAAACTGACTCAAAACCGCTCAACTACATGGAAACTGAACAACCTGCTCCTGAATGACTACTGGGTACATAACGAAATGAAGGCAGAAATAAAGATGTTCTTTGAAACAAACGAGAACAAGGACACAACACACCAGAATCTCTGGGACACATTCAAAACTGTGTAGAGGGAAATTTATAGCACTAAATGCCCACAAGAGAAAGAAGGAAAGATCTAAAATTGACACCCTAACATCACAATTAAAAGAACTAGAGAAGCAAGAGAAAACACATTCAAAAGGTAGCAGAAGGCAAGAAATAACTAAAATCAGAGCAGAACTGAAGGAATTAGAGACACAAAAAACCCTTCAAAAAATCAATGAATCCAGGAGCTGGTTTTTTGAAAAGATCAACGAAATTGATAGACCGCTAGAAAGACTAATGAAGAAAAAAGAGAAGAATCAAATAGACACAATAAAAAATGATAAAGGGGATATCACCACCGATCCCACAGAAATACAAACTACCATCAGAGAATACTATAAACACCTCTACGCAAATAAACTAGAAAATCTAGAAGAAATGGATAAATTCCTCGACACATACACACTCCCAAGACTAAACCAGGAAGAAGCTGAATCTCTGAGTAGACCAATAACAGGCTCTGAAATTGAGGCAACAATTAATAGCTTACCAACCAAAAAAAGTCCAGGGCCAGATGAATTCACAGCCGAATTCTACCAGAGGTACAAGGAGGAGCTGGTACCATTCCTTCTGAAACTATTCCAATCAATAGAAAAAGAGGGAATCCTCCCTAACTCATTTTATGAGGCCTACATTATCCTGATACCAAAGCCGGGCAGAGACACAACAAAAAAAGACAATTTTAGACCAATATCCCTGATTAACATCGATGCAAAATCCTCAATAAAATACTGGCAAACTGAATCCAGCAGCACATCAAAAAGCTTATCCAACATGATCAAGTGGGCTTCATCCCTGTGATGCAAGGCTGATTCAACATATGCAAATCAATAATTGTAATCCAGCATATAAACAGAACCAACGACAAAAACCACATGATTATCTCAATAGATGCAGAAAAGGCCTTTGACAGAACTCAAGAGCCCTTGATGCTAAAATCTCTCAATAAATTAGGTATTGATGGGACATATCTCAAAATTATAAGAGCTATTTATGACAAACCCACAGCCAATATCATCCTGAATGGGCAAAAACTGGAAGCATTCCCTTTGAAAACTGGCACAAGACAGGGATGCCCTCTCTCACCGCTGCTATTCAACATAGTGTTGGAAGTTCTGGCCAGGGCAATCAGGCAGGAGAAGGAAATAAAGGGTATTCAATTAGGAAAAGAGGAAGTCAAATTGTCCCTGTTTGCAGATGACATGATTGTGTATCTAGAAAACCCCAGCGTCTCAGCCCAAAATCTCTTCAAGCTGATAGGCAACTTCAGGAAAGTCTCAGGATATAAAATCAATGTGCAAAAATCACAAGCATTCTTATACACCAATAACAGACAAACAGAGAGCCAAATCATGAGTGAACTCCCATTCACAATTGCTTCAAAGAGAATAAAATATCCAGGAATCCAACTTACAAGGGACATGAATTACCTCTTCAAGGAGAACTACAAACCACTGCTCGAAGTAATAAAAGAGGATACAAACAAATGGAAGAACATTCCATGCCCATGGGTAGGAAGAATCAATATCATAAAAATGGCCATACTGCCCAAGGTAATTTATAGATTCAATGCCATCCCCATCAAGATACCAATGACTTTCTTCACAGAAATGGAAAAAAACTAAAGTTCATATGGAACCAAAAAGGAGCCCGCATTGCCCAGTCAATCCTAAGCCGAAAGAACAAAACTGGAGGCATCACGCTACCTGACTTCAAACTATACTACAAGGCTACAGTAACCAAAACAGCATGGTACTGGTACCTAAACAGAGATATAGACCAATGGAACAGAACAGAGCCCTCAGAAATAATGCCACATATCTACAACAATCTGATCTTTGACAAACCTGAGAAAAACAAGCAATGGGGAAAGGATTCCCTATTTAATAAATGGTGCTGGGAAAACAGGCTAGCCATATGTAGAAAGCTGAAACTGGATCCCTTCCTTACACCTTATACAAAAATTAATTCAAGATGGATTAAAGACTTAAACGTTAGACCTAAAACCATAAAAACCCTAGGAGAAAACCTAGGCAATACCATTCAGGACATAGGCATGGGCAAGGACTTCATGTCTAAAACACCAAAAGTAATGGCAACAAAAGCCAAAATTGACAAATGGGATCTAAGTAAACTAAAGAGCTTCTGCACAGCAAAAGAAACTACCATCAGAGTGAACAGGCAACCTACAGTATGGGAAAAAATTTTTGCAATCTACTCATCTGACAAAGGGCTAATATCCAGAATCTACAATGAACTTAAACAAATTTACAAGAAAAAACCCCATCAAAAAGTGGGTGAAGGATATGAACAGACACTTCTCAAAAGAAGACATTTATGCAGCCAAAAGAAACATGAAAAAATGCTCATCATCACTGGCCATCAGAAAAATGCAAATCAAAACCATAGTGCGATATCATCTCACACCAGTTAGAATGGCGATCATTAAAAAGTCAGGAAACAAGAGGTGCTGGAGAGGATGTGGAGAAATAGGAACACTTTTGCACTGTTGGTGGGACTATAAACTAGTTCAACCATTGTGGAAGTGAGTGTGATGATTCCTCAGGGATCTAGAACTAGAAATACCATTTGACCCAGCCATCCCATTACTGGGTATATACCCGAAGGCTTATAAAACATGCTGCTATAAAGACACATGCACACATATGTTTATTGCGGCACTATTCACAATAGCAAAGACTTGGAACCAACCCAAATGTCCAACAATGATAGACTGGATTAAGAAAATATGGCACATATACACTATGTAATACTATGCAGCCATAAAAAACGATGAGTTCATATCCTTTGTAGGGAGATGGATGAAGCTGGAAACCATCATTCTCAGCAAACTATCACAAGGACAAAAAACCAAACACCGCATGTTCTCACTCATAGGTGGGAATTGAACAAAGAGAACCCATGGACACAGGAAGGGGAACATCACACACCGGGGCCTGTTGTGGGGTGGGGGAAGGGGGGAGGGATAGCATTAGGATATATACCTAATGTTAAATGAAGAGATAATTGGTGCAGCACAACAACATGGCATATGTATACATATGTGACAAACCTGCACGTTGTGCACATGTACCCTAAAACTTAAAGTATAATAAAAAAAAGAAATTTCA
Source organism: Homo sapiens (assembly GCF_000001405.40). Lineage (NCBI taxonomy): Eukaryota > Metazoa > Chordata > Mammalia > Primates > Hominidae > Homo > Homo sapiens. Next base: position 87,391,259 of record NC_000008.11, read on the forward strand.
AATAAAAAAAAGATAACGATTGCAGATACCTCAAATTGATGCACAAATTCAATGCAGTCCCTATCAAAACCCCAGCTTGATTATTTTCAGAAAGCCACAAGCTAATCCTAAAATTCGTATGGAAACACAAGAGTTTCAGAGTTGCCAGAACAATCCTGAAAGAGAACAAAGCGGACAGACATACACCTCCCAATTTCAAAACTGACTACAAAGTGTATGTGTATTGGCAAAAGAGTAGACATGTGTAACAATGGAATATAATTGAATGTCCATAAATAAAACCTTATTTTTATGCCTAGTTGATTTTTTGACAGGTTGCTGAGATAATTCAATAGGGGAAGAATAATCTTTTCAACAAATCATGCTGGGATAATGGGATAATAGAAGACTGAAGTTGGATCCACACTTTGCACAAAAATTGACTCTAAATGGGTCGTAGAGATCATAGACTTAATTGTAAGAACTAAAACTGTACAACTCTTAGAAGAAAATTTAGAAGTAAATCTTTGTGACCTTGGGTAAAGCGAACCCTTTTCAGACACAAAAGCCCAACCAAAAAATGAAACAAAATAAAGTAATTTGGCCTTCATAAAAATCAAAAACTTTTGTGCTGCAAATGACACTATCAAGAAAGTGATGTGAATCCACAGAATGTGAGAAAATTGCAGATAATTTCTATGACAAAGACTTTATACCCAGCATGTAAAAAGAACCACAACTGTGTAATTAAAAATTAATGAAGGGCAGGAATGGGCCTTTCTCTAAAGAAGAATGGCTGATAAGCACAGAAAAAGGTACTCACTTTCACTAGTTATTAGGAAGATGAAAATCAGAACAGCAGTGAGATAAGATTTCATACCTACTATTTTGAAAAATTATAAAATATAGACAATAACAAGTGTTGTCAAAGATGTGAAAAAATTCGTGCTCTCATACATAGCTTGTGGAAATGTGAAGGGGTACAGTCACTTTGAAAACAACATGGCAGTTTCTCCACAAGTTCAACATATATTTACTATATTACTGAGCATTTCTACTTCTAGGTCTATATCCAAGAGAAGTGAAAACATATGTACATGCAAAATCTTGTACATGAATTAAAGTTTGTAACAGCATTATTCATAATAGCCAAAAATCAGAAACAACTAAAAAGTTCATTAACCGATGAAGGGATAAATTAAAATGTCATAAGCATATTCTGGAATATTCAGCAATAAGAAGGAATGAAGTCCTGATACATGAAATAATCTAGATGAACCTTGAAAACTTTTTGCTAAGTGAAAGAAGTTAGAAACAAAAAATTACATATTGTATGATTTCATTTATATGAAATGCACAGAATAGGCAAATCTGTATCAGAAAGTCGATTAGCTGTTGCTAGGCATGAGGAAGAGGGTGGAGAGGAATGAAGAGTGGCTACTAAATCATATGTGTTTCTTTTGGGGGTGACAAAAACATTCCAAATTAGATTCCAGTGATGATTGCCCAACTCTGTGAATATAATGAAAAACAATAAATTGTTCACTTCCAAATGGGTAAACTGTGTTGTACGTGACTTATATCCCAATAAAGCAGTTAATATTTTTTCTAAGAGATGATGATGTCTGGGACTAGCTTGGGAATATTGAAGGCGATGGGAAGTCTTATTCTAGATGCATCAGGGTAAACAATGACATGGCTAGCATTTAACTAGTTTTTATTTATAAAAAGAGAATTTCAAGTGGTTCTACGTAACATTTTGAAGATTTATTTAGAGGTTTTTGATGTTAGGACTGTGTGATGACTCCTAAGGCTTAGGACAGAGGAATTATAAATATGAGGATGTCATTTACTGGAATCTAAAAGATTGAAAGTAGAGTAATTTTGTGACTGGAATCAAGAGATTATTTTTAGGCATGTTAGTTCTGCAGAGACTAGAATATTACCAAGTGGATGTTCCAGTGAGCAGGGAGGCAGTAGTCCCCTATTTAGGAGAAAGCGAGAGAAATAATTTACTCTGACTGGACTCAAGCATAGGTCATACTGTGACTAGGTAATGTTTCTTGCTCTTTTGATAATATTCTCCCTCCAGAAACAGTCCATCTGTGCTGCCAATTAGATAAGATGTGACCAAGTCATCTTAATTCCTTACTAAAGAAATAAAGATCAGGATTTGAAAGTACACATATGCACTAAATTATTATTAGTCATTGCATTTTATTCAACATGAGTTCACTTTTTTTACAAAGCATCTACTCCGTAATCAGGAGTAGGCTTTGGGAATTGCAAAAGAACTATAAACCATGGTTTCTTCCCCCAAAGACATTATGGTTTGGACACAATAATAGTCTGGCTTGTGAAAATAAAAAGTAAGTGACAACCAAATGATAGAAATATAAAAGTACAAAGAGATGAATGTAGTATGTGCAATAGACTAGTGAAAGTTAAATGCCAAGATGAGTGGTTAAAATCTTAAGAACTATGCCTGAGAAGAGGGAGAGAAAACCACCCTGAACAGGCACAGTCAGAGAATGTTTATGAAATGAGACTTCTTCTAGGCTTCAAAACAGAGCAGATTTGGATACATTAATGGAAGAGAGACAGGTAATCAAAACTGGAGAGAACAAATGTGAGTGTTAGTGAAAAGATCGAATTACACATTGGCTATTTAGAAAATAGTGAATAAAAAAACACTATCCAAAGGCCAGTATCCCAAGAGCACAATATGTAATGCACTTACTTGAGTAAATGACCAGTCTGAATGGAGAAGAGAGTCCAATCAACTTCTAGTTTAAAAATAAAATAATAGTAACAATAATTTAAAAGGTACATGCTTATTTCTATGGACATGATCACAGGCTATATTTTGCCATTTGTTGATAGGGCGTAACAATCACCCACATAGAATATTTTATGAGCATGTTACACTATGGACTATTTAAAATCAGAATTGCCTTAAAGCATTACAACCTGCTTAGTGAAATAAAATAAGAAGACTCCTAACAATGCAAAGCGTTGCTAAATATCAAGTAATTGGCTTCAGTTCTTATCATAATGCATGCACAGGTGAGGGGACTGGGGAATAAAAAGAAGCAGAATAGTTCAACTTCACATATATTCAGGTCTATCTGCAATTTAAATTCAGAAATTTGAATCCCAGACACGAACCAACTTATCCTGACACTTTTCTATTTTTATCTTGTTTGTCACCATTTGCATTCTCCCCTTATTCTTTCTGTCTGTCTTCCTCAAATACACCACACACAACCCTGCCCCCACATAAAAGAATAAGTGGTGAGAAAGGTTAGCACAATTATTCCTGTTGTTTTATCTGCTTTTAACTGTATAGTCAATGCCATGGTGATAAACATCTACCCTTCTTCATAGATGCGTGTTTTGTTTTCAGAATAGTTAAGATTGTAAAATACCTGTTTTATTTTTCTAGTTAGAGAGCACCTATCCATGCATAAAAAGAAAACATAAACTCTTCTTTATTTTTTAACAAATTGTTTTAAGTTTAAGATAATTAAACTCATCTGTTTGGTTAAGTTTTATAAATGTTTAAATTTTATGGCTCTTTTTCTGCTGGTTTTTAAAAGAAAATGGGTATTTTACACTATTTTTTACTCTGGACAAAGAAAAGTCTCTGTTACTACCAAAATAAAGCAAAGCAAGATGAGACATTATTACCATTAAGTAAATTCACTAACCCACCAAATTAAGTAATTGAATTAAAGTAAAACGATAGTGTTTTAACGTTGTATCCCCACTTTGCCTGCTAAGCATAGATTGACAGCTCAAAAGCACTTCGCTTAATGTTTTTTTTACTCAAAATACAATAACATAAAGTTAAATGTATGCTTTGAACTAGGCAAATATGACTATAGAGTCCTTTTAACATGATAATAAGTAATATTAGGTGAGCATCATTCTACTCTCTACTTTCATTAGTACCACTTTTGCGTTATGTATTTTAAAGTTGCAAAAACAAGTAATCATAGATGAATTGAAATGTTATGAGGATACATAGCTTCCTGTATGCTTGTGATATTGGCATAGTATATATTTTTTGCCAGTAGTGAAAATAATGTTCTTGCTGCTACTCTGGATTTTAGAACACAAGTTATGGAGAAGAGGGAAGGGAACAATATTTGAGGAATATAGCATATGTTATATAATATATTGAAGTGTTCATTTAAGAAACATGTATTCATTTTCTAATATGTGCCAAGTAATGTGAAAATGCTACAATAAAGGTTTTAAAAAGTAGTTCTGAGTATAATAGAAGTATAAAAATATTAAAAGTATTGTTATCTTTAAAACAGTGGTACTAAACCTTTGTGTTAACTCTTCTGAGAATATTATGAAGGCTAATGATCATTCTCTCTAAAAGCAGTAGAGGGGGTGGTATCACAGGCATAAGAACACAGTATTTCCCATGCATTTTAGAAGTTCATAGAGGTTAATGCAACACAGATGATATGGTATGGCTGTATCCCCACCCAAATCTCATCTTGAATTGCAGTTCCCCTAATCCCCACGTATCATGGGAGGGACCTGGTGAGAGATAATTGAATCATGGGGGTGGTTACCTGGATTCATACTGTCAGCGTTATAGTGAGTGAGTTCTCACAGGATCTGATCATTTTATAAGGGGCTTTTCTCCTCCTTCGCTCAGTACCTCTCCTTACTGCCGCCATGTGAAGAATGACATGTTTACTTCCCCTTCTGCCATAATTGTAAGTTTCCTGAGGCCTCCCAGCCCTGAAGAACTGTGAGTCAATTAAACCTCATTCTTTTATAAATTACTCAGGCTCGGGTATGTCTTTATGAGCAGAGTGAGAAATGACTAATACAACAGATAAAGATACCACTGTCTAATGAATGACTATGTATAGAAGAGGAAATATTTGAGGAAGTTTGAATATAGCCCTTTAATGTGTTTTCCTCAATCTCATTCCTTCCTTAGGACCATTGTGACTTATGAGATACTACAGTCTTCTTCAGTTCTTTGCAGGTGTTTGTCTATAGTTTCATACAACAATCTATGCAGTTATAGCAATTAACTTTTTCCCAAACACCTTATCATTTGTTATTTAGGAATACAGAATTTCCCTTAAATTATTCTGACTTGAAATGTTACCTCCTGTCACTGAAATCTACATGCCTAACTTATAATCAGCTGCTTTTGCTGGTGGTGCCTTAAACATGTGTTATTTATAATACTATGTATGCCTGTGTTTCTTACTTCATTGGTAAGTCTTCCGTGGCACAGATATTTACCAGGAATGAGAAGAATTGACTTTTATATTTGTATTTAAATATCATTTTAATTTACATTTTCTTATGACTGTTGAATATTTCTTATATATTTATTTGATATTTTCATTTCCAGTTCTACTATAACCTATTATAGCTCTTATCTGTTTTCATTGATTTGTCCCTTTTTAATCAATTCATATTAATTTTATCATATCAGTAGTATTAAAAGTTTTCCTTTTACATATATTGGAAATAATTTCTTCAGTCCATCTATTGTCTCTTTTGTAATATTTTCAAATACCACCCCCTCGCTTAAAGTATTTAGAGCTATCATTCCCCTTCCCTCTTTGTGACTTCTTGGTTTTCTTTCTAATGTGTTATAGTTTGTTTTCTTTTTTTTTTTTTCAAGTAGTTCTTTAAATCATCTGGAACTTCTTTTCATGTAATTCATGGATTAATCCCTCCTTCAATGAATCACGTATAACTAATTTCCCAAACATGTATTTTAAAATCTATTATTTAACCTTTGGTTTTAGAGGCAAGCTTTTAAAATATAATTTTTGATCTATCTCTAGACTCTTGATTATTTGACTGTTGCTCATTTTACAGTACCAGCTTTGTATTTGTTAGAGCCACTCTTGCCTTATTTTTTTATTTTGCATATATTTTGGGTTATTCTTATGCCCTATTTCTTTCAGAGCTGCAAAGTTTATTTACACTGGAATTAGGCAAGTGATAATAATATTTATACTATTAGGAGAAAGGAACAGCCTCCCATGACTAGAAATGTTTGTATCACTTGTTCAGAATACCTACTTTCCTAGTTAGTGTGCTTCATCCATCATCTTGACCCAGTCCTGTAATAAGGCAATATTGATAAACCAAATTATCATTTGTTTTGTAAGAGTGAAATCAGTGCAAGACATGATATTCGGGCACATTTTGCCTAAGTGCTGGGAAATGTTGATGAAATATAACTTTGCCACAAAACTAAATTTACCTCTACTAATGGCAGATAGTTCATGACAAGAGACAGACATTATATCTTTCTTGAAGAGTGCTAGAAATGTAGTGAAATATATATATTTTTAATTCACAGTATTCAGAATTCATGTAGATTATCTTCCTTTTAGTGCAACATAAAATAACCACATATATGCAATTGTGGTCATGGCTTTAATTTTGCTGTTATCACAAACTGATGATTAAGTTATTATCATCTGGTATAGTCTAGCTCTTTGTTCCCACTCAAATCTCATTTTGTAGCTCCCATAATTCCCTTGTGTTGTGGGAGGGACATGGTGGTTGATGACTGAATCATGGGGGCAGGTCTTTCCCATGTTGTTCTCATGATAGTGAATGGGTCTCACAGATGTGATGGTTTCAAAAATGAGAGTTTCTCTGCACAAGCTCTCTCTTTGCCTGCTGCCATTCACGTAAGATGTGACTTGCTCCTCCTTCCCTTCTGCCATGATTATGAGGCCTCCCCAGCCATGTGGAACTGTAAGTCCAATAAACCTCTTTCATTTGTAAATTGCTCAGTCTCGGGTATATCTTTATCAGTGAAAATGGACTAATACGTCATCAATTTTCTCTAAGTTTTTAGATATCAGCATCTTTATAATATGGCCTGGATTATACCTGTGTTGTCAGCAAACACCTTTTTGCAAGGGTTCTCATGTTATATTAATAGATTTGAAATATTTTCTTATTTTCTTATAAATCTATTTTCTGGAGATATCTAAGCATTCATGTATAGATTTTGGTAAGTTTAAAAATTAGACATTTTCCATTTCTAGTACCATCCAATTTTATTCCTATTTGTTGCCAAATACAGGGCCCTCTTTTTCAGAGAAAATGGACTTCCAGAGAAAATAGAAATTCTGTAGTTCTACATGAGCCTATTTGTGGACCAGTTTGTTGATATGTACCAAAAAATGTAATAAACATTTGCTGTGTGTGTGCCTGTTTGAGTGGCATATGTTTAACCTGCATAAAAATATACATTCTGGTGATCCCTCTCAATTTTTCCAAATGCTTTTCAGCATATTTTCACTCTCAGTTGCTTACATTTCCATAAAACCGTGGATTGCTTTACATAATCCTTCTTTTTAAAAAACCTGATTCATCCTCCTTTTATTATATTCCACACATGCCTTTCATCACTGCAAGTCTCAGGGAGGCCTATATGGTTGGATATAATTCCTCTGTCTTAGAAGTTTAAATTCACCATGCCTCCCATGCTCAGTACATTAGGAAGTAAACATATTTTGCCTTAAGGCTTCTACATGCCATTTTTAAAGTTTCTCCTAGGACTTATTGGGCTTTAACTCTATTGTTAATATTGTTTTCAGAATATTTACTGACCAAGACAGGCAGTAAATCTAAAACCACTATCAGACCCACCTATTCTCCTGTGAAGAAAATTATCCCCTTAGTGGGATATTTTTTCTACTTGTCAGAGAGATTGTTATTCTTCACTGCTTAATTCTTTATTTGAATCAAGGAGATCCCCTCCCTACCCCACGCAACTCCTAGAGATTAAAGATGCAAAAAGAAAACTACTTATTTCATTTATTGATTTCATTATAATGGAACAGTATATTTCTGTTTTATTTTCATGTCTTAATTTCAGTTACTCTACCAGTTTAACCTGAGATGATTCAATAGCTGATGGTTATTTTTGTTACTATTGATTTGTTTCTTTTATGTTTAAATATGAGACATGGTACTCAATAAGTAAGAATTTTAAAACAGCTGCCAAATATGTGCTTGTCGTGAGGATACCCAGCCATGGCAGGGTTAGCCTTGGACACTGTGCATGTGCACAATAGGAATGATTTAGGGTCACTAGGACCTTTCCTGAGTCTTTTCTCTGTTCTCCCCAACACCACCCACCTCTTCATTTGTGAACATTATGAAGGAAATCACTTAATTGGAGGTAAACTTGTCTGAAATAAATCAATACAATTTTAAGAGCTTTGCCTCTGGAATGAGACTACTAGATTTCAAATCTGGGCCAGCACTTACAGTCTGAGTTATCCTGGATAATTTATGAACCTAATATAAAGCCCCTAATGCCAAAAGTTCAATCAAATGAGAGCAGGAGTGTTATTCAAAATATTTAACCCTTGGTAAAGCCTAAGCTCTGATCCATTCTAAGGAGTGCTTTTCAGAACAGGATCCTAAGGCATCCCTGACCAGTGAACCATCGTGTATTTAGCAGTGGGGCATTATGGGATCTGGAGCAGCTTAGGTGCTGGTAGGATAGTTATGGTGCTTGGACAGTGATTATTTAACTCAACTGGTGAAAAAGTATTTCAATGTTTTAACTGGTACAGCTGAACTAGAGTAACCCAGAACCATCACTGAAATTAATTATTTACATCAGATCTTTCCCAGGCACATTTTTTTTTCCTAAGGAGAAGGAAGAGCAATGACATCAGAAAATGATAAAAGGCAGGACATAACCAAGACCACTGGAAAGGGAAACAAGAATTGGAACCCCCCAAATACATGTTGTCTAATTCACAGATAATCAGTGGTCACGGCACCAGCAATATCACATTCCATAGGTTCTTCCAGGGGCAAGATCCTTCTTGAGCCTCACCTTTTGTTCCTGTCTGAGCGACTCCCGAGGATTCTCATAGATTTTGTGAACTACCAATTATCCATCTGCTAAAATCCTTTTCTACCTAAGTTAACTAGATTTATGGTTGGTGCAAAGGTAATTGCATTTTTGCCATTACTTTTAATGGCAATTACTTTTGCACCAAACTAATAATTTCTCTGATTTACAACTGAGAAGATTATTTAAAAATCTGGTACCAGGACTGGATTGCTGGAATTGATACACCTTAATGTGTAGAATTGAATTCCTGAAAGACTACCATTCTTGGGTAGAAAACTGAAAAGAAAAAATCAATATTTGGTTAAATTATTACATTCTACATTTGAAATAAGAGCAGTATCTTAAGGAACTTGTTAGAAAAATGTCAGCATGTGGCAGTGTGTTGATCAATTCTAATGGCCATCAATAAAATTTTTCAAGATAGACCCAAGTTCAGGACACAAGGAACTAACAAAAGAATGGTTTTAATAATAGATGCCATTTATCCCTGTCATTGCTATCCAAATTGACTACAAGATTGATAATTTGACTTTTTGCATTGTGGAAAATAGTCTGTAATACAAATTTAAGATCTGATATTCTGGGGTGGAAAGACAGAAGAATTCTCAAAGGAAAAAAAATTACTTATCCTCTGAGATAAGTAAAAGATAAATCTAAACTCTTAAACCTCTTGTGATACCTCTGGTTGACATAGTGATTTCAACTTTGGCTGCTTATTGCTTTTTAAAGAATAATCATGCTTTGTTGCCAGCCCCTGAAATTCTTATTTAATTAATTTATCTCAGAAAGTGGATTAGACATTGTTTCTTAAAAACATCTCTAGGTAATTTTTGAGAAATGATTCTTGTTGAAGTCTTTGGGATTGAGGCTAAAGGACAGAATCATATTCCAAGTTTTAATTTATCTCAGTTTAAAGCCATCACTTTGTGAACTAGAGAGTGATTAGTGTACAAAAGCTTGCAGTGAGGCAACAAAAATTCCTACACTCCAAAGCTACATATAAATATAATCTTTGGATATGTTTTCTAGCCAACCAAATAAACCCAAAGCAAATATATTGGAAACCTATTGAGGTTTTTAAGATAACCACATTGAAATCAATAAATCTAAATCTCACAGATGAGAACCTGAGATATTTAATTCCTAAGGCCATCCCCAATTCCCTAAATTTACATCAAAATCAAAGAGATTGCTAATGCCTTGATTCCTTCAGAAGGGGAAAGTGTCAATGCCCCTCCCATATATGGCCACAAAGGAAAAGGGGCAAAAGTTAACCACAGATGCTAGAAGCTTGGGCTGCTCTATTGGGTGACCAAGGAATGCCCTTCAGTGCTGAGAGAGACTTTTCACTGTGCCTTTGGATCCAATAGGATATGTGTTCTGTGCTAATGAACATTATGCATTGTTTATCTTTCTTGTTTTTTATGTTATTTTTTGTTGTTGTTGACTTTTTTACCAATGATGCATATTTCAGTTAGAGGTTGCTGGGCCATGAGAATCTGCATCCATGCTTAACAGAAATGTCAAAACAATATCTACCTAACCTTTAAGCTACTTGCAAATCTCAATTAGTTTTATTTGGTAAGATGTTAATGATTTTCGTAGAAGCATGGATTTTTTAAAAAAATTTAAACAAGTAAAGCTATACATAAATATTGAGTTCCTGATATCAATTATGCTTTTCCACATTAAGGAACACCAATATCATTTGATAATTAAACACAGAATAACAGGTAGGCCTGAATGATATAAGGGCCCTCTCTTCCTTGTGCACAATTGGCTTAGGAGAGGACATGTGACCTAATTCTGACTAAATAATTTCAAGGAAGGTGTATTAGTTCATTTTCATACTGTTATGAAGAAATATCCAAGACCTGGTAATCCATAAAGAAAAAGAGGTATAAAGTACTTACAGTTCTACATATCCAGGGAGACCTCACAATCATGGTGGAAGGTGAAGGAGGAATGAAGGCACATCTTACATGGTGGCAGGCAAGAGAGCAAGTGTAGGGGAACAGCCTTTTATAAAACCATCAAATCTCATGAGATGTTTTCACTGTCACGAGAATATCACAGGAAAAACCCGCCTCCATGATTCAATTACCTCCCACCGGGTCCCTCCCAAAACATGTGGAGATTATGGGAGCTATAAGTCAAGATGAGATTTGGGTGGGGACACAGTCAAACAATACCAGAAGGTTTTCACGAGCATTTCAGGAAGCATTCTTTTTCACTCTCACAAAAGAGCAGTAGTGAGCAATCAACTTAAGAAACTGCCCTGCCTCTGGATTAATGTACATCAATTAATTTCCATTTGAGGCATAAATATTAATAATTTGGGTTAGGCAATTTGGGCTTGGTGTTTTTGAATAGGTTTTCTTTTAACTATAGCTGAGATGGACATAAGGACCGAGCATGAGCAAAGGCACAGAGGCAAAATATCAATTGTGTGGGAGTCCAAACTTTATTCATTGTTTCCTCTTATAGTCTCTGATACACATTGTATCATGGTGCATGAAACTGGAAAAGCTGGCCAGGGCCAAATCTCAGGGGATTTTTTATGCCATGTTAAGGAGTTGTAATCATCCAATTTTAAATCCAGTGCCATTAAAGTGTTTTAGGGAAGTGAAATGGAAAGACTGGTACTCAGATATATGTGGAGTAGAACAAAATGTGAAAATGAGAGCAGAAAATAGAATGGAAGCAAAGCCATCTAATGGAGACTATTGCAATAGTTAAATGTAGTTTGGGGAATAAATATTGAAGAATGGAGCTACTGCTGTACAAGCACACAAGCATACTTAGTAATGTAATGTTTATATCATACAATTGTGTTATCTCTCCAAGGAAAGTATTTATGTATTTTATCATATTCAGTTAAGGAGGAATTCAAATTGACTAGCTAAATTGAATTTATTGCTTTCTTAATAAATGGCTTTTCAGGTTTCCTCATAAAGATGCTTAAAATTGGTGGAATTAGAAGCACCAACATAGAAAATAAAAAAAAAATTGATTTAATTTTTTAAAACATCACTACAGCTGATGTTTTGTCAATGTGCCTTTCAAAAATATAGTTTGAGACCCATTATTAAACACTTCTGCTGGTGAGCAAGAGGTTGGGCTGTACATCTTGTTTGCATCAGCAGTTAGTTTCATCTATTTTGGGGCACAGCATCAAGCACTATAGGGAATGGCAAGAGCATTCTCCTGAAATATATGGCACTTGTCGTAGATAGACCGAAAATGGAATATGGCCAATAGAGAGAAGAGTTACCTCCACTTATTACTTAGTTAACCTTGTTTCAATTACCCTAGTTTCAATTTCCGCGTGCTACTCCATCCCTTAACTATTTGTTCATTATCATCATAGAAGAATTAAGACAGTTTATGAAGCAGATACATTTAGGTTTTCTTTGAGATTTTCTGAATGTTGCTTTACTTCTCTCACACTGGATTTTCTCATATATAAAATGTGGCTTAATCTGTATTTTATTCTTGCACAAGGGAGGCACTCATTAAAGGGAAGTAGCTTTTTTAAAAAAATTATTATTGTAATTATATTTACGACAACAGTTACTACTACTACCGAGAACTAGAGATCAGATATTTTCTAAGTAAATCAGTAAACAACTTGACCAAAATTTCAAGATGTGTTTTTTATATGCTTCAACACAAATCATTTGAGTTTTAGCAATTCTTTTGGATCCCTGGATGCATTTCACGTAAGGAAAAATTATGATCAGGGTACCAGACCCAATCTATGAAAGCCACTCTCCCCCATGATGTGATTTGCTTACAAATAGTGCTATCTGAACAGTAAATAACCATGATTTATTGGTAAGATGTTTCTTTTAGTTTACACTTCAGATGTCCAGATCAACTGAGAGCACTATTAGAGAGAGGTTTGCTGCATGCATCCTGTTGAGGAATCCAGCAGAGAACTATCTGATGAAAGGCCATATTCAGGGAAGGTATTAGATCAAGAGAGAAGAAGGAGACAGCAGGGGAGAAACTCAGATGGAAGTTTTTATGTCAGCAAGTATAAGAGATCCAACGTGGGCAGTGGCAGGGGTAGGGAAGTGGGGATTTGTTCAAAAGTTGGAACAGCTTGTTTATGGCTCATGCAATATTGAATTAGTAGTTTTGTGATATCTAACAAACTGTAACAATTCCAAAAGTGATTGGTCATCACTTTTCATCATTGCCATGTTACCTCAGTTGGTGCTTTGATACTTAAAAAAGAAATGGTTATGTACACTTAAGTGGCAATATCCTGACCTTTTTGTTATTCTTGACAAAATTGGGTACTGAGTTTCATTTCCTGAACTTTCCCTCCACTTTTCACAGAACAAGATTTATGGTGTCGAAATCATTTGCAAGGACTAGTTATTTTTCTTGCTGCAAATTCCTTGAATTAATTAATACAACTCACGCTGGTCAAATTAGTGCTAAATTTGTTGCATGTAGAAGTGGTTCTTTTTGTTCGTTTATGTCCTGTTTGGAAAAATGGATCTGTAGTACCCACAGTGTATACATCTGTGTTTAAATTTGGGTTTAGCTGCTTGTATATTTGATTGAAAATGGAAATCCTCATATTCTCTTTCCAGTATGTAAGGATATTAGCAAATAACTATCATTTAATTTACTATCCAGATCTTCTGCTACTAGTCAGTCATCCTTTTTATTTAATCTTTTTCTGCAGGCAACAATGTTTTGCAAAACTTTCTGAAATGTGATGGAGCTACATTTTAAAATGGCATCTTTGCTTCTGTATATATATTTCTCTGTATGTACGTATCTAGGCCTCCACCAACTCACTTTTGGCAATTGCTTTGATTATAACTGGATTGAGTTATAACTGGGAAGCAGCAAGAAAGATTTTTGAGTCATAAAACTGCTATCTTATATATCAGTACTGAGTTGAAGAAAAAATAAATCATTTTCATTCATTTGGAAAGAAAATAAGTGATTCTGTCGAAAGTTGTACTTGCAGGACTTAATATACTCAACCATTGTTACAAAAAGGTGAGGGAATAGATACAAAAAAATAAATTTAGGCTTTGGACTGAGAGATTTGAGTGTAATTCCAATCTCAAGCACTTAGAAGTTATATAATTTCTTAAGGCCAGTACTTAATTTATATACTTTTTATCAATAATATGGTAAACTTTAATATTTCACCTTGTGGATTAGAAATGATGCATGTAAAGTATTTGGCAAATAGTGGCATTATTATAATTAGTATTATTTACAAACAGATGATTAAGTCAGGAAATAATGCTCCTTAGAGAATAATATTCCTAAGAGAAACACTACTACGAGATTATGTAATGCAAGCATATCCTTTGATTTTGTTACAAGATCACACATATTTACAGCATATACTTAGCAATAATTCGTAAGTGGTTTATTACTGCCTAAGACAAGGTTACCACTTTTCTTAATCTTTGATTTTTTGAAGTATTCAGATGAGTGAAAAACTACAAGGGTGATGGTCTGCAAGAGTAACACATGGAAGGAATAAAGTATGTCATAGGCATTATTCATACTGTGTACTCTTGAAAATTCCTTCCCTAGGATATGAGCATTTCTTTGGCATGAAATGTGACTAACAATGCCGATAGCACAAGGAAAGCCTATATTCAGTATTCTGTGGCTAATACACCCTGGTCACTGTTTTAGAGATTCTGAAACCAGCACAGATTCTACTGTGAGCCACATAAGAAATATTAGAATTATTGATATCTATTTCATCAGTTAAAAATTTAGCTCTGCCAAACACTAAGCATCTGTTATCTGATAACACTTAAATAGTATTCAGGGAGATTGATCATCCAGTGACAAGTTGAAATCCCTGCAGTTTTGCATCTTATTCTCAATATATTTCTCTATGGATATTGAAGCAGAGCTTGTTCTTAAATATTTATCAACCTAAAACATTACTTTGATTGCTTATATCATTTGAAATATGTATTTTCTTAATTAGATAATGATACAAACAAGAAGGAATTTAAAAGATCATTAATTTAATGATCTGTATCCAAATACATCATCTAAGCCATTGAGTCCAATCTTTGTTCATGTATAGGGAAACTTTTTTAAAGTGAAAATTGTTCATAAACATCTGTAGTATGATATTATTTTTGGTAAGTATTGGTTGACAAAATACCTAATAGAAAAAAGCTACTATAAATTCAAACATTTTAAGTAAGTTTGCATTAACCACAGTAAATTCTCAATGCATTAAAAAGTAACATGTAAATTAAATATATTCATTCACTAGAGGTAATACTCAGTTTACATATATATGTGTGTATACACACACACACACACACACACACACACACACTTTTTTTTTTTTTTTTTTGAGACAGAATCTGGCTCTGTCACCTAGGCTGGAGTTCAGTGGCACGATCTCAGCTTACTGCAACTTCTGCCTCCTGGGTTCAAGTGATTCTCCTGCCTCAGCTTCCGGAGTAGCTAGGACTACAGGCGTGTGCCACCACGCCCATCTAATTTTTGTATTTTTAGTAGAGATGGGGTTTCACCATGTTGGTCAGGCTGGTCTCAAACTGCTGACCTTGTGATCTGCCAGCCTTGGCCTCCCAAAATGCTGGGATTACAGGGGAAAGCCACCGTGCCCGGCCCTCAGTTTACATATTAATTCACATGCCACAGGTAAATAATATCTCCATGGCTGCCCATAGCCCACAGCCCCAGACTGAGAACTAGGGTATAAACCAGACTTTTAAAATGAATGTCAGTAGAGTTTGAATAATCTTTTTATTTCAAAGTATTTTGTAATTTACTCTGGAGGAAGTTATCCTTTATAGTTTTAATTATAAAATCAATGAATAACTTTTATTCTCATAATGAACTTTTTTTTTACCTGAAGGCTATCATATATACATACATACAGAAGTACACAGATCATAAGTAAATTTTTATAAAATGAACCCATCTGTTAATCACCATACTGATCACAAAACAATTAACACCCTAGAAGCCTTTCCTTAACCTCTTTCAGTTACTTACTTACTACACCTATCTGTATCTTCAAAGTTAATCACCTTTCTCACTGGTAATATTATGAGTAGGTTTTACTTGTTTTAAAATTAATATAAGAAACACAGTATATCATTTAATATATGGCCTCCTTTGTCCACTTTTGTGTTTTCAAGATTCATCCATGTTACTTATGTCAGTACTCAGTACTTAGTTTATTATTGTATAATACCCTTTTGTACGAACATACTATATGATGTTATTGATGGATATTGGTGGTGTTCTAGTTTGTGTCTATTATGAATAAATACTGTAAGGAACATTCTTGCATTCTAGTTAATGCTTTTATTGCATATATTTCAAGTGGGCCTGTATCTCAGAATGGAATTTCTAGATTATAATTAATATATATATTCAGCTTTAGTACATACTGAGAAACAATTTTTCAGATTGATTTGTATGGACTTTCACTTCAACCATCTGTTTATAAAAATTCCTGTTGCTTTCAATCCTTGTCAGCTATTGGTTTTTTCCTTTTTTCTTTTATTTTAGTAATTTGGATAAGTAGGTAACCCTATCTCACAGTTTCAATTTGTATTACCTTGCAGAATAATAAGGTTAAACAATTTTAAAATACATGTATTTGTATTATGGATATCCTCTTGAATAAGTGCCTACTTATTTACTCATTTGAATAATGACTGCTTTGTATTTTTTATTGATTTGTAGATCTTTAATTATTTATATACATGAGTTAGATTGAGCAAAATCCTCTCCCTTTTGAGTTGGCTTTTCAATTGTCTTCATGTTTTCATTAGATGAGATATTCTTAATTTTAATACAGTCCAACTTAGAATTCTTTTTGTTTTATGAATAGTATCTTTTTTGTCCTTTTAGAAATTTCTGTTCACTCCATTGTTTTCAAGATAACTTTCTGTATTATCTTCTAGATATTCTTCTTCGTTGATTATCTTTCCCCTTTAGTTACATAATCTGCCTTAACATTATTTTCTATGGTTTGAAGTCTTGGTAATTACCTCCTCAAACATTGCTTCTGCTTATTATCTCCTTTCTTCATGGTACTATAATTCTATGTTTGTCAGACCTTTTCTTACATTGTTTTCTCAGTGTTTTTCAACCTATTTTCTTCTTATGCTTCAAACTGAGCATTTTCTCCTGTGCTGTCTCCATTTCACCTTCTTATTAATCCCACCTATCAAGTTCTTCATTTCTGTTGCTTTATTTTTAGATACATATATGTGTGTGTGTGTGTGTATAGACAGATAATATTTAATTTTTTAAACTAACAAGTGAAATAACAGAATTCCAACTCACATTACTTAAACTTGATATTCTATTTAATTGAGTCATCTTTATGAACTATTTTTAAGGACTTTGGGCTGCTTTTTTCTTTTCGTCTCTCAGTATTTATGATAGTGTAGGCATACTTGTACTCATTCCTCAGTTTATCGTGCTTCATTATATCATGCTTCACAGATGTTGCATTTTTAAAACAAATTAGAGGTTGGTGACAGCCCTGCATCAAGGAAGTTTATCAGCACAAGTTTTCCAAAGTATATGCTAATTTTGTGTCTCCGTGTCACATGTTAGTAATTCTCTCAGTAGCTCAAACTTCTCATTATTATTACATCTTTTATCGTGATCTGGGATTAGTGATCTTTGATGTTACTATTGTAATTGTTTTGGGATGCAATGACCTGCATCCATATAAGACTGCAAACCTAATCAATAAATGTATGTGTTTTGACTCCCTCACCAGTTTGTCATTCCCCCATCTCTCTCTCTCTCCTCAGACCTACGTGTTCCCTAAGGCCCGACAAAATTCAAATTAGGCCAATTAATAACCATACAGTGGCCTCTTAAGTTTTCAAGTGAAAGGAAGGGTTGCATTTCTTTTACTTTAAATCAAAATGTAGAAATGATTAAGCTTAATGAGGAAGGCATGTCGAAAGCTGAGAAAGGCTGAAAGCTTTTAGCTAAATAGTAGCCATGTTTTGAATGCAAAGGAGAAGTTCTTGAAGAAAATTAAAAAGTTTTACTCCGGTAAACATGCAAATAATAAGAAAGCAACAGTTCTTACTGCTGATACAGAGAAAGCTTTAGTGGTCTGAATAGAAGATCAAATAAGCCACAACACTCCCTCAAGCCTCAGCATCTAGAGCAAGGTCCTAACTGTTCAATTCTATAAAGGCTGAGAGATGAGGAAGCTGCAGAAATTTGAAAGCTAACAGAGGTTTGTTCATGAGCTTTAAGGAAAGAAGCCATCTCCATAACATAAAACTGTAAGGTGAAGCAGCAAGTGCTGATGTAGATGCTGCAGCAAATTATCCAGGAGATATAACTAAGATCTTTGATTAAAATAGCTACAGTAAACAATAGACAAAACAGCCCAATTTTGGAAGCATATGCCATCTTCAACTTTCATAGCAGGAGAAGAGAAGTCAATGCCTGGTTTCAAAGCTTCAAATAATAGGCAGACTCTCCTGTTAGGGCCTAATAAAGCTGATGACTTCAAGTTGAAGCTAATCCTCATTTACCACTCTGAAAACCCAGGGGCTTAAGAATTAAGCTAAGGAATTAATTTGGCTGGGTGTGGTGGCTCATGCCTGTAATCCTAGCACTTTGGGAGGCTGAAGCGGGAGGATTGCCAGATCTCAGGAATTCCAGACCAGCCTGTGCAACACAGTGAAACCCCATCTCTACTAAAATAGAAAAAATTAGCCTGGTGTGGTGGTGTGTACCTGTAGTCCCAGCTACTCAGGAGGCTGAGGCAGGAGAATCGCTTGAACCCAGGAGAGGGAGGTTGTAGTGAGCCGAGATAGTGCCACTGCACTCCAGCCTGGGTGACAGAGCGAGACTCTGTTTCAAAAAAAAAAAGAATTAAGTTAAATTTATTCTTCCTGTACTACATAAATGGAACATAAAAGCCTGGATGACAGCCCATCTGTTTATAGCATGGTTCACTGAATATTTTAAGCCCAGAATTGAGACCTACTGCTCAGAAGAAAAGATTCATTTACAATGCACATAGTCAACCAAGAGCTCTGATGGAGATCCACATGCCTGCTACCACAACATTTATTCTATAGCCCAAGGATTGAAAAGTAATTTCGATTTTCAAGTCATATTATTTAAAAAATACATTTCATTAGGATATAGCTCCCATAGATAGTGATTCCTCTGATGGTTCTGAGCAAAGCAAATGAAAATCTTCTATAAAGAATTTACTATTCTGGATGCCATTAAGAATGTGGTGATTCATGGGAGGAGGCTGATATGTCAACATTAACAGGAGTAACTAAATTGCTGCAATTTCATAATAAAATTTGAATGCATGAGGTGATGCTTCTTATAAATAAGCAAAGAAAGTGGTTTCTTGAGATACATCACCTCCTGGTGAAGATGATGTGAACATTGTTGAAATCACAACAAAAAATTTAGAATATTACATAAACTTAGTGAAGCAATGACAGGATTTGAGAGGATTGACTGACAGGATTTGGGAGGATTGACTGCAGTTTTAAAAGAAGTTCTACTGTGGGTAAAATGCCATCAAACAGCATTGCTGCTACAGAGGAATCTTTTGTGAAAGGAAGAGTCAGCTGATGAGCAAATTTCATTGTTGCATTGTTGTCGTATTTTGAGAAACTGCCACAGCCACCCCAACTATTAGCAACTACCACCCTGATAAATCTGCAGCTGTTCACATCAAGGAAAGACCCTCCATCTGCAAAAAGATTATGACTCACTGAAAGCTCGGATGATTGTTAGCATTTTTTTAGCAAGAAAGTATTTTTTAATTGGTGTATGTACATTTTTTAGATATACTGCTATTGCACTTAATAGTCTATACACTGCAGTATTGTTTAAACATAACTTTTATATGCTTTGGGAAACCAAAATTTGTGTGACTCGCTTTATTATGATACTTGGGGGTCTGGAACAAAACCAGCAATAACTCCAGAAATACAAGTATGCTTGCATTTTTCATATTTCATTTCATTATTGCTTTACTTACCTGTCTCTAAGAATAGAGTGTATAGCCATCCAAGGTCAGAGGCTGTGTTTTATTTATCCTCATTTCTGGCATATAGTTGAAGCTAAACATATTTACAGAGTGAATAAACAACAGGATTTCTTACAACCCTATGTTTAACTTGTGATTCACCACAAAAGTCCACTTTTTTGCTTTCTATAGCTTTGCCCAAGCATTTCATAGGCAGGATTAACCTAGCTATATCATATATATATATATATATATATATATATATTTCATTCACACATATTTTTAAAAACTCATTCTACATTATCCTCCAAACATTGTATTATTGCCAAAAGTTGTTGATTCATATCCAACCAATTAAGCCATTTCTTGGAAATATGTTAAGTACAGTTAATGATGTCACTTATTAAAATTAAATTTATTGAAGTTTTATGTATATCCATTTATTGACAGTTTTGTAGTCTTTTCTGGCATAAGACATGTGTTGGGCTTTTTTAGATTTTTTTTTTTTACAACCATTACTATAATAATTGTATTACACCCATTGATGTTTTGTAAATTTTCACCACCAAGTTATGTACTGAAAGGGTTCATGTAAGTTCATTGTATTTTTTCATTAAGACAACAATAATATTGATATGATAAATGCCATCTTAGTGACATTCTGATATCATTTTTCAATAATAATATAATAAGTGACCATGAAGGGAATAGAAACCTAAACAATATTATTGTTTAAACAGTAAGCAATTTGTTTAAAAAAGTTTTGCTTGTACGGGAGAAGTGTTTGACATAGCTTTTTTTGTTTTTCTTATTACTACAACTGAATGAAATTTTCTAGGGATTACCTTGACATTCATTAGTGCTTTTGGGGCACAAATACCCTTTTTTGATAATCAGGAATTACTTAGTATCTCAGATTTATAATGCTAAAGTGTTTAGAAAAAAATTAAGGAACCTGAGTTTTTTTCATTTTTCACTTCAAATTAAGATGCTGTTCTCCTTCATTTTGTCTGCTTAAGGCAAACTTGGAAAATGCTAATCATTTATGTATGTAATCTCCATCATCATCTAACATCCAAATCCTTGATATATCATGTGTTTTGGTATGTGTTTTCCTTCTAAATGTTAAAACTAAGATGAAATGACATCTGTACTCAAAGCAAAATATAAAATTAACAAAAACAGAACAGTAATACTATGTCAATATATCACTTCTGGTTACTCGATATGACCAGGATTTGCTTCTCAAATGTCAGAATAAAAGAAATGTGCCTATCATGTGCAAGTGATTTTATTAAAACATGCCTATGTGTTCATGCTTTTGAAAGACACTCACCCACATGGTCCCTGTTCAAATAATTATTTCCCGAATGCACATGAGGCTAAATTTCACCAAGAAAAATCACCAAGAGAAATAGGAACTTCACTATGCTAATAGACACTATGTTTTCACATTTGTGTTTCTTGTGTTAAGCAAAAAGTGGCTGAGACAGGTGTCTCAATTGATAGATGTTTATTTAGCTAAAGTTTGAGGACTCATCCAGGAAAAACATAGTCACAGGAGCCTCTGTGACATGTACTTTTCCGAAGAAGATTTGAGGAACTTCAGTATTTAAAGGGGAAACATCAAGAAGAGGAGAAAAGAGGGAGGTAGGTTAGGCAGTGATGTAAATGATTACATTCTTGTGAGGCTCTTATATAAGACAAGGTAAACATGCGAAAAGAAGGAATAGAGAAAAAGTCAATTATGAATTTGTCTCAGGGTAGGTGGAGGGATGATTTCTGGTCCTGTCCTTGTCCTGTACCTGTGAAGATAAGCTAGTAATTGATATCTTCAGGGCGAGATACAACAGAACTCGGGTTTAGGTCTAGAATATAGGAGGGTATGTATTCTAAAAGATTTAGGGGCTCACAAGGGGCTCTCAATTGTACCTAGTGAACGATTTGTGAGAGAGACCATGTGAGGAGATATGCGGCCTTATATCCTTGTGGGAACGTGGCTTGTGGATGAGGCTATGACACAGGGTTGTGAAATTACAGCTATCTGGGAACAAAAGGAAGGCAGTATTGTGTGACTCATTTTCCAAGCTTAACTTTCCCTTTTGCATAGTGAGTTTTGGGGTCCCAAGATTCTATTTTTTCACACTTACTACTTTAAATTTCTATAGTTGTGTTTTAAAATGATTCAAGTCTTCATCCACTTAAAATATTGTTTAACTTTTAACACCTAGTGTCATTTTGCTTCAGGTATTTACCTTGGTAGATTTAATACTATGACTCAATTAAATCCCTTGAAGTTTAATTGGTGAGCCTAAAGAGCTTAGCCACTGAAGGCAAAAATGCTTAAGATATTATTATATTTACCAAGTGTTCCAAATTCTTCTTTTTTGTTTGTTTGGTTTTATTTATTGCTATTCTATCTTAAGGCATCTACAGTGTACACACTTAGAACCTACTCATCTGACAAAGGGCTAATATCCAGAATCTACAATGAACTCAAACAAATTTACAAGAAAAAAACAAGCAACCCCATCAAAAAGTGGGTGAAGGATATGAACAGACACTTCTCAAAAGAAGACATTTATGCAGCCAAAAAACACATGAAAAAATGCTCATCATCACTGGCCATCAGAGAAATGCAAATCAAAACCACAATGAGATACCATCTCACACCAGTTAGAATGGCAATCATTAAAAAGTCAGGAAACAACAGGTGCTGGAGAGGATGTGGAGAAATAGGAACACTTTTACACTGTTGGTGGGACTGTAAACTAGTTCAACCATTGTGGAAGTCAGTGTGGCGATTCCTCAGGGATCTAGAGCTAGAAATACCATTTGACCCAGCCATCCCATTACTGGGTATATACCCAAAGGATTATAAATCATGATACTATAAAGACACATGCACACATATGTTTATTGCGGCACTATTCACAATAGCAAAGACTTGGAACCAACCCAAATGTCCAACAATGATAGACTGGATTAAGAAAATGTGGCACATATACACCATGGAATACTATGCAGCCATAAAAAATGAAGAGTTCATGTCCTTTGTAGGGACATGGATGAAACTGGAAATCATCATTCTCAGCAAACTATCGCAAGGACAAAAAACCAAACACCACATGTTCTCACTCATAGGTGGGAATTGAACAATGAGAACCCATGGACACAGGAAGGGGAACATCACACTCCAGGGACTGTTGTGGGGTGGGGAGAGGTGGGAGGGATAGCATTAGGAGATATACCTAATGCTAAATGACAAGTTAATGGGTGCAGCACACCAACATGGCACATGTATACATATGTAACAAACCTGCACATTGTGCACATGTACCCTAAAACTTAAAGTATAATAATAAATAAAAAAAGAAATTAATATGTACTGGATATATGTGGGTGGAAGGTTAAGAAAGTAGGGGTTGGTTGGCATATGCTAATGCTACAACTTATATCATGTAACATATAATAACAATATATCTTCTTGTACTATTACCACAACTGTTAATTAATTAAACATTACTGGTTATCCTTGTTATGTATTTTTCTTTATAACTTTTAGTTTGTTTCAAAATTACTGGTGTGACTTGAAAACTAAAGTAAAAAACTTGTTATTTAAAAAGGATTTTTTTTACAATTTAGTATACATTATTTTTTATGCTATTTTGCAAGCTGCTTGAGGTATGTTGTTTGAATGGAGAATCCATCTTATGATAAACACAGAGCTTCACAGGCAGGATTTCCTTAAATGACTTACAGGTCTGACCTGGAACTGTTATTCCCCTCAGCCCTGAGAGAAATGGGTGGCTGGATGCTGCAGATATGTTTCTTCTGGCAGCAAGATAGCCAAAATGAAGGGGGACCTGCTCAGTGCCATTTCTGCAGATGGCAAGAAATGTGAGCAGTAGCTGGAACTCATTGCTGTATCACAAGGATCTGAGTGTATCCCCAAAGGTGCTTTACCACATGTACATTGATTTCTGCATTCTGCACCTGCTTTAGTGTATGTGGCATTAGTTTTCCCTGTAGTCGTTGTTCTCTCCAGAATTACTAAAGGAACTCTGAGAGCATATCAATTACTGGTACTCATACTCAGACTGTCTAATTCAGTAAGTCTAGGTTGAGTTCCAAGAATTTGTATTATTAAGAGTCCTAAGGTACTGCTGCTGCTGGTCTGAGCACTTTAGAACCACTGCCTCACAGAATGTTTTGGGTTCATAGGTTATTTCTGAAGATTGTCATATATTGCTCTGTGTTAGGCTCCTGAAATTTTATCTACTGGTGAAATTTCAAGTGTCCCTATCAAAGGAGCACTCTCAGAACATAGATATGCATCCTTGTAATTCTTTGAGCCTCATCATGACACTACAGTATTGTTTACTCTTCTCAGTGTTGAACAAGGCATGTTGAATGACTAGTTGTTGCAATTCCTGAAACTTGTCCTGGAAATCTAACTACACACTGGTTAAGCTTTCTTCTTCTCTTTCTATTTACTTATTTTCAAGACAGCATTAATGAGCATTCTAGATTCCTGTCCAAACTTCAAGAATTGAGAATTGTTTCCTTTCATAAAGGACTATGTTATTTAGATAAACCTCCTGCTTAAAAAGCTGTAAAAAGCTATATAAATTATCAAACGGGAATAATAAAAAGATGCAAGTAAGACAAATAGGGAAAATAGAAGTATATTACCTAAAGTGGAAAAATTAAAACCAAATAAGAATCAAAACAAATTTCAACTATATACTGCTTATAAGAAACAAATGACATAAAAATATTGGAAATAAAGTTTTTAAAAAAATCATATGGACATTAACAAAAAAAATTACATCCACACACACATACACACACAAAAATAGATTTCAAGGCGGAAAAAAGCTTTACTATAAATAAGTTGGAACACTTTCTCAATACAACAATGTTCTCAGAATTATATAACAATTTCATATTTGTATATTTTTAACAATATATCTTCAAACCAGATAAAGCAAAATTTGACAAAAACACACAAAAAATCCACAATTCTAATCAGGAATGTAATAAACCTCTTGCAATATATAATAGAATAAGAAGATAAAAATAAGTAGAAAGCTACCATCAGCAAAAATGACAAAATAAGGACCTTCAAACATTCTATTTTCTATGAAAGTGTGATAAGAACCAATGTTTTCAGTTATTTGCAAATTAACCAAGGCTTGCAGGAATCTGGAGAGCATTTATTCAAGAAAAGTGGATGAATGTGAGTGAGACCAATGAACTTTGTGGAGTTTTAGCTTGTCCTATAGCCACATTCCCTATCCAGCTCTGGGGAAGCCTTGAAAAACAACGGCTCCAATCATGGAGGAAACTGGAAGTGTGACAGTCACTGGAAAGACCAGAACAGGGTTGGAGACCCTTAAATGCCTCATTCCCAGACAAGCATCCTTCTCTTACATGTCTGGTCATTCTCTGGAAGATTCACCTTGGAAGTTTGTTGTTGTTATATGACTCAGTCCACCCAGTACAAAGCCTTTTTCCCAGGGGTGTTTGTTGAAAACAGTAAGAGGCAATTGTTTACACTGGGCACTCCTGAAGGCTGTGGATAAAAATTGAGGCAGATAATAGGGAACATTTTCCAATGCATTCTATGAGTATTACCAAAAACAGATGAAGATGTCACAAGATAAGAAAACTACAGATCAACATTTTATAAATATGGATGTAAAAATTCTCAACAAACTTAATTCTGCACCATGTAAAAAGGATTATAAACCATGTCCAAATAGAATTTATCCCAGAAATGCAGTCTGTATCTGAGGTTCAATATAATCCATGAATGTAATATCAAGTATTATTTCATAGTAATATGAATCATTGTAATACACTATGTTGATGGGATAAAGAACAAAACCCACTGTATTAGTCTGTTCTCATGCGTTTAAGAAAGACATACCAAAGACATAATTTATAAAGAAAAAGAGGTTTAATGGACTCACAGTTTCCACATGGCTGGGGAGGCCTCATAATCAAGGTGGAAGGTGAAGGAAAAGCAAAGGCACATCTTACATAGATGCAGGCAAGAGTGAATGTGGAGGGGAACTGCCCTTCATAAAACCATCAGATCTCATGAGGCCTATTCACTATCACAAGAACAGCACGGGAAAAGCTAGCCTCTACTGGGTCCCTCTCATGACATGTAGGGATTATGGGAGCTATAATTCAAGATGAGATTTGGGTGGGAACACAGCAAAACCATATTACCCACATGATCTCTTTGACGATAAAAAGTACTGACAGAACTGGAAATAAAAGGGAATTTCCTCAACCTGGTAAAAATCACCCCCTGGGAAATTTGGCAAGTAAATGGAAGAAAAGATATCCAGATTGGAATAGAATTAACATTACCTCTCACGTCTCTTTGCTGATGACATAATTGTGTATATAGAAAAATCCTACAAAATTTACATACACACAAAGCCAATTAATTATTTTGGCAATATTGCAATATGCATGATCAATATACAAAAATCAATTGTATTTCTATACACTAGCAAAGAACAGTCTAAAAATGAAATTAATAAAATTAATTTCATTTATGATAGTATCAATATACTTAGTAATTTGTATTTAAATCATACTGTATACTTAGTATCAATATTAGTATCAATATATGATAGTAACAATATACTTAGAAATATATTAAAAAATAAATGTTTAACTTGGATATGGAAAGCTACAGAATATTATTGAAATAAATTAGAGAAAACATAAATAGAAAGACATTGTATGTTTATGAATTGGAAGATTTACTATTGTTAAGATGGCAAAATTCTCTTAATTGATCTACAGATTTGCCATAATTCCTATTAAAATTCCTGCTCTCCGTTTTTGCAGAAATTGATAAACTAATCTTAAAATCAATATGAAAATACTAAGGACCCAGAACAGTCAACCATCTTGAAAAAGAATATGACACAAAGAGCACGCACACTTTCAGGGTATGCATCTGCATTAGTCATACTTGTGTGGTGCTGGTATAAGGATAGACATATGGGCTAATAGAATAATATAAGAGTCCAGAAATAAACCCACACATTTATGGTCAATTGATTTTCAACAAGAACACCAAGACAATTTCAACAAATCGTGCTGAGACAACCGAATATTCACATGCAAAATATGAATTTGGACCCCAATCTTATACCATGTAAAAAATTAAATAAAATGCATCAAAACCCTAAATTTAACAAGTCGAAAAATTCTTAGAAGGAAGCATAGATGTAAATGTTTATAACCTTGCACTAGGCAATGGTTTCCAGGATATAACACTTAAAGCACAAACAACCAAAGAAAGACTAGATAAACTGGACTTTATACAAATTAAAAACTTTTACGTTTCAAAGGACACTATCAAGAAAGTGAAAAGATGACCTACAAAAAAGGAAAAAGTATTCACAAATCACATATATGATTAGGATCTAGTTTCTAGAATATATTCAAAACTATTATACTTCAACAATAAAACAAAAATACCTTATTTAAAAATAGACAAATGATTTAAATACAAATTTCTTCAAAGTGGGAGAAAAACAAGTCATAAAACATTGTGATACCACTTTACATCCAATAGGATATCAAAATATAAAATATAGACAGTAATAAAAGTTGTGCATATGTGAAGAAATTGAAACCCTTATACATAGCTGATGAAAGTGTAAAATGATGCAGCTGTTTTGGAAAATACTTTGGCAGTCCTCAAAAAGCAAACCATTGACTTTTTATATGACTCAGCAATTCCACTTCTATGTATACACTAAAGAGAATTGAAAACATATGTCTGCACAAAAACTTTTACATGAATGTTCATAGCAGCATTACTCATAACAGTGCCAAAGTGTAAACAACCTGAATGTTCACCAACTGATGAAGAAAATATGGCATGTCCATATTATATGTATATATATATTCATTCATAAAAATTAATGAAGTACTGATTTATGCTACAAACAATAGATGAATCTTAAAATAACAAAGTCATTCACAAAAAGCTACATATTGTACGACTGCATTTGTGTAACATGTCTAGAATAGGCAAACATGTCTAGAATAGGCAAATCAGAGACACAGAAAGATTAGTGTTTGCTAGGATCTGAAAAGAAGTAGAGATGGAAAGTGAGTGATAATAGGTACAGTATTTATCTTCAGTATGAAAATGGTCTGGAATTAGATATGGTTCCACAGTTGTATGAATACACTGAAAACCACTAAACTGTACTGTTTAAAGGCGTGAATTTTATTGTGTGTATATCTTAATAAAAGACAATAAGAATGCATAAGATTTGGAGAAAATGTTGTTACATATTTATAGAAATTGTTCCTATGCCATAAAACTCATTTCAAAAAATTTCAAAAGATATAGTCATTCAGAATGTGTTGTATAGCCCAACAGTGGAGATCATCAGCAAAATCACAAGATAGCTCTGAAAAGAGTAATGAAATTGATACTGTAATCCCAGGAAGTCTTCACAATGTGAAATAGAGTATGTGACAAAGTTTGTCTATTGAATACACTGAATATTTAGTTTAAAATATTCCCACAAATGCCAATTCACTTTAAAGTATGAATTCCTGTGAATTCTATGAAAAATTTAAGGAAAACATGTCAATCCCACACAAACCCTTCTAAAGGACAAGAGAGAAAATGGTCCTAGAATTATTTAATTCGCCCATGGTAAACTTTATATTGAAACCTGATAAGGACTTTACAAAATAAGAAATTACTGGCCAACCTCATTAATAAAAATATATATTATATATATATTTATTATATGTAATATAGCAATATGTAAGTATATTGAATCCAGAAATATATAGAAAGCACTATACATAATGACCAAGTTTGATTTATTACAAAATGTAAGATTCATTTAACAATAACAAAGTGTTAATATACCTTACCACATTTACAGAATAAAAGATAGACATCATTTGATCATCACTTTTCAGACTCTTAGTTTTAATTTTTTTTGCTCAATGAACCCAGATACAATGTTATTTCTATCACTATCACTGAGGTTTCACAGCTTTGTGTAAGCACTATAATGAAAATATGTCAACTCTTGAGGGCATTCTTCTTTAGGAAAACCTGATAACAGCAGGACCTTTTAAATTACATCCTGTAGATCGATTTGACATTACTTTTTCAGCTGTCCTCCTGAGGTCTCTCGGAAGGTACAAAGAAAAGGAAACAATCATTCTTTTATGGCTATCATAATTACTGAAATGGAATCACATGGTATTTCTGCACCCTGTTTGCAAAAGCATGCCTCTTTGTTGAAATGTTGTGAGAAAAAAAGAGAAAAGTTTTATTACATGTCAAAGTTTGCTGATACTCGGAGATGACATCTTCCCACTTTGGATTCCTGTCACTTACAGTTACTTGAGGTAGAGAGAGACAACCCCATTTCAAATAAAATCTACCTACTTAACGACCACTCTCTTTCATGCTGCTATTATGCTTTTGCTATTTAAATATAATGTAATAATAATGCTTTAGGCACAACTGATTCCTAATTTTGTTTTACCTACATGTTACTTTCCCTGCTATAAATTGTTTGCTTGATTTTCTTCTTTTTTTTTTTTTGACAGTCGTTGGTATATTTATTTGAAAATTAACCTCATTAATTCATGGTCATATATCTTAACAATACAATAGAATTATAAGGCCATGTCTTATGATCCTTTTGTATCTCCCTCATAACATGTTACTGATCGTGGAGTAAGCTTTCAATAAATATTGAATTAAACTGATGACTGTTATAGAGACCTAGGCCAAACACAGGTTGGGAAAGATAAAATCAAGAATCAAAATTCTGGATAACAAAATCGGTGCAGATAGCAACTGAAAATGCTTCATAATTTTAAACATTTGGTTCTCAATAGTAGATAGATATTTTTTCAATATAGTTTGGGTTGTATTGATTCCAACAGTGTACTGGGAGCTGAGAACCAAATTTTACCTTATCTCTGCCTCTAAAATTAGGCAAGTTACATAATTCACTTAGTATCTCATTTTCCTTTTCTTTTTTATTTTTTTATTTATGTTCATTTTTTATTTTTTATTTATTTCTTTATTTTTTTATATTATACTTTAAGTTTTAGGGTACATGTGCACATTGTGCAGGTTAGTTACATAGGTATACATGTGCCATGCTGGTGTGCTGCACCCACTAACTCGTCATCTAGCATTAGGTATATCTCCCAATGCTCTCCCTCCCCCCCTCCCCCCACCCCACAACAGTCCCCAGAGTGTGATGTTCCCCTTCCTGTGTCCATGTGATCTCATTGTTCAATTCCCACCTATGAGTGAGAATATGCAGTGTTTGGTTTTTTGTTCTTGCGATAGTTTACTGAGAATGATGATTTCCGATTTCATCCATGTCCCTACAAAGGACATGAACTCATCATTTTTATGGCTGCATAGTATTCCACGGTGTATATGTGCCACATTTTCTTAATCCAGTCTATCATTGTTGGACATTTGGGTTGGTTCCAAGTCTTTGCTATTGTGAATAATGCCACAATAAACATACGTGTGCATGTGTCTTTATAGCAGCATGATTTATAGTCCTTTGGGTATATACCCAGTAATGGGATGGCTGGGTCAAATGGTATTTCTAGTTCTAGATCCCTGAGGAATCGCCACACTGACTTCCACAATGGTTGAACTAGTTTACAGTCCCACCAACAGTGTAAAAGTGTTCCTATTTCTCCACATCCTCTCCAGCACCTGTTGTTTCCTGACTTTTTAATGATCGCCATTCTAACTGGTATGAGATGGTATCTCATTGTGGTTTTGATTTGCATTTCTCTGATGGCCAGTGATGATGAGCATTTCTTCATGTGTTTTTTGGCTGCATAAATGTCTTTGTTTGAGAAGTGTCTGTTCATATCCTTCACCCACTTTTTGATGGGGCTGTTTGTTTTTTTCTTGTAAATTTGTTTGAGTTCATTGTAGATTCTGGATATTAGCCCTTTGTCAGATGAGTAGGTTGCAAAAATTTTTCCCATTTTGTAGGTTGCCTGTTCACTCTGATGGTAGTTTCTTTTGCTGTGCAGAAGCTCTTTAGTTTAATTAGATCCCATTTGTCAATTTTGTCTTTTGTTGCCATTGCTTTTGGTGTTTTAGACATGAAGTCCTTGCCCGTGCCTATGTCCTGAATGGTAATGCCTAGGTTTTCTTCCAGGGTTTTTATGGTTTAGGTCTAACGTTTAAGTCTTTAATCCATCTTGAATTGATTTTTGTATAAGGTGTAAGGAAGGGATTCAGTTTCAGCTTTCTACATATGGCTAGCCAGTTTTCCCAGCACCATTTATTAAATAGGGAATCCTTTCCCCATTGCTTGTTTTTCTCAGGTTTGTCAAAGATCAGATAGTTGCAGATATGCGGCGTTATTTCTGAGGGCTCTGTTTTGTTCCATTGATCTATAGCTCTGTTTAGGTACCAGTACCATGCTGTTTTGGTTACTGTAGCCTTGTAGTATAGTTTGAAGTCAGGTAGTGTGATGCCTCCAGCTTTGTTCTTTTGGCTTAGGATTGACTTGACGATGCGGGCTCTTTTTTGGTTCCATATGAACTTTAAAGTAGTTTTTCCCAATTCTGTGAAGAAAGGCATTGGTAGCTTGTTGGGGATGGCATTGAATCTGTAAATTACCTTGGGCAGTATGGCCATTTTCACGATACTGATTCTTCCTACCCATGAGCATGGAATGTTCTTCCGTTTGTTTGTATCCTCTTTTATTTCCTTGAGCAGCGGTTTGTAGTTCTCCTTGAAGAGGTCCTTCACATCCCTTGTAAGTTGGATTCCTAGGTATTTTATTCTCTTTGAAGCAATTGTGAAAGGGAGTTCACTCATGATTTGGCTCTCTGTTTGTCTGTTGTTGGTGTATAGGAATGCTTGTGATTTTTGCACATTGATTTTGTATCCTGAGACTTTGCTGAAGTTGCTTATCAGCTTTAAGGAGATTTTGGGCTGAGACGATGGGGTTTTCTAGATATACATTCATGTCATCTGCAAACAGGGACAATTTGACTTCCTCTTTTCCTAATTGAATACCCTTTATTTCCTTCTCCTGCCTAATTGCCCTGGCCAGAACTTCCAACACTATGTTGAATAGGAGTGGTGAGAGAGGGCATCCCTGTCTTGTGCCAGTTTTCAAAGGAAATGCTTCCAGTTTTTGCCCATTCAGTATGATATTGGCTGTGGGTTTGTCACAGATAGCTCTTATTATTTTGAAATATGTCCCATCAGTACCTACTTTATTGAGAGTTTTTAGCATGAAGGGTTGTTGAATTTTGTCAAAGGCCTTTTCTGCATCTATTGAGATAATCATGTGGTTTCTGTCTTTGGCTCTGTTTATATGCTGGATTACATTTATTGATTTGCGTATATTGAACCAGCCTTGCATCCCAGGGATGAAGCCCACTTGATCATGGTGGATAAGCTTTTTGATATGCTGCTGGATTCGGTTTGCCAGTATTTTATTGAGGATTTTTGCATCAATGTTCATCAAGGATATTGGTCTAAAATTCTCTTTTTTGGTTGTGTCTCTGCCCGGCTTTTGTATCAGAATGATGCTGGCCTCATAAAATGAGTTAGGGAGGATTCCCTCTTTTTCTATTGATTGGAATAATTTCAGAAGGAATGGTACCAGTTCCTCCTTGTACCTCTGGTAGAATTTGGCTGTGAAGCCATCTAGTCCTGGACTCTTTTTGGTTGGTAAGCTATTGATTATTGCCACAATTTCAGCTCCTGTTATTGGTCTATTCAGAGATTGAACTTCTTCCTGGTTTAGTCTTGGGAGAGTGTATGTGTCAAGGAATTTATCCATTTCTTCTAGATTTTCTAGTTTATTTGTGTAGAAGTGTTTGTAGTATTCTCTGATGGTAGTTTGTATTTCTGTGGGATTGGTGGTGATATCCCCTTTATCATTTTTTATTGCATCTATTTGACTCTTCTCCCTTTTTTCTTTATTAGTCTTGCTAGCGGTCTATCTATTTTGTTGATCCTTTCAAAATACCAGCTCCTGGATTCATTAATTTTTTGAAGGGTTTTTTGTGTCTCTATTTCCTTCAGTTCTGCTCTGATTTTAGTTACTTCTTGCCTTCTGCTAGCTTTTGAATGTGTTTGCTCGTGCTTTTCTAGTTCTTTTAATTGTGATGTTAGGGTGTCAATTTTGGATCTTTCCTGCTTTCTCTTGTGGGCATTTAGTGCTATAAGTTTCCCTCTACACACTGCTTTGAATGCGTCCCAGAGATTCTGGTATGTTGTGTCTTTGTTCTCACTGGTTTCAAAGAACATCTTTATTTCTGCCTTCATTTCGTTATGTACCCAGTAGTCATTCA
This sequence comes from Homo sapiens, assembly GCF_000001405.40. Taxonomy (NCBI): domain Eukaryota; kingdom Metazoa; phylum Chordata; class Mammalia; order Primates; family Hominidae; genus Homo; species Homo sapiens. The sequence goes on from NC_000008.11 coordinate 87,424,549, forward strand.
GGAGCAGGTTGTTCAGTTTCCATGTAGTTGCGCGTTTTTGCTGAGATTCTTAATCCTGAGTTCTAGTTTGATTGCACTGTGGTCTGAGAGAGACCCTACAGAAGCTCTCTTCTGGCTTGTACGGTTTCTGCCAAGAGATCCGCTGTTAGTCTGATGGGCTTCCCTTTGAGGGGAACCTGACCTTTCTCTCTGGCTGCCCTTAACCTTTTTTCCTTCATTTCAACTTTGGTGAATCTGACAATTATGTGTCTTGGAGTTGCTCTTCTCCAGGAGTATCTTTGTGGCATTCTCTGTATTTCCTGAATCTGAACGTTGGCCTGCCTTGCTAGATTGGGGAAATTCTCCTGGATAATATCCTGCAGAGTGTTTTCCAACTTGGTTCCATTCTCCCCATGACTTTCAGGTACACCAATCAGACGTAGATTTGGTCTTTTCACATAGTCCCATATTTCTTGGAGGCTTTCCTCATTTCTTTTTATTCTTTTTTCTCTAAACTTTCCTTCTCGCTTCATTTCATTCATTTCATCTTCCATTGCTGATACCCTTTCTTCCAGTTGATCGCATCGGCTCCTGAGGCTTCTGCATTCTTCACGTAGTTCTCGGGCCTTGGTTTTCAGCTCCATCAGCTCCTTTAAACACTTCTCTGTATTGGTTATTCTAGTTATACATTCTTCTAAATTTTTTTCAAAGTTTTCAACTTCTTTGCCTTTGGTTTGAATGTCCTCCCGTAGCTCAGAGTAATTTGATCATCTGAAGCCTTCTTCTGTCAGCTCGTCAGTCATTCTCCGTCCAGCTTTGTTCCGTTGCTGGTGAGGAGCTGCGTTCCTTTGGAGGAGGAGAGGCGCTCTGATTTTTAGAGTTTCCAGTTTTTCTGTTCTGTTTTTTCTCCATCTTTGTGGTTTTATCTACTTTTGGTCTTTGATGATGGTGACGTACAGATGGGTTTTTGGTGTGGATGTCCTTTCTGTTTGTTAGTTTTCCTTCTAACACACAGGACCCTCAGCTGCAGGTCTGTTGGAGTACCCTGCAGTGTGAGGTGTCAGTGTGCCCCTGCTGGAGGGTGCCTCCCAGTTAGGCTGCTCGGGGGTCAGGGGTCAGGGACCCACTTGAGGAGGCAGTCTGCCCGTTCTCAGATCTCCAGCTGCGTGCTGGGAGAACCACTGCTCTCTTCAAAGCTGTCAGACAGGGACATTTAAGTCTGCAGAGGTTACTGCTGTCTTTTTGTTTGTCTGTGCCCTGCCCCCAGAGGTGGAGCCTACAGAGGCAGGCAGGCCTCCTTGAGCTGTGGTGGGCTCCACCCAGTTCGAGCTTCCCAGCTGCTTTGTTTACCTAATCAAGCCTGGGCAATGGCGGGCGCCCCTCCCCCAGCCTCACTGCTGCCTTGCAGTTTGATCTCAGACTGCTGTGCTAGCAATCAGCGAGACTCAGTGGGGCAGGACCCTCTGAGCCAGGTGCAGGATATAATCTCGTGGTGCACCGTTTTTTAAGCCCGTCGGAAAATCGCAGTATTTGGGTGGGAGTGAACGGATTCTCCAGGTGCCGTCCATCACCCCTTTCTTTGACTAGGAAAGGGAACTCCCTGAGCCCTTGTGCTTCCTGAGTGAGGCAATGCCTCGCCCTGCTTCAGCTGGCGCACGGTGCGCGCACCCACTGACCTGCGCCCGCTGTCTGGCACTCCCTAGTGAGATGAACCCGGTACCTCAGATGGAAATGCAGAAATCACCCGTCTTCTGCGTCGCTCAGGCTGGGAGCTGTAGACCGGAGCTGTTCCTATTCGGCCATCTTGGCTCTTCCCTGTTTGCTTGATTTTCTAAATTATTAAATGCAACATCATGATCGGAGTAATGTAAGGTTGGTATAAAAACTTGAATAATAATGCTAACATTTATTATGACAAAATGATGTTCCTACAGTTTCACAACCATAAAATTGAGAGAAATTCTGCACAATTCTGTGTTGTGCTTTATGTCAATTAAAAACAATAACAGAAACTTATAATGAGGTAATTATCCACTTTTACTTTTTTATCAAGCTACACAGAACTTAGCTAAAATCCTAGCAATGCCAATTGCTTAATTTTCCTGAGACATCAATTTCTCATTTGTAAAATTGTGGCGCGGCTACCTATCTGGTAGCAATTTCTGTGAGGACTACATGAAATAACGGCAATTGCAGATTCTGTGAGGTGGCACCTAGCACTTAGTGTGCATAATCAAATTTGAGTTTCCTTGGCTCACTTCTTTTACCAAAAAATTTCATTTGTGTATCCCATTGACAGACCCAAAAGGTACAGTTCCTTAATTGATTTAATTTGACCAGGGATATACCCTTAATCTAATATAAACAAATTTATAGGTGTGGATAAACCAATCATCCTTTCTCAATTAATAATATAAACTTTGTCAAATAATGGAGCCAACTGTTAGCTTCTTGAATAAAATCATGTAAACTTTGGCTTGGGGCTCCCATGTTTATTAGGTGTTATACAAGATGAGATTATGGAAGCATTGAACAGATAATGGAAGGGAAAACAAAGTCAGCAGCATGACAAGGACCTCGCAGTTCCCCCTGTAAAGAGCTAGCATCCTTCATTCCTGATATATGTGCTTTCAGACTCAATTCCCATTAGGCCATACCCTAAGAGTCTGCTACATTATCTTGTATGTCCTTTGAAACATACATCTTTTGTATGTTAGTTGGCTTGAATGTGTTCTACTCATTACAATCAAATGAGTTTGGGGTATAAAATTGTTTCACTGCTTTTAAAATTCTGTCATTTAGAGCAGTATGTATTAGTTTTCAAAATATTAAGTTACACCATGGCTTTTTATGAATATTGATTATTCAGTAGGCTGTATAAGATGGGCTAATAGGTTTACCGATATGTAGTCTGGCTTAAAACTGACATATTTACCTTAAAAGTATTAGCGCTTTCATCTATGTCTTGAATATTGAAGAAAAAATGTAATATGGAGATTACATAAGCCTAGGGAATAAAAATGATCAAAACAGTTTGCCCAACTATCTGAATGAGTTGTGCACAAAATACTATGGTCCTAAATTGAATTACTTGTTAATATTTATGTTTATATAAATAATTTAAAATGCTTTCATCACAAGTAAAAAGTGAAGTAGTTAAAGAATGAGGTTATTTTTGATTTCAAGTAAGAATAAACAAACTCTTCATTATGTCAGCAAAAATTTTGGCTCTTTCTGTGTTTTCACTCGTCTGTCTTCAGTGCATTGGCTGTAGTCCTTGGTTTTGTTTTTTCATGCATTCAAGATGCTGCTGCATGCTTTATAATTCAATAAAACCTCATCCATAACATAAAGGGCAGTTGGCCATCCTAGGTTGTTTTTGTCTCCTGGATCACAGACCTTCACCAAAGCCCCCCCAGCATACTTCCTTCTAAATCCTATTGGTTTGGTTTGGGTAGGGTAGCCTGATATACTCTCTTGTCTAAGCAGAATTATGAATGCTTTCTTTTTATTCTCATACATGCCCATACTTAAATAAGAAATTATCTACCTGCTCTTGGTTTGGGTAACATGCCTATATCTTAGGAGCATAAGATCCTCCCCCAACCAAAAAAAAGGCAAAAAAAGAAAAAAAAAAAGTCAGAAAAACAAAAACAAAAAACCCAAATATCTAGTGTTTCAGCCTCTGTCATGGAAAGTGAATCTGCCAGCGGATAAATGAATGGCTTTGAGGTAGAAAACCACTAATGTCTGCCACATGTTAAGTACTAAACAATTTCCAAATTCTGAATATAAAGTTGGACATTGTGTAAATTAGGCTAAATTACTGATGCTAAAATTTTATGGGTTGGTCTGGTTGTCTGAACTTAGAAGTACTAATGAATCAATTTAATTATTAGGGAAAATTTAATTTTGTCTACTATTTTGAAATATTGATAAAAATAGGATTAGCAATTGCTCTTTTTATGAAGATTATTTTTTTATGATATTCTAAGTGTTTTCTTCTGTTTTCATCTAGAATTAGACCCAGTGACCAAGCAACTTATGCTCCAAACAGCTAAACCAACTTTTGGCCATCTGACAGATGTAAGTAAAATGTTCAAGTTATAATAAATGTCACTCTTCATAGTAATTAAATGCAAATGTTTATTGTTTTTTAATAGCTAGTAGCCTTCCTATTAAGATAACTGTAATGTTATCTGCTCTAGAAAATAATGACATAAGACATTTGTAAATGTTTATGTAAATAAGACATTTGTAAATGGTGCATTAACCATCCACCTACTTATGTGCTTTAATTTTACTCTAAGGTACTATTTTTGGTAAAAGAGATATTTATAACATCCTTCAAAAACTTTCAGTCTGTGTCAACAAAATTACTCTTGTAATAAGCCTTACCTCAAAGAATTTTACATTTTTAAAGAGGAACATAAACATTTAAACAGATATTTCAAAGACCAGGGGTCACTTTTTTTTTTAGTTATAGTAGGTCCATTTTATATGAATAAAATATTGTAGTTTGAACAAATACACCTCATGCCAATCTCTATAAAATTCATATTAGAATATGCCCATAGAATGCATAAAGAACCACTATGCATTAGTTCATGCTAGAATATTTAATAATCTATACAAAAAAGTGACTAAAACTTTGAACAAGTTTTTAATATGATGAATATGAACAGCATTCAAGTCAATAGCTTCCATAGGAGTCTGGAGAAGCCCAGATGGCCTGATGGTATTGCTCCTCATGAAAAGAATGCAAAACCCAAATGGCCTCAGCTCTCATAGGCCATGTATATGGGTGGGTGTCTGTAAAAGGTGGCAGACTGTGATGTGTGATATAAGGATGTTAAAGAAGCCAAAAGGAGAAGGAAATGGATTGGCAGTGTACCCAAATAGGATCTGGGAGGAACAGAAATACCTAAAGGAGTTTTTAAAAGATTAAATTGTTTATAGTGTGGTGCTAAATGTCTCTGTCTCCTAACAAAATCCTTAGTGAAATCCATCTGACTCATTCTGATGTTTTCAGTGTTTCCTTATGGTTGAGTTTGAACACATGCTGAGTCTTCCTTTTTGACTAAAGTGTAGTGAGAACAGTATTTCCCCGAAAGGAGGCAACTTCAGGGTTAAAATTAGAGAGCTCATCTGATATTTGTGAATTAGGGTGCAGCTTTCAGTTGTCTTTTGGATTAAATCATCTTGATGAAAGTGCAATGAGTGTTTCCTTGCCATGGTTACCAAATGACACAAATCATGATGGTAGTTGGTGTGTGACCTCAAGAAGAGGGATGTTATAAGATGAGCATTTGCTAGTTTGTATCACAAAAATTGCATGTTCTCTGAATTTAAGTTCTAACTACTGACTCTGTTGGTACAAGTGGAACTTTGCCTGAGTCAACTGAGAGGGACAAGTTTGGAGTTGAGGGAAGATACTTTCTTTGTAGCTAAGCCATCAGACTGGGATAGGAAGCAATACTCCAAAAACGGATGTAGAAAATAGTCTCCTCAATTCCTTAGCTGGGAAAGGAGCTTAAGCCAGGAGTCAATGGAGCCCTGGCTATCTCAGGTAAATCTTCGATGTTGTCTTCCCCTTAAGATTTTTTTTTCTGGTGGGGAGGAAAGGAGAGGAAAACATGTTTTTTCTATAGGAAATGTAGCAGTGATAGATGTTACTCACCAGGATTAGTGGGGATAGGAAATGCTGAATAGGACTAACTGGCTAGAACTGCCACCCTCCTAAGAAACCTGGATTATTCCTTCCAGGGGTCCAGGCATAATGAGGATTGTGATGTATCAGGAGAGCAGACATTTGAAAGGCAGTGGAAAAAGCAAAATGAAGCAAGGAGAAAATCCTAGGTTGGAAGTGTGTCGAGAGATATGTAGAAGAAAATAGACATTTCTAATTAAATTCTTTTAAGCAGTTTGCAGTGTCAGTTTTGCAGTAAACCTTCTGTCTTCCTTCAAAGTCTTCAATTGCTCACTAATGATTTTGATTTAAATAGATTTATTTTTAAATTCTGAGTAGAAAAATGTGCCAACTCAAATTTTCAGTTTGGTGGAGGCAAGAACAGATGCCACATATTAAGCCAGCCACATCTGTGTTAAACCATGTAGCACACGAAAAATAAAAGGAAACATACTTTATTCTGGCAATATGTTAGTGATCATTCAAGTATTCAATTTTAATTGCATGTTTGTCACTGTGTTGTTTTGTGACAGTTCTTGGCTACTTTGCACTTTGCTTTTTTTTCCAGCAGGAGCGTCTGTTTCAGTACTTTGCACAAACTAGCATTATTTTAACTAAGTCCAGCAGGGTCAAAATTAAATTAGTAGGTTATATATCTCTATAAAACACCCACCTGCATATGTTATGCACTTGCTTCATACTGATCAGCAATTTTTCCACAGACATAGTGATATGGTTTGGCTGTGTCCCCACCCAAATCTCATCCTCAATTCCCACATGTTGTGGGAGGGATCCAGTGGGAGGTAATTGTTCAATTACCATGGAGGCAGGTCTTTCCCTTGCTGTTCTTGTGATAGTTAATAAGTCTCACAAACTCTGATGGTTTTAAAAAAGGGAGTTTTCCTGCAAAAGCTCTCTTCTCTTGTCTGCTGCCATGTGAGATGTGCCTTTCACCTTCCGCCATGATTGTGAGGACTCCCCAGCCACGTGGAACTGTGAGTCTAATAAACCTCTTTCTTTTGTGTATTGCCCAGTCTTGGGTATGTCTTTATCAGCAGTGCAAAAACAGACTAATATACATGGAATTATTTTGACTAGTTTATTAAATGGGGAGTTTCAGACATAGCTCAGTTTTGCCTGGATAATGATTGGATGATTAAACAAAGTCAAATTTTTATGTATGGTGCCACAAAGAGAACCTTTACCAATAAGACCTCACTCCTGCTCACCTGTTCAAATAATATTTAATTCTCCGTGTTTACTTCTAAAAATGTCATTATTTACATTTTACAATTAACCTATAATCAATCTGGAATTGATGATTGTCTATAGAGTGAATTTAAGGTGGAGGTTTTATTATCCATATCTATATTTAGTTTTCCCAGTCCCATGTGTAAAAAAAGACCATTATCTACTCACTAAACTACATTGTCACCATTGTTATAAATTAACTGACCATGTATGTATAAGTTAATGTACAAAATATTTTACAAAATAGTTGCATTTGTCTATCCTCATCTCGATGCCACAATTATTTAATTTGGGGGTTTTTATATCATTTTTGATATATTTAGTGGAGTAAATCTTCCCACTTTGTTTTTTCTCATAGCTGTCTTACCAATTCCCCTCTCCTTTGGATTTACATTTAAATTTTGGAGACAAATTGATTTGTCAATATCCACAAAAATAACCTACTGTAATTTTAAGGTTTTATTTTTATCTTTGCTTTTCATTGGTTTTACTTTGGTGAGTTTACATATTATTCTGGTTTTATTCCTACTTATTCTGTTTAGGTTTTACAGCTTTTTTGAATATAGGAATTTGTCTTTCATTAGCTTTAGAAAATTTTTGGCCAGAATTTTATCAAATAATTCTCTGCCTCATTCTTTTTGCTCTCCTTTTGGGGCTCCATTTAAACATACATGAGAAATTTTCCCTGTATGTGTTTTCCTCCTACATATTTTTGGGTATTTCTTAATCTTTTAATCTCTATTTCAGTTCTCATATTTTAATTGCTCTTCCTTCCAGCTTACTAATTCTATTTTCTGCTGTTTTCAATTTGGGATTGATCTATCTATTGAGTTCTTCATTTCCAATTATATAGATGCCAATTATCAGGTGATATTCTATATTTTTTATCCTTTTAGTCCAACTTTTCTACTATTTCTTGAACGTATTAATCAAAGTTATTTTAAATTTCTTTTCTACTAACTTTAATATCTGAATCTTTGGTGCATCAAGATATCTAATTGTATTGTTTTTCCTGGTTCTCTGTCACATAGTCTTGCTCTTCTTATACTTGGTAATTTTCAATTGAACGCTGGATATTTTGTCCAAAAATTTATCGACTTCAAATAATAACTTTGTCGTGATAGGATTATTAATGTTTTTTAGGCAATTAGAATGGGGGATTGATCACTTTAAGCAATCAGAGAAAATTGATCCCATGTCACAAGAGTGGCAAGCCTCAGTCTACTTATTCATCCCTGTTACTCTTCAGGGTTTTCAATGAGATTTGAAAATATCACCTGGGCCTCACCACTGTCAAGTCCTAAACTCTAATTTTGTTTCTTTAGGGAAGACTGATGAAATCTCAGCGTTTTTCCAACAGCTTTTGGCTTAGCTTTTGAGCCTGTTGCCCTGCACAGACATCTCGGTGGAACAATTGATCATGTGTTTGAGTCCCCTTAGAGTCTCTAATTTTGTCGTTGTAGATAGAAAAGACTACCGAAAGCTCAGCTGGTTTCTCTGTTCTCTAGCAATGTACCTCTGCTTAGGCAAATTCCTTTAGCAGTATCAGCAACAGCCCCCAAAGCAGCAGTCAGTTCCACATTGATAGTTCAACTTCTCTAGATTACCATATCTTTATAACTTCATTAAAGGCATATTTTTTCCCCCAGCTCTTCTAATTGTGCTCAGCAAAAGCAATGGTCTATCACTAACTAACCTACTCTATACAGAAGCAGAAATTCTGAATATATTTTGCTGAAAAAGATCAAATGAAACCTGTTACCTACATTAGTTTCAATATTCTCTTTGGTCCTACCACTCATTATGGATTTCTATCTGAAAGATGTGCCTAATTCAAAGTACATATTGAAGAAAATGGTTGACATTGTTTTTCCCACAAAATGATCCAAGACTGCCTATTAACCCACCAGTATCTGAAACATTGAAATAGAGTCTGCTCGGCACCCACATGTCTTTCACCACAGGAATAATTTTATGTAAGACAATTAGTTTAACTACCCTGTCTTTTAAACTGGTATATTCTGATATTTTGCCAGGGGCAAGAAGTGGCAAAACCATTTTCTCTCAACTGATACTTTGTAGAATAAATTGAGTTATTTCAAGGAAAGTATTTGGTGCCCTTGATTTGGTAAATAAATGAGGCTCAAGGAAAGCAACAGAAATAACATAGATATAAGAGTAATTGTTGACAGAATGTGAAAAAAAAAGTTTTAGCTATAGAGAGATTAAAGACCATACTTTAAATTAGGGATGACTCACTAAGTTGAAAAAGGAGCAGAGCGAATACGAAAAAAAGCATTTAAAACATTGTAAGTCAAGTTTAATATAATGGTCTACTAAAATAAAATGAATTTTACTCTAGGCATAGAATAAAACTTATTGGAAGAATAGTCATTTTAAAAGTGTGAAAAGATAGTTGGGACACTTTGTAGCTGGTGAAAAGCCATTCTGTGATTACTCTTGAACTAAATCAGATTTGTAATAGAGCAGAACAATTTGATTTCGTTTTTAAAGATAAATATCAAAAATTTTACCATAGTTATTTAAGAGATATGTAGTAAATGGGAAGGCAGATGGAAAATTAAGAAGTTTCTTCTTATTTGGGCCTTCCCTAGTCCTGAGGTTCATCTGCCAGTGAATATGTTGCTTGCTGAAATTTTCTGAAAAATCTCCATTAAAACGTATGTGTTGCCTACAAAAAAAGGGATGATTAAATCCTCTCTGAAAAAGTCTGTTTATGATGACTGTTCCAATGTCTCCCATTTCACATGACAGAAGTCAGGAGCACAGTAACATTGAAGAGGGCAACACACAGCTAGGATAACACATGCGGCCTGGAGACTGTGCTCTTGGCATTCCCTGCTTACTGGAGTTGTTGACATTTAAAGACAGAAAAGAACATGGGATAGCAAAACGGAAGAAGCTTGTAGGCGTAATGTTTCTTCACCCCACAATGCCTGTGGTATGTCTATCTTTTCCAGCTTCTTTTTTGGCACTCGATGGGTGACAAGTTACAGAGCAGACTGAACTTTCAAAATAAAGAAAGGAATTATTTTTGTTTTCTCATATTTTTTCCTATTTAGCTTATTCAAAACAAATACATGAGTCTCAATATGGAATACATGACAGGCTCCCCTCTGGGGCTTTCTGAGGTTATATTTGTTCTCCCACGACCCTCTGAAGTTTCTAACCCAGGATATTTCAAATGAATGTCAGGCACTTACATTTTTTAAAGTTTCATAAGAGATTATGCTAAAACTCCTTTCAAACTTGGGAACATTTTCCTGGCATCAATTCTAAACTTAAAAAAAAATAAACTCTTGTTGTTTGGTCCTGAAATAAAAGCCAAACTAATTTTTAAGACCCTTAGCCAAATCCAGGTTGCCTGTTTAAGTCTGTATACTTTTCTTATCTTAGCCCTTATCTTTCAAAAGATGAGGATAATCCTATTTTAGTTCCACTAGCTCTTAAATTCGTTGGTTTTGTACTGGATAAGAAAAAATAAAATAGTAATATTAGAAAAAGTCAGGAAAGATAACCCAGAAATAACCGTCACTTATTTCCACTCAGTTAAGAATCAGTGGTTGAGAAGTTTTGAAAACATACTGTTTAGCCCTTTGCTTAGATGTAAAACTTTTAAAACTCTCTTTTAAAAAACGCTTTTAAAATGTACATATTATGGAAAATATACAAAGATAAAGCTGAATATAATAAATGACTAAATTTTTGTTGAAAGTGATATTGTATCTCCTTTTATCAAGGCGTCCATATCAACACGTGAGCACACATGCATGCAGACAGGACAACCTCTAAGACAAAGTGAAAATATGCACACCACAGTGTTTTGCTGGGTGAAGCGATGTTATCTGATAGCCGTATCCATCCATATTAGATTGCTTTGGCTTTTGCTGAATTGTGTTCTGTGTGATAGCACAGCCTAATATGAGGACATTATTACCAGAAATGTCAGAGCTCTTCTGACAGTACTATAAGGATATAGGTGCAGATGAAATTTCCAATATTCTTTTTATTAAGACATATGGGACATGTTTTTCCAGTTATAGTGCCAGGAATAGGTCTTCTCCTGAATGACTACTTTGTTTTTATTTCAAGGATACTATGACCCATTAAATGAATCACTGATCCTTCTAGATCAATCCTACTGGAAAGCTTTGGCCTAAATTTGTGACCCATCTCCATCAGATGCACAGGAACGCTTGTCATGTTCTTAGTGTACTTATCTCACTTCTGACATCAGCTCATTTTCCTATCCTCATTTTCCCTCTGTTCCAATTTTTTTCAGTCAGCATATATTTTATTTCGAAGTTTTATATATATATATATATATATAAAATGTGTAGCTATATATATACACACATATGTATATATATAATAAGAAGCTCTTTTAAGATACATCTTTGAACACAATAAATAAACTGAATCCAGATTTATTACCTAGTGCCAACTATCTAATTTAAATCATTTTAACTTTAATCAATATAACCAAAATGGTATAATTTTGTGATAATATTCTTTTGATTACTAGTATGTTATTTAATTTATGGTCTCTATAAGAAATAAGAAATATAAAAATAAGATTATTACCAGATAATTTTAGAAACAGTATTTGTTTTGTTCATTTGCTTAATAATAATGTATAATAAAGGAGAATGGACTGAAGAAATAATTACACTATTAATATAATTCAGAAAATATTTCAATTAAGTAAATAAATACACTGTTATTTTTAGATATCTTTTAAATAATCTCAATAGACCAGCACTTAATTTTTTAATACAGTCAATTTATTCTATTACATTTCCAGTCATAAACATTATAATTGCAGTAGATTGTTCCAACTGTATGATACATGATTTTTAAATTGCAAACTGATGTTTTCTCCAAGAGAAATGTAGATAAAAGCTATAAACACAGAGGAAATTTCCAAAAGTCTAGTGTGACTGTGTTACTTTATATTTCTACCAAATCAATTATGAATATAAACTTTAAGAAGTGAAAAACAAATATTAGTTTACCACTTGAAAAGTACTCTGATTCTAATTTGAACAAATCTCTTTTAAAAGTATTCTTGATTTAATATTCTTTTCATGCATAATTATTGTGAGAAATTATTTTTTAATTACAGTTTTCCAGAAGAGAAAATAATCTAAAGCAAATTTACAGAATGTGGCAATGATTTATGCTTTTAAAAACAGGTTTTCAAGACATTTCCCTTATTGGAACAATTATTTTTGCATAAATAATTTAAAAACAGTAAAGAGATTCTCTATTGTTTTAATAGAAGTTTTAGTTTTGAAAAAAAACAAGGCAGCCATGCTTTTGAATTTACAATGAAACTATCATTTTTGTCATTTATTTGTGTATGTAGGATACAATATATTATTACTCATGAAATGCACAAAGTACAGACAATGAACGCAAATTGGTGAATTTATGCCTGTTATTTGATGTATAATTAATGTTGTTAGGCTTTTCTTATTGTAAATTTATTTACAATAAGAAATACAGGTACATTTATCCATAAATAAATCATGTACAAATGATAAAATCTGTATTTAATAGATAAAATCTGTATTTAATAAAATGACAGAAGAGTTTACCAAATCTATACTACTTACCTGTGTCGACAACCCCGAGAGCTAATGACCCAAAAGTTGCCACTGTAATTGTCTAAACTCTATTTAGTAGGAAATTCAAGTCACCATATGAACTATTTATTTTTTATTCCATAAACAAAAATTGACAGTCTACTATAGGACAGGTTGTATTGTTAGCCACACTGACTACATTCAGTGCTTATCACTTCTGCATATGTGATGACTTTCTAATGGCCATGAATTTATTCTCAGGACCAAAGGCTGCAATTCTAAGGAAAAATATATTTTCCTACTTTAGAATTGGATTTTTTTTCATATCTTAGAAGATTAGTGTTCTTCATATTTAGAGGGTTTACTAAAAATCCAAAGTCATTTGTTCATGTTTTTTTCCACATACTTTCACATAGTGATAAATATTTAGCTATTTTTAGATCTGTCTTTAAACTAAAATGATTCAGGATTTAATTGCATAAGAACTCTACGTATATGTATATAAGAGAGAGAAAGGGAGAGAATGGAAAAGATAGGAAGTAAAGAGAGTTTGAGCGGTGGGCTGGTAGACATAGAAATTTGCAAAATTGAACTTATAACAATGATACAGATTAACTGAATAGCAATTACAGTAATCCTGGAAGTTTGTACACATAAAAATCAAAATACCAATATGATATGACCAATGTTTGTGGCATTCCATTCTTAAAATATACTTGTAGACTTTTAGATTAAGTTATCATATGCATATAATAAAATTATACAGTTCTTAAGTGTACTGGACAATGAATTTGTATTAAGTGGCAGCACTCGCATAACCACTTCAAAGTTCCTAATATAGAATACTATTAGCACTCAAAAAGACCTCCTTCAGTTCTACTCCCAATCATTGATCTTCCTTAAAGGTAACAATTAGTCTAATTTTCTGATAAGGTTAGTTTTGCCTGTTCTTGAACTTTATATGAGTGGAACTACATACTGTGCATTATTTTGCAACAGGCTTTGCCTCGCTAATGCTACGTCTATGTAATCTATCAATCAACACTGATGTGTATAGCAGCTGTTGGTTCTTTTACATTGACAAATGATAATTCATGATGTAAACATGCTACTTTTTCATGGTACGAATATATACAATTGATTCCACCGTTTATAAGCAGTTTGTTTTCTTTTTAAGTTTTTAGTTATTAAGAATATTGCTCTGAATCCTAGTTCCAGGAAAGAACTACCTGGACTCTTCCCTGACTCTCTTTCTAAATGCAGCTATAGAGTCTGAACAGAAAGCATATCACAACTATTGACCATTCTGCAAAGTAAACAATGGGAGATAGATTGGGGAAGAAGATCAGAATTCAAAATTATACCAAACTGGCATGAGTTTACCATTTTTCTCCTTTGTTTTTCATGTTGCTTGGCCCAGTAGGTGGGCACGGCCTCAGAAGTACAAAGCAGAGTGAGGTAACTAATGCCCAAGCTTTCTGGCTAAAGACATGGGAAGAAGAACCACAGGGAACTGGAAAATACCAGAGAGATAAATGAAAGCACTCACGAAAGTGACCCCATGAATTTAAGAATTCCTAAGCTCACACTAGAGCCACACATGCATAGATTTGTTCTTCATAGGCATTAAAAAAGGCTGAAGCTGAGTCAGCAGATAAACCACCACCCTTGCTGGCCAAAGACTTTGAAAACTGAACAGACTATGAACCATAGCCCACATAGGGCATGTTGGAATTTGCAACCTAAATCTAACCAGGCTATTGCCTGTTTAAACAAAAATGTCATCATTCTCAACGGGATTGAAATAAGACCTATATATTATAATTATATAAAATACAGAATAAATTTTACTATAAAATATAAAATTAACTACACATATCCAAAATAAAATATATGTATACAGGTATATGTGTGTATGTGTTTATATAAATGTGAGTGTATTTATGTTGGTGAATACAATCATGCCATATTTGGATATGGATAATGACATATGTATTCATTCTTTTTATTCCTTATGTTTTAAGATGTATTTTTCTGACTCATTACACTGGTTTGTTCATCCAGACAAACCAGTGATGAATGAAGTGATGATAAAACAATTTCAATATTTCACTACATTTGCTGTGTGTTTGTACATATGTACCCTGTCAGATCAAGACAATTCTCTAAATTTTTGGTTTGCTGAGGGCTTTTATTAAGTGAATGTTAAATTATACAAACGGTTCTGCATTTATTATTCTGAAAGAATAATAAAATTTGTCTTTGTTATTTTAAAATAAGATTCTGATGTCTTTTCATATGTTAAAGTAACATTAGCTTATGTAATAAAATCAATTTGTTATTGTTTTGTTATAAATATGAGTTGGATATAGTAATTCCTTATTTAAAATTTTGGGATCTAAATAAGAGTGATGGCCCTGTAATTTTTGTTTCTTTAAATTTTTTCAATTTTTATTTTTAGAGATAGGATCTCAAAGTTACCCAGGCTAAAGTACAGTGGCATGGTCACAGCTCACTACAGCCTCAAACTTCTGTGCTCAAGCAATCCTTCTGCCTCAGCATCCTGAGCAGCTAGGACTACTAGTATGTACCACCATGACTGGCTAATTTTATTTTTGTAGAGACGAGGGTGTTGCTATATTGCCCAGGCTAGCCTCTAACTCCTGGGCTCAAGCAATTCTCTTGCCTTGGCTTCCTAAAGTGCTAGTATTTCAGGTATAAGCCAGCATGGCTGGCCTCTTTCTTTTAACATATTTGTCCATCTTGTACAAATGTTATACTGGATTTTAAAAATATTTTCAGAAGCTTTTAAACAATTATATGAAAGAGTATATTCTAAAATGGCATTATTTGTTTTTTAGATTTTTATAAAATTTAATTCAGGAGCCAAGTTGGCCCTGGGTCATAGGTTAAATCCTTTAATATAAAGTTATTTATATTTTAAAATGTCTTTTAATGTTGGTTCTAGTAAATTGTATTTTTCAAGAAATTTGTCCATTTACTTTCATTATTTTGTGCCTTCTATACTGTAGTAGCGAAGACTGTTTTAAGTCTTATTGTTCCTTTTTGAAGGTAACGTTTATTCTTTGACTAGTTTTAAATATTTTATTTATTTTTATTGATTTATAATACTTGTACATACTTTGGGAGTATGTATGATATTTTGATACCTGTTTACAATGAGTAATGATAAAATCATGTAATTTGGAATATCCATTACCCTAAAGGTTTATCTTTTCTTTGTGTTGGCAACATTGCAATTTTTCTCTTCTAGTTATTTTGAAATGCATAATCTATTATTCACTATAATTTCTCTCTATACTATCAAATACTAGAACTAATTCCTTCTATTTATCTGTATTTTTGTACCCCTTAACCAACTTCTATTTATCCCTTTCTTTCCACTTCCCTTCCCAGCCTTGGGTAATCACCTTTCTACTCTCTACTGCCATGAGATCCACTGTTTTAGTTCCCACACATGAGGGAAAACATGTCATATTTCTCTTTCTGTTTCTGGCTTATTTTATTTAACATAATGGAACCTCCCCTTCCATCCATGTTGCTGCAAATGACAGGATTTAATTTTTTATGGTGAAATAATATTCCATTAGGTGGATATATCGCATTTTCTTTATCCATTCATCTGCTGATGGACACAAGTTGCTTGCATATGTTGTATTATAAATAGTGCCACAGTAAACATGAGAGTTCAGATGGCTCTTCCAAATATTATTTTTTTTCTTTCGGATGTATACTCTGCAGTGGAATTGCTGGATTATATGGTAGTTACACTTTTAGATATTTTAGGAACTTCCATAATATTTTCCATAGTGTCTGTACTAATTTACATTTCTACCAACAGTGTACTAGCATTCTTCTCTCTCTCCATCCTCTTCAACACTTGTTATCTTCACTTTTTGATAAACGTCATTCTACCAAATGTGAGGTGATATCACGTTGTTTTGATTTGCATTTCCCTGATGATTACTGATGTTAGGCTTTTTTTTTTCATATACTTGTTGGCTGTTTGTATGTCTTCGCTTGATAAATATCCATTCATTTCCTTTTCCCATTTTAAAATGGGATTGTTTGTTTGTTTATTTATTTATTTACTGTTGGGTTGTTTGAGTTCCTTGTATATTCTGGATGTTAGCCCCTTGTTGGATGAATGGTTTAAAAATATTTTCTCCCATTCTGTAAGCTGTCTCTTCACTGTATTGACCATTTCCTTTATTAGGCAGAAGCTTTTTAGCTCAATATAATCAAATTTCTCTATTTCTGCGTCTGTTGCCTATGCTTTTTAAGTCTTACCCAAAATTTTTTTGCCCAGATCAGTCTCCTGTAGTGTTTCCCCAGTGTTTTCTTTTCATAGTTTTAGGTCATACATTTAAGTCTTCAATCCATTTTGAGTTGATTTTTATACATGATGAAAGATTGGGCACTAGTTTTATTCTTCTGCATATGGATATTCAGTTTTCCCAGCACTATTATTAGAGTCTGTCCTTTCCCCAGTGTATGTTCTTGGTGTCTTTGTCAACAACCAATTGGCTGTAAGTGCATGGGTTTGTTTCTGAGTTCTTTATTCTGTTCCATTGACCTATGTGTCTGTTTTTCATGCCAGTATCATGCTGTTTTGGTTATAAAAGCTTTGCAGTATAATTTGAAATCAGATAATGTGATACCTCTAGCTTTGCTCTTTTTGTTCAAGGTTGCTTTAGCTATTTGGGATCGTCTGTGGTTCCATATGGATTTAAGGATTGTTTTTTCTATCTCTGTGAAGAATGTTATTGGTATTTTGATAGGAATTGCATTGAATCTCACATTAGGTAGTATAGACATTTTTATAATATTCTTACAATCCATGAGCATGGGATACCTTTCCATTTCTTTGTGTCCTCTTTAATTTCTTTCATCAGTGTTTTATTGTTTTCCTTGTAGAGATCTTTTGCTTCTTTGGTTAAGTCTATTTCTACATAGGGCTTTTTGTAGCTATGGTAAATGGCATTGTTTTTCAACATGTTTTTTCAGATTGATTGCTGTTAGTGTGTATAAACACTACTGATTTTTGTATGTTTATTTTGTATTCTGTAAATTTACTTAATTTGTTTATTCCTTCTAACAGTTTTCTGTGGAGTAATTAGGTTTTTCTAAATATAAAGTCATGTCACCTGCAAACAAGGATAATTCGACTTCTTCCTTTCCAATATGGATGCCCCTTTATTTCTCATGCCTAATTGTTCTGGCTAGGGTTCCAGTACTATGTTGAATAGAACTGGTGAAAGTGGATGTTCTTGTCTTGTTCCAGACTTTAGTGGAAAGGCTTTCACTTTTTCCCCATGCAGTATGATATTAGCTGTGGGTTTGTCATATATGGCCTTTATTGTGTTGAGGTATGTTCCTTCTATAACCAATTTGTTAAGAGTTTTTGTCATAAAGGAATGTTGAATTTTTTCAATTCTTTTTCAGCATCTATTAAAATGATCACATGTTTATTGTTCTTGATTCCTTTGATGTGATATATCTTGTTTATTAATTTACATATGTTAAATCATCTTTGCATCTCTGGATGAATCCACTTGATCATGGTGAATGATGTTTTTAATGTGTTGTTCAATTCAGTCTTCTAGTATTTTGTTGAGGATTTTTGCATCTATGTTCATCAAGGATATTGGCCAGCAGTCTTCTGTCTTTAAATGTCCTTATCTGGTTTTGGTATCAGAGTAACACCATGTTAGTAGTATAAATTAGGAAGAATTGCCTCCTTTTAAATTTTTTGATATAGTTTGTATAGAATTGGTGTTATTTCTTCTCTAAATGTTTGGTAGAATTCATCAGTGAAGCCATCAAGTCCTGGGCTTTTCTTTGATGGGAGACTTATTACTACTCCAATCTTGGTTCTCATCATTTTTCTGTTCAGATTTTCTATTTTTTTATGGTTCAAATTTTGGTAGATTTTTGTCTTAGGTTTTCAAACTATTATGTGTCCAGATGTGACTTTCTTTAGATATCTGTCTATCTATCTATCTATCTATCTATCTATCTATCTATCTATCTATCTATAATTGGTCTTTATTTATCCATAGATGTATCTATCTAGAGATAGATCTTTATTAAGGTTAAGAGAGATTTTTGAACGCATAACTTAATATTGTTGTTAGTTTTGGGGAATCTCTACCAATAATTCTTCAAATACTTCTTCTGCTTTAATATTTTTCTTTTCTATTCCTGGGACTTTGATGTCAAGTATATTAGGCCTATTTAATATGTTTCTATAATGTAGATCCTCTTTTCTGTATTTTTTATCTTAGTTTTTCTATCTGTGGTAACTTAGATGTTTTCTGTTGATACATCTTCCAGTTTACTAATCTATACTTTTTCTAATTTTCTTTTAAATTTATAGATTCATTTCTATGATATTTATTTTTATAATTCCAGTTTTCTGGTGTATTCATTATATTTTTATCTATTAATACCATAGTTATTTAAAAATTCATTTTAATACCAATAAATGGAACTTCCAGCAGGCCCTACATGTGCAATATATACTTATAAGGGGACAAAGGGAGATTTGAAGACAGAAGAGGAAATAAAAGATGATGATATGGTGATGTAAGCAGAGGGAGAAAAGGCAATGTGATGTGGGGCCACAAACTAAGGATATAGTAGAGCTTCCAGAATCTGGAAAAGGTAAGTACATGGATGCTCTCCTAGTGCCTTTGGAGAGCGTGCATCCCTACTGACAACTTGATTTCAGTCCAGTGAAACTTATTTTAAGAGAATAATTTACCAATAAGTTAGTGGTTATTTGTTACAGGAATAATAGGAAATTAATACAGATACTTTTAGATGAATGTTGGACTTTGTATATAAAATACTTACAAAGCCTCTGAATAATATTATTTTGTTTCAGAGAGAGTATAATCTTTTTTTTTCTAGTTGGCAGAAAAGTGATGGGAAGATTACCTTGATTTAATCAAGACTGGTCTATTTTCAGATTGCCCTCTTCTAGTATATAGCCCTCTAGTGTCTCATTCAAAGCCAGGGGTTTTAACAAGGACATCTTCTCCTTCTTGGCACTATCAATTTATTAAACAGAGTTTGAAAATGTTCTCGACATCAGGGATAAAATTATTAAAGTAACAGTCCTTTTCTTCAAGGGACTCGAAATTAGACACAGACTCTAACACACCTGTGATCCAATAGCAAAACTGTTCAGTTTTATGGCAGTTCGGGAGATAGTTTGAAGTCCCTCACATCCCCATGTTTTAAATCTTTTCTCCAGATTCTGAAATTTAAAAATATTTATCTTCTCAGACTCTTTTGCTGGTAGTGATGATCATGTGGCCTTGTTCCAACCAATGACGTATTTAGAGATATTCTCTGTAGAGGGCTTGACTTTTACAGAAACAGACAATATCTCAGTAGCAGAAGGTTTTTGGCTCTTCCCATTCTTTCTGCTAGAACACAGGCTGTAACCATATTGTTAACATGTAGCACAAAAAGAGATGTTGTACCATAAAGACAGCAAGAGCCCACTTTCTGAACTACATCGGTGAATTGGACCAGTTACCTTCAGACTTTATACACATAAATTGAATCAACCTTGGATTTCTTTAAGCCATGAAACTATAAGACTTGAATGTATTCTTACTCAGAACAGGGGACTAGGAGGAAGGAACAACTAGTTTTGCTGGTAGAAATTATAAAGAAGTGTAGAGGGAGTGAAGCTACATGAAAAATGTAGTATACTATCTAAGTATAGAAGAATAAGCAGGACTTTTTATATGGTGATGGTAGGAAGTGGGGTGGTAATCTATATTTGGAGCACCACATTGAAGCATTAACTTAGTAACAAAAACACAAGGTTGAAATGAAGAGAATGTGATAGATTTATATGAGACAGGAGGCTGGGAAGTAATCTGGTGTCACATTTTGCAAGAGGCTTGATTTTTATTCATCAGAATCTCCTTCTAACTTCACTAGGATGCCATTGGGATTTTTAAGTAGGAATTTATATAATCTGTGTTTCACCCAAATAACTCGTGAAAATAGATTGGTGGTATGAGTATAGGAAGGGTTTGATGCTGGTGACTTATGCCAGGTATGCTTAGTTCAGTGGCTTCAGAACTTGTATATTGAAATGATGTAACATAAATGCAACTCTTCAGTAATATAATTTTAATATATTCTATAAACCTCCATATGGCATGAGCCTTTGATATTTTTAGAGGGATATCTATATCTATGTACAACCACAGAGGGTAAAATCAACAAGAGTCCTCCTGTTTAGAGTCTCAAGGCCTTTAGTCAGTTGCACTATTTTATTTTTCTCTTGACCTGACAGAACTCCAGTTCATTGAACTTCTGGGCACAAAACTAGAGACATCTGTTCCGTTGAACTTTTCACAATTGATATGTTAATTAAAAATGACTTTTGGCTTTTAACATTTTGTTTATTTTTCATAATATACATGCCCTGTGGCATTTCACAATGGGTGTTGTCTTATAAATATCAAATATAAATAAACAAAGCAAGCAATTCATTATTACTTCTGGAATAAAAGCTGTACATGATGTAACTCTAAGATTTTTCTTTCACCTCTTTCTGGCCAGAATATTCTTGGATTTCCTCCAGAATAAAGATCAGCTCAGTGGGATTCATGCATCTGTCACATCTGGACTATCTCAATGCAGCCTAGTCAGTGTGCACAGAGGCAATGCGAAGGTTGTAGATTGCATAAAGTGTGACAGCCTGCCTATATTTTGCAGCCAAAAGCACAAGCATATTATCCAATTTCCTACTTTCAAATGCAGGATTCTGATACATTATTTTGATTACACAAACACCAACCACCAAACAATCAGGACAAATTTAGGCCAAGCTAGAAACCATTCAACAACCCTGTAGAAGGCAGGAGAAAGTAGACCCCTACCCCTTCCTTTGGAATCATGGCTTTTAAACAAAGATGATACATAGCTTGTGAGAAAAAATAGTAGCGCTATACATAATAATAGAATAACATTGCAGAACAACAGAAACTACAATGAACTTGCCTGAGTATGTGTATGACCTGCTTGGAGGTTTTCCTCTATTTTTTTTCCTATCTAGACTCTGAAAGGGGCTATCCGGTTCTAAAAATGCTGAAGTTGGAGGAAGGGAGATCTGAGAAATAGTTGCTGTATATTTGACAATAGAATATTGGAAAAATGAGGGTTGGTGATATTTTATAGACATAGATAGATATAGATGTAGATACAGATATATGCCATGTTCCCAAAGGGCTACTTTTCATACCTCAAGATTAAGCATGATGCTTTATATTTCAAGATAGACACATAAGTACTACAGTCTGTCTGATAATACATATTTATAGATAACATTGTATATCAAGCTGAAAAATAATAAAATTTAACATTATTAGAGGAACCAAAATGATGTTTTATGCATAATTCTGTTGTAATTCTAACAGTAAAAGAAAGCAAATCTGAATTTACTGATTCATTTAATTCTCACTGTAATAGCAAAAAAACTGAATTACAAAAATAACTTGTTACAAAAATAAATGATGATACGAGATTTAATTATTCTAAATTTAATAAAACATATTAATAGGATATTTTTTAAATGGTTATAGTTTAGAAAGGATGAATATCAAACAACCAACAAGTTACTTGTTCATAAATGTTAGATTAAAATGTCAAAAGTAACCACTTATGTGTCTAAGATTTTATCTGTAGTCTTTAACAGACTTATATAGAACACTTACATTTAGAAAAGCTTTTCTTAAATTCTCAGGAATAAGAGAATTAAAAATAAATAAGAAAATTCCATCTCTTTAGTGGATTTCATAATCTATTTGAGGATAAAGTTATGTAATACCTTAATGGAGTTAAAATTTGGGCCACACTGATGTATACTTTAGTTGTTTTCTTGCCTGTGGGAGTAATTTTCTTGATCATCCACAAAACTGCTAGAAAGTCTACTAAATGGTTTACATCTATTATTTTTTTAAACTCCATGACAATCCTATGAAACATAGAGAATCATGATTCCCGTTTTGAAGATGATGAAACTGAGACTCAGAAAGATGAGGATTTATCCAAAGCTGCACAGCTGGCAGGGCTGGAAATGACACCTAAAGCCATGCTTGTCTGTCTGATTTTAGACACAATGCTTTTAACCTCTACAAATTCATTCTCTGTACTGTTTCCAAAGAAAACTGTCTAAATAAACACCTCTGATTATGACACCTTCTATGTTTTACATTTTTTTCCTGTGACTGTTCTTTGCTTATAGAATCAAAACTAAATTTCTTAACACGGTATAAAAACAGATAAGCTCCTGCCCGTTTCTCTTGCCCCTTATCTCACTTCACTGAACACTTTAAAACTCTCTTATCCTACCACACTGAATTCCTTTTAGTTGTCAATGTGCTGACTTGTGTATCTGTGTCTTTACTTACACTGCTTGCTCTGGCTTTAATATCCTGTTTTCTTTCTCTTTTTCTTTTTCTTTTTGTAACAAAATCTTGCTCTGTCACCCAGACTGAGTGCAGTGGCATGATCTTGGCTCACTCCAGCCTCCACTCCCCAGGCTCAAGCGATTTTCCCACTTCAGCCTCCCAACTAGTTAGGATGAAAGTTGTGCACCGCCCCCCATGCCCTGATAAATATTTTTTTTGTATTTTTTATAAAGATGGGGTTTTATCACCTTGCCCAGGCTGGTTTCAAATTCTTGGGCTCAAGCAATCCACCCACCTCATCCTCCCAAAGTGCTGGGATTACAGGCATGAGCCACTGCCCTTGGCCATGAATATTCTTTTTTCATTTCATAACTTGTGACATAGACTTATCCTTTAGAATAAGCTCCAGTGTCACTGGCATTAGTGAGACTTTGCTGAGCCTTGAAGTTACTGACCACTGATCACCTTCCCCATTTGCTTCTACATCATCTACATCATATGATGCAAATATTTATTGGGATGTTTTAATTTGCATATTTTCCCCTACTGTCACCAGACTATAAACTCTCTGAGAGTACGGTTTTACATGTTTAGTTCTGTTATTCCTGTATATGGCACATAATAAAATACATAGTAAATGTTTTTAAATCAATAAATTAATGATTTACTTTATAGATGAAAAAATTATTACCCATGGGTCTGGGTTACATATAGTGAGATATATAAGAGCAGCTCATATTGCTTACAGAGTACATGCAATACATGATTATAGATGATTTAGAAAGTCTTATATAGACTTGCATATTGTTAAATGCCTATCACTTCTAAAACCCATTTATTCATATCCATAGCTTATATGTGAAAGTCCAAGTGACTTAGTTGTTACTAAAAGCCCCTGCCAATTTCTCCAGCATTTGCTCCTGCTATTTATTCTTCTTTATGTTTGTATTAGGAAAGAGATTTAATTGACTCACAGTTCCACATGGCTAGGGAGGCCTCAGGAAACTTACAAACATGGCAGAAGGGGAAGCAAACATGTTCTTATTCACAAAGCAGTAGGAGAGAGAAATGCTGAGCAAAGATGAAAGAGCACTTTATAAAACCATCAGAGCTCATAAGAACTCACTCACTATCATGAGAGCAGCATGGGGGAACTGCCCCCATGATCCAATTACCTTCTACAAGGTCCCTCCCTCAACACGTGGAGTTTACCATTCAGATTACAATTCAAGATGAGATTTGGGTGGGGACACAGAGCCAGACCATATCAATGCTCTACTCATGCTGAATTGCTTGAAATTTCCTAAATACACCAAATTATTTCACACTTCTATGCCTTGCCTATGTTCCATTCTCTCATCAGCCTAAGTTCGTCTTTGAAATCCTGCCTATGTGAAACTTTATCTCAGAAGTCTTTCTTTTCCAATGCCCTCAGCACCCTTTGCTCCATGACACCCACTTGCTGTGAAGGTTTTGCTGTTTCTTATCTGTTATATTCTGCATTTGTCCCTGACATATAATTTAAATTTATATATCAGTTGTATGTAACCATTTCTTTCTACTAAAATATAAGCTGCTTGGAGAAATGTTTTAAGTCATTGGTCTCGGCAATGAATTTTTGGGCAAGACCTCAAAAGCACAGGCAACAAAAGCAAAAATAGACTCATAGGTTGACTTCAAACTAAAAAGCTTCTGGACAGCAAAGAAAATACTCAACAGAGTGACGAGGCAACCTATAGTATGGGAGAAATTATTAGCAAACTATTCAACAGGGAATTAATAATCAGAATATATAAGGAACTCAACTCAATGGCAAAAAACCCAAATAATTAAAAAAACGGGCAGATGATCTGAGTGGATATTTCACTAAAGAAGACATATGAATGGCTAACAAGTACATGAAAAAATTCTCACCATCACTAATAATCAGGGAAATGGACATAAAAATCACAATGAGGCATCATCTTCTATTTGGTAGGCTATCCTTTATCAAAAAGTCAAAGGAGACTGAGCACGGTGGCACACAGCTGTAGCCTCATGACTTGGGAGGCTGAGACAGGAGGATGATGTGAGCCCAGGAGTTCGAGTCCACCCAGGCTAACATGAGGCACCATTTCTTAATTAAAAAAAAAAGTCAGAAGATAACGAGTAATGTTGGAGAGGATGCAGAGAAAGGGGAATGCTAATATACTGTTGATGGAAATATAAATGGGTATGAAAACTATAGAAAACTGGTTTCACCACTGTTTAGTAGTGGTTGTACTACCTTTTCTAAAAAAAATTAAAAATAGATCCACTATATGATCCAGCAATCTCACTACTGGGTGTATAATCAAAGGAAAGGGACTCAGTATTTCAGAGATACCTGGGCTGCCATGTTTATTGCAGCACTATTCATAATAGCTATGATATGGAAGCAAACTAAGTGTCTATTAGTGGATGAATGGATAAAGAAAATGTTTATATATATATATGTGTGTGTGTATATATGTATATATATACACACATATATAATTTTATTTTATTCCTTTTTATGTCTGAATAATACTATAGTATATTATATAATATTCTATTGTGTATCATTCAGACTTAAAAAGGAATGAAATCCTGTCATTTGCAGCAACATAGATGGAACTGGAGATCATTATGTTAAGTGAAATAAGCCTGGCATAAAAAGACAAATATTGGGTATTTTCATTCATGTGTGGGAGCTAAAATAGTTGCGCTCATGGAGGTAGAAAGTAGAATAGTGGTTACCAAAAGCTGGGAAGGGTGGAGGGGGAATGAAGAGAGGTTGGTTAATGGGTATAAAAATACACTTAGATAGAAGGAGTAAGTTCTAGTGTTTGATAGAACAGTAGGGTGACAATAGTTAAGAATAATTTATTGTATATTTCAAAGTATCTAGGAGAGAAGATTTAGAATGTTGCCAACACAAAGAAATTATAATTATAATCATTGGAATTGTGGCTTTGAAATATTTAAATTAAGAAATTATTGATAAAAGGGAGTCAAGATTGAAGAAATTACTAGTAGATGATAGATGTCCCAATTGCCCTGATTGGATCGTTACACATTGTATGCATGTATTAAAATAGTACGTGTACCCCAAAAATATGAACAATTATTAAGCACCAATAAAAATTTTAAAAATTTGGCCGGGCGCGGTGGCTCACGCCTGTAATCCCAGCACTTTGGGAGGCCGAGGCGGGCGGATCACGAGGTCAGGAGATCGAGACCATCCCGGCTAAAACGGTGAAACCCCGTCTCTACTAAAAATACAAAAAATTAGCCGGGCGTAGTGGCGGGCGCCTGTAGTCCCAGCTACTTGGGAGGCTGAGGCAGGAGAATGGCGTGAACCCGGGAGGCGGAGCTTGCAGTGAGCCGAGGTCCCGCCACTGCACTCCAGCCTGGGCGACAGAGCGAGACTCCGTCTCAAAAAAAAAAAAAAAAAAAAAAATTTAAAAAATTTAAAAACATAAGCCACTTAAGTACAGGAAAAACATCTTCCTCTTTATATCTCTAACTTCTACTAACGTGTTAGCATGAGGTAAATGTAAAAGTCAACCTGGTACACCTGTCGTATTTTGTAAGCAGAGGTAATTACTATAAGTTTAAGACTGTTATTTTAACATAAAAACTAAGTTGATTTTATTTAGAATTATCAAAGTACAAACCAGGACATTTCTTCTAGTAATGCATTTATATATCAGTTATGCATTTAAAAAAAAAACCTCATCTCTACTAAAAATACAAAAATTAGCTGTGCATGATGGCACACGCGTGTAGTCCCAGCTACTTGGGAGGGTGAGGCAGGAGAGGTTGCAGCGAGAGGAGAGGTTGCAGTGAGCAAAGATTGTGCCACTGCACTCCAGCCTAGCAACAGAGCGAGACTCTGTCTCAAAAAAAAAATAAAAATAATAAATAAGTAAATAATAAAATAAAATAAAATAAAAAGTACACAATCTGAGGATACATGTTCTCAGAACAATTAACATTGAGTTGGTTTGGTTTCCTGTCTTGAACAAGAAAATCACATAATTCACCCACGAAATCTTTTTGTTGTCCTTATGAGCAATTTATTTGACAGTGTGTCTTTAGAAACCTATATTTTCATTATCAAACTTTCAAGTTGCATGTTCCTAGAACTTGTCAATGTCTGTCAACTGGTCCGTTTAAGGTGGGAAATGGGACTGGAAGGTGTTAGAAGATAGCAATTTTTATTTTTATTTCATATATTTTTATATTTTTGAAACCCTTATAATATATACTTATATTATTATTGTGGTAAATATAGAAAATAAATAGTATATCTGACTGAACATGGTTCGACAGCTGTTTACAAATTGAATCCCTTAGAAAATATTTTATTATAAAAAATATGTTTTGACATAATTTGGGGTTAAAAAAAGTTTTCTTTATAGACCATCTTTAATACTCTTGTCTAGAGAGATACGGTAACTTTTTCCAAAATTATGACTTACATGTTTCAATGATAAAATACACAGACACAACTGAGTTAAAATCTAAGGTCCTCCTGGCTCCCTAATATTTTCCCCTCCAACACAAAATAAAGTAAAATATTTCTACTAGAAACATCCATGTACAGAAATAACGATAAGCATATTGTTCAATGGTTCAGACATATATTTCTTTTTCCACATTCACAATGAATTTGGAAATATTAACAGATATTATCTGAATAAAATACATTACTATACTGTTTTGTCTACCATTTTGTGTATGGTTCCTTTTTAAGTTATCTGAAAAATTTGTACAGGAGTACTAGTAATTTCTTTAATCCTGACTCTCTTTTATCAATAATTTCTTAATTTAAATGTTTCAAAGCCACATTTCCAATGATTGATAATTATTTATTTATTATTAATAAATAATATTTTTTTAGCCTTGAATTTCTTTCTTACACCTCTGTTTCTTAGGTCTTTCAATGCTCTATTTTCTCACTTTGATTTTTTTAATGGTTTTATTTTTTACAGTTTTTATATGCCTACATTTTTTATTTTCAATTTATAATGCCATGTAAGTTGGGTAAATAGCCTTCAATATTATATTAATGCATCATTGCTCATTGTTGCAGATAAATGGTCTGAAGCCAGACTGATTTTATTTCTTGTATTTTATTTGTCTATTTTCTGTTTTTTCTGTCCTTTATTCCTGAGGTAATTAGTTTCACACACACACACACACACACACACACACACACACACACAAAAAAAAAAAAAAAATATGTATATATATAGAGAGAGAGATGGAGTTTCGCTCTTGTTGCCTAGGCTGGAGCAGCATGGCGCGATCTCTGCTCACTGCAACCTCCACCTCCCGGGTTCAAGCAGTTCTCCTGCCTCAGCCTCCTGAGTAGCTAGGATTACAGGCATGCACCACCACGCCCCGCTAATTGTTTGTATTTTTAGTGGAGACGGGGTTTCTCCATGTTGGTCAGGCATTGTGGGTTCTTTGATGATAAAAGTTGAACTGTTTTTCCTCGTCTCTAAGAAATGTTCCAAATCCATAGTTCCACAGTTCCATCCTAAGTTTCAAAGCTTAGGAACATTTCTTTGGTGCCTATCATTCATTCATTTATTTAACAAGTAAGTACCTACTGTGTTCCAGTCAATGCTCTGAGCACAGAGAACATAGTAGGTAGCAAAACAGGGGAAGTGCCTGCAGTCTGGTGAAGGAAACTGACAATAAACACTTAACTAAATGGTTTTGATGATTTATGCATTTACCATTGTGGGGATAAACATAGTGGAGACCCAGAATGGAGTGCCCAGCACTGGAGGATTTTAGTTTATAAAATGTAAATGGGGAAGGCCTTATGGATATGCTGACATTGAGTAGAATCCTGAAGGAATTTAGTGAATGAGCCAAACATTTTAGGGAAAAATGTTTCAAAAAGAGGGAAGAGCCACATGCAAAGATTCACCTTTTATGTGACTTGAGAACATGGTAAACAAGTTTAAAGAATAGAATAAGCCAGTGTGGCTGGCACAGAATGAGCATAGATTAAAATGGAAGGAGATTAATTCAGAAAGGTAGTGGTGGCATGTGAACACTTAGTCGTCATACTCTAACAGCTCTAATCTCTCTGTTATCTCTGGCACATGTGAAATGAATCTTGAATATCCTTGATTTACTTTTCACATTTCTAACTTTACTCTCATTCTTTTCATTTTGTTTTCTTTGCACTTTCTAATGTGTTGAGGTAAAACTTCAGTTCAGTCTTACAGTTTACCAGGGTGAATCATCAATAATATCAATTTTACTAATCATTCAATGTATAACAACATTGAAAATTTATCTAGTTGTGTTTTTAATATCTAAGAATAATATGTCAGGGAATATGTCTATCATGCTCATGATTTTTTTTTGGTTCCTGAATTTATATCCATAATTGTAGATAACACTCTAGCTTGGTAGCTGAAGTGCTTATTTTTAACTCAGATGTTAACTTTGTAGAAAATCAAGAAATGCCAGTTCTGTGTATGGGAGCTTTAGCCCTGCTGCCATGTATAAGAAGTGGGTGGCAGGGGGAGGTTGCAGAGTTTACCCTTGTCATATAGCCTGGTTCTTGAGATTTCCTTGAGACATTTATGCAGAGTGGTGGTGACATGGTGGTTTAAATTCTGACATGCTACTCTGTGTCTCTGACACAAAACCTATTCTGGGCTTATTCTGAATTCAAACTCATTTATCATTCCAATTGTGGAATTATTTAACTTTATTCTGAAGATTCATACTGAAGTCAGCACTCTGAGCATGAATAAATATTTGCAGATGCCACCTAATATATTCATTAACTGGCTGATCTCCCAAGCAAATATTTCTTCTCTAGGAAAAGTATTATTTTTCCTATCTAACATTGCAAAATGAAATTATCATTATCTTTATCAGATTCCATGTGTGTTCTGTCTTATACAACATCTTACTGGTCTGTTCTCCCCTCCTTTGCAACATGCTATCATTTTGATTTTATATTAGTACATTTTCTTCCATTTCAATGAAATCTGGGTGTGGACCAATAGTCAAAACTTGTGTTCTGCTAGCCATGTCAAATTGGAGGTATCTCAATGCATATTTTCCCTACCTAAGAATTATGCACCCTCTCCAGCTTGGGGTTCATGAACAATAGATATCAAGGACTAATTAAGCAGGAACACTTATATACTTGAGGAAGCTTTTCTTTGGATATGGTTATGAGTGGAAATGTACACTTGTCATTTCTTTAAGTGTAAGCATGTGTCAATTAAAATGGCAAAGATTGACATCAATTTTTTCTGTGTTGTTCACTGGTACTCACTTTTCCCATTTTCATTCAGAGTTCCTAATATAAATAAGCAAATCAATTTATTTTTATTCACAGCAGCAAAACATTGGTTAAATATGTTAATCTGAATACAGATGGGATTTAATACTAGGTTTTGCAAACACATACAATTATTTACTTAAATGGTATATTTTTTGGAAACTACAAGCATATTTTCCAAAGTTTCTTCCACATTATCAAATGATATGTAGGTACAGTTCTCAGAGAAGCAAAGTTCTTGGATCATAGAATTTTGAGAATTTTATCTATTACTTTCACTGTCTTTACTGTACAAAAAAATAAGTTTAAAATAATTTACTGCACATAAAATGCCTGGTAATCCAAATCCTAATAACTCTATGTCATATATATATGTATATATGTGTATATTCCTGAGAAATGGAGGTTACCAAATTCCATGAGATAACAATGTCATCATTCTTTCAAAAGAATATATGTAATGAATATTAACAAAATATATGTTTATTCAGAATTCTATGAGAGATCTGAGGTTCACAGATTTCAGTATTGTGGTATGTTCTTTTTACTGCATCATTTCTATGTTAAAAATGATATCATAAATGCCAAGTACATAGTTTCTCATTCCACGTGTATTTTTCTGGTTAGAAATAGCACAGGCGTTTTAGAGGGAGGAACCAGTAATTTAATTGGAAATATCAGTGTATTGATTGAAACAAAGAAAGATGCTCAGAATAGAGAAAATAAGATGGATTACATTATATCCATCATCTGTATTTTAGAATCTCTCATGCAGAAGGTATCAATGTATTCGTTTTCCTAGATCACAGAATAAGGACTAATGGTTAAAAGTCCTGTGATGTTTGACTTCAAGTAACCATAGACAGCATTTTATAGAACCTATATATCCAGCACTGGCCCATGCTCACCTGTGAAGTAGTAACACCCTATCGTTTGGAAGTGTTCAAGCTGGTACTGGAATGCCATATGTCAGGACTATTATAGAGGGAATTCAAATACTATAGTGCTAGAGTAAGTTATATCTAAGATTTGGTTTCAAATATTATATTTTCCCAAATTTTTCTTCTGTACAAATACCAGGGTTAAAAGTCATGTATCTTGTTTCAGGTTAGAGTAATTATTTTAAAAGCTACTTGGTGTTTTGCTTTTGCTGAACAAAAGATTCTACTGTATTTTGTTAAGTAACTTCTCTGTCTCTTTTTTGTCTCTGTGTCTCTCTATGCCTTTTTGTCTGTCTTATTCATTAACTATACTCTGAATGAGCTTCTTTATAAAATCAAAGAAATAGTACAATACAATTTTATTATTATTTACAACTTTTTAATCTGTCAGACAGTGCAACAGCTTTGTTGGAACATGAATGCTATGTTTAGATGATCAGAATCTATCCTTCTGTTATTATATTTCACTCACCAATTACTGTAAATTTTAAAAAGTGCATATGCAATTACTGTTTTATTTATTTTCCTCCAGGTGCCTCATGTTTTTCAGAGACCATATTTTGTGATAGACTTGGAATCATAGGTGATGACTGAACCACTTTAAATAGGAATAAAATTATTTAACTAACATTTGCTACCTAAGAGTAGAATCAATATCTTCAGCTCTAGATTATTTCATAGTTCCTCTAGGGTTATTTAAATAAGAATTGGAGAAATAGTATGTTAAATAAGAATTTGAGAAAAAGCATGTTGTATGAAAATGCCTTATGTAAAGAACTTCGTATAACAAAATTTGAACAAAGCTATTACAACATGTCATCTGCCAAAAAAAGACATTTGTTACTTTAAAATATCAATGTTGATTAGAATTTATCCATTTTTTTAATGGCTTTTGTTTTATTTTGTAAAAACAACCCATTGTTTAACATGAACTTTGCAAAAATTTATTCATCTCTACTTTTATATGATCAACTGTAAACTATTATTGCAGTTGACAGAGACATAGAAACAACAGTGTGACACAAACTAGCTACTTGCTCATTTAAATCTTTTTCCTTTTCTTCTGAACAAACTGCTAATTTCATTTTCTGGATTTCCTTGCGGTTTCCAGATTCCTTACTTATGATCATTCATTCTGCTTCTTCCTTTGTTTAAGCCTGGAGGCAGAGGATCTGGAGGAGGCCTCTGAAATAAAGGAGATGTTAGACAAAAAGAACGTGGATCCATGAATGGCTATTTTAAAAAGGGGCCCTTAAATACCTATTCAAAGCAGGAATATCCCTGCCAACCTACAATGGTCTGACATTAGCAGGAAATAAACATTACTGGAGTTTGTTTTGTTATAGATCTTAGCCCATTATTTCTAATAGAAGTCATATAATGCATAACTTTTATTGAACTGTATGGGAAAACATCAGTATTCAACATTAAAACATGAAATACCTACTTTTAGTGTAATTGATCTGGTTTTAAACAAGATATTTGTCTTTAGCTCACCTGAGAATTTCTCATAGATAAAAAAACACATTTATCTCTTTGTGGTATCTGACATATATTGGGAAATAAATAATTCCTTTAATTAAATTATTAAGTATGATAACTAAAGCCCAAGAACCAATCAAATGACAATTCAAAGTAGCAGATAGATGCAAAAAAGCAGTGGATTATCAACCTCAGAAACTCCTCAGGCTCAACAACATTTGAAATAGGCAACAAGGAAGTGATGGTAAAATAATAATCACAAAAATTTATCTCATTGTATCAGTTATAAAAGATAACATGCTCTGTAGTCTGGAGAGATGGCAACAGGAATCACACCTGATGATTCTGCTAGTGGGTAATGTGCACAAAACTAGTCAGGTAATACTTAATAATTTCCATATTATACTAAATTTTAAGAAAGATTTGCTTCTTAAATTTGAATTCCCATTATAGTTGTTGCAAATAATTTGACACTAGGCTTTATATATTCTCTTGATATATAAATTAAGAAAAGAATAGAAGAGAAAGGAATTGTGAGAAGAGTGAAAGAGAGAGTAATGAACACAGGAGTAAGAAGAAACACTGTAATCCCAGCACTTTGGGAGGCCGAGGTGGGTGGATCAGGTCAGGAGATTGAGACCATCCGTGCCAACATGGTGAAACCCCGTCTCTACTAAAAATACAAAAATTAGCCTGGTGTGGTGGCATGCGCCTGTAGTCCCAGCTACTCAGGAGGCTGAGGCAGGAGAATTGCCTGAACCCCAGAGGCAGAGGTTGCAGTGAGCCGAGATCGCGCCACTACACTCCAGCCTGGGCGAAAGAGCAAGACTCTGTCCCCCTCCAAAAAAATAAAATAAAAACATGATAAGAAGAAACAAAGAGAAATAGAGAAATTTAGGAATTCTAGTTTTAAAAACTTTCTAAATTAATGACTGTTATATTTATTATAATAATTATTATGAAATATATATAATGTTTAATTTCAAATGTGGAGAAAAATGAAAAACAATTATGTTTTATCCCAAATAGGTTCCCAGTCGAACAGATTGTCATGTTGAGCAGATATGACATAATTCCTTCTAAATTGTGTAAGATTGCAGTAGATGGAAAATAGACCTTTTCTTCAAGTTTTCAGGGGTAAAATGTGCTTTATCATTGAGTTGGCAAGCAACTAATTTATTTGTGTCCAAGCTTTTCTAATGATTCACTATATATCTTTACATCTATCAAAATTTGTCTTATTTTATCTTTATAAAACAAAAATATTTTCTCCACTGGAAATAAAATGTAAGAAATGACAAAATAAGTAAGTCATCAAAATAATATAGAGCCATCACAAATATACATAAGATTTATTTCTCTGAGTCAATCCCATTTAAATTGTTTACATGTATTAACAAAGGAATTGGAATTGTTAGATAAGTGCCGTAAGACCTAAAATGTAAATAGCTCTGTTATAAAGTCTCAGTTGATTTTTTTTCATGATTAGCTTTCTTTCAGCCATATATATGTGTATATACATATATATATGGAATGCGTTGGAAATATATATATGTGTATATACATATATATATACACATATGTGTGTATACAAATATATACTTATATGTGTGTATACAAATATATACATATGTGTGTATACAAATATATGCATATGTGTGTATACAAATATGCATATGTGTATACAAATGTATGCATATATGTATATACAAATGTACGCATATATGTATATACAAATATATGCATACATATATGTATATACAAATATATACATATATACAAATATATACATATATACATAAATATGTATATATAAATATGTATGTATACATATGCAACAACAACAAAAAAAGTGTAGGAGTGCTTACTCTTTGGTTTCCTACCTTTTCTTCCTTCGCTGTGTGATTCAGTCTTAAGGTCACGAGGGGAGAGGGTTTGCAAGCAAGGAAGGGTGCCTTGATGGACTTCAGGGCAGGATGTGGAGGCCCATGCACGACGAGGTGGCATCACCTGGGAAGGCTTCTTGGCACAGGTGTTGGCAGAGTGGCAGCCAGACAGAGACCTGGAGTGTCCGAACATGCACAGAGTAAGGGAGAGGGGGTCTGCTGGGCAGGGAGCGGGATTGGGCGGGGAGGTGGAGGGGCTGGTACTGGGTGTTCAAGCTGAGCAGTTTGAGGTGGTTGCAGCGCGAAAAAGGCAGAAGACCTGTCCACGCACGAGTGTGCAGAAGTTCTGCGCAGTTATGGAGTCTGTGTAGTGTAAGCAGGGAGTCTGCATAGCTACAGGGTGGGAAAGTGCAACTACTGGGAAGGGGGCTTATGCAGGATATCAAACCTGATGGAGTGAGAAGGTTGTCTGAAGGGGGATCGCCAGGAGTGGGTTGTAAATATTCAAGCCTGGTGAGGACGGTGAGTCCATAGTGTGGTTTAAGCATAATGTGGGTGCCCAAGCTTGAGTTTGTTTAGGAGGTACTCTGCATAGGGAAGGAGCAGTAACAGTGATAGCAAATTGGTTACATACAGGAAGATTAATCAAATAACTGAGTATATTAGAAATAACTTGAGCCAGGTTACTCATTATTAGAGAAATGAGTTATATAGAAAAGAATAAAAGTAAGGAAGTAAAAGAAAGCCAGAATGAACCCTGTAGTAATGCATTGGACTTATCAGTATTGCTGGATATGTGTGGACATGCTGTGTACTCTTTCTACCCATTAAGAGGGCTTGGGGTTAGTGGCCCTCCACAGCAGCGACAGCACACCTAGTAAACCACCTCTTGGATTCTGAATAACATTCTCTACTATGAAGAACTGGGGCTTCCCGAAGTAATGGCTGATTCAAGTTCCGGGGCAGGGAAAATAAAACATGAAGTATTTTCATGTTCCAAAAAGTAAGGAAATACTCAACAAATGATGGGAATATGTCAACAGGACACATAAACCAGCTGGAAGGTTTTATTCTAGACACCTCTAGTTGAGCACCAAAATAAATAATTTTGAATTATAATCCTTTGGATAAAATTAAAACACATTATTCCAAACTCATAAATAAATGAATGAATAAATGGAACATTTGAAGATAAATGGGATATTTACATAATTTCAAAGTAACTCCCCATGAACTATGTACTCATTCCAAGGAGATGAAAGCAGCATTACAGTGGAGAAGCCTGGCAGAAATCTTCTTCACCAATTTATCAAAGCTAGCATCACTAAGAATGGGATAAATTGAAATTCCACTAACTCTTGACACTATGCAATGAGAACTCAGAATCAAATCACTTCAGTTATATTTCTGTCAAAGATGTGTAACCCAAGTCTGATGACCAGGAAATATCGAACTATCCTAAAATAAAGAATATTCTACAAAATAACTGTGCTGTAATTCTCAAAAACATCAAACTCATGAAAGTCAAGGAAGGACTGTATAGAACAGTTCCAGATTAAAGGAATTTAAGAGACATGAGAACAAGATGCAGCACTTGATTCTGAATTGGATCCTTTACTTATAAATCACAGTATTGGGGCAATTGGCAAAATTCAATTGGGATCTAAGAATTAAATGATATCAGTTAATTTTCTGATTTTGACACTTGTGCTGAGTGTATGTAGGAGAATGTCACTTGTCGGAAATACTAAAGCATTTGGGAATGATGAGGTATCATGTGAGAAACTTACTCTCAAATGTTTCAAGAAAAAAATGTTCTGTTAGCATATCTTTTCAGTGAATTTGAGATAATTGGAAAGAAAAAATACCTAGAAGTTTCAGTAGATATATAATACAAAGTTAAGAAATTAACCAATAGAAGAATTAATGTTAATAATATCACAAAAAATTGTGGGTAGCAAAGGAGAAGTGGGGAGTATGTAAATGTCTTAAATTCTAATCCATTGTAGGGTGAGTCAATAGAAAAATGTATACATTTGATATTTCAAGACACAGGTTCTTAATCCCTACGGAAGGCATTATGGTAATATTATGAACACTAAACAGGAGCATATCTGTCGGCACATTTCCCAATTCTGGAATTTTCATTTTTGAGAATTCACCCACACACTGGAACACCTATGAAATGATGTGTGTGATATGCTTTTCATTGCAGCAGGATTTGTATGAGTAGAGGATTTAACTGTCCAAATGTCCATCAACAAAGTCTGATTAAATAAACTATGATATCTCCATTCAAGGATTGATATGAAGAGATTACCTAGATATTATATAATTATTATATTATTATAGAGTGTAAGTGGGAGTTAAGTGAAAAGTCAAGAAGCAAAGCAGTACACGTAATATGCAATTGTTAGTGGAATGACACTGATGAGAATAAGAATGTATATTTGTATTTGTCTATGCGGGCATAAAGAAATTTGGAAAATAAATTCTATAAGTTCAACAAGAAATAAGAATAACAGTTAACTTGGAGATATAGAAACGAACTAAAATAGGGTTAAAAGACCAAAGAGAAGAGATTTTTATTAATTACCTCATAATAAATTTCAGTTTTTAAACCATGTTGACAAGTAATCCATGAAAAAATAAATTGAAAAATTGTATATGAAAATATAGCCTAACAGAATAAGTAAAGTCTAAAAGATATATGTGGTCAGGAGAATAATGATCCCCAAAGATGTTTATGCCTTGATCCCCAGAACCTGTAAATTTGTTATCTAATATGGTAAAAGAGACTTTGCCAATGTGATTCCAGTTATGGACTTTGATATGGAGAGGTATCCAGGTGGGCCCATATGGATCCCTAAAAGTAGAGAACATTTTCTGTCTGTGGTCAGAAAGAGATGGATCTATGGAATAAAGATGAGGCTTTGAAGATGGAGAAAGGGAGCCACAGCTAATGAACATGAGTGACCCCTAGAATATGAAAAAATCAGGGAAAAAAATTTTTCCTTCTAGCCTCCAAGACGGAATGCAACCTTGCCCACACCTTGATTTTAGCTCAGTGAGGCTTCTGTTGAACTTCTAACCTGTAGAACAACAGGGTAATATATTTGTAAGGAAGGGGTCCAGTTTCACTTTTCTGCATATGGCTAGCCAGTGTTCCCAACACCGTTTATTACATAGGGAATCCTTTCCCCATTGCTTGTTTTTGTCAGGTTTGTCAAAGATGAGGTGGCATTATTTCTGAGGCCTCTGTTCTGTTCCATTGGTCTCTAGATCTGTTTTGGTACAGTATCATGCTGTTTTGGTTACTGTAGCCTTGTATTATAGTGTGAAGTCAGGTAGTGTGATGCATCCAGCTTTGTTCTTTTTGCTTAGGATTGTCTTGGCTATATGGGCTCTTTTTTGGTTCCATATGAAATTTAAAGTAGTTTTTTTCTCATTCTGTGAAGAAAGTCAATGGTAGCTTGATAGGGATAGCATTTAACCTATAAATTACTGGCCATTTTTACGATATTGATTATTCTATCCATGAGCGTGGAATGATTTTCCATTTGTTTGTGTCCTCTCTTATTTCCTTGAGCAGTGGTTTATAGTTCTCCTTGAAGAGGTCCTTCACATCCCTTATAAGTTGTATTCCTAGGTATTTTATTCTCTTTGTAGCAATTGTGAATGGGAGTTCACTCATGATTTGGCTCTCTGTTTGGCTATTATTTGTGTATAGGAAGGTTTGTGATTTTTGCACATTGATTTTGTATCCTAAGAGTTTGCTGAAGTTGCTTATCAGCTTAAGGAGATTTTGGGCTGAGATGATGGGGTTTTCTAAATATACAATCATGTCATCTGAAAACAGAGACAATTTGACTTCCTCTCTTCCTATTTGAATACCCTTTATTTCTTTCTCTTGCCTGATTGCCCTGGCCGGAACTTCCAATACTATGTTGAATAGGAGTGGTGACAGAGGACATCCTTGTCTTGTGCCAGTTGTTAAAGAGAATGCTTCCAGCTTTTGCCCATTCAGTATGATATTGGTTGTGGGTTTGTCATAAATAGTTCTTATTATTTTCAGATACGTTCCATCAATACCTAGTTTATTCAGAGTTTTTAGCATGAAGCGGTGTTGAATTTTATCGAAGGCCTTTTCTGCATCTATTGAGACAATCATGTCGTTTTTGTCATTGGTTCTGTTTATGTAAAGGATTATATTTATTGATTTGCATATGTTGAACCAGCGTTGCATCCCAGGGATGAAGCCAACTTGATGGTGGTGGATAAGTTTTTTGATGTGTTGCTGGATTTGCTTTGCCAGTATTTTATTGAGGATTTTCGCACTGATGTTCATCAGGAATATTGGCTTGAAATTTTCTTTTTTTGTTGTGTCTCTGCCAGGTTTTGGTATCAGGATGATGCTGGCCTCATAAAATGAGTTAGGGAGGAGTCCCTCTTTTTCTGTTGTTTGGAATAGTTTTAGAAGGAATGATACCAGCTCCTCTTTGTACCTCTGGTAGAATTTGGCTGTGAATCTATCTGGTTCTGGGCTTTATTTTTTTGGTTGTTAGGCTATTAATTACTGCCTCAATATCAGAACTTGTTATTGGTCTATTCAGGGATTCAACTTCTTCCTGGTTTAGTCTTGGGAGGGTATATGTTTCCAGGAATTTATCCATTTCTTCTAGATTTTCTAGTTTATTTGCGTGGAGGTGTTTAAAGTATTCTCTGATGGTAGTTTTTATTTCTGTGGGATCAGTGGTGATATCCCCTTTATCATCTTTTATTGTGGCTATTTGATTCTACTCTCCTTTCTTATTTATTAGTCTGGCTAGCAGTCTATCTATTTTGTTAATCTTTTCAAAAAACCAACTCCTAGATTCATTGATTTTTTGAAGGGTTTTTCATGTCTCTATTTCTTTCAGTTCTGCCCTGATCTTAGTTATTTCTTGTCTTCTGCTAGCTTTTGAATTTGTTTTTCCTTGCTTCTCTCATTCTTTTAATTGTGATGTTAGGGTATCAATTTTAGATCTTTCCTGCTTTCTCCTGTGGGCATTTTAGTGCTGTAAGTTTCCCTCTAAACACTGCTTTAGCTGTGTCCCAGAGATTCTGGTACATTGTGTCTTTGTTCTCATTGGTTTCAATTTTAGTATATGTGCTACTGAAGCAAGCACGTTCTCATTGGTTTCACAGAACTTATTTATTTCTGCCTTAAGTTCGTTATTTACCCAGTAGTCACTCAGAAGCAGGTTGTTCAGTTTCTATGTAGTTTTTGAGTGAGTTTCTTTTTTTTTTTTTTTTGAGGTGGAGTCTCGCTCTGTCACCCAGGCTGGAGTGCAGTGCTGCGATCTGGGCTCACTGCAAGCTCCGCCTCCTGGGTTCAGGCCATTCTTCTGCCTTAGCCTCCCGAGTAGCTGGGACTACAGGCACCCGCCACCACACCTGGCTAATTTTTTGTATTTTTAGTAGAGATGGGGTTTCACCATGTTAGCCAGGATGGTCTTGATCTCCTGACCTCGTGATCCACCTGCCTCAGCCTCCCAAAGTGCTGGGATTACAGGTGTGAACCACCGTGCCCAGCCTTGAGTTAGTTTCTTAATCCTGAGTTCTAATTTGATTGCACTGTGGTCTGCGAGACTGTTTGTTATGATTTCTGTTCTTTTGCATTTGCTGAGGAGTGTTTTACTTCCAGTTATGCGATCAATTTTAGAATAAGTGCAATGTGGTGCTGAGAAGAATGTATATTCTATTGATTTGGTGTGGAGAGTTCTGTAGAGGTCTATTAGGTCTGCTTGGTCTGGAATTGAGTTCAAGTCCTGAATATCCTTGTTAATTTTCTGTCTTGTTGATCTTTCTAATATTGACAATGGGATGTTAAAGTCTCCCACTATTATTGTGTGGGAGTCTAAATCTCTTTGTAAGTCTCTAAGAACTTGCTTTATGAATCTGGGTTCTCCTGTATGGGTGGATAGTTAGCTCTTCTGTTGCATTGATCCCTTTACCATTATGTAATGTCCTTTGTCTTTTTTGGTCTTTGTTTGTTTAAAGTCTGTTTTATCAGAGACTAGGATTGCAACCCCTGCTTTCTTTTTTTTCTCTCTCTCTCTTTTTTTTTTTTTTTGCTTTCCATTTGCTTGGTAAATATTCCTCCATCCCTTTATTTTGAGCCGATGTTTGTCTTTGCCCGTGAGATGGGTCTCCTGAATACAGCACACCACAGCCAACAACCATATGAAAAAAGCTCATCATCATTGGTCAACAGAGAAATTCAAATC
The DNA here is from genome assembly GCF_000001405.40 of Homo sapiens. Classification (NCBI taxonomy): domain Eukaryota; kingdom Metazoa; phylum Chordata; class Mammalia; order Primates; family Hominidae; genus Homo; species Homo sapiens. The sequence continues at coordinate 87,465,445 of NC_000008.11, forward strand.
AAAACCACAATGAGATACCATCTCACACCAGTTAGAATGATGATCATTAAAAAGTCAGGAAACAACAGATGATGGAGAGGATGTGGAGAAATAGGAACACCTTTACACTGTTGGTGGGAGTGTAAATTAGTTCAACCATTGTGGAAGACAGTGTGGCAATTCTTCAAGGATCTAAAACCAGAAATACCATTTGACCCAGCAATCCCATTACTGGGTATATACCTAAAGGATTATAAATTATTCTACTGTAAAGACGCATACACATGTATGTTTATTGCAGCACTATTCACAATAGCAAAGACTTGGAACCAACCCAAATGCTCATCAATGATAAACTGGATAAAGAAAATGTGGCACATATGCACCATGGAATACTATGCAGCCATAAAAAGGATGAGCTCATGTCCTTTGCAGGGACATGGATGAAGCTGGAAACCATCATTCTCAGCAAACTAACACGGGAACAGAAAACCAAACACCGCATGTTCTCCGTCATAGTGGGACTTGAACAATAAGAACACATGGACACAGGGAGGGGCACATCACACACCGGGGCCTGTCTGGGGGTGGGGGGCTAGGGGAGGGATAGCATTAGTAGAAATACCTAATGTAGATGACAGGTTGATGGGTGCAGCAAACCACCATGGCACGTGTATACCTATGTAACAAACCTACACATTCTGCACATGTATTCCAGAACTTAAAGTATAATAAAAAAAAGTTATTTTAAAAAAAGAGCTAATTACACTCAAAGCCAGAAGAACAAAAAAACCTAAGTGATACTACATCTATTATAGAAATTAAACTTGTAATAATAAAAAAAAATACTTTCCCACAATGTAAACTACAGGCCCAGATGGCTTCACTAATGAATTTCATCACATATTTAAAGAAGACATAATACCAGTAATGTACACTCTTTCAGAAAATATAGTGTATGGGGATATATCGCATACCTTATGAAGTTAGCGTTACCCTTATTCATACCTAACAATGGCAGTACAAGAAAAGAAAATTAGAAATGTCCCTCTTGAACATACATAAAAACATTTAACAAGATATTAGCAAGTCAAATATAGCCAGGTATAAAAAGGATGATATATAATAAACATGTATCATTTTTTCAGAAGTACAAGGTTGGTGTAACATTCAAAACAATCAATATAATTCACTACACTAACAGAATACAAGAGAAAAGCCATATGAACATCTCAGTAGATGCAAGAAAAAATAACAAGTCTTTAGACAAAAACTCTCAGGAAACTCAGAAGTGAAAGGAACTTTTCAATCCAATAAATTGATTAGTAGAAGGTTTAACCTAACATTACACTTAATGTTGAAATTCATTTCACCTAAGAGAAGGCAAGACTGTTACCATTTCTATTCAACATTGCACTGGAAGCCAATACAGCACAAAAGACAAGAAAAAATAAATTAAAAACATAAATTTTGGAAAGGAAGAAGTAAAACTGCCTGTTTCCAGACAACACAATTGTATATGTAGAATACCCTACTCAAATGATACTATGAGATCCATGTACAAAAAGCAGTTGTATTTTGATGTAATAGCAGAGAACAATTGGGAAAAAATAAGATAACATTTAGAGTAGTATCAGAAAATAAAACATTTAGGATTAAATCTAAAACAATATGTGCAAAACTTCACAATAAATATAAAGGAAAGGTATATAATTGCTATGCTGACAACTAGAAAACATTACTACACGAACTTAAAGGCACTGAAATAAATGAAAGATACACTGTGTTCATGGATTAACAGACTTAATATGTTTAAGATGTTCATTCTTCCAAGTTTATTTATAAACACAAAGGAATCTCTCTCAATGTTTATTTTGAAGAGACCATCAAGCTGTTTTAAAATTCAAGCAAAAAGACTAAAGATGTATAATAATCAAATAGATATTGAAAAAGAACAAAACTGGAGGATTCGCCCTTTATTTCAAGACTTACAATAAAGTTGCGATGATCAACAAAATTTCATATTGACATACACAGAGACAAGTAGCAATATGGAACAAATATAGTTCAGCAATAGACTTGCATGTGTTGTTGATAAATTTTTACAAGACTCCAGTCAATTCAAAGAGGAAAGGATAATCTTTATAACAAAATATTTCTATGGGAAATAAATGAGCTTAAACCTCTATCTTTATACAAAAAAGAAGAAAAATTCAAGACAGATCGAACATTTAAGCATAAATCCCAGAAACATAAAGATTCTAGAATAAAACATAGGAGAATATATTTATGAATTTGGTGTGGGGAATTATGTCTTAGGCAGTACAAAAAAAGTCACTGATATAAAATTTTCTAAAATTATAATGTGGGCTTCATCAATATTATCAATATCTACTATTAAGAAGACAGGATTAATATAATCAACAGCAAGATCTTAGACTGAGAAAATGTTCACAGTACATAAATATGAATAAGGATGTGTATGCAGAATGTGTAAAGTACTACTGCCTATCAACAGTAGTAAGAAAAATACCCAGTTATAAAATGGGCAAAAGACTTGACTGACACTTTGCAGAAGAAGATATGGTCATGTCCAGGAAACACATAAGGTAGTGTTCGACATTAATTATTAGGAAAATTTGATTTAAAACCACAGTTAGATATTATTTCATATTTTCAGGTATGGCTGAAATTTAAATATGATAAAAGTAAAATACAAATAAATATTTTCGTGTGGGAAAAAATGAACCATAATCATTAGCTTCACTTTATGAAAAAAATAGTAATTCAAGACAGATCAGACACATTGCACATAAAGTGCAGACCCATAAAGATTCTAGAACTAAACATAGGCAACTATAACTTTGGTGTCATGAGTTGGCATGTGACACGGTGAGGTGAGGAGCAATTGGAACTGCTATACCTTGCTGATGTTAGTATCAAATTACACAAGTTTGGAGAAATCTTTGACTATTTCCTTTAAAGTTAGACCTACATCTACCCTGTGACTCAGCATCTCCATTCCTAAATATTTAACAGAAGAGTCAAAAAGAAACACAAAAGATTTTTACAAGAATGTTCATAGCAGTCTAAGTCTTAATAATAAAATAATTGAAAGGCACAAATATTCATCAACAGGAAAATGAATCGACAAAGTGAAGTTCATTAGGATACTGGAATACTAGTAAAAAGTAACAAACTGGTACATGTAAGAACATGGAAAAATCTTGGAGACATTATTCAAAGAGAATAAAACTGGAAACACCTAAAGGATATATTGTATGATTTCTTTTAGTAAGATAGTCAATACTAAACTGTGGTGATAGAAGTCCAAAAGTAGTTGACACTGTGAAGAGAGGTTTGACTGAAAAAGGTTATAGGTTAACCTTTCAGGGGGATGGAGAGGTTCTTTATCTTGTTTTTGGTGAAGGTAACACATGTGTATACAGTAGTCAAAACTGATCTAACAGAAAATGTAAGAAAAATACATTTTATTGTATGTACTTATGCTTTAACTAAAAATAATATTGGCTGAAACATCATTTATAAAGGGGCTAGTTAGGGTAGCACCTTGATTTAGATAATTATTTTTATTCCTTGTCTATCAAATGCAGGGTACTGTGGCACTGATTGGTGAGGAATTACCTCCCACAAACCCCTAAAATAAAGAAATAGAGAAAGGGAGGAGGAAAAAATGACTATATCTTTTTCTAATTAATCAACAAATAATTTTTTGAGTATCTACTACCTCCTCTATTCTAGGCACTGGAAATAGAATGATAAATCAGATGACTCATTGCCTTCACAAAGCTTCTAGTGGGGAGAAAAACAGATAGTTCAATTCAGAGATTCTGCCTGAATTGAACAAGGGAAGTCTACACTGAGAAGATGGCATTTGAGTAGGCTTAAAGTGAATAATGGTGGAAGCCACTTGGAATTTAAGGAAAATAGATACATTTAAGAATTTATTTTGATAGTGCAGATAAATTATTTTTGCATATTATAGTTCTTTGCTTATTTTGTTCTTTTATGTAGAAATAATATAAAAATAAGAAAACTAATTATGGTTTAAAATTTCTAGTAGATCATTACACTTTGTTGAAAAAAACAGATTTGGCACAGTATAGACTTTGGAAAGTGGGAGGATCTCATTATCTAATACATGAATGAAATTCTATTCTTACAAAACCAAGTGATGGTGCTTGGAAATCCTCCATGCACTGGTCAGCATTTCTCACACATGTGAGTGGAGCTAGGATTTCCACTCCCTGCATATGTTTAGTGTGTCACCCTGGACATCTGCTAATGTTGAACATCTGTTTTCTGTTTTCATTGAAAGATGTTTAATTTGGAGTGCCAAAAAGAGATGGGGTCATTAGTTATTCTACAGTGTGAAGCTATCCAGTAAATTGTCCTTGTTTGAGGAATAATAATGTCAGAAAAGCTATATCCACTATAATTAATCCTAAAGTTTCCTTCACATTGAGAGTTATTACAGACATGAGTTTAAAAGAAAATGCCAAACTATGACGAGTCTCTGAGAAAAAACAAAAGTGATTTCATATAGTATTTATCATACAGGAATTATTGTAAACTGGTATTTTTTGAACACTTAGAAAACATGTAAGTTGTGAACACAGGAAGATACTTATGTGTCTGTAGAATTAGCTAATATTTAAATTATGCTTAGTATTGTTTGAATTCATTCATATTTTCTTGAAATGAATAGTCCATGTTGCTTACCCTCTATTAATTGGTTTATTTGATTTTTAAAAAATTAACTGTGACAAGTTATTGTCATGTTGAGCTGAAAGCTTACTATGTTAAGTAACAGACCATATTCCAGAAGAGAAATAAGCTGTTGTACATTATATGCCTTTTATATTTGTATTATATGTGACAATGTATGAAACCAGATTCACTATCATTTGAATTATTTTGATCATCAATAGGCCATAAGGTACTATTACAGGTTTTTATATGAATAGTTGGAATGTTAAGTAGTGTACCCCTTTTTCTGCTTAAGAAATATGTTTTTATATTCATATATTTAATAAAGTCCTTCTAAAATATGTAAAATGCAGTAGAAGCATAATCACATCCTTCTAAAATATAAAAATGCCCTTTTACATTTGATAACTAAAGCTCTGTGTTAGATTATTGGTAAGAAAGTTGTGGGTTTTTAATTTTTATATGCATAGTATAGACACATTTATTCAACTTGTATGTAGATTTATATTCATTCATGTTTGCAATTTGAATTTTAAAACGGTAAAACAAAAAGGATGATATACACAGAAGAAATGGAATAATGATCTTAGTGTCACATAGCAGTATAGAGATAATGTTGGTCAAATCTTTAATTTTAAAATGGGGAACAAATCTTAAAAATATCTCACCCCTCTGTTTTTTACTTGTTTACATTTTATAAAATGGTAGTGTTATTAAGATGCAAGAATGCCTGGGAAGACTTGTATGTACTTGGAGTGGGGAGGGTATGGGTGTGCCTTGCTTTATATAAACAAAGCTAAATTCTTTATATATGATGATTTGTTACTATAAGTACCAATACAACTATTTTTTATCCTGTTTTTCTGAAAGTCTCACTTTATTCTTTACATTTTTGGATTGTTCCAATAACTTACCCTATTTCTTTTTACCATGTGCCTATCCAATGCCTCTGCTATTATTTTCCAGCTGCCCAAAATTAAACATGTCAAGGCTTGCTTTTATTATAAATTTAGTGGCAAAAATCATGGTATAGAATACTAAATAATCGGAAAAAGTGCTCATTTATTCAATCTAATCTTGTGTTCCTTTGTAGGAGGATGTCAAAAATGAATATTTGAAAAAGGAACAACAAAAAGAATGGAAAGATTTCAAGGTATAATAATATATACCAACAAAATAAATAGGATAATTATTCTTTCCTTATAGTAGAATATATTAAATTAGTGATAACTTCAGAAAATATAAACATTAAGGGAAATTAAACTTTTATAATGAATGAATGTTAAAGAAAATATTTCTACTGAAAACATATTCTTTAGTCCTTTATATCTTAAAAGAGCCTGAAAATAAATTTGTAGTAAGTCCATATTTTTTCTTCCAAATTTAGAGGGAAGAAAAAATGCATTAATTACTACAGTATGCTAAGCAGTTTATGTATGTTGTCTCATTTAACACCTTTAACTATAATTGTTGCCTTTCTTATTTTATGGAAGAGGCCACTAAGGCCTGGAGAAATTAAGGAACTTGTCTGAGTAACACAAGTAGTTAATAAAACTGCCAGTAATCTGACTCAGGTTTGCCCAATTCAAACTATAATGAGTTCTTCACAATTTGTTGTGCTTTCTGCTATAGAATGCAGTTGGCAAGCGAGAATAATAAACTATTTTATAATATGTATGTCAAAGGAAGAAAATATTGACTATGGTGATTTTAATACTGCTATGGGATTAATCCAAATTTTTGGCACTTTGAAAATCTGACTACCAGAATCATCATCACCATTGACATTATGTCTCATGTCTTCACCATTGCTTATCCAACACCTTCAGTAAGGTATGCACAGTGGGTGAAACTCTTTAAAGATCTCAGTTAACTACATTTTTAAATGTATTGAGAAACAAAATAAAGATAACTTGGAGACTTTGAAGCAGCTGAGAAATACAGTCTCTTCCTGTAGTAGAATATACAAAAGGAATACAACATAAAGAGCTAAGATAATGTATTGTCTTTTAAAGAAGCACCTTCTCTTTTATTTGTTTCGCTAACACAGTAGCTTAATATGCTATGAGATACCAGACCATAAATAGAAATTAAAAATGGCAGGCAGAGATTTTAAATAGGGCATTCTTTTAAACAAATATACTCTGGTGGACTCCTTAGATAAATAGAAGGGTAATGATTTTTCAAACAGCTCCACTTTGGGCTCTGAGCCTGGAACACCATAGGTAAGTGCTGCACATCTTCAATGTGGCTTTAAGCCTCTTCCTCTCTCTGTGTCATGGGTGTGCAGAAAAGGGTAGGGACACTCACCCACTTAGTAAGAAAAAGTAGGGCAGGAAAACTTTCCAAATATTTGTTTCTGTTAAGAGGCAAACAATGAAACAAAAAGTGGGATGAATTCCCATGTTAAAACACCACCTCACATAATCATCTGCAATGATGCAATCTTTGGCAGACGGGCAGTTTGCTCTTGCCTTGATAAATTTCTAATTTTCTGTTCCTGGTAAGCTAATTCTTATGAGTTTGCACATATTATTGTAAGTCTAGGGGACCTATTTAGTTCCCATCAGGGATCTGCATTTTTCCAAATATATTAATTTACTAAAATATGAAGCCTAAGCCTATTGTTGAAATATACACATACTGTTCCTTTTACATTCTAGTTCCTCCTAAAATAAAATGTCATTTCTTTACTCCTGTATGTCATATTAAATAAATAAAGAAAACATTTTAAGACTTTCCTATTTTCCTAAGAAAACATACTAATTTCCTTTTTTAAATTACATGCAGTTTGGTAATTAATTTTGCCCCTAACAACATCTCCTGCCCTACTGAATTTCTTATGTTGAGTGAATGAACGAATGACATGCCTATCATCTTAGATGCTATTACTTCTGAAGTGGCACAGAAAAAAATGGGCAATAACTTTGTAGGTGTCACCTCCAATCTATATGGAAGTAAGTTCCCTGGCAAGTCTGGGAGCTCAAGTTTCTTCCTTTATTCAAGCTGTTGTTTCTTTAATGATACCCTGCTGTCAGTCACAGTGTCACCATATGTTTAGAAAACGATTCAGTGATCTCCTAGCTGGATACATCAGAATCTCAGATTTATTAAAGTTATTGTGAAAGCAATTTATGAAGAGCAATTTGCAGAGATTTGTCTGAAGATTGTTGCTCTTATCCCAAGTCCTAAAATCTGGATGATTTGCCCACTGTGTAAATTCACCTGAAACAGGAATTCTTGTTAAAGATGTCTTGTTACCTGGTATTTGATGATTGCTTCTTGCAGGATATCCGTTCTAGCACCAGGGATTTATCATAGAAGTCAGCCTTGATTTCTTTTCTTCCTGTAGTGTATCCATCAGGGAATATTGGAAAAACTAGACATTTAGAAAACATTTTTATGAGAGTAACTCCATCAGATTTCATAGTTTGTGGACATTACATTGCACTAACTAGAATAGATTATGAGCTTTCATGTTCATGTTTTCTAGCCTACTAGCCTTAAGCAGTATAAGTATTCTATAGCCGTTTTTCTGATTGGTTCATAAAAACTAAGAAGCTGAGAAGCAAAACTGACTGTAACTAAGAAAAAATTGAAAAGAATACGGTAAAATACATAGTTGTGCACAGTGATGTGTTAATCGATGTTTACAAAACTGTTTCCCTCTACTCCCCCAAAACTCTTGATTTGTAGCATTTTCCAGTTTTCATGTTGTAAATAATCCTGTTATAGCCACTTACATGCAGCTGGGAAGAGATGCACAGAGTCAACCCTAATGGTACTGCGAGCCCACTCCAGCACGCCACTGCTTCCAGTGAGATTGTGCACCTGTGGTGGGGGTGGAGTTAGGAGAGGTGGGGCAACCACTTAGACCTACCGTGGAAGATTAAGTAAAAGGTAGAAATTTGGAGAAAAATATCATTATTGCTAACAATAATGATATCAGTATTGCTAACAACAATATCTGTATTGCTAACAACAACAAAAACATTTCCTGGATTTGCCATATAATCTTTCTATATTTTCTTGCTGGTTCTCCTAAATTAACTTTTCCAGTGAACAGTATTTGATGTCTATGCTTCTTGTTTATTTTTTCATTTAGACAGTATATACCATGCAGTCTTGGCCCCCGATGTCCCTGCATTCTTGTCTCTAATCAACTCTTTTGCTCTTCTAAGTGAGTTTGAACTCTTCAATGAACCATTCAGCTTTTTGTGCATAATTTTCCCAAGGTTTCGCCTTTATGACCATCCTATTGAGTTTAGATTTCTTTTTTTTTTTTTTTTTTTTAAGACGGAGTCTCGCTCTGTCGCCAGGCTGGAGTGCAGTGGCACAATCTCGGCTCACTGCAAGCTCCGCCTCCCAGCTTCAAGCGATTCTTGTGCCTCACCCTCCCCAGTAGCTGGGACTACAGGCACGCGCCACCACACCCAGCTAATTTTTGTACTTTTAGTAGAGACGGGGTTTCACCATGTTGGCCAGGCTAATCTCAAACTCCTGACCTCATAATCCGCCTGCCTCGGCCCTCCCAAAGTACTGGGATTACAGGCATGAGCCACCCACACCCGGCCTTGAGTTTAGTTTTCTTACTCTTCCAGCACAAATTCTATTTTGAATCTGTTACTTGTATTTTCCTTGACTCCTCTTAACCAATTTCAGTCTTTCTTCAACCAATTCTAGTCTTCCTTCAAGCTACAACATCCACCATATTTTATAAAACATTTCCTGATTGCCCCTCACTTGCACTAATAGTCCTCTCTTAGTGAACACAGATAGTCTATAATTTACAATTAGGCACTTGGTTATGTATTGAACTAATATTGCCTAATGTTTTATATAGGTGCCTCCCATTATCTTTTAAAATATATTTTAAGGTACTTGTGAACAGAGACCATAGAAAACCAAATAGCCCTGAACCTACAGGGAAACCTAATAACAACTGAACGTTAACTTGACTATAGAACCGGAAAAAATCAGTTTGAAAAATAAATGTTTTTATAATGCTTTTATCAGGTTTTGGTTGCATAACCTTAAAATATTTGAGTCATTTTAGCAATTTGAACTAAAAATTGATAGGATGAGAACAGTAACATCTATTTTGCTTATTTGTATTCAGAATAGGGTTTTTTGGTATTTTTTGTTAAATCATCTTTGAATGAAATATTAAAGTAGTATGAATCAGAGTAGAATTATGAGTCAGAGAAGAAACCCGTTTTAGGATTAAAAAACTAAAGCATATAAAACCACTAGAAAAAAATGAGCATGAAATTACTTTTCAAAATATCTGAAGTAATCACTCCACGTTAGCTTACAAACTGTATTCAGAAATTTTTAATGTAAATATTCAATAGGTTGCAGAAATAAAAGTACAAATCATGGACTCAGCTCTGGTACTTAGCTATGAATTTCTCATGCGTTAAATGGTTTTATGCATTTAGGAAAAGGAGTCCAGTAGAAAAATCGGTAGTCTAATTTTTAGTGGGCATACTAAGTGATTAATAGTATCTGTTGCAGTTTATTAGGCTTATTTTAACCAATGTTGATACTTCTTTTCAAGAAGAGACAGCATGGTCACAATTTATTGCACATCTCCAATCCGTGCTACAAAAGCACAACTCAAATAACCCCACAGAAATACCCTCAGAACCAGGTGGGGGAGCATTCCAGAGTCCTAGCTCCTTGGGAGGCTGAGACAGGAGGATTGCATGACCAGGATTCAAGGCTGTGGTGAGCTATGATCATGCCACTGCGCTCCAGCCTAGGTGACAGAGTAGACTCCATCTCTGTAAAATAAATAAATAAATAAATAATAACCACAGAGAAAACAAAACACTCTCCACTCACTTATGTTATAGCCTATGGTAAGTTATTTCTTGTCCATAACTCCACAGCAAAAATCACATAATATTATCGAAAAAATGTTAATCATAAAATACCCAAATTCCCTAGTTGCACTTTTTTTTTCTTATTGGCACATTTGTATTAATATTCATACCAGTTCTTTTGCCCTAATATCATACCTCTTCTATATCCTTTCAAGTGTTAGAAAAAAATGAAATTAAACATCTTTTAGCCTTCCTTTTCTGGGCTATATTGCACTAGTTCCTTCAGTTAACTTTATAATTCTATTTTTCTTTTCTTTAATTATGTTGTTGCTGTCTTCTGGACCCTCGATGATTAGCATGAGACCACTAAATTAAATTTCACTTGTTATGCCTAAGTCTCTATGTAGCAAGTTATTACATTAATTGACCTGATGCCTCAGGCTGGTCTTCATGATTGAAATGGAATATATTACTATAAAGTGAAAATTTTGTTTTGCTTATTATACCAACTATTGGTTGATCTTTTTATCATAAAATTTACATTTACTTATTCTTCCCATTGAGATTATTATGAAAAGAAATATTCATCGTTAATTCCTTAAGCTATATCTATAGCTTTTAAATGGAAAATTGATGCTTTTCTTTCTTTTTTTTTTTTTTCATTCCTCTCTTCTTTTTGTGAACATTGTCTCAGGGTCGAACTTGTCCTTCTGTTTGTCTCTTCCTCTGAACGTTAGGAATTTAGGCTCCTTGAAGAGAAGGTATCTTGTTTATAGAGGCATGTACAGTATAAAAAACAGAAATGATACATAGGCAGGCCTTCAGTAAGCATGAGTTAAATGATGAAAATGAATAAATCCTTGGATAACTCGAAATACATAGAAAATAGAAGAGTCCATGGGTGGGGCTAGGGGTGTAGCAAACAGAGATTTGGCCAAGGACGCAAAGTAGCAGATATGTAGAATGAACAAGTCTAGAGAGCTAATGTATAACAGGAGGACTATAGGCAATAAAATTGGGAGACACTTGAGATTTTTGTTAAATAAGTAGATTTTAGCTGCTCTTGTCACAAAAATAGAAGTAACTATGTGAGATGATAGATATTTTAATTTGCTTCTGTATAGTAACCATTTTATTATCTATATGTATTTTATAACATCATGTTGTTAAACCTCAAATATACACAATAAAATTTATTTAAAAACAGATGAGTCATTATTTCCTGAAATGCAAAAAAGAAGAAAAACTTTCATACAATTTACTGGTATTTCTTGAGCACTACTCTGTGTCCGGCTAAGTAATCAGCAGTAAATAAAAATGAAACAGTTCCTGTTTATATAGATTTTCAGGGTCTGTCTGATGGGGAATATGAAAATTACAAAAATTATGTATCCCCAAATAAGTGTATATATAGCATTGTGAGATGTGCTCTAAAGGGTGCTGTAAAGGAAAAGAACTAGGAATATGAGGCAAAAAAATGGGTTCATCTGACAGTTTTTCCTTTGAATTATCTGAATTTCCTTAACTATCTTAAGAATAAACCTATAGTCAATGGCTATTTTAAGATAACTTATTTTTTTATTCCATTTGCTTAACACTTTTGATAATCCTTTTTTCCCCTCTTTTCTTTCATGTGTGCGAGTGGACATATATATCAGGCCTACTAAATTATTTGTAGTCATAGTTGGGCATATAAGCTCTACCCATAGAAAGATAATTCTAAATTCTCACATTCACCACTTTTCTATCAGATTAAAGTGTCTTTCAATTCAATACTAAACTTAAGATATGCCTACTAAGAGCAAACTATATATGAGGTGTTTTATTTTTCTAGCTTTACTGTTTCTTGTTTTATACTGCAACACTTCTTAAATGTTTCTATTGTGCAGCCTTTTCTTTCAGAGCTTAGATTTTTTTAGATTTTAATATATGATGTGGAACTTGTAGAGTAGTAACATTATGTAATCAAGGAACTGCATTCTACAGGGAGCATTTGTAATTCCCTTATTTTTCTGTTTGTGAAAGAAACTTTAATGTTGATGTTGTGCATTATAAATAGTAGTGTCTTATCTTGAATATATATAGTTCTGTGATTCTTCCTTCAATGTAAAACCCCAAACAAATTCCATGATTCCTAATATAAGGATGTAAGTATTTCCTCAGTTCAACTGTAATTCAAGAGTTATTTAACACAGTGTTTAATGATACAGTACATCTGTCTACATTGTACATAGGCCAAGTGTATTCATTATATGCAAAGGGCTAGTTTCCGTTTGTCACTGGTAGGAGGCTGAAAAATTCAGGGATATAAATCAGGGCATTGAGGAAGAACAGCTTAATCAGTGACAGCTAGAAAGTCACTTCATATGAAATGGATAGTGCATTATTACCACAAATATTGAGGTGAGAAGCCAGGATATTAAGCCCCAGTGGAAGAAAAGGCTTAAAGTCCTTGTAAGGATACAATGCTCTAGGGTTTGTTGTTTGTCTGGTTGAATATTTTGAATTTAGAAAACCAAGTCTGACATATATATGAAGGAAAAAATGACAAATGGTTTTATATAGCATGATTCAGCATGGAAAAGGCTAAGCCAGGCCACAAATGAATTATTTTGACAGGCACGAATTGCAATTTGGAAGTCAACACTTACACCCCAAGCAAAGGGTGGCAACGGTATTTGGCCCCTGAGACTCAATGCAATTTCTTAAGTATCAGAACAGGCAGGTAGGTTTATAAAACAGCAACCACAGGGTAGGCTCATCAACAAGAAAAAGGCTTTCTGATCTCATCCACATGGTGGGACGAGATACCTATGTAGCTAATAAAAGTCACAAAGTTGACAAGTGCTGCTTTCCAGAGTTAGGGTTGCATGGACTGGTCATTGCAGCAGGAGGCTAAGTCTGCGGGTAATCTTTAAATTTCCAATAAGTTTTAAAATAGGTTTATCTGTATATGTAAGAAAGCTGTAAGAAGGATTCACAAATACCTATTAAAATATATATTGTTATGGGCATATATGTAGAGGCACCTCTATAGCTATAACAATGTTATGCACACATTTAGAGTACTTTATTTTTGTCCTGAGTTCTATGCATTTATTGACACATTTGCCTTATATATTTTAAAGACAAAAAACGTAAACTAAGATTGCAAATATACTGTTTATTTCCAGAATAAGAAAATCATTTGCCATCTGATGAGCACTGGCTTTTCCCATCTTTGAGCACCCAAACCCAACAACTGCCTTGCTCTCTAGCCCTTACCATTACTGGCCTGCAGGTGAAACTCATCCTCAGGGCTGGACTACTTTTCTGATGCTGAGCTTTCCTGTTCTTCAACTTCTGCTTTTGATAAAAGCCATTATCATCTGGGAAATATGAATGCAGTTTCTGGAGAGAGCTGAGCCCTTCTGAGGATGAATTGCCTGGTGGGCCAAGTTTTGTCATAAGAAACCTACAGGCAATTCACACTGGAATAAGTGCCTAAGGGTGTGGGAACATGTGGACAGATTTTTTTTACCCTTTTGTGTTTAACTTGGCATTCTTTGTCCTCACCGCTCACTGTATTGTTTTATAACAATGACATCTTCTTACAGGATTCACATGACTAGGTTTTTAATAGAAAAACCTGCTGGTTTTTGTAAGATTTGGAAAGGACGGGATGGATAGGGAGGCTGTTATAAAGTTTTTGTCCATTTTCAAACCAAGCAATAAATCTAAAAAGCTCTGTGTCCAATGTAAACCACAAATGAAGAAGTGCTGAAAAGTGTTCAAATTAATTTTCCAGTGCAATGGAAAAATATACAAGTGCTATAATATCAGCTTCTGCAGTTTCCCTGTCTGCTCCCCAGGCCATTTCTCTTTCTCTCCCTCTCTCTCTCAAAAGATATGCTTTAATTTGCTGTTCACTAAGCTCATTAATTCCAATTCCTTTCTCAACTTTGTTGCCAAACAAACCTAGTCATATTGTCTAGCTAAAGAAAAATACTGAATACAACTGAGAGCGAATGATGTCCTGATACATACTCTAACATGAATCAACCATCAAGACATTATGCTAAGTGAAATAAGTCAGAAACAAAAGGACAAATACATATGATTCCACTTATATGAAGTATTTGGAAGAGTCAAATCTTTCTCAAATTCGCAGAGACAGGAGGAAAAATGGTGGTTAGCTGTGATTGGGAGGAGAGCAGAATAAGGAGGTATTATTTAGTGGATACAGAGCTTCAAATTGGAACTATGACAAGTTTGGAGGTAGACTGTGGTGACAGTTACCTGACAATGTTGATGCCACTGAACTGCACACTTAAAAAGAATGAAAATAGTAAGTTTTATGTTATGTATATTTTACCACATTGAGAGAAAGAAAAAGAATAGATGGTGGTATAAGACAACTTAATATGTTTCAGACCATTTTCTAGCACCCTATTTTTGGGAGAAGAATAATTTTCTTTTAATTTTTCTGTTTTCTCTGTCTGCAATAATTAAAACTTACTGGTGTAAGCAGAATAAGTAATAAAATGCTATAATTCCAAGTCTGACATAACACCAGCAACAAATCAATAAAACTTAACTCTGACTATCCTTAAGACTTAACCTTTTTTAAAAAAAGTGTATCTGACAAAATAAATTAGTAAGCATAAAAAGAATAAACTGAATGCCGCATCCAATTTTCCAACTCCCAACAGCATTGTCTTTATAATGGGACTTTAGTGGGAGAATATTTACAATCAATCCAGGGAAGGAGAGGATATAGGGAAGCGTGTATGTGGTTGGTGGAAGATGAAGAAAAAGAAGATTATCTCAAGAGCTTCTCACGAAATTTCAAGAGGAATTGAGATCTTATATATTCCACAAGAGAGAGGCCCTGTGCCAGCTCCCTCATAGTACCCACTGAGGCAGCACACTTCTGAGAAAATTACTGCGTGGTGCACCTGGAGAGGGTGGACTGCAGACAATGGCATCTTTGTTTTTAAACTTTATTATACTTTAAGTTTTAGGGTACATGTGCACAATGTGCAGGTTTGTTACGTATATATACATGTGCCATGTTGGTGTGCTGCACCCATTAACTCGTCATTTAGCATTAGGTATGTCTCCTAATGCTATCCCTCCCCCCTCCCCCCACCCCACGAGGGATGGCCACCCACGGTTAAGAGATCAGTGGGCTCAAAGCAAAGCATTTCAGTGACCATACAGAGAGACCAGGTATTCCTTCTCAAAGGCTTAAATTGCATCAGGCTCATAACATTGACACTATTGTGAATAGAACGTTAGCGATATCCAAGAGTGATTAAATTCAATTTCCTGTAAGTCCAGAGAGTGAATTTTTGGAGTAGATTAAATTTAATTGAGAAAAATAAAAGTAATGTTACCTTTTTGTATTCAATAGTAGCATAAATTCTGGAACCAATGAATAAGTTTACTTTCCCTGAAACACTTTTATTATGCTATCTATATAGATCAATGGTGTCTAACTTTACTTTAATAAATAGATTAATTTTGTTAAGAAATGGGAGGTATAAAATTTACAAAATATCATTTTAATTTGACTATGAAGTCAGAATTATGTTTTGTGCTAAAGTACAGTAACTTCTGTCAAACTAGTATTCTTATTTTATTGTTATTTTTCTTCTGTCCTTTTACCTGGCTTTACTGGTCTTCCTTATTTTTATTGTTTCTTTTACTGTGTGCTATTGCCAATCATTTTTGCAAGTATAGCAATATAAATAAAATATATGGAAGTATAAATGAGTTTGACATTAATTCTCCAAAAAACCTGTTACTTCTATTGGTGTCTGCTTCTGAATCCATGATTTATATTCTCCATATTGATATATTTCTCTGACATTCTGCTATCCTTTTGGTCAACACAGTTCTTCCTGTTTAGTTTTCAGTCATTATTATCAGATTATAAATTTTGGCCAGGCGCGGTGGCTCATGTCTGTAATCCCAGCACTTTGGGAGGCCCAGGCGGGAAGATCACGAGTTCAGGAGATGGAGACCATTCTGGCTAACAAGGTGAAACCCCGTCTCTACTAAAAATACAGAAAATTAGCCGGGCGTGGTGGTGGGCGCCTGTAGTCCCAGCTACTTGGGAGGCTGAGGCAGGAGAATGGCGTGAACCCGGGAGGCGGAGCTTGCTGTGAGCCGAGATCAGCGCCACTGCACTCCAGCCTGGGTGACAGAGCGAGACTCCATCTCAAAAAATAATAATAATAAGTTTTGTGGGATTTTTGAGCTATTTACTTAAACAAGATCATGCTATATTTAGAGCTTTTAATTTTATGGTAACATGAAAAGAAGACTCAATTGGATTCAAATCTGGGCTTTACAACACTGTTGAGCTGTATGACTCAACAGGCTACTTAACACTGTTTTCATAGGTTCCATATTTTCAGATTTCAAGAAACCACTCATATCTGTATGATATCATATATCTCTTTATTGTAAATCTATATATTAAGACTGCTTGTCACTTTCAGTGTTTACAGAAAAGTAATGTAAATGTATCCTAAACTATTTGGATTACCACTTTTAAGTATCCACTTACTGCAGAGAGTCATTATCTCTGTTTTTAAATAGTACTGTTTTAATTACTTAAGTTTTATGGGGAAAAAGTTAAGAAATTTCATATGTAACTTTCTGCTTTGTACCAATTGGATGGAAAAACACTCTAATGGTAGGATGTTAAGTCCAAAAAATAGTGTACCAATCCTTCAGAAGGAGAAATGTGGTATAATAAGTAAATTAACATATTGCGTACAACAGTGTAAGCTTACTGAACTAGAAACAATAACAAACACAAAATTATGCTCTAATAATAAGTACCATATTCATTATCTGAGGCCGGATACAGTTTCAGCTTAACTATATTATCCCTCTATTAAATTCATATTAACATGAATATAATTGATTTCATAGTTGTTGATGGGGCATTCATTGCAAAATATTTCTGTTCCAAAAAGTAAAATCTAATTTTATATATATTATATATTACATATGTATTAATTATATATACATATATTTAAATGACATTGTAATTATTCTTATCCTCCTAGGAGTGAGCTAGAGTTTTTTTTTTATTAAGAACTGCCTAAGTGTCCTCATCTAAGAATCAGTCAGACACTCCCCATGCTTCAGGGTGGTTATGAGCATTAAATGAGACAGTGGGCAATCAACACAAATTCATTTCTTTTGCTTGTTTATAAATGTGTTTACTCCCTATGGCTTTTATTTTATTATCTGTTTATATAAGTAAAGTAAATATGAACAAAATCAAGTATAGAACAAGATATGTTTAAAAAATATTAGTGTAATTCTTCAGATTAAGCTAAATTTTCCAATAGTACAAATGATTGCCAAAACCTCAGTAACTTTCAACAACAAAGATTCACTTCTCATTCACTTGTCTGATATTGGTTGACTGCATTGTGCTTGGATGCAGAGTATTACATTAATGGGGAGAAAAGACAGACAGTGCAGGAATGACTTGATGGCTGCTTCATACAAATGGCACACCACATGTCTCCTCGCATTGCATTGACCAAAGCAAGTTACACAGCTACCCTTGGCATCAATGTTGCAGAGAAGTCTAAGCCTCTTCCATGTAGGGCGCCATAGAGATGTACCCATGTGGCAGTCCCAAAGAGAAGCCATCAAACATTAAATTGTTTATACAAGCTAGTCCAGTAATTGAAAGAATTTATTATCTTAGCAAAATATAAAAATAAGGCAAATAATTTCTGGTTATCTGTTCAATATCAGTAACAGGAAGATAAACCAACGACCACATGTAAAAAGTTTAAGGATCTCGGAAAAAGCATGCTTTATTAATACAAAATTATATTCATTTTTCCCCATATATTTGTTTTTATTGTATTTTATTTTGTTTTTTATAGTTGATTTTTTAAATTGATTTATTATTATTATACTTTAAGTTTCAGGGTACATGTGCACAATGTGCACGTTTGTTACATATGTATACATGTGCCATGCTGGTACGCTGCACCCACTGACTCGTCATCTAGCATTAGGTATATCTCCCAATGCTGTCCCTCCCCCCTTCCCCCACCCCACAACAGTCACCAGAGTATGATGTTCCCCTTCCTGTGTCCATGTGTTCTCATTGTTCAGTTGCCACCTATGAGTGAGAATATGTGGTGTTTGGTTTTTTGTTCTTGCGATAGTTTACTGAGAATGATGATTTCCAGTTTCATCCATGTCCCTACAAAGGAAATGAACTCATCCTTTTTTATGGCTGCATAGTATTCCATGGTGTATATGTGCCACATTTTCTTAATCCAGTCTATCATTGTTGGACATTTGGGTTGGTTCCAAGTCTTTGCTATTGTGAATAGTGCCGCAATAAACATACATGTGCATGTGTCTTTATAGCAGCATGATTTATAGTCCTTTGGGTATATACCCAGTAATGGGATGGCTGGGTCAAATGGTATTTCTAGTTCTAGATCCCTGAGGAATCGCCACACTGACTTCCACAATGGTTGAACTAGTTTACAGTCCCACCAACAGTATAAAAGTGTTCCTATTTCTCCACATCCTCTCCAGCACCTGTTGTTTCCTTACTTTTTAATGATTGCCATTCTAACTGGTGTGAAATGGTATGTCATTGTGGTTTTGATTTGCATTTCTCTGATGGCCAGTGATGGTGAGCATTTTTTCACGTGTTTTTTGGCTGCATAAAAGTCTTCTTTCGAGAAGTGTCTGTTCATGTCCTTTGCACACTCTTTGATGGGGTTGTTTTTTTCTTGTAAATTTGTTTGAGTTCATTGTAGATTCTGGATATTAGCCCTTTGTCAGATGAGTAGGTTGCGAAAATTTTCTCCCATTTTGTAGGTTGCCTGTTCACTCTGATGGTAGTTTCTTTTGCTGTGCAGAAGCTCTTTAGTTTAATGAGATCTCATTTGTCAATTTTGGCTTTTATTGCCATTGCTTTTGGTGTTTTAGACATGAAGTCCTTGCCCATGCCTATGTCCTGAATGGTAATGCCTAGGTTTTCTTCTAGGGTTTTTATGGTTTTAGGTCTAATGTTTAAGTATTTAATCCATCTTGAATTGATTTTTGTATAAGGTGTAAGGAAGGGATCCAACTTCAGCTTTCTACATATGGCTAGCCAGTTTTCCCAGCACCATTAAATAGGGAATCCTTTCCCCATTGCTTGTTTTTCTCAGGTTTGTCAAAGATCAGATAGTTGTAGATATGCGGCGTTATTTCTGAGGGCTCTGTTCTGTTCCATTGATCTATATCTCTGTTTTGGTACCAGTACCATGCTGTTTTGGTTACTGTAGCCTTGTAGTATAGTTTGAAGTCAGGTAGTGTGATGCCTCCAGCTTTGTTCTTTTGGCTTAGGATTGACTTGGCGATGCGGGCTCTTTTTTGGTTCCATATGAACTTTAAAGTCGTTTTTTCCAATTCTGTGAAGAAAGTCATTGGTAGCTTGATGGGGATGGCATTGAATCTGTAAATTACCTTGGGCAGTATGGCCATTTTCATGATATTGATTCTTCCTACCCATGAGCATGGAATGTTCTTCCATTTGTTTGTATCCTCTTTTATTTCCTTGAGCAGTGGTTTGTAGTTCTCCTTGAAGAGGTCCTTCACATCCCTTGTAAGTTGGATTCCTAGGTATTTTATTCTCTTTGAAGCAATTGTGAAAGGGAGTTCACTCATGATTTGGCTCTCTGTTTGTCTGTTGTTGTATAAGAATGCTTGTGATTTTTGTACATTGATTTTGTATCCTGCCACACTTATTCCAAAATTGACCACATACTTGGAAGTAAAGCTCTCCTCAGCAAACGTAAAAGAACAGAAATTGTAACAAACTATCTCTCAGACCACAGTGCAATCAGACTAAAACTCAGGATTAAGAATCTCACTCAAAAATACTCAACTACATGGAAACTGAACAACCTGCTCCTGAATGACTACTGGGTACATAATGAAATGAAGGCAGAAATAAAGATGTTCTTTGAAACCAATGAGAACAAAGACACAACATACCAGAATCTCTGGGACACATTCAAAGCAGTGTGTAGAGGGAAATTTATAGCACTAAATGCCCACAAGAGAAAGCAGGAAAGATCCAAAATTGACACCCTAACATCACAATTAAAAGAACTAGACAAGCAAGAGCAAACACGTTCAAAAGCTAGCAGAAGGCAAGAAGTAACTAAAATCAGAGCAGAACTGAAGGAAATAGAGACACAAAAAACCCTTCAAAAAATTAATGAATCCAGGAGCTGGTTTTTTGAAAGGATCAACAAAACTGATAGACCACTAGCAAGACTAATAAAGAAAAAAAGAGAGAAGAATCAAATAGATGCAATAAAAAATGATAAAGGGGATATCACCACTGATCCCACAGAAATACAAACTACCATCAGAGAATACTACAAACACCTCTACGCAAATAAGCTAGAAAATCTAGAAGAAATGGATAAAGTCCTCGACACATACACTCTCCCAAGACTAAACCAGGAAGAAGTTGAATCTCTGAATAGACCAATAACAGGAGCTGAAATTGTGGCAATAATCAATAGCTTACCAACCAAAAAGAGTCCAGGACCAGATGGATTCACAGCTGAATTCCACCAGAGGTACAAGGAGGAACTGGTACCATTCCTTCTAAAACTATTCCAATCAATAGAAAAGAGGGAATCCTCCCTAACTCATTTTATGAGGCCAGCATCATTCTGATACCAAAGCCGGGCAGAGACACAACCAAAAAAGAGAATTTTAGACCAATATCCTTGATGAACATTGATGCAAAAATCCTCAATAAAATACTGGCAAACCGAATCCAGCAGCACATCAAAAAGCTTATCCACCATGATCAAGTGGGCTTCATCCCTGGGATGCAAGGCTGGTTCAATATATGCAAATCAATAAATGTAATCCAGCATATAAACAGAACCAAAGACAAAAACCACATGATTATCTCAATAGATGCAGAAAAGGCCTTTGACAAAATTCAACAATGCTTCATGCTAAAAACTCTCAATAAATTAGGTATTGATGGGACGTATCTCAAAATAATAAGAGCTATCTATGACAAACCCACAGCCAATATCATACTGAATGGGCAAACACTGGAAGCATTCCCTTTGAAAACTGGCACAAGACAGGGATGCCCTCTCTCACCACTCCTATTCAACATAGTGTTGGAAGTTCTGGCCAGGGCAATTAGGCAGGAGAAGGAAATAAAGTGTATTCAATTAGGAAAAGAGGAAGTCAAATTGTCCCTGTTTGCAGACGACATGATTGTATATCTGGAAAACCCCATTGTCTGAGCCCAAAATCTCCTTAAGCTGATATTTGTTTTTAAAACTTAAAAATTAGCCTCATACAGAAATAATTTATAGATATAAGCATTGAAATAGTTTCTTAAATAAAAAAATTATATAGAAATTATATTTTCTATATATTTTGCTAAGGTGAGAATTCTATCCTTAGAAGTTCTATGAATTTTTTCTGTTTTTTTCTATTTCTTTTTATATAGAATTCAAGCTAATAATACTATTATAAGCCTTAAAGTTTTAGGGTGATAGGATTAATTATTTTTAACAATCTTTTTTTCTAGGATAAGACTGTGAAAAACTCCTTGTATTATAAAGGAATTATTCCAGGCTTTGGAAAATGGGACCATTACTGCACCAGCATTCCTAGGAACCTCAAGGACACTCTAGTAAATTATTAAAAGTACCAGCTCGTAAGAAGCTGGGGATTTCAGCATGGATTATTGAATTTTTTTAGTTTTTTATTTGAAATTACTGTAATGGTCTACCAAATTGCCTTCACCTTTGTTTTTTCCTGCATATCAACTTCCTACTAATTTATTTATATAAATTAATTTTTACATTATTTTAGACAACTAAATTTTTCTTCTATTCATTTTTCAAGTTCCTTTATTAAGGCCTTGTATCATAAAAGGAGATAAAAATATCTTCCATAACAAGTTTTAAAGGGCCAAAGATTTTTAAGTAAAATGATTTCTGACACGTAAATCCTAACTAGAGATATTAAAATAAAATAACGTTCTTTGGCTTATTAGAGAAAGTACAAAATTGAAACATATTTGTTTCAAACTATTTTTAGTTTGCTTTTGCTTTTCAAAACTATGAAACAAAACAGTTTTTCTTATGTTTAGACTTGTTCACAAAGCAAAACGTATTTGTCATGCAGTTCATACTATATGTGAGCAAGGAGAGAATGTCTACCTAATATACTACCCCAAAAAAGTATTATTTCATGAATTCAAAATTACTCATGATTCTAAATTAGCCTATTTTAAAATTAATGCTACTATAAGTCTTCAATCATTATCATCACCATTTTGATACATTTTCTGTGATGTCATGAGTCCTTCCAATTCATATAACATATCCTTCTATTAAAGGGCCTACAATATCTCTTATTATTTAACCATCTGATATTCAAAATTATTATTTCTGGTTAGACTTGATTTAATGCTTCACAGTAATAGCTTATCCATACACTCTCTGGAAAACTTCTAATATAAGCATAAATAATGATAGAGATGGTAGAGATGAAAATATCAATAGAAACATAAAAATCTAATTTGGTTCATCATCCCTTGCTAGAGGCAGGAAATTTTTCTAATTTCTCAGTTGAAATAGGGTGGGTTGCAAACTGAGTTTCATACTACATGTTATCTATATAATAAAACATTTTAATAACACCATTTGACCATTCCAAATATCTTCAAATACAAAATGGTTTCAAATTCTTTCAACATTTGTAACCCAAACAAACGTAATTTGATCTAAAATCATATGAAGTTATGACACATAGAACTTTCATAAGCAGTATAAACACTTATGAAAGTGACACATGATTATTAGCAATTCCTACACCAGAGGCTACTTGTCAGGAAATTTTAAAAGATTATGTGGTAAGTGGTGAGATCAAGACCAGCTTCACGGTTATGATACCTGTGCAATAGCACAGGGCTTTGTGCTTGGAAAACCTCGTGCTAGGTTGAATGTTTTTCTGTCACCACATTGAAATTCTGAATTTATTAGTAATGCCCACCACATTTTCATATATAATTTTCATTGCTCTGGGAAAATTATATAGCTTGTCCTGAATGAGACCTACGTGATGGTTAGCCATATATGCCATATTGGGGTCTTGGGTTTTGTCCTGTCAAGCCTACATGTCACAGAGTCACAGAATGGTTTTATGTAGGCAAATGATGCCATCATATTTACGTTTTCAGAAGATCACACAAGTAGGGACACTAGAAGCAAGAACACAGTAAGAAAACCATACCAATCACTCAAGTGAGATACAATGAGAACTTGAACTAAGCCATGCTAGTGCAGTTAGATAAGTAAATGCAGATTTGGAAATATGTAGAAGAAAAAATTGAAAGGGCTTGGGCCAATCATAGGTAGAGAGGAAGCAAGAGGATTCTATTGTTTCCGCTGAGTTGCTTTTACATATATTTACCATTTAACCACTTATGATGAGAAACTCTGATTAGTTCAAATATTCTTAGATCTTCTGATAATGTAAGTGTCAAACTTATCTCTACCTCTGTTCATCCATATGTAATTCTGACAAAGGGCACTCAGAAATGTGGAGAACTATGAAAACCAGATCTATTTGGAATCTTGTAGGAATTCAAATTTAATCCAGTTGCAGATTTTAATTGTTTTCAAAGAGGATAGAGCCAGAGATCGAGCTGGAGATAGAAACCAAAAATTGTGTTATTTATAAATAATACGTGTGTGTGTGTAGATAGAGAGGCAGATAGATAGGTTTCTGGGAATTTTGTTTTTACATTTCTTCTTAAAGCAAAGAGTAACCTTTTATCAAAGGCAAATACACAATCCACTTTTGTTCTGCAACCCAATCACACTAACTTAGCCAAATATTTTCTTTCCTTAGTTATTCTCTCTTCTTTGCTATTAATGTCTTCCTCCATACTAGATAATCTACATCAGCATACAACCTTTCAGCACTCTGAGTCTTCTGATCTACAGCCATAAAAACCCCCAAATCCCTCTTTGCCAATCATGAACCCTCAGCTAACTTCACCGTTCATAGAATCCTCTTCTTTAGCACTGTCTCCATTCCCCCGTCACCCGTTCACACATACATATTATGAAATATTCAAATACATGAATACAGGAGAAAATAATGATATAAAGGATATTCATATGTTTTGTACTCCAATTTAAGAAAGAAAACTTTGTAAGCCCTCTTTCAAACAGAATTGAAATCAGTAGTTAGCTAATGCAAAAAGTTAGTTAAATTAAAAATTATGGAAAATTATATGTACATATATCTTAAACATTATAATCTTAAAACATTATGCATATTAATTTGCCAGATGTTAATGTATCAGATGAGTCCCACAATTGGGAAATTGACATTCTGCGTCTTCTTTCTAGCATGAACTACAATCAGAAGTACTGTGTACAATTTCCAAGGCTTTTTTAACAACTCAAGTAGAATAAGAACTTAAAGAAATTTTCAATGTGATCTAAAAGCAGAGAGCATCTTTATTTTTAAAGATTTTTTTTCATCTAAATCATCTAAGTGTATTATCTGGTTTAACCAACAATTGACACAGTGGCAATAGTTTAGAATTCATCATTCCTTTTCGTAAAGATTTCAAAGGTATTCAGCAAAATTTTGAAGTAAATAACATTATCTTTATTGATAATATTAATTTGTGTATTAAGTATTCAAATTATGTTTTTGCGAGTGTATTACAAGATTAAAAAGTTTGCACTTTTGTTCTGCAACCTAATCATGCTAACTTAGCCAAATATTTTCTTTCCTTGGTTATTCTCTGCTTTCTTTGTTATTAATATCTTCCTCTATACTAGGTAATCTACATCAGCATACAATCAGTTGGCTAATGCGAAAAGTTAGTTAAATTAAAAAATTATGGAAAATTATATATACATATATCTGAAACATTATAATCTTAAAACATATAATGTGTATTAATTTGTCAGATGTTAATGTATCAGATGAGTCCCATGATTGGGAAATTGACATTCTGTATCATCTTTCTGGCATGGACTACAATCAAAAGCGCTGTGTACAACGTCCAAGCTTTTTTCAACAAAATCAAACATAAAAAGAAGTCTACTTGATTTTTCCAATGAGTGTAATGGGAGCCTTCTATCTACATACACTTTAGTTTGCTTTGGTTTATTAAATTGGTTTAATCTAGTCATAGTATTAATCACTATGTTTTACATAGGATGTGGAGAGCATTGGTTAATTTGATGAATATATTAACAGTGATCAGTTAAGAAAGTCTTTGCTATAGTAATAATTAACATAAATGAGCACTTATGAACCTTCAAATGGATCAACTCATTTAATTCTCCCAACAACCTCATACAGTAAGTTCCATTATTATTCCCTACTTTACAGATAAGGAAATTGAGACACACATAGGTTAGTATTTTAGTAAACGTTAAAGTTCTTTTTTGCTGCTCAACTTGTTTCTCAATTTGTTGTTAACAGGAAGCATAAGGAAAAGGCTAGGCCATAATAAACAAACTAATTGATGTTTCCTTTGCCAAGGCCTCAGTATGTCCCTACATGAAAATAAAGCAAAGTTTTTGGCTATATCCTGTGATCTTATTCATTATGGTAACAAAGGAATTTTGTGGTTGCTGGAAGTTCGTATGATCCTTCAGCACCATCTCCAAGTTTAGATTTGTGTTTTATCTGAAAATACAGTAAAAATGGAGACTTTTACTAGCATTCTACTGCTTTTCTGTTTTAATTTCTTTTACGACATGCTGTTTCATACCTTCCCTTTATAAATAATGCAGTCCTTGGTACAGTTCTTTTAAATCTTTCATGCTTACAAAAACCATAAAAATATATCAGATCATGTACAAATTGCTGTCTGAAGGTGCTTTTCAAGCTCTTGTATTATAAATGAAATAAGATACAGGAGTTGATGCCTGTTCACATAAATAGAGAATATTGACAGTATAAAGTGGTTTGAATTGCCATGAAATTATAGAATTATAAGATAATAGATATATAAGGGCCTTGAGAAATGTTCTGTTCAAGCTGCCTGCCTTTAGGCAGGTAAACATCTGAAATACTTTGTAAAAATATTTTCTTAGTCTCTTTATGAATATCTTCAAGCAGAAAAACTCCAGAACCTACCAGAGTGCCCCATTTGAATGATTTTTGGCTTAAAAATGGGGGGGAAATGCTTTACTTATGTACAACCTCAATTGCTCTTCATTTCTTATTTGTTATTATTATACTTTAAGTTCTGGGATACATGTGCAGAATATGCAGGTTTGTTACATAGGTATACATGTGCCATGGTGGTTTGCTGCACCCATCAATCCGTCATCTACATTAGGTATTTCTCCTAATGCTATCCCTCCCCTAGCCTCCCACCCCTCAACAGGCCCCACTGTGTGATGTTCCCCTCCCTGTGTCCACGTGTTCTCATTTTCAACTCCCACTTATGAGTGAGATTGCTTTTCATTTCTATTAAACTATTATTCTTTCTTTTTTCCCCGTCCTCTTTTCATCTTTCTTTTTAGGAACTCATTGTTTTTTCTCTTCATATTTCTTTTTATTATTATTATTATTATTATACTTTAAGTTTTAGGGTACATGTGCTTGTTAGGATATCATTTTTAAAAAAGTATTTCTTAATTGTCTTTGTAAGTTTTTAGATAGTTTTAAAAATTGAATAACCAAAATGGAAAATTTTACCAATCAGTTATTGTAGAATAATGTCACACAGTAATATTGAGCTCAATCATTGTGGATTCTGGTGATTTTTAACAAAATCTAATTGAATTTCACTTTCTTTCATATATTCCCTCCCATTTTCTTCTGAACTTAGTTTTTCCATTATATTACCTATAATTTTAGGGTCTTTTATTCAGAGATCAGGGAGGCATTTTTTTTCTTTGACCTGGCCTTAATTAATATTTTCCTTTCATAAAAGGTCAACAATAATATAAATAATTTTGTTTTTTTTCAACAGTTCAGTTTTAGTTTGTACTCATGGTAACACTGATTATAATAACAGGGCTTCACATATAGTCTTCTCCTAAGTATAAACCTTTGTTTCAAAATCTTAGCATTTGAGAGCCTCAGTCCTTAGAGGAGTGTATACAAGAGGTTTGCCATGGTAAATCCTTGCTCTTATTTTTTCTTTCTCTCTTGTATTATTCACTCTGGAAAGCTAGACGTTATGTTGTAAGCAGCCCCACAGAGAGTCCTGGGGCCTCTGGGCAACAGCCACCAAGGAACTAAAAGCCTACCAACAACCAAGTGAGTGATCTGTCAAGTGCAACTTCCAGCCCCCATTGAGCCTTGAGACAGCAGCAGCCCCGGTAGACAACTTGACAACAACCTCATGAGAGACCTTGAACTAGAACCACCCAAGCCACTCCCAGTTTCTTACCCTAGGAAGAGTAGAAACAGTATATGTTTGTTGTTTTGAGCCACTAATTGTGGGGGGTAATTTGTTACAAGGCAATGATACCTAATACAGAGGTGGTTAATTCTATTTGTTTTTATATAAGCCTTTTGTTTTTTGTTTCTTTTTAAAAATATTGTATAAAGAACATGTGAAAAGTACCCATAGTTAATAGTGTAAGCATTTTATAATATACTTCTATTACCTGAAAATGAACCCCCATTTTTCTCTAGAGCATTTATGACTTTTTAAGAAAACAAAACAGAACAGTACTTTTATACGTTCAATTTCCATTCTTGTTTCCAGGAACACACCGTATGTATAAACACAAATACTACATGCAGCCCAGATGAATTAGGGCAATGTCAAAGAGTTGCATAGAAGCAAGGAAAATAATTTACAGAAAAAAAATTACGGAAAATATTTAATCAGTAGGTTAACTAGGATACAGGTAGTCAGTTCTAGAAATGCTAACAAAATAAGATTCCAATAGAACAGCTATAAAACAGAATTCTTTTTTTAAACATTATTTATTCAACAAATATTTGCTTAATGCCTATCAAGATGCCAGATAGTTATCTAGGATGTAGAAATAGAAGACCAAAAAACAAATTTCCTCTCTGGAATTTATATTATAGCACCTCTGAAAGGAAATATATACGATGGTAAAAATGATGGACTGTAGGCTTGGAGTACGTGAATTTGGGATTTACTGTTAGTATGGTAGGAAATCGCTAGAGGGCTTTGAACAAGAGGTTTTCATCAACATGATTTATATGTATGTATTTATATTTATTAATACATTGTTTTATATAATTTCTAAAAGCTCAATATTTTTACTTACTTTTAAAATAACTTGCTTTTTTAGAGAAGTTTTAGTTTCACAGCAAAATTGACAGGAAGGTGCAGAGATGTTTCCATCTATCCCTTGCTCCTACACGTGAATAGCCTCCCACTTTATCAATATCCTCCATCAGAGTGGTGCATTTGATACAATTGAACAACTGCATTGACAAATCATTTTCACTCAAAGTCTGTAGTTTAACATTAAGGTTATTCTGGTGGTGTAGTTTCTATGGATCTGGACAAATGTATAATGGCATGAATCCACCATTATAATGTCATACAGACTATTTCCACTACCCTGAAAACCTACTGTGGTTTGCCTTTTCATACCCCCTTTTCCCATAACCCCTGGAAATCACTGATCTTTTACTGTCTCTATAGCTTTGCCTTTGCCAGAATGTCACATAGTTAAAATCGTACCATATTTAGCCTTCCTTCATTTAGTAAAAGGCATTTAAGTTTCCTTTATTCCTTTTCCTGACTTGATAAATTCTTCTTTTTTTTTAGTATTCTATTGTTTTGACATAATAGTTTACATATCCATTTACCTTGAGAAGGATATTTTGATGGCTTCCAAGATTTAGTAATTAGAAATAAAGCTGTTATAAATATCTGTGTGCAAGTTTTTATGTGGATTTAAGTTTACAAGTCTTTTGGGTAAATACCAAATCACAACTACTGGATCATATGGCAAGAATGTTTAGTTGTATAAGAAACTGCCAAACAATCTTCCAAAGAAGTGATTATACCATTTTATATTTCTACCAGCAATGAATGAGGGTTTCTGTTGCTCCACATCCTTGCCAGCATTTGGTCTTTTCAGTATTCTGAATTTTCAGCATTGTAAGCGTTATGTAATAGTATATCAGTGTTGTTTTAGTTTGCATGTATCTGATGAACTATAATGTGGAACAGTTTTTATATGCTTGCTTTCTGTCTATATATCTTTTGTGGCAAGGCATTACTGAAGGGCTTTAGCCCATTTTATAAATTGGGTTGCTTATTTTCTTACTGTTGAGCTTTGAGCTTTAAGGCTTATTTGTAGATTTTGGATACTAGTCCTTTATCAGATATATCTTTTTCACATTTTCTCCAGTCTGTTATGTTTTCATTTCCTTGACAATTTCCTTCACAGAGCAGAACTTTTTCATTTTAAAGAAGTACGACTTATTCTTTCTTTCATGGATCATGCCTTTTAAGTTATAATTAGAAAGTCATCACCAAACTCAAGGTCATCTAGATTTCTTCCTATGTTATATTCTATGAGTATTATAGTTTTTATTTTATATTTTTGTTTGTAGTGCATTTTGAATTAATATTTGTTAATAAATTTGAAAGATATGTCAAATTTTTTTGGTATGTGGGTGTCCAGTTGTCCCAGCACAATTTGTTGAAAAGATTACCTTTTCTCCATTGTATTTTCTTTGCTCTTTTGTCAAAGATCAGTTGACTGTATTTATGTGGGTCTATTTCTGGGCTCTTTCTTCTGTCCCACTGATATCTCGTCTTTTTTTTTTTTTTTTTTTTTGAGCTGCAATTTCACTCTTGTTGCCCAGGCTGGAGTGCAATGGCAAGATCTTGGCTCACTGCAACCTCCACCTCCCAGGTTCAAACAATTCTCCTGCCTCAGTGTCCCAAGTAGCTGGGATTACAGGTGCACACCACCACACCCAGCTACTTTTTGTATTTTTAGTAGAGACGGGATTTTGCCATGTTGACCAGGCTGGTCTCAAACTCCTGACCTCAGGTGAACCGCCTGCCTCGGCCTCCCAAAATGCTGGGATTACAGACATGAGCCACCACGCCCTGCCATATCGTCTGTTCTTCTGCCAACACCACACTGTCTTGATTACCATAGCTTTATAGTAAGTCTTGAAGTCAGTAGATTCAGTCCTCCAACTTTTTTCTTCTCCAACTTTGTGTTGGCTGTTGTACCTTTTGACTCTATATAAACTTCAGAATCAGTTTGTCAATATCCATAAAACAACTTGCTGGGATGTTCATTGTGATTGCATTGAATCCATAATTCAACTTGCAAAGAATGAACAGATTGATACCATTGAGTCTTTCTATCCATGAACATAGAATATCTCTTCGTTTGTTTAGTTCAACTTTGATTTTTTTAATCAGAGTTTTGTAGTTTTCCTCAAATAGATTATATATGTGTGTGTATATATATATATACACACATACATACATATGTGTGTGTGTATATATATATACACACATACATACGTGTGTGTGTGCGTATATATATATATATATAGAGAGAGAGAGAGAGAGTTAGATTTATACCTAGGAATTTCTTTTGGGGGAGATGCTAATATAGATGGTATTGTGTTTTTAATTTCAAATTCCTCATGTTCATTGCTGGCATATACAAAATTGATTGTGTATTATTAACCTTGTATCCTGCAACCTTGTTATAATAGCTTATTAGTTTTAGGATGTTCTTGTTGATTCCTTCAGATTTTCTTCATAGACAATCACATCACTGTGAACAAAGGCAGTTTTATTTCTTCCTTCAAATAAGTATACTTTTTTCTTGCTCAGTAAAATGTGGAAAAAAAGTGGTGAGAGGGGGCACTCTTACCTTGTTCACAATCTTACTGCAAAAGGTTCTAGCTTCTCCCTATTATGTTAGCTGTAAGTTTTCTGTATATATTCTTTATCAAGTTGAGAAAGTTTCTCTCTGTTCCTAGTTTCCTGAGCATTTTTATGATAAATTGATATTGCATTTTGTCAGTCACTTTTTCTGCATCTATTGGTATGATCATATGATTTTTCTTCTTTTATCCATTGATGAGATGGGTTGCATCGATTGATTTCTGAATGCTGAATCTTCATTATATGCCTGTAATAAATACCACTTGGTCATGGTGTATAATTCTTTTTATACATTGTTGGATTTGATGTATTAGCACTTTGTTCAGAATTATTGCATGTAATCAATTTATATTTTAAAAGTATTTTTGGAGAAAAACTATAGAAATAATTAAAGCAAGGCAATCAGAAAGGAAGCAGCTTCAATGATTAAGGTGAGATGATATTGACCTAACTAGGGTTTTTGAGTGGAGCTGGTGAGAATTCATTAGATTAAGGATGCATTTTGATGATAGAGCTGATAGAATTTGAGGGTGGATAGATTGTGAAGTTTGAGGGAATTAAAGAAGACAAGAAGGACTCCCTAGCAAAGATTGCTCAGGATATGGTGAGATTCAAAGCTTAAATAGTTTAAATGGCCCTCTTAACTAAATAACACAACATTACAAATATAAAACTAGACCCTTATTATTGGAATGAGGTTTTGCAAACATAAGACCTTGAAACTTAGATTTCATTGGTTTCAGAGTAAAACTGTTTCTTTTAGGGTTTTGCATGAATAAGAGTGAATGGGGATATACTTTTCTGATGTGTGAAAAACTGAGGGAATAAAGAGATGTGGGTGGGAAATCAACAGTTCTGATTAGGATATATTAAATTCAAGATGCCTATAATCATCCAAAAAGAGGTATCAGTTTTGTGTTGAAAATAGATATAAGCTGGGGAGAGAAATTTGAAGGTCATTAGTTTGCAAATGGTTTTTAAATACATGCAACTTGTGATCACTTAAGAATAAGGGAGATAGAGAGAAGACTAGGACTGTGGATGGAGCCCTGGGGAAATAAATAGAAATAGGTAATCAGAGGAGGAGCCATCAGAGTGGACTGGAAAGGAAGATTCATTGAAGAAGGAGGAAAAGAGGACAGTGAACTGTCAACTCTGGTAGCCAAATGAAAATAAGTTGGGCAAGGAGGGATTTTCTTTCACTTATGTCAAACGCTACTATTAACAAACTAACAAAAAAATAAAATTCTCTTAAATGTTTTTAATGTTTTTTCCATGTTTTTTTTTCTGCTTGAAAAAAATGCAGCTTTGTACTGGAAGACTCAACACATTGTACATAAGCTTATTTTTTTAAGGAGTTTTACATTCAATACTGACACTTCTCTCCTGTCTTCTTGTCCCACTTCTTTCATCTCTAAATCTAGTTTGTTTTCTTATCACAGTGACTCTATTCTGTCACTTGAGTATACAAAAATATTCTATTTGTGAAGATTTTTAGGAAGAGTTATTTTCATTTCATTCACCTTCGTATTTCTATTTTTATAACATCAAACACCAGAGTTTGAAAAGCCTATGTAATTCTTCTCCCTCTTTGACATCCTTTTAACATTCTTATTTTTCAGAGTTTCTCATGATTCAAAACTTGTTCTCTCTGTTTCTTAATCCCATAAAATTCTTTCTTGATACTTTTCCTATATCCATTAAATTTATTTATTTAAGAATCTTACTCTTCCTGAAAATTTCACAAATAGAATAATTTTGCATACTCAAGTGACAGAATACAGTCCATTCATTGAGAAAAGAAAACAAACTAAATTTAGAGGTGAAATGGGTAAAATTCTTTTATTTCCTCAAATGTATGATTGTAGAAACAAATAAAGAGCTTAATTTATGCTTATTTTGGATTTTTAACTATTCTGTAGTTTTGTGCCTATTTTTTAACTATTTGTGGTGAGTGGGTTTTCTAATTATGAAATATTTACACAGATGAAGTATAGTAGTATTCTTTTGAACTTAAAAGAGAAAAGTAACTTCATAGGAAACCTTTGAAGTACATTATCAAACCTTTAACCTAGAAAGGAAGTAAATTGATAGTCAATTTTCAGCAACATATTGAAGTAGGCAATCAAAATTTGAGGAACTTAAAGTTGTTCTTTGAAGTCTAAGTAGATTACAGGAAGCAAATAAAGATCAGAAGATCTCTGTCCATCTTAAAGCAACCTACAAATAGGCTTAATTTCAGAAGTGCTACTCTGAATACCTGCCTCTTAAGTTCTAGTTCAGTTTCTTAAATATCCCCTCTATTTTTCAGCTATATGTTCCTTTACATTTTGCCATTTTTCCATATCTGTATTTACCCTAATATGGTCTTTTAGCTTCAACATTCCTGGCTTGACAGAGTGAAAGCATGAACTTCTATTTCCTTGCCCTCTCCTCAGACAGCTGCAAGAGGTCATTGTTCTCAGGAATTAAGTGACATTCAGGAGCTTCTAAAAGTTCCTGCCAATAAAGGGCTGTAGATAAATGTACTGCATAAGATGTGTTACATGGGAAACAGCATATGCACTCTATGTTTCCAAATAGTGAGAAGCAGCATATGTTCAACAAATATGAGCCACCCATTAGGTCGAGCTGAAATGCTCTCTCAGGAAAAGTAGACCTAAGTTACAATAAAAGTTATTTTCATCAAAACACAAAGTTATTTGTCTATTTATCTTTATGTACTTTGAATTTTAACTGTTTTTAAGATGCCCATCTATGAATCTACTGGAGCATCACATTGAAAATATTAGTCTGCACTTGGAAAACTAATTAAAAAGAAGCTGTGTTACTGAAAGTGATATTGCTCAATTAGACATCACTCTAACTCCTGCCAATGAATTAAATACCACTCTTCTGTTTTACATTTTTTCTCATTTGCCCCTCCTCCATGATAAATATTTTCTTGTTGTTTGCCCCCCTCCCTGATAAATATTTCCTCATAGTTATTATACAAATGCCTAAACACAATGAATTCAAAGCTAATTTCAAAATTTTCTTCTGAAAATTTTTTCTTCATCAGCCATTCAAATGGACTATCTTAAAAGAACTGCCTCATTTTGTTGTGGTGGTTCCCATGTTAAAAATTCCAGAAAAAAAAAAACGCTATGTCAAATTTAAATCAGATTTACCTGGGCCCAACCAAATGTGTCCAAAACATGGACTATGAAAACATGACACCTCCTACGAATTTGGAATAGGAAGAATAGTAACAAATGGTCTTCCTGGAAATTGAGAGTAGTATCAGGATGATAAGTCAATTAGTGCTGTCTACTACTAGAGTCCTGATAAAGGTAATTCCACAAAGATGAGGAAGAAAGGAAGAGAAGTGAGTTTAAGACCCAATGAGAGAATGGCAGTAATACAACTATGCTTCACGAGCAACCAGCATCCAAAACACAAATGCAATAGGATTCTCCATATCCCTATATCATCTCTTTTTCTCTTTGTATTGAAATCATTCTGTGAAAGCTTTCTGTGGCAGATTGTATTTTTCAAAGGTAACCATATCGATACAACTTTCAACCCACATGGTCTTATAATGTGAAGTTGAGATTCTTCCATCAAAAGCTCAAGTCTATGTTCCCTTTTGAGCATAGGTGGTCCTTTGCAGCTGCTTTGACCAATAGAATGCAGCAAACATGACACTCCATTATTACAGAGGGTAGGTCATAATCTGATCATAAGACTTTCATTTGCTATTCTCTCTTTCTTTTGCTCTTTCTCTTTCTTTCTCAACATGTACCTTAGGAACTCTGAACCAACATGTAAAAAGTCTTGCTACCCTGAAACTGCAATGCTTGAAACATTTAGCATGCTAGAGAGAGATCCAAGGATATCCAGCTGTTCAAATCTTCACAGAACAGGCCCCAGATATGTACATGATAAACCTTAAAAACAAACCTAGCCATGGTGAAAATTGTACTCCACCTCATGAAAGATCTTGAGGCATCACTTTGTTTTTTCACTTCCTTGGAAGTGAAGCAGGTTCCAGTCATTGCCAGTGGCTGCTTCTTGTGAAGCACCTCATTGCCTCCCTGTTATATATCACCTATTGAGTGCCAAATGGTATTCATTCTTCTCCTAATAAGGCAGGTATACGGGGTAGTGAGAATGCCTTAGAAGCTGAACAATACAAAATTCTTCTTTAACAAGCATGGCGATTAACTGGAAATGCAACTCTATTAAAAGCTTACTAGGTTGTTGAATTAATTTTATTTGGATAATTCTATTGGCTAATTAAAATCAGAAATTACATTGATACATAAATTTGGATTCTGTTCCTCTTCTGGCATTGAGCAACAAGGATGGAAGTCCTATTTATTTTTAATACTCTAGTTTAAAAGTAGTTTATTTTATCTTGGTGTATTGGAAAATTAGATACTTCAATATAAAATAGAGCTGATTTTTCATGGAAGTCTGCCCATGACTGTAACCGGGAAGGGGTGCTAAGTTGGGGTGCTTAGTTGGATTATGAAGAACAGAAGACATCCTCAATTCCTCTGACTTTTCCAAGACAGCCAAGTTGCATTTTCTAATGTGACATAGTTCAACAAACTTACCTTTCATAACTCAGCAAACATTATTTCTTTCGATCTTCAACAGTCATGGATTCCCAGCCATAGACAGGTCTCTCAATAAAAGTATATGACCATTGAAGTTGCTCTTTTCTGTCTTCTTTCAGATGGGTTAGCTTATGTCATTTATTATTATTTTTTAGAACTCCATTAAAAATCATACAAAGTAGCCATTTGGCATATAGCTTCAATCTCAGTGTGTATGATATATATCAAAAATGCCCAGTTTACCAACTGTTTTACATGCACAACATGAAATACTATGTTCTACCCAAGAAAGTAAGAATAAATATTTATAATGATAACTTAGCTAACATTTAGACTGCCAAACTTGATACTGAAGTATATATTTATATACATATGTACATGTATTTAAAGCACTCAACTGTATATATTAAGTATACATAATATTGTTTCAAGTAATTTAGTTTCTCTTATATCTATGGGACATAGGAACTATTACTATGCCAATTTACAGGGAAGGGAACTTAGGCTTATCCAAGACTAGCATGACCAACCATCTTGGTTTGTGCGGGACTGAGGAGTTTCCCAGTACAGGAGATTTTCAGTGCTACAACTGAGACCTTCCTGGGCAACCTGGGATGATTTGTTACTATATTTTCAGTTAAAACAGAGTTAAGCCCAGATTTTCTGAATCCAAAGGCCAAGAATAAGACTACTACCCTATTTCTTTTGGGATAGAGGGTATTCACTCCTTTCCACTCATTCTGACTTAATCATTTCCATAATCTTGAGCCTCTCACTTGAAATGTTCTAATTCTAGAAATCAATTTCTTTTTCAGTCAGGATTTGCTTTTGCCGGTAATCAAAACTCAACATTAGCTAGTGTAATTCAAAGAGAAAGTGTTAAGAAAGCAATAAACAGCACTAAAGGCTACAAAAATAAGATACTATCTAAGATTAATTTTTAAATTAGTTTTAAAAAGCAGCTTTATAACCTTCTTGATTCAATACTTTTTCTAAAGTAAAAAGTTCAAATCTCCACATTAGTAATGACTAAATCTGCAACCCCCTTGCTTAATATTTTTAAATTTCTCTAATAAGTACTTTAAATCTCCCAGTTATTTTTCATCCAAGCTCAGAATCCTACTCTGAGATTTTCTACTTTGCCTTGAAATGCCGTAGTTGCCTCTATGTGTAGAGAACAGATGGGGGTGGGGCCAGGCACTCCTAGATACCCCAATTCAAGCCTTAACAGTTTGATAACTGAAGCTTGGAGAGAAGTTGGAAAGGGGAATTATAACACAAGACAATTAGATCTCAGACATCACTTCTCTTAAAATCTATAGGGCAAGTCTAGTTCAACAGGGTTCCCAGCTATCTATCAATCTTTGCCTTCAGTGGTGACAAGATACTGAGCCCTGCTCCCTCTCAGTTCAGAACCTCTCCCTCACCTTTCCCCTTCCCTGAGACCAGGTTGCCAAATACCAGGTAAAGCTAGGAATTAGTTATCACCTTAACAGTGACACACCCAGGAGAAATACCCCTTTATTGTTATGGTAACTTCATGCCTCACCATGTCAGACTAGAATTATCGGCTTGACCTTCACATATACAAAAAGGTTCAATGATGTATTTTTCAAATTAAGATCAGTCATCACCCAAAGTTATACCCTGCTTCTCACCATTAGAAAAAAACTGCTACGAGGAGCATATATATATATATACACACACACACACACATATATATAATTTACATGTTGTATGTACATATATATATAAGAAGCATTTATATTTCATATATTAAATATAAATTATACTTTAATATTTACATCTATAGTATACATATATAATATATTTCTATATATTTTATATATATACTTAATTCCTGTAACAGGAAGAAGATAAATTGCTATGATTTCAGTGAAAGCATCTGGAGGAAGTTAAAAAAAACAAATTGCATTATGCTTTCAGGAAGCTTGACTTAGAAAATACGTACATTTAGCATCAGATCTTGGGGAAAGGTTTTTATTCAAGGCTATGTGGTTGTTGTTGTTGTTGCTGCTGCTGCTGTTGCTGCTGCTTTGCTTTGAGGATATGAGAGACTTGAAAATATTACTTAGGTTAAAGGAAGACAGTAGTGTTAGAGAGTGAAAGAAAGAAAGGACTTTTTGAGAGACAGGACTCACTATTTCTATTTAGAAGTCACTAGTTAGTTTTCTCTTAAATGTAACAGTTCCAGGATAGGAGCAGAGAAAAGAAAATTTGATTATTTAGGCTACAGAATTTATAGAGCACATTCAGCACAATTATATAGGAATTAAGGGGATTTGGAAAGGAAGAAATAATTATGGGCTCACCTAAAAGGTACAGGTAGAATAAAAAAGAAAGCAAGGCCAACTAAGGAACTCCTAAGCTGAGAGAAAATGAAGAACAGTGAGAACTGAAATTTCCATGCAGTCGAAGAGTATATCTAATCAGAATAAGAAAAATCAAAAGAGCTTGAAGAAGAATAGACAATGAACAGATAATGGAATATCCAAGTTTAATATTCAGAAGTTAGGACTCCTAAGAATCAAAGATTAAATTTTATTTATATATTATATTTTATTCACATGTCTATATCTACTAGAAGAGTGATGTGATCAATACATGTTTATTGAATGAAAATAATTCAATTTATTAGATTCTACAAGTATAACAAGAATTCATTTTTGATCATAGAATAAAATTTTGGAATACTGCTTTGGGGACCTTTTAATATCAAGAAACTCCAAAATTGTATTAATCCTACATGAATCAAATGTTTTCCACAGATGGTACAGTTTTACAAATTAAAAAAAAATCAAATAACAATTGCACAAGGTAAAATTCACTGTCACAGAAAATAATGACCCTGGGTTTGATATCACTCTGGAGTAAAAACCCCATCTAAATTCACATCTACCCTCTCTCAATACAGAGTATGTAGGCCATACATTTCAGCAGCTTATAAAGTTTATTTTCAGGAATGAATGCCAGTTTTAAATCAATTTTTTTTTACTTTTAATAATCACTGAACTGACTAAAAGTATTCTCCCTTAAGATTGTGGATTTTAATATATAATTTGAATAGGCAAATACAATTAAGTATTTTATTAGGATGTTTTGACCTGCAAGTGAGAAAAAACTCCTACTAAAGTGTTTACTAATAATGATATTTATTTTCTTACATAGCAGTAAATCCTCGGGTAGAAAAACTCCCAGAGTTTATAAATTCAGTGGCCAAAAACATACTATCTGTCCTTCCTGCCATTCTCAGCAGATCAACTCTGTCTTCAAAAGCTGAATTCCTTTAACAGATTTTTCCCCCTGTTAGGCCTACCAGGTTTTGTCCCCTGGATAAGGAGATGTGACCAGCCCCTGATAAAATGTAAGTCCATATGGAAAAAGGTATTCACTTTGTGTTCCTATCCTTCCCTCATCTTACAGTTTGGATTGAATAAATAAATAATATATATATATATGTAATTATAAAATTTGCAATTAAATTATAATTATAGTAAAATCAATTATTTTTATATAATTATATTCATAGAATCTCCTTTTTCTCAGGTTCTTATGATATAATGGAATCACACTAATTTAGTTGATCCATTTTTTCCTAAATATTCTCAGCCAAAAACATACATTTTATTCTCAAATAAATTTGGAAAACAAATATTGCACAGGGCACCTCATTTTTAAATGTTTTTAATTTCTTAGAGAAATTGAGGACTCTGTGGAGCTGTGGTTAAAATCATCTGTTGCAAAACTTCCCTATTAACTAATATTAACAAAAGCATATTCCTTGGAACACACCGTGGCTAGTTTAGCTCATTCCTAATATTCATTCACTGAACTTTTATATATTTGTTTAATTTCTTTCATTATGTCTTTCTAATTGAAACAGCATTTGGTTAGAAAAATTGGTCAAGTGATCTCAATTTTGCACCAAAAGTATTAATTAATTACTTCTAACTTCAGAAATAAAGGGCATTTTTAGGCAAACTAAAATAATTTATTGGAAAATTATAGGTTTTTAAACTTACATAACTAGTTTGTAATGGTTACCAGACAAAGAAATAACAATGTGGAGCAATCTTTTTTTTTTTATTAAACTTAAAACATATGCTGAAAACAGCCGGGATTTGCTTTCTAGTGCTCTCTCAAAACAAATCTGCTTTCTCTTGGATATATAAGCCAACAGAATGAAATGCTTTTCTTGGTCAAAAGCCTTATGTAATATTTCAAATTTATCCTCTGTTATACACTGAGCCATGTTACAACACAACTGCCCTCTTTTATTCAAAGTCAAGATCCTAGAGTTCTTACTCAGGGAACAAGCCTTAAAACAACCTCCAACAGCTCCAAGGGCTTTGATTGCAGATGAATTTAGACTTCTTTGACTTTTGAAGACTGAACTTGATGTTGCATTGTATAAAAGTTGTGAATTCCAGCTTATTTCTCTGCTTCCTGTCTGTAATAATTATGCACAAAATGAAACAGCTAAACAAACTTGCTTATGAGTGTTACTCATGGAATGACCCAGGACAGAGAGAGAGTGAGTGTGTGTGTGTGTGTGTGTGTGTGTGTGTGTGTGTATGTGTGTGTCTTTACACATAGCCTCCAATCTAGGTCCTATTCCTTGGTCTTTCTCCATAATTAAAATAGAAAAGGGTAGGAAAAACTGATAGAAAATCAGTCTGATGCAATGACTGGTTGGTCAATCCATTGGCATCTATCTTCCACTCTCATCCAGGTCATCTCTATTCTTCAGAGAACCAGCAATATACTGTAAAGTTGTGCCTACTAACTTCCCAATTTTTACAAAGCAATATGCATTTTTAATTTCTCTGATTTAGACCTTTCATATTTCAGCATACTATCAGGTAGGGTTCCTTCGCAATTGAACATAATTATTTCTTGTTAATTTTAGAGGAGCTAAAACGCTCCTAAATAATTCGATATAGTGTTTGTGCAAAGTATATGTTAGTTTTAGAAAACAACTAATTAGTGTACTCTTGTGCAAAATGTAGCTTTTTAAATTAATTTTTATGGAATTATGATGTCAATAATTTTCTTTTTTTGAGGAAAAATCCACTAAGAATTAACATAGTTGTAGAGCCATTGGGGAAGGCATACACCATACATACTTTAAGAAATGGAGGAAATTTGAGCAGTTTCCATATACAACCCTAATAACTCAGAGACCTCAAACTGCATCATGCTTTTAGATATTAGAGAGCGGATGGCTGATTTTACTATATACTTGCCAACACTCTAATTTATACAGGCTTAGTATAATTTAAATATGGGTTTTTTCCTACAGTTTATTTACTATTTCTAGAGCTACGTAAAACTAAGTTTTGTTCTCGAGGAATTTACTGGTTTTGTTACCCTACAAAATGGATAACTGAATAATCTGCCAAGTTATTTCATTTCAAAACAGCTTGTTCTGCTGCAAAACCCTTCAGTTCCTCCTCCCCCTCCATGACATCATTTTTAAAATTTATGTTATATACTATGTGTATTTCCCAAAGTCATCTTAATAATTATATCAGTGAAAATAAATATATTGTTTTACATAATTTTGCCTGCTAAAAGATAAAGGCTTTAATTTGTTCCTAGATATTTAATAGTCCTTTTATATGCTGCATCTATTCTTAT
This sequence comes from Homo sapiens, assembly GCF_000001405.40. Taxonomy (NCBI): domain Eukaryota; kingdom Metazoa; phylum Chordata; class Mammalia; order Primates; family Hominidae; genus Homo; species Homo sapiens. The sequence goes on from NC_000008.11 coordinate 87,507,180, forward strand.
GACTAGAAGGAAAGCAAATACCAAAGGCATGTATTTCTTCTGACCAGATGTTAGGATGTGGTGAAGAGAAGCTTATTGGTGGTAAGGATTTTCATTATTTTTTCGTTTAGACTTTGGCTCATCCAGGTGCTGGAAGTGCTAACACACACACACACATACCGCCTGATTCCTGATTTTTTTTTTTCATATGTGAATGCTATTTCTGTTAGACAGTGGTTCTCAAAGTGTAGCACTATAAACATCAATATAATATGGAACTTGCTAAAATACAAATTCTGAGGTAGCACCTCAGACTTACTAAATCAGTGAACTGGGAGTGGGGCCCCAAAATATAATATTTTAGAGAGCCCTTTAGGTGATCCTGATGCACAATCAAGATTGAGAAACACAATTGTAATAGAATTTTTTAAATTCTGGTTTTGAAAATATTTACTGTAAAGCTTACTACAAAAGATGCACCAAGGAGATATAGTGTCACAAAACTAAATTGATAGGTGGCTTTGTTATAGAAAGTATTCTATTACCACCACTGAAATTCCCCAGAAGACAGGAGGAATGTCTATTATTTCAGATATTTTATTTACAGTTCTGAACTGCTTCACTGAAAGAGACATTTTGAGGCTTTGGGGCCATTATAAGTGAAAGAATTATGGCGATAAATGATTAACTTGTAATTTTTAGATATTTCAAAATGCAGATTGTACTTTTCATGCATTCTGTTCATCAATTTTCCCCAAAGCCATAGAGAGTTTAAAAAAGCATTACCAGTTTCAGGCATCCTTATACATTTTCACACTGGAATTTATTAGCTACAAAATGTTTTGGTTCTAAAATATATTTCATATCAAAAAGAACCTGGGAGCTAAAGTCTCCACTCACATTTTTCAAAAGCTTGTTTCTTTCCTTCTATATATATATATGTCATGTATACACCACAATCTACATAAGCAAAGAGTCTTTTTCTCTTAAATCATTTGTGTCCTTTTTGGGGAAATCAGCTGTTGAAAAAATGGATTTTCAATATATTAAGATTTTTCCATGTGAATTTTTAATCTTATTAGGAAATGAACTGCCATATTGAGCTGTACCTTTCTCTAGCTATCTTATTTATTTCTCCAGGAACAGATATAGGAAATCATTTATGTAAATCTATATGCTAAAAATTGACATCACAGAGTAGTACTGTTTTTGCTAATATACCACTACAAGTTTTTAGTGATCAGTGATTAATGTAAATTAGTTTAATGCATATTCTTGCACCAAACATTAAACAAATGTTCAAATAATTATTTCATGTTTGATAAAAAGAGCTAAAAATATTGAATCTAAAGTTGACATAACATATACTGCCAGGATTGTTGTGAAGATTGATTGAGAACACAGCATTCATTGAATATGGCTTATATAAGTATATAAAAATAGCTTGATCAGATCACATAATTTTGATATAACAAAATATTGATAAGTGGAAGTATACAAATAAAAAAAAGGATTATCTGGTAAATGTGTCAAAAACATATCCATTAATAAATAATATATTTGAGAAGGGCAAAACATACAAGGCTGAATGTGTAGAATTAGAGAAGGAAGCCAATGAAGTTTGGAGGGGAAAACCCAAAAATAAATATGAAAAATATAAATTAAAAGGATTAAATATAGATTTGAATAACTATAGATTAATCAATATTAATTTATATTAGCAAGTGCTTTAAAAGCATTTGATGAATGACGCATGGTTAACAAGATATGAGATTCTACTAATATTATGTCTCAATGGAAAAAGGAAACCACCAAAGGCAACTCAAAGTATTTACTGTTAGAGGATGAAAGGCTTTCCCAGCCCTCTGGTATTTGTAGGTCTCTATTTTTAAGCCTCTCCCTTATGTTCTTAAAATCTTCAGGTTGATGTATTTCCTTCTTTTGGATTTTTTAAAATAAATGAAACAATCCCACAGAGCCAACTTTAAAAACAAGAGACTTATTAGGGTGATCAAAATAGAATATCACTATATCAGATATACAGTGTACTAGCTAAAATCATAGTATACTAGTTATTCCTGGCTATTTTTCTGAATATCTATTTTTTTGTTACTTTTGAATACTAAGGTCTGTATTTGTCTCATTATCCCTGTTGTGGTCAATCAGTTGAAAATGAGACATCATGTGTCTTTTTGTTGAAGAACAACTGGATTTCATTTCTCTTCATAGTTGATTCAGAAAGTATTTTTATGAATTCTACATTTCAGCAGCATTACTTTGAGCAGAATTTGGCCTACCATTCATGCACTAGGTGATTTGAGCATGTAATTCAGATGCTTTTCTGATGACTAACAAATACGGTATGATGGTTAATTTTATGTGTCAACTTGACTGGATCATAGGGTACCCAGTTATCTACTTAAACATTATTTCTAGATCTGTCTGTGAGAGTGTTTCCAGAAGGGATTCACGCTTGAACTGAAGGACTGAGTTAAGAGGATTGCCCTTCTCAGTGTGGGTAGGCATTATTCAAATTCGTTGAGAACCTGAATAGAACAGAAAGGTGGAAGAAGGAAGGATTTGCTGTTACTCCACCTGACTGCCTGACCCAAGACATCAATCTTCTTCTGCCCTTGGAGTTCTTGGTTCTCAAGCATTCAGACTCAAACTGGAATCTACGTCATCAGTTTTCCAGCTCTTAGGCCTCCAAACCACACCATAAGCTTTCCCAAGTCTCCAGTTTGCAGATGGCAAACTGTGGGACTTCTCAACCAATAAAACTGCTTGAGCAAATGCCTTATAAAAACTCTACACACACACACACACACACACAAACACACACACACACATCCTGTTGGTTCTGTTTCTCTCAAGAATCCTGACTAATACACGAGGAGTAGAAAGTAAAGCCATCTTTCCTGACTACATAACAGACATCACCTAATATTATTAGCTGCCTGGTCTTAATCTATAACACGGAGTCCTGGGAATATCCAGTGAGCAGAGAAACTACAGGAAAATGGTGCTTGTATTGAATCTTAGGTCTGCTCCTTTGCCTTTTACAGATAGCATAAGAGCAATGTTTGTTCTGAGGCATCTAAGTATTTTCTTATTAGAATGGCCTACATATTAAGTAAGGGAAAGGGCATTGCTGACAAGATCTCAAAGACAAAGTCCAAAGGAGAGGCAGGGGTGGTATGAAGGAGCTGAAGTGAGGAAGAGGGAAAATAAGCAGAAGTAAGCTTGGAAGTAATACTTTTTTATCATTAAAGAAGACCTTGGATTAATTAATTTTTGTTTAGTTTTCTCCATTTTAATTTTATGAAGGAGAAGAATAGAAACAATTGAAAAAAAGGCTTTAAATCCCTCATAGCCATTAAAATAGGTGGGAAAACAATGCATAACTGAGGAAAAATGCCTTCTGTAACTTACGTACAGTACTGAGCAAGTTATTTAATTTCTCTAATCCTTCATTTCTTCTATTATAAAATAGAGAAAACAATATAATTGGCTTGATAGGATTGTTATGGTATCAAATAATTAATAAAGAACTTAAATACATTCTAATGTTAGCTAATTAATTTACTCACATATTCACTTTTTATTCAACACATACAATGGCATGCTCTACCGATACACCAAGTCCTGTTAGGCCTAGGACAGATTTTCCAGAAAACAGACTTAGATAAAAATTTACATACAGGAAGTTTAATGCGAAGTGTACTTAGGTATTAAACTACATGGGAGTAAAGAAGTAGAATTGGACAGTGGGAGCCAAATATATTGCCTGCCTAAATATTACATGTATTACAATTACAGGATCATGTAATTGATTTGATAATCATAGTTAATTTCCTCATCAAGATGGTGTCTCCATTTCTTTCCTTCTGGTCTGTTAACACAAGGACACTGAAGTGAGCAGTAGCAGCCATAGCTTAAAGTTTAGAAGGATTCTTGCTGTACTCCCTAATGGAAGTGTTCTGCTTCTGAGGATCAGGAACTCTACACCAAAACAGCTCTGAGGTGCAGGAAAGGAAGATGTAGGAAAGGAAGCCCAAGTTCCCCAACTGGGTCACTGTGAGTCATTAAGTGGTGCCATTCTTAATTCTAACCCTTAGTTGCCAGCACTATGTATTCCACCCACAGGAACACCACAGAAAATAATATATATCAATTTACAATTCACATTGTTTTCTAGAGAATGGTGTCCCATCCATATAGGATGTCATCTCCAAGCCGAAGTACAAGCTGAGCCTGCAAATGGCTGTTCCATTTATCTATCAGGCAGGCAGTTTCTGAACTGAAGGGTTGTAATGGAACTAGAGGTTCTTTTGGCCATATGTCCACAGTAGCATCTCTGTTGTTTTAAAGTGAGGCTCTTGGTCTCTTCTGATATTGGATGACACACTTTGTCAGCAGATCAAGCAAGCTGAGATACTGCAGTCAGAAAAGGCAAGAAGTTATTTGAAAAATATGTGTCATTCCAGTCAAGATGAATTTCTGCCTCTTTCAGGGAGAAAGGAACCCACTGTAATGAATGAAATACTGTCTTACAGGGATAGGGCCAAATTAGGGACTCAGTATGTATATATATCTATACGTATATATATATACATATACACACACACACACACACACATATATATATATAGACAGTAGCTAAAGTGGCAAGGTTGGAAGTTATTTTGTATAAGTTCCTGCATCCCAAGGCTCCCAAGACTTAAACTCCAACTACCAGTAAAAAATATATATAATATATATATTTTTAGATGTAAAAAATATATATTATATATATATATTTTTACTGGTAGTAAATATATATATATTTAGTAGTAAATATACATACTTATATGTGTAATATATATTATATATACTATATATATATTTTATATATATATATATATATATTTTTTTTTTACTGGCAGTTGGACTTTAAGCCTTGGGATCCTTGGGACACAGGAACTTTTAAAGATGTCCCCCAAAATAACTTCCATCCTTGCTACTTTAGCTACTCTCTTAATCAGACTGTTTGCCACACTGAAGCTAGCTCATGTCAACTAGCAAAGTCATTCTATCTACTCGGTTGTTCAGTGCCTCTCCATGGAGTAATCTCACACTTCATAACCAAACCCATATATTTATCCAGACATTCCTACCCTGGTCTTTGACTCTAATCTAACATTTCTTTCCAGGCCAGTGAACAACCAGTGAAGCCATTTGTCCTTGCTCATGAACTTATATATTACTATTTCAAGCCAATTCTCTTTCATACCAAATAACTGATGACATGTGGTTTCTGAAGCTCTGCCCATTGAGAAGATTTCCCTTACCCACTATCTTTAAGCTCCTCTAGTGGAACAGCAGTTGGTATTTGGCCTGAACACATATACCATATTGAACCTTTGTGAACCAAGATTTGTATTTGTATTTTATGTTGGCCAATCATAAAAAATCCCCCATGCAACCATAGGTATAAGCTGAGTGAAAGATGCTGGTACGATAGTAGTAGATGACATGGAAATCCAGGCCACCTCTTCATGTAATTTACTTGTGCTATGACCCTGCTAATGTCAAGTAATATATGTACCAATTCCATTTTAAATATGTTGCTGCAGGGCCTGCCTAACCTCATGACTTAATGGTTGTGACAGAACCTAGCACGTGATTGACACCTGATGGCCTGAGGTTACAAGATCCCTTTCTATGAGAGCCAGTAGCATTCTAGAACCAGTTTCACATTGCCTTCTTGATTTAAACTCAGATTGGTTGTCCTTATTCTGTATCACTGAATTTTGCATTTGGATTTGTGAAAATTGGCCTGCAATTTTCTTTTCTATTTTAATCGTTTAAATGGTGATACCTAACTTTAATTCTAAAAGAATTGAAGTTAGATATCACCATGTAAGTGGTTAAAATGCCCAACTTATATTTCCCATTTTTTGCAGTCCTTGAAACTAGTTTTCAATATCATGGTCAATGTTTGTTTCTGAAGTGATTCAAAATCAACCATTGAACTCTTTGCTTGTAAAGCACTATAATATATAAATACAAGCTATTTTTAATTTGCCTAATTAAAATTATGGTGCCCATCTCTCCCATTTAATTACCGATTTATTTATTATTCATGTAAATTAATTTCAAATAGTTAACTATTGTTAACAGGCAACATGCTTCTCTTTGCTAGTCACATTAATTGTAATTTGTCTTGAGTTGTAAGTAATTCGTTTTCCACTCATATTACAAGTTTTATATCTATCGTCTTTCTGAGTATGTTTTCAGTGCCTTAAAAGACTTCTCTTATTCATTCTATCATACTTTAGTAACTGAATACATAGATGTTTAAGGGATACTTTTAGCTCCAGGTTTGTTTTTATAACTCCCCATATACTATTATTGTTGTTTGTCACTGAGCTTTCAAAGATATGAATAGGACATAACATAACTTTATCTCTTTAATAGGCTTTATTAAGCCTTTGCAAGGCATTCCGGCCAATATGTACATGTAAAAGGAAATCCATAAATTGAGAAATTCTACCAGTAACTTTGCTTTACAATACACAGAAATCCAATGGAAGTTTTCTTACTTACTTTTCCTGCATAAACCACCCACTAGTTGTATGTTGTACATGGGGAAGATATTTTTAAATAAATGACTTCTTAACTTCAGTAAGTCAAAATTCATTTAACAACTGTTATTTTGGAAAAAAATAAGTTCTTATATTATTTTATGCTTTTTTGTATATGTGTTATACTTTGATAAAAATTTTGTTTAACTCAAATAGAGTAAGGGTAATTCTAGAAAAAATATTTAATTCTGACTTGAAAATATAACTGCTTTGGAAAATTTGAGTTCTAGCCACAAAATAGTTGATGGAAGAGAGGGTTTGTGATATGGTTTGGCTCTGTGCCCCAAAGCAAATCTCATCTGGAATTGTCATCCCCACATGTCAAGGGAGGGAAATGATTGGATTATGGAAGTTGTTTCCCCCATGCTGTTCTCATGATAGTGAGTGAATTCTCACAAGATCTGATGGTTTTATAATTAGTTTTTCTGGCACTCTCACACACACTCTCTCTGGCCTGCCACCACATAATACATGCCTGCTTCCCCTTCCATCATGATTATACATTTGCTAAGGCCTCCCAGCCATATGGAACTGTGAGTCACTTAAACCACCTTTATTTATAAATTACCCATTTGATGATAGTATCTTTATAACAGTGTAAGAACACACTAATACAGTAAATTGGTACTGCAGAGAGTGTGGTACTGCTATAAAGATATACAAAAAGGTGGAAGCAACTTTGGAACTGGGTAACAAGCAGAGGTTGGAAGAGTTTGTCAGGCTTTGAAGAAGACAGGAAGATGTGGGAAAGTTTGGAACTTACTAGAGACTTGTTGAATGGTTTTGACCAAAATGCTGATAATGATGTGGACAATGAAATCCAGGCTTATTGAATGAAATCCAGGCTCAGATGGTCTCAGACGGAGATGAGGAACTTCTTGGGAACTGGAGCAATGGTGACTCTTGCTATGCTTTAACAAAGTGACTAGCAGCATTTTGCTCCTACCATAGAGATCTGTGGAACTTTGAACTTGAGAGAGATGGTCTGAAATTGGAACTTATGTTTAAAGGGGGAGCAGAACATAAAAGTTTGGAAAATTTGCAGCCTGATGATGCAATAGAAAAGAAACACCAGTTTTCTGGGGAGAAATTCAAGCCAGTTGCAGAAATTTGCGTAAGTAATGAGGAGCCAAATGTTAATCACCATGACAATGGGAAAAATGTCTCCAGGGCATTTCAGAGGTTTTCATGGCAGCCCCTCTCATCATAGGCTTCAGGGTCTAGGAGGGAAAAATGATTTAATGTGCCAGGCCCAGGGCACCCCTGCTCTGTGCAGCCTTGAGACTTGGTTCTCTGTATTCCAGCTGCTTCAGCTTTAGCCTTGACTAAAAGGGGCCAAGGTACAGCTCTGGCTGTTGCTTCAGAGGGTGCAAGCCCCAAGCCTTGGTGGCTTCCATGTGGTGTTGGGCCTGCAGGTGCACAGAAGTCAAGAATTGAAGTTTGGGAACCTCTGCCTAGATTTCAGAGGATGTATGGAAATGCCTGGATGTCCAGGCAGAAGTCTGCTACAGGGATGGAGCCCTCATGGAGAATCTATGCCAGGGCAGTGTGGAAGGGAAATGTGGGGTCGGAGCCCGCACACAGAGTCCCCAGTGGGGCACAGCCTAGTGGAGCTGTGAGAGGAGAGTCGCAGTCCTGTAGACCCCAGAATGGTAGGTCCACCAACAGCTTGCACCATGCACCTGGAAAAGCCACAGGCACTCGATGACAGCCAGAAAAGGAGCTGTCCAAGGCCATGGAGCCCACTCCTGTGTCAGCGTGCCCTGGATGTGAGACGTGGAGTTAAAAGAGATCATTTCTTACCTTTAAGATTTAATGACTACCCTGCTGTATTTCGGACTTATATGGGGCCTGTAGCCTCTTTGTTTTGGCCAATTTCTCCCACATGAAATGGGAACATTGACCCAATGCCTGTATCCCATTGTATCTTGGAAGTAACTAACTTCCTTTGGTTTTATAGGCTCATAGGCAGAAGGAGCTTGACTTATCTCAGGTGAGACTTTAGACTTGGACGTTTAAGTTAATTCTGGAATGAGTTAAGACTTTGGGGGATTGTTGGGAAGCCATAATTGGTTATAAAATGGTTATAAATTGGTTATAAAATGTATAAAGGACATGAGATTTGGGAGGGGTTGGGGCAGATGATATGGTTTGGCTCTGTGTCCCCACCCAAATCTCATCTCAATCTCCACATGTAATCCACATGTCAAGAGAGGGACCTGTAATCCCCACATGTCTAGGGAGGGAAGTGATTGGATTATGGGGACAGTCCCACCATGCTGTTCTCATGATAGTGAATAAATTCTCAGGAGATCTGATGGTTTTATAAATGGTAGTTTTTACTGCACTCTCACAACATTCTCTGTCTGGCCTGCTGCTGTTATTGGTGGCGGAGATTCAAGTTACCTCAAGTTACAGATGGAAAATTCATACATGTCTGCAGCAACTTTAGTTCTTGCCTTCTCAGAAGAAAGAATTCAACCAAGAGGCATGAAGCAGAAAAAGAGACCAAGGGAAGTTTCAGAACAGGAGTGGAAGTTTATTTAAAAGCCTTTGTAACTGGAAAGAAATGAATGAACTTTTGGAAGAGATCCAAGTGGACACCTGAAGGTCAAAGAGAGAAAAAGCAGGGCCTTTAACGTTGAACCTGGGACTTTATAGGCTTGCCTCATTCCCATGATTCTTCCTTTAGGGTGTGCTTTCTGCATGCCCAGTCCCCTCCTTACCCTTGGGAATTGAGCACAGGCAGTGTGTTTAGGGAGTTATATGCATGCCTATCTGAGGCTTTCTTCCTTTTCTTGTGGAGTGCACCAGAAGATCATACTTCGCCATTTTTGTCTCTTAATGTTCATGCACAGAAAGTTGCTTCTCCCTGGGGCCTGCCTTCAATTAACACCTTAATGTTAACATGTGTGGATCATCAGGAAATGGCCTCTCCCTGGCACTGGCTGCCAATTTTTCACTTTTAGAGAGGCAGTGCGATAATTGCCAAACCATCACCTGACATTTCTAGTGAGTGGTTAGGAGAGCCCTCTCCTGTCCCTTTCATACCTAACTACCTGTAACACTGCCATGTAAGGTGTGCCTGCTTCCCCCTTCTGCCATGATTGTAAGTTTCTTGAGGCCTCGCCAGCGTGTGGTACTGCGAGTTGATTAAACCTTCTTTGTTTATAAATTACTGAGTCTTGAGCATCATCTTTATTGCAGAGTGAGAATGGACTAATACAGCTTGTTTTCCAAATACAGATGTGTTGGATTAGCACCAGTATTTTATTGTCTAAAATATTACCATTAAAAAATATTGTTTCACAAAACCAAATTTCACCAAAGCATTCTAATCAAGTAAAAACTGTATTATTTAAAACATAGATATTGCCTGTTACTTGATATTTTCCAGTGAATTTTAGCCCTTCTTTAAAAAAATTCATTAAAGAAGTCAAGTTATATCAATTTAGAAATTTGAATGCTTCTATTTTTGCCTCTGAATTCTGTAGGATTCAGTAGTTTCTTTAAGATTCTTCTTTCTCCTTTATCCCCATTGCTATAGCATTAGCTCATTTCCCTCCAGTGTCTCTAGTAATTGTTCATAAGATTCTTACCTTCACTTTCTGTCTCTTGCAATCCAGCCTTGAGTTTTGTGTTAGGTCTTTCAGTTGTCTGTTTTTTGGACACAAGTCTGATTTTATGATGTAAATAGTCTTCCAGTTATTTACCACATAAGATAAAGTCATAATTCACTTTTGGGTTTACATGTTCTTTGCAATGTAATCCCAATTTTTATCTTTCCCATAACTCCCTTTCTCTCCTTGCACTAACTACACCTTAGACTACAATCAAGAAAAACATGGTTTTTGAATACCTTATGCTCATTTACACCTACATACATACATAAAAGAACTCTATATTTCACCTTGAGTTCAGTTTTTTTTTTTCTAATGTAAGGTACTATAAAACCTATCTCAAGTGTTATCTCTTTGTTTAATTCCTCTCTGGCTAAACCAAGCAAAAATGAATACTTTCTCTTGCTTTATTCCTATTGTATCTTGATCAGGTCTATTATATTCCATCAACATGTTTTCACTGTTTCTGCATCTTTTTTTTATCTTCTAGCATATGACCTTTCAAGGACTATAACCAGAAATGTTCTTTCTCTACATGTGCAATGACCAGCTCACGATAAACCCTAAATCAAGGGATTTTGTAACTGTTGTATCATTCATGCCAGTTTCCAGTAATCAGTTCAGCAATGTAAAATTCAGGATTTCAAGTATTTTTGTTGTTGTTGTTATTTTCTTTGTATTCAGCTGAAAGAACATTTTGCTACCCAGAACTTACACAATACAGACTTCTGATACTAGCCCTACTGTGTTGCTACTAGGTGACAAACAATACATATCCTAAAATTGCTCCTAAATCCAGATCTGACTCTGATTTCTGAGTAAACTTATTCATCCTGTTAAATACTATGAGGTCGATTACTCTAAAAATGAGCTTTGCTTTACTTTTCTTACTGATGAAATTGTCTTTCATTCAGCTTAAATATTTTGAATAGGAATAGCAGTTTTTTGTATATTTTTCACAGCACTGCGATACATATTCCTACAACAATAAACACTCAATTCTTACCTCTGTCTTCTCACTCATTATCACTGCAAATCATAACACTTTAAATGATTACCCACCTTATATTTTTGCTAAGAAAGTTTTCATAAATATTATGATTTTAAACTCCTTTCATTAAGAGTGAAAGTTTAAAATTCCAAACTTTAGATATCTAATTCTTCATAGAATGTTTACATCAAACATTATGTCATAACACCTCTTAACTATATAAAAATTAGCACAAACCGTCAGTGATTTTAGACTCACCAAATGGCTTTGAGTGGAAGATATTTCTAATTTAAGCTTTCTTTCAATAAATATATTTATTTCTTGCCATCCTTCTTTGTTATTAAAATTGCACTTTAATCCAAGCACATGATGTTTGATTACATTTTGATGGTATCTGAAGAAACCATGTAAATTCAGGTTATGAATCAAACCAATTTAATCATAACTTCCAGTTATTGTGACACCTATTTTTAGTTTGAAAAAGATTCATGGCTTTTGTAACAGAAGGTTTAAAAAATTCCCGGTGCTTTTAGACTTTTAAGACTTGCTGAAAGACTTTCAAGGCTGAACATGTATTTAGTTACCTAATGGACCTTTTCCTTTTATTTATTCTCTCAATATAGATTTAGTAGCAACTATGTGTTAGGTACTTAGTATGCAGAGGCCAACAAAGCATATGCGGTACCTGACCCAGTCTAAAAGGTAGTTGTAGACATTACATGAGAAAATAAATAATTACAAATTTTAATTTGGCATCAACAACCAACGTGGAATACCTTGGAAAACACTAGAGATGTTTTCCACATTCAAAATTAATTTTACAACAGTAGCAAGTTTTGAAGACATCCTACCATGTGAGGATTTTGTTTTGAAATTACATCAGATTATGAACATAGTTAAGATTTCCATGTGTCCTGCATAATATCAAATGGATTATTACATAAGATAAAACCAAGTTATTTTTATAATTCAAGAAACTTTCTAGATGTCATTATCTGATTTTATTTAATTTTAAGGACTTTATTATTTTAAAGAGTTTTAGGTTCACAGCAAAATTAGAAGATACAGAGATTTCCAATATGCCCCTGTGACCACACATGCATAGCCTCACCCCATTATCAGTATTCCCCACCAGAGTGGCGTATTTGTTACAATGGATGAACGTACATTGGCACATCATTATCACCCAAAGTCCACAGTTTATATTAGACTTCACTCTTAGTGTTCACATTCCATGGGTTTGGACAAATATATAATAACATGTATTCACCACTGTAGTATCATACAGAGTATTTGACTGCACTAAAAGTCACTCTCTCTCCTTAACCCCTGGCAACACTGATTCCTATAGTTTGGTCTTTTCCAGAATTTCATATAACTGGAATCATACAGTATGGCCAATGTAACAGTAGCATCATAATGTATGATTCCAATTATATAAAATTCTGGAAAAGACAAAATTATATAGTATGGTGTATAATTATACAGTATGATATATGATGTATGATGTAGTCTTTTCAGATTGTCCTCTTTAACTTAGTAAAATGCATTGAAAATGCATTGAAATTTCCTCCATATCTTTCACATGGCTTGATAGCTGCTTTTTTTAAAGCACTGGATAATATTCTATTTTATACCAGTTTATTCATCAGTTTACCTACTGAAGGACATCTTGGTTTCTTGCAAGTTTTGTCAGTTGTGAATAAAGCTGTTATAAACATCCATGTGCAGATTTTTGTGTGGACATAACTTTTCAACTCCTTTGGGTAGATACCAAGGAACTCAATTGGTGGATTGTATGGTAAGAGTATGTTTAGTTCTGTAAAAATCAAATGATCTTCCAAAGTAGCTATACCATTTGCATTCTCACCAGCAATAAATTAGAGTTTTGATTGCTCCAAACTGTTGAAAGCATTTGGTATTGTCAGTATTCTGAATTTAGCCATTTGAATTGAAGTGTAGTGGTATGTCACTGTTGTAACTTAGGCATAGGCCTAAGAACATTTTGCATTTCCCTTATGACATATAATGTAGAGCATCTGTTCATATGTTTATTTGCCATCAGTATCTCTTCTATATATCTGAAGTGCCTGTTAAGGTATTCAACGCATTTTTTATCAGGTTTTTTTTTTCTCATTATTGTTGAGCTTTGAGAGTTCTTTGCAGACTTTGGGTACAAGTACTTTATTAGATTATGTCTTTTGCAAATATGTTCTCCTGGTCTGTAGCTCATTTTCCTGTTCTCTTGACAGTGTCTTTCACAGTGTAGAATTTATAACTTTAACCAAGTCTAGCTTATCAATTCTTTCTTTTATGGTTCATCATTGTGTTGTCATATCTAAAATGTCATCACCAACCCAAGTCATCTAAATTTTCTCCTATGTTGTCTTCTAAGAGTTTTATAGTTTTATATTTTACATCTAGGTGTGTGATCCATTTTGGGTTAATCTTTGTGAAGGGTGTATGGTCTGTGTCTACATTCATTTTTTTTGTTTTTGTTTTTGTTTGTTTGTTTGTTCGTTTTTTGCATGTGAAGTCCAGTGGTTCCAGTACCATTTGTTGAAAAGACTATCTTTTCACCATTGTATTTCCTTTGCTCTTTTGTTGAAGATCAGTTGACTACACTTACATGGGTCCATTTATGTGCTCTCTGTAGTTTTCCATTGATCTATTTGTCTACTCTTTCATTAATGCCACACTGTCTTGATTACTATATTCATAGTAAAAACTAAATAAATGACAGATATTTCTTGTTCATGTATAAGAAAGCTAAATATTGTCAAGGTATTAGTTCTTTCCATTGATGCTTGCAATCATAATCAAAATCCCAGTAATTTACTTTGTACATATCAACAAACTGAGTCCAAAGTTTGGAGAAGCAAAAATCCAGAATAATAAACTCAACATTGAGTGGAAAGAACAAAGTTGGAGGACTGATACTACTTGACTTCAAGACTTACTATGTCTTTCTTAATAATTTCTTTCAACTTTTTTACCTACTTAGGCGCCATGGACCTGAGCTATAGGGAATGGCTTTAATACTGTTCCTTCAAAAGAGCCACTAATAATGGTCTACTCTAGAGATCAGGTTCATTCAATCAATGTGCACTTACTGAGTGGTTACTATGTGCTAAGCAGTGAAAAGCATCTCTGGAAAACTTTTAACGGTTCCTGGAATTTTACAACTGCATAGGCATAAGAACATTTTTAGTGGTATTTATGAGGACATTAGGGAATCCCCTAATGATTCTCAGAATTAAATAGAGTATAGCACAAGAGGGGTTGTGTGATCTAAAACTCTAGGTGAATGCCAGAATAAATATTCATTGTAATTATACTGGTGAGATGTTGATCTAGAATCAGTATTTATGAAAACAAAAAGGAAAGGATAGAATGAAAATAACACTTTGATGTAAGAAGTTATTAGAAATCATTAAGACTAATTATAGAGAGAAGATAAATAAATAATAATGTGAATTCAAGGAAAAACACAATGAAAACCACAATGAGAAAACAAAATGGAAACCATGAGAAATATAATGGCCCCCCATTTTGATTGCATTTTATTTTATTTAATATATAATCCTCTTGAAAACAGAGTTCAGATTTTCTTTGTTCTGTGTCAAATTGTGAGTTGAAATTCTAATACATTTCTAAAAACAAGAGAACACTTCCGTTATATACATTCATGTATATAGAAACGTTTTCTCAGAAACAATGCATTTCCAGACAATGCTCAGTGCCAAGAAGAGAAAAGACATAGTGATTTGAAAACAGCTGGTTATATTTATCAAGACTAGAATTCCTCTTGTGTGGTGACTTTGCCTGAATTTTCAGTTATGTAGTTAGCTAATGATATTAAAACACAATATAATGGAAAAGCCAAAAAATGTTTAATTATATAGCCAACAAATGCTATATTTGTGCCAAAAGATACGGATTTTTTCCACATCATGCATTATAAAACTATGATATCATTTAAAACAAATAGTGTGAAATAAAATGAAATAACTATTAGCATATCTTGCTGACACAAGAAATTATTGCTATTAAAGGCAGCTTGTACTTAAAAAAAGAATAAACCATCCATTATTTTTAATCACTAATATTAAGTCACAGAGACAAACAAATTGGTTTTCTCTCTACACGTGCATTTCCCATTATAATCATGGAGCATACATTTTTTTCACTGGCAGTTTGATTGCATTCAATGCTGACAGAGTGGCTTAGAATAATTTTTGAGTTATTTCCAATAAAACGAATGTGTTTCAAGGTGGATGCATGTGGTGAATAGTCATCTTGGAGTACATAAGCGGGAGAGACAACAAGAGGTCAATTATGCAATGCTAGTCTTTATTTTAATCAATAAATTTGATTTCATAAAAGTTACACTCTAAGAAGTCAAATCTTAATGCAGAATTGATGACTCACACCCACCTTTTATCTTCCAACATTCAAATGTTGTGCAAGGGTTTCCTGGACATTCTCTGTTGGCACTTATAACCTTTACAACCCATCAATGATTTCCTCAGTATTAGGGACTGAATGTCTGTAACACCAGGGTTGTACATGCAATTTAGGCCACACCGATGAGATACATTCACAGGAGTTGTGGAAGGCTGAAAAAAATAGCCTTTCTAAGGCAATAGGCTGACTGTGGAAAATCTGTGAAGCATCAAATCTCTGATTCTTTTGCAGTCAACCCGAAGCCAGTGGCAGACCTAACTTTTATAATGTGGATTTCTCCAGCCTTTACATGCATTTTGTAAATATCTAATTCCATGCATTGTATTCTCTTTCTGTGGAAAAATCAGAGATAATTTCTATAATACATATCAAAACCTGAGTCATAATATGATACTGTGTGGAGCTGAAATTTTACATAAAATTTATAAGAAGTCATTGTAGTTCGAAAATAACAAGTCCTTTGATCTGGAGTATGAGATAAATTTATGAAGTAAGGTTCAGTTGAAAATTGAAAACCCCCAAATAATATCTAACATATTAAAAATGTTTAAATAATTTTGACAAATTGTGAGTTGAAATTGTAATATATTTTTGAATGTATCTATTTTCATATGGAAAAAGCACTGTTACTGTAGATAATATGTGCTCAGTTGGGGGACACAAGTTGCTTATTATAAATTATTTTTATTTTTTTAATAAATTAAAACTAAAATATATGTTATTATTAAAGCATCTTATGCTTTCTTAATTTTATCTGTTTTGTTCTTAATTTGGTGACTGAAAGCAAACAATTGTTGTATATTCAGTAATAGTGAATTCACTAATATATTGAGCACATTGATATTTTTACTATTTTGTGTTATCCACCTTTATTCCCATGAAGCATTTGCCATAAAGGCTATTTTCTCTAATATTAAGATAGCTATGCAGCTTTTTCTTTTTATTAACAGATTATTGATAAATATCATTGAAATATGATTTTATACTCCAGGTTAAAACAAGAAATGTTGGACAGTTTAGCTCCATTTATTCCCATCCTAACTTGTGTTATTGTTCTATATTATTTTAATTCTATTTTTCCTCCACATTATTACTTTTACATAGTAAGTGTTGTTTAAAATGTGCCTACATATTTACACTTTATTCCTAGTAATTCCTACTTGCAGCCCAGGCATTCTGTTCTGAATCGCTTTCCTTGTTCCTAAAGACATTTCTTAGAATTACTTTTAATGAGGTTCTCCTGGTAACAAAATGTGTGTTTTTGTTTGTCTGAAAACATTTTTATTTTGCCTCACCTTTTGAGGGACAATTTTGTTGAGTATAAAACTCTAAATTGGTAGAGTTTTTTTTTTTTAGCATATTGAACTCTAAACTGTAAATTATTGAACTCCAATTTCCTCTATTCCTCCTCAGTCCTCCCTCACCATGAGAAAGTCAGCTACCACTTTTACTACCATTTATTTGAAAGGAAGGTATCTTTTTCCTCAGAGTGCTTTAGAGATTTTCTTTTTGCATTTTTCTTTCTGGGCTTCTTACATAAAATGCTTGGTTTTTATTTCTTCTTCTATATCTCGTCTTGAATGTATGGAATGGTGTCTTTCATCAATTCAGGAAAATTCTCAGCCATTATCTTGTCAAATATTTCCTCTGCACCATTAATCTCTTTTCTTCATCCAGAACATCAATTAAGCATATATTAAATCATTTTATTCTATTTTGTCTAAAATGCTTACTGTTTTTCACTTTTATTCTAAATCCTGGATTATTTCATTTTCTTTTTCTATAATTTATTAATTTAATTTTGTACATTAAAGTTACATCTCATTCTTTTTAAAGTTTACTGTGCCCCTTTTTAAGTTCCTATTTCCTGTTGATATTTTAGAATGTATCCACTATCTCTTCAAACATATTAAATAAAATTATTTTACTGAGACTGATAATTCTCATACATAAAGCCTTTGCTGCTTTGTTTATGCTGTCTGTGCTTTCCACTAGTTATAACCTACTCTGTTTCTTTGTTGTTCTGATTACCTTCGCCAGCCATTGTCCTGCAAGATTAGCTTTAAAATTAATTTGACACCTGGGATGAAATTCTTTCTCAGGAGGAGATTTGTATTACCTTCGTCCAGAACAACTTTAAAACATGGAAGACCTAGGGGTTTCAGACCATGTGAGAACTGGTCCATTTCTCATTCATCCTTATCCTCAGGGTGTAGGATTTTGGATACAGCTTTTGTGGAAGGACCTCCTGCTATACTCCTTTGCTTTTGTGGACATTTGGTTTTGATTTCTTGGTCCCTCTCATTTCATGAAGTTATAAAAATAAAAATTCGAGTTTTCCAGATTAGTAAATAGGTTATAGGAAGAGTGGATTTTTACCTCATTTATATCTTTAGATTCCCATTTCTACCTCAGGATTGGTTTGGTACTTTCTATTAACAGTCTTGTCAGCATTTAGAGGCTTTTAAGGACTCAGAAAGAGAAATCATCCATACTTTTGTTTTTCTCGTGATTGTTGACTAATCTCCAATTATAAGATACAGAAATCCCCCAGTTAATTATTTTTAATTGGCAGTTTAATTCTGAGGTAGGATCTATGGAAATTTTTACAATCAAAATAACACTCTTTGTGTAGGAATTATGAATGTACGCATGTGCTTTGTAATAGCTATAATTAGACTTTCCATCTGATGACTGATTTTACAGTGGAGAACATTCTTTGTCTTATGTATTTTATACTTATCTTTTTAATGATACTTTTCATTCAGTAATTCAAGTACTTACTTGCATGACATACAAAGCACTATAGCCCTGTTGGCAGGACCTAAGTCTTACTCTTATACATAATATTGCATAATGGCTAAGTGCACAACCCTGGAGCTAGAACCCTTGAATTCCGACTCTTCCACTAGCTACACTGTGACCACTACAACTCTCTGGGACACTGTTTTCTCAATTGTAAAATAAGGATACTATTTATATTATAGTTTGAAGACTAATAGAGCTAATGTAAATGAAGCAATGAAAAGTTGCCTGTCACATGATAAATATTAATCATTATTTTAAATACCTGCCACAGTAACAAGTACTGTACTTTTGGCAGAGTAGTCAATAAGTACTCGACTGGTGATATAACAGCCACAGTTATCCTAAGACTGACAAATAATTGCACAATGGTACCCCATACGTACTTTCTGAGTAATACAAATTCATCCCTTCAAATTATAACCGTCCCCAAAGGCTAGTATTAAAAGCCATGAATTTCATTTTTAAAGTGAACAAACTAGTAAACAAGTTAGAATTTGAGTCATGGTTTAAGAACGTAGTAAAGCCAGTGACACAGCTATACGTTTTCTTTAAATAACTTATGCATATAATAGATGTCATGCTTTTGGACTGTATTTAAAAAGCTCATTAAAATGTCTCTCACCCGCCTTTTGTGTATTATGAAAAAAACTTCACACAGTGCCAGAAAATCTGTTATATTTAGGATTGTGCAGAAAGTATGACTTCATGCAGCTAAAGTCCACATCTGATAAGTAAAATTAATTTCAGGCAACATCATCCAAAAACATTTAAGTGGTCATTTTGTAATTCCCTTAACCTAGTACAGATATGTCTCAGAGAACACAAAGAGAAGGCCTTTATCAGCAGTTTGTCAGTACTCACCCATAGTCATCTGTCCCATTCCAAGCCCAAGCTGTTGTTTTCTCAAGTAACATATATTTTTTCAAATATGAAAGTTTAAATAAAAGTACATAAAAGAAAATAACCATCATTCATGAACAAGGTCCCAGATAGAAATCTCATCATTGTTTACATTTTGGCAGAGAGAGACACCATAAGGAGGCAAAGAAAGATATTTTGGCCCATTTTCTTTCTGTTATATAACAATGTTCTAAACTGATAACACATTTTAACTATACTGAAATATAATTTTGGTTGCAGTTTTTAATTCCACTTAATATTACATTCCTAAGTAAGGAATGTATAAATTACATTTCTCAAAAATATTTTAATGTGGAACTTCTTTGTCCCAATACTTGCTTAAATACTTATTAGGAAACCCCCATATAGAGGTTCACTATTATTTGTTTAAAACAGACATTTACTTTTATCGTAAAGTTATATTCTCATTCCCATTTTTTCTGAGGTTTTCTAAAGGTTTGGTCACATGGTATGATTATTATATGGATTGCCTTATTTGACCTGCTGCTGTTATACATTTGGCCAATAGATTACTTCTTTCAAATCTTCATTAGGTTGGTTTTGGGTCAAATTGTCTTTTGTCATGGTATATTATCTTAATATTCTGATAAATTTAATTTAATATATGTTCATAAGGAATAATGTTCAATATATTTTAATTGGGGGCTGATTTTAATATTTTGGTATCAAGAGACTTATTAGAAAATGTCTATGGACATTTAAAAATTGTATCTGCATTCTGAATTGTATCCAAGGTTTTTAGTAGTTTCTTAGAAAAGTGATTTTCAAGCTATCAGATCTGCTGTATATGAATGGAGGCAGAATAATTTTTATTTCTTCTGTAACAAGTGAGAAAAATCTGAAAACAACTATTGAGTATTCACTGTGGAAATTATGACTAATCAGTTTCTATGTGTTCTTATTTTATATTAGTATTTTAAGTAAAATAGATATTGTTAAGAACTATGAAAGGTCTGAGGTTTTGCCCTATTCATAAGCTAAAAAGTTAATGTCTGAAAGAGTTAGTAAGCTTGAAAGGTAAGTTTCATGGAAGCTGGAAGAAGACATAAGACACTTGGGTCAGAGACACAGGATTATGCTGCTCATGACATAGCAGGCAGCATGAGCTCATGTTTTCATTCTTTTCCCCTTGCTCTTAAAATCCCGTAGGAACAACATGGAGTAGCCCAGATAGGTGTACACACTCAGTGGGTTAACATCACAGCTGATAAAACCCAGAGCTTAGAAAACACCAGGCTATTAAACAGCTTCTTGCAAACCTGCCCCATCTTTGCCTCAGAGGGTGACATTATCTTTACTTTTCTGGACAGCAAACAAATCTACCTTCTGCCTCAGAGGGAGACATCGTCTTTATCTTCCACGTTGTTCGCTATTTAAAACATCCTTGAAAAGCTGTCAGTTCTGTGACTCAGAGTAGGTCAAAAGATGCTCAGAGGATGGGCAGAAACACCTGGGGCAAATTATCTCTCAACAATTGAGGGATCAGTTTTTTACCCTAATATATTTGAAAATTGTTTCTGCAGTATGTAGTCTACCCTTTATTTGTGTTTTATCCCATTTTTACATTTAGAATGTTTTCCTTATTCCTTTCTATTTTTGTGATTACATTCAATTTCATTTTGCTTGTTTGCACAAAGAGCATAATCCTGGATGTAAATGCTCTTCATGCTACTGTCATATGCATGTGTATTCTCTGTGCATGAAATAGTTCTTCCTGTTTTTAAAAAAATATAGTTTTACCTCCAAAATATTTTGTTTTTATCTCAAGACATTTACAATTAATGACAATTAACGATGATTGAGTTTTCCTACATTATTAACTGACAGAAAAATTTGTGACCCACTGAGAATGAAATGGAGGCCTTTGAATAGTGCTTTTCTAGATGTATATACAACTTGACTTCAGCCTTAACTTTGATGTCCTTTTCCTTTCTCCCCAACATGGTTGAATATAAATAAATTAATAGACACCGATATCTTGTGCACTATGGCCAGATAGTGTAGTACAACAGAAATACTCCAAGCACTGAGCTAAGCAGTGGGGATAGAATGATAAACCAGAAAAACAGGCTATTTGCCCTTGAAAAGCTTGTACAATGGTACATAGCCTGCCTAACATTTTCTACAATTGTAATTTTGCAATATTCTTTGAGAACATTATTTATTACTTTTTTTTAGTATCTTTCTTCCTCACTGGACTGTAAGCTCCATGATAGCTTTAACTATACTGTCCATTAATATTTGTCTACCCACACGTTGCCACACTGTTATTCTCCTACCCTATACAAGCATACTTTGGAGATATTGCAGGTTTGGTTCTAAACTACTGCAATAAAGTGAGTCACACCATGTTTTTGGTTACCCCGTGCATATAAAAATTATGTTTACACTGTACTGTAGTCTATGAAGTGTGTAATAGCATTATGTCTAAAAAATGCTCATGGCTTAATTAAAAGTATTTTATTGCTAAAAAAAAATGCTGACACAGAGACACCAAGTGAACACGTTACTGAAAAAATTGTAAAGATAGATGCTAGGTACAGTGTTACTCACAAACCTTCAATTTGTAAAAAATGCAATACCTGCAAAGTGCAACAAAGTGAAGCTCAATAAACTGAGATATCCTTGTAACTCATCACATAGTAGATATCATTCTCACTGTTTGAAAATATTTAATTATCTTACATATTTTAAATATTTATAATGAGATGGCCTTGTTGCCTTAGTTTTGTACCATTTATTTAATGTTACATCTCATTTATTTGGAAAGAGTATTCCATTTTTCCAAAAAGGAAGTCTTGAAGGACTTCTATCAGATTTGTCTGAGGCTGAATCAGATGTCAAAACAAATTATTACGAATATAAATATACAGCTGATCAACATTCTGTAGTTTTCCAAGACTAAGTTAAGTGCCTTTTCTTTTTCTTAATCTCAGCACACTTGGATTATTTCCAAGAAATCTCTATTTAGCATTTATTACATGTTAACCAGAATTATGTTTTTCTAAAAAGTTATATCACTTGCCTATTTTAAAAACCTTGACTCCCTTTTCACTATAATCTATTAAATTACAAGCATGGAGTTCAAGGTTTTTCGTATTAAACCTCATAAAATTTCCTGGACTTGAGACAAACTACCACAACCATTAAACATGTGCCCTATACCCTAGCCAATAAAGGTCACCTTTACTTTTTTAACCTTATTTAAGGCTTCCATATCTTTAGCTAGCCCTATATATTGGCCTTAATCAAAGTTTTAATACTTAAATGACTGATGGGGAATGGAAATGAACGAAAATAGTATAATTACAAATTGAAGAGAACAGATAGATTGAGTATAAAGAAGAATTAAAGGAATATACATCTATAGTCTTTGTAAATAAGTTGGGATAAAATAAATAAAATGGAGAATTGAATTCACAGGAACAGGAGATTCCCCAAAATACTGAGTTTCCAGAACTATTATAAAACAAAAGAACTAAAGCAATAACAAGAAAGAAAGGCTAAAACCATCTAAGTAACAATTATTAGAGTTTTAAAAGATGTTATTCCCAAGAACAATTATGAAAACAGTAATTTGAAATTGGGCACAAAGCCATGAGTCTACAAGCAAGAGTCCCTTAGGACATTAGAAGAAATCACTATCAAATTTACAGGATTGCTACTGTATAAGTTAAAATTTATGAAAAATGCTAAAGTAATATTTTTGCCTTAAAAGGAGAAAAAAGTGGTTGCTCATTTGTGGTTGTCCACATATAGATATTAACTCCAAGCAATTTAACTCAGCAAATGCTAATTCAAATCAAAAGAATATGATTATAATGTGATCAAAGTATACTCATTTGAAATGCTTTCAGCCATGGTATATGTATTGAATAATTATAACATTAAAGAATTAAAGTAGGGACAATGAACCTTAAATTGTTTTCAGTTCATTTACCTTGGATAATATCCAAAATGTGTTGTGTTTAATTTAATTAATTTTAGTAATTAAAATTATAGCTTTTTTTAAAAAGATAAGGTGTGATGGCAAGGATATAAAAGGTATTCAGTGCATGAAGCCATGGGTTCACTAAGGATTGGCTAAAATGTTAATTTTAATGATGATCTCCATTAAATATTTGGAAAGGAAAATAATTGATTGAAAGATGGATGTGTTACAAATTTAGAGAATGTTTCAAAAAGCAGTCAGATTAAAATAGGATCACATCTCATTAATTGTGTAGCTAGACTCTAGAGCCTAAACACAGATTCTGTCAATTAATAAGTAATCAGTAACACCCGGATGAATGACGGCTGAGTATATAGAACTCAGATTCACACTCAAGATGTATAAGCTATTTGTTGGAGTTTGTTCATTGAGTGTTATCTTTGTGGAATAAATTAGTTAATGGCTGGTAATAACTATTGTTGTTCATATGCATTGTGCTTTTTTTTTTTGCAATTAACTAGAAAGAGGATTTACAATGATTTGCAAAGGAGAAAACAGGGAGTTTTGCAGAAGTAGATAGTCACAGAGATTTCCACTGTAAACCTTCATTACTACATAACTTAATATAACATCCACCCTACCCTATGCTGTTACATTGTATATAATTACCTAAGGCTTTATGCCATTCACAAACCAGGACTAAAATTAACATTCAGAATTTTAGTAGCCTGTGCCTGCACACATTAATATATATTATATTTATTTAAATATTATGTATGTTTAAATAATCTTTTGTTATCAAGTTTGTAAAATATTGCCTGATTTTGACTAAAAAGACAGAGCATTGTTGTCTTCAATTTCATCTTTGTAGAAACACTGAATTAGAGATTTTCAATAAATTGGGATATTAAATCCCTTTCATGAGAGAGCAAACATTACTCAAAAGATTTTACATTTTACTTTCTTTCTTTGCAGACCCTCCAATAGTTCTGTTTAAACAGATGTACCACAGATGTGGAAACATCTGGCAGGTCAACACTATTCTGCCATGACCATACTCAGGTTAGGATTGTGCATTTTTTGACATCTAATTGTTAAGCAAGGATCCATGCATGGAAGAAGGCATTGCTTCAAATGATATATTTCTGCTTGCTTCTCCTTTCTAAAAAATATTTCACATGTGCTCACTGGAAATATATTTTTTGTCTACAGTTATTTTGTGTGTGTTTTAGAAATGGCTATATGATTTTCAGTGTTTTTTTTTTTAAAGTAATCACCTACCCAAGTGTAAGGAACAGGTTGAATTAAAATCAATAATATATTGGTTTCAGTCACTTTCATTTCTTTTCTTGTCCTAAGAGTTTTGCAGGTCCATTCAAATTACAAGAAAATTATTTCAGTTGTACACATTTAAATATACCAAGCCATCAAATTCTTGGATCTTATTTCTTCACTTAAGTTTCATATGTCTCAGAGAAGAATGAAACTTTTTTCAACATTACATATAACCAGAGAAGAGCCTTCAACTGGCTTCTTTCTGTCATTAGCATAAACGTATAGGACAAGATATACATATAATATATGCTGTGAGTGAGTATATTTGTGGTGTTTGTAATTTTAGTTAATGTTTTTGGTAAAGGAGGGGATAGAATACTGGAAAATTAAAAAATTATAGATTTTGAAATTATATTTTTACATTACACTTTCATAAACCTAACATTAGAAATATGCAATTTTACTGTAAAGTAGCTCTACCATTTTTTATGAAGCAAGAAACACTGAGACAAAGAAAATATTTTACAAAGCTCAGAGTCTGAATATCTATAACATTTACCCAAATCAGAGCAAATTAGTAAGATTTACAGCACTTTACAGAGAGTGTTAGAAAGCCCTGAGGGAAAAAGCAGATTGTACCATTTCACTCAGTACTGGAAATTTGGGTGATATGTAGTGACAATAAGAGACTTCTCACTCCTAAAGAGACTGAGGCTGTGTGACCCCAGGGATCACTGTGCACTGTGGGAAGCTGTAAAACCCATCTAATATTTATCAAGATGTGCATTGTAATGAAAACATTCTGAAATCATACACCACACAAACAACCTCAGCCTGGATAGAATAGCAAGCCAAGGAAATGTAATGATAAGCTAGGTTCTTATGCTACATTTCTCAGCCCCATTTCTTCAGTTTCATCAGCTATTTGTTTATATTTTCTAGCCACTTTAGCATTAATCACTGAATTAGATTTATATTCAAATGTATCATGAAATACCCACGTTTTTGAGTTTCTGTTTGTTTGCTTGCTCTCCTTTAAAACATGCAGTTTTCCTGAAAAGTCTACTTTTGTTTGTGTTTAAAATAATCCACACATCTAAATTTTAATCAGGTTTCAGTAATATTAAATATTAACTCTGGTTCAGAAATGTATGGCTACTCCCCTGACTTCTGCTTGGAATCAACAAATGTAAACTGTGGGGTTTCCACTGTATTACCACAGGACAAAAGCACCCCAAATTTTCCATTACAAGGATTCATTAAAATGAGACTTTTTTCACAAAAAGATTTTTACAATGTTGCACTAAAGAGGTCTAGAAATTCACAAAATGGTCTGCATGGCAATCAGCCCACAATGGGCTTCTAATTCCTTCACCATAGAGGCCAAGGCTACTTCCAAGTTTCCAACAAGGATCTTTGCAATGTGCTTTTTCCTTTGACAGCTGTTAATTGCCATAATGCCTACAACAGCAGATGCTGGGAGTACTCCAGATGTCTTAACACAGTGGTAGGTCCATTCCTAATAATATCCATGGAGAGAGAAAGGCTGACTGAATATCTATAGGAATTTCTTAATCTCTAGTGTGTTGTTGACGTTTATGGTTCTAGTTGGGGAATCTGGCTGCTACCAAATGTGTATTTTTCACCTCTGGGTTTAAGTATCAGACTCTATTTAAATTTTTCTATTCCCATTAATTCTGTCTTTATATCTCTGTCTCAAGTCTTACTCAAATTCTCTCTCCTCTCTCCTCTCTCTCTCTCTGTCTCTCCACAAAATTTACTGAGCATTTTTTTTCCCTCCAGGTGCACTTAACTCATTCCTTCTTATCTCAGAAAATAAGAGTTTCCATCCTGTGTCCCTGTCTATATGCCAAAAATGCTCTGGACTGATGCAATCCAACATGGGATATGTTTAAAAAAAATATTGGGCCATATGGAAAGATGTCTTATCGAAATACTGAAGCAATTTACTGTTTAAAGAGTAGTTTTCCATTGGACCTATTTGGTTTTGACTGTAAGCTTGTGTGCAGAAATGTTCCTTTGGTCATTCTTTCCTCAAAAGTTATGAGAGAGGAATGAAGAAAAGACCACTTAAACCGAACTGTTGAATTCAAAAAGAGCCAAGGAAAGATAATTAGTAAAACATGCTACAGAAAACATCATAAATTGTGATACTGGGCTGGTTACAAACTTTTTTGAGGGTGTGGAAAGTGGAAGTCTCCCTCTTTTACGAAAGAAAGGAGATTCTTAAATGTTCTACTTGTGTTTTCTTCCAGTCCTAATATTTACTAATATATGGTCCAATTTTTTTGAGCTCTCTGGATTTCTACAGCTCTCATGAGCATGCCTACCTTGACATTTGATGTCACATTTCATTGATTTTTAGAAGTCATTCTTTATTTTTTATTTTTTATTTTTTTATTTTTTTAGGGTTTTTTTTATTATACTTTAAGTTTTAGGGTACACGTGCACATTGTGCAGGTTAGTTACATATGTATACATGTGCCATGCTGGTGCGCTGCACCCACTAACTCGTCATCTAGCATTAGGTATATCTCCCAATGCTATCCCTCCCCCCTCCCCCCACCCCACAACAGTCCCCAGAGTGTGATATTCCCCTTCCTGTGTCCATGTGATCTCATTGTTCAATTCCCACCTATGAGTGAGAATATGCGGTGTTTGGTTTTTTGTTCTTGTGATAGTTTACTGAGAATGATGATTTCCAATTTCATCCATGTCCCTACAAAGGACATGAACTCATCATTTTTTATGGCTGCATAGTATTCCACGGTGTATATGTGCCCCATTTTCTTAATCCAGTCTATCATTGTTGGACATTTGGGTTGGTTCCAAGTCTTTGCTATTGTGAATAATGCCGCAATAAACATATGTGTGCATGTTTCTTTAAATTTATTAAACTCCCTTGCCTTCAATCATATCAGAAGATGAAAGAGAAAAAACATGGTAAAAAGAGAAATTTTGACTCATTATTCTCCCTTCCAAAGTGAAAATAATGAAGAACAAGGAGTATAACTTTTGATTTTTTTTTGATGTGGGGAACTGCAATATTGTCTTAATTTCTTAAGGGCAGGAAAGCAACTATATGGAAATAAGCAAATTGATTTTGGCAACCAAATCTAATTAAAACAGCTGTAGAAAAAAAACCTTTAATAGACTAAAAGTAAGATCAATAACAATAGATTCTACTAATTTATGTTTATTTTGTTTAATATTAATATGCAAATTAGTGAATGGGTAGCATCATTTACTTAATGAAAACTATTTTATTTTGAATTTGGAAATACAGTTCACATTCTTCCCTGGTGTGCTCATTTGTACACTACTAATCCAGACTTTTCAATTCAGAATAGCTCTAGAATGACCTCTCAGCCACTATTTAATCACTAAGATTTTTTAAAATTTGTATTCTAAGCAAATCATCAATAGGAGGTTTTACTTTCTAAATGTTCTTTTTCTACCACTTATTTTGATACTAGCGTTGGTCTTATGAATAGTATATCTGCCCATAGGTAACCTAGGAATAGAATTGAACTGTCAGGTTATGAGGTTTAAGATAAACGTGCCATTCAAATAAAAACTACAATTATTATTTAAAGACATTTAAGATGGGAGTTGAACTAGTTGACCAGACATTAGAGAAATGTATTATATCAGAATTATCAGGACCACTGTTTTTGTTGTTGTTGTTTGTTTTTTTAAAAAGGTACCTGCACCAACCCTAGGACTCCTATTCAGAATAAAATAAGGAACTTCAAATTTAAACAAGCTTTCCAAATGGTTCTTAGGCACTGCTCATGCAGTGAGCAGCCAGTGATCTAACTGGCCTACCCTCTTTTGGGTCCAGGATAGGAATGCTGAAATTGCCAAAAGGTATCCAGTGGGTCCCATGATGAAAGCTTCTGGCTTCCCTACCATTGTCAGCTACCTTTGCCTTCCCTCCTCTTTAAATAAGAAAATAGTCCAAAGAAGGCGGTGAACTCACCCCAGCCTTCCCTTCCCTAATTGTAGTAATAATCTGAGACATTACTTGAATATTCAGCAAGAGCTGTATCACATGGTGAATGCACTACTTACAACTTCCATGCTGCTAGCTAACATGGAAATTCATAAAGGAAAATCAGACTCTCTGTCAATGAAAATAAACTTCCAGCCTCCCACAACAGGCATAAAATTGTAGACCTTATTTTCTACCACTATATTAAATTGTAGACCTTATTTTCTGCCACTATAATTTATTAAAGTTTTACATAGTTTAGCTAATATAAGGGGTACACTCTAGTAATGTGGATCCTTAATACTTAAGATTTATTAACTGAGTAACATAAATTAAGGTTTAGACCTATTTAAGTGCAAGGTCTGAGATCCTAATTTTTAAATAAATATGACTTACAACTTACATTCCTGATATATTTCCTAGTGAAGATTCTATTACTTTAATCTACTCTAATTAGGTCTTGAGAGAACAAACACTAGAGTCATAAAGATAAATAATTGCTATTAATTTTAAGTTGAAGTTACCTTGCAGTAACTGAGTGAATATTTCTTAACCATTATAATACTCCATTGAAATTCTAGGCCCTCGAGTTCTGTTGATTGTCAATTTTTGAGTAAAGTTTATGTTTTCTGATTATTCTTGCTCCTGACATATGACAAGATTGGATTTAATGTTTAACTTTTTTAGTTTGGAGGGCCAATAGAATTATATGAAAGTGCTCTCTCTGTCCTTAATGTATAATTTGTATTCCTGCTTATCTTGTGACTTTTTTATTGTGTGAATTTTTTATGATTTTTCAAAATTTTTATTATACAAAATTTCAAACATAAAAAGTAGAGAGAATTCATTATCTATATCTATATCTGTATCTATATCTATATCTATATCTATATCTATATCTATATCTATATCTATTTTGAGACAGGATCCTGCTATCACCAAGGCTGGAGTGCAGTGACACTATCACAGCTCACTGCAAACTTGACCTCCAGGGCTTGAGTAATTCTCTCACTTCAGCCTCTGGAATAGCTGGAACTACAGGTGTGCACCACTACACCCAGCTAATTTTTGTATTTCTATAGAGATGGGGTCTCACTGTGTTGCTCAGGCTGGTATATTTTCTAATTTAATGAGGAGCTCAACCTTTTACCTGCTTTCTACCGCATTCCTTTCTCCACATTCTAAGAGCAGAAATTCTAACACGGGTTAAGGACAAGATGAAATACTGGAAACTGGAATGAGATCATGGCTCAAACAAAGGTGCAGAACTAGTGGGAAGAAAGAGATGTTAAAAGTCATTTTCCATATGGATCCTTTGTTGGATCTCTTTGCATCCTCTTCCAGACTGATTTTTTTTTCTTTCCTTTGGGTCATATGCTACTGTGGACACATCATGGCATGATGTATATATATACAACAATATCTCTTCAAAGAAAAATGGGCTTTGATATTTTTCTATATTATCTGAATTAGTTTTTTACAAAACCCTTTTTGGAATGGGGTTTATTCCACATTTCAATTAAGTTATCATAATTTGTATTCAATAATCCAAAATAAATTGTATTATAGCTGTTGTTTTGCAGATCTTGTTGATACCCACCCCTGCAACACAACAGGAAAAAAGTTAATTGAAAGATGGGGATTTAGTGTAGCAGGCACCAGTAGGAACAACGGTTGGAGATTTCTCTTCAATGTTAAAATAGTTGATCAATGGAAGGACCAGACATTTAACATGGAATATAGGAGCTGAAAAAGACTTTAGACATTATCTAGTTCAGCATCTTTACTTTATAAAGTATTATCTGCAAATAGTAGGTAATTTTCCCTAAACCTGGATCAGATAATTGCCTTCTGCAAACAATTTCATGTCTAATGCTGGAGTTCATTGAATGGAATGGATGGGCTGGTTTAGGATTAATATTTCATCTGCTAAGTTAGCAAGTTCTTTATCTGAGGAAACTCAGTTTCTTCATTTCTAAAATAGGGACAAAAACAATTCTTACTTTCTAGATTTGACCTTAAGATTATTTAAGAAAAGATGTGTAAAGAATTAGAAAGTGTAGTACATGGTAAAACTCAATATGGGTTGATTGTAATTACTAATTGTATTAGATTGTTTATCCTAATTATTGTACTTTGAAATAATTGTTTTTAATTTAATTTAGGTTTAGTTTACATATTAATATTACATAAATAATAATGTAATGTTTATAAATGCCACTGTTATTGCAGTTTAATTAACAGAATTCTCTAGAGCTTACACTGGCAGAAGATCTAAGGTAGATATGCACAATGGTAAAGAGATGGAGAATTATTTTCATTCTGTTTATTTCAAAGAAAAAACTTCTTTGATTTTAATAAAAATCAAATCATTGTCAAACTGCACTGGTCATTACAAGCTATGATCTTTGCAGTGAACTTTTCTTTTTTTATATTTTTTTAAAATTATATTTTAAGTTTTAGTGTACATGTGCACAACGTGCAGGTTTGTTACATATGTATACATGTGCCATGTTGGTGTGCTGCACCCATTAACTCGTCATTTAACATTAGGTA
This sequence comes from Homo sapiens, assembly GCF_000001405.40. NCBI lineage: Eukaryota > Metazoa > Chordata > Mammalia > Primates > Hominidae > Homo > Homo sapiens. Next base: position 87,538,369 of record NC_000008.11, read on the forward strand.
TATCTCTTAATGCTATCTCTCCCCCCTCCCCCCACCCCCCAGCAGGCCCCAGTGTGTGATGTTCCCCTTCCTGTGTCCTTGTGTTCTCATTGTTCAATTCCCACCTATGAGTGAGAACATGCGGTGTTTGGTTTTTTGTCCTTGCAATAGTTTGCTGAGAATGATGGTTTCCAGCTTCATCCATGTCCCTACAAAGGACATGAACTCATCATTTTTTATGGCTGCATAGTATTCCATGTTGTATATGTGCCACATTTTCTTAATCCAGTCTATCATTGTTGGACATTTGGGTTGGTTCCAAGTCTTTGCTATTGTGTATAGTGCCGCAATAAACATACATGTGCATGTGTCTTTATAGTAGCATGATTTATAATCCTTTGGGTATATACCCAGTAATGGGATGGCTGGGTCAAATGGTATTTCTAGTTCTAGATCCCTGAGGAATCGCCACACTGTCTTCCACAATGGTTGAACTAGTTTACAGTCCCACCAACAGTGTAAAAGTGTCCTATTTCTCCACATCCTCTCCAGCACCTGTTGTTTCCTGACTTTTTAATGATCGCCATTCTAACTGGTGTGAGATGGTATCTCATTGTGGTTTTGATTTGCATTTCTCTGATGGCCAGTGATGATGAGCGTTTTTTCTTGTGTCTTTTGGCTGCATAAACGTCTTATGTTGAGAAGTGTCTGTTCATTTCCTTCACCCACTTGTTGATGGGGTTGTTTGTTTTTTTCTTGTAAATTTGTTTGAGTTCTTTGTAAATTCTGGATATTAGCCCTTTGTCAGATGAGTAGATTGCAAAAATTTTCTCCCATTCTGTAGGTTGCCTGTTCACTCTGATGGTAGTTTCTTTTGCTGTGCAGAAGCTCTTTAGTTTAATTAGATCCCATTTGTCACTTTTGGCTTTTGTTGCCATTGCTTTTGGTGTTTTAGACATGAAGTTCTTGCCCATGCCTATGTCCTGAATGGTATTGCCTTGGTTTTCTTCTAGGGTTTTTATGGTTTTAGGTCTAACATGTAAGTCTTTAATCCATCTTGAATTAATTTTTGTATAAGGTGTAAGGAAGGGATCCAGTTTCAGCTTTCTACATATGGCTAGCCAGTTTTCCCAGCACCATTTATTAAATAGGGAGTCATTTCCCCATTTCTCGCTTTTGTCAGGTTTGTCAAAGATCAGATAGTTGTAGATATGTAGCATTGTTTCTGAGCACTCTGTTCTGTTCCATTGATCTATATCTCTGTTTTGGTACAGTACCATGCTGTTTTGGTTACTGTGGCCTTGTAGTGTAGTTTGAAGTCAGATAGCGTGATGCCTCCAGCTTTGTTCTTTTGTCTTAGGATTGACTTGGCAATGCGGGCTCTTTTTTGGTTCCATATGAACTTTAAAGTCATTTTTTCCAATTCTGTGAAGAAAGTCATTGGTAGCTTGATGGGGATGGCATTGAATCTATCAATTACCTTGGGCAGTATGGCCATTTTCATGATGTTGATTCTTCCTACCCATGAGCATGGAATGTTCTTTCATTTGTTTGTATCCACTTTTATTTCATTGAGCAGTGGTTTGTAGTTCTTCTTGAAGAGGTCCTTCACATCCCTTGTAAGGTGGATTCCTAGGTATTTTATTCTCTTTGAAGCAATTATGAATGGAAGTTCACTCATGATTTGGCTCTCTGTTTGTCTGTTATTGGTATATAAGAATGCTTGTGATTTTTGCACATTGATTTTGTATCCTGAGACTTTGCTGAAGTTGTCTATCAGCTTAAGGAGCTTTTGGGCTGAGATGATGGGGTTTTCTAGATATACAATCATGTCATCTGCAAACAGGGCCAATTTGACTTCCTCTTTTCCTAATTGAATACCCTTTATTTCCTTCTCCTGCCTGATTGCCCTGGCCAGAACTTCCAACACTATGTTGAATAGGAATGGTGAGAGAGGGCATCCCTGTCTTGTGCCAGTTTTCAAAGGGAATGCTTCCGGTTTTTGCCGATTCAGTATGATATTGGCTGTGGGTTTGTCATAGATAGCTCTTATTATTTTGAGATAATTCCCATCAATACCTAATTTATTGAGAGTTTTTAGCATGAAGGTTGTTGAATTTTGTCAAAGGCCTTTTCTGCATCTATTGAGATAATCATGTGGTTTTTGTCGTTGGTTCTGTTTATATGCTGTATTACGTTTATTGATTTGTGTATGTTGAACCAGCCTTGCATCCCAGGGATGAAGCCCACTTGATCATGGTGGATAAGCTTTTTGATGTGCTGCTGGATTCAGTTTGCCAGTATTTTATTGAGGATTTTTGCATCGATGTTCATCAGAGATATTGGTCTAAAATTCTCTTTTTTTGTTGTGTCTTTGCCAGGCTTTGGTGTCAGCATGATGTTGGCCTCATAAAATGAATTAAGGAGGATTCCCTCTTTTTCTATTGATTGGAATAGTTTCAGAAGAAATGCAGTGAATTTTTCTTAAATTGCTTTATTTTAATGAAGCTTTTTCAGCTCTTCAATGTACTTTCAAGTTTTGGAGTGTTGTTTTAAACAATTTGGTAATATGCTATTTATATTTAAGCCATTTTTCAAATTCAAAACAAAACAAGAAAATCATTGTTTTCCAAATCTTTACTTTTTCCATTTCTGTATTAAACACCGGATAATACTAGTACTCTAAATGTAATTTAATATACATTATTCAGTAGCTTGTTTATGAGGATCTACATTTTTACATTTAAAGTACATTTACTTGGCTTTTAAATCATTTTTATGTAGAAATAGTTATTTTGCTCCTAACACTGTCTTAAAATTGACCCTGTGAAAAATACACTTTCTGAAATATCTAATCTGTTTCTATATTTTAGATAATTTCAATTTTAAAAATTTGGACAAAGTTTTCATAGTATGTTAATGAGCCTAAATATCATTTTCAATTCAATTTCTCTCATTCATTCTGCCGCACACAGATTATAAACCTCTCTTTCTTTCTACCATGCTGTTTTCTGCTATTTCCACCTCTTTAGAGATTATGATACTGAGTACAATGAAACAAATTATGTTACTAGTATGTTAAATACTTCATTACACCTTAACTTTTATATCAATTGACATTTTGGTGAATTTCATAAGATATATTTCCTTAGAAATTATATTTTACTGATGTCCAAAGTAATTCAGATTTAATTGTTTCTGTTAATTCAATAAAGATTCATTTTCTTGGCACATAGTTTTCTCTATATAGTGTTTATAAGAATTAAAAAATTCCTACTAAAAGGAGTCTTCAAATGAATACTTTTGGTAAATGAAGAAACATTTTTTAGTCACTAAATTTTACAATAAAAAACAGGTTAAAACTAAAATATGGTCTACATTAAAACTAAACCTTAGTTTAGTTTTCTAAATTCAGGCAGGTTTTACAAGGATAGGCTTAAGGGATTCATTAATACTTAAGGGTTGAACAGCATTCTCAATGCTTCACTTTGGTTCAAGTCACTATTTCAAAACTAACCTTCTGTGGCCTAAGAGGCCAAGGACCATGTGAATATGAGTGGAGTTGCAGTTCACTGAATAGGGGTGGTGATGTTTCCAAAGAAGGGGTCAGTGTTAAACAAAACTAAATTGGGATCTGTTGCAGTTCATCGCTTTACTTCCCAGCCAGCACATGCATTCATACCATCCCCACCACACACATACATACAAACTATCCATAACATATACAAAAAATTATTGCCTGACATGATACAATGTGCATCATTTCCCCGAAAAGAGACAATTCAAATTCAGTTCAGACTTGAATATCCACAGGCCAATGATCTGATAGCTCACACATTCTGACATTTATTTTGCTTTATTTTGTTTTGTTGTTGGCTGTTAAATCTTGAGCCCTGTTTGTGTCATAGCTCTTTCAGTCCCACCATTTGGTCCTGAGTTCTTGTCCCATGTCCAGGAAGAATGAAGTATGCAGACAATTGGAGGGTGAGCAAGATGCACAGGAGCTTCACTGAGCAACAGAACAGCTCTCTAGAGACCCAAAGTGGGTAGCTCCTTTCCACAGGCAGTTCATCCCAATGAGTGTCCAGCTCTCAGCAGAGAAGAGACCTTCAGTGGGTAGCTCCTTCTGCAGGCAGGTCATCCTGACAAGTCAAAGAGAATGGAAGTGGATTACTGCTTCCTACAGTTGGTAGTCCTACTATCCAAGTCTGGCTGATTTGGGGGATTTTATGGGCTTAGAAGGGAGGAAATGCATGCTGATTGGTTCACGGGCAGCCACGGGCAGGCACAGAAAAAGCACCATAACTTCCCAGTGGGTCACACCCAGAACTGGCAACCCAGTCCCCAGGCTGCAGGCCCTCCCTGGCTTGAAGGTAAGGCTTCACCAGGGACCAGCCCCTTTCTACCTAGGAGCCTGTTTACCTCCTGCCACCAACAACATATGATCCATGGCACCCAGGCTGTTCCTGCCAAAGGGCACCTGCAGGCCCGCACAAAGCCACCCTCAGCCCCACCTTGGTCTCCCTCCTTGTCAGTGCCAAAGTCTGAAGGGGGCCGAGGCAGCAGAGAGCTGGTGTGTCACTGCAGCCCCAAATGCAAATGCACTCATACCTGGCTGGATCATGACAGAGCCTGGAACTAACTACAACTTTGCTCTAAAATTGGAGCAGGCACCAGGAGTGGAGAGAGGCCAAGGAGCAACAGCAGGCACTTCTGAGCCTTCAGGGGGCAGAGGGGGCTTCCCAGATACCTGAGAGTGCCGGGATGCTTGGGTCATGAGCCAGGGCTAGGCGGCTGCAGCTGCACTTGGGAGCACGGGGCTCCCACCCCATTAACTCGGTAGGGGGCTGGGCTCCTGACTGTTCCTGGCACCTACCGGCTCTGTGGAAGGCACAGCCCCAGCCATGCCTCCCCATCTGCAGCTGGCATCCCTCCAGTGGCTGTTCCAGACAGGCCACCTCCGCTATCAATAACACCATAACAATGCCTATTTTCATACCACAAGTAATTATTTAACTTCATTTTTTTTAACCACTTCTTGAGTTCTATTTTGGCATGTGAGGCTATCTAGAGTGCATGAGAAAAGTTAACTCCCTTTAACTAAAATGAATATAGCACTTGATCCATGTATGAATTCCATCTGTAATCAAAACTGCAAAGAAAATTAGCGTACAGATAATCATTTGAATAATCTAGAATTACATTTTTATATTCAATGTCTAGATAATGGGTAAAAAAATTTTGAACTTCAACTACATCAAAAACTAATTCCTTATTTGGAGTTTTTTAATATGACCTTTGCATTTGAGACACATTATATTTTTATTCTTCTTTTGAATGTCATCTTTTATAATCTTTTTGTCTTTTGTGCTTTGAAATTTTAAAATGAGTATATAAAAATAAGTCTATTTGTTATGAGGAACTTCAGATTTTTAAATGAATTTACTTTTTCTTTTCTTAGACTTTCTGCAATCATTTTTAGTCCCTACTCTGACATTTTTTTGAAGTTTTCTCTTTTTCAAGTATCTCATACTTCCCCTGATGAGGCAGAAGAGTACTCAAAGAAAATTACCCATAAAGGAGCTTTAACAAAAAGAGAAAGAAACCAAAACACAAGGAGAAAATAAGGCTTACATCAAGACTCAATCTCTATGAATCGGTCAGCAAAGATGAGAAATCCAAAAGAATATGAATATTTGTTTTTTTGACATATTTTAAAATCTCATTTCAAGTACTCATTAGTACCAAATGATGAAAGGGAAATGACTTTGAAATATATTCCTTTCAACAAAAAGAAAGGTGGGGAAGATAGGTTTCTTTGAGGACAAGATGATTCCATTTTGCAGGGATGTAATTAACTTTCATTTCAGCTTCTGCGTCTGACACCAGCTTCCCTCCACTGACACTAAATAGTGATAGTGATAGCAGCAGGCAATACTGAAAATATATCTGCTTCAGAATGCTCTTTTCTTTAAATAAATGGCACAAAGGGGCAATGGAATCTGGTGAGTGTTCGAATCACCTCTGCACCTCTCAGAGGACCATTTTGTTACAGTGGCAGGACTACTGCTAATGCATCAAAGCTCTCAGGAAATATGTCTTCATATTGACTAAGCATGCAAAATTGCGAGGGTAGTTAATGAGACAAACTCACATGATTAGGTGTAAGGCATCATTTTTTCCTCTAGCTCTTTACTTAGTAAAAACAGTCAAGACCGTTGTTTGAGTAATGAACAAAATCTCTCCTTAGCAGCGTATAGTTTTCATTTATTTTTTCTCAGTAGAAATCAGATGGTGTCCTACTTTTAATAATACGGGTTCTTTTCTTCTTCTGCTTTCTTTTTAGTCCGGCCAGACTGGAAAATGTTGGTTCACTATTGAGATTTATAAGAAACTAATTGTCTTTTCTCCTGCATTAACATACCAAGAATGACAATATAACTGTAATAGGATTCCAAATATTATTACCCCAGTAAATTGGGTTATGCCTTATATAAATACTTCAATTTGTCATGATAAAAATTCCTGAATCTAAACTAAATAAGAAAACATTACTAGTACTATTAATGACCCCTACATTTACAGTTTTATATTTTTATTTATCCCTTTTGTTTTTTGTTTTGACTGTGTTTCAGTGTTCTTTTAGGGAGCAGATTTCTATCAATAAAGCACTGATGATATTTGCTTTAGTTGTATGGTTCTCTAATGGGCTGTTATCCATTTATTGCTTTTAGTGAGAAACCATAAAAGGTGGATAAATTGCAATAACATAAACTTGAAATATCTAAGTATCCCATAAAATTACAAACATAAACACACTGATTATGAAAAATGTAAGCTATCACATGAAGCATAATCTATTATATTTCTGAGGTCATTCAATCATTTTGCATTATATCAGACATCAACATTTTTATTAATGGAAAAGTTCTTAAAATTGATAACTTTCTACTTGTTTCATAAAAATTTTAGAAAACAAACGCATTTAATTTTAATAATGAAACACCTTTATTCAGCTAATATAATATCAATCTTCTACAAGATTATAGGGTGAAGCCACTATTGATGTTTTAGGTAGCATTAAAAGGAGTAATAAAAGTAATTGAGAAGAGATGGAATTTCAAGATTTAGATTGGGCCAAAGTGAATCAAGACAAATGCTAATGTTTAACCATATTTTGAACAGCCTGCAAGATGACAAAATATCACAGAATCTGTAACTGCAATAGAAGATCTATAACTTTCAGATAGAAGTTACTATTATTTACAATTAAGTTTTCCAAAGCCTATTTCTTGTAGGATGTAGATGCAGGAATAAATAAAATAAATCTAAGTAAATAGATGAATTAGAACACCTTTTTAAATACATTTAAGAAGTATTATTTTTATCAACATCACAATTTGCCTATCAATGATTTCCAATTTCAACTCCTTCTCATCACGCAGGCCAGGTTTCATGGGAATTGGCAGATTCCAAATCCAGAGGACAGATCTAATCCATCTAGGCCATTCATGGAAATTCCGTTTCCTCACATGTGTCTGGTTTAGGGTTGAACATGAACTCCAACTGTGGTCAGTGAGATGAGATGAGAATTCTCCTTGGAGTCTTTGAAGACATGTTTCTTTTTTCTTTTCTTTTTCAAGAGACTAAAAGAAGTCAAACTCTCTTTCTCCTTTGGAGGTTGCTGTCCTGGGAAATGATACCTTGAACTACTGCAGCTATTTTGTAACTCTTAGAAGAATAAATATCCAGGGCAGATATTTGACCCTAAGGATGGAAGGGTAGACAGAGGGGAAGAAATTGGGGTTCTTGATGGGATCAATAAACTTCAGATAACACCAGGACTAGAGCCTCCTTTACTTCTGACCTTTTTCTTCAGTGACGAAAATAATGATGATAATAGTGATGATGTTCTCATTTTTCCAAGACAGTTTTAATTAGGTTTTCTGTTTTTCAATGCCAAAATATTCCTAAAAGACAATCTTCTATATGCACCAACAAACTTTTCATTAACATGAAACCAAATTAAACATGCTAAGAGCTCACAAAGTAAAAGGAAAATAAAAGATACTCAAACATTCACTCATGATTGTTTGGTGACACTACAAATAACCCAACATTCAAACACACTCCCATTTCATACACACAACCCTGAAAGGAAATAGGTCTAAGTTTAGAATCTTCCCCAAAGCATTTAGTAATGCCAAATAATCAGTTACTTGGATGGCTTTGACATAGCAGCATTTGTATTAATGTTTTGGTATTATGTAGACAAAGCAATCAGCTGATTGATTTCACTTTTTCGCCACGTGTTTTGGCATAATTAGGAATGATCTATGATAATTATGAAGTTGGTTTTGGGACCAGAATTTCAGTCTCATTACCCAATAGAAGACATTGATTGGGCTTATGTACTATATCTCATGTACTCTGTTAAGTGCTAAAATCAGAGAAGTGATTAAAACACAGCCCCAACCCTAACATCCCAATGCACAATTAAAAGTGTCAACACCAGGAAATTCTCAAGTCTTTCTCCAAGGTATGAAAAAAAGGAAATGAAGTAAATATCATGCATCTACTTCAAATATAACCTGTGTTTATAGAACAACAATCAAAGTGGAAGAAGATTGTTTAATACAAGCAAATTATTGAATTAGATTTTCATGGCTATTATATTAAAAAGACCTATGAAACCAAAATTATATAATTGGCTATGAAGTACATTTAGAATGCAAAATTATTTGAGGATGTAGTAGAAACCAGCCAACAGTGTTCTACTGTGAATGATCTGGTTCATAGCAAATTATATAATTTTGCTTCATAGATCTTTTAAATCTAATATAATAGCCATGAAAATCTAATTCAATAATTTGCTTGTATTAAAAAGCCCACTGTCAAAAAAGCTTATATTTTAACATTATCCTATAACATATGAGGATCCATTCTGGCTCACAGGCTTTTAGTTAAAAAAAAAAAAGCATGAAATGCGTTTTCAAATGATGTGTCCATAGTGTGTTGGAGTTAGAAGTGTTAGGCTATTTATTGTTGTGCTGTGCTGGAATTTGAAAGGGACAGCTGATAGAGATGTAATTAAATCTTGCCTGTTAAGTAATCTTATGAATTATTAAAATCCAGATCCTATTATTCCTTCTTATATTGTTCTTTTAAACTTCTTGTTGCCACATGTGCCACCCCCCTCAAATGTTAAGCAATTACCCTTTATAGGGTCAAAGAAGCACCTAAAGGGTCCATCTGGAAAGCTGAGATAAGGCCCCATGGTTCAGCTTAAACAGTTGTTGAACTGAGACATTAAGATCGGGTTGGGGAAGAAGCTATTACTTTGGGGCTTTCTGAATAGCTAAAAGAGATTTATTCTAGTACACTCTACATCAATTCTTGGACGCCTTTCTGTATTTTTATAAAGCTGAAGCTTTTATAAAGCTTCATTTTCATCTAACTTCCAAGTGTTTATTTGTCTTGATATGAAATGCTGGATTGAAAATTGAATACAATTTTGCAGAAGGAAATATATATATATATATATAAAAATAAATACATACACACAGCTATCTATCATCTATCTACCATTTATCTATACTTCTTGAAAAATGGCTTAACAGCCTGTGAATTTCATTAAAATAAGATGAGTAGAAATGATTTTTTTAATGCAAGCAGTCTCATACTTGAGGATTATTCTGAAGTAAAGTTTATTTTATATATTTATTTGTTCTGAGTTTTCTGGGAAAATCTCTGTATCTCCGGAGGAGAGAAAGATTTGTTTAATCAATGCTGATTTTAAAAATAATCATACAAATATTCCATGTTTTTACTCATATGTAGTAGCTAAAATATTTGAACAGGCCTAGTGCAGTGGTGCATACCTGTAGTTCCAGATACTCAGGAGGCTGAGGTGGGAGGATTGCTTGCGCCCAGGAGTTTGAGGATACAGTGAGCTATGATTGTGTCACTGCACTTAAACTGGGGTGAAGGCACGACACCATGTCTCAAAACAATTATTTTCCTTTGAACACATGGAGATAGAGAGTGGAAAAATAGAAAACAGAGATTGGGAAGAGTAAGTGGAGGAGAGATGGGGGAATGAACAGAAGTGGGTTAAAGGGTACACACATACAGTAAAATAGAAGAAATAAATTCAATTTGATAGCAGAGTGGGATGACCATACCTTAACAAATGTATTATACTTGAGTGATGGACAACCTGAATATCCTGACTTGATCATTACACATTATGTACATGTAAAAAAATTCTTATGTAATTCAGACATTTGCACAAACGGGCACTTAGTGTTATTCCATATCTTTGTAATTATGAAGCGTGCTGCAATAAACATAGGCATAAAGGTGTGTTTTTGATATGATAATTTTTTTTCCTTTGGGTTGATACCAGTAGGACTGCTGGACCAAATAGTAGATCTACTTTTAGTTCTTTGAGAAATCTCTATACTGTTTTCCACAGAGGTTGTACTAATTTACATTCCCACCAGCAGTGTATAAACATTCCCTTTTCACCACATCCGTGCCAACATCTATTGGTTTTGACTTTCTAAAAATGGCCATTCTGGGCTGGGCATAGTGGCTCACAGCTGTAATCCCAGCACTTTGGGTGGCCGAGGCAGGCAGATCACCTGAGGTCAGGAGTTTGAGACCAGCCTGGCCAACATGGTGAAACCCCCATCTCTACTAAAAATACAGAAATTAGCTTGGTGTGGTGACACTCACCTATAATCCCAGCTACTAGGGAGGCTGAGGCTGGAGGATTGCTTGAACCCAGGAGGCAGAGGTTGCACTGAGCAAAGATTGTGCCACTTCACTCCAGTCTGGGCAACAGTGTGAGAATCTATCTCAAAAAAAAAAAAAAAAAAAAAGCCATTCTGACTTGGGTAAGGTGGTATCTCATTATGGTTTTTATTTGCATTTCTCTAATGATGAGTGATGTCGAGCATTTTTTTCATGTATTTGCTGACCTATATGTCTATTCATGTCATTTGCTCACCTTTTAGCGAAACTGTTTTTTTCTTGCTGATTTGTTTGAGATCCTTGTAGAGTTTGGATATTAGTCCTTTGTCAGATGCATAGTTTGTAATCATTCTCTTATTCTGTAGCTTGTCTGTATGCTCTCATGATTATTTCTTTTGCTGTCCAGAAGGATTTGGTTTAATTAGGTCTTATTTATTTATATTTGTTTTTGTTGCATTTGCTTTGGGGATCTTTATCATAAATACTTTACTTAGGCCAATGCCCAGAAGAATTTTTTCCTAATTATCTCCTAGAATTCTTATGGTTTAAGGTTTTAGACTTAAGTCTTTATTGCATTTTGAGTTAATTTTTGTGTATGGTGAGAGATACATATCCAGTTTCATTTTTCTGCATGTGGCTATCCAATTTTCCCAACACCATTTATTGAATAGGGTGTCCCTTTCCCAATTTATGTTTCTGTTTGCTTTGTCAAAGATCAGTTGGTTGTAAGTATTTGGCTTTATTTCTGGGTGCTCTATTCTGTTTCACTGGTCTATGTGTCTACTTTTATGCCAGTAACATGCTGTTTTGTTTACTGTAGTCTCATAGTATAAGCAAAATTGGGTAAGGTAATGCCTCCAAGTTTGTTCTTTTTGCTTAGGATTGCTTTGGTTATTCAGGCTCTTTTTTGGTTCCATATTAATTTTAGGAATGTTTTTGCTAATTCCATGGAGAATAACATTGGTATTTTCATAGGAATTGCATTTAATCTGTAGATTGCTTTGGGCTATATGGTCATTTTCACAATATTGATTCTCCCAATCCTTGAACATAGGATGTATTTCCATTTGTTTGTGTCATCTACAATTTCTTTCAGGAGTGTTTTGTAGTTTTCCTTGTAAAGATCTTTCACCTCCTTGGTTAAGTATATTTCTAAGTACTTTATTTTTTTTTGTAGCTATTTAAAAAAGATATTGAGTTCTTGATTGATTGGATTCTTAGATGGGTCATTGTTGGTGCATAGCAGTGCTACTGATTTCTGTACCTTAATTTTGTAACCTAAGACTACTAAATTCATGAATCAAATCTAGGAGCCTATTGGAAGAGGCTTCGGGTTTTTCTAGGTATAAAATTAATCAAAGACAAACAGAGATAGTTTCACTTCCTCTTTTCCAATTTAGATGCTCTGGATTTCTTTGTCTTGCCTGATTGCTCTGGCTAGGATTTCCTGATATTATTATTTTTTCAGATGAGAAATCTGGAGTCTAGATAGTTTTAAGTAGTTTTTTGTTTTGTTTTGTTTTTTGAGACAGAGTCTCGCTGTGTCGCCTAGGCTGGAGTGCAATGGTGCAATCTCAGCTCACTGCAACCTCCAACTCCTGGGTTCAAACAATTTTCCTGCTTCAGCTTCCCAAGTAGCGGGGATTACAGGCACACGCTACCATGCTAGGCTAATTTTTGTATTTTTAGTAGAGACAGGGTTTCACCATATTGGCCAGACTTGTCTCGAACTCCTGACCTCATGAACCACCCATCTCAGCCTCCCAAAGTGTTGGGATTACAGTCGTGAGCCATCGCGCCCGGCCTTAAGTAGTTTTTACATTACACAGCTAGTAAGTTTTGGAATTATAACTCCAGGCCTACCATTAAAGAATGTTGTGTGTTTGCTGGAATACTTGAGAATTTTGTTTTCTGAGTATATGTGAGGTCGATGATAAAAGGCAAACATGTGATCATGTGATAATTACTAATAAAGCCATAGACATTTGATAACAAAGTATTTGTGATTATAATTATTGTTTACTTACTTTTTTCAGCATTTTAATTTTTTAAATTTTGCTGCCACAATTTCAAAACTAAGGTGGTGTGTCTTAGTTCTACTACCTTATATCAGGACCTAGAAGATCCATGCTTACTTATTTTAAATTCCTGTATGTAACCAGTCCTCATTAACATAGTATTCTCCTCACTTGTCATTCAAGTAAAAAGTCAAGCAACCTTGGTCAGGGAAAGCAAACACTTGCTAAGTTCAACTGTCTTTATGTAGTTGAAATCATGCTGGAATAGGTCAAGTTTGAATTTGACATTCTCGATGTCGTATTCACTATCCAAACTGCCTCTTTTTCACCCTCATATCCCATCTTTTTTGAGAGGAAACAGAAGATTTGTGTCTCAAAGACTGATGAAAGTTAGTATAATGGCCACAAAATTAGGTCTTTAAGACACATACAGAAAGAAAGGAAGGAACAAAGTGAGGAAGAACAAAAGAAGAAAGGAAAGAAAAGAGGAAAGAAGAAGGAAGGGAGAGGAGACTTCATGCAGTATTATTTTGAATGAGTTTTCTAATAGTAAATAAGGTTTGCCTTTTGAATGAACAGACTCAGATTTTGTGGGGTCTGAAAGTCATAAAATGTGGGCCATTTAAAAGAGAGCATGTACAGATTAAAGAATAGCATTCCCACTGCGCTTTAGCACAACTTGGCATGAGAAATTACTAATACAAAATGGCCTGTCACTAGGAGTTGGGCACTTCTGAGTAAAGCACCCTGACACTTAAGTTCCTAAAGCTTCAGCTGAGTCTGTCTCTGACTGAGGGTTAAATCCCGCCTTGAGTTTATTTAATCTCTTCTTCAAGCAAAGGAGAGAAGAAATTGAGGCCTGGAAAAGTCATATAATTCTCCCAAATTTATACAGTTATGACGGGATGGAGCTAAGTTGCCAACTTGTGTCCCTTAGACTCTAGCACCAAGGTGTTCAGCTCCTCTAGGTTCTGTCTGAAGATTTCATTACTGTTTACAAAGGAATGTTACACACTCAGCAAGGAAAGAAAAATTACACCTGGTTAACACTGGAACTTTTAACAAATATTAAAAAAAATGATGGACCAGAAATGGTCCAGATGATAATAGGATAATACGATGAATGAAGAAACTTTCTTGTTGAGGAGAAACTAAAATCTCAGTATTTACAATTACATTCATCATTCAATGTGAGAAGATAAGAAGAACTCATAAATAGCTTGAGCTTTTAAATGAAAATATTTGGTAAATAGGTAACTATTCACACAACTGTAGATAAGTAGAACAAAGGGGAAAGTCTTGATGCCTTGAAGAGATGAGTCCAGAACAAGGAAAATAAGTACCCCTTTACTCTTTGAAGTAGTGGGAGGTAAAATAATGCAATATGTTATCCTTAGAAAGGGGTTTTTTAAATGTTTTCATTGGAGGTTTAGGAATTTCGAGACATTCCTGGACACTGCCTCTCCACCTTAGACACATCTCCACCTATATCATATATTCTAGATAAAAAATTTTAAAAGGAAATATAGAAGTAAAAGCAGATTATGTTTATAGAGCAGCCCCAGGAATTGTGTCCTACAGGTACAAGTAAGGAAAAATAATAACATTCTGGTGCTAGGGATTTATTGATACATGTGGAACTAACTAAAATCAAATCAACAAAGGTTTTTCTTACACAAATAAATCCCCTGCCTGGGTACATATGTAATGGACTCATGGTGCTCTTAGAAAATCTATCTTCAAATCAATCAGAATAAACGATAGTTCATGAGTCAGAAATTCTATGATGAGACACATGTTTTGAATTTAGAATTTAGACGATTGGAAAAAATTTAGAAATTGTTATTATTTTTCTAATATCTTATCAAGTTTGAAAGACATGTTCCAACACTCAGTGTTTTGGATCAACTGCAATAATTCAAATGAATGTCATTATTTCATTCTTTCAAACAAATCTGGAAGTTATATTTTGTGAGTAACGAATAAGACAATTTTTGTTTGTTCTGACCTAACATTAGAGAAAGAGACATTCAGTTGTCACTGGTCATAATAAAAACAGAAATGCTAGTACAGAGGATGGAGTGTAATGCAAGCTCAAAAACTGTTTTTTTTTTTATTAACTTTTTATTTTTATTTTTATTTTATTATCATTATACTTTAAGTTTTAGGGTAGTGCACAATGTGCAGATTAGTTTAGTTACATAAGTATACATGTGCCATGCTGGTGTGCTGCACCCATTAACTCGTCATTAAGCATTAGGTATATCTCCTAATGCTATCCCTCCCCCCTCCCCCCACCCCACAACAGTCCCCAGAGTGTGATGTTCCCCTTCCTGTGTCCATGTGTTCTCATTGTTCAATTCCCACCTATAAGTGAGAATATGCAGTGTTTGGTTTTTTGTTCTTGCGATAGTTTACTGAGAATGATGATTTCCAATTTCATCCATGTCCCTACAAAGGACATGAACTCATCATTTTTTATGGCTGCATAGTATTCCATGTTGTATATGTGCCACATTTTATTAATCTAGTCTATCATTGTTGGACATTTGGGTTGTTTCCAAGTCTTTGCTATTGTCAAAAGTGCCGCAATAAACATACGTGTGCATGTGTCTTTATAGCAGCATGATTTATAGTCCTTTGGGTATATACCCAGTAATGGGATGGCTGGGTCAAATGGTATTTCTAGTTCTAGATCCCTGAGGAATCGCCACACTGTCTTCCACAATGGTTGAACTAGTTTACAGTCCCACCAATGTGTAAAAGTATTCCTATTTCACCACATCCTCTCCAGCACCTGTTGTTTCCTGACTTTTTAATGATTGCCATTCTAACTGGCGTGAGGTGGTATCTCATTGTGGTTTTGATTTGCATTTCTCTGATGGCCAGTGATGGTGAGCATTTTTTCATGTGTTTTTTGGCTGCATAAATGTCTTCTTTTGAGAAGTGTCTGTTCATGTCCTTTGCCCACTTTTTGATGGGGTTGTTTGTTTTTTTCTTGTAAATTTGTTTGAGTTCATTGTAGATTCTGGATATTAGCCCTTTGTCAGATGAGTAGGTTGCGAAAATTTTCTCCCATTTTGTAGGTTGCCTGTTCACTCTAATGGTAGTTTCTTTTGCTGTGCAGAAGCTCTTTAGTTTAATGAGATCCCATTTGTCAATTTTGGCTTTTGTTGCCATTGCTTTTGGTGTTTTAGACATGAAGTCCTTGCCCATGCCTGTGTCCTGAATGGTAATGCCTAGGTTTTCTTCTAGGGTTTTTATGGTTTTAGGTCTAACGTTTAAGTCTTTAATCCATCTTGAATTAATTTTTGTGTAAGGTGTAAGGAAGGGATCCAGTTTCAGCTTTCTACATATGGCTAGCCAGTTTTCCCAGCACCATTTATTAAATAGGGAATCCTTTCCCCATTTCTTGTTTTTCTCCGGTTTGTCAAAGATCAGATAGTTGTAGATATGCGGCGTTATTTCTGAGGGCTCTGTTCTGTTCCATTGATCTATATCTCTGTTTTGGTACCAGTACCATGCTGTTTTGGTTACTGTAGCCATGTAGTATAGTTTGAAGTCAGGGAGCATGATGCCTCCAGCTCTGTTCATTTGGCTTAGGATTGACTTGGCGATGAGGGCTCTTTTTTGGTTCCATATGAACTTTAAAGTAGTTTTTTCCAATTCTATGAAGAAAGTCATTGGTAGCTTGATGGGGATGGCATTGAATCTATAAATTACCTTGGGCAGTATGGCCATTTTCATGATGTTGATTCTTCCTACCCATGAGCATGGAATGTTCTTCCATTTGTTTTTATCCTCTTTTATTTCCTTGAGCAGTGGTTTGTAGTTCTCCTTGAAGAGGTCCTTCACATCCTTTGTAAGTTGGATTCCTAGGTATTTTATTCTCTTTGAAGCAATTATGAATGGGAGTTCACTCATGATTTGGCTCTCTGTCTGTTATTGGTGTATAAGAATGCTTGTGATTTTTGCACATTGATTTTGTATCCTGAGACTTTGCTGAAGTTGCTTATCAGCTTAAGGAGATTTTGGGCTGAGGCAATGGGGTTTTCTAGATATACAATCATGTCATCTGCAAACAGGGACAATTTGACTTCCTATTTTCCTAATTGAATACACTTTATTTCCTTCTCCTGCCTGATTGCCCTGGCCAGAACTTCCAACACTATGTTGAATAGGAGTGGTGAGAGAGGGCATCCCTGTCTTGTGCCAGTTTCCAAAGGGAATGCTTCCAGTGTTTGCCCATTCAGTATAATATTGGCTGTGGGTTTGTCATAGATAGCTCTTATTATTTTGAGATACGTCTCATCAATACCTAATTTACTGAGAGTGTTTAGCATGAAGTGTTCTTGAATTTTGTCAAAGGCCTTTTCTGCAACTGAGATAATCATGTGGTTTTTGTTTTTGGTTCTGTTTATATGCTGGATTACATTTATTGATTTGCCTATATTGAACCAGCCTTGCATCCCAGGGATGAAGCCCACTTGATCATGGTGGGTAAGCTTTTTGATGTGCTGCTGGATTCAGTTTGCCAGTATTTTATTGAGGATTTTTGCATCAATATTCATGAAGGATATTGGTCTAAAATTCTCTTTTTTGGTTGTGTCTCTGCCAGGCTTTGGTATCAGGATGATGCTGGCCTCATAAAATGAGTTAGGGAGGATTCCCTCTTTTTCTATTGATTGGAATAGTTCCAGAAGGAATCGTACCAGTTCCTCCTTGTACCTCTGGTAGAATTCGGCTGTGAATCCATCTGGTCCTGGACTCTTTTTGGTTGGTAAGCTATTGACTATTGCCACAATTTCAGATCCTGTTATTGGTCTATTCAGAGAGTCAACTTCTTCCTGGTTTAGTCTTGGGAGGGTGTTTGTGTTGAGGAATTTATCCATTTCTTCTAGATTTTCTAGTTTATTTGCGTAGAGGTGTTTGTAGTGTTTTCTGATGGTAGTTTGTATTTCTGTGGGATCAGTGGTGATATCACCTTTATCATTTTTTATTGCATCTATTTGATTCTTCTCTCTTTTCTTCTTTATTAGTCTTGCTAGCGGTCTATCTATTTTGTTGATCCTTTCAAAAAACCAGCTCCTGGATTCACTAATTTTTGGCGGGTTTTTTGTGTCTCTATTTCCTTCAGTTCTGCTCTGATTTTAGTTATTTCTTGCCTTCTGCTAGCTTTTGAATGTGTTTGCTCGTGCTTTTCTAGTTCTTTTAATTGTGATGTTAGGGTGTCAATTTTGGATCTTTCCTGCTTTCTCTTGTGGGCATTTAGTGCTATAAATTTCCCTCTTCACACTGCTTTGAATGCGTCCCAGAGATTCTGGTATGTTGTGTCTTTGTTCTCATTGGTTTCCAAGAACATCTTTATTTCTGCCTTCATTTCATTATGTACCCAGTAGTCATTCAGGAGCAGGTTGTTCATTTTCCATGTAGTTGAGCGGTTTTGAGTGAGTTTCTTAATCCTGAGTTCTAGTTTGATTGCACTGTGGTCTGAGAGACAGTTTGTTATAATTTCTGATCTTTTACATTTGCTGAGGAGAGCTTTACTTCCCAGTATGTGGTCAATTTTGGAATAGGTGTGGTGTGGTGCTGAAAAAATGTATATTCTGTTGATTTGGGGTGGAGAGTTCTGTAGATGTCTGTTAGGTCCGCTTGGTGCAGAGCTGAGTTCAATTCCTGGGTATCCTTGTTAACTTTCTGTCTCGTTGATCTGTCTAATGTTGACAGTGGGGTGTTAAAGTCTCCCATTGTTATTGTGTGGGAGTCTAAGTCTCTTTGTAGGTCACTCAGAACTTGCTTTATGAATCTGGGTGCTCCTGTATTGGGTGCATATATATTTAGGATAGTTTGCTCTTCTTGTTGAATTGATCCGTTTACCATTATGTAATGGCCTTCTTTGTGTCTTTTGATCTTTGTTGGTTTAAAGTCTGTTTTATCAGAGACTAGGATTGCAACGCCTGCCTTTTTTTGTTAACCAAACAAACAAGTAAGTGAATGGGTGAATTGAATAAATCCTACAAATAGAGAAAGAGTATGAGTCCTGCCTTGAAATTCTCTGTGAACTTTTAGGAACTGTGCCATGCATAGCTTCATCAACACTAATTCTTGAACTACGAACTTTCTATTATGAGACATGGAGTGGTTTTTAGGTTGCTTTGAAGAAGCCTAGGGCTCCTGGGAAAATTTTTAAGGGGTTTCATATACAATTATTCTGAATGAAGATTTAAACTTTCCAAGGAATTCATAATTTTTAAAAATGTTTTATATATTTGTTATTCTAAATAAAATTTCAACATAAAGTATTTATAATGTTTTAAAAAATGACAATCACTACAAGATCTTTGAACACATGAAACTGCTTGAGTATCTTTTTAAGGGGTCACAGAAGGAGTTTGCAAGGAGAATAAAGGAAAGATGTTAACAAGGAGGAGCTTAACTAGTTTAACCAACACAAATGCTAAAGAGATCCCATTTATCTTAATGTTTATTGAACTTTTATTTTAAATTCAAGGGTACACAGGGCTGAAGCATGGTGGAACTGCAAGGATTTACAATGATAATATAGGTTACCTCCGATTAAGTGTATTCAACAATTTGATCATGATGCATCTCAGTTTTCTATGAACACCTCTAAGCATGGCAACACAGAATGCTGACAATACCTTCTTAACAATTGCAAATTGAAGAAGATTATGAAGGAAAATAGTACTTCAAGAACCCCAAATGCTCCATTTATCTCCCAAAATATCCAGGTCATTGAGTTAAACTGCATGTTTTTATATCTTGCAATCATTTGTTTGATAATTGCCATGGTCCTTAATATTCTAAAAAATTATTCATCCCTAACCCAATTTCCTGAGCCTTTGACTATAAAAGGTCCTGACACATAATTAGGCACAGGACAACTGGTATACCAGAACCAAAACATTGAATTTACTTAATGGCAAATACTGATTCCAAAATCAGGAAGTTTTCCTGAGAAACTGAAAGCTAAAATCAGGAGATTGCATAATTTTGATGACTCTGTAAGCTTGTTAATACTCTGTTTTTTTATGTTATGAAAAAAATTAAAAATATGAATTTTCATTACATGGGGAGGAAGGGGAAAGAAATCTCCCCTTTCTTTGTTTTTTAACTTTTAATTTCAGGGATACATGTGCAGTTTTGTTACATAGGTAAACTTGTGTCATGGGGGTTTGTTGTACAGATTATTTCATCACCCACGTATTAAGTCTAATACCCATTAGTTATTTTTCCTGATCCTCCTTCTCCTCCGACACTCTACCCTCAAGTAGGCCTCAGTGTGTGTATCCATGTGTTCTCATCATTTAGCTCCCACTTTTAAGTGGGAACATGAGGTATTTGATTTTCTGTGCGTGTGTTAATTTGCTAAGGATAATGGCCTCCAGCTTCATCCATGTCCCTGCAAAGGACATGATCTTCTTCTTTTTTTATGGCTGCATACTATTCTATAGTGTAAATATGCCACATTTTCTTTACACAGTCTATCATTCATGAGCATTTAGGTTGATACCATGTCTTTGCTATTTTGAATAGTGCCGTAATGAATGTACACAAGCATGTGTCTTTACAATAGAATGATTTATATTCCTTTGGGTATATACCCAGTAGTGGGATTGCTGGGTCAAATGGTATTTCTATCTTTAGGTCTTTGAGGAATCACCATATGGTCTTTCACAATGGCTGAACTAATTTACACTCCCAGGAACAGTGTATAAGTGTTGCTTTTTCTCCTCAATCTGGCCAGCATCTGTTATTTTGTAACTTTTTATAATAGGCAGTCTGACTGGTGTGAGATGGTATCTCATTGTGGTTTTGATTTGCATTTCTCTAATGATCAGTAATGTTGAGCTTTTTTTCATATGACTGTTGGTTGCCTGCATGTCTTCTTTTGAGAAGTGTCTGTTCATGTCCTTTGCCCACTTTTTAATGGTGATTTTTTTCTTGTAAATTCGTTTAAATTCCTTATAGATGCTGAATATTAGACCTTTGTCACATGCATAATTTGAAAAAATTTTCTCCCATTCTGTAGGCTATCTGTTCACTCATTTGATATTTCCTGTACTGTGCGGAAGTTCTTTAGCTTGATTAGATCCCATTTGTCAATTTTTGCTTTTGTTGCAATTGCTTTTGGTGTCTTTGTCATAAAATCTTTGACAATTCCTATGTCCAGAATGGTATTGCCTGGGTAGAAGACCCTATTTTTATGCAAGACTGGAAGGCCTGAAGACTTTAGATTGGCAAAAAAAAAAAAAAAAAAAAATCATTTCATTTTATCTTCCAAATTCATGGATTTTGAGTGCTATATACTGATATTCTGAAGCCTGAAGTAGTAACTAAAGATTACTGGGCTAGGTTTGAGTATGATGTGTCCAATCAAACTAGAATAACTATTTCTGAAGAGAGAGAGAGAGGGAGACAGAGACAGTCACAGAGACACAGAGAGAAAGAAAGAAAGAAAGAAAGATAAAGATACTAAAGATTTCATATTATGACTCTATTATCATAACCACATGTGAACATAAATTGCCTTTTGAATAGTGAGAGGCCTGCTGAGAATTCGGTTGAGGAGTGAGAGGCATTTTGCCCCCACATATGCCATGGTTCTGATAACATTCAGCTTTTAGTAAAGCAAGACAAATTAACTCACATTATGAGTAAATCCTCTGTAGAATTTTTGTTTCAAAAAATGTAATCATATTTTCATTTTTATAGAAAACAATGCTAGTTAATGCCTTATGGATTCCATGAGATTATAGACAGAATGCTGTGAAGAACATTACAATAACTTGTAATTTAAGATTTATTGAGCACAGAAAATATGTTTCACACTGCCAACTGGCAGAATTAGATGAACCTTTTGCTTAGAGAAGTTACAAAGTAAGAGCAGTGCACATTGTTAGAGAAAGGACCTAAATGTTCATAGCTTAGCACATTAATTGTCCAAGTGGAAAATGGCTCACATTATTTCTATGAGTTCTGTGTTTTAAATTAAAAAAAATCTATTATGAATGTTATGTTAATCTTAACAACAGTACATATTAGATAATTATGAAATAAGACTTAACATTAGTTAAGAATTGACAAACTGCCTCAGATGAGTAGTAGTAAGTATTCAGTAAACACTGATTGAATACATGTTTTAATTAAATAATACAATTTTGATTACTTATTTTTGCTTAGCATTCTACTTAGATAGTTAATCTACCGCACAAAATTTTAAAATTAAAAATGACCCAATTTACGTAACTTTATAAATGTCTTATTGACTGCCCCCTAGTGGTTGTAAAACAAAAGTTAATTATCTTATTAAGAGAAAGATGACGGCCACCTTTTAACCAAAGTTTCGTTTTTATATCGAGATTATTTTGTAACCCTTCTAAGCACATTTTGCTGAAATGTACAAAAGTTTTCTGACCAATACTTCTATGTGGAGGATATGCTGCATACTCTATGAGTGTGTACAGAAAGTGAAGGTAGATAATATGTGAGCAATTAATGAAAGTGAATGACTGTTTAAATTCCATTTTAAATACAAAATTTATTAATAAAATACTATAAACTGACAATCATATTAGACACTGAGGATCCAAGCTGTCATGAAATACAAATCAATGGCAGTAAAATAATGAGCAAACTAAGTTGCTCTGGAAAGAGGATACTTAAGCTCTCCGAGACTTATGGTCTTGAGGTTAGAGGATGTGAGAAAAAGGTAAGGTTACTCACCTCCCCCGATACTGATATAAAAATTAATAATTTTAAAAAAAGATTTACTTTATAATTATGTATACTTTCACTAATCTATATGAAGGCTTCTAGCTCCATTGTTTGTTTATTGTGTTAGAATTTTTTCCAACATTGTAAAATATTTAAAACAAAAAGAAAAATTGAAAGAACTTTATAAAGGCCTTATACCCACCACCTGGATTCTATTTGACTTACTTTATCTTATACCTATCAAAGTATTCATTTTTCTATACATTTATTCATCAGCTTTTAAAAATGCATTTCAAAGTAAATTGAAAGCAACATAAGTATTTATGTTAATAAATACTTAACATTTATGTCACTAAATAGACACTTCATTTGTTCATAGTATTTTTATGCAAAGCAAAATAGATTGAAATGCATGGGTACATATTTTCTGAGTTTAGCCACAACTTCACCTCCAAAAATTTTCTCTTCCCTTCCCAATAAATTCCTGCACTCATACCTAGAAAAAAATGGACGGTTCTGATTTTTTTCTAGCATAGATTAATATTGCCTGTTTTAGCTTATCATTAAAACTGAATCACAGATATAAATTTTTTGGATGTATGGCATAATTCACTAAAGGTAATATTGTCAAGATTCATTAATGCCATTGCTCATATCAGTAGGTACTACTTTTTTTTTAATTGCTAAGTAACTTTTCTGGCCAGCGCGGTGGCTCAGGCCTGTAATCCCAGCACTTTGGGAGGCCAAGGCGGGCAGATCATGAGGTCAGGAGATTGAGACCATCCTGGCCAACAAGGTGAATCCCCATCTTTACTAAAATACAAAAAATTAGCTGGGCGTGGTGGTGTGCGTCTGTAGTCTCAGCTACTGGGGAGGCTGAGGCAGGAGAATCACTTGAACCAGGAGGCGGAGATTGCAGTGAGCCGAGATCACACCACTGCACTCCAACCTGGCAACAGAGGGAGACTCTGTCTCAAAACAAAACAAAGCAAAACAAAAGTTTCCATTTTATGAATATACCAAAGCTAGTTGTGATGTTGACAGATAAATGTCTGTGGGACTCTTGTATTTCTACACAAATAGAGCAACTGAGGCATTAACTGCTCTTTGATCCAGGCTATTTTTACAAGATGTTTGTATAGCGCACAGCCTTGGAAGATAGAGACAATGTATTTCTCCAGAGCAAAGAGCGAGCTTACTGTCAATTATAAAAGATCCAAGTTCCCTAAGCTCAGGGTTCCTAGCCCATATGCAACCCACTGTCTGTGCAGATATCATCTAGTCCTGTTCACATCACCTTCTGAGAAGCCATGGGAAAATGTTGCCACTCAAGCTACTGCTATTGCTGTGAGTAAAAACACATTATTGTCCTATGACCCAGAGTCTACTGTCTCCTACCAGCATCCATGAAACCTTGGCAGACTAATTTGTTATTTGTAAGTAAGCTAAGATCTCCGAACTTTCAAAGAAAGATTTTGACAAGCGGTAGACTTTGACATTCCCACCAACAACACATGAGAGTTCCAGGTGTGCCACAAGCTGGCCAACATTCAATGTTTTCAGTTTTTAGATTTTATCTATTCTAATAAGTATCTAGTGGTATTTGACTTTGATTTCCATTTGTATTTATTCAATAAATGATGAGGATAAAGACTTGTATGTCTTTTTTTGGGCATTCATAAATGTTCATAAAGTTTCTTGCCAGTTATTCTGCCCACCTTTTATTGTTTTATTTTTATTTATGAAAAATAAAAAATGAAGTATAGGTATAGACATAGATTGTGGATATACGTTTTGTTTGATTTGTTTTCTACAAATTCTGCCTTGCCTATTCATTTTCTTAAGGGTATATTTATTTTGATCAACAAAAGGTATTAATTTTGATATTTAATGTATCTATTTTCTTTATAAACTATATTAAGAAAAAAGAAACTTTTGCCTGCCACCAGTACACAAAATAACCTCCTATTCTTGCATTTAAAAGATGCTATCTATTTAATTGAAACTTTTACTTTGAGATAATTGAAAATTCACATGCCCTTGTAAGAAATAATACAGTGTGACCCCCTGTACCCTTTACCCCGTTTTCCTCAATGATAGCATCTTGCAATACTATAGTAAAATATCACAATTGGGACATTGATAATGGCACAGTCAAGATACAGAACGTTTCCATCATCACAAGGCTTCCTTATGTTGCTCTTTTATAATTGCCCTCACCTCTCTCCCACTTCCACTCCCTCCTAAACCCCAAACAACCAGTAATCTATTTTCCATTTTTATAACTTTGCATTTTAAAGACTGTCATATAAATGAAATCATATAATAAGCCACCTTTTAGGATTGGCTTTTACAATTAACATAATTCTCTGGAGATTCCTGGTTGTATTGTTTGTTCTTTCTTATTGCTGAGTAGTATTCCGTGATATGGTAGGACCATATGTGTTTAACCATTCACTCTGAAAAACATCTGGGTTGTTTCCAGTTTTAGACATGACTAGCAAATCTACTAAATCTACTGCAAACATTTATATGCAGGTTTTGTGAGAACATAAGTTTTTGTTTCCCTGGGTTACATACCCTCGAGTATAATTGTTGAATCATATAGTAGTTGCATGTTGAGTTTTCTTTAAGAAACAAGCAAACTACTTTTCCAGAATGGCTGAACAATTTCGCATTCCCACCAGCAATGCATGAGTGATCCAGTTTCTCTACATCCTCACCAGCATTTGTGTTGTTGCTATTTTTTTTAATTTTAGTCATTCTGAATGCTGTACAAGTGTTCTTTCTAAAAGGTAATCTGATTTTTCACACTGCTCAATTCTGTTGACATGTGCTGTTTTTAATTTTATTGTCTATACTTGGGGTATATAACATGATGTTTTGATATACATAGTGAAATAATTGCTACAGTCAAGCAAATTAACTTATATATTACCATAGTTACCTATTTTATAGTAAAAGCCCCTAAAATCTACTCTCTTAGCAAATTTTCAGTAAACAGTATTATTAACTACAGTCCTCGTAGTCCACAAATTGCATGTTTGTACCCTTTGGCCTTTATCTCCCCATTTCCTCCCCTTCCCTGTGCCTAGTAACCAAAATTCTACTTTCTGTTTCTATGTATTTGACTTTTCAAATATACTTTCAGCCATGAGCTTGAGTATGTGTCAATTTTGTCATATTAACATGATATGTGGGAGAATTCAAAAAAAGAGAAAGTTATATGAAAAATTAAAATCCATCTTAAAACTTAAACTTCCCAAGTATACTCCATTTTTCCTCTGTAGCATTTTCAGTTTGTAATTATATATTTATTATGTGACTGTGTGAAATTAGGTCATTTATTTTCTTCCCTTTTATATTGAACTTCCCCACTAGAGAGCAAGAATCCTGCCTCCTGCCTTATGCCCTGCTGCATGGCTTGTGTCTAGTATATAAGAACACCTGATAGAAATTAATAAACAATTACTGAATGTTAATATGTTTCCTAAATATGTTCATTTCTTGAATATAAAATTATTCCATAGATTATCTTAAGTAGTTGTTATGTAAATAATTGCTTAAAAACAGTGTCAGTGAGCATTATATAATGTTTAAACTTTGAATAGTGCATTAGCTTCTTTTTTATCACATATACAACAATTAGAAAGACCTGAGTTAACTCCTACTGGTCTTTAAGTATCAGAGAAAATTCTATTCTTATTCAAAATGGGGCTTTTGTTCCTTTAAAACATTTCTAAACTTTAAAACTTGAGAAGTCTGACCTCTAGTACAAATAAAAATGTCTCCTTTTTATAACTATATGTAATAGCTCTGATAGAAACGCACAGGACTTGTTCAATATTCTTTGCTTCAGACACATTACACATAAAGCTTCCCAAGAGAGAACTTACGTCTATTCTTAAAATTCCCCAATAGAAAAGATGGAGCTATGTTTTACTCTCCCATCTTAATATATGATCCATGGTACATACTTGATTTTGTCAGTTCCCTGTTTACATTTTCTTGCCCTATTGCAGTGCAGCTCTTGCCAGCATGCATATATATTGCCTGAGAGCTATTCTTGCTGGCAGTGTCTTCTTGCCATCTATATTGCAGTCTAGAAGTGCCAGAGAATGAATGCCTCTCCAAGTGTAGATCTCTAACAAAGACTAACAGCAGTTGATTTAGGAACATCACAGTTCTCTTTTGTCTTCATTGGGATAACTCTGAAGCATGTGCCCTATCCTGACTTCCAGAGTTCTTCCAGTGGTGTTGAGCTCTACTAACCAACCATATAACTTGCTTTAAAATGAATTCTTTGTTAGCTGCCTTCATTCCACATTCCTCTGCTGCTGTTTTTGAGAATCACACCCAAAATAAATTGCATCTTAATCTTTATCTCAGCTTGTTTTGGAGGAACCCAAACTAACATATAAATTCACATTTGAAGAAATAAAATTGGAGTTATTACTTTCATTCCAAATATCCCTAATTCTGATGAATGTAATGCAGTGACTTTAATGAGGGAGTCAGTACAAATAGAAAGCAGCTGTTTCCTTCCCCCCTCCCTGCTATCCTATTAAAACCACTTTGTCAATTCATCCCTCTCTGCATGAAAGCTTATGAGGTTCCCATATCTTTTATCTTCACCTTGAAGTTTAATAAATAGTTTCATATTCAACTGTTAAAGCCTACAATTTTTGTAGCCCCACATAGAGGCTGATCAGTCTCAGAAGTCTGCACTGGAGAAAGAAGTAGGGTTTCTTTCTTTCCTGTTTATCTACTTTACTGATCTCCTGTTCCTCCCACTCTTCCACTCTCTCTGCTGTCTCCAGCTCTTCAAGCTTGAAGCTGGGAAAGAGAACAAAGAATCAAATGGAATGTTAGACTGGAATGTTATAATCTGAAATGGTGCAGCTGATGCCACAGGGCCAGTTCTTCTGCTCCTTGGAGTACGGTGGGCTCCTCAGAAATCCAACCGCACCTCTTGCTGCAGACCTTACTCAGCACTCCTCTTGCCTGTGGTGATAATACAGTCTCTTACTGGCAGCTTAAAAGCTTTGCTCCTTCCATCCTTTGCCTTTCCTTCTGCATCCGACAGTACAGACCAGCCTCTTTCAACCAGATTCATCTTTCCTCAGCAGGAAGCCCTTTGGGGTGGGATCATTTTCCAAACAATCGAAGGCCAGATAGCTTCTAGAGTTCCAAGAGACCTCTGGAAATAGTACCCTTGGTTTGGGATGAGCAAAAATAGAATTCACTTCCATCAAAAGCCTCTTGGCTCTTCCTTCTATAAGGCCCACTACAGGCAGCCCAGCCTATTGGCATCGGAATTTTTTCTTTCCTTCTTTCTTTCTTTTTTTTCTTTTTTCTTTTTTTTTTTTTGACAGAGTCTCGCTCTGTCGCCCAGGCTGGAGTGCAGTGGTGCAATCTCGGCTCACTACAAGCTCCGCTTCCCGGGTTCACGCCATTCTCCTGCCTCAGCCTCCCGAGTAACTGGGACTACAGGCGCCGCCACCACACCTGGCTAATTTGCATTTTTTTTTTAGTAGAGACGGGGTTTCACAGTGTTAGCCAGAATGGTCTCGATCTCCTGACCTCGTGATCCACCCGCCTCAGCCTCCCAAAGTGCTAGGATTACAGGCGTGAGCCACCGCGCCCGGCTGGCATCGGACTTCTACAAGTGCAAGTCAACACAAAACCCTGTGCCCCCGACTGTAGGGAGTCCAAATTCTCTGAAGGTCTCTCCCCACCCGCTTGTTCCAGGTTAGTCTTCCTCCTGGCAGGAAGCACACCCAAGCTCTGTCAGAGGATTTTTACAACCTCCCAACTTGGCTCAAGGTATGGAGAAGAAAGGAAAAATCTACAGCTCTTCTCACAGAAACCCATCCTCATGGTCTTTCCTTTATTGCTCTTCTTTTTTCTCCTTGTATTGGCTTGAGGCACGTCATAGACAAAGGCTTATCTGTCTTTTGGGGTTACCCCTTAGCATGTTCTGCACAGCTGGCCTGTCAACTCGCTTTCAAATTAGTGGGTATTTAACAACCTCTCTTTGATCTCTGTAGCTCCAGCTGAAATTCTGAGACAGCAGGAAGAGTTCTCCTTTGACATTCTGCAACAATTCGAATTCACATTCTAAATTTAAAAAAAAAAACTTTTATTTATTAGGTTTTACTATATTCCAAACTTTGGGCTATATCTTGACTGACCATACATTATCAAGTTAGAATTGTCTTTTTAAATACATCATCTGATAGCTTTTTATCAGTGACACAAGTTAGGAACTCAGTTTACATGTATTTTCCATGAAATTATTTTTTAAGCATTGCAACCAACCTATAAGAATATACTGGTGAAGTATGTCTAAGGAAATGCCGGGCCATTTGCTGATATTTTAAAGAAAAGTTAGAAATGCCTTATTATAAAATGTATTGTGAGCCCTAAAATGACAAAAAGAGATATTCATGTCATATTCTGAAACTCACATTACTCACATTAGATTTATAAATTCATCACTGAATATTATTTTAAGTCTTCCACTACTTTTATGTATTTTCCATTTTTTAATTATGAATAAATATTAAAGGCATACACAATTTATTTTTAGATATAAAATTAGCTAGATCAGAATATGGCAGCTGTGTTTTAAGAAATCTTCAAAGGGCTAATATTCTCAGAGCTAATTTTGCATGAGGCAGATTAGTAACACCTGTTAATTGATTTGGCAGCTCTTTAATAATTACTCTAATAACTGGGTAAAAACTGTGGGCTAGCTCACTGCTAGTTCACTTTGTGGTTTCTCATATCAATAATACATCTTCAAAAATGTTCACATTTTGTTTAAAGCTGAAAGATTGATCCAAGTTGTGGTTGTAAAGACACTGAATCCAGAGGTATGGTGTTTATGTGCTGATATTAAGAATAATGATTTTTATAGAAACTCATAAATAAGGACACATGCATTGTCTCTTTTTCTCTCATCTCAAGTTGTGAAGCAGAGCCCTTCTCAAATCAGAAGGCTATTTAGGACATTCATCTTACTGAAAGTCAAAATGATTATTTGCCCGTGTGGGATATTGCTTTCTGATAAATAAACATGGGCTTCAGAGATTTGTAGAATTAGATATGTCACTTGGTAGTGTAATTTTTCCCCATTTCTCTTTAAATTTATAATTCCTTGAGATGTTAAAAAATCATCAATTAATTTTAAATAGTCATTTGCAGTAATATGGGAATTTATGGCATTTTTCTATAGCAAAGGCTAAAATTAGCCTTTCAATTGTAGATATTAAGTAGTCCTTTAAAAATTCATATTTATATATTATTATTTTAGTCAATAAAAATGGTTAAATGAATTTGCTTGAAAATACAATTATATGTATTCTCTGTCAATGGCTTTTCTGTGTTTACAAATAGAAAGTTGCCTTTTCTCAAACTCAGGTGGTATACTGAACCTGAATTCTAAGAGTCACACTGTGTTCTTTCTCACTTCTATCATCAGCAGTAAGGATCTGCAGTTAGAACTTACCTGACCATCTGGGTAGCACAAACACTTCTGATTGCTCTTAACTACATTATCAACTTTGCATGATATCAGCAACATTATTTTGTTTCTAGCAAAATCCTTACAAAAATAAGTGAAGCAGCTTACATCATTATTGTCTCACATTTAAGGTGTTCTAGCATTCTCAGGCCAATACATAATGAGCAAGAAGAGAAAATGAAAAATCAGTGGTATGGTTTGGCTGCGTACCCATCCAAATTTCATCTTGAATTGTAGTTCCCATAATCCCCACATGCTGTGGGAGGGACCCAGTGAGAGGTAATTGAATCATGGGGGCAGTTAGTTACCCCCATGATGTTGTCATGATAGTTAGTGAGTTCTCACAACATCTGATGGCTTTATAAGGGGTTTTTGCCACTTTGCTCAGCACTTCTCCTTCTTGTCACATGTGAAGAAGGTGCCTTGCTTCCCCTTTGCCTTCTGCCATGATTGTAAGTTTCCTGAGGCCTCCCCAGGCCTAGGGAACTGTGAGTCAATTAAATCTCTTTCCTTTATAATATACTCATTCTCAGGTATGTCTTTATTCGGAGGGTGAGAACAGACTAATACAGTAGATTGACACTGGGTAGTACAGTGCTGCTTTAAAGATACACAAAAATATGGAAGCAACTTTAGAACTGGGTAACAGGGAGAGACATTGGAAAAGTTTGGAGGGCTTAGAGGAAGACAGGAAAATGTGGGGACATTTGGAACTTCCTAGACTTGTTGAATGGCTTTGACCAAAATGCTGATAGCGATGTGGACAATGAAGTCCAGGCTGAGGTGGTCTAAGATGGACATGAGGAACTTCTTGGAAACTGGAGCAAAGATGACTTTTGTTATGCTTTAGCAAAGAGACTGGTGGAATTTTGCCCTGCCCTAGAGATCTGTGGAATTTTGAACTTGAGAGAGATAATTTAGGGTATCTGGCAGAAGAAATTTCTAAGTGGGAAATCATTCAAGAGGAAGCAGAACATAAAAGTTTGGAAAACTTGCAACCTGATGAGGCAATAGAAAAGAAAAGCCCAGTTTTTAGGGAGAAATTCAAGCCCACTGCAGAAACTTGCATAAGTAATGAGCAGCCAAATGTTAATCACCAAGACAATGGAGAAAATGTCTCTGGACATGTCTGAGACCTTCGCGGAAGCCCCTCCCCTTATAGGCCTAGAGAACTAGGAGGAAAAAATTGTTTTGTGAGCCAAGCACAAGGCCTTGCTGTTTTGTGCCCTGCATCTCAGCTGTGGCTAAAAGAGGCCAACATACAGCTCAGGCTGTTGCTTCAGAGGATGCAAGTCCCTAACCTTGGTGGCTTACATGTGGTGTTGGGCCCGAGGGGGCACAGAGGTCAAGAACTGAGATTTGGGAACCTCTGCCTAGATTTCAGAGGATGTATGGAAATGCCTGGATGTCCAGGTAGAAGTATGTGCTGAGGTGGAGCCCTCATGGAGCATCTCTGCTAGATCAATACAGATAGGAAAAGTGGGGTCAGAGGCCCCACACTGGGTCCCCACTGAGGCACTGTGTAATGAAGCCATGAGAAGAGGGCCACCATGCTCCAGGCCTCAGAATGGTAGATCCACCAACAGTTTGCACTGTGCACCTGTAAAAGCCACAGACTCAATGCCAGCCTGTGACACCAGCCAGGAGAGGGTGTGTACCCTGTAAAAGCACAGGGGTGGAGCTACCCAAATCCATAGGAACCTACCTCTTGCATCAGCCTCACCTAGATGTGAGACACGGAGTCAAAGGGGATCATTCTGGAACTTTAAGGTTTAATGACTACGCTATTGGATTTTAGACTTGCATGGGGCCTGTAGCCACTTTGTTTTGGGCAATTACTCCCATTTGGAATGGGTATCTTTGCCCAATGCCTGTACCCCCATTGTATGTAGGAAGTAACTAACTTGCTTTTGATTTTACAGGCTCATAGGTGGGAGGAAGTTGCCTTGTCTCAGATGTATCTTTGGACTTGGACTTTTGGGTTAATGCTGGAATGAGTTAAGGCTTTGGGGGACTGTTAGAAGGGCATGATTTTGTTTTGAAATGTGAGGACATGAGATCTGGGAGGGGCTAAGGGAAGAATGATATGGTTTGCCTGTGTCCCCACCCAAATCTCATGTTGAATTGTAGTTCACATAATCCTTGGGGTGGTGAGAGGTAATTGAATCATGGTGCAGTTATCCTCATGCTGTTCTTGTGATAGTGAGTTCTCACAAGGTCTGATGGTTTTATAAGGGGCTTTTCCCCCCTTTGCTCAGCACTTCTCCTTCTTGCCTCCTTGTGAAGAAGGTGCCTTGCATCCCCTTTGCTTTCTGCCATGATTGTAAGCTTCCTGAGGCCTCCCTACCCATGCTGAACTGAGTCAATTAAACCTCTTTTCTTTATATGTTACTCAGTCTCAGTTATATCTTTATTAGCAGCATGAGAACAGACTAATACAATCAGTAAGTTAAAATGGAAAATCAACACGATTTCTCTTCAGGGACTATAAAAAGAGGATCAATTTAGCCTTTGGTAGCCTGGGCCTGAGCAGCATGGTAAGAGAAGGAGGAGGAGAATGAAGAGTAGCATATGATGTTTGTTAGGCATCTACTTCACTGTCCTTTAAAAAATTAAGTAAAAATTAAAAAAAAACCTTCAGTAAGGCTTATATTAATTTTTTAAGATTTTTGTAATTTTTAAAAAAAAAATTTATGAGGCAGGGTCTCACTATGTTGCCTAGACTGGTCTCAAACTCCTGGACTCACTCAAGCAATCCTTCTGTCTCAGCCTCCCAAGGTGCTGTGATTACAGGCATTATCTACCATGCCTGGTGAAGATTTTTGTAATATAATTGATATTTTATTTGGATGTGTCAGGCATTAGTGACAGTCAAACCATGTGCAGGATACATATTGAATTCTAACAGAATTAAAGTTTCTGCTCTTATTTTCTGGTATACAGCTTAGAGAACTATCAGAAAGAGCCAAGCCCATTTTTGTCTTACATATAATTAACGTTTTGTTGACATTTGTAAAGGTGCCATTCAAAGAAAGTTGCATGCCTACTTGGCTTCTTCATATCTGGGGTTCATTTTTACAGTTATTTCTCATCACACACTCACATTGGATTTTGTGCTATTTTGCTTAAGAATATATATGTATTTCCTATTTGGCAATACAGAGTACCATAAATTTACTGGCTTAAACTCACCATCCCCCAAAACCCACAAATGAATTTATTGTCTTACAGTATTGGAGGTCAGAAGTTCAACAGAGATCCTGCCAGGCTAAGATCAAGTTATTTGCAGGGCAGGGTTCCTTTCAGAAGGCTCTATGGGAGAGTTTTTTTCTTGCCTTTTCCAGCTTCTATAGGCTGCCCTTATTTCTTGGCTCATGGCCTTTCCTTCCTCTGCAAAGCCAGGAACATTTGACTAAGTCCTTATGTCATATCTCTCTGAACTACTCTTCTGCCCTCCTCTTTTTCCACTTTTAAATTAACGTGATCAGATTGGACCCACTTGGTAATTCAGCATAATCTGCCAATCTCAAGTTTAGCCCATTAGAAACATTTATTGCATGTGCAGTCTTAATTTTCTTTTGCCATGTAAGGTAACATAATTTACAGGTTCTGGGAATTAGAGTGTGGATACCTTTGGAGGGTCATTATTTCTGCCTACCATCTCCTATATCTGCCTACCGATTAGGTTTAGCTGTGAATAATAGAGACTAAAAATAATAATGATTTAAATAAAACAAGTTTATTTTCCTATCACATAAATGTCCTAATACAATGATTAGCATTTTTATATTATAGATGTTGAAACGAATACTAATAATTTCAATGAATCATATGAACTATGGATATTATTAAAAGATGACTTTGTTTTCATTTTAACACCAGTGCAAATTTCTAAAGTAGGTTTATTCTATGTGTATATAAAGTTATTACAACCAGTCATTTTTATTAAGTTTGTAAAAAAAAATCCAGTAACAACAAAAAACTGAGTTCTAAAGGGAGACAGGAAGAGCAAAAGCAAAGATCACTTTTGAATCATTTGCATTAACATCACATAGCAACTTGTAATAATACCAATGACAAAAACATGTTTATTAGGAAGTTTTAAAAAGGTAATGAGATTTCTTGGCTATTTAAAATGCTTATGAGAAACTGAAGCCCTGAAAATACCTTAGTGGACAGGAATAATAAACTAATTATTGGAAGGTGACATTTAATAGGGATAATGTGATTTTAAAAATATGAAGAGACAGTATAAGGACATAGTATTTTAATGGAAACATCTATTTAATTTTCTTAAGCTGATAGGAGGATTTGGTGGTAGTGTAATAGCCAGATGCTAATTACAACCTAATTTGAATGAATAGCATCATATAGAGAATATTCCTTAAAAAATGTGCGGAGTGTGGCACTCTGGGCTGTTCCTTCCATACCTGAATATAAAGTACAATTCTGGACACAGTAACAAGAAGGGCACATTTAAGCTGAAACATTTCCAGAAGAGAATAAACCTGAGGATGAAAAGTCTGACACTGTGCCAGTTCTGAAATCAGAACTGTGTGTCTTGTGGAGATAAACATATAGGGAATGTGATAGCCGTCTTAAAATATCTACAGAATATCAGATAAAGAACATTTAGACCTGATCCATGTAGTCTCAAGGGACAGTTCTCAGACCAAAGAGAAAATTTTTTTTCAATTTAAAGTCAATATTTTTCTAATAACTAGAGATTTCAGGAAGTAGAATAGACTACATCAAGGGGAAGTGGATGATCCACCACAAGATTGTACCTGCATAAACTAAGAATTTATTTCCAGAAACACTTTCAGAGAAGACTTAGGGCTAATCCTCAGATGTCCTCTAAGCTTCCTTGACCAATCCCTCCTATGTTAGTACTGAGTAAAGCATGTATGCCACACTTACATATGGCATCCTTATTCTTTCTTTTTTTTTTTTGACATTCTATTTCTTAGAATTTGTTACATTCTTTTAACTAGTATACTAGAAATAGAATAATTCTGCACATTGTATTTTAGCCAATAAAAACTGAAGTATATTTTGTTTATTACTGGTGGTAGGGCATATGGTAAAGAACATATAGCATCGAACTCAGGACTTCAAATACAATTCTGTAAGCATGATAACAAGAATTATCTTCACAGCTCTCTGAAGGATTTCCTTCTTTATCTGAAATGAGAGTAACTAAGACTGACGATTTGGATAACCCATAAGACCCCCAAAAATTATGGAAAAAAGAAGCCCTAAAAATTAGGAATACATTTTGTGACAGGTAGGATGGGGGTTTATATCTATTTTGTTTGCGTAGGTACAGCTATAAAAAAACTAGCTTATATTAGGTCAATGTTTCCACCAAGAAAAAAAATTGAAAGCTAGAAAACATGCATACAACACTCACAAGACCACAACCAACAACAACAAACAATAAATAAGCTGTTTTAAGGCAGTGAAAAGAAACAATGATATTTAAGTGGCCAGGACCCCAGGAAGAAGGGAAATACATCATGGCAAGTCCCAAATTATCTGACACTTTCCCATCCAAGCATTTTCAACCAAGCAGAAAACTGCAGCTCAGTGATTTGTGCAGTCTCATAAGGCTGAGTAGGCAAAACTTGGAGTTTAGGGTTACCATGGCAGCCATCACATTAAAAGTCAAGATCCAAAACAAAGTAATGTGTAGAAGTATAAGTCTGATATTTTGTGCATTTTGTTTTCCCTCAAGGCATTCTACTGATCCCTAAAGTGTGCATAAGATACTGAGAACTTAAGCAGAAATTGACGTGTAAATGTCTAAAAAATAAATCAGGGACTTCAGTAGTCCCAAATGGATGAAGAGACAAAATTGGAGCTTATTGTTTTTCAAAGAAAATAGGCACTGGTAATCAAACCCAGACTTTCAATTGATTGGTATGCTAAGGACAACACTCTATAAGTAAGAAAAAACAAAAATAGAGAAACCTTAAAAAATAAACAACAACCAAACTGAAGCACAGTCTTTAATCAACTCAATCTCTGACTGAATTAAGGTGATTTTTTTAATCAATGTAACTGTTTTCCAAAGAAACCTAAATCTCCTCGAAATAAGATTGGCATCATTCAAAGGCTAAATTGCTTTCTTTATGCAAAATGTCCAAAATTTTATTTTAAAACACACAAGCTGTGCTAAGAGATAAAACCAAATAGCTGAAAATCAAGATGTTAAAAAAAAACACGATAAAATTAAAATTGATCTACAGGCTATTCAGATACTAGGATATTAGACACTGTGCAAATCTGGTATCAATGCATTAATGGCTAAAATGATAAAGGTACCATGAAAGCTATGATTCAAGTATTTTAAAAATAGAAGACAAGGTGGAAAGTTATACCTGAAAAGTATAATCCACAAAGAAGAATTAAATAGGAATACTAGAACTGAAAAACATCATAAATGAAGTTAAGAAATCAATAAAATGTTTAACAGCATTCTAATTAGATAGAGCAGTTGGAAAAATCCAAACTAACTCAGAGGGAGTAAAAAGGGTACAAATACAGAACTGTGCATCAGGACCAAGTAAAACATAATTATTTTTAACATATGTGTAATTCATATTCAGAAAAATGAAAACAATATTTGAAAATATAGTGACCACAACTTTTCCAAGCTAAAAAACATTAAGCCACAGATAAAAGAAGCTCTATGTCCTGTGTAAAAAGATAAATAAAATTAAAATCACAGGTAAGAATAAAAAGCTTCTAAAAGATAAACAATTGGAAGGAAGAAAGAAAATAAAGATAAGAAAGGAAAGGGCCACACTCTATAAGTAAGAACAAACAAAAATATAGAAGCCTTAAAAAATAAACAACAACAGAACTGAAGCACAGTCTTTAATCAACTCAATCTCTGACTGGATTAAGATGATTTTACCTTCAAAGGAGAAACAACACTGACAGTTGACTTTTAAACAAAAATGATCGTGGCCAGAAGAAAATGGAATGACATTTCTAAAGAGGCAAAGACAAATAAAATAACCCAGAAAAAATACTGGTCATAAGAAAAGCTAAAGAAAGACACTTTCAAGCCAATAAAAACTGAGCTAATTCATTATCTTCAATATGCCACGTGAAACTTGTGAGATTGGGGTAAAATAATGTCTGGAGGAAATTTTATACCTTAAATGCATGTTAGAAAATAAAAACAATATTTAAAATCTCTATTTTTACATTTAATTATCTATCTCCAGAAGTTTTAATTCACAGGATAAATGACATCTTCATATGACAAGGCACTGCCAGCCTATTATTTGCTGTATTTCTGATCACTAACAAAGTCCTCTAGTGTTAGATGGATATCACTTTAAGAAACTACTAAAAATGTGGGCTCAATTGCTGAATTGTCTTTGGAGTAGATTAGATTTGTTACATCTGCATTGTGATGCACTTCTACTGATGTATTAGCTGGAGTGTGTGCACTGGGAGGAATCTGTATTCTATTATAGCTCCTTTATGGCATGTGGCTTGGGTCATAAGTTGAAGATGGTGGCTGACATGGCTCAGTGGACAGATAGGTTGCTTCAGCATTTTCATTTTCTGCAATATTGTTATATTGTTATCTTCTTCAATTCCAGCAGATACTAGTTGAGGCAGCTCCCCATTCTTTAAACAAATATGAATATATTTTGCTTTTCATCTTACATACTTTCTGTGTTTCACATTTTCATCAGTGAGTTGTCCTAATATTATTATGGCATCTATTTAAAACTGTGGAGTATAAAAAGGGCTTGATCATCTTGTGAAATCACCCAGCATGATCATTGTCTGAGTATAAAAACATTTTCTAAGCATAGTTCTCCAAATGGGCAGGACTAAGTATTTTCTTGCCTAATAGCTTCATGATCACCCAACTGTTTCATAAGTATTTCTAACTGATCCATTAGCTTTGATAAAAATGTACAACTCTCAGGAGTTTTACTATCAGTCTTCATTCTGGTTTGCATTGCATAGAAACAACAGTAATAGAGCACCGCGGGGTCCGGCTTGTCATGCTCCTGAGCTGTTTTCATATGATGCTGTATGCTCTTAAACTGGGGAGGAAGTGGGGACAGTAGAGCAATCATGAACATCTCTATTCCAGAAATCACCATTTCCTCTGCAGATCATATTTTTATGAATAAAAATAAAAAACAAAAATAAGTTACTGGAATGAATAAGTGATATAGCAAAGATTTTGAATTCAGCCAATATAAAGATCCATTTTACTTGTATGTACTGGCAGTTAGAAAATCTAATTTAAGAAAAGATACCTTTACTATGGCACGATACATGAAATTTAAGATATGTAGTCAAAAAAATTACAAAATGTTTTAGAAACATTTAGAAATAAATGTAAAACCTTAAACTATATTATCAACATGGATGGGAAATAATATATTAAAGACATTACTTTTCCTGAAATTGTTCTATTGATTGATGGAAATCATAGGGGCAATTTGATAGGTTGATCCTACAATGTATATGGAATTGAATGCTCTAAGAGTAGCCAAGATGATTTGAAGACAAAGAATCAGATTAGAAACATTGTACATCTAAACATCAAGAAATGCCAGTGACTGATACAAGCTGATATTATGCAACAATAGACAAATACAGTAATGGAGATGACTAGAGCAATAGATGGCAAACCATGACCTGTGAGCTGGATTCTGCTTTTATAAATAAAGTTTTATTGGAATGGAACTATAACCATTCATTGACATATTGTCTATGGTTGCTTTTGCATTACAATGGATAAGTTGAGTAGTTGTGCAGAGACCATATGATGCACAATGCTTGAAATATTTAATATCCGTTCTTTCAGAAAGTTTGCCTGCCATGGGCTAGAGAGTTTAAAAACATACTTGAGTGCATGTTACCACTTGGCCTGTGACAAACATAACACTGCCAGTGAGGGAAGTAAGATCTTTTCAATAAATTGTACCAGGTCCTACAGAAATGCTTAGAGAAAAGGTAACTCTTGACTCACTCTTCACATCACATTCAAAACCTAATTCCAAGATTAGTTCGGATACAAATGTAAAAGGTCAAATTTTTATAATAAATATCTGAATTAATGAGATCAGAATGTATTTATAGCCTTGGGATAAACAAAGAGTTGTTAAAAAAGGAAACACTAAGAAGGAGCTATGAGTTTCTGTAAAGCAATAGTAGGCATCATTTTCAGACAAAAAAGACGCTAGATTATTTTTCAAACAACTTTGAGTCTGATCTGCCTGAAAACTGATAGCGTTTAGAACAACTTTTAAATGTGAATGAAGAAGAATGGACCCCTCATATCCCCTTCCCTTCCATTATCCTCAAAGGGTATAAGTTCAGGAAGGATGAAAAGGGCTCCTAATCACTATTATCAGTGATAAAAAATTTGTTCAATAATATGCCTGAGTTACACTATCTTGGGTGTTCTTTATTATAGGCTATATATTCCTAGCGAAGAAAAGACTGGAAATAATTTTGGCAAATCACTTGAAAGAATACATATTTCATTTCACTCCACACAACAGAGCCCATTTGGAGTATTTAATGGAACTGTTTACAGCCTACCTGAAAATCTTAAATTTGATTTTCAGCATCCCCATTTAGTTTTATCATACCATTTGCACTGCCTACTAATTCTGTGGCTGTGTGGAAGATTGTGCAAAATCCCAGTTTGTCCCTGCCTGTTGATAACACCTTTATTCAACTATTTTAAAGCTGAGTAGCAAGTGCTAGTATTTTTTACATCACTTAGAGCCAGTCTTTTCTGAAGGCAGGTGGAAAAACCATTTAAATGATATGAATATAGGAATTATTAGAAGGCTACATAAAACAAGTCTTTAAACTTCTATCAGGTGTCAGCAAACTGTTTTCTGTAAACAGCCAGAAAGTAAATATTTTAGGCTTTGCAGGCCGTATAATCTTTGTAGCAGCCATTCAACAATGCTGTATTCATGTAAAAGCAGCCATAGTAGTCATAAGTAAACAAATGGGCATTACCACGTTCCTTTATTCACAAAGACAGGTGTCTGGCTAATTTTGGGCAGTGGTCCATAGTTGCCCAATGCCTTTGCTAGGTCAATCCTGAAATTCTATCCTTCCCTTATTTTAAGATAGTGATCCTTCTTATAATATAAGGGCAACCCTATATACTACCAACTACCAAGTATAATTTTGTAGAAATTATCTTTCAAATGCAAAATGGATTTCAAAAAGAACAAAAGTAAAAAGCACTGAGAGACCTAGGCTAAATGAGGTCAATGCCAATATTTAGCATCAATTATTAGGAAAATGTATTTTTTAAAAATATTGACCAGGAACAGAAGGCAAACCTCATTGAAGAAAGACTTTTTCTGGCGTCCATGTCAACTCATTCATTAAGTCACTTACTATTCAACAAAACATTATTGTCCACTTCCTATGTCAAAGGACACTTTATACTAGGTGCTAAGGATAGGGTATTAAATACATGCCAGCCAAGATCCAGGCCTTAATGGAGTTTTTAATCTAGTAGGAAATACAGACACCAGGTAACTAATTAAAAGGGTAATTAATGCTGCTGAAGAGAAGTAGAAATACTGTGAAAGCAGATGATAGAAAATCTTATGTAGAAGGCAGGAATAGGGTGGGGTGGAGGTGCTGATAAAATATCTCTGAGTGAGTAATGCTTAAGCCATAATATTAAGTCAGAGCTGGCCAGGAGTAGAGGACTGAGGTTGAGAGGGGTAAGGGTTTTCAGGGCTTCAGTCTTGGACTTGCTGTCCATACTCTAAGGTCATACGTTTCACATTTGTATTTAATTATGATACTGAGGATAACCTTATTTCACTTAGTAAAACAGAATAAGTATTTTCCTACTGTGGCTACTGGGTGAGCATCTCAGATGCCTTAGAACAGAAATAAGGATTTATCCTTATTTCATCTTGGATGAGTTATCCTGCGCTCTTGGCCAAAATTTAACCTAGCTTCATGTTTGACCTTCATCTACTTATCAAATATAATTATTTCACTGATATTAAGTCAAAGACCATGAAAAAACTTTAGCCAGGATAAATTTTATGTTTAGGGATGAACACCCATTTGACAAGAGACAGAGAGAGACAGAAAGGAGGGAGGGTGGGAGGAAGAAAGGAAGGAAGAAATAAGAAAAGAACTGGTCTTGGTGTAGAGAGATCCTGACAAGTGACTAATAGCAGAAAAATATCTTCAAGTTTATGTCTAAAGAGGTTTAAACTGAAAATGCCACCCAAAAGGCATTTGGAGAATTGTTTTGTGAGTAAATGTCATATCTGTAGGAAAAAAAAAGACTAATAGACTCTCTGAACTGTAACAGCTTGACCGCAGTAAAATATACAGTCAATTTTTATAAGACTTATTCATAGTGCAATGGGTAAAGCTACTTGTTTCTTGATGTTACAATATTTAATACTCTGTACACTGTGGGTGATACACCACAGGTTTGCAAGACTTGGGTCAAGAGAATTGGTACAACCCTGAGACTTGCTTTATGTTTCTATCTGACATTTTCATTCAAGAGCTACGCCTGCAACTTCAGCAAATGGTGTAACATAAAAGAGCAGATATATGCATACAATTGTCATCTCTTTAATCCCACATCTTTATGGCTATGAGGGTCACAGAGGACCAGTGGTCCTGAGATACCAGATTTGATATCTATCCTCTTGGAAGACAGTCTCCTGGAGGAATTTCCACCTTTCAGATCCAGTAGACTGGACCCTAATACATCAGGGCAATTATTTTCTAAATAGAATATTAGTGCATCACTCGTAGGGGAAAATCATTGATGAGTTGATGCATATAATTAATGTAGTTTTGATATCATAAATAAGAAATGTACATTGAAGAACTGTTCATTTGTAGAAGCCAAGACACTGAGGTGACTATTTAAAATTAAGTTATTTCTATGCATGGACCACACAACAGCAATAAGCACTCAGAGAGATGGTTGACTCCTATTTCTCAGATGTCAGCTCAGTGGTCACTTATGCAGAGGAACCTTTTCTTACCTTTCAAACAAATGTGAATCTCCCACTTAAAACTTATCATAGTTTAAGGTCCTTCTCCATTCTGTAGTATTTATTATGTCAGGATCTCACTAGTATTTGAATGGTTATTTTGTGAATATCAGTGTTCCACTAAATAACATCAGTGATATAAGCATGGGCATAATGTCTAGTTTTGTCCACCTTTGTGTTCAAAAGCATTGTCTACAGTAGTACGTGATGGATATAGAAAACTATTTTTATTGAATGAATGAGTCAATGAATGGGAAATAATAATATAATAGCTGATAGATTTATAGAGGGCAAAACATATATAGGTTTAATTTGTTTTAATTTGGGGAGCAGAGTCAAAATAATCATGTTAATAAAAATATATCCACAATCAGCTTGCCTAAATTCAGCTAATTCAAAATATTAGAAACTAAATCTTTGCTTAAGAATTTTCTGGTAAAATGCAATACTCCACAAGCAAGATACTACAGTAAGTAATTAATCGTACAACTGAGTTTGCTAGATTCGGTCCATTTCTGGATCTGTCAATGAGTGGAAAAAGTTTCATAAATCCTCTTTATCAGATTAGTCCTTAGGGCTTAGTAAATAAAAACAGTGAGTAAATGACGCACGGAGGTAGGGACAGAGGAAGGAAGAGGATTTAGAGCTATAACAGTGTGGGGGATAGAGCTTGAGTTCTAGCACCAGATTGTCTGGATTCATAAACCTCTCTGCAATGAACATCAGCTGTATGTCTTATGCCACTTATTTAATCTCATTGGGGCTTCACTTTCCCCATCTCTAAAGTGGGCATGTTAATGTGCTTGCACCATTAGGCAATTTAGAGTATTAATTACAGTAACATGTGTAACGTGCTTAGAAGGCTTAGAAGTGTGTCAGTCACATTGCGTATGCACTATGCAAGGGTTAACCCTTAATTTTCCACCCTCTTTGTAGACTTGGTATACTTCAGGCCTATAGTCATGCTGTTGTTGCTCTTTTTAGAAGAAAACCCCTTTAGAACTTGACAATCTTAGAAAGAATTGAAAGTTGTAGTTCAACATTTAGGAAATACTTCAAAAAGCAGGCTTTTTTCACATAGATCCTGTTGAGTTTTAAGCATCTGAATTTTTTGTGGTAAACA
Organism: Homo sapiens; assembly: GCF_000001405.40. Taxonomy (NCBI): domain Eukaryota; kingdom Metazoa; phylum Chordata; class Mammalia; order Primates; family Hominidae; genus Homo; species Homo sapiens. The sequence goes on from NC_000008.11 coordinate 87,581,572, forward strand.
TTACAAGTTTTTAGGATGAATAGCAAAACTAAGAAAGTTCTTATAATTAAAATATTTCTTGGCACACCGTCTATTTCTACGTTCCAACTTCTCTATGTCTATATTTGTAATTTACAGATGATGAGAAAACAATGAGCAAGTATACGGATGCCATTACTTTTTTAAACATACATACTTATATATATTATATATTATATAAATATGTATTATATATAAATATATAATACATAATTATATATTATATATTATATGTATTTATATAATTATATAAATTATATAAATACATATATTTTATATAATTTATATATTTTATATATTATAAATATATATAATATAATTATATAAATATATTATATATTATATATTAATTATATACATAATTATATATTATATTATATATTTATATATTAATTATATACATAATTATATATTATATATATATATACATATATATGAAGATTGGGTCCTCTTAGGAGGCCATATCTGCCTCATCACCCCTCAGGGGGTCAGGATGGCCACTAGGTGGCACTCAGATTTCAAATTGCAATGCAAATTAGATAAGGTATCTAATTTCCAAAAAAGTTTATTGTCCCCAAAACTTTGCTATACTGCAGAATAGCTCTTTCTTCCCCTTTAGCTATCTAAATGTGTGGAGGTTCCACAAGATAAAGTTGAATCTTCACTGTACAATCGAATTAGTGCTCTCCCTTTTAATTACAGGTTTAAGAATATGTACGTATGGATTCTATTGCAACACAAATACTACATAATTATTTCATTTTTATTCTGTAACCAAAATGCTTTAAGTTAAGAAAGCCCCTTCAAGATATTTCAAAGATATAAGCCTTAATATCAGTACTTCAGTACTGAAACTGTAGGAAAATGTCAATTAGAAAGATTATGCATTGAAAAGTCATTTTTAAAACTTCCTGCATTCGTGTCCTGTTTTCTGCATGGATTTGTAACATTAATGGAAGTGTTTTAAACATCTAACAATGCTTACTATAATTTTTTAAAATATATGTTACCTCTCTAAAACTGTCTTATTCAAAAACCAAGCCTGATAGAAAAGAAATATGGATCTGTGAATAAGAAAGAGATTGTGGAATCATAAAGCAACTACATTGGACTTTCTGTTTAAGAATTGAATGAATTTGAACAAATTGAAAAGGAATTTTCAAATGTCAGAAAATGCCAGTATATTAAAAATTTTAAGCAAGGCATAAGCATTAAAATGGATGCTTCAATCTCAATAAATCCTCCATACCAAACCACAATGCATACAAGATTCGAGGTTTAAACTTACTGAAATCGAGGTGCATTTGACATGAGATACCTGTATTTGTAGTTTATTTATTGTCTTCAAACTTTATTAAGAACTTACTCTGTGGTAATCCCTGTTCTGTACACTGGAGATACAAAGGTTAAAATAAGGTCACAGAACACAGGTAATTTAGCTTATATTGGGTTCTATGGACATTTGTCAAGTAAAGACTTCAAATAATTTTTGAAAATAATAAGTGATAAAAGAAAAACAAACAAACAAAAAAAAACGGTCACAGGAGAGACTTTGAAGGGCTTATTTTAGGTTAAGGTATGCATGTCCAAGAGGAAAAGATCATATGAAGTTTTGCAGGGAATAGTCACCCAGCAGAAAAAAATCATCCAGTGCAAAGGCCTTGGTGAAGTGTACCAGGGTAAAATTTATTAAGGAAACTCCGGAAGAAAAGTACACTTGAGGGAAAATCAAGACTCCAATTTTGATCATGTTACATTTCAAATCCCTATTAGACCTCCAAATGGAGTTGTCAATTAAATAGTTGGGTGTGAAGCTATAGGGAAAAATTAAGAGTAGAGATTTGGAAAAGTTTAGAATGGAGATTCGTGAAGGGAAATTACCTGTTGAAAGAAAAAAAGATAAAACTTTAGGAGCAATCTTGTGATCGTGCCAACATTTGCTGCTTAGAGAGATGATAAGAACTCCGTAAAAGGAATTTGTGAATATATATTGAATTGAAATGTACATGGGATTTGTTTTAATCAGATAAGACACATAGACACAGAAATGACTGTCATGAAGAAGGAAGTTTTTGTACTCACAGATCCCTAGAAACAGGAGGCATAGCCTGCCATGCTGGGCCACGCACTAGGATTGGTTAGAAGGCAAAAGGAGTAGAGGGAAACATAGGCAAACATCTTTGTATGGTTTTAAGAGGAAGAAATGGTCAAGGCAGCGTAAATAGTCATAAGATTGGTGAGTTTGAAAATTTTTTGTGAGCTCAGGGGTTGTCCCCAGTTGTCTGGTATTTGACCCTGAGTGATTAGGGCAGGGGAATATAAATCTGAAATGTTAGAGCCCTGTGGGAACCTAATAAAGGAAGTGGTTGTGGTTTACGGGCTTTGGATTCTAAGAATTTGCTAATCCTGGTAGGGGCAGTCTCTCCCAGATCACAAAAGGTCAACAATGTCAAAGTATCAGAAAAGAAACGGAAAATAGAAAACATGATTAATACATATTGGCTGTAAAGTTAGAAGAAAATAAGTAAAGTGTGATTTTACAGCAAACAAGAAAGTTATAAAAAAGAAGAAATTGTTCCCCATGTCAAAAATGGCTTTGAGTAGGGAAAGTTGAGAGGAGAGGGGCCATTGACATTGACAACACGAATGTCCCAATGACCTTCGAGACAAATTTTAAAGGAGTTGTGGGACTGAAGCATATCAAAATGAGTTGAGGACACAATGGGCTGAGGAGCGGTGGTGAATAATTTGACACAGAATTTTGGTAAGAGGAGAACACAAAGAAATGGTGTATAAGATCACCTAGTTTTCCTTTACTGTCTAGGCCTCAAATTTTGCCTGGTGACTTCCATTTCAGAGACTCTTGGTTTTGTCAAAAGAATGTTGAATGCTAAACCCACACCCAGCCCTCTTTGCTCTCTCAGCTCCCAGAACACTGAGAGCCAGAGCAGCACAGTTGAGGTAGGATATAAGAGTCTTCTAGCCCAATAAAGATATTGGCATTTGGGGTTTCCAACAACTGGCCCTGTCAGATGATCTTCCAGTGAAGGGTAAATTGACAAGTCACACTACACATCCACAGCCTCCAAACTGGATTTAGTTCTCCACCTTTATGAGTACACAGCCAAGTACTACCTGTCATCTAAGAAACAATACTATAATGGTTAAGACGGTAGATTTTAGATCTATACTGCTTGGATTAAAATCACAGCTTTAAGCTGGGCGCTGTGGCTCACGCCTGTAATCCCAGCACTTTGGGAGGCCGGGGTGGGTGGATCACGAGGTCAGGAGATCGAGACCATCCTGGTTAACATGGTGAAACCCCATCTCTACTAAAATAAAATAAAATAAAATAATAAAAATAAAAAATTAACCAGTCATGGTGGTGGGCGCCTGTAGTCCCAGCTACTTGGGAGGCTGAGGTGGGAGAATGGCGTGAAGCCAGGAGGCGGAGCTTGCAGTGAGCCGAGATCGCACCACTGCACACGAGCCTGGGCGACAGAGTGAGACTCGTCTCAAAAAAAAAAAAAAGAAATCACAGCTTTACAATTTACTATATGGGTACCTTAGGCAAGTTGGTTAATCTATTTACACCTAATTGTTCTCATCTCTAAAATAAAGACAATAAAACTTCCTACCTCATAAAGTTGTGTGAAGTTATTGAGCAAATAGAAAAGTTCTTGATAAGCCTTAGGTCAACATCAACAATTAATATTGTTACTGTTTTATTAGTAAGATAGGAAGGAAACAGAAAGAAATAGAAGAAATTTAGAGAAAAAAGGAGAAAAAATAAAAGATGCTGAAGGAGAAAATTTTGAAAGCAAGGAGGGAAGGAAGTCATCAGTGAAAACTATGAGAGTCGTCAGAATCAAAATGGAGTCACTAGTGTTAAAACAACAACACCAAAATCTTGACAAATAGAGCCAGGGAAAGCTATGAAGAGAAGATTGTTATGCTTGCTTGCCTGATAACAAAAACTATCACAAAATGCACGGCAAATAGTACAACCTTGCACAAAGGCCATCACAATCTTACACAAATATACTTCTGCAAGGACATTTATCTATCCAACAACTGCCTGTCCAACCTCAGACTGCCATCGCCTTTATTATTGATTTTTGAAAATTGAATTACTGAGACCTGGAGCAAGATGGAGGAATAGAAGACTCCACCAATTATCACCCCACAAGGACACCACCGATTTAACAACTATCTACACACTAAAAAGGATATTCCAATGAAGCTCCGGGTGGCTCAGGGCAAAGAGAGAGAGAGACTTTGGGAGAAAGTAAGGAAAGAGAACAACAGTCTCTGCCTGGTAATCCAGATAATTTTTCCAGGGCTTGTTCATGACCATCAAGGCAGTACCTCTATGAGTCTGCAAGAACCACAGTGATACTAGGCTTGCAGTTCCCCCTAAAGCAGATACAGCTTATCCCACAACACCCAAGTCCTTTAGAATACTGGAAAGCCTCCCCACCAAGGATGGGTACAAACAAGCACCTTTGTTATTGATTTTTGTAACCAAGGATAATTATTTCAAAACAATTATTTAATCATCCTCATTTTTTTCTTTAACGTTTTTTGTCTTCCTTTCTCTGGCTGAGTACTTGCATAGTTTACGATGGCATACGTACTCCAATTGCAATGCTCTGTCCCAAATAAGTATCTTTTTCTTTCAGACAACCTCTTTCTGTTATTTAGGTTGACAACACATACCAAATAATTTCCTAGATAGAGAGGGCTTGAATTTCCAGAAGAAAAAAAATCTGAGTTCCCAGCACAAAGGACAAAATAGACACACATATTATAGTATTTTAGTAGAAGAATTGTCATTTGCACATGAAAAACTAAATTTTAAAGTGTACATTTTATAATTGAAACTTCACAAATGAGAGAGGACTTTAACCAAAAAAAGCAGTAGCTTCATAGCAAGGCTGTAGTGAGTACAAATAGTTAGTAGGGAGCAAATGAAGGTGGACCCCAGATTTCTACACTTATTGTTTATTCCAGAAGGAGGGGGCTCACCTTGAATGGTTGCTTTTAGAAGCGAGATAGTGATGACCAGGGTGCAAGTTTATAGGTGAGAAAGTATGTGCAAAAAGTACCAAAGGGAGGGCACTGATAAAATTTGACCATGGGAAAAATCTGCAGATGGACAAGCAACTTTTTATGCACACTTAAAGTAAAGAGATAGTTTTGTTGAGCAGAGTGCTACTCAGGGTTCCCCAGAGACAAAACCAATAGGAGGTGTGTGTGTATGTGTGTGTATTTACATTTATATTTATACACACACACACACACACACACACACACGTGGGGAGAGAGAGGGAGAGGGAGAGAGAGAGAGAGAGAGAGAGAGAGAGAGAGAGAGATTTTAAGGAATTGGCCCATGAGATTATGACTGGCAAGTCCAAAATCCGTAGGATAGGACAACAGGCTGAAGACTCAGGGAAGAGCCAAAGTTGTGATTCAAGTCTGAAGGCCATCTGCTGGCAGTTTTTTCTTGCCTGGGGGTGAAGAGAAGTCAGACCTCATTCTATTAAGGATTTCGACTGATTTGTTGTGGCCCACCCATATTCTGGAGGGCAATCTCCCATACTCAAAGTCCACCTATTTAAGTGTTAATCTCTTCCAAAAAACACCTTCATCCTGAATAAGTTTTGATCCAATATCTGGTACCATGTTTTAGCCAAGTTGACACATGAATCATCACACGTATTAAATCATTGCTGAAAAAGGCAAGAGGCCCTAACTTGTTCTCATAGCTTCTTACCTGAAGATCGTAACTTTTATAGACTTTTGTATCTCCTTTGCCTGAATCTCATTGCTCTGTACTTCATTACGGCTTGTATACTAGGCATCTAACATGGTAGTCAATGAACAGTAGTTGCTCAATAATATAGTATCTAGAATTAATCTGAAAATTAATCAATTATTTTCATTAATTGACCATGCATACCCTAACTACACTTCCTATAGGATGTGTAGTAAATTCTCAATATGAAAGATTATTTGTGTGAACCCAAAATATCTGAGACAGGTCTCAACCAATTTAGAAAGTTTATTTTTGCCAAGGTTAAGGATGCACTCGTGACATGCCTCAGGAGGTCCTGATGACATGTGTCCAAGGTAGTCGGGGTACAACTTGCTTCTATACATTTTAGGGAGACATGAGACACCAATCAATATGTGTAAAATGTATATTGGTTCAGTCCAGTAAGGTGGGACAACTCGAAGCAGGGCTTCCAAGTCATAGGTAGATAAGAGACAAAAGATTGCATTATTTTGAGTCCTTGATCAGCTTTTCCCTGAATACACAATTGAGTCTGGCTCAATGAACCAGTATTTTTACATAAACAACAGGGCAGAGGAAGCTATCAGATATGCATTTGTCTCAAGCGAGCAGAGGGATGACTTTCTATCCCACACCTGTGATGACAAGCTATTAGTTTACATTGCCATGGTGAAATTCAACAGAAGTGTTTTAAGGTAAAGATCGTGAGGTCCAGATGGAAATTCCTTGTGGGCAAATTGTGAGGGAGGTTATGTAACTCTTTTACCTTTTTAGCTGTCTTATTTAGGAATTAAAATGGAAGGCAGGCTCCCAGCTCGACTTTTCCCATGGCTTAGTGATTTTGGGGTACACACACTACTGCTACTACTACTACTACTACTACTACTACTACTACCACCACCACCAAGAGATATACAATTATATGCATCAGGAATTACTAACAACACACAGCTTCTCTCATTTACCCTACACAGCTTAAAAACTAATGATAACGTTTGAATTAACTGTCAAGTTTTTTAAAATGAAAGCTTTCATAAGAGGATCTGTACCTCAGCCTTCTTTTGAAAAACTGGAAGATCTATTAAGATCAACACCAGGGTGCACATGACTACTGTATTAAATTTATGTTACTGTCATAACATTACCACAAATTCAGTGCCATAGCAGAATACAATGTATTATCCTACATTTCTGCAGGTTGGAAGTCTGAATGGTTCTCAATGGAGACCCATAAGGTATTGCAGGCTTCATTCTGTTCTGTAGGCACCAGGGAAGAAGCCCATTTCTTGTTTTCTTCCAGCTTCTAGAGACTGCTTGCATTCCTTTCTCTTTCCACCTTCAAAGCCAACCATAGGCTCTGGAGTCTCGCTTACATTGCATCATTGTGACACTGACACTTCTGCCTTCCTTTTCCACATTTAAGAGCCCTTATATTTATGTTGGGCTCACCTAGATAATACAGGATAACATCTTTATTTTAAAATTAGTTGATTGCTAACCTTATTTCCATCTACTACTATAATTCTCCTTTGCCGTGTCATACAATATATTCACAGGTTCTGGGAATTAGGATATGTCATCTTTAGGGGCCATTATTCAATCTATCAAAGCCACAATGTCATGGAGACAAGGAGTAGTAGCCACTTTCCAGGCACATCACATGTGATCCACAACCCTTCCCACTCCTTTCCACTCATTTACAGGTTACTTACTTGGTCTTCATGGGCATCTGAGGTTGTGATTCCTGCTATACGCATGCATGTGCTGTGAAACACAAAGGCTTGTCTTTTAGAACCTAGTCTCATACTCAAGTTCCATGAGCCCAGGGAATATGAGAAACTTTGGAGTGACTCTTAGATTTCATTCTGAGACTCCTGGTATTTCTTTTCCCTCTTCTTATAGACCACAGTGGCAAAATCATTAGATAAGAAAACTAACATTTTTTATTACCCTCCTAGAAACCAGAAACGAAATTACTTATACGTACAGTCACAAAATTTCAGTTGACTTGAATTAGACTAAAATTGCACTTGCAACTAAAGTACCAAAGATTTAGTTGAAAGGTGAGCAGGGTCTTAGTTGCAAAGACTGAGAAGGTACCAGTATCAAAGAAATGGGAAATCTTTTGAAATATAAGCCTACCCAGTCATCCAACTGAGAACTCACATAAACAAATTATTTTTGGGGAATTACTAGAAATGATTTTTGCAGCTAGTATGGAGCTGGATGCAGTTTATGTTCAAAGGATGTTTGTTTAATGAGTAACATTTTGAAACATCTCTTGAAATAATTTGTAGGGTTTTTTTTTTGTTTTATTCCATCTTGTTTGCTTAAATTGTTTATCTGTTTGTATTACAAAGACAAAAAAAGAGAGCCTTTTTGTGATCCATTGAATCCCTGAGAGGAAAAATTATCCATATTCAGACACTTAAGAAGAAAGGGGAGAATAAATAGTAGCTTGTTATATATGACCCTATCCAGGAAGAATACTAACACTCTAAGTTTTGCACTTAATTTTGCTGCAGATCAGGCAGCCACATAATTCTCCTAATCTAAGATATGTCCAAATCAGACAGTACAATGTACATGTTCTTTTCCAATACGATTATGCACAGCAGGGACAGAAGAATACATTGTGGGGCCATTAAACTTAAATTAAAATTACACCTCAGAGTGAAATTTTGCGCTAATGTACATTACGGTACTATAGGCTGGCTTCCTTTCTTCATTGAGTTAAACATGCCCTTGGTTTCATGCTGAAATCTTCTGAGGGGAAAAAAAGCAGATCACAACATTCCCATTTTCATCTACTTTGTACAGGATAATAGCCTTGAGATAGAAACATTTTGTGAAGGTACCCCCTGGGTCTCCTGACCCAACTGTTTAGGCTCTAAGAGGCAAGAGAAGGATTTACAGTCTGCTGTTCAGTCCTTCCTATAAAGGACAAATTATAATGTGATATATTTGAAAAATGTTTTCTCCCATGATGCCTAATTACAAAGATGTAATGTAGCCATTGCTGTAAACTTTAAAAAGTTTTATGGAAGTATGTGGATTATTTAAAGTTTCTAAACATATGTTCCAAATTTTCCTTCTGGGTGATTCAAACTGGAAGCCTGTATGCTTAGTTTCTTTTGAGCCATATTTTATAATGAGATTTAAAATGGTGACTGCAATGTACATAGACCTGCCATATATATATTACCTGCATAAATATTATGAATAATTAATATTCCACGTTTTGGAAGATTCAGTCCTTACCTATAGTTATCTAGTATTTCTTCCTCATTTGTCTTTTGTCTACATATGTACATGGAATAAATAATTTTGGCTGCACAATTTAATGTGATTTCATTTCACAGGAAGTAGACTGTCTATTTGCATGTAGCTTCTTATTTGCAAATAAATGTTCTATTGTCCTAGACGAAAATGATCTGAAATAATTTTAGAATTTAACTAATTAAACTTTTCTATAAAAATGATTAAAATCTGACTTTGTCAGTTCCTCAGCTTGTAAAATCATCACTGAAAAATTTACTTGTATTAAGAGAACTGAAATGATGACTGCTTTCTTGCAAAAATTTTATCGTGTTTTTCTCTCCTCAGTTAGCTTCTATAAAATTAATTCTATGTGATGAGCCAAAAATGAGAAATAATTAGAATCAATGTTCCTTTGTCTAATAAAAGTATCCAAAATTACAATGCTATATGCAAAAAAAGTTTTCAACACATGTAAAACTTTTTGTGAGATAGTAATTTTAAAAAGCGAGCATCCAACCATGACTTTCTCCTTACTGCAATTGATTTTCCGCGCTGCCTGCAGAACTAATTTTTAAAAGATGAATATAATATGTCATCCCTCTGCTTTATGACATCAGTGTATCCTCAGATTTTACATTGTGGTAAGACAACTTTATGGCAAACCTCAGGGTTTATCAGAAAAGTTTTTTGTGCCTTACTTCCTGTAACTGGATAGGCTTGAAATCATGGACAATATATTACCCAATGAGGACACTTTTGAGAGATAAAGAGGAAATAGTTAACCCCATACTGGGACAACAGGCATAAAATGGAAATGTTTGTTGAAAGTTTACTAGTCCATTAAATAAAAAAATATATATATATATGAAAAGCAGAAGCTTATTACTTACTTAGTTTTCAACTAATTGTATATACATATGCTCAGCATGAATTTGTGACTACTTACTCCCTTTGAACCATTCCGCTAGGAGGTGAGACTATAAAGATGAATCGTCAATCCCTGCCTTTGAGACGCAAGGACAAGTACTTGTAAACTTGCTGCATTAATGCAATGGCCCACTCACTTTCTTGATACAACTCTCTCAGGAGGCACCATCACATTTCCACTCTGTCTAGCTGCTTTCCTCCTTCTCTGGCCTTACTAAATTATTAGCCTATGTCTACAGTTTATTTTACAAATACTCTCACACAGTAGGTGTTAAAAATAAATTTCATTTTAGACACAGACTAAAATTAAGAAAACATTCAATTATATTTTGTGAGGCATTAGGTAAAATGAAATCACATATGAATATTCCTTGAGGCACAGGGAATTAGAAAATATTATAAGATTTATTTTCTCTTATTTAAACTTGATGCAAGAAATGGGCATCTTATTAAAACTCATCCTATGTGGAATGCTTATAATTCATTTGGAATGCTTATAATTCATTTTCAATAATTTTTAAGGAATTTATATAAAAGTAATGTGGTGTTACAGTTGCAGGAAAAAAGTTATATTATGTACACAAAGAGTATTAGAATTTTTTGCCTTACTTCCACTCAACGTGTTTTTACAGATATATTTTACCTAATTACAGTTATAATTTTATAAAGCATTTATTCTGTAATTTTTAAAAAAATCTTTCCTTATATCATAACAGACATTTATATTTCTACATACTACTCTATTACCACAGTGCTTTCATTATATTCCAGACAGTGGATATGCTTTATTTTATATTTTATATAGTTATTTCTCTCTTTCAGGTCGCCTAAATCACTTCTATCTTGCTTTCATGTTATAAACATCAATATGGGGAACTTCTCAGTCACTATTTTATATTAACATTTTGGATGAGTTCCTTATGAAAGAATACGTTGTTATTAACCTTTTGATTTCTAAACTTTTTTCCCAAGATGATGACACTAAGTTTCATAGTGGTAAGCAATGCATAGAACACCAGTTTCAATAACTCAAGTCACAGACATATTATTTTATAATTTTTCTAATACCTTGGGGAAAATGGCACTATATTACTTTATCTTCCTTTAGTGTTTTCTGAAATGAAATATTTCTCCATACTTTTGGTCCTTTGAATTTCCTCTTTTGAGATTCCTTAATAAATGTTCTTGATTTAAAATAAGTCAAGTATAATTTCCCTACTATCTTTTTCATTTACTGGACAGGGAGATATCACTAAGGTTGATCAGGGAATATAAAACATTTTAAAAATGATTATTAATTTATTACAATGTGAAAGTATATGTATATTCTTCACTAATAATGTGAAAACATTCAATATTTCCATGAAGATTTTTTTATAAGAGTAAGTTGATTTTTTTCCACTTCCCAGTAGTAAGATAATACCATTTGTGAGAAAGCTGATTTTTAAATAATTAATTTTGCATTTAACCATTTATTGGGCCTTTTAAAGAAGTTAACTAAAAAGATGTTATTTCATATAGTTGGGTCTTACTGAAAAGGTCAATGACCAGGAGGCCTCTTCCAATAGAGAACTTGGAAAAATTATCATTTGGTTAAAGTGGTAATAAAGGTCTATGGGACACACTGCTAAAACCTCTCCTATGGTAGGAAGATGAGTACCATTAGTGGGAGATAAATAAAAAAGGCCTACCAAATTTCTGCATAACAGGCTGCACTAGTGTTTTGATTTTAAATATTACAAAACCATGACTCTGTATTATAAAGCTAACGTGTGCCATTTTGACCTGTCTTTGCCTATCTGGCCTACAGTCATCTAAATTCAGCAGCTACCTTAAGTAACATGCTGCTATCAGTTTTCTCACCCATTAAACAAGCAGTCTAGTAGTGGAGTAAGCATTGTTACCAACGTGACAAATGACTTTGTTAAGTTCTACAGTGGTGCTGGTGAGTTTGTCTTGCCATATAATGCTCAGGGTGACTGACAGGAAGTGAAGTGACATAGCTCTCAGATGGTGAGTTTAAGAGTTTCCTCATGGCCATACAAAAGGTTAAATTACTTACTTTGTTTCTATTTCAGAACAGATATAAAATAATATTTATAAAATCTATTTATTTAATTTGCAAAAAACAGCATCACTTATCACCTGTGTGCCAACCATCCCATTTGAAACACTGAATAATGTCATTATTATTTTTTAAAGACTATTTTTTATAGCAGTTTTAGGTTCACATCAGAATTGAAAGGAAGGTACACAAATTTCTCATTTATACTCTGCCCCCACATATGAGTACCTCTCCCATTATAAACATCCCCCACCAGTGTGACACATTTGTTACAACTGATGTGCCTACATTTACACAAAAATATCACACAAAGCCCATATTTTACATTACGGTTCATTCTTGGTGTTGTGTATTCTGTAGGCTTGAATGAACGTATAACGACATGTCTCTACCATTTAAGTATCATATGGACTATTTTCACTGCTCTAAAAATCTTCTGTGCTTTGCCTATTTATCCCTCCCTTCCCTTCTGACCCCCAGCAACCAAGGATCTTTTTTCTACCACTATAGTTTTATCTTTTCCCGAATGTCATATAGTTGTAATCATACAGCCTTTTCAGACTGACTTCTTTCATTTTATAATATGCATTTAAGTTTCCTCCTCTTTTCATGGCTTCATAGCTCATTGCTTTTTAGCACTGAATAATATAAGGGAACTTCTAAAAGTTTGTGGAAAAATTAAATTATAAGTTTTTTTGAAAGTATAAACTTTAATTCTCACCATAAGCTCCATCATGTTCATCTCTAAAGAACTGAGAGTCCTAGCAGTTAACCATGTTAATGGAGTCCTTTTTACATTATTAAATGAAGAAATATGAGGGCCGTTTAAAGATTTTTTCTAAGATTAGGAAACAAAAAGAAGTCAGAAGGAGCCAAATAAGGACTGTAAGGTAAATGCCTAATGATTTCCCATAGAAACTCTTGTAAAAGTGTCCTTGCTTAATGGTAAGAATGAGCGGGAAATTTGTAGTGAAGAAGTTTCTGGTGAAGCTTTTCAGGTTTTTTCTGCTAAAGCTTTGGCTTTCTCAAAACACTCATAATAACAAGATGTTACCACACTTTGGCATCCTAGAAAGTCATCAAGCAAAATGCCTTGAACATCCCCAAATACTGTTGCCATGACCTTTGCTCTTTACTGGTCAGCTTTTGCTTTGACTGGACCACTTCCACCTCTTGGTAGCCATTGCTTTGATTACATTGTGTCTTCAAGATTGCACAAGTCAAGCCGTGTTTCATCTCCTGTTACAACTCTTTGAAGAAATACTTCAGGATCTTGATCCCACTGGTTTAATATTTCCATTGAAAGCTCTGCTCTTGTTTGCAGCCGATCTGCAGACAATGGTTTTGGCACCTATCAAGTGAAAATTTGCTCAACTTTTTCAGTCACAATTGGGTAAGCTGGACCAATTGAGATGTCTATGCTGCTGGCTATTGTTTCTGCTATTAGTCATTGGTCCTCTTTAATTATGGCATAAACAGGATGAATTTTTTCCATGCAAATGGTGTGGTCTGCTGCTGCAGGCTCCATTCTCAACATTGTCTTGTCCCTTCTGAAAGCAAGTTATCCATTTGTAAACCACTGATTTCTCTGGGTTATTTTCTCAACTTTTTGTAAACCATCAATGATTTCAACATTCTTCCACCCGAGCTTCACCATAAACTTGATGTTCGTTCTTGCTTCAATTTTAGCAGAATTCATGTTGCTATATGAGCTCTTTTCAAACTAATGTATTAACATTCTTAGTGCCTCAAACTAAATCCTATTCAGACATATTATAACAAATCACTAATATGTAAGAAATTAAAAATCCATTCAAAGTTTTTCATAACATGCATTTTCCATAAACTTTTTGAATTCTCCAGATGTGCCAGAATTTATTTATTCATTCACTTACTGCAGGGCATCTTGGTTGCTTCTAAGTTTTAGAAATTAAGAATAAAGCTCCTATAAGCACTTATGTGCAGGTGTATGTGTACACGTTAAGTTTTCAACTCCTTTGGGCTGAAGGAGTATGGTTGCTGGATCGTGATGAGAATATATTTAGTTTTGTAAGAATCGGCCAAAGTGTCTTCCAAAGTGTCTGTACCATTCTGCATTCTCACCACCGATAAATGAGAGTTCCTGTTGCTCCACAGCCTCACCAGCATTTGGTGTTGTCAGTGTTCTGGATTTTGGCCCCTCTAATAGGTGTATAGTGGTATCTCATTTGTTGTTTATACCATTATTTTTGAAGTTCTCATTTGACCTTTTCCTATTCTAATTCTTCCTCTCCCTGCCTTTTTCAAGGTAAGCAAAATTCTGCAGTCAAAGGCTCTACCACTGAGCTATATCCCACACCAAAATTCTGTATTTTACATTTGTCATACTTGTGTTTTTCTTAAAAGTTTTAGCATATATGTTTCTATTATGAAGCAATATATTGTTAGTTTTGCTTGCTGTTTTTAAACTTTCAACATGAAATATTTGATACAGGAAAAACTGTATTTATTTCTTTACATGTTATACATGCATTTTCCATTACAGTGGAAAAACACCAGTGAACCCACCACTTAACACCAGAACTAGAATATCTTCAAAACCCTTGCCTTTCTACCTGTATGCTCTTTATGCCACCCTCCTAATTTTCCTTTATCAAGGCAACAACTAGCCTAAATTTTGCACTCATTAGGTTTGTTCTTTAGTTTTGTTTGTTTGTTTGTTTGTTTTTGAGACAGTCTCACTCTGTTGCCCAGGTTGGAATGCAGTGATGCAATCTTGGCTCACTGGAAACTCCGCCTCCCAGGTTCAACTGCTTCTGGTGCCTCAGCCTCCCGAGTAGCTGGGATTACAGGCGTGTGCCACCACGCCAAGCTAATTTTTGTATTTTTAGTAGAGACGGGGTTTCGCATGTTGGCCAGGCCGCTCTCAAACTCCTGACCTCAGGTGATCCATCTGCCTTGGCCTCCCAAAGTGCTGGGATTACAGGCATCAGCCACCGTGCCCAGCTAGGTTTGTCCTTTAGTTTTATGACATATAAATGTGTATGTGTATCAGTATGTGCCTTATTGTGTCCAGGACATGGTGTAGTTTTGCTTATTAGTTGTATGAAATAATGTTAGGCTGTTTGTAATCTTATGCAACTTGCTTTTTCCATTCCTTATTATTGTTCTAAGATACATCCATGTTATTTATAAGGGAAGTTAATCATTTTCACTAGTTTAATATCCTATTGGGTAATTATAATATAAACAAGTATATATGTGTAATACACAAATATGTGATATATAATATATAAAATATTATAAATTATTTTATAATATATAGTAACTGTCCCAGGAATATGACACAAAGGATATCACAAATAGCAGACATACTTTATTTCTGGGTAAAACTTGCTCTGTACCACTAACTAACTGAACACTTCCCTAGTTGAGAGGGACTGGGCAGTATGGAAACATATACTCTACTTTTCTTAGACTAGCATTCGAATAAATGATCTTTCCTAGTACACTATTTGTGGGCTCTACTATCTTCCCATTTAACTTCATTTTTAACCTTTTATTTTTCAATTGTGTAGAAAAAATATGTATCTATATACAGCTTATTATTTACAGTGAAAATCCATGTAATCATCATCCAGATCAATCAATAGAATAATGTCTCCATCTTATAAACCCTCTCTGTTTCTTAGCAATTATACTTCCAATTACACGAACATACAAAATTAATCACTATTCTAGCTTTTATAATAGTCACTTCCTCCCTTTTCTTTAACATATAACCACTTAAACATGCATAGCAAACATTTTGGGTAGGTTTATTGTAAATGTGCTCATAGTTTATGTCTGGATTTTTCACTCAAAATTACTTTTGTGAGTTTCACCCCCATTGCTGCATGTAGCTATAATTTATATATGTGCATTGCTTAATAGTATTCCCAAAGGTCAGGAAGATATTATTTAATATTTTCTTCTAATCACTTTATAATTTTACTTTTCACACTTGGATTCTGAAATGTACTTGTAATGATTTTTTGTGCATGTTGTGAGATAAGAGTCAAAATCATTTTCTTTTTTTTCATGTTTTATACCATATAGGTATTCACATTGTATATTCAATATGGTAACACCATTTATTGAAAGGATTTTTGTTTTATTTTGAGACAGGGTCTCACTCTGTCACCCAGGCTGGAGTGCAGTGGCAAAATTTCGGCTCACTACAGCCCTGACCTCTTAGGTTCAAGCAATCTGCCCACCTCAGCCTCCAGAATAGCTGGGACTACAGGCCCACACCACCACACCTGGCTAATTTTTGTATTATTTTGTAGAGACAGGGTTTCACCATGTTGTCCAGGCTGGTCTAAAACTCCTGAGCTCAAGTGATCCACCTACCTTGGCCTCCCAAAGTCCTGGATTACAGGCGTGGGTCACTGCACCATCCCTGAAAAGATTTTTCTTTCCTCATTGTTCTGGAGGGCTACTTTTGTCATAAATCAAGTGCTCCTATATGCTTGGTTATGTAGGAATCTCTATTGTGTTCCATTTACTTATTTATTCATCCTTGCACACATGCTACACAACTGCTTACAGGTTTTTTTGTATATACATCTAAATGCATGTGTATATATGTAGGTGTATATTGTTTTTCCAGGTCAGGGAATACTTTTGTTCTGCTTTTCTTACTTCTTTTGTAAATAGGATTTGACCTTTATCTTCCAGCATTTACTTTTCCACCTAAATCTTGGATTCATTTCCAATATTATAAATAATCTATTTAAAAGGCCAGTCAGTACTGTCAAGGGAATTCTTTCTCAGAGAGGCATTAACACCAAAGTGAAGTACTACTTTTGACCAGCAACTTCTGGATAAGGCGTTTTGGCAGACTAAGCTGTACATTTATAACAAGAAGGGCATTTTTCTTTGGTAGCTGGAATGACAATTACTTTATATTAACACTATTCAAAAATACTACCACCTCCTAAATTAATTAAGAATATCCCTTTAAGCTCAGTTACATCCGCAGGTACCTCTTATGGTTCTTGGAGGAGTAAAGTTGTCCAGGAAGCCATCATTAATTCATTCAACAGAGAGGTACTGGATGTCTCTTCACTTTGTAGCATTTCTTTGGTTCTTTAGCCATTCTTTTGTTTTTAAAAGTAAAGTATGTGCTGGAATACATATTTAGCCATGTGAGGAAGAACAAAAGCAAAAGAATGAAGTATTGCCTCCAAAGTTTTGGCTAATGAAGTCTGACGAGTCATTTGAGATCATGTTCATTTTCACAATGAAATCTATCTTTGATTATACTGAAATAAAAGTTAGAGTATTCTGTGCTATAAAATGTTCGTAATAGCTAACAGCTCTTCTAAGATCACATTGTTTACCTGACTCAGTATTTGCAAAATCCTACAGTTGTGTTTAGTGTATACTGATCTATGATATACCTAGCCTCTATCCTTAGCAGGGAGGAAATCTCTTTCTGGATTAGAACCCTGCCCCAACAACAACAACAAAAATAAGCAGGGTGTATTCCTAAATTTGGTCTTGCCAATCTCATCTGTGGCAGCATATAATTGAACCAATTTTCACTTCAGTGAAGACATTGGACTCAGCTACCTGCAAAGGACATCAACACTATGGAGATGCTCTTTGCTTTGATCTTGTCCTCCGCTGAAGACATCAGGCTTAGCAACATTCCTGCGTGTCTAGAATATCTGTTCTCCCTTTGCTCCAAGGGTAAGTCCATGAACAACCTCTGTCTTATAAAGTGAGGTTTTTCTTGTTGCTATATTTGCTAGCCAAAGAAGACTAAAACCACCCCTTAAGCAGGTCTTTTTCTTCCAAGTACAAATCTACTGTTTGGGCAGTATTCAGAAGAAAATGAAGACATAAAAATCTACCATCAAACCAGATGCCCAAAAATATTATTTTTTTCTGTTTTGTTTATTTGTTTGTTTTTTTAAGATGGGGTCTCGCCTCTGTCACCCAGGTTGGAGTGCAGTGGTGCAATCTCGGCTCACTGCAACCTCTGCCTCTGGGGCTCAAGCAATCCTCCCACCTCAGCCTCCCAAGTGGCTGGGACCACAGGTGTGTGCCACCATGCCCGACTGATTTTTTGCATTTCTTGTAAAGATGGGATTTCACCATGTTTCCCAGGCTGGTCTCAAACTCCTAGGCTCAAGTGATCTGCCCGCCTCAGCCTCCCAAAGTGCTGGGATTACAGGTGTGAGCCACTGCACCCAGTCCAAAATATCTCATATTTCAAGGCGTCAGGGCCCATTAATCTGAGATAAGACTTATTTTGGAAGATATTGCTCCTGGGGAAGAATATACCAGGTATCATTGCCTTGTTCCACTAATTTAACAATATGCTCAATGGTTTGGCTCTTGGTCAAGGATTCATCTTTTGTATTACAGTGAAATAAAAGAATTGAAGCACTCCAAACTCCTTGCATTTTTGTGCACCAATATATTTATCTGTCCATAATTTTGACCTTGACATTCAGTGCTGATATAGAAGTAAATTTTACCTTTTTAGACAATTTTTTGGCTGTGGTTTTAGTATCCATTGTGTTTATAAGCCAC
Source organism: Homo sapiens (assembly GCF_000001405.40). Classification (NCBI taxonomy): domain Eukaryota; kingdom Metazoa; phylum Chordata; class Mammalia; order Primates; family Hominidae; genus Homo; species Homo sapiens. The sequence goes on from NC_000008.11 coordinate 87,600,204, forward strand.
TACTGGCTGGCACAAATAATCTGTTTTCTTAGCCCTCCCATCATAGGGATAGTTATGTACCGATTTTTTCTGCTTCAACAAATTCTCTGCAGTCTGCTTCAACAAATTCTCTGCAGCTGAAAGCATCTTTATAACCACAACAGTTCCCGCTTCAAGTTTGGTCTTAAAGTTCATAACCTGAAACATTCGTGAAAATTCTGTCTTCATCCACTAAACAATCAATTGACAGGTTGTTTGAGAAGTCACACTGTTATCTTCCACAACATGAACTGGGACTGTGTAAATCAATTCTTTCCCTTTTGTCATGGTTATACAATTTGCAGGTAAAAGAGGGGAGATTTTATCAGGAATTATAGGATGAGTACAAGTACCATTTTTCAAAAATACACCTGAAAATGTTGAAATAACTTCAAATGTTTCCAAATTAGAGGTGACAGATTTTACTTTATCTGCAGCAAGTACTGTATGTAGATGTCTCCAAAATTGAAATACTTCACAACAGCATACTTTGATCCTGGAATACAGTAAACAGCATGATAAATGGAATTGTCCGGGGCTGTGTGGTCCAGACTAAAAAACTAATAGAAGAATCATCATCTTAAAGAGGTATCAACTCAGAAGAAAGCTTCGAAAGAGATAAATTTACATATATAGAATGACTGATGTTTTATTCAAATCCTGCTTTAGCCAATGCAGTCCTTGATGAGGAGATCAAAACACAGGTTTGTATGATCAATAAGCCAAGTCATTATAATATTTGATGGGAAATTATCAATATTTGGCTTCACATTTTCCATCATAGTATAGCAGCAATTATTCTATTCCTCTATTGTTCTTCAATGAATAAAGGTTGATTTCTGCTTCTCAATGGCTGCTTTAGCAAATGAACTGACTTTTCTCCCTAACTTCCACAGCTGAAAGATTCTGAGCTTTTTCATAAAGTTCTGATAATACTTTTTTTTTTTTTCAATGAGTAACCCCATAACAACCCCAGCATGGCACAAAATGTATTTGAGAACTTTTCATCATCTGGTATTGGTTGGCTATGTCTTTCAAAATATTACATTAGGCATATCTAACAGGAGGCCTATCGCTTGCAGAAGGATATCAATCATGAAGATTAAACTCTGTCTTTCCTTTCTCTTTGTCATTACTAAGGTCCTGAAAAGCCACATTTTTAGAGGTTGCTTCAATTATATTTTCAGCCAATAAACCCCAGTGGATCTTTATCTCCATGTGGGGCTGCTGGTGGCCCAGCAGCTTCTTGAAGAAGCTAGTCTGAGGCTCCATGTCCCTATATTTGTCATTATTCAGGTTCAGCAGTTGGTTCCTAGCCCTGGTGACTGAATTCAGCAGAAGCCTCACCGTCATCCCTTGCCATCCTGGCTGACAGGGAAGGTGAGGCGGCTTTCACAGATTGCAGGCAGCAGCTGGTCATCGATGGGACAGCTCCAAGGCATGGCTGGATGCCCTCAATCTCAACTCAAACACTTGGTCCTCAGGTCCTGTCCTGTCCCTGGGGAGCTGGGACCCCAGAGGATCTCTACAAGCCCTGCCTAGAGTGCACGCACTTACACGAGGGACAGAAGGAACTTCCAGTGAATTTTCCATTTCAGATATTTTATTTTTCCTCACTAAAAAATCCTATAGATTATGTTTATAGCTTTCTTTTTAATAACTATTTTGTTAATTTTTTCTACAGTTTTATGTATACTTCCAGTAGGTATTTTAAATCTTTGCTCATTACATCATCTCTTTTATTGTGGTGTTTCCATCAATTACTGGTTGCTTCAATATAGATGGAAATGAAAGTGCATGTCTTATGCATTGAAATTTTAGTTTCAACAATTACACTTTTCATACCATTAAATTCTATTTCTTTCTTTTAAAAATGTGTCTTTCCTATTATTGTTTCCTGTCACATTTTATGTCTGTTAAAAATGATTATTTTATACAATGTAAATAACTCTACTTATTAGTTTTACTCTTTTTGTTTCTGCTATTGTGCTCACATTGGCTTGTTTCTCCTATGATTTTTTTTTTTTAATGAATGAACTCAGTACCAAAAATGGTAAGTTAAGCTTAGCTAAAGTCATTCAGTACATTACTCTAAGTCAACCTGATATTTCCAAAATGGGTTTAGTAACTTATTAATTAAAACTCATGTTTAAATATTACATAACTAATTTGCTTGTTTCATATTAGGATAAGGAATATTATTTCTCAGAGGTAGAAGAAAGTTTTAGAAATCTTCTTTTGAGAGTTAATTTGGTCAAATGCAGACATGGTACCCTTTAAAAATCGATTATCTTTGATATCTTCTCTTTCTTTCTCCCCTCATCCACCTTTTCCTCACCACTTACATAATATTACCATATCTACAATATAGCTCTTAGTAGACTATTATCCCAAACAATGTTATAGTATGATTTTCATCCATAACTAACATACAGTGCTTTGCAGTTTTAAATATGCATTCACATACATTATCTTTAAAAAATCTCATTACAACTTAGTAAAACAGAAATTATTAATTCAGTATTGAAAATGATAAAACTCAGTTTAAGAGAAGTAAAATGACTTATTCATGGTCACACTCTGAGAAACACTTAGGACTTAGGACTTAAATTAATGTTTTCTAACCTCTAGTTCCGTGTATGATAATTTGATATTTCATGTTAGAAAACTTACCTATCACTTATACATCAGGTATCATCTAGTTTCAATTCTAAGACTAGTCATGAATATTTTAATCTTTGATAGTGTTAATGAGAGATTGAAATAAAATAGATCATACAAAAAATAATTTTTTTTTTTGAAACGGAGTCTCACTCTGTTGCCCAGGCTGGAGTGCAGTGGTGCAGTCTCAGCTCACTGCAAGCTCTGCCTCCCAGGTTCACGCCATTCTCCTGCCTCAGCCTCCTGCGTAGCTGGGACTACAGGCGCCCACCACCACGCCCAGCTAATTTTTTGTATTTGTAGTAGAGACGGGGTTTCACCGTGTTAGCCAGGATGGTCTCAATCTCCTGACCTCGTGATCCGCCCGCATCAGCCTCCCAAAGTGCTGGGATTACAGGCGTGAGCCACCGTGCCTGGCCACAAATAATAATCTTAAATGAACCTTTACTTAATAAATATTATGTCCCTACTATGTGTAAGACACTATACTGGATGATACAAAATATATGTAATAAAGACATACATGTCAAATCAGCAAGAATTAATTTCTTAACTCTAGTCCAGATAGCTAGTGAATAATTCCTTCTCTTTTGAGCAATATCTGATGGAATCCTATACTGTAATCAAACTCAGAGAAAACAAACTGTGGATTACAATGGCAGTCAGTTAACTGTGAAGTACTCTTCTAGTTAGTAGACTCACAGTAAGCCTTACTTACCATAAGGTTTACTGTGGTCCAGAAACCATACTTACCATAATTAGTATCAATATTAAAAACCAAGTCAATATTGTAAAGTATAGTTCTTGAGCACAGAGTAACAAAAGATTGGATAGCCTTATGTAACTATATAAGGACACGCAAGTTAATAATTTACTAGCTTAGCTAAATAATTTTATGCCAAATTGTATTTTAGTTACATTTACAAAGCAGTTTTCTGAGATTAGACTGGAGTATAAATAATGAAACATCGCTTCTAATTATTAAACATTTTCATGTCCCAAATACTGTGGAACAATTAGTATTGTTTTCCCTCATTTCCTGTATACTAAATTTTCAAACTTATATATTATTGATACAACTACAACTTTGTGTATATCTCTCTCACTGGATTTATCACATTATATTATGCTTGTTTATATGCTTTCTTTCCCCACTACAAAGACTCATATTAATCTTTGTATTTATAGTGGCTATAACAGGCCCAGGAACACAGCTGACATTCAATATTCTTGAATAAATTATAACTGAGTAAAGAAAGGAAGCCATAGATGTTTCCCAAATATTACAGAATACAAAAATGAAGCAAACTAAATTTGTAATTATGGTGATATATATTTTTTGGGGTTCTCTATCTCTTTTTTTCCTAAATTATTCAACTGTTCCCTAAATCCCTCTCAACACACACACACACACACACGTACACGCATACACAGGCACGTACATACATATACTCAGTAAAATCAAGATTAGAAACAGCAGAAACATTGATTTTAAAACTATCTCTAAACTATCTTAAAAATAAAAAAGAAAACATTTTTAAAATAAAATTTATTGATCTCTTGTAATTAGAAATGCAGTATATATAGGTTGTAGGAATCTCTTATCTGTCTCAGAGACATAATAATGGTAGACATTTTGGTATATTTTCTCCTTTTTTTCTATCTGTAGGACATTTTAAGAGAGATTATTAAGAGAGGCTAGCAATGAGTTCATCATATGATTGAACATGTTCTTGAATGAGCTTGAAGTGGATATCATTAGCTAATACTCTTGCAACAGAAAGTTTTCTTTCATTATACATGAAAATCAGTACAGTGATACTGTTTATAAAGTTATAATGAATTAATATTAACCTCACCTGTGTCCTGCACATCAATTATTAATAATGACACCAGCAATAATCTTATGTGTAGCTCATAACATACTAGTGAAACTGGCAAAAGCAGGCTTTTATATTGAGTGCCTCCACACCAACCTTTCTATACAGTGGTACCCTGACAATGATGTAGCCATGTCTGCAGTTAAACTCCCATTATATACTGATGAGAGCACATCTTTATTATTTATTTATTTATTTATTTATTTATTTATTTATTTATTTTGAGATGGAGTCCCGTTCTGTCACCAGGCTGGAGTGCAGTGGTGCGATCTCAGCTCACTGTAACCTCTGCCTCCCCGGTTCAAGCGACTCTCCTGCCTCAGCCTCCCAAGTAGCTGGGACTACAGGCACATGCCACCACGCCCAGCTAATTTTTGCATTTTTAGTAGAGACGGGGTTTCACCATGTTGGCCAGGATGGTCTCGATCTCCTGACCTTGTGCTGGGATTAGAGGCGTGAGCCACCGCACCGGTCTAAGAGCACATCCTTATAAACAGAAAAAGTTTCAAGCCTTTTCAATGGCTCTTTTGGCACACAGCAGTCAATAAATTAAGTTGAACTAAGTCCTTATAAATAGAATTTACAGTAGCTAATAATGACACAGTGAAAGTTGGCATGATCCTTTGTGCCTAGAGTTCAGCAGTGATTTGTGGGGCTTCAGGAAAGATGACAGCATGAGTTAACTTTTATGAATTTCCTTTTCACTCTACATGAAAATGAATTGTGGTATGATACTTCAACTTTAAAGAATATCAGCAAAATATGTACAGTTTTGGTAAGGTGAGAGGAGGTTTTATCAGCTAACAAAGAATTGCCCACATCGTCAGTCTTATGAGTTGTAAGTATACAATATTGTATTTCCACTGACATCCCCTGGGCTGCTGGGATGACACCTGGTGAGCATAAACAGCCTAAAGCAGGAGTGGGGAGTAAATCCCTGGAGGGTGGTGGCAGGGGGAAGGTGGGGGGGAGGGCAGGGGGGAGGGTGGCAGGGGGTGGGGGGCATACATTCTTAAAACAACAACAAAACCCAATAATGCTATTTAGTAAAACAAATAAAAAATAAGAGCAATTCTACAAAACTTGCCTAATTGAATGATTAATTTCCCATTTTTAATTGTTGTGGATTTGATTTGTGAGTTTCTCAGTATAGCTGTTATAAGAATCGTAGGCCGTAGTATTTGACTTTAGTCTTATTTTTCTTTTACTATAACATTTTCCATCCCAAAGCAGTAAAAAATGGTATGCCCTTATTTACCTGTGTCGCAGACAGGAAGAAGAGAATGGAAACACAAAGAATAGTCTTAGTTCCTCTTTGTAGCTATGGAATAATGTGGTTATTTAAAAAGCCACATCATAGGTTTTTAACCCCATTTTATCCACATTTAAAATTTTTATTGATTTCAAAGTATAATCTGAAAAAATTTAAACCAATTAACTGGGGCAGGGCTCTGCGATAACAATAGAGTGTCTTTATCACTCCTTTGTCTTTCATGGCCAATTGGAGATAATTTTGAAGGAAAATCCAACTATAAACCACCTTCGCTATTCCTCTCTTTTATAGTTGGCAACCAACCCCCATGACTTTCATTGATATTGTATGGCATTTTCCAGATTTGTTTCCTGAGAAAAATAGTTCTCTGAAATGTCAATAAAGACTTGTTTCCTGTTTTTTTTTCTTTCATTTCTATGGTTAAGTTTAGAAAACATTAAGCTATACAAAATGAATGATGCTTCTTCACTGAAAGACTTTTTATAGCCTTTAGATGCTTTGCAAGCCCCCAGGAGGTTGATAGAGCATGCACTATTTCCTAAAAGAATATGATCAAGAACTCATTTTTTTGTTTGGACAGGAGTCTGGGTGATTAGGTAAGGGACAGTATCTCAGGGGACAATAGTATCATGGAATTTTACTTTGGAAAAAAAACAACTCATCTGGGAATCAAATAATATAACTGGAAGAATCATATTATGAATAGTTATGTTTTTACTTGGATTTAGCTGCCAAAATATTTAAAAATATCTCATAAACAAAGAACATTTTTTATGATAAATATGACTGTGGAATGTTCCCTTGATTATTTTGTGATATTTTGGAAATGTTTAAAAGGTTCCCATATTTCTTAATGTTGGAAAATGGCTTCCAGTATTTCTAATATTCACAAAGTCATGTAGTCTATTTATCCTTTCCTTTGAAATTGTGAAAGTCTTCAATTGCAAGTAAAGTCAGTAAACACGTTAATCTATATCAGTGCATTTAAATGTTTTATTTTAATTTTTTGGCAATTTAAAGTGCGTATATCCATGCAGGGTTTAATGGTGTATACCTAGTAAATAAGAATACATATCTAGGACAGTTATTCTGCATGACAGCAGAGAAATGTCAAAGTAGTAAGAGTGCTAGAATTCAATCAACTATAATAAAAGCTCAAGAACAGAAAATACTCGTATTTAATAATTGCACTAATTTTACTTAATTTACCTTTCATACTAGTTAAATCTGTCATTGCAAATGTCCATGAATGACAGTTTATTTTTATTTTCTTCTTTTATTTTATTCTGATAGGATAAAAGTGGTGGTATAAGTTAAAAAATATATATGACGAGATAATATATGTAACTGTTTTACTGAACAGTTAACTTCGGTAAAATGACAGAGACATATGACTGTGACACAAAGTTATTGTTTTACATACTCAAAACATGTAATTGTACAATTTCTAAAAAATTAAGGCCTAATTACTATGCTACTTTATCTTCTTTCCACCACATCTAATTCATGTTCCTTTGCAGAGCCATGGTATTGTAGGAAATGTCTTTGTTTAGATTGGTCTAAAGATAATGACAATTATACTACCCACACCTCAAAACTATAATTTCTAAACTATCATTTCCTGGCAAGAAATCCCTTTTTAGAAACGAGTGTTGTTGGTTTTTTTTTTCATTTTTCTTTTTTAAAATCAGCCACGTACTGTATTTATTGTGAAAGCAAGTCTCTTCATTTTGATTAGTTAACAGTTTGGAATTCTAATTAAGTGCTCAAGATGAATAAAGGAACAAGTTCTTCCAGAAAATAATAATAAAAAAACAAAAATCATAAGAAAATGTCTGTATCACCTCAAAGAGAGAGGGGGAGAAATGTAGGGTTGAATCCACTTCAAAAATCCTTCTGACAAAATGACCTTTAAATAATCTACCAGTTTACAATTGATCTCTTCTGTTCAGGAGGCCCCAGGGGCTTTCCTTGATAAGATTCCACTTCAAAGCATGCAGCTTAAATTGCAAACAAAGGGAACTTACACTTCTTTAGCTTACTATGCAAGCTGGTTTTAAAATGTCCTGATCTGTATTGAACTTTACTAAATTTCTGCTCTGGTTACATCCGGCACAGCAGTCAACACATCAAGATTCATAAAAGAATGAACTACTAAAAACTTGATATCAAAAACATTGCAGGCAGTCAAAGTAGAACAGTAATTAATTACATGTCTTGCCCATCAAATAGTTATAAATAGTACATCAAAGCTTACATCGTTTGAATACAACTGAAATTTGGGTTGCACTGGGGAAAGATCCTAGGTGTCTGTCAGAGAACACGTAATTACAAAAAAAAAAGAAAAAAAAAAACCCCAAAATCAAAGGTTTCCCAAACTTAGATGTAGACTCATTTAAGAGTCACCCAAAATACTTAACCTACTCTAATCTTGAATGAAGTTGGTTTATGTTTCATTGCTCTTAATTTTTGTTAAATGATATTGATTGCTCTGAACAATGCACCTAGGATGTTGTACTTTGGGGAAGAAAAATGACATTTTCTTGATTTATTCTCAGAAGCAAGGGCATTTGGATTTTAACAAAATGTACTCATTTCAACAGTATTTGCCAACCCCAAAGTCAACCATGCTAAAACGGCAAGCTGTTACAAATAATCACAATGGCACAGAGTAGATTTATTTCTCTTTCAGTACAATTCTCTTTCAGTAAACAACTTGAACTAACAAACAAATATCTTTGAGAGCACCATAAAACTTCCATAACTTAGCTGAGGCAAATTGTTTCTATAAAAGGTGTAAGTAAAGATTTACAGTCGTTCTTATTGAGTTGCTAAGTTGCCAAGACCTGACATGTATTTACATAAAAGTTTCTTTTTTGTTGTCAAGACGTTAGACTATTAGCTTCCAAAATTCTGAAAAGAAATAAAAGCTATCATATGTACAAATGTTAAAACATATTTTCAACATGTGAGCAACAAAGTGAGTATGAAAACACCAGCTGGTCCTGTGTTCAGTGGCACTTCAATGTATCATTTCACCCTGAATTTGTCAGGTAATAAGGAAATTATAAATTTTTTTTCAGAATAGAGTTAAGTTATTGCTATTAGATTTTAAATTTAGACCCTGAATTTCTGAAATAAAATAGAATATTCGAACTAATAGATGACAACAAGAGAGAAAAAGTGAGTCTACTTTAGACAGAGTTTTCAACAGTTTCTTCTCAAGAGTATGATATTATAATGAAGACCAGAACACAAAAACTAGCCAGGAAATTTCTGAGCAAATAAAAAAGTAAGTAAAATATTTTAAAATCAATTACAATGGAAAGATGTACTATTTGGCATGAATAAGAAAATAACTTTGAGGAATTATGTTGTATGTGTCAATCAGCAAATCATCTCTAAATTTCTATCAATATTAAATTCTGATTTTGTTTGTAATAAATGCAAAACAAATTCGAGATTTCATAGTTTACTTTGTCTATTCCAATCTTGGAATATTAGGATATTCCAAGATTAGGTTGAAGGGAGAAGAATTTATTAACTTTGCCGTCAAATCAATGCAGTTACCTTTGGCAAATTGTGTATCATTGATGCCAGCAAGAAAACAATTTAAAATTTTCCTGACCAATAACCCTTAACGAACTTTAAGGTATTTGTCAGTGTTCTCCCTGCAGGAAAATTAACCAGACTTTGTAATTCTCACCATTTTCATGAAGAGATATTGTCTTCAACACCGAAAATTCTAATATGTCTCATCTTCATTCTTTCAGATTGCATCATGGACAAAAGAAATAACAGATTTCATTTGTCTCTATGGTGAGTATAGACATTTGTTTGTAGCTATATCTCACTTTTTCAGCTGAAAATGATGAGTAAATCAAATAATGAGTGACGACTTCCCTATTACTACTTTTTTTTTCTTAATAAAAACAACAAGAAACAAGATAAGGTTATGGGAAAGTAGGGGATTTTCATTGTTCACTGAAAATACTTAAAAGAATTATCCTTGGGGAAATCAGTGAATTTCTGTGTAAAGAGAGGACATCAAGTTCTGTTTTCTTTCTGTAACTGTACATCTAAGGTAAAAATGGTAATTCAAGGCCCTCATAATCATGAAGTCTCTTTCAGTAATAAGTAAAGTCTTTGTATAAATGCATATAGAAAAACGAATGAGTCACTATGGCATACTGGAATGAATGTTTTTACCAAATGCAATATTAAGCATCTCAAATTCTACCTTTATGTACAGAGTAGAAATTAGTAGATTTTTGTTCTAGCTAAAATTTTGTTTGGCAAGAAAATATTTCCAACATTTCATGAATTTCAGAAGCCTTTGAAATTTTACAGCTTAGGAATTATACCTTGATGACATTGGCATGCATATAGTGACTAAAATTGAAGAACTTTCTGCATTGAAAGACGTTACTAATTTCATCCAACTGCATGATGAAAGTAAATGAATTAACTGCCAATCCTCATTGCCTTTTTTCAAAATTCTAGAAAAACATCAAGATAATTTTACCTTACCAAAAATTGCACAGTAAGTATCACATTTTCCTCAATATTTTCTTGAAATACAATAATAGTTAATACAGTTTTCATAAAAATGATATTTTTTACAAATTAAATTTCAGAGTAATGGAAATGGAAATTAAATAGTTCCCCTAAGACATTTGTATATAGTTGTAAGATTATACCACATTGTATTGCATTTCTTTCCAAAATTATATTCTGTAGAGTATATATATTGCCTTTGTATTAACTATAGGAATAACACTATATAACAAATTCTCACTGAGTGCCTTTCAAGTGACTGGCACCAAGGTAAGTACTAGACTCAGAGCACAAAATAGATAAAAATTTTAGTTAGGGAGGTAGAGGAAAGTGAAATTGTAGATGACCAGCATTGCATATATGGGATAAAATAACACTAAAACAGAAGAACTTGTAATATCTAACACTCATAGGTTCATTTTGTAAGGTAGGAAATCATGGCTCAAATTCCCCAAGTGATAGCACATTTTGATTCTATTTCCTAATTTCTTTTTAACCTCATCACTTAAAAGGGAAAAATAATAGAAACTGTTCGAAGAAATTTCCTTGAGTCTTTTCTTTCTATTTGGAGACTTTTCATCTGCACTGAAAATGCTAATGTGTTTCATTTACCGATCATCTCTCACTCCATTGAAAACTAATATGTTTCCAGCAATGCCAAGAAGAAAACTCAGCGTTAACTCTCATAGTCCTTCCCTATATCACTATTCACAGGAGGGGTGAAATGAGCAGTTGTATTGTACTGAGGAGAGAATTATCACATTTTGTTGCATATTCAAATAGACTTGCTATATTTGGTCCAAAGGCTCAAATATTACCCTGAAATGAAATTCAGCGTCCCTGCTGATTTTTCAAGATGTGTTTTTCAAAAATTCACTTTATAGTACACAAAAAATTAATATCACTTTCAAATATAGCTTTCTCTAGGGAAGAGCTGTAACTATGACTCCTACGGAATAAATACCCTCAACTTAACTGGTCATTAGATGTCACTCCTCTTTCAAATGGATAGAGCTGAAAGAGGGTTTCTGTTTTCCTTGGCAGCAAAACCAAAATGCATCCAACAAGGAATAAAAAGACATTCAAATGGGAACTACAGATGTGTGAACCATTTGGAAAAATAACTTGCACTGAGTTAAGTGAAATTTATGAAAGTCTTTTGAACTAGACTTAGAACCACTTTTAAAGTTTATATCATTGGAAGTATTTATATTTATCTTTTACCAGATAGTTGTATATTGCCCTTAGTGGTCGCCTGTTGTTTTTCATGAATAAATTTAGCTCCTGTGAAACTGCCAGAAAGTCACTCCTGGAGATGCAAGTCTACTTGAACTACTTGAAACACAAACAATAACATGAAAAAAACTTCCTCATTCTTCCCTGGTCTTATTTTTTTTTTAATTCAATTCTCAGTTTAGAGAGAATCACCAAAAGAATTAAGAATAACAGCATCCTTATTCACTTGGAATGAGCAAGAAAATTCACTGGTCTAGTAACAAAAGGTACCGATACCTTTGTTAGGCATGTCAGTATTCCAAATTCTTTCTAATGACTCTATTTCTCTCTCTCTCTTTTTTTTTTTTTTTTTTTTTTTTTAAACTCCCAGTGTGAGTCCTAATTTCGCCTTTGGACAAGATTGAATAGTTACCATTCAAAACAGTCAATCAAATAAGCAAGTTAGGGAAACCTATGAGGTCAACATGCTTTCTCCATATGTGTTTTGTGGTAATTATATGTTGTAAAAATTAGTAGAACAGGTACAGGTCAGCACTATAATGCAGTAATGACTGCTTTGTTAAGACAAATCAATGACATCAGGGAGGAAAATAGGTTAATTTTTTGTTTGTTTTAGATGTGGTGTAACACACTAGTTAAAAGGAAATAAAACTGCCACTGTTTCTTTTGTTCTTGATGCTTATAATCTTTTTAGGTTTCTCGCCTTATGGGTTACGCTTCACTCTGAGTATTCTCTTCATTGACTAGATCTGATATATTTCAGTTCACATAACTTAAAAAAATAAAGCAAATCATGTTATTAACTTGAAAAATCTAGGCTTCCCTCAAATAAAAAATATATTTGTCATAGGATAATATAAATATTGTCTTATACTCCTAAAAATGAGTAAATGGCAGTGAAAAGTTTCTAGCTCAAATATATTACAACTATTTTTAAAAGATTGCTTTATATGCAGATTGAAAGGTCATCAGAAACTGAAAAGTGGCATTCTAATAGACAAGCATAACATTTTCAAACAGGTCTTAAATTATATGTTTGTTTTTTATGTGCTTTCATCTTTAATCCAGGAAAATTGTTCTGTGTTTCTAATTTATATTACTTAGCAGTAGGAAACTTAAAAAGAATCATAGGTTCAGTAGGCAAAGAGCAATAAGTACCCTAGCTTAAAATGAGGATTATTCAGTCACTATAGTTTTCAATATGATTTTGAAGCTCATACGCTTTTTTACAACCCAGTGTGTATGGCATTAAATTTGGGGCTTCACACATTTTAAAATACTTATGTTAAGATTAATGTCACAATAGTAATTTTAAGAAAAAGATTACCAATAAAATCTCCCAGTGGGGAAAATATAATCTATCATATCATTCTTTCTTATAATGAGGATTAAATATAAAACAGAGTGGAAGGGATTTTAGTCTACCAGAGTTTTCCGTCACTTATTTACCTAGTATTTATCATAGCTGCATAGATGCTTACTTCTCTTTTAAATCGGGTAAAGAAGCATTTTTCACTTTCCTTGGGGAAGTAGAAAAAGGGTTTGGAGATTCGTAGTGACCATTTCTTAAAGGCCACCAAGTGTTAGGTGCAGTTTGCTGCACTCTGCATGATTTGTTAGGTTTTGTTTCACCTGCTGCTTTGCTGTTTCATTTGTCACGAATTCCTTTTGGAATTTCTGCCTTAATTCTTGGTGCTCAATTTTTGTTTATTTGAGAATTTATCAAGTTTTTTTTTAAACATTTTAACTCAAGCAAAACCAGAAGACCATTGATTAATTATTCATATGAAAAATAGAAGGTAAAAACTCTAAAGGTAGGGCTTTTGGTAAAAATCTACCAATAGAAGCAGTGATAACAATAGATATACTGACAGTAGCTAACATTTAATTAAAATGTATTATATACTAGACAATTTATGAATGCTCTATTTAATTTTCCCAACCAAATTATGAGAACAGTTTCCTTTCAGAAAACTGGGGCATTGAAAGGCTAAATGAGTCCAGGTGCAGTGGCTCATGCCTGTAATCCCAACAGTTTGGGAGGCTGAGGCAGGGGAATCACTTGAGCTCAGCAGTTTGAGACCAACTTGACCAACATAGTGGGACCCCCATCTCTACAAAAAATTTAAAAAATTGGCCAGGCATGGTGGCACATGACTCTAATCCCAGCTACTCAAGAGGCTGAGGCAGGAGGATTGCTTGAGCCAGAGTGGTCAAAGCTTCAGTGAGCCGTGATCATGCCGCTTTACTCTAACCTGGTCTCATTCTGTAAGATCTTTCCTGTCTCAAAAAACAACACACACAAAAAAAATTTAAAAAAAGGCTGAACAATTTATCCACAGTCACCATTAAATACGTTTTATATACAAAAATAGTGTTAGATGCAAAGAATATTAAGGTGGAATTTTTATATTTGTAGTTCAATATTAGACATATATAAAATGTAAAGCACAGTTTTAGGCACAGGAGCTTATAGAAATTCCTTATATTACAAAAAATGCACAATCAGGTAGTGAAAACACATATATAAAGAGTTAATGAGATAGAGTCCAATGGGCAAAAATGCAGGGATGTATACAGCAAGTAAACATGGTCAGGTAGAACTTATATATGAACAACATTAAGAATATTGGCTTTAATAATTAAAGAGAACATTCTAGGTATTGTTATTCTATGTAGGAGAGAGTAAAAGGGAGCAATCAATGTTATCAATGTTTATTAGAAAGACAGTGAGGTCCATGTTTCTTTGCTAGTTGTTGGTCAGAGTTAATCTCAGTTCTAAGTGGCTACTATCAAGTCCTTGCCACGAGGCTTCTTTCATCTTTGATGCTAGCAATGGAGAGTATCTCTCACATCGAATTGCTCTCAGGATTCAAATATATCTGACTTCAGGAAGAGCCCAGTTCTTTTCTAAAGCTCACCTGATTAGTTCAAGTCCTTTAAGAAGGACGATCATCAACTGTGCCTTATAAGATAAACCAATCATGGAGTAAAATCCATTATATTCACAGTCCTCAGGGTTACATAGAGTGTGTATATCCCCAGGGGCTGGTGATCTTGGACATTGTTGTGGAGTGTATGTATGTAGCCCCCAAAATTCATATGTTGAAACCCTAACCCCCAGTGGGATGGTATTAGGAGGTGGACCCTTTGGGAAGTAATTATGTCATGAAGGTGGAGCCCTCATGATGGGATTTGTGCTCTTATAAGAAGAGACAAAAAAAGAGTTTCCTCTCTCTTTACCCTTCACCACCAGAGGATACAGCAAGAAGACAAAAATCTACAAGCTAGGAAGACAGCCCTCACCAGAATCTGACCATGCTGGCAACTTGATTTCAGACTTCCCAGCCTCCAGAACGAGAAAAAAAAAAAAAAATCTGTTGTTTAGGTCATCTGCTTTATGGTCATTTGTTATAGCAGCTGAAAACAGAGATCATTTTAAAACTCTGCCTACCACAAAGACCACTCTATAAATAATGGGTGTTGATCTTTACATACCTGTATATCTATATGAACTTCCAGGAAATAGACTTGTCTCATTAGCTACTTTATTTATTTATTTATTTATTTTTTGAGACAGTTTCGCCCTTGTTGCCCAGGCTGGAGTGCAATGGCACGGTCTTGGCTCACTGCAACCTCCGCCTCCCAGGCTCAAGCAATTCTCCTGCCCCAGCTTCCCGAGTAGCTGGGATTACAGGCATGTGCCACCATGCTCGGCTACTTTTTGTATTTTTAGTAGAGACAGGGTTTCACCATGTTGGTCAGGCTGGTCTCAAACTCCTGACCTCAGGTGATCCACCCATCTCAGCCTCCCAAAGTGCTGGGATTACAGGCGTGAGCCACCACACCTTGCCTCTACATTTTAAAAAATATAACACTTTACTTTTTAAAAATTGTAGACCTAGTTCCTAGTTCAATATTAATGCCAATGTAGTATGTTCACTTTTTAAGTTAGTGTTTCTCATAAGGAATTCTTAGTTCTATAGCACCGCCATTCCCTGAGGATAATTCTTTAAAAAAATAGACAAAATAAAATGGATGCAACTATAGATATTTATTCAACCTAGGAGAAGGCCTAATGGACACGTGGTACTTCTGTCCGTAACCAGCTATAAAAAGGATTCTAGGAAGCTCTCATCCTCCAAATACTCCTTACTATTTATAACAAATATGCCCTGCATTGCTGTCCACCATCAATATCAGTTACATTATTATTGAAATAGGAATTTGCAATGGAAAATTTAAATCAAATAATAACCATATTATAATAATAACAGAATGTTATTTGACAGGTAAATATGCCTAAAGTCTGGTCTTGTCCTGGGTAAATAACATTAAAGTAAAAAGTCCTTCATAAAGACAGTGTATGAGAGGAAATAAGTAACATCCCAAAATTCCAGTGAACACATATTTTTAAAAAGGCAGTATGTGTTGGATAACCATTAAATACAAATAGGTCAAATAATAAGGAATCATGGAGTAACCAGTCAGTTTAATGTGGATTCCTCATCTCTCTCAACCCAAATGAGCAACTGATCGTCTCCTGACTGTTCTTCATCTATGTTGTCAAAAGTGTAATATCCTGAGTTGATTTTGTTCCAAATCACACATGGAGAACAGCAGCAGAGGGTATCACTGATCAAGCCAGAGGCCTCTGACTGAGTGTCAATACTGCCATGACAGCTAGGTTATGACCATCCACCCAAGGACTCTTGTCAATGGAACTTTGCTTCTGTTGATTAAGAAAATCACTCTCCCTATTCACCTACCCTAATTAGTTTACTTTGGAAACTAATACAAATAGTATTGCACAAACATAGGCATTCTACTGATGCTTTGTTTTTTTATTGATTTTTATTTTGACCTATGTGAGTTGATTCACATTTTATTTCCAGCAAAATTCTCCATATGATATATAAAGCAGAACTTTGGAGGCTTAAGAGCTTTTTAAAAAAAAAAAAAAAAAAAAAAAAAAATATATATATATATATATATATATATATATATAGAAACAGAGTCTCTCTCTGTCACCTAGGCTGAACTCACTGTAGCCCCCAACTTCTGGGCTCAAGCAATCCCCCTGCCTCAGACCAGCCATAATAGCCTTTTGTATAAATAAGTCGATTTCTAAATGTTCCTATAATGAGAATTTTGAGCCTGCACGTAAGTGCAAAAAGTCAGCTTACCTCCTTCCGACTATATATATTTGTTTGATATGTTTTCATAACAAATTAAACTCTACACACTGTTAAGTGACACAAAATATATTTCCCACTACACTTTGTAAATGTAGCTGATGCAGAGCTATAAGACTGATTTTTGTACATTAATTTGATGTCTAGCTATATTGCTATATATTTATATTGATTCTATTAATTAGAAGATTCTTCAGGTTTTCTATGTACAATCTGTAAATAATTACATTTTTCTTCTTTACAAGTTAATATTTCAATTTTAATTTTACTATTTATTATTATTTGGTGTTACATAGTGACTTGGGGTTTCATTTCAATGTACAATAGAAGTGACGATAATGAGAACTTTGTGTTATTTCCTAATATTAAGGGAATGCATATAAAACTGTTTGCCAAAAATTATGTTTTACAGGAATTTAATAGACACTCTTTATTAAGATAAGAATATCTCCCTCCTTTTCTAACTTGCTAAGAATTATAAATGGTTGTTGCATTTTATATAAAAAATTCTGGATCTACAAAGAAGAGTGCATGTTTTTCCCCTTTTAATATGTTCCTGTGATGTAGTACACTTACTTTTTCTCTACTATTAACCTTCTGAGATATATCCAAGTTGGACATTATGTCTTTTTTCTTTCTTTTGGTAACCTTAATAATTCTGGTTTGACTCTTGTTTGTTTGTTTTATTTTCTTTCCTCTGTTGACTTTGATATTGGCTTTGGTAAAATTCTGCTGCTCTCACAGATGTGTTGAGGAATGGTCACCATTTTTGTATTCTCTGAAAAGGGGTTTGTAGAAGATTGGAATAAGTTTTCCTTTAAAACATTAGTAGAATTCATTTATAAAACCAGCTGGACCTGTCACTTTCTTTGTGGGGAGATTTTTACCTACACAACTACGTTCATGGTCATAGAATGTTTAAACAATTTCTCGATTTCTTTTTTAACCTGTTTGGTTAAGATACATTTTAATAGGAGTTTAACAGTTCTATTAATTTTTAAAATCTACTGCAAATGTTTTAATGCATTATTGTCTTTGATATTTCAGTATCATTTATACATAAAAAGAATCCCAGTTTCCATTTCTAATATTTACTTTTGACTTCTCTCTTTTTTGTTGATCACTGTTTGCCTACTTTAAAGATCTTTTCCAAATATAAACATTTGCTTTTTAAAATTCTTTCTAGTATGTCTTTGTTTTCTGCAATGTTCATTTTTGTACTTATTTTATTATCTTTATACTTCTTATTTAATTCATTTTTATTTTAAAATTTCTGGATATAGATTTGTGGCTCATTAATTTTCTTCCTGCCATTTTTTCTCATATATATATTTAAGGCTATGATTTCTTTCTGATGTATTCTTCCTGGTCACTCCTTTATACAGTTCTCACTCAGTCCTCAGTGCTATCATCACATGTAATCTGTGCTCTTAGAAAATTTATATGAACTTGTGTTTTCTTGATATGTCTGCCCTTTTATTGAACTATGAATTTTTTAAGAAGAGTCATACCTAGTTCAACTATTTATTCCTTATGCCTATGCAATTCTTGGAATATGCAAAGTTTCACTGAATATTTGTTTAATAAATTAATTAACAAAATAATGAGTATTTTTAAGTCAAGGAATTTAAGCTGTTTGGACATTACAGTATTAACACTGAAATTAAAAGTGGTTTAATAAAATATAGAAAAAAGACCTTAAAATTAAGCCTTTGATACAGCAACTTGATACATGGCAAATCAGGTAGTACAGAGCAATGAGGAAAGAAGAACTTGTACATACAATAGTGTTGGAAAATCTGGATAATAAATGTAAGAAGACACTTACATTACACTCTAACAAACATGAATCTTCTAGTAGATTTCAGACCTAACTATAAAGGTAAGAGAAAACAATATGAGAGAATGCCTTAATGAAAGAAAACATAGGAAAATACCTTCATGGTAGAGAAATCATCAAAATTTCGGAAACAAAAACCATGAGGTGAAAATGTGGTGGATTAAGTTATGTCAAATTTAAGATTTTTTTGACAGAGATAAGGATTGCTATCCTACATAACTATAAAAAAAGTGTTTTGGCCTCTCATGTAGCTAGATTGGGAAACTATGTCATTCTGGCCAGTGGAGTACAAGCAAAAATGATAGAGTTACTTCTCATCAAAGATACTTAGGTAAGATTGTAAGGTCAAACCATGCTCTTTATTTTCCCTTCCTCTGAAACAGTAAAAGCCATATTTAGATGGTAGAGCCACAGATGGAAGACTTTTAGATCCTTAAGTCTCCATTCTGAAGAGATTGTTCTGGAGACCGACCAGAATTGCAAAAAACATGGGTCACCTGTTACTGCAGCGTAGCCTGTTCCATCCTATTACACATATCAATAAAGGATACTCACTGTAACCAAAGGCTAGAAAAAGGTGACCTCATGTCTAAAACCAAAATAACTAAATAAACAATAACAACAGAAACAAAATGAACTCCTACAAGTCAACAAGAAAAATACGGGAAAACTAATAAAAACTATGGGCAATGACAGGAATGTGTAATTCAAAACAGAGAATCACCAAATGATTAATATTTGATACTCTACTTCTATAGGAAGTTTGTCAATGTAAATTTTGGAACTAAGAATGCTAAAAATAGAAAAATGCCATATGTTGGTGAGAATTTGAAAATATTGAAGGTCAAATATTCTATTGAGAGTTAAAGTTACTGCCATTCTAAAAAGTGCTCTTGCAGAACTATGTAAAACTATGTATATAACTTTGGACTCAGAAATTCCACTGCTAGGGATATATGCACATTCAATTCTAATAATTGCTTCTCATTTGTTTGTAGTAAATATCCACTCTAAGAGAAACATAATTAAAATGTAGTGGACTAAATTATAGAATATTATGCAGCAATTAGAGGCTGTACATATATATGTAGATGTATATATAATATATATACACACACTAACATAGATTATAAAAACAGTATTGTGTGAAAAAAGAAAAAATGGTTTATATGTACAAAGATCGATAACATTTATGGAATTAAAAAATATATACACACAATACAAAGCAATGTTTTATACCAAAGCCCATGAGAATTTAAAGACATAGCAAACACAATAGAGTAGTACCCATGAGGCAACAAGCAAAGGAAGTATGACATCACATGGGAATGAAGGAGAAGAAAATAAAAAGAGAAACTTCTTGATATAGATAACTATGATAATGTAGTATTAATTGGAATGTATGGTTAACTCAACAGGCTATGTGTGAGGGCAAAGAAGAAACTAAATAAAAGAATAAAATATTGAGAAATCAAGAGTACTAAGAGTCGGCTGGGCGCAGTGGCTCACGCCTGTAATCCCAGCACTTTGAGAGGCCGAGGTGGGCGGATGATGAGGTCAGGAGTTCGAGACAGGCCTGGCCAACATGGTGAAACCTGTTACTACTAAAAATACAAAAATTGGCTGGGCATGGTGGCAGGCGCCTGTAATCCCAGCTATTCGGGAGGCTGAGGCAGGAGAATGGCTTGAACCTGGGAGGTGGAAGTTGCAGTGAGCCAAGATCGCACCACTGCACTCTAGCCTGGGTGACAGAGTGAGACTCCATCTCAAAAAAAAAAAAAAAAAATGAAGAGTCAAGAAATTCCCAACTGTGGTCTTCATTTGCTTCTGATTTTTAGGCTTATGGAAATAATATGAAAAAAGAGCTCATTAAAACAAAAGGGAAGATGATAAACTAACAAAAAACTTTATTTGACCCAAATTTTTATTTTAATATTGGAAGCAACAAAGAAAGTCACTTTTTATGCTCTGTAATTCTATGTTCAATATCTTTATTGAATTACACTCCCACATTATTAAAAGTCATAAACAAATATTTCTGTATCTTAAAATTTTTCTCTTTATTCTTGTATAATCAAAAAGTAATGGGAGATAAAAATGATTTTTTAATGCACTAGAAGGTAGGTATATTAAATATAGCTTTCTTTGTTGGGGCTCATTTGCAGTAGATTTTCCCTTCCTAAATATGTTTACTAAAATGAAAGTAAAATAATAAGCAAATTCTAGTGAGTCATCTATGCAAAATAAACTAGCTTGCCTGGTGACATAAAGAAATACTAGACAGTATGTGGTTATAATTTTGCACCGATATTCAGATAAATAATCACTGCAGGAAGCACAGGTGGGGCTGGTATTCAAATTCATAAATCTTCAGGTTTTCTAATGGTATCTAATAATTCAAATTCTTAAATAGATTGTGTACTAAGTGAAAATAATGGGACAAGGCCATATTTTGTAACTTCTTGTGGATATAAGTTTGCTTGTCTGTTGCAGTAAATTTATGCCAATTTTGTGGACCATACACAGTGTGATTTGTGACAATGGCCACTAACAAAAGCTTTTATTCTAAAGAGTTTGCTAATTTTCAAAAGGGCTTTTTGAGCATGAAACTACATACCACTATTTCTTTTCAGCTTTGTGTCAAGAAAAGGTCACTTTATGGGAGTTATTGTTTATGATATGTTAACATTCACAGGAAAGAGACTATGGTTATTTTAGGATCAAGATGACAGCTATATGAAATGATAATGTAGCTATATTGGGAAATGTAATTAAACTGCCTCTGTGTGTTGAATGATAATTGCAATGAGACTGCTCAGTGAAAATTTGATGATGAGACATGAAGAAATTCAAAGTCCTACTGACTCCAATCTTATTTAGAAATACAAAATTCAACCCAGATTGGTGAAAAACATTTGGTTCTATGTAAGTGTAAAGGGAACAAACAGTTAAAAATTGTTCTTTTCTCTTAAGTCAGCAAACTGTACTTTTGACAATTGCCTTTCCCCAAACTACAGAAGTCTTTCTCCTCGTACAGTTTTGAGCAAACAACACTTCAGCCTTTTGCCCATATATCTCTCCACTGTTAGGCCCAATACAGGAAAGAAGAACCCTGCGAGTAAGTGCTGCTCCAAGAGGGGCTGAGCCTGATTCCAGCAGACTCTCCCTTTATAAAGTCCAGGTGGCCCTGGAATCAGAAGAGCCTCAAAAAGTACTGCTCTTGCCATGAGATTTGTTTTCATTGACTTAGAGATACTACAGTTTACTTCAGTGGGTTTTCTAGAGTTGAGCTACCCTTGCATTCCTGGAAGAAACCAACTTGTAAACTGCATATTATCCAATTGGTAACATATATTTTAAAATAATGTGTTAATTTTAATTGAATGCATCCCACATATAATAGCACTATGGTTTATTTTCAAGCTTATTTTCTTGAAGAACTTTTTTTATTCTCATAAACCAAAAATTTTAGCAAGCAGCTTTAAAAATTTGTCATTGCATCAAAGTGGATGGTTTTGCTGTAAAGATTTGGGTGTTATCAGTTTATTCTATGTTTGTTTATTACTTGGCAGTTTTGTTCTGGTTCTTTCTCAATTCCGATCATCTATAAATTGGATCATCTCTCTTCTCTCCACAGTTACCATCTTTCTGATCATTTTCTCCTGTATGTTTTTTCTCTTTTACTCTTAAGGAGATTCTCTATTCCCCAATATCACTGATATAATTGTATATGATATAATTATATACTTTCTCTTCTTGGTACCTCTAAAGCACATTTTAATTTGCTGTTGTTGGCTGGTGGCTCATGCCTGTAATCCCAGCACTTTGGGAGGGCAAGGCGGGCAGATCACCTGAGGTCAGGAGTTTGAAACCAGCCTGGCCAACATGACAAAACCCTGTCTGTACTAAAAATACAAAAATTAGCTGGGCATAGTGGCGCACACCAGTAATAACAAGTACTCGGGAGGCTGAGGCAGGAGAATTGCTTGAACCCGGGAGGCAGAGGTGCAGTGAGTGGGGATCATGCCACTGCACTCCAGCCTGGGCAACAGAGTGAGATTCCATCTCAAAAAAAAAAAAAAAAAAAATTAAAAACAAAATTTGCTATTGTGCTTTTAGTTGCTCTTATTCTCAATATCTGTTAACTTTTTAAAATTTTATTCTGTATCTCAAGATAGCTCTATTTTCATCTCGTTTTTCTTTGTTATGTAATATTTATTGAAGAAACATGCATATGTATTTAAAACATTTTTTTGTTTTTGTAGAAAGCCTTTACATACTTAAAATTTATTCTGCACCTATATTAAAGTCAATCACTTACTCTTTGTTGTGGTTGCCACCTAAATAATTTTTCTCCGTTTTATTCATCCTTGAAAGAATGACAACCTATACATGTCCAATTTTTGTCACTTAATGAGTGTGAATCATCTCTTTGATCAACATCACAATCAAACTGGATGCTGCCATGAGATAACCTCACACATATTTTTGTTCTATAATACATCTGTTAATGTGGCTCTCCTGGTCTGGACAGATATTTCCTTCTGCTGCCATTTCTAAGTCCTCACAGTTTAAATATGTTTCTCCATAGTTAATGTGGAGTTAAGTTATAGCTCCTCTCTAGAAATAGTGCATTACATAATTTAATTCCCAGATTATACAACTACTGCAACTCTTTCTGTAAATCTCTGCTTGGTCTCACATCCTGGATATTCCAACTACATTTATTTTTACCCATGGGCATATTCCTGAATTTTTAGGAAGGGATTTCAGAGTTTTATCTTTTAATTTAATATTTTATCAGTGGAGATTTTTAATAGAATGAAATATTTAATTTTTAAAATGATGCCGGTTCCTTCATAGTCTCTGAAGCTAAAGACAGAGGCCACTTTATCAGCTAAGGCCTGGTATCATAAAATGTGACAGACAAATTTCTAAAAGCTAAAATTGGAATTCATTCATCCTTGAAGTTCTCGAAGTCATTCTTTGATTTTTAAACAATGAATAGTTCTTTGTCTAAGCAAAACAGCATTATTAAATTACCTTCAGTAATTGAAAAGGAAGAATATTTGAGTTGCAGGAAGTCCAAAGTAAAATCATATGAAGTAAACCAAACTTATAAATACCATATGTGTGGACTCTTTAGACAATGGCTTTTGTTGGTTCTATATGAAAGTAATAGAACAGCAGTTTGTATCATTGTCTTAAGCAGAAAAAGTCTGTAACAGTTTGAAGAATTAGACAATCCTGTTTTTTTCAATAAGATACTCCCCCTTTTTATATTTTAGTAATAACATGGTTTGAATAATAAGGGAACTGGCTAAGGTTTTTGTTGTTGTTATGTTGTTTGAAAGCCGTTGAAGATCCCGTCAGCCAAACTTGGAATTTGGTCCTTGGTATACCACAGAGCCAACCAACAGCAGCAAGCAGCAGTGAATGTGAATAACAAGTTCTCTTTTTTTCTTCCCCGTGTAAGTTAACAAATCACTGTTGTCTCCAGTATACAGAACCTCAGCATTGACATTCTAGAGGTAAAATGTATTTCACATTTTGAAAAGGACCAACCCTAAGACAGTTGGTAAAGTTAAAAAAAAATACTGTCTCTGAAGTCCTTCATTGACTTTCTGAGTTTATTTTACTTCAGCCATAGTCCAGGGAATCAGTCCTTTAAGATGGACACTTCTCCAATTCTTTCCACCAGATGAGAATATATGACAATTAAGTGAAAATTGATGCTAGAGTGAATTGATTCAATGATAATTTTCCACATTCCTCACAGTCATTCTCTAGGAATCTTGGTAAAACTTACATGTGTCATACAAGAGGGAGCATGGAATACGAGAGATGTGAGTTAAAATTTTACCTTTCATTTTTATTGGGCAATATTTACATATTACTTAATTTTATGCATATTCTCAATATCTTACTTGAAGACTTTCTGTCTTTATTATGAAAATTAAGCAATAAGGGGAGGAGCCAAGATGGCCGAATAGGAACAGCTCCAGTCTACAGCTCCCAGCATGAGCGACACAGAAGACAGGTGATTTCTGCATTTCCATCTGAGGTACTGGGTTCATCTCACTAGGGAGTGCCAGACAGTGGGCGCAGGTCAGTGGGTGCGCGCACCATGGGTGAGGCGAAGCAGGGCGAGGCATTGCCTCACCTGGGAAGCGCAAGGGGTCAGGGAGTTCCCTTTCTGAGTCAAAGAAAGGGGTGACGGAGGGCACCTGGAAAATCGGGTCACTCCCACCCGAATACTGCGCTCGCACCACAAGATTATATCCCACACCTGGCTCGGAGGGTCCTACCCCACGGAGTCTCGCTGATTGCTAGCACAGCAGTCTGAGATCAAACTGCAAGGCAGCAGGGAGGCTGGGGGAGGGGCGCCCGCCATTGCCCAGGCTTGATTAGGTAAACAAAGCAGCTGGGAAGCTCGAAGTGGGTGGAGCCCACCACAGATCAAGGAGGCCTGCCTGCCTCTGTAGGCTCCACCTCTGGGGCAGGGCACAGACAAACAAAAAGACAGCAGTAACCTCTGCAGACTTAAGTGTCCCTGTCTGACAGCTTTGAAGAGAGCAGTGGTTCTCCCAGCACGCAGCTGGAGATCTGAGAACGGGCGGACTGCCTCCTCAAGTGGGTCCCTGACCCCTGACCCCCGAGCAGCCTAACTGGGAGGCACCCCCCAGCAGGGGCACACTGACACCTCACACGGCAGGGTACTCAAACAGACCTGCAGCTGAGGGTCCTCTCTGTTAGAAGGAAAACTAACAAACAGAAAGGACATCCACACCAAAAACCCATCTGTACATCACCATCATCAAAGACCAAAAGTAGATAAAACCACAAAGACGGGGAAAAAACAGAACAGAAAAACTGGAAACTCTAAAAAGCAGAGCGCCTCTCCTCCTCCAAAGGAACGCAGTTCCTCACCAGCAACGGAACAAAGCTGGATGGAGAATGACTTTGACTTTGACGAGCTGAGAGCAGAAGGCTTCAAACGATCAAATTACTCTGAGCTATGGGAGGACATTCAAACCAAAGGCAAAGAAGTTGAAAACTTTGAAAAAAATTTAGAAGAATGTATAACTAGAATAACCAATACAGAGAAGTGCTTAAAGGAGCTGATGGAGCTGAAAACCAAGGCTCGAGAACTATGTGAAGAATGCAGAAGCCTCAGGAGCCGATGCGATCAACTGGAAGAAAGGGTATCAGCGATGGAAGATGAAATGAATGACATGAAGCAAGAAGGGAAGTCTAGAGAAAAAAGAATAAAAAGAAATGAGCAAAGCCTCCAAGAAATATGGGACTATGTGAAAAGACCAAATCTACGTCTGATTGGTGTACCTGAAAGTGATGGGGAGAATGGAACCAAGTTGGAAAACACTCTGCAGGATGTTATCCAGGAGAACTTCCCCAATCTAGCAAGGCAGGCCAACGTTCAGATTCAGGAAATACAGAGAACGCCACAAAGATACTCCTGGAGAAGAGCAACTCCAAGACACATAATTGTCAGATTCACCGAAGTTGAAATGAAGGAAAAAATGTTAAGGGCAGCCAGAGAGAAAGGTCGGGTTACCCTCAAAGGGAAGCCCATCAGACTAACAGCTGATCTCTCGGCAGAAACCCTACAAGCCAGAAGAGAGTGGGGGCCAATATTCAACATTCTTAAAGAAAAGAATTTTCAACCCAGAATTTCATATCCAGCCAAACTAAGCTTCATAAGTGAAGGAGAAATAAAATACTTTACAGACAAGCAAATGCTGAGAGATTTTGTCACCACCACGCCTGCCTTACAAGAGCTCCTGAAGGAAGCACTAAACATGGAAAGGAACAACCGGTACCAGCCGCTGCAAAATCATGCCAAAATGTAAAGACCATCGAGACTAGGAAGAAACTGCATCAACTAACGAGCAAAATAACCAGCTAACATCATAATGACAGGATCAAATTCACACATAACAATATTAACTTTAAATGTAAATGGACTAAATGCTCCAACTAAAAGACACAGACTGGCAAATTGGATAAAGAGTCAAGACCCATCAGTGTGCTGTATTCAGGAAACCCATCTCACATGCAGAGACACACATAGGCTCAAAATAAAAGGATGGAGGAAGATCTACCAAGCCAATGGAAAACAAAAAAGGCAGGGGTTGCAATCCTAGTCTCTGATAAAACAGACTTTAAACCAACAAAGGTCAAAAGACACAAAGAAGGCCATTACATAATGGTAAAGGGATCAATTCAACAAGAAGAACTAACTATCCTAAATATATATGCACCCAATACAGGAGCACCAAGATTCATAAAGCAAGTCGTGAGTGACCTACAAAGAGAATTAGACTCCCACACATTAATAATGGGAGACTTTAACACACCACTGTCAACATTAGACAGATCAACGAGACAGAAAGTCAACAAGGATACCAAGGAATTGAACTCAGCTCTGCACCAAGCGGACCTAATAGACATCTACAGAACTCTCCACCCCAAATCAACAGAATATACATTTTTTCAGCACCACACCACACCTATTCCAAAATTGACCACATACTGGGAAGTAAAGCTCTCCTCAGCAAATGTAAAAGAACAGAAATTATAACAAACTATTTCTCAGACCACAGTGCGATCAAACTAGAACTCAGGATTAAGAATCTCACTCAAAACCGCTCAACTACATGGAAACTGAACAACCTGCTCCTGAATGACTACTGGGTACATAACGAAATGAAGGCAGAAATAAAGATGTTCTTGGAAACCAACGAGAACAAAGACACAACATACCAGAATCTCTGGGATGCATTCAAAGCAGTGTGTAGAGGGAAATTTATAGCACTAAATGCCCACAAGAGAAAGCAGGAAAGATCCAAAATTGACACCCTAACATCACAATTAAAAGAACTAGAAAAGCAAGAGCAAACACATTCAAAAGCTAGCAGAAGGCAAGAAATAACTAAAATCAGAGCAGAACTGAAGGAAATAGAGACACAAAAAAACCCTTCAAAAAATTAATAAATCCAGGAGCTGTTTTTTTGAAAGGATCAACAAAAGAGATAGACCGCTAGCAAGACTAATAAAGAAAAAAAGAGAGAAGAATCAAATAGACGCAATAAAAAATGACAAAGGGGATATCACCACCGATCCCACAGAAATACAAACTACCATCAGGGAATACTACAAACCCTCTATGCAAATAAACTAGAAAATCTAGAAGAAATGGATAAATTCCTGGACACATACACTCTCCCAAGACTAAACCAGGAAGAAGTTGAATCTCTGAATAGACCAATAACAGGAGTTGAAATTGTGGCAATAATCAATAGCTTACCAATCAAAAAGAGTCCAGAACCAGATGGATTCACAGCCGAATTCTACCAGAGGTACAAGGAGGAGCTGGTACCATTCCTTCTGAAACTATTCCAATCAATAGAAAAAGAGGGAATCCTCCCTAACTCATTTTATGAGGCCAGCATCATTCTGATACCAAAGCCCAGCAGAGACACAACCAAAAAAGAGAATTTTAGACCAATATCCTTGATGAACATTGATGCAAAAATCCTCAATAAAATACTGGCAAAACGAATCCAGCAACACATCAAAAAGCTTATACACCATGATCAAGTGGGCTTCATCCCTGGGATGCAAGGCTGGTTCAATATACATAAATCAATAAATGTAATCCAGCATATAAACAGAGCCAAAGACAAAAACCACATGATTATCTCAATAGATGAAGAAAAAGCCTTTGACAAAATTCAACAACCCTTCATGCTAAAAACTCTCAATAAATTAGGTATTGACGGGATGTATCTCAAAATAATAACAGCTATCTATGACAAACCCACAGCCAATATCATACTGAATGGGCAAAAACTGGAAGCATTCCCTTTGAAAACTGGCACAAGACAGAGATGCCCTCTCTCACCACTCCTATTCAACATAGTGTTGGAAGTTCTGGCCAGGGCAATTAGGCAGGAGAAGGAAATAAAGGGTATTCAATTAGGAAAAGAGGAAGTCAAATTGTCCCTGTTTGCAGATGACATGATTGTATATCTAGAAAACCCCATCGTTTCCACCCAAAATCTCCTTAAGCTGATAAGCAACTTCAGCAAAGTCTCAGGATACAAAATCAATGTACAAAAATCACAAGCATTCTTATACACCAACAACAGACAAACAGAGAGCCAAATCATGAGTGAACTCCCATTCACAATTGCTTCAAAGAGAATAAAATACCTAGGAATCCAACTTACAAGGGATGTGAAGGACCTCTTCAAGGAGAACTACAAACCACTGCTCAAGGAAATAAAAGAGGATACAAACAAATGGAAGAACATTCCATGCTCATGGGTAGGAAGAATCAATATCGTGAAAATGGCCATACTGCCCAAGGTAATTTACAGATTCAGTGCCATCCCCATCAAGCTACCAATGACTTTCTTCACAGAATTGGAAAAAAACTACTTTAAAGTTCATATGGAACCAAAAAGGAGCCCGCATTGCCAAGTCAATCCTAAGCCAAAAGAACAAAGCTGGAGGCATCACACTACCTGACTTCAAACTATACTACAAGGCTACAGTAACCAAAACAGCATGGTACTGGTACCAAAACAGAGATATAGATCAATGGAACAGAACAGAGCCCTCAGAAATAACGCCGCATATCTACAACTATCTGATCTTTGACAAACCTGAGAAAAACAAGCAATGGGGAAAGGATTCCCTATTTAATAAATGGTGCTGGGAAAACTGGCTAGCCATATGTAGAAAGCTGAAACTGGATCCCTTCCTTACACCTTATACAAAAATCAATTCAAGATGGATTAAAGACTTAAACATTAGACCTAAAGCCATAAAAGCCCTAGAAGAAAACCTAGGCAATACCATTCAGGACATAGGCATGGGCAAGGACTTCATGTCTAAAACACCAAAAGCAATGGCAACAAAAGACAAAATTGACAAATGGGATCTAATTAAACTAAAGAGCTTCTGCACAGCAAAAGAAACTACCATCAGAGTGAACAGGCAACCTACAAAATGGGAGACAATTTTCGTAACCTACTCATCTGACAAAGGGCTAATATCCAGAAGCTGCAAAGAACTCAAACAAATTTACAAGAAAAAAACAAACAACCCCATCAAAAAGTGGGCGAAGGACATGAACAGACACTTCTCATAAGAAGACATTTATGCAGCCAAAAAACACATGAACAAATGCTCATCATCACTGGCCATCAGAGAAATGCAAATCAAACCACAGTGAGATACCATCTCACACCAGTTAGAATGGCAATCATTAAAAAGTCAGGAAACAACAGGTGCTGGAGAGGATGTGGAGAAATAGGAACACTTTTACACTGTTGGTGGGACTGTAAACTAGTTCAACCACTGTGGAAGTCAGTGTGGCGATTCCTCAGGGATCTAGAACTGGAAATACCATTTGACCCAGCCATCCCATTACTGGGTATATACCCAAAGGACTATAAATCATGCTGCTATAAAGACACATGAACACGTATGTTTATTGCGGCATTATTCACAATAGCAAAGACTTGGAACCAACCCAAATGTCCAACAATGATAGACTGGATTAAGAAAATGTGGCACATATACACCGTGGAATACTATGCAGCCATAAAAAATGATGAGTTCATGTCCTTTATAGGGACATGGATGAAATTGGAAATCATCATTCTCAGTAAACTATCGAAAGAACAAAAAACCAAACACCGCATATTCTCACTCATAGGTGGGAACTGAACAATGAGATCACATGGACACTGGAAGGGGAATATCACACTCTGGGGACTGTTGTGGGGTGGGGGGAGGGGGGAGGGATAGCATCAGGAGATATACCTAATGCTAGATGACGAGTTAGTGGTTGCAGCACACCAGCATGGCGCATGTATACATATGTAACTAACCTGCACAATGTGCACATGTACCCTAAACCTTGGAAAGTATATTAAAATATATATATATATATATATATATATATATATAAAGAAAATTAAGCAATACAACAACATAGGGGAAAGTATTTGCCACTTAATAGGCACTAAAATCATTTATTTATTTTAAAATGCTTTGTGATTTTAGAACTAGAAACCCTGGATAAGAGAATATTTGAGGCAAGTAGGTAATTATATAATCTGCTTATATACAGTGGCATCCTCACTTTTAAAGACTGGGAATCTTAAGCAATTATTTTAGGGAAAAGCTTTTCTCTACTCTCTTGTAAGTACCAAAAAAAAAAAAAAACTATCATCTTAGGAAGCATTTGGGAAGTAGGTTCTTCTCTCTTTACTTCATTCACTCCTCCTCATGGAAATAAGTGACACGTATTTGCAGAAATTGAAAGAATGCAATTCTTTCAATATGTACACATAGCTCAGCCTCTTCTGCATTTCTTTTTGGCCTAGCCTGCATGTAATCCAGGTTTAACTGCTGTTTCCATGTGGAAATATTCCTGGGTCAGGGTTCAGAGCCTGATTACTAAAAAGCCGTCCAAACAGCCATCTCTCTTTGTTTCTTCTCTTAAAGCTTAATAAATGTGCGGGGGTCATTCCTCTTGGAGGTGACTAGGGATGCATCTGTCCAGCAAATGCAGTCTCTTCATGGAAACGTCTCATTGCCTAGTCTCAAGAAGTATTTCGTCATAGGGCTACATTTTAACTTACTCCTTTTTTTTTTTTTTTTTTAAGACAGGGTCCCCGCTCTGTTGCCCAGGCTAGAGTTCAGTGACAAGATCTCAGCTCACTGCAACCTCTGCCTTCCAAGCTCAAGCAATTCTCCTACCTCAGCCTCCTGAGTAGCTGGGACTGCAGGAGCAACACCATGCTGCTGGGCTATTTGTGTGTGTGTGTATACATATATATATTTCTTTTTCCTTTTCTTTTCTTTCTTTTTTCGGGGGGAGGACGGAGTCTAGCTCTGTCATCCAGACTGAAGTGTGGTGGCCCGATCTCAGCTCACTGCAAGCTCCACCTCCAAGGTTCTCCAAGTAATTCTCCTGGCTCAGCCCCCTGAGTAGCTAGGACTACAGGCACACACCACCATGCCCAGCTAATTTTTGTGTTTTCAGTAGAGACAGGGTTTCACCATGTTGGCCAGGCTGGTCTCGAACTCCTGACCTCTAGTGATAAGCCTGCCTCGGCCTTCCAAAGTGCTGGGATTACAGGCGTGAGCCACCACACCTGGCCTATTTTTCTATATTTCGTAGAGATGGGGTTTCACCACGTTGCACAGGCTGGTCTCCAACTCCTGGGCTCAAAGGATTCCTCCTCCTCCTTGGCATCCCAAAGTGCTGAGATTACAGGCGTGAGCCACCTGCCAGGCCCATTTTAACTTTACTGTTGAATTGCCATCTGATTAATGTCTATAATCCAAACAGGTTTTGAATATACATAGAGAGAAAGGGGGGCTATGATTGGTAAATGAAAACACGTTGTTTATGTTGGGAAAAAACAATTTTTTCTAAGGGTAACTCATCCAATTGGTACTATCTTATGGGCTTTGTACATCCAAGATGGATATTAAAAGGTCAGGCAATTCTTTTGGAGCCATATTTCATCAATCCGTGATTATAGAGAAGATAAATCCAAGCCCAGATATCACATAGCTTTGTGGTTTTCTCACTTTCTGTATCCTCTGAACTCATTCCAAAGAGCCAAGTGATTGTGATGGAGATTTCTAGAGCTCACAAGTAGATGAGCAAATGAGTGCATTCCAATGTTCTGAGTTTGAGAATGTATTTTGATCAAATGAGTTACGAATGGCAACATTATATTTGAAAGATAAGAATTTCTTGGCAGGGCACTGTGGCTCATGCCTGTAATGCCAGCACTTTTGGAGGCTGAGGCTGGTGGATCACAAGGTTAGGAGTTCAAGACCAGCCTGACCAACAGGGTGAAACCCCGTCTCTACTAAAAATACAAAAAAATTAGCCAGGCATAGTGGTGCGTGCCTGTAATCCCAGCTACTCAAGAGACTGAGGCAGGAGAATCGCTTGAACCTAAGAGGCAGAGATTGCAGTGAGCAGAGATCACGCCACTGCACTCCAGCCTGGGCGACAGAGTGAGACTCCATCTCAAAAAAAAAAAAAAAAAAAAAGAATTTCTTGGGAATAGATTTAATTTAAAAAATGAAGAAACGAAGATTTAATAGTAAAAACAAAAGTTTATCAGTTTAGAAGGTATAATGTCATTTTTTCTTAATCAATTAGATATTTATAGTAAAACAATGACTGCAAGTTCTTCAGTAGAAGCTGAATTCGACTAGATGAGTAGTTTTAAAATATTTTAGCAACAAAGTGTTTTTAAAAAAATATATTAAATGTCGTCATGGATAATCTATACAAACCGATGAGAAAGTGGCTAACTAAGGCTAGGTAGTTTGTGGTATTATGCCATTAGATCACCTTAGGGCCCATGAGTTCCTTCTGTGAAACATACTTCCAACATTCCATATAGCATAGTAGAAAATCAGAGTCGTGGATAGTACAGCAGGAAAAAAACACACATTCTACCTATTTTGGATCTTATTTTCTCAGATCACCATTTTCCTCTTCAATCATTATGACAATTATAAACAATTAAAAACAGCAAGACTCATAATGTGCCAAACACTAGGCCTTATATACTTTATACTTCTGATACAAAATCTGT
The DNA here is from genome assembly GCF_000001405.40 of Homo sapiens. Classification (NCBI taxonomy): domain Eukaryota; kingdom Metazoa; phylum Chordata; class Mammalia; order Primates; family Hominidae; genus Homo; species Homo sapiens. The sequence continues at coordinate 87,633,530 of NC_000008.11, forward strand.
AAAGTAATAACATAACCTTTATTAACTATTATTATTAATGGGAAAATGAGTTCACTGCAAATTTTATACAAGCCACAATTCACAAATCATTATCATAAGTGTACATTTTTTTATCTATATTACATTTTATGTAGTGGGATAATTTTAAAATTATAAACATCTTTAAGGGTCAAATAATTCTTCAGCATATCCTCCCTAAACATAACTTCAATAACGCTTAAATTGCTACATTACTACATTTTGATTTTTCAATTCTGAGCATTGTATACTCCAAGTGTCCGCAAACATTTTCATCTCAGGACCCCTTTGCACTTTAAAAATTAAGAAGGACCTCCAAAGAACTTTTCTTTAAATGGGTTATATCTATTGATTTTTTTCTGGATACCAAATGCTATTGTTTATTAAGTATCTGCAATGTGCTGGACATATTATGTCATATGTTTACATGTATCATATTTACATTAGATATTATCTCTAAACCTCACAACAACCCTTCAAGACCCATAATACCAAGTCTATATTTCAAATGGGAAATGAGCTCAGAGGGGACAAATAACTTGCTCAGGTTTCTCAGTTTCCATGGAAGTGGCACAGATAGAATCTGAACCCTGCTTGTAACTACTTGGTGAATGGAAAAGAGAAGTATATGTATATGTATATATTTACCATACTACAAATTAAAACTTAGAAATTTTACAAGTTGTTTATTACATTTTGGTGTAATAATAATGTATGCAAATTACACCAATAACATCTTTCTATGAAAAATAACAGCATTTTCTGAAACAAAAATACTTAGTAAGAAGAGTGGCTTGCTTTACATTTTTGCAAATATCTTTAATGTCTACTTAATAGAGAATAACTGGATTCTCACACCTACTTCTGTACTGTCTGTCACAAAACATTGTTTTGAAGTATATGAAGAAAATCCAGCCTCACAACGCATATACTTGAGAAAGAGAAATTCTATCACACAATTGTGGATATTTTTCTTTGATACTAAATAAAAACTAGACAATAGCACTTTCTTAACATTTAGCTGCAATTTAAAACCTGAAACTATATTAAACTCTTACATTAAAATCTACTGGTCTCTCTTGTACCTTGAGGATCTTTTACCCAAATATAGGTGATTTGATAACATGCATACATTTGGACATTTGGAAAACATTGGCTATGATGCAGGTCATCCAGTGTTGACACACTTCCCTTTTTAATATCAAAAATTCATGTTCATTAGTACCACCAGTGACCACATGTGAAAAGTCTTTAAGTATTTGGAGGCTGTCAAGTCATTAAAAAAGTTGCAAAAATTCTCATCTTTGTTTGAAAATTCAAATTTTATCACTGACAATAAATACTGTCTATTGAATTGACAGGCTCACTTTGTTTATTTTTGAGAAAATGTCTATCAAATGTCCAAATATGAATACTCATATTTGTATAGCAGTTTTTTGCTTTAATAAAAACAGCATTCCATGTAAAAGGTTTAGATCACAACTCAATTGCATAAGTACACTTTTTCAAAACAACCATTGCAGTCAGTGTCTGGGGGAAGTGTTGTATGTGGACTTACCATTTCATCCCACAGAATATTTTAAAAATGTGTACCCAATGGTTACAACGTAATAAAATTAATATTTTTACCTCATCAGGTAAATTCTTCAGTAATACTCTAAAAATTTTTTTTGAAGTATACAATGACAAGGACATCTTGGAGTCTACTCCTTTCTTTGTGTTGATGCACTGTTGATCAGCAGTTTTAACACCGTGTGCAATGGAACAGGCAAATAACACTAAGCATTATTCTAAAAATAGTGTTGAGTCCATAGACCACCTAAGAATGTCTTTGGGATTCCCCAGGGGTCTGTGTACTAAACTCAGAGAATTATCACTCTCTTCTTCTATTAAAGAGAAACACCTAAATCTGTTTTATATACCAATATATGCACACTTCTGCCTGTAACTTTCATTTTTCATTTCCCCTATCCTCCAGAAACAAATGTATGAATGTTAAAATTGTTGCTTTCACAGGGATTAAAACTTATTTAGTTTTCTCTCACTTTTTGTACAGTTTTCATGAACTATTATCTTAGCTGCACACTTCGTGTCAAATATGTAGATCTCTTCTTGCTATGTTCGAACATAATAGGAATTGTATCAGGTTCATCCTTCAGGAAGTCTCTGTAGAATTTTCTGGCCTGCTCTGAACTTAATTTGTTAAATCCTAGACTTCTCATAGAATTTGTTACCCCCGAATTGCCATTCACCATAATCTTGAGACTAACCTTCCCCATTCTCTTCTTGGTCTTTCAATTTTCTATATCCTACAGCTCTCTCTTAGATTGCTCCTTTATTTTAATGGAGTTTGTTCCAGTCACCTCCAAAGAATAGAATCATGTGATATAAATGTCTTAGACCTTGCAAGTCTACAAATTCTGAGGTACATTCAAGTCAAATATTAGTTTTCCTGGGTATGGAATACCAGATTGAAAATATCTGCCCTCAGGATCTAGAAAGCATTTCTCTGGCACCACCTACTTCTCAGACTTGGGTTGACAAACTCCGGTGCCATTTTCATTCTTGATTCTTTTCTCTCTGAACTGTGTTTAAATTTTTATTTTATTTGCTCCAAAAATGGGAAGTATTATGATAACGTGTCTTGGTGAAGGTCTTCTATTTTCTATTTTGTTGAGAATTCAGTAGGTGTTTGGTCCTGTTAGATATGAATTCTAAATTTCTCTTCAAAGAATCAATATGTCAGTGTGCTCAATTCTTTGCCCTCTACTTTTAAACTTAACTTCCTCATAAAGCAACCTTTTTCAATCATCTGCTCCACCCCGAGTCATTCCGATTACCTGCTCCACCCTGACTCATTCCAATTTCGTGCTCTGCTATAACCATTTTTCCTGCCAAACCACTCACCCCATCACTCTCTTTAAATTAGCCAATCAGAATTAGTTTAGCCTGTGCAGTCTAACCCTAGCCAATAGGGAAACGACACAGCAGCAGGGGCCACGGGTGTCAAGAATAAGAACTCCTTCCCCTCCCTTGTCCAGGTGTGCACTCACCATTGCTCCATCTGTGAGGGCGCACCCTTCTATAGAAGTAAATTGCCTTGCTGAGAAGAAAAAAAGAAAATGTGATATTTTAGTGCTATTTCTTTTGTGGCACTGAAACTTTATTTATAACAGTCCCAGGAAATATTCTTGAATCACTTTGTCACTAATGTGTTCAACTCCATTTTCTCCATTTGATTGTTTTGAAACTACTAGTATTTTGATACTGAACCACATAGACTAGTCCTGTAATACTGCTATATATTTCTTTCTGAACTGTTCATATTTTTCTTTTTCATTTGTTCTCCTTTTGCTTAATTTTGCTCAAATTTGACTTCAATACTTCTATTAGTACTTTTGTGTCTGGTAACAGGGTTTTCACATCCAAGTGCTCTTCTAAATTCTTTATAAATTATCATTTTAAATAGAACAATCTATTTAAAAGTATCCTTTTCTTATCATATGAAAACAAATTCTGCCTTACTGGTCAGGATAGTCTTTAATTTTTTTAAATTATCCTTTCATATTACTTCCTCCAAGTAGCTGGGTTTTTGTTTTTGTTTTAGCTTTCTGTCTCTGTATTTTATTAGATATTATCTATAGTAACCTTCTTCTTATATCAGGGACTACAAAATTATTAGTAGCTCTTCGTGTGTGAGAGGGCCTCTTTGGCTATCACCTTTAGAGTAAGATAACTTAGATTAATTTGGAACTGATATTGTTATTATCTTCAGTTCCTGTGTTTTGGGATTGTCAGACATCCCAGAAATGTCTTCCCCAATTTCCTGCCTGGAGGGTGTAATTTTGGCTGATAGTAATCTTTGAACCAGATGCACTAAGAAAAATAAAGATTTCAAGGTTTAGTGTGTAAATAGTCACTTAATGTCCCTATTTTGAACATAATACATCTAGCCTCCATTGTACTTGTTATCCTTCAATGCATAGATTGTCTCTTTGACAATGTCCTGAGAATTACCTACATGCTGCATTCATGGAGAGGTTGAAATAGGCCGCCCATCCAGATGAACAGAATGTAAGGGAACACAGGAAATACAACTGCTGCCAGATTGGTGAGCCTTTGGTATCAGCTCGCTTTTTAGTTTACTACAACTGTTTCTGGTTTATAGCTTTTAAAATCTGATGAGTTACTTATCCTTCATTAATCTGTTTTCCATGTTCTAAAACTGGATTGCTACTATCAGACTTTCCTCTTCATCATTATGGTTTTATATATTTTGTAAAAAATTATCTTATAAGGGCTTCTGGTGGGATTGGAGGTCAATGTTTGCATTAAAACTGCCATTTTATGCAGTAGCCAGCTAATACAGCCTTATGTACAAATGATGTTTGAATACATAAACTTTTATTATGACATACATATAGATAAGTGTATAAACCATAAGTATACATGAGTATAACCAGAAAAAGAGCCTGACCATTATTCACATACCAGTAGCCTCCTTCATATCCTGAGCCCAAAGGTAAGTATTATTTTTATATCTGTCACCACACATTTATTTAGTTATATTGACTATTTTTAAACTTTATGTAAATGGATTAATACAGTGTGTACTCTATTTTATGCTGCTCTTTTTACTCAAATTTTTTTTGTGAAAATCTTTCATACTGTAGGATATAACAATATTTGCACCCTTTCATTGTTGTATAGTTTTCCATTTATAACCCTAATAATGGGGTTTTTACTTGTTTCCCATTATGGAGTAATACACATAATGCTGCTTTTAAAGTTCTTGCCCATGACTTTTGTTGTACATGAAATTAAATTTCTTTGGCTGTATATCCAGAAGTGAAATGTCTTCCTCATAGGTGGTGTGTATTTTAAACAAAACCCTACAATTTCAAACATTTGGAACTTTTAAAGTTATTGAAATATTAAGTAAAGAATTCCAAAAGTCCTCATATAGTAATTCATCATTTCTTACACATGGAAAATAGAGTACTTTTGTTTGATTTTTATAGAGAGAAATTTTTAATACACAAGGTTTCCAAATAAAGTTACAGTGAAATGGGTAGGAGTTAAGAAATAAAAATTAATAATATTCATATGTCACTAATATGAAATGCAAATGAATTAGCATAAGAAACCTCCTCTGAAAGATGGACAAATACTAATCATATTCCAGGATATTGATTGGAATATATTTAGCATTAGGAAACACAAGCAGTTCAAATGTTTCGTAGGCTCAGGGCCTATTTCTGATAAACCAAATTCAAACTTGTAAGGAGCATAAATTCTCTTTCCAATCTTGCACATATGCAGCCTTTTGATGAATGGTAAGTTTTGGAATTTAGGGCCACAGCCTATCACCCTAATTTTACTTCCTTTTGCCATTGTTTCTTCTGCTTATATTCTGCACCTCCCAAAAATTTATTATCACAGTATCATCAAAACTTTCACTCTCATGTTTTACAAATTTTATTACTCAATATCTAGGAGGAGGAAATTATATTCCAGAATACTATATCTATATTGATAACTAAAGAAAAGAATGTAAATTTCCACATTGTCTATACATTTTTGTCATTTTGATTTGTGTTAAAAATATACCTCCTCTAATTTCACCCATTCTCTTATTAGCTAAAACTTACATTTCTCATGCATCTTGCTTTTCTCTTACAAGAAGGCCACTCACTTCCTCATTTTTTCCTTCACCATAAAGTTCAGAAGGTTCTAACATTCCTCAGGTTCCACACTGTCTTCCAACTATCACTCCTCCCATGAAACTCCAAGCACACCACCTTCTTATCCTTGTTACAATTATCTATTAGAGTCATAAGATGATGCTATTTTTAAAAGACTATAGCACCTGACTCACTTTCTTTTCACCTTCATATTCTACCATCACGAGTATATCAATATGCATGATTATCACCAACATACATCATCTAAAGTTAAGTTCCTGTAATTTAATGTTTGTTGTAGTTTAACCACCTTTCTACTTTGGTATAATTTTTATATGACCACAAACTAAACTTGATGCATTTTCCCCCATAATGTGTCCCACATATTGATACATGAAATTTCTCTTTTCACATCCTTCTTTTACCACTATTTCAATCATTCCACTGAATTCACACTTCAAATACAGGAAATCTATCAGTTTGTTAAATCTTCATAAGTATCATGCTCTTCCAGTTCCTTCAGGGCTTTCAGTTTCTTTATTTTTTTTCAGATAGTTCGGCTCTCCTTTCACTAAAACCTCATATCCCCACAACCTTCCACTGTACTTGATCTTGACAATTCCCAACCATGGTTAAAACCAATGGTCTATTTGTATTATCTGAATAAAATTATGTAATCTGGAAAAACCAATAGTTCTTAACTTCAAATAGACCCTCAACTGTTGCTTGATGGTCTTTGCACAAGTTTCTAGTTGTTTAACTTTTCTATTTTCTTCTGTGGCTAGTCTTAGCCACTTCCTTTCACTCAGCCAAACCAAACTAAACTAAACAAACAACATAAACTATCCCATTAAAAAAATGAATACTTGAAATATGCTCAAATATAACCACAGGGCCACATTTCCTGGCATCTTTTCTATAGTCTCCATCTCAAGCCAAGGTAATCTTGCCCACTTGTGTCATTGCCAAGAAACCCTTCCATTCTCCTCTGAATTTGCAACCTTATTATCTTCTCCCTTACTCACCTTCATCATTTGTTCCTGTCAATCATCCTAGAAATATGTTAAGTATCCCCCCATTCAAAAGAAAATATTAATATTTAAAATTCACCCTTGAAGAGGGAGTAACTTTACAATTGAGAAACGTGATAAACCTTACTTAAATTAGGTGACCAAGGTCAGCTCCAACAGTCATAAATCATGTTGATGGTATGTAACTTTGATGTGATATAGTGAAGTAGCACTTTACTTCTTTAGTCTTCCTTCCCCAAGCCCATGCCGTTTTAAACTATGAGGAACTGTACTGTCCTAAACTGGCAAGGTCATCCAAAACAAGGAAAGTCTGAAAAATTATCACGGTCAAGAGTAGCTAAAGATACATGATGACTAAATATAAGGTGATGTCCTGGATGGAATCTTGGACGAGAATGGGGGCATTAGGCAAAAATTAAGATAATCTGAATAAAGTATGGTCTTTCGTTAATAATAATGTCTCAGTATAGGTAACATATATACCATAAAAATGTAAGATCTTAATAATAGGTTAAACTGTGTGTATGGGGGGAGCGAGACATGGGAACTCTCTTTACTCTCTGCTCAATTTTTTGTAAATCCAAAATTATTCTAAAAACTAAAGCCTTTTAAGAAAATTAAAACGAAAAAAGTAGGTCAAGAGTTAGGCAGTTGGACATGAAACAATTACCTGTATTAATAAAGCTGATATTTATATTAGCAATTGAAGCTTAAGTCTGTGACTATAATCTATCTTCTGATTCTAAACTCCAGAATTTGTCAGAATAATGAACAAAGTACAGCTTACAATGGAAAAACCCAGGCTTCTCCATGTTAAGATACTTCCTTAAAACTTACAAGAGCAAGGGACAAAACTGACCAGACCAGAGCTGCATACTCTGGGCAGCGAGTTCTCAAGAAGTAGGAAAGAGGAAACAGATCTTATCTGCAAATGCTAATTTGTAGCCCCAAAAATGCCACTGGAATTTTTTGGGAGACGCTAGTGTGAGAGGACAGGCCAGGATTACAGCTAATCAAGGCCTCTTGACACAGAAAAAATGGCAGAATGGGATATCCCTCCGAGAGAGAAGACTGATTCCAAGAAAAAGTCTCATATGTCCCAGTTACAAAAAGAAAAAAACAGAAAAATCCCCCCTGAAGTTTCCTGATGTGAGTTCAGCTGGTAGAATCTGAACAAGGCAAGGAGAGCATCCTCCTGGAGGGAGAAACAGCGTGAGGTATCAGAACCCAAGTGTGATGAGGATAGTCACACAGACAAAGGGGTAGCAGTAGCAATGGAAAACTGGTAACATGTTAGGGGTATTTGATTTAAAAGAAAGTAACTATATAAAAGGTAATAAGAGCCATATATCTTACTATCTTACTGCAAGAGAAGAGTAACACAAAGTAGGACCATTAAACTGTAGTGATTAGCTGGCAATGGAAATACCTATGTGAAGTGAACTCATAGTTTTCATCATGTATACAGACAACATGTAAATACATATATTTAGCATAACTAGGCACCAAATTTAAGCTTATAAATACTATTTTGCATTAAAAGAAACTGAGACTCTTTGAAGAGATGACTACTTTGAGGTCAGCAGGAGGGAAAGTACAATAAGTCTGCAATATCTTGCACCACGAAGTGGAGACATTATCAAGAATGATGAGGAGAGGGCAAAAGGGCACAGGAGCCAGAATGAAAAGGATCTCACTCCCCATTTCTGGAACAAGTTGAGAATCAAGATAAATAGTGGAAGTAGTAAATTATAACTCATCAAACAATAGGAATTTGTATAGATATAAGTCAATTAATTAATTACAAGTTTAATGAATACAGTTTTATATAGCTTCAAAATATCTTCCAACAAAAATATTAAGTATAAAAAGAAAACATAACTCCACGTCATAGACATAGACAACACCACTTCAATCTAGTGATCAAAGTGGACACCATAAATAATGGGAAAAATTACAAGTGTGCCCACCTACTAGAATGAGAATATGGCATAACGTCTATTCTACTAAAGAAGTGGCACTTGACCCTAACAATGGGAAAACTGAGAGACATACTACAGAATATTTTAACTGTAATCCTCAATAAAGAAAAGATAATAAAATCAAAGAAAGACTGAGAAACTGTTTCAGAATGAATGAAAGTAAAGATTTCTGAAAACTAAAAGGAATGCATGATTTCAAACTGAATATTTTTGCTGTATTGAAGGTTATTGTGACATTTTGTAAAAGTTAAATGGGATTAGAGTTAAATGGCAATCATGTGTCAATATTAATTATGTGGTTTGATGGTTAAATTGTTACTATATAGGAGAATGTTTTTGTTTATAAGAAAAACCTACTAAGGAATTCAGAGGTGATGTGGCATCAGGTTGACAATCTACTTTCAAACAGTTCAGAAAAATAAGTGTTTTGCATTGCACTCACAAGTTTCCTTTAAGTCTGAGATTGTCTAGAAAATTTACCCCGAAGAATCTGCCTCATTCTCAGGTAAATAGTCCATTTTAATCTTATGGTTGTTAAACTTCTTAGAAGATGTGTCTCTTCCACATCCCCATTTTTATCAACCGCAGCTTGAAATTCTTCCAACAGCAATCTAACAAATTACTGTTATCTTAGAATTAACTGTTGGCATTCTTTTTTATTTTTTAAACAATTTATTTTCCTAAATCTAAAATAATACATATTCATTAAAGATAATTTGCCATTTACAGAAAAAATTAAAAGTGGAAAAACAAAACACTGTAATCTGATCATCAAAGGATGATTATAACTAAAATTTGGGCCTTTTGCCTTCTGATCATTTTATTTTGCAGAAATATACTTGCCCTCCTATCATCCTTTCTAATCATAGATATATTTGTGAAGTGAGTTTATGAGCAAGGTCTCCAGTTGCATTCTTTTCATTAACTCATGGGCTTAATTTATCTTGTTTTTTTATCTACCATTTTGTCAAAACTGCCTTTGTCAAGGTCCTCAACATTTACATAACCAAATTCATTGAGTAGTTGTCATGTCTTCTAATATTTTAATTTGACCAGTATTTACACAGCTGAAAATTAACAATTCCTTGAAATAACTTGAAATTACACCTTGCTTGGAGTGAAGTCATTCCTGTTTTTTTTTTTTTTTCTTGGTTTTTTTTTTCTTAACTGGCTGATCCTTGGATGCCCTTTCCCAGGCGCTTTTGTTGGTTCCTTCTCATAGCTCCAAATTCTAAAGGTCTGAGCATCCCAGACTTTCACGCTTGGATCTTTTCTATATTTATGTATGGATTCCTAGATGAATTATACATGAAGTTATTATGTTCTCATCCTATATAATGTATTTATGTATAATCAGTTATTTTCCATTGATTTATATGTTTATTCTTACAATATTACACTTGATTACTGTAGCTTTGTAATAAGTCTTGAAATCAAGTAATATAAGTTACACAGCATGCTTCTTTATTTTTCAAATTACTTATCTTGTTGGAGGTCCTTGTATTACCACATAAATGTTAGAATCAGCTTATTAATATTTACAAAAGAGACTACTATCATTTGAAATTTAATTTTATTGAAATTGTAAACCAATTTGGAGAAAATTAATGTTTTAACAATATTAGATTTTCTGATCAAAGACAATATGTAGTGTCATTTATTAAGGTCTTTAACTGCAAAGTTTTGCAGATTTCAGTGTTGAATTTATTTCTAGTATTACACAGTTTGGGATGTTATTATAAATGTTATTGGTTTATTAATTTCAATATTCAGTCATTTGGTTTTAGTGTTTTGGAAATGCCAAAAATCCTTATTGTCCCTGTATTCAATGAAGTTAGTAACATCCTTTCCCTATTTAGTAGCTATTTGTAGATTTGTTTATTTTTTATGTATACAATCATGTCATCTGTGAACAGTGTGTTTCTTTTTTCTTTCTAATCCACATGCTTTTATTTATTTCTCTTGTTATATATTAGTGTCTAGGTTCTGCTGTACAATAAAAATGTTTAGAGTAAGTATTCTTGTCTTGTTTGCAATCTTAGGGGAAAAGAGCTCAGTCTTTTAGCATCAAGTGTGACTTTAGCTATAAGCTTTACTTACATGATCGTTAAAAGAATGAGTAACTTTCCTTCCATTCCTACTTGGCTGAGTGATTTTATCATAAGTGTCGAATTTTTGACATTTTTTTAGTTGACCATAAGATTTTGTTCTCTTTTATTTTGACTAAATGGTAAAGTATAATGATTTACTCCTAAATATTAATCCAATATTTCATTCCATGGGGCCGAGGTGGCAGTGTGGGGGCAGGGGAGTGAACACATTTGTTCATGATATCTTATATATTGCTGTATTTGATTTATGATTATTTTAATGGTTCTTACAGCTATGTTCATGAGGGATTTTGTTTTCTTATACTGTTTCTGTCTGGTTTAAAGACCAAGATTATTCTTGCTTAATACAATGAGTAAGGAGGTATTTTAATCTCTTCTATTTTTTGCAAGATTTTATGTTAATTTTGCTATTATTTTTCATTAACTATTTTATAGCATTCACCAGCAGAGACCAGTTGGCCTGGAGTTTTCTTTAATAATAGGTTTTTAATTAAGATTACATTTTTAAAACAGATATAAGGATTTTTAAATTTTACTTCTTCTTGATTCAATTTTGGTAAATTGCATCTTTGAAAAACAACTTCTTTATTTTATCTCGGTATTAGATTTATTGATGTAAAGTCATTCATATGATTCCTTATTGTCATTAACATCTATAGAATTTATAGCATCATCTCCCTCTCATCCTGATATTGATCATTTGTCTCCTCTGTTTTACTTAATCAGTCAGATTGAGATATTTACAAATAACTAGGTTTTGCCTTCAAAGATTTTTTTAAATTATTTGTTTTTCTTGCATTGCTTTCTGTCTTTGTTATTGTAATTTCCTTTTTTCTACTTATTTTGGGCTTAATTTAGTCTTCATTAACTAACTTCTTGTGGTGTCAATTTAAGTCATTTGCTTTAGACATTTCCTGATTCTGAAAATAAGCATTAAATTATACAATTCTTTCTAACTGCTGTTTAAGTTGCACTACACATTTTTCATGTGTGGTTGTTTCATTTTTCACTAGTTTCAAAATACTCTGAAATGCTTATGTTGTTTTTTTCTCTCCATGGATTATTTTGAATTGTACGGTTTAATTTCCAAAAATTTGTGATTTTTTTCAGTTAACCCTGTTATTGACTTGTAGTTGTGATAAAAGAACATACTCTATATGATTTTAACTCTATTAAGTTATTAACAGCATATCCCAGTTTGCATTGGCCAGAATTCTAGATCACTTTAAAAAATGACATATTCTGCTGTTGTTGAGTGGGTCTATTATATTCTGATTACTTATTTATCAATAACTGAGAGATGAGTATCTAAATCTCCAATTATAATTGCAAACTGATCGATTTCTCCTGTTAGTTCTGTCCATTTTACTTAATGTATTTTAAGCTCTATTGTTAGTTGCATCCTTATTTATATCTTTTTAATAAATGCAACCTAGCTCTTTAAAGTATCCCTATATATGCTGGTAATATTTCTTTTAATCTCATATTTATGTAGTCATTACAGCTTTATTATTCTTAGTGTTTGCATGGTACACTTTTTATTCATCTTTTATTTTGAATCCATCTGTGCATTTATACATAAATGAGTTTCTTGTGACACCATATAGCTGGATCTCACTTTTAAAGGTTTAGTCTGCCAAGATTAGCCTTCTGATTGGTGTTTTTAGACCACTTACATTTAATGAAAATTTGACAAGATTTAGTTAAAATATACCTGTAATTTATTTTTTCCATATATTATTTCTGTATTTTTTTTCTATTTTCCTTTCCTTCTTTTAGAAGGAAATTTGAATTGTTTTTTGTTTTTATTATAAGTGCTTCATTTAATACCACTATTGGTTTATTAACTATACTTCTTTAATTATCTTAGTGGTCATTCTATGGTTTACAATATGCGTTTTTAGAACAAAAATGAAAATGTTACAGAACACTGATAGATTCTGGATATATTTTGAAGGTAAAGAGATGATGATCTCCTAGTGAACTGGATATTATATGTTAGAGCAATAGAGAAGGCAAAGCTGATTCCAAAGTTGTTTGTGTGAGGGACTGGAAGGATAGAGTTTCCAAATGAATGAAAAGGATAAGTGTATAGTAGGTTTGGGTTTGGATGTAGAAACCAGGAATTCTCTCAGTTTTGGACAAGTTGTTTAAAATAGACATCCAAGTGAAGAAATTAAGTACTCAAATATTAAATCAAATGTTTGGGAAACATATCTAATCTGAATTTGGGAGTTATAGCATAAGAATGTTATTTAAAGCCAGAAGACTAAACAAAGTTATCAAGATCGTGAGCGTAGGTAGACAAGAAAAGAGGAAGAAGGACTAAGCTGAAGGACTCAAGTACACATTAAACTTAAGAGAGGTGAGAAGAAACTAGTAAAGAAGACTGAGAAGAAAGTAACAGTGAGAACAAGGAAAACAGAATATGTTGTCCTAGAAAGTATTATCTCCTTTCATTGCAGGTTTCAGTCACCTGCAATGAAACTCTGCATTTATGTCCCACATTAATTAGATAGAAAGTTATGTCTGATCTACCAGTGAATATTTCTGAATGATACCTCATTTCCACTGCCTTGCTTAAAATTTCCTTTGTGTGTCAGTTGCAGCTCCCGAGGAGTTCCCCCTTGGCCTCCATGTTCCCAGTCTCTGGTTCTGTTATCCATCATTCATACTGTAGCCACAGTAGCAAGCAGTTTAAAGAAAAAAAATGTAATCAACTGTTTGCAAGTCTTTGAGAGTGTCTTATTATCCAAAAGATAAATTTGTAAGTCCTTAGTATGATTTTCAAGTTCCTTCACAATATACCTCCTAGTTATCTCAAAAATCTCAACCCCATCACTTCATCTATATCCCAACAGTATAGCCATCCCATGTATTTATCATATTTATCAATACTTCTGCCTGGAACAATTGTTTTCACACAGTCAATCTGCATTTATTCTCTCTAGTCCAATCCAACCGTCAAGTCTACTAGAAACTTTTTATTAATATCCCTAGGCAAAGATTCCCAAGAAGTTTATGCATAACTCCATTACAAGATTGTTATGGGTTAAATTGTGTCCCCCTTCCAAAAAAAAAAGTAAATTGAAATCCTAACTTTTGTTACCTGAGATTTTGAACTTATTTGGAGACAAAGTCAGCAAAGAAGTCAACAAGTTAAAATGAGGTCATTAGGATGGGCCCTAATACAATATAATTTGGAGATAGACACACACAGGTAGAATGTCATGTGAAATGAAGATAGAGATTGGAATGATACCTCTGCATGGAACATTAAAGATTGCCAGAAAACTACCAGAAACCAGGCAAGAGGCTTAGAATATATTTTCTCTCATAACCCTCAAAAGGGACTAACTCTGCCAAAACCTTGATCTTAAACTTCTAGCCTCTAGAATGTGAGACAATATATTGTGTTGTTTAAGCCATACAGTTTGTGCTGTTTTGTTACAGTAACCCTAGCAAATTAATACAAGAATATAATCCCACTTTTAGTTGTTTTTGTACCTATGTCAATGTGTACTAACATAATAATTTATTCATCACTGATCCACCAGCATTTGGTGAATATAGTAGTTTTTAAAATGGGTATCTATCTACATTAATAATACAAAAGTATTTTTGTGTATAAACACAGGGTCCTAAAGATATTTCTATTGGTCTTTGATGAAATGAAATACGTTCTTGGAAAAATAAAATTAATTATACTTGTGTGTATTATATGATTCTGTTATTTTTTAAACATTAAAACTTCATTTTGTAGCTACTTTACCCATTTCATGCAGAGACTTAATCTTTAATAGCAATGGTTACCTCTATTCAGGTACCATGTACATATAAATTAACCTTTCAGCCACTTAACAAAGGAAAAGACTATAAGCTCTTCTGTAAACCTAAAGTAAGAAAACTATATAGTAACCTAATAAAGGGACTAGAAAGCAGAGTTAAAAAAAAAACAAATAGCAAAACAGTGTACTGTAAATATCGTGAAGACTACAACAAATAAAAATGATTAACATAAAATCCCAAGGCCTCAATGCTTCAGTTTTATTAATCAGCAAGTAGAGAGGTGAGATATAGACAAGGGAAGGAAGAGTCTGATCTGAATCCTACTCAGTTCTGTTCTTCCGACATACAGACCTCCTGGACAGAAATAAAGTTAAAAGTCCCCGTGTTTGACTGGAAGAAGTTGAAAGAAATCCCCAGTATGTGACAATTTCCCTATTTCACTGTCAAGCAAATACTTTCAGAAGAAAATCCAGTGTCTTAAATGTCCCTGTCTGACAGCTTTGAAGAGAGTAGTGGTTTTCCCAGCACACAGCTGGAGATCTGAGAACAGACAGAATGCCTCCTCAAGTGGGTCCGTGACTCCCAAGTAGCCTAACTGGGAGGCACCCCCCCAGTAGGGCCAGACTGACACTTCACACGGCCGAGTACTCCTCTGAGACAAAACTTCCAGAGGAACGATCAGGCAGCCATATTTGCTGTTCACCAATATCCGCTGTTCTGCAGCCTCCGCTGCTGATACCCAGGCAAACAGGGTCTGGAGTGGACCTCCAGCAAACTCCAACAGACCTGCAGCTGAGGGTCCTGACTGTTTGTTAGAAGGAAAACTAACAAACAGAAAGGACATCCACACCAAAACCCCATCTGTATGTCACCATCATCAAAGACCAAAGGTAGATAAAACCACAAAGATGGGGAAAAAACAGAGCAGAAAAACTCTAAAAATCAGAGCACTTCTCCTCCTCCAAAGGAATGCAGCTCCTCACCAGCAATGGAACAAAGCTGGATGGAGAATGACTTTGATGAGTTGAGAGATGAAGGCTTCAGATGATCAAACTACTCCGAGCTAAAGCAGGAAGTTCGAACCCAGTCAAAGAAGTTAAAAACCTTGAAAAAAAATTAGACGAATGGCTAACTAGAATAACCAATGCAGAGAAGTCCTTAAAGGACCTGATGGAGCTGAAAACAAAGGCATGAGAACTACGTGACGAATGCACAAGCCTCAGTAGCCAATTCAATCAACTGGAAGAAAGAGTATCAGTGATGGAAGATCAAATGAATGAAATGAAGTGAGAAGAGAAGTTTAGAGAAAAAAGAATAAAAAGAAACGAACAAAGCCTCCAAGAAATATGGGACTATGTGAAGAGACCAAATCTATGTCTGATTGGTGTACCTGAAAGTGACGGGGAGAATGAAACCAAGTTGGAAAACACTCTGCAGGATATTATCCAGGAGAACTTCCTCAATCTAGCAAGGCAGGCCAACTTTCAAATTCAGGAAATACAGAGAACACCACAAAGATACTCCTCGAGAAGAGCAACTCCAAGACACATAATTGTCAGATTCACCAAAGTACACATAATTGTCAGATTCACCAAAGTTGAAATGAAGGAAAAAATGCTAAGGGCAGTCAGAGAGAAAAGTCGGGTTACCCACAAAGGGAAGCCCATCAGACTAACAGCTGATCTCTCGGCAGAAACTCTACAAGCCAGAAGAAAGTGGGGGCCAATATTCAACATTCTTAAAGAAAAGAATTTTCAAACCAGAATTTCATATCCAGCCAAAATAAGCTACATAAGTGAAGGAGAAATAAAATACTTTATAGACAAGCAAATGCTGAGAGATTTTGTCACCACCAGACCTGCCCTAAAAGAGCTCCTGAAGGAAGCACTAAACATGGAAAGGAACAACCAGTACCAGCCACTGCAAAAACATGCCAAATTGTAAAGACCATCGAGGCTAGGAAGAAAATGCATCAACTAACGAGCAAAATAACCAGCTAACGTCATAATGACAGGATCAAATTCACAGATAACAATATTAACCTTAAATATAACTGGGCTAAACATTCCAATTAAAAGACACAGACTGGCAAATTGGATAAAGAGTCAAGACCCATCAGTGTGCTGTATTCAGGAAACCCATCTCACATGCAGAGACACACATAGGCTCAAAACAAAGGGATGGAGGAAGATCTACCAAGAAAATGGAAAACAAAAAAAGGCAGGGGTTGCAATCCTAGTCTCTGATAAAACAGACTTTAAACCAACAAAAATCAAAAGAGACAAAGAAGGCCATTACATATTGGTAAAGGGATCAATTTAACAAGAAGAGCTAACTATCCTAAATATATATGCACCCAATACAGGAGCACCCAGATTCATAAAGCAAGTCCTTAGAGACCTACAAAGAGACTTAGACTCCCACACAATAATAATGGGAGACTTTAACACCCCACTGTCAACATTAGACAGATCAATGAGACAGAAAGTTAACAAGGATATCCAGGAATTGAACTCAGCTCTGCACCAAGCGAACCTAATAGACATCTACAGAACTCTCCACCCCAAATCAACAGAATAAACATTCTTTTGAGCACCACACCACACCTATTCCAAAATTGACCACATAGTTGGAAGTAAAGCACTCATCAGCAAATGTAAAAGAACAGAAATTATAACAAACTATCTCTCAGACCACAGTGCAATCAAACTAGAACTCAGGGTTAAGAAACTCACTCAAAACCGCTCAACTACATGGAAAATGAACAACCTGCTCCTGAATGACTACTGGGTACATAACGAAATGAAGGCAGAAATAAAGATGTTCTTTGAAACCAATGAGAACAAAGACACAACATACCAGAATCTCTGGGACGCATTCAAAGCAGTGTGTAGAGGGAAATTTATAGCACTAAATGCCCACAAGAGAAAGCAGGGAAGATTTAAAATTGACAACCTCACATCACAATTAAAAGGGCTAGAGAAGCAAGAGAAAACACATTCAAAAGCTAGCAGAAGACAAGAAATAACTAAGATCAGAGCAGAACTGAAGGAAATAGAGAAACAAAAAAACTCTTCCAAAAATCAATGAATCCAGGAGCTGGTTTTTTGAAAAGATCAACAAAATCGATAGACCGCTAGCAAGACCAATAAAGAAGAAAAGAGAGAAGAATCAAATAGATGCAATAAAAAATAATAAAGGGGATATCACCACCAATCACACAGAAATACAAATTACCATCAGAGAATACTATAAACACCTCTACGCAAATAAACTAGAAAATCTAGAAGAAATGGATAAATTCCTCGACACATACACACTCCCAAGACTAAACCAGGAAGAAGTTGAATCTCTGAATAGGCCAATAACAGGCTCTGAAATTGAGGCAATAATTAATAGCTTACCAACCAAAAAAAGTCCAGGACCAGATGGATTCATAGGTGAATTCTACCAGAGGTACAAGGAGGAGCTGGTACCATTCCTTCTGAAATTATTCCAATCAATAGAAAAAGAGGGAATCCTCCCTAACACATTTTATGAGGCCAGCATCATCCTGATACCAAAGCCTGGCAGAGACACAACAAAAAATGGGAATTTTAGACCAATATCCCTGATGAGCATTGATGCAACAATCCTCAATAAAGTACTGGCAAATTGAATCCAGCAGCACATCAAAAAGCGTATACACCATGATCAAGTGGGCTTCATCCCTGGGATGCAAGGCTGGTTCAACATATGCAAATCAATAAATGTAATCCAGTGTATAAACAGAGCCAACAACAAAAACCACTTGATTATCTCAATAGATGCAGGAAAGGCCTTTGACAAAATTCAACAACCTTCATGCTAAAAACTCTCAATAAATTAGGTATTGATGGGATGTATCTCAAAATAATAAGAGCTATCTATGACAAACCCACAGCCAATATCATACTGAATGGGCAAAAACTGGAAGCATTCCCTTTGAAAACTGGCACAAGACAGGGATGCCCTTTCTCACCACTCCTATTCAACATAGTGTTGGAAGTTCTGGCCAGGGCAATTAGGCAGGAGAAGGAAATAAAGGGTATTCAATTAGGAAAAGAGGAAGTCAAATTGTCCCTGTTTGCAGATGACATGATTGTATATCTAGAAAACCCCATCGTTTCCACCCAAAATCTCCTTAAGCTGATAAGCAACTTCAGCAAAGTCTCAGGATACAAAATCAATGTGCAAAAATCACAAGCATTCTTATACACCGATAACAGACAGAGAGCCAAATCATGAGTGAATTCCCATTCACAATTGCTTCAAAGAGAATAAAATACCTAGGAATCCAACTTACAAGGGATGTGAAGGATCTCTTCAAGGAGAACTACAAACCACTGCTCAATGAAATAAAAGAGGGTACAAACAAATGGAAGAACATTCCATGCTCATGGGTAGGAAGAATCAATATCATGAAAATGGCCATACTGCCCAAGGTAATTGATAGATTCAATGCCATCCCCACCAAGCTACCAATGACTTTCTTCACAGAATTGGAAAAAACTACTTTACAGTTCATATGGAACCAAAAAAGAGCCCGCATTGCCAAGTCAATCCTAAGCCAAAAGAACAAAGCTGGAGGCATCATGCTACCTGACTTCAAACTATACTACAAGGCTACAGTAACCAAAACAGCATGGTACTGGTACCAAAACAGAGATATAGACCAATAGAACAGAACAGAGCCCTCATAAATAATGCTGCATATCTACAACTATCTGATCTTTGACAAACCTGAGAAAAACAAGCAATGGGGAAAGGATTCCCTATTTAATAAATGGTGCTGGGAAAACTGGCTAGCCATATGTAGAAAGCTGAAACTGGATCCCTTCCTTACACCTTATACAAAAATTAATTCAAGATGGATTAAAGACTTAAATGTTAGACCTAAAACCATAAAAACCCTAGAAGAAAACAGAAGCAATACCATTCAGGACATAGGCATGGGCAAGGACTTCATGTCTAAAACACCAAAAGCAATGGCAACAAAAGCCAAAAGTGACAAATGGGATCTAATTAAACTAAAGAGCTTCTGCACAGCAAAAGAAACTACCATCAGAGTGAACAGGCAACCTACAGAATGGGAGAAAATTTTTGCAATCTACTCATCTGACAAAGGACTAATATCCAGAATCTACAAAGAACTCAAACAAACAAATTTACAAGAAAAAAACAAACAACCCCATCAAAAACTGGGCGAAGGATATAAACAGACACTTCTCAAAAGAAGACATTTATGCAGCTAAAAGACACATGAAAAAATGCTCATCATCACTGGCCATCAGAGAAATGCCAATCAAAACCACAATGAGATACCATCTCATACCAGTTAGAATGGCGATCATTAAAAAGTCAGGAAACAACAGGTGCTGGAGAGGATGTGGAGAAATAGGAACTTTTCTTACTTTTACACTATTGGTGGGACTGTAAACTAGTTCAACCATTGTGGATATCAGTATGGTGATTCCTCAGGGATCTAGAACTAGAAAAACCATTTGACCCAGCCATCCCATTAATGGGTATATACCCAAAGGATTATAAAACATGCTGCTATAAAGACACATGCACATGTATGTTTATTGTGGCACTATTCACAATAGCAAAGACTTGGAACCAACCCAAATGTCCAACAATGATAGACTGGATTAAGACAATGTAGCACATATACACCATGGAATACTATACAGCCATAAAAAATGATGAGTTCATGTCCTTTGTAGGGACATGGATGAAGCTGGAAACCATCATTCTCAGCAAACTATCGCAAGGACAAAAAACCAAACACCGCATGTTCTCACTCATAGGTGGGAATTGAACAATGAGAACACATGGACACAGGAAGGGGAACATCACACACTGGGCCCTGTTATGGGGTGGGGGAAGAGGGGAGGGATAGCATTAGGAGATATACCTAATGTTAAATGATGAGTTACTGGGTGCAGCACACCAACATGGCACATGTATACATATGTAACAAACCTGCACATTGTGCACATGTACCCTAAAACTTTAAGTATAATAAAAAAAAAGAAAAAAAATCCAGTGTCTAATGTGTACCAAACACTCTCTAGATGCTAGGAAAGTACCCAAGTCTCACGTAGCCTTTATTCTCATGCAGGAAATGTACAAACAAGCTCAATAAGTAAAGACATAGTAAATTTTCTCCTTTGCTACATGCAATGGAGAAAAATAAAGCTGGGTTGTCAGATACAGAATATACTGGGAAGGAATGATTGAATTTGTAGGTAAGGTAGCCAGGGAGAAGACTTCAGTAAGATTATGTTTGAGTAGAGACATAAAAGAGTTGAAAAACAGAGCCATGTTTAATCCCTCTAGGAGAAGAACATTCCAGCTAGAAGGGAAAATAAGTGCAACCATGAGAGAAGGCTTTACCTTGCATGACTAAGAAAGGATAGGAGACCATGAGAGAATGGGTAAGGTCAGAGAGGCAATGGGAGAAAAATAAATTGCGTAGACCTTGTAGCCATTGTAATGACTTCTTGCTGTTGGTATTGAAAATAAATTGAAATAGGTCAAGGATGGATATAGGCAGATAAGTTTAGAGTGCCGCAATAATGCAGGTAAAAGACAATGATGATAAATGTTTTCCAGTTCTTTTCCTGCAAGAACAATGAAGTGTGATGCATGTATTGAATCTAAACTCTATCTGGGAGCAGGCAAGAACTCACTTGAGGCCAATGCTGGTAATTTTTATCCCATTTGCAAGGTCAAGAACAAAAGTACAAGTTGATCACAATAATTTTTAGCTGCTGTTTTCAGGGATAATTCACTTGAGATTTGAGAGCCACTTAGAGCTGAATGTGGTGCTCCACAGACTTACAAACTGATAAGGCCACACAGGTCCTTAGAATACATTTTGGCCTAGGCTCCTATCCATAGGTAATTCTCTACTCAAGGAGTTTAGACAGTTTACTTTCCTCTTTGTGTTTTGTGGTTCCATTTTGTATTTGCCTTAGCAAAAAGGCTATTTATAAAATATAGAACTGAATAGATTATATTAAAGAATTATCATTGGTAAAAGAAACTTCTGAGTGACTTCTTAAATTGTTTCATTTGGCCAGTAGCAATTTTTCATAAAACCTGTAATATCATTCTTAATAATTTTTTCTGAACATTACTATGAAAAATAAATAAGAAAGTACTATGCACTTATAACCTTTTCTAAATTCCAATTAGTCATGTAAATATAGTGGGTTTTTTTTCTATCTGACCTACACTTTTCTCTTATTTGAACTTAGAAATTTAAGCTTGTTCTATTATCTTTTGAATTTATTTTCTGAAATGTCATGCCTTCCTATACTATCACTTTCTATAATGTCTACCTTTATATAGGTTCAAACACTTTTCCTGCCACATTTCTGTATTCAAAAAGAGAAAGTTAATACACTTTTATGACTGCACCTTTAAATTCTGATTTCTGCTTTTCTATAGGAAATATTTCACTAATTTATACTAACCCTAAATTTATGCGAAAACATAAACCTGTTGTATTTTTACCCTTCCCATTCCCATTCATCAGTCACCTCGAAAGCCTTTTTTATATATAATTCTTATTAAGCACTTGAGTAGATTCTTATTTTCCACAAAAGAAAATAAACTCAAGGTACAAGCAAAGAAGAGCCTAGAAAAGTGGTTCATGACAGAACAAAGCTGCTAATGACACCCTCAGTGTTAATGCTGAAACAGCATTCTTTGAATGTTGGAGATGTCTGGGAATGCAGGATTACATACCGTGAAGGTTCTTTGGTCAGCATAGTGAATGCAATGGTTCTGACTGATTAATGTATTCTTTGCCATGTCATACTCCATTACTTATCACAAAATGTGCATTTCTTGGTGCTGGTAAACATGTCGCATGTCTTACAGAAATTTTTGCTACATGGAAATGGATAAAAATACTAGGTAACATTTATTGAGAAATAAATATATGCTGCCACAAACCTGATTTTGCCATTCCTGTGCTTCGGGTACTGCATCATTTTGAGATTGTCAAAAATGCTACAAACTTCTGCCTAATTTGACCATTACTGTATTCTCCAACATTAATTCTCATTCCAATTCCCTTGTTCTCTGTGCACCAAGGCCACCTCTCAGTTGTTTAGCCAGATCACTCCATCTGGTCTGACAAGACTTGCCTATGCTATTCCCAGCACTGCAGTTTATAGAAGTGCCTTATTTTCCCCCAAATCATACAGTTAGTAATGACATATTTGACCCCAGGTCTATTTGATTCCACATATCCACCTTTTCAAACACACACAAAAGTAGATAAGTAGTGAAAGCCATAGAAATGAGTACGTGATAAAATACACATGAACTCGGTCTTCTAGAATCCTTAGAAAAAGATGCCTGACCTCTTCTTTACATATTGGTGCTATTGCTTAGAGTACTGATACAACTAACCCACAAGTCAACAAAGTGAAAATTATCATCAAGACATTATCAACTTTTGACTAAAAAGAACTTGGATGAATAAAATAATAAATTTCCTTAAATGGACTTTTAAACAATTTCTCATTATACCTAATTAACTTTTAGAAGCTATTAATTGACTGATCAATGAAAACCAATTGTTCTCACTTACCAGTGAAAATTCTTTGACAGATTACTTAATTTAATTCTTTAATGAAATAGTTTTGTTTTATGCCTGACAGTATTGGCAAGTCATCTTTTCTTCCAGGAATTCCTTTGGCTCTCCATTGTCATTAAAATCTAACTTAAACTACTTTTAATGCAGTATACTTCAGTGCTTTCTACATTTTTAACTAGTTCCGATTGGCTGATTTTTACCTTTTTTGTTGCCAGAGTCTATGTCTGTAGGATATGAAAAATCAATCCTGATAAATGTGTTATTTATCACCATTCAGGTAGAAAATAATAGTACCGCTGAATACATTTTTTTCTACTGATCTTAGTGTATTTGTGATAAAACAACCTAAAGCTCATCCTGTTCATTTACGGGTGTCCCACTTTATGTCAAGCTCTTTATCCAACCAGACTTCTTCTTCTCAGTGTCTATTCTTCAGAATCTAAATATGGTGTCCCACATGTTGAACGAGTTCTTTTTCTCCTTAACACTGTAACCTATGTTATCCATAGTCCTGTTACTAAAGTACCACTTCTTTTATCAGATTGCTTGTCAGTTATTGGGCTGAAATATTTTTCACATCAAATACATCACTTAAAGTAAGATAAAGTAAAAAAAACAATTGCAGAACTTCTTAAAAATATATCAGTGTACCTAATATTCCATAACTGTTGATTTCTAGGGAATTACTTTCTCAGTAAAACTAAATGAATTAAATCCAGACTTGTACTCTGTGTCTATACCCTGAGGCTACAAATATCTTTGAAATATCTAAGCAGAATATAATTAGAAAGGCAGAATTCTTCTCTGCCCAAAATGTTCCAGCTTCAATACAAGCATCTCTGACTAATCTCTTAATGTCTACCTCTGCTACCCTTCACCTTCCAAATTAGAGTAATCATTTTGAAACACAAATGTGAACAACTTCTGATCTCTTCACTGTTTTCACCTTCAAAATATTAGAAGAGTTTGTCATTGTTTTTAGCTGAAACCCAGTATATTTCACATCTCACACCATACTCTCTCATGCACTCTCTGGCGTCTATCACACAGCCCTTACTTTCTGAACATCAGAAACTCCCTGCCACGGGGACATTGTACATGATGTGTCCTCTTCCTGGGAAGTTTTTCTCTTACCACTAACTCTTTTGAAAGAGCACCTTCTTCTTTTAGATCTAGTTCAAACCTCAGGCTTATATTTTCAAATATATTTATTTAAACTAGGTATTCAAATACCTATATTTAGGTATTTAGGTATAGGTATTCAAATACCTATATTTGAAAATATAATATTTTTATTACCCCATTACATGTTCTTACATGATCTCAAAGCACTATGTCTATTTTCTCAAATACTTAATGTCTATTTTCTCCCACAGAGATAATCATCCATAATTAATTATCATTAATTAATTCTCTAAAATCAAGAATTGTATGTGGCCAATGAATAAATGAATTAATTAATTAACAGATAAATTTGGTTGTAATGCCATTTCTATCAAGAGAAAGTGAACCATTGATCAGGGGTAGTCACAATAGATAACAGACATGAGAAAAAGAAAAAGCAAGGACCCTGGAAACTCCATACAATACTCTATTTTTTCCACTTTGGATACTTAACCTATCTCTTTTTGGTAACTAAGATATGCTCTCAATAGCCAGAGCATAACAGAGAGAATCCATTTCACTCCAATGCTTATGATTATGACTAAGATTATAAGTTATATGCTTTTAAGATTGCCTTCATTCATGCAGTGTATAGTGAGAATTTAATTTGTAGCAAATATCTAACAGTGGATGGGAAGAAAAATGGCTTTACACACAAGAGGTTGCATGCTATAATAAAAAGAATCATAGAGTATGAAGCAAGGCCAAACTAAATTTGAATCTTTGACTTCCAGGTTGGAAATATATAAAGTCTTAGCTGAGAAACCTTTAATGAGTCATGTCACCTGGTTTATTTCTATTAAATAAGGATAACATCTATCTGCCAAAGTTATTGTAATAAAATAACACAAAAAATATTAACTCTTGAGGTGATCATAGACCGTCCAGTCATGCAAGGTATTTGCAGCTGTTTCTGTTGGGGGCTATAGATGTTAATTTTGGTATGATTTTGATAATGATGATCATATTAGAGCAGAGCTGGGTGAAACAGAATCATCTTATATATAGAATAAGAATATTTCAAGTTTTTATGTTACCAAAAATAAACAAGACGTCATAAATTTTTAAACAAATTATTGTTTTAAAATATATTTTCTCCTTGGATTTATTTGTTTATAACCATCATGGTTGATTAGTATTACAGATAAAGATTTCCATTTCTTTTATCGCACAAAGACATTTTCTCTAGATTATGCAATTATTGCAATTTCATCATTTTCTGATTATCCAGGAAAAACAAGTGATCAATACTGAGTAGCCTGAAGAAAACCAATTGAGGTAATTTAAATCAATATGTTTAACTTGCAATTATTTATACTACACATTTACAAAAACACAAAGGTTTGTTCACTGAAGCTTCATTTAGAGTGAGCAGAAATTTTGTCTAAGGATTCTATACTCGTGTTTCATTTCAAATTGGTAAAATAGAAGCTTAAATGATTTTTTATGTCTACAATGAATAATTTGTTCCACTTTCAGTTGCAAATGCATTAAAATACTTCTTTGAATATGATGGCAAATATTCATATATTAAAAGAATTCTAAACTTGTGAACATTAGGATAGATGACATTGTCCTTGAAGATAATAGAGCAATTGGGTATTTTTTATTTTTATTTTGTAATTTGAAATTGGGTAAATATTATTTTTCACTTCAGTAATTCTTTTCTGAAAATCTGATAACCCCTTATTGATGGAAAAGACTAGTGCTTAACACTGTCAACACCAATATAATAATATAGAAAAATTTAGGTGAAAATAATCTTTATAAAATCTAATTCATGAAGAATTCCCAACTAAAGAGAAGGCGAGGGGATTTTTTGAAAATGTCCCCCCAATCAGCTCTGAGGCAAAAAAGAAATTCTCTTATTTCTTGTATGTCATAATACTCTCACATATTTATACAGCACATTAGAGAATGCTTTTACATATGTTATATAATTTGATCTCTACAATGACCCTGTGAGGCAATTAAAAGAGGCTAATATTACCTCAAAGCAGTCAAGTACAATTTTAAAATTGGTTACCTGGTAAGAGAAAGGCAGAAATGCCTTTCTCTCACTCTCTTTTTTTTTTTTTTTTTTTTTTTTTTTTACAGTTAATTCAGTGATATTTCCACAATACTACAAGTCATTTTTTTCCTCCATTGGCATTTTTATATATATGCAAATGGAAGAAGAAAGATAAGCACAGCATTTTTATGTGAGAAAAAATACTGTGAAAAGTGACTTCAAAATCATCATTAAGGAGATACAGGGAAATATGCTAAAAAATGCAAATGTAATTTAAGCATATGGCCCCAAAACAAATGTAAACCTATAATATATTTAGTCTGATGATACTACCAAAATATTACAAAAATGCTTCAGGAAAGCAGCATGCCAATCATAAATCTCATAATTAATAATAAATCCCTTAATTCAAGTTTCTCATCATCACTGTTAAGCAAGAAAAAAAGTGCAGTGGATATAGATAGCCAATCTTAAAACACAGTAGACCCAAAATTGGTGACAGTGTGGCATTCAATTATTTTTCACAACCTGCATATTTCAGTTGGCTGACATCAAGTAATCATTTGAGTTGATTAAGAAGCCAGCAATGAGTTAGTGTGAGACACCATTTTGCTTATCTGATTGTGCCCATTCTGGTCATAAGATGCCTATGCATGGCAAGAAATGGAGGAGCTCTTTAATTCTCATCTTTATGAAGATAGCAAGCCAATTTGCTGAAAATGACTAAATCTAACTTCTTTGGTAAAAAATACAAATAACTTAAGCAAAACTATATACGACTCAAATATATTTTTCAATGTTTATAATTTTCAGTTCCTTTTCTCTCTGTATTGAAGATAACCATCAATTAGTATGATTAATGGAATTATTCCTGTAGAAATTCGAGTTGGGACTTCTCATGCCCTAGATTGTTCTAGACTAGTTGTTAATCTTCATTGTGTCCCACAATTTTTTATGGCAGTCTTCAATGGAAAGTTGTTTCTTTGTTTTAGGGTTCATATTTTTACTTACAGAAAATAACCTCTGAATGCTCAGTTTGTCTTAACAGTGACCTGATTAAAAGTTTACTTCCCTGAAATTCATTCATCAAAATGGTGGCAACCAGCTTTATTACTTAATCTGGCGACAACTTTTGTTAGTTGATTTAGGCATGCACACCCATTCTTCTGTTCCACAGCATATTGCCCTGCTGATAGTATCTCTACTAACCATTCTTACTTAGTAGTAATAATAGGAAGCTGTTGGAGTATATCTCTAGTTTCCAGAGGAGGCTGGCGTATGAGTCCCTGAACTGAGAGAGGAAGGTACACACTCAATGTAGGTGGGCTCCATCCAATCAGATGGGGACCCAAATAGAACAAAAAGGCAAAGGAAAAGTGAATTAGTGTGCTCTCTCTCTCGCTGTCTCTCTGTCTCTCTGTCTCTGTCTCTGTCTCTCTCTCTCTCTCTCTCTCTGTCTCTCTCTCTTTCTGTCTCCTGCTGGAGCAGAGACATCCTGTTTTTCCAACCCTTGGAAATCAGAACTTCAGCTTCTCTTGCCTTGGGGTTCTGGAACTTACCCCAGTGCCCCCAACCCCCAACTGGGTTCTCAGGCTTTCAGCCTTGAACTAAGAGTTATACAATTGGCTTTTGGCCTTTTAGACTTGGACTGAGGCAGTCACCAGCCTCCCAAATTCTCTAGTTTATAGATGGCCTGTCATGGAGCTCCTCAGCCTCCATAATTGTATGAGCCAATTCCCCTACTAAATTCTCTCTCTCAGCCGGGCGCAGTGGTTCATGCCTGTAATCCCAGCACTTTGAGAGGCTGAGGTGGGCGGATCACTTCAGGTCGGGAGTTCAAGACCAGCCTGACAATATGGAGAAACCCCGTCTCCACTAAAAATATAAAACTAGCTGGGCATGGTGGCGCATGCCTGTAATCCCAGCGACTCGGGAGGCTGAGGCAATAGAATCTCTTAAACCCAGGAGGCAGAGGTTGTGGTGAGCCAAGATTGCGCCATTTCACTCCAGCCTGGGCAACAAGAGCAAAACTCTGTCTCAAAAAAAAAAAAAAAAAGAAAAAAAAAGAAAAAAATTATCTCTCTCTCTAGATATATGTGATATATTCTGATGTATGGGTGCTAACAAAAGACACAAGGTTCTTGGGCCATTGACAAAAAGGTTAGCTAAAGGAGCAATGGAAGTAGCAAGAGTATCAGTATCTTCTCTTGCCAGTTTCTCAAGCCACAATTTCTACGTGGTCACCTAGCGAGGGCAAAGTGACACATGTTAAAGGAGAAGAACCCTGATCTTAGGGTATCTCAACATTTTATAGCAGTCAGTAAGCAAGTTATTCTTGGTTCCAGAGGGGGATTCTCTGTACCTTCTAAGGCTGTCAGCAAATCACCTCTTTGCTCCAGAAGGAAGCACTGTCTTATCTTCCAATGCTGTTCAGTATAAAAACATCCTTAGAAAGATAGTCAGGAATAACAGGTGTCAGTGCCTCTGCTCACAACATAAGCAAAAATGTGAAAGATTTGTGTAAAATATCCATTTCCCAAAAATATCCACCTCTCATTTTTACATCATCTTCTATATACCATCCTAGCTTCCTACTCCATCAGGCACTCTGATTAATATGACTGATAGGGTTTAAGATCAAATTTATGTAACTTTTTCATATAACATTTAATTAAAGATATGATCAATAGGACTCCAAGCAACAGGATGAGGTCAACCTGCAGCAGTGACATTAAGTATGCCCCTAGCATTCCGTACTCAACCAGGTGAGCAAATTTCATAAGCCATCAGGGCCTGTTTTAGGAAGCCAGATTGCTTTCTCCTGAAGTTGCTCTATTTACCTTTTCACTTTTCCTGAGGCATTAATCCAAGTACAGCAGTTTGTATTAGTAATTACACTGACTCTGCCTTGGCATGCAAGAATGCCTAGGGAAATATTATCATCCATAAAACATTCTAGGACAGTAAGTTGACACTGACTTGAATGTCTTTCATGGCCAAGGTGGTATCACCTCAACTAAAGTCAAAGACAAATTTTATACCATCATTTCTAATTGGATGACGGCCATTATAGGCATGACTTCTCTAATATATATCAAGTTAGTTATACCCCTGAAAGCTCCTGTGAGTAATCAAGTGTAGCTTCATTTTGGAGAGACCTCTGTAGTCATCTGAAGGTTCCATAATCTACTGACATTTCTTTAACACATTAAAGTCTTTTGTAACCTCACTAATGTATACATCACCATGATTTGGGAAGGAAGTCAAGTCAATGTCTGACTACTGCATAAGAAGTGCAGTATTAGGGCTGTACATGATGTCCTTAGAAATAAAGGTACTTTTACAATTATTAGAACCCCGAGTATGATCTGTCAATAGGGGGCTCGGGTTAACAGTACCTTTATTATGACCTCCCAGTCAGCTGGTAGATGTTACAGTTCCATTTATGTTCAAATAATTATGACTAAATCTTGTTTTGGATGGGATTTCCTAGGCAGAACCAGTCTACCTTTTTTGTTGTTGTCCATGCCACCATCCAGGAAGCATTTGTTCACCCAAGGAATGAATAAGCAACTGTTATGGGATTGGGGTTTGGAAAGATATCTGAAGATACTGACAGCTGTTATTACATGGAAGATAGAAGAGGCCATACTCTTCAGTTTCTGATAGCCCTTTAGGTGAGATTAGGGAGAGTGATAATCAAATTACTATCAGAGCTGTCTGACAGATGAGAGCAGTCATCTAAATTATGGCACTTGATGCTGCAGTTTAGGGGAGCCACATCAGAGTGTTTTCCTTAATGAGAAAGTCTTCAGGGGTGTTTCTGAGAGACAAGGATCATTAATGTCCCTCCCATCATCATACCTTCTGGGGTCTAAGGTTCTTCCTCCTTAGGTACCATCATTATGTTTTTCTCCTTCTATCTGCCCCAAAAATTGTTATGTCTCATTCCAGCATCTATAACTTAACGTTTTCTTCAAAATTCTCTTACTTGAACCCAGAATTTTGTTCAGAAGGGTCATGTACAAAAAGGACAAAGTTTATATAAAACTTACAGAGACACATTATGCCCACCACATTGGCCTGCACAAATCACTATTGGGAGACTTGGTGCGCAGTGTACTCAGCCAACTGATCATTATCATGATCTAGAAGCATGTCAGTTTAAAAAGAGAATCCAGTTGGCTGAACCAGAATTACTATGAATACCCTAGGTTTGTTTTGGCTGTACTCAGTTTAGTAATCAGACTGGCCTAGAGCTGCCATTAGGGGAAAAAAATATTACCCCCAGAAATTTGACCTACAATCTCCAAAATTTTAAATAGGCCTATAAAACCCTTCACCTGCTTCTGAGGACAGTTGTATTCAATGAAAAATTAAAAGTACCTTACTAAAGTATGTGGACCAGAAAGAGGTCAGGAAAATAGATTTAAATTTTATCTTTTATCCTCTTTTATTTTTGAATAAACTTTTTCAACACTAGATGAAGCCCACTGCCTATGGATGGTAGGAGGCATGAAAGGTCAATTAAATACTTTGACTATCAACTTATTGTTGAGTATCTTTTGCAATAAATAGCACATGACTGTCAGAATACAAATAATTGAGAAAGCCAAAAACATGACATAGATTAGTTTCAAAGGCCACAGTGTGGTTTAGGATTTGGTTTATATGACTGGAGTGGTAAATTATAACCGGAAAGTTGACAGTGGAATGGTATCATCAATAGCATTGAGAGGGTGTCAAAGATCTCAGGTGGTCAATATGCCAGGTGTGGGCAGAGACCATGAGCCATGCAATGTGGTTTCCCTCACAGTGAGAACAAATGCTCAGCTTCTGTCAGGAGATATAAGTCTGGCATGCAGTGGTCTCTATCTCAAACACATTGAGTCTTTCATTGAAGAAGGTCTTCCCAGACTGATGGAGCATGTGTTGCCAAGTGCAAGATGATGACAAATTCAGGAAGCAATGGTGGCAATCTTAGTGATGCAGACTCAAGCAACTTAACTTTAGTTGGGCTCATCAGAGAATGAGCCATTACTGTGGGCATCTAAATGCATGATTCAAATGGTTTGATTAGTTTCCACTATTTGTTCCCATAGTTTGCAGACCAAAGAAAAGTATCTTTAATCTGCTAGTCTTTCATTTTCCAAGTGGCAGACCAAACAGTGAGGCCACTGGCAAGAGTTCAAAGGTCATTACAAATGTAATAAGGTTCTCCAACAAGGGCACTGGCCAGAGCTGTAAGAACAGTTGAGGTCCACCCACTGACTGGAACAACCGTGTTCAATTTTGGTTCGGCCTAGCTGGCACTAAGGATGAAAGGGTATACCAAGCCAGTTTATATTCCAGTTTCAACATAGCCAAACTATCAGTGAAATAAGCCTAAGTATTCATGAAATCTCTGTGAATCAAAAAATGAACTTACAAGTATGCTCGTTCAAACCCTTATGTTGTTCATGGACTACCAATGAATAACAAAACACTGTTTTGAAAGTACTAATATAAAATATGCCTTCTCTTCAGAGTCTTATTTCAACAACTCTAAAATTCTACCATGTTTTTTCTCTGTGTTTAATCTGAAAATAATTCTACATGAATGTAAATATAAAAACTGGTTCTAAAATGTAAAATGCTACACAAACTAAATATTGATGGAAGGCACATTACTGAGGGAGGCATTTTAATGAAGTGGAAAAAATAGACTTCACAACTTAAAGTTCAAGTTAAATCTCTACAAGTTAGAAAATAGAGGTCTTGGGAATATTATGCAACTTAAATTTCTTACCTAAAAAAAAATTAGTTTAACAACTATCTAACTGATTACAATGGACAAGTATACTGAATCAACATATGTAACACACCCAGAAGAGAATCTTGAAGACTGTAGTAACATATTAATTTCTTCTTCATTCTATGTTAGTGTCATGCTAACAGAATACCTCATCCATCATCGTAAATAGAATAACATTTTTCTTCTTCCAAGTAATTCTCTGAGAAGCCCATGTAGGTTCCTGGGGTTTTACCATCTCCCCAAGAAGTATTGGTCTCTAACTGTTTCCTAGAACAACAATCAAAGCATTCAAACTCCACTATCAAAAGAAAGAAAGGGTCTTTCCTGGAGATGAACCTAGGTTCAACTATAACAGCAAATAATTACAATGCATTATGATATCTTACATTTTCACAAATCTTCATAAATCATTTCTCATACTCAAAAAACACAGAAATCCTTGGAGAATAGAATATGGCAGAGAACGTAGATTTGAAGTGGAAGAAGTATTTTAAAGTAAGTCATATTTATTTATTTTCTGAATTTACAAATTACATTGTCTATGTGTCCACACCAAATAGGAAATAAAACATGCCCTCCTCTCAAAATAAGAGCTTGATTGAAAATGTGGTCTTCTCAAATATCTCAGAATAACACATGCCTCTTTGAGAGACGTTTCTGTGAAGGGGTCAAGGAGAGACTCTATTGGCCAATAGGATGCAATTATAAAAAACAAGGGCATCATGTACTGAGAACTAAATTAAGTGATTAATTCAACATGTACTAACCAAAGTAGCATTTTATATCTGTTTTAGATATAATTTTGTATATGTCTATTTTGAAAATAATTTCACAGAATACTTGCTCAATTTGGCTAGATTTTGGAGTTGCATTCTTGCTTAAGTGGCCCAATGAATCAATTCAATTTGTCCCAAAAACTGGTTTAAGCCTATTTTATATTCTCTTGAGTTGACTAGTTCATTTGTCTGGATATAAATCTCAGTTCAAAAATATTTTTGCTGAATAAGCATCACCACTTCCTGCATCTAGCCATGACGCCAATTTCAGCAGAGATTTGAAATTAGGCAAGATAATGAAATGGACTGACAATCTGGCCCAGACTCTAATTTATAGTCTTGTTTAAAATTAAAGCTAGCTTTGTCCTTGGCCCTGAGACCAGAGAAACATGGCATGTTTAGACCTATCATTAGGCCAACCAAAATAATGTAGCAACTATATTTGTCCTTGGTATCATTTATTTTCTTTCCTTCTCTGCCTTTCTTACTGTCTCTGCCTTGACAAATCCTAGTTATGGTCTCCCTGTCCATGTGTCATATCCATGTGGGGTGCACCTCCCCATGCTGCCACTCGAACACTGCCTCTGCCCTGAGCTTGTCTTCTCCTCCCACCTCTCACAAAGATATATTTTTTCCAAAGAAAATTGCTTTAATGCATTTTTTTTAATTCCTGCTTTCCATCTATCACAGTTCTCAAGAAACAGATGCTGGGATGTAGTTTGATGTGCAAGATGTGGGATTAGCCCTTGAGAAAAGAAGGGAGAGGAAGTAGGATTAGGCAGAAAAAGAAGTTGAATTGCAAATAAAGGCCTGAAGAACCCTTGGCCAAACTAGCAGGAAACTCTGAAGCAAATCCTGTTCATCAGAGCTGTACTACATTGGACCTAAATGACTAGATCCTTATACCCCCTGTTGTTCAGTTGCCACATGATGGCTCCCCTAGGTGTTGTGAACTCTGGGACAGCTGCTCTCAGAACTGTCAGCTGGAAGCAATGTGCTGACTGCATTTCCCACAGCTGGGCAGAAATTATTCTTTGAGGGTGGGTCTAGACGGAGCATCTCTGTGTCATTCTGACTCATATGATCAAGTAGATCATACCACAGTCCTGAGGGTTAATAATTTAATTCAATGCTTTCTCAAATGTATTCCTTTGAATAGATGTTAGGAGGTATTCTGAGGAAAAAATATTTTGTGCCCAAGGAATTTTATGAAACACAAAGTTAACGGGGTTCCTTTGCTGCAGGAGTTATCCTTGTTAATTTTAACATATTAGCTACTATACAGTGAGACACCAAGAGAAAAGCTACAGTGGACATTCCCCAAATATATTTATATGCAGAAGCCTTAATTTTCTCCTAAAATAAATTTAATATCTTTTAAAACACTAATAACCTACACTGCACAACTTTAGGAAATTTTCTTACGGGACACAAGTTACAAAAAATATAAAATTTGCATTTCTCAGAAGACTTCTGAAAATAGAAGTCTTTGTTGTTTCGAGACATGGTCTCACTCTGTTGCCCAGGCTAGAGTACAATAGCACCTCAAGTGATCCTCCTGCCTGGGCTGGGATTGCAGGCATAAACCACTGTACCCAGCCTGAAAACAGAAAGTCTTAACACAGCAAGATTATTTATGTAAATGCTGTGAATGTAAGTGCCACAAAGGCGAGTGTTAAAAGGGATCCTTAAGGATATAGTTTCTTTGAAGCCATTGAAAGAAGGCTACTGTCTGCTCTATTTACAGAAAAATAAACTAGGATGAAATGAGATTCTTGCTCCAGGAAAACAGAGTAAAGTTAATACATCAGGAAAATCTAATCAATGTCTGTTGTGCTTTAGCCTTTTCCTTCGAAGAGAGTGGTCATTATACCAAAAAGTTTAGGACAAACACCACAAATAGAAAATTGGAATACCAGGACAGGTGAGAATATATTTACTAAATCTATTAATTATTGTTACCACAGTTGAAATTGCTGATAAATCAAAACTTTTGTCAGTAAATGTTGAAGAAGAGACAAAAGTTTCATTTTAGAAACCATAAATTTGTAAGCAATCTGTTGAGAGAAAAATCTGTAATATCATATCAAATAGATGGTTTGTAAACATTAAAAACATTAAAATTCTGCCACTTATTAATGATGACAAAATAACTTGATTTTATTTTTAAATTATTATTTTATTGGCAGATTAATATAATATAGGCATTGCTAAAGTTTTGTTGAACACAAGCTATTCTAGGCAGTTTATGATCTTCTGGTGAATTATATGATAAAATATTGACAGTATTAATGTTATTTTATGGATTCCTCTCTGGTAAAATAGTTTCCTAAAGAATATTGATAATTTGTTGATATTTACTTAAAGGAAATACTATATTTACATGCCACTGAACTCTGCCATGATTTTGTTTTTACGAACTTTATCTTTCCTGTTTGGCATTTCTATCAGCAACATAAATGAAAATATAGATAGCAGGCTTATCATATTCTCAAGCAACACAAAATTACAGGAAAGATCTTATGCACTGGTATTCAAAATCCAAATTAGAAAATATTACTGTAGCTAAAATCATAGCCTCAAACTGAGATCAATTTCACAGGAACATATATTAATGTATTTATTGGTCCAATAAATCCCTGGCACAAGCATATGCTGGATATGGTCAGACACTGATAAAGTTTACAGAACAAAGATTTAGAAATTTTAGTAGGTTATAATTGTAATATGTTTTAATGCTGTAAAGATGCTGTTTAAAAGCCTCACATAATGTTAGATAGAAATAATATACTTTTTCTGTTCAATGATTAAATTCAGACATATTTTACTTTGCCTTGGAAGTCCCACATCTGTAGTATATTCAGTCTTGGACGTGGTATTTTAATAAGGGGTTGGCAAACTACAAATCTTTGAGGTATAGAAACCAGGGTGTAATGGTGCTACATCAAAAAACGTTTGAAGGAACTGTTTATTTTAGCTTGGGAAGGCCAGACTAAAACATTAATATTGGTATTGGATAGGCTGTCATAAGTAAAAGGGAATAAACTTGTACTGTGATGCTTCAGAGTAAAAGATAAAGAAGGTGTTTGTATGCTTGTATATTAGTCTCCTAGGGCTGCCATACAAATTATCACAAGCTGGATGGCTTAAAGCAACAGAAATTTATTCTCTTACTGTTCTGGAGGTTGGAAGTCCAAAAGTGAGGTGTGAGCAAGCCATGCTCCCTCTGAAGGCTCTGGGGAAGAATGCTTCCTTGACTCTTCCTAGTTTTTTGTAGTTGCCAGAAATCTTTGGCATTCATTGGCTTGCAGTTGCATCTCTCTGATCTCTGCCTCTGTTGCCATATGGCATTCTCCTCTGTGTCTTCACATGGCCTTCTTATAAGGGCATGAATCACTGTATTTAGGACCCATTCTAATCCAGTATGACCTCATTTTAACTAGTTACATTTGCAAGTCTTGTACACACAACTCTTGTTGTCTACAATGATAATGGAGCACCTCATGAAGCAGTGAGCTTCCAGTTATGGAGTCAATTCAAACATAAGATGAAATTCCTAAAAGAGTCTCTAGCATGTAGGGCTGAATAACTGAACTTGACATTATGGGAGAAGTAGAACTACATTAGGTCTTTTATGAGCCTAGTGAAGTAGATTTCACCTTTCAAATATTCAGCTGAGATTCTATGATTTGTAAAGATGATAAGATGGGCAAGTGAAATATACAAAGCAAGATGAAAGGATAGTAGTAAGTAAGGTTTACAACCATTTTCTCTCCTCTTTTTTTTTCAATTTAATATTGACAGTTTCCAGATTTGCTGGTGGTGGCTGTTATCTTAATTTCAAAATTATTTCACTGAGATGTTCATGAATTTTTGACAATGAAATTGCAAGCTGCTAGAATATGGCTTAGTGTCACTTAACTGCATTTTTCTGAACTCTGTATTACTATTAAGATTAGGGAAAAAAGGTTGACAGTACTTTTAATGAAGTCCACCTCAGTGCAGTCAGTATTCACTGAGGGCCCAGCAAGAGCAGTGAACTGTCATTAACATAATTTAGTCTTTGTGGAGAAGTGATAATTCCAAAAACAAAGAAATGAAAAAATTAAATCTTCACAATGCCTTTTTATACTTTTACAAAAATGCTTTGATCTCAGACTTTCATTAAACCCTTAATCAAACGTGTTTCCGTATTTCTGACCAGAAATGCAACTTATTTCGTTAGTTGTCATTTCAAGATGCCTTCAGTCTGTGTAGTTGCTGCATACCTACACCTCTCACATTTCAATCCAGCCCTCTGAAGGGCTCGGTTAAGTTTAGATAAGCAGTGACTTCAGAAGAAAATGAAGTCATTGGCAGAAAAGTTGTTCCCAACACAATTGAGTGTAGGTATTCCTCAAAGATATTGACTCCCTTTCATAAAGTATCAAGACTACCCACAAATATATTTGAAGAAATCAACGAAGGCTTCATAGGACTTTTACCTAATATAGTTGAATAATTCTGGGGGAAATAACTTATAGGCAGAAGGATAAGGAGAATGGAAAGTAATTATGAATAAACTCCACCCAGCCAGGAGTATATTAATAAAATAATTAATAAAAGAAACATGTCCTAGCTAGGGAATTATTTGGGATCCAAGAAACCACCAAAGTCATCAATGCTTAAAAGCTGACTTATTTGTCTAAGAGGTCATTTGAAACCCAAACAGTTCACTTTGTTTATGGATTTTTCTGGATTAAGCATATCAATATTCTATTTTACTTTGCCATTCTGATACATCCCCTTTGTGCTACTCTGAGGAATATTTAGCTTCCAGAGGGTGTTAAATACCGTAGCAAGGTTTTAAAATACGTTTCACA
This sequence comes from Homo sapiens, assembly GCF_000001405.40. Classification (NCBI taxonomy): domain Eukaryota; kingdom Metazoa; phylum Chordata; class Mammalia; order Primates; family Hominidae; genus Homo; species Homo sapiens. The sequence continues at coordinate 87,671,390 of NC_000008.11, forward strand.
AATATTCCTTTAACTAACAGAGAACACTTGACTTAGGGGAAAAAAAGACCAAAGATGTACATAAAACATATCTTTTAACATCTGAAAGATGAACACATGACAAAAAGAATGTAAATATATTAATTACAGTCTAATTGAGTAAAAAGTAAAGGATCTCACAAATTCTGGGATCTTTGTTTTGATCACTGACTTATCCTCAGTACCTAAAGCAGTGATGGGCATATCATAAACAATAAATATTTGTTTAATAAATGAATAAAGCCATAAGATGACATTTCATTTTAACCTGAAGGTTTTTTAATAGGCATGTTCAAAGTTAGAGCTAAGCTGTCTGCTGTAGTAAGATTTAAATATTAGAATAGCTGACCATTTGACTAACAAATATTTAAGTATTAAATGAGTAGCTCACCAAAATATTATTTAAGGTAATTTGAAGCAATTGTGGAAATCTTCAATTTTTAACTGCTATTCCTCCAGCATTGACTTAGACACTGACAGGTGTTATTATACAGCAGAGGTAGAGAATCATGACTTCCCTGTGTGGAGAACATGTTAAGGGAAAGAAACAGATAGTTTAAGCCCTCTGAATAAGACAGCATTGAATCTAAAACTTCAGGTACAAAGAGAAAAAGACAGGGTGACAGGGGGTGGAGGGCAGGGGAGAGTTGCTGAGGCAAAATGGTATAAGGGAAAGTGTGCAGTTTCTAATCCATACAGGTTTAAGTTGATTCTGATATATTCAATTTTTTTCTATAGCCTAGAGCAAGCTATATGTTTCCTAGTTTACTTATCTGTATGATGGGAATCATAATTAGTAATATCTTAGGCGGTGGTAACATGCATTAAATGAGATAATCTACATAAAGCACTTCACAGAATCCCAGCTACAGAATGTAATCTGCAAATATTAGCATTCGATATCAGCACTGTAATATGCTTGATTTGAGTAATGGTATATGCATACTGCTTTCAGCTCTCATGCCAAAATAGCAGAAGGTTGAGTGGTTTCCACGACCATCTTTGAAAATTCTTCTCCCTCTTGGTTTTGGGAAAGCCTTGTCTTGATGAACTGACGGAATAAATCTCTCTTAAATATTACATATTATGATTTTAATATATTAGCCATAATTATGGGTCAATGTTTCAATAACTTGTTTTGTTGAGTTGAAATAATAATGGAATTTATAGAAAATACAGACTACACAGGATGGAACTTTTGGTCGGAGTCAAAACTTTAAATGGATAACTTCATTCTCTTCTTCCCCACTATGCCCATTTAATGTTTTTGTTTTCCTTTGTGCTACTGTGAATATTGAGAGATAAGCCTTTTCATGTGTTGCATCACCCAAGCATATAAAATTGGTTTTCCCCCAAATATTTGAGGTTCTACAAAATTCACATTAGCATTTTATAAAGTACTTTTCTTTTAATTAAACACCCAAGTATATGCTGTAGAAAATTTATTTCACATGTAAATAACTCATTTGTACTCAACTAAATTGTCATTTGGTACAGTTTTGATATTCAAAAACTTTCTTTAATTTTATGGTGACTTTTATTTTAAATAAATTGTTTCTTTTGTTAGCCAGACATTAATCTGAATCCTCAAGGTTCAATTTCAGATGTAAATGTCAAATCCCAATGTTTGACATCAACCTTTCAAATTTCCTCCCTCACTCTCTACCTACTTAAAACATTTATACTATATAATATCAGATTCCATACCAATCGAGATTATTGGACCCAAGTTATTAAAGAATATACTCAACAAAGGTTGCTTATGATGCTACCATATTATATTATAATAACAGCCATGGTACTCCATTTTTTTTACCTTGACCAGTCTTAAACACGTCTTGTGTATCTTATGTCTCCATCAAACACACACACACACACACACGGACACACATACAACACACTGACAAATAACCAAAATAAATTTATAAGGAAATGATACCTAAAGTTATCGTAGGCAAATGTTCCCTGATGTTTTTTCTTTTCTGTTTTATCTATTTTATTCTACTTCTATCCCTTCTGTTTTATGTAAAATATAATGCTTGTTGAGAATTACCAAATTGGATTCAAGATCTACTCATTGGTCACAACAGGCATTTTAAAGTGAATGAAAAGCGAGACCAATACCAGACCCTTGCTTAACACATATTGCTAAGCAGCAACCAATCCAGTTCTTTCCATGCAGATAGACAGCTGTTATTCCAGAAACAGGAAAGCCTCCTTCTGAATAATGGCACTCAATAGCATGTCAGAATGTCTGTGGCTACCAGTGGCACATTTCTGTCCTGAAGACCAGACTGTCTTAGAACTCTGCACTCTTCCAGCTATAAGTAAGGGATAGTTCCAGTTTATGCCTGCTCTCCCAAAGTTCTATCCAGTTTAGCCCTTGTTCCATGTTTTTCATTTTAAATATTTATAATTAGTAGGCATTTTATGTTATTATTAATAGTTGCAATAGAGTGGTCTGGGACGACATGATAATACAAAGAATAGGATTCTCCAATAAGACTCACATCAATCTGAGATTTTTATATAGCATACAGATACTCAACAATTTTAAGGATATAAGCAATTGCAAATCACTGGCACAGCAGGAATGGTCCAGGTCTTCCAAGGCAGCTTCCCAGGTCCTTTCTTGCTATATAGCAGAATGCACTCTGGGGTCAAATATGCAGTCTCTAAGTGATGTGTGAGGTCATATCACGCAGAAGGAACCATTTTGGTCAGGAAACACCTTCCATTCATCCTTATATAATTACATATCTTCTGTAACATTTCTCAGGAAGCCATATCCCATAAATCAATAGTTTCCAGGTTTGCTTACCATAAGCAATTCTAGATAGATAAGACACATCCTGCTAAAAGCATTCCAAAGATAAGGACTTTCCAGCAAAAAACATTATTTTGTTTGCCAGTAGGGCTACATTACCATGTTTACAAGGAAATGTTTCAGGGTCAACCTCTTTCTCTCTCGGGCATGCCTGCCCCTGCGTAAGAGAAAATATAGATTGCAGACCAAAATATTAACCATTTACTTCCCAGATGTCCTTGATGGGCTTCCATTTTTTATATCCAGGTTCTTCCAGAGTCTTGTCTAATGACCTGTGAGATGTGTGCATCGTAACGGAGCTCTCAGTTTAACACTATGTTAAATAGGAAAGCCTGCAAAGGAAATAACTGGGCTCTCTTTTCTTGATGTTTCTAGGTTTAGCATTACTAATACTTCTCTTTCAAGAATGGCTGATGATGTGCTCTGCAACTGAAAAGGCTAGGAAAAGCTAAAACCTTCTGGTCTTCAGTGGGGGTGGAAAAGTGTTCAATGCTACTACACCTTCTAGCTATTTGGTGTACTTGTGCTGTGACCCATGCCAACTCTCTGATATGCACAAAACTGCCGTATGTCTTGTTTTTGGTGTCAGTGGGAAACGTGTCACGTTTATAAGGAATAAATGCTGAGCAGACCTACTTTAGATTGTATACAACACAAACTGTACATCTTGCTACAGATGTTTGGTCATGTATTCCATGGTTACAATCTAAAATTTATTTCATTCTTCACTAAAATTTATTTTGCAATTAGTTTTTGGTACCAATAGGAGCCTAAAAACTATATATTTAATTTTTAACAAATATAAACTTTTTACTTCTGAAGAAAATTGATATGTAATTTGCCTAATTTTTTGTCATCATTTAATACATTTAACATGCACTAAGAGATGGGGGTTGGAGTAGCAGGACACAGTGACATCACAGAACACATGAAGACAAGATTAACTGAAGAAGCATTAATGTCTAATTGAAAAGTTAGTGAATGTTTTGAGATTATCTTTTAAGGTGAGAATTTAAGTACTACTGAAGAATTCATATTTAATAATACTCTGTGAAGCAGAATTTTCATTTAGATCAAATGATAGCTTTTTTAATTAATTTTGCTCATTTACTTATGCATGTACAAATTATAAAGCAATTGCTATTAATTTGATGGCTTCATTAGCAAAAAAATGAGCATAAACATTTAGATGATACAAATTTTATATTACTTTCATTAGATGTTTCAAAGAGAAAATCTATTTAATTCCAAAAATTGGCATTTTTTCACTCAATTAATTAGATCAAATAAACCTTTTAGAATTTCATTTCATTTAAAGTAAATGTCTAATATTATTGTAAATATGTTTCTGTAATAGTTACAAAGTTTATCATTGAAGATAAAATTGTTTTTCAATGATAATATAAACACAAAACTTGGTAAATTCAGCTTCATGCATAAAGATATTATTAATAAATGAAATGTACATGAAGGTCCTAATTATATGTTAAAAATCTGAAATATTCCACCAATATAAATAGAAACCATGGTGTCAAAATTGTACATATTTTTTATCTGTATACTCACAGTGACTAAACTACAGAACTAAACTACAAATGAAGCTGATACTGAATGCAAAAAAATTTCAGAAAGAGTATTTTGCTAGAATTTTCTCTCTGCTGTTTTGTCAACAATTAGAAAATACACATAGCTGAGCCTTTGAGATGTTATCTTGTAGGTCAAAAGTGCCCTATGAATTATTAAATTTTTTATGAGTCTTCTAAATTTTAGTTGCATTTGTTCAAATTAAGTTGGAAATTTGTAATCAAACTATCTGCAAAGAGGGTAGCAAAAATTTTATAACACTCCATTTTTGAAGGTTTGAGCAAACTTTCTTGAAAACACATTTGAAAATAGACTTTTAGAAAACTTTTTCAAAAATATTAAAATTTTAGATTTATCAAGAAGCAAGAAATTGAATAAATTAAATAAGTTCTGAAATAGTATAAATTAATCATGAAATTCTATAATCACTTTGGAATAGTTTGATTCTTAGGAAGAAAATTTGAGGGAACATCTATTTTTAAATGTATAAATTGATCATTATCGGGGAACCACCCCCAATATTTCATGTAGGTTCTTTTCTATTTTGCCTAAGTGTCAGCCGGTCTGAGAAATAAAGGGAAAGAGTACAAAAGAGAAATTTTAAAGCTGGGTGTCCAGGGGAGACATCATATGTCAGCAGGTTCCATGATGTGCCCCAAGCTGCAAAACCAGCAAGTTTTTATTAGTGATTTTCAAAGGGGAGGGAGTGTACGAATAGGGTGTGGGTCACAGAGATCACCTGCTTCACAAGGCAAATGGGCACAGAGCAAGATCACAGGACCGGGGCAAAATTAAAATTGCTAATGAAGTTTCGGGCACGCATTGTCATTGATAACATCTTATCAGAAGACAGGGTTTGAGAGCAGACAACTGGTCTGACTAAAATTTACTAGGCGGGAATTTCCTCGTCCTAATAGGCCTGGGAGCATTACAGGAGACCGGGGCTTATTTCATCCCTTATCAGCAACTGTATAAGACAGACATTCCCAGAGTGGCCATTTTAGAGACCTCCCCCTAGGACGCATTCTCTTTCTCAGGGCTGTTCCTTGCTGAGAGAAAAAAATTGAGTGATATTTCTCCTATTCGCTTTGTAAGAAGAGAAATATGGCTCTGTTCCGCCTGGCTCTCAGGCAGTCAGACCTAACGGTTATCTCCCTTGTTCCCTGAACATCGCTGTTATCCTGTTCTTTTTTCAAGATGCCCAGATTTCATATTGTTTAAACACACATGCTTTAGGAACAATTTGTGCAGTTAACACAATCATCACAGGGTCCTGAGTGGACATACATCCTCAGCTTAGGAAGATGACAGGATTAAGAGATTAAAGTAAAGACAAGCGTAGGAAATCACAAGAGTATTGATTGGGGAAGTGATAAATGTCCATGAAATCTTCACAATTTATGTTCAGAGATTGCAGTAGAGACAGGTGTAAGAAATTATAAAAGTATTAATTTGGGGAACTAATAAATGTCCATGAAATCTTCACAATTTATGTTCTTCTGCCATGGCTTCAGCCAGTCCCTCCATTCTGGGTCCCTGACTTCCTGCAACAAATCATCTATACTAAAAATGTGTAAAATTGATGAAATCTGTAATTTTTCAGCATATACTTTTGACAAAACATTCAAGAGAGTCACATATAGAGAAAGCATATATAATGAAATCTTTTTTAAACAGGTCAAGAGCAAGTACTGAAAATGGTGACAAAAAGAGTATCTAGAAAAACATTTGATCTAATATTCAACATATTCAATATAAAACAAAATTAAAATTGTGATATGTTATATTAGGCAGAATTTGTTGAGTTGACAAGGTACCTATGAAGAATTATTTTCTCAATTAGAAATATTATAGTTTACAAGGTAGGATCAATTGAAAATTCAACAATTTCAAATATGTTTATCATTTTTCCAATTTTATGAAAATATTAAAAAATCATGAGGCCAAATTGAAAAAACTACATTTATTATAAAAACAAAGGAAATTAGAGAAAAATACAACCAAGCAGTTGATCAAATAATATGAATATGTATGAAAGATAAGTATTCTACTTGTGTTAATTTTTAAAGTTCAAAAATCAGTAAAGATAAAGGATTTGGGCTATAGTGTACATGAATACGCAATCTTTTAAATTTTTATTAATAACTCTATTTTTAAAAATCAATTTAAATAGAGTGATTTAATAGGCCTACCAATAAAGAACAATTTGTTGGTTATCTAATATTTCAAAACAGTAGTATTTAATATTTTTAAAGCCCTTGTTCACTCTCAAAATTTACCAGTTGGAATATATATAGAATGTGCTTAAATGTGTTCATGCAGACTATTCTGTGAAAAATATGTTTCACTGTCATAAAACACAATTATAGAGCTACCTTCTATATACTTTTTCTTGACAATTCATAATGCAGAGGAGTACAGCCATTGTTCTGGAAAGTCCTGCAGCAATTTGTTAAATTTGATATAATCAAGACGCTCCCAAATATATTTGACCACAGATATAATTACATCTAACACCTTTTAAACATTTCTAAAATCTGTGTTCTACAGAACAAATTTTGGAAAACGTAAGAAGAGCATGATCTTTATCCACTCTGGCTGGTTATCTCACTGTCATATTTCATTTGCATCTTTGTACATTCCTGAGAAACTTATCCAGCTATTACATTCACGTACTGAAAACTGCTCTCAGTAAGAAAAAAAGGTCCCAGAGAATAAAGATCTGTTAGTGATGAGTTATGTGGGAAATGTAGAAGGATATATCCATGTTATAAATAACAGCATAGAATCAAAGAGGTAGGATAAAATGACCAAATATCTTTAAACCAAATCATCTTTTAAATCAGATAAACAAAAATGAACTCCTCGAGCTCTCAGCAAGGCATGTCATGTTATTCTGTTGTAGTTTTTTGTTTGTTTGTTTCGAGACAGGATCTCGCTTTGTCACTCAGGCTGGAGTGCAGTGGTGCGATCACAGCCCAGTGCAGGCTCAAGTGATCTCCCCACCTCAGCCTCCTGAGGAGCTGGGACTACAGGTGCACATCCACCATGCCCTGCTAATTTTTAAATGTTTTTGTAGAGACAGTGTCTCCCTATGTTGCCCACTTTTCTTCTAGTTTAAGCATTAATTTTTCAAAAAAAATTGAACAAAACACTTACATTTTCATACTATGATTTCCAGAGCAAAGAGGACCTGTTGCACTATTATTCAAAAATTTGTTTACACATTTTCTCCACTCTTACTTCTTTGGTTTATTTTAGCTAAGTTCTCTGCTGGTAATAAAAGTCATCCTGAAGAAAGATACAAAGTCTAAAAGAGAACTAAGTTTTCTACAAAGTTTATAAAATGTAGCCACATGTGCAGCACGTTAATATTATAGTGTAAATTCCTTTGAAGACATTGATAGGAAAAATGTGAGCTCTTACACATTATTCGGATAGAGTATTTAATACTACCACACTATCAGCTTTCTCCTAATAACAGAAAAAAGTATAAGAAAGTAAAATTCAATTTCTGTATTTGGCCAACTTGTAAAAATTATGTAATGTTTCCTGTATGTTCATATCTAATGCCCTAAAACTACTTCAACTTTATAAAATACAATTTCCCTATTAATAATTCCATTTCTTCCTATGTGTATTGGATTATCATCATCTTGGTTTCTCTTTTCAAATGTAAATGCTCCAAAAGTCATAAAATATTAATTCATATTTATTATTCATTTATTCATTCATTCACTTTGCAGATAAAGCAATGCAGATACAAAGGAAACGATGAAGTTTTAGATTATTATATGATGAGGAAGATAGACACTTTCACACTTAAATTCAATATTATCTGTTGTATTTGAGATAGGTAACAAGTACCTTGGGATGACAGCAGAAGGAGCATATCCTTCCTTTATAAGTGAGTGCTAATTAAATATGTGGGTTTTAGTGAAAGATCACAGTCCAAGAAAGAAAACAAAATTATGAAAATGGTTGGCTGGTGTATCTGAGAAAACCATTCCTTTCAGTACTTCTACCAGTGAATCAATTGAGAGAAATGATAGATCATTCCAAACTTCTGCATCTCAGAACCCTTCACACTTTTAAACTTATTGACCCCAAAAGGCTTTTGTTTGCTTGGATTATTTCCAATGATGCACTGGCTCCAGCTCACACTGGCACTCAAGAGTTGACTTTGTGAAACTTTTTCAAACTCTCTGTTCGCTGGCATCATATAGGTTGCTTGAAATTGACCATTGTGGGAGTGTTTACTCTAGTGAAAATCAGTGCACACTATAGATCAGGTTTTTTAAAATTATTTTTGGTCTGGATATTCTGTTTTTAGGCAGTTAAAACACAACAGTCATTATATTTATTGATATTTAATGTATTAGAAATTAATACAAAACACTTTAAACACAGGAATACAAAGACACCTATTCCATTAGCCATCAAGAAAAAGATATCATTATGTGTAATGTAACCTCTAAAAACTTCACTATACACTCCCACATATGATAGTATAAAAGGCCAGTAACAAGTTAGTATTATAGACTATAGACCCTCTTTTGTCAACAGCTACTTCTGTCTTTGCCTGCTGAAGTTCCTAGAATTTGTTCTAATTTTATAAGCCTGGCTTGGGCATTATTTATTCCTCACACCCCTCTCATTGCTCTGAGGTCTCTACACTTTAATCTTCTTCTTAAAGGCTTCTTCTTCCATGCATGTCAACTAATAAAAATAAAATTTGTGGTGTACTGTCCTTCCATGTCATCAGATGGGTTCAGACATTTCCAAATTTATTTCATGATAATCTAGTATTTGTATAACATTATTTACAGTTTCTTCAAAGTAAAATTAATTATGAAAATTAAATGAGACAACAGTTGTGGGGAGGGGAAAATCTCTAATAATGCCTGAAAAAGAATAGGCATCTAGCAAGTTAATTCTTTCAGTTTTCAAATAACCAAATGCAATTTGCCAAGCTCAAAGCTAGGATCTGGGGCTACACAAATAAAGTATACAGAGTCCCATGGGCACGGTGGCTCACACCTGTAATCCCAGTACTTTGGGGGGCCAGGGCAGGTGGAACACAAGGTCAGCAGTTTGAGACCAGCCTGGCCAACACGGTGAAATGCTGTCTCTACCAAAAATATAAAAAATTAGTTGGATGTGGTGGCACGCACCTGTAATCCCAGCAATTCGGGAGGCTGAGGCAGGAGAATTGCTTGAACCTGGAAGGCAGAGGGTGTAGTGAGCCGAGATCGTGCCACTGCACTCCAGCCTAGGCAACAGAGCCAGACTCCATAAAAAAATTTTAAAAAAAATAAAAAATAAAGTATACAGAGTTCCTGCCTTCAAAAAAATAGAAAGGGAAGGCAGGTGTTCGATTAAGTAATACAGAAAATTGTTGCAGATCATTTCAGTTGGGTTTTCCTGGTTTCCTCCATTCTCAATTATCCAAATTCAAACTGCCTTAACAATAATATATTATGTCAGTTTACATAATTAAAAGTCTAGAGGCATAACAGCATCCAGAATTTCTGTCGCAAATTGAACTTCTGTCCAAATTTTGTTATTCTCTTACTTCTGCCTTCTCTTGTGTGGCTACTTTGTCTTCAGATCATTGCCAGCAGCATATATCCTTTTTCAAATTCAGTGAGATAGGGAACCTACTTCTTCATGTCTCTCCCTTGAAAATAAGAAAATTTATTTCTAAGTGGTCCCCAGGGAAATCTTTTCTCAGTTTCAAAGTCCCAAAATTATTAGTCCAGTCTTTTCCTGGAAAAAAGACAGAGACTTTTATTTGGTGGCTTACACCTGTCAGGAGCCTCTCATTAATCTGGATCAATTCCCTTAATCACATTACTGCTGCACAAAGAGGAGAGATTGAAGGTCCACTCACAGGTGCTATAATGGAACATTCCACTGGGTATAAGAGGAGTACAAAGAAGGGAATGCTAGTAGTAGTGTCTCTTGTCAATGAAAATAACTAATCCTTAGGGAGAAGTCTGAAGTGGATTAAGAAGGAGTGGGGATGTAACTATTTGCCAGGCAGACAAGGTAGGAAAAGGGACTTCAAGGATTATGGCAAGTAATGCAGGCAAACTCTGTGTTTGTAGATTTGCAAGTGGTCTGGAATACAGTACATGGTGGCATTTTTGCAGGCATTATAGCAGTTGAGGAGCCAGCAGTTTGACTGAATTAAATCATGAAAAGCCAGAGTTTGACTTTGGTCTGCAGAGCCATCAAGGATTTTCAGGGGAATAGTAAGCACATTCATATTTTATATTCATCTCTGGTGACCCTGTGGAGAATGCACTAGAGGTTGCTATGGATATGGCTGTTTGTGTGTCCCTTCAAATTTATATGTTGAAATCTAATCACTAATGTGATGGCATTAGGAGGTGGGGCCTTTAGGAGATGATTAGGTCATGAGAGTAGTGCCCTCGTGAATCAATACCCTTATATAAGAGACCCCAGGAACCTTATTTGCCCCTCCCACTATGTAAGGACACAGCAAAAGGTGCCACCTATGAATCAGAGAGTAGGTCCTCACCAGACACCAAATCTGCTAGCACCTTGATTTTGAACTTCCTAGTCTCTGAAACTGTGAAAAGTAAATTTTGTATCAAGTGCAATAAAATAAGTAAGTGTTAGTAAAGTCCTGAACTAAGGCAACAGGTGCAGGGATAAAGTTGCTCATAGTATAGAACTTCAGGAAGTGGCAGCCTATATGATGTAGAAGGTAAGAGAAGAAAAAATTAAAGGAACCTGGAGATAAGGAGTGACATTATTCAATAGCATTTTGGGATCTGGAGACAAAAAAAGATTTAAGAGAGCCTTAATATTAGAGCAGGTGGAGTTTGGAGTGGCTGCCGCACATGTGGTGGAGCTAACCAGAAAGCCACTGAATTTAAGCCTCTGAAAGTGAGGAGAAGGGGTCTGGGATGTGCCTGAGCCATTTGTCTATAGGTATTAGTTAATGGTATTAAAGACAGATTGTTTAAAAATGCTGACATGTAAAGAGTGGAGAAAGGGAGAGGGGTCCACAAAGAAAACTGGGAAGAATTTTCAGAGATATAAGTACAAGTAATAAAATTAAAAGTGACCAACATTAATTTGGTTGTTAATGAAATTTCCATCGATATTTTCTTAATTGTATAAATCAGAGAATTCAAGCTCAGAGGCAGATTATGCAAGCTCTCCCACTGTTAAACAATTCATTAGGGTAGTTTAGAGTAAACTACTTCTTTAAATAAGTTTAATGTGTTATGTCTGGTTTAGAAGGTTATATGAATCAAAGTAACTAATTTTTGTATTGTATCCTACACAATGAAGAGCACAAAACTAATTACTGTTTCATTTACTTTGCAGTCCTTTAAGTATGCAAGGCAAGAGATGGATAAAACCATCAGAATGGCCAGGTGTGGTGGCTCATGCCTGTAGTCCCAGTATTTTGGGAGGCCTAGACAGGCGGATCATGAGGTCAAGAGATCGAGACCATCCTGGCCAACATGTTGAAACCCCGGCTCTACTAGAATACAAAAAATTAGCCAGGTGTGGTGGTGCATGCCTGTAGTCCCAGCTACTCGGGAGGCTGAGGCAGAAGAATTGCTTGAACCGGGAGATAGAGGTTGCAGTGAGCTGAGATTGTGCCACTGCACTCCAGCCTGGTGACAGAATGAGACTCTGTCTCAAAAAAAATAAAAATAAAAATCAGAATTCAGTAAACCTAGATATTTTAGTTCTTATAAAATTGTCAGAAGGTACTCTTTGAACTTACTTGTTGGACAATACACTCTAAGCTCTAGGGGAAAATTGAATCTTTCTTTCTAGTTCCACTATTCCTCTACCTTTAAGGCGAAGATATTTTTGCTACAGGACTATGCTAACTGGAAAAGGAATTTTAATGGAAATAAAAAAGGGGACTACAAATGGAATGGATCTTTAACAATTGTCTCCTCTGTGGTGGTGTGTTCTCTTTGTCCTTCATGAATCTTTCTTTAAGTGTGTTCTTTTTCTGCCATTGTGTCTGGTGAAGTTAGAGCAAGTTATACCACAGGTAGAACTAGTTGTGTTGTGCAGAGGAAGGGAGGCTCAGTGTGAGATATTTTAACTATTTTTCTTTAAGCTTTCTTATCCTGTGCTATCTTTGTTTTGTTCATTTTATTTTATCTTACTATGTTTTGTAGTATTAACTAAAGTTTCTCACATATTACCTTTGATCTTCTGCAACATGATGAAGACATTCAGTGCTCACTGTTTCAAGTAACATACAATGCAAAGCAGAAATGAATCAATAACTATCATGTTTAATTTCAAAAAGCTATACTTCAAAATAGTGGGCAGAATTTGGGGACGAAGAGCAGAAAACCTCCTGCTTCCTACTGAAAGATCTTTGACAAGAAGCCCTGTGCTCTGTCTTCTTCAAAGTATGAAATCCTGGGGGTAAGGAGCAGACAAATATAAAACCCTAAAAAGCTTAGGAAGAGTGAGGCAAACTTGTGCACACATCTCTTACCTGTTCAGGGCCTGAAAGAAAGAATCTAAAGGAGAAATGACCTCATCATGACATCTACTTAGATAAGAACAGAGACACAGCTCTGTCCCATGGGCTCCTCTGCCCCATGTGGCCCCTCTTCCCCATGTGTCCTGTGTTGCAGAAACAATAGAAGGACACACATGAGGGGCATGGAAGAGGCGAGAGGTTTTGGGCATTAGCACCCAGTTTCCTTCATGCAAGTGCTGCAGTAGAACAAGAGAGGGATATCCCCCATGTACACTAAAGTGGCATGAAGTGGCAGCTGAAAATAAATCCATGAATCTAGAAGTCCTATGCAGTTAGCCATGACCAGAGAGAATCAGCCAGAGATTAGGCTCAATCTATAAAGGTATATTATGATCTTAAGGATAAATTACCTCACTCCAGGACTGGCATTACCTAAGTTCCTTGGAACTTTATTTTTTTTCCTTTGAACAAATTTCATTGTTTATTTTATTTTATTTTATTTTCCATAGGTTATTGGGGAACAAGTGATGTTTGGTAACTTACATTAATAAATTCTTCAGTGGTAATTTGTGAGATTTTGGTGCACCCATTACCCGAGCAGTATTTACTATACCCTATTTGTAGTCTTTTACCCCTTGCCCCTTTTGCACCCTTTCTCTGCATCCACAAAGTCCATTGTGTCATTCTTATGCCTTTGCATCTTCATAGCTTAGCTCCCACTTATGAGTGAGAACATACAATGTTTGGTTTCCCATTCCTGAGTTACTTCACTTAGAATAATAGTCTCCAGTCTCATCCAGGTGCCATTAATTCATTCCTTTTTATGACTGTGTAGTGTGTATATATATAAATATACATATATATATATATAGAGAGAGAGAGAGAGAGAGAGCACAGTTTCTTTACTTATTCATTGATTGATGGGTATTTGGGTTGGTTCCACATTTTTGCAATTGCGAATTGTGCTGCTATAAACATGCACGTGAAAGTATCTTTTTCGTATAATGACTTCTTTTTTTCTTGGTAGATACCCAGTAGTGGGACTCCTGGATCAAATGGTAGTTCTACTTTTAGTTAGCAGAGGGGGAAAGGGGAGGATGTGTGTATTTATCAGATTCTTTGGAACTTTAGATGCCACCTAGTGTTGCGGGAAGTTAGAGACCCCGAACGGAGGGACTGGCTGGAGCCACAGCAGAGGAACATAAATTATGAAGACTTCATTTTAATATGGACATTTATCAGTTCCCAAATAATACTTTTATAATTTCTTATGCCTGTCTTTACTTTAATCTCTTAATCGTGTTATCTTCATAAGCTGAGGATGTAAGTCACCTCAGGACCACTGTGATGATTGTGTTAACTATAGAAATTGATTGTAAAACATGAGTGTTTGAACAATATGAAATCAGTGCACCTTGAAAAAGAACATAATAACAACAATTTTTAGGGAACAAGGGAAGACAACCATAATGTCTGACTGCCTGTGGGGTCTGGCAAAAAGAGCCATATTTTTCTTCTTGCAGAGAGCCTATAAACAGACATGCGAGTAGGGAAGATATCACTAAATTCTTTTCCTAGCAAGGAAAATTAATATTAATACCCAGGGAGAGGAATGCCTTCCTGGGGGGAGGTCTGTCTTATGCGGTTGAGATAAGGACTAACATACGTCCTGGTCTCCTGCATTACCCTCAGGCTTATTAGAGTGCAGAAAAACTCTACCCTGGTAAATTTGTGGTCAGACCGATTCTCTGCTCTCAAACCCTGTTTTCTGTTGTTTAAGGTGTTTATCAAGACAATACGTGTACTGCTGAACATAGACCCTTATTAGTAGTGCTGCTTTTGCCCTTTGCCTTGTGATCTTTGTTGGACCCTTATCAGTAGTTCTCCTATTGGCCCTTTGAAGCTTGTGATCTACTCCCCATTCTTACACCCCCTCCCCTTTTGAAACCCTTAATAAAAAACTTGCTGGTTTGAGGCTTAGGTGGGCATCAGGGCCCTACTGACATGTGATGTCACCGCCAGCAGCCCAGCTGTAAAATTCCTCTCTTTGTACTCTTTCTCTTTATTTCTCAGCTGGCTGACACTTACGGAAAATAGAAAGAACCTACATTGAAATACTGGGGGTGGGTTCCCCCGATAACCTAGGTGATACAACATTGTCAGTAAGATTGGGTTTTCAACATCCAGGAAAATAGGAGCACAAGATCAAATGTAAGTTTAGGTATAGTAAAATAAATTTATGATTTCTTCATGATTGAGTTTATAAACTGAATTTCACACCAGCTACCGCTTTTGCCTTTCACAATTAGAGGATTCAAGTCCTGAAGGCAACACTAAATTAGGATACAAGAAGCATTAGATTGAGCCCTCTCTCTAATTTCAGTCAGACATGGAAGAGACAAAAGTTATCTTCACTGCACACACACAGACCAGCTTATCTCATCAGGCAGAAGTCCTCACAGAGACATGCTGCCAGAACTCGATTTTTAACAAACAGTGTACAATTTTCCTGGAGGGTTGTTCATGTGTTGTCCTCAGAACCCAGTTGGGAATAGATTGCTAGTGGGACATTAGGAATTCCTGACTCTGAGTATGGCTCATCACCAGTGAGGGAGCTGACATTACACACTGAAATGGAATACAATCTACTTGGTCCAACAGCCACTTTGTATCTTATACAGGGTACATAAAAAATTCTTTTTAAAAGCAAAAGGAAAATACCATCCTAGATGCCAGTGTCAGCAATGTTTATACTCCTGTTAACATCAAAACACTTGCCAAAAACTGAAAGATAGATAAGGTTGTTAAAAATTTATTTACATGTCTACATTGGCACCAGCTTCTTAAGAGGTATGTGTCTATGAACAAGTGTAATGCAAATATGTGTGTGAACATGTCAATATGTATGATCTTAATGTAGAAAAACATCATAATGCAAATGTTGAGTGTGAAATTGTCATTCAGTATATAAAATTATTGATAATTTAGAATCATGTTTCAAAAAGATGAAATATTTCAAGTTGAAATCCACTAATTATCATTTAATTCACTAAGAATATAGTGTATCAAAGATAACTTCTGAATTATAGTAATTTTAGTGAAAACTGCTGGCAAAAAATCTATTTTTTATATATACTTTTGCTACAGACAAAGAATAATTATCATATGATATTCCTCTTGATCTATCAAAAGGTTTCTAACTATATTCACCTGAGGATTTGAAATTGTATTCTTGATTTGAGGTTTTCCATATCTACCTGTCCCTTACAAATATAGTTCAAGATGAAGAGCAGTAAAATGGGAAAAGAATGTAACATAAAACTAAGAAAGCATTCCAAATACAGGGCCAACAGTAATCTAGTACAGCTTGGTGGAGTCCTGACCATATACGGCCCTTTCAATTTAGTTCAACTAATATTTGACTAATATATTCAGGGGACAGGTTTTAGGGGAGGCAAAAATATAAATAGATATTATCTCTGCCTAAAGGCATTTTATAGGTAGTAGTGGTAACAAATGCACAAACTCCCACATACTAGAGCAAGGGCCAATATTGAGATGTGCTTAAAGCTCTATAGGAGCCCTGCAGAACATATTATATCTTCTCCTAAGTCAGCAGTCCCTAACCTTTTCCACAGATGGGGGTTGGGGGATGGTCTGGGGATGAAACTGTCCCACCTCAGAATATTAAGCATTAGTTAGATTCTCATAAGGAGCATGCAACCTAGATCCCTTGCATGCATAGTTCACAATAGGGTACATGCTCCTTTGAGAATCTAATGCCTCAGCTGAACTGACAGGAGGCAGAGCTCAAGCCATAATGTTCACTCACCCACTGCTCACCTCCTGTTGTGCAGCCCAGTTCCTAACAGGCCACAGACCAGTACCAGTCCACAGCCCAGGGGTTGGGGACCCCTGTCTTAAATCATGCACTGAAACTCTCCAGGCAAGTGTGCATCAGCATGTGTGTCCTCCCGAATTGGCTCCATCACCCTATGCCCCACTGCCCTTCCCCGTTCCTACTGTCATGATCCAACTAGTCATCTGTTATGGATAAATGTTTATGTCTTCCCAAAATTCATATGTTGAAGCCGTAACCCCCAAGGTGATGGTATTTGGAGGTGGAACCTTGTGAGGTAATTGGAGTTTGATGACATCATGAGGATGGGGCACTCATGATGGGATTAGTACCCTTATAAGAATAGAATACTTGAATACTCTCTCTCTCCCTTTCTCTCCCTCTTTCTCTCTCTGTCTGCCTGTCTGTCTCTGTCTTGCTGTCTCCATGCTTGCAGAAAGAAGAGGTCGTGTGAGTACAGCAAGAAGGTGGCCATCTGAAACTCAAGGAGAGAACTTTCTTTAGAAACCAGCTTCCAGACTTAGAGCAGACTTCCAGCTGAGACTAGAGTGTCAGCACCCTGGTTGTTTAAGCCACTCAATTTGTGGTATTTTATAATGGCAGCTCAAGCTAAGACATGATCCAGGCACATTTGGGTACCTCACCTTGTCCTCTTTCTCTCAGATTTCCAAGCATCCTTGAAATTTACAAATGCTTCAAACAGTTGACATTTCAAACTTTCTCTCAACATTCAACTTTTCTCAGACTGATATTTGCATCACATTAGCTGTATAACCTAGCTGTGGTTCAAAAGTCTTTTACCTGATGCCAGGGAAGTACTTAATGTTAATTCTGGTATAGGATACATACTTGCCCTGTGGGTATGCCCTAGTGATGCAGAGCTAATTTTTCCAAGAGAAAATACTAGTACTGGGGGCCACTCTCTGGAAGACATTGAACAGTCACCCTTCCCTTCCACAAAAAAATGTAAGGTAAGCCAAGCCCAGGATTTATCTGTCAAGTTATAAGGGCATTTTTGGAAAAATTTAAATCTATGGAAAGGATTTCCCTCCTCTTTGTTTGAGAAATCCTATTTGGGTCAATTCCTTGGCTGACTTACATAGATTGTGTGTGAGTCAGTCTGCTGTTGGCAGGTATTTCTCCCACCCATACCATATGGGACGGTTCAATCTCTATTGGCTTGACAGTATTTTGTTCCTTTGTTTGTTTTCTAGAAATTTATTGGCATTCTTGAATAGTACTAAGTTGTAAAGAAATATTCCTAACTCTAGTATGGAGGGGTTACTATGTCAACTAATGGTGCCTAGTTTGTACTCACATTTACAAGTTAACAGCATTCTGGACAAGCATCCATGTATTACAGAGGTGAGCATATATCATATCCTAAGGGAGATTTAGTGTTTGATTTATGTGGCTCCCCACCAAGTGCAAGTGCCACAGATGGTCTTCACCACCTGCCTCTACCACCACCACCAGCACGCTTGTTATTCAGGGCCCACTCTCTTGTCTTTGCAGAAGACATTGTGTATATGAAGTAAGAAAGGCAGGGACTGATCAAAGTCTCAGGTTAGTCAAGGGACAAAGCACTCGTTTATGACCAAATGAAATAGTGACTGCCATCCAGGTCTTCCCATATAAGTCCCACTAATCTCCATGCTTATATGATCACCCATTTTCTCATCTACCCTCCCCATTCTTCTCAGAGGAATATTTTCTAGGCCGGTGGGTGCAGGGGTTTCTCTCATTTCTGTTTATTCCTACTATTCCCCTTCACCACCGAATACAGAATATCCTGGTTTCTTGAATGGGGTGTGTATATGGAGTGGAAGAAGCAAAGCAGACAAGAGAGGTAAAAGTGTACCACCTGGACAAAAATGTAGACATGATTTGATATCTTTATATTATTATGCTAGAGTTAAGAAAAGGAAGAAAGGATGTTGCAGAGAAACAAGACAACAGGATAAAAGGCACCTTGGAACAGAATGTCTGTTCTATTCAGAGTTCTAAAAATATATATCACTTTGAGTATTTTAGGTTAGGGCAAAATATTTGGATTTTATTCAAAGAATATCAGGATACTAGTAAGGTGCTTCAAGTAGACAGTGATTTATATTCTAGAAATATCACTCTGGCTGCTGAATTGAGGAGATATTTTAGAAATTAAGGGTGGAGGCAGGGTCCCACGTAGGTGGCTATTGCAATAGCCTACGTCACAGATAATGGTGCTTGTCTTTGCACTGTAACAATGGATATTAAGATATGTGGTCACATTTGAGCTGCATATTGATAACAGAATCTAAAAGGGCTTGCCTGATGAACTGGATATGAGCTATAAGGAAGAGTCAGGAATGTAGATGAATTCCTAAATATATACCTTTTTATCTGAGGAACAGGATGGAATATGGAAAAGAGGTTACATGGGAGAAAGCAGATTTGGGTGTTGGAAATCATGTGTTCCATTTTGGAAATATGTTTGAGATTCAGTTCAACATCCAAACCAAGAAGTTGAGATAAAAAGGCCAATACTCAAGCATGAGATACAAATATGAGGTACATTGGCAGATAGATACTATTTGATGTCATAAAACTCAGTGCATCACCTAAGGAGGTAACATAAATACAGAAAATAAGAGGACCAAGAATAAAGCCTGGGAAATGCCAAAATTTAAAGTTCAGATAGAAAAGTAGCCAGTGAATGCACTAGCAAAGTAGAAAGCAGACTAGGTGAGCCTAGAAATGAAATTAAACATTTCAAGAAGTAAAGGATGGTCAAACTGTCAAAACTACAGAAAGGCCAAGTAAGAAGAGGACAAGTGATTGGTAATTCCTTTTGGCAAGATGCGGGTCATTTGTGAGAACTTTCAATGGAAGAAGAGGGAAGGACAGCCTGATTTAAATAGGTCGAGAAAAAATGAGATGTGAAGAAATGCATAAAGGCAATTCCTTCAAGGAGTTTCTCTGAAGGGGAACAGAGAAGTGGAGCAGTGATTATAATAAAATGTAAGGTCAAGGGAAGGTTTAGTGTTTTGAAATTTTAAAGATGAACAATGTTAAGGAAGAATTTTATGGTAATGAGAATGATCTGGATATATGGAGAAACTGCTGCGGCAAGAGAGCAAAGTGACTTACTCTTTTCGGTTTCTAAATAGTAGACTTCTGAAACAAATTAATTCAGACATTTGAAAAAAAGATTTTGGAGAATAAAATTTTTAGATGTCCCTTAGTGAATGTTCTTGGTGTTTAACAAGAGTCTTCATTACATCCTGGCAAAGTATTAATTCACGTGATATTTTGTAACATTTTATAACTGAAGAGATGTGATGGAATGAGAAGACTTATGGGTACACTTGGTACTCTAAACATTGCTTGATTAATTCTTTAAAAATCAAATCTTATAAAGAGCCTCTAAGCTAATAAAAGATTACAACCATTTCAGAAAGGTGAGGTTAATTTAATGTCTATTGCCTTAAAAGAAATGTAGATGATGAGAGTATTTGAAAATTCACACAAATGAACGTCACAAAATTGGATAGTGAAATATGAAAATGTTACTATTGACTAAGGTAAGAGTAAGAGCTTGGGAAGTAAGAAAAACTTTCCTCAGATGGCAGACTATTAGTGTGTGGAACAGGCCACCGAAGAAACCAATAAAATCTTTAACTATGAACACAGTGAAAATGATTTAAGCTTTTTGACTATAGAGTTTACAGGTTTTAAACATTAGCTGTGTAAGTGGAAAGACCATTAAGTGCCATATGGGCTCTTTCTTTGACAAAGCATCATTTTAGCAGAGTGGAGGGTGAAAGGGAATCAGGATTTTTATTTTAAATCCAAATTGCTTTATATTTTCAAAGATATAATTAAAATATTAAACAAGTAAAATCTATCATTGTAATAATCAAGATAATAGTAGAAACAAGTTAGCCTGGAGAACTTTTATAGTATCTTGGATTAGTAAAACAATACTTGTCTGTGGTTATCAAGGCCAAGGAAGAAAAAAAAATCAATCAGAGTTATCCCCAAGACTGAAGCATTGTGGAGCTGCAAGGATTTACAATGATAAAATAGATTACCTCCGATTAAGTGTATTCAACAATTTGATCATTATGCAGCTCTGTTTTCTATGAACACCTGTAAGCATAGCAACACAGAATGCTGACAATACCTTCTTAACATTTGCAAATTGAAGAAGATCATGAAGGAAAATATTTCAGTACTTCAAAAACCCCAAACACTTCATTATCTCCAAAAATACCTAGGTCATTGAGTTAAACTGCATTTCTTTATCTCTTGCAATCATTTGGTTGATAATTGCCATGGTCCTTAATATTCTCCAAAATTATTCCTCCACAACTCAATTTCCTGACCCTTTGACTATAAAAGTTCCTGACACAAAATTAGGCACAGGATCATGGGTATACCAGAACCAAAACATATTGTGTTTACTTAATGGCAAATATTGATTCCAAAATCAGAAAGTTTTCCTGACAAATCGCAACCTAAAATCAGGAGACTGTAATTTCGATGACTCTGTAGGCTTACTAATACTCTGATTTTTTTTATGCTATGAAAAATGTTAAACATACTAATCTTCATTCCTTGGGGAGGAAGGGGAAAGAAATCTCCCCTTGCTTTTCTTTATTTTTTACTTTTATTAAGTTCAGAAGTACAAGTGCAGGTTTGTTACATAAGTAAACTTGTGTCATGGAAGTTTTTTGTACAGATCATTTCGTCACCCACTTATTAAGCCTAGTACCCGTTAGTTATCTTTCCTGATTCTCTCCCTCCTCCCACACTCCACCCTCAGGTAAGTGTGTGTTGTTCCCTTTTATGAGTTCATGTGTTCTCATCATTTAGCTCTCACTTATAAGTGAGAACATACCATATTTGGTTTTCTGTTTCTATGTTAGTTTGCTATGGATAATGGCCTCCAGCTCCACCCATGTTCCTGCAAAGGACATGATCCTGTTCTTTTTTATGATTGCATAGTATTCCATGGTCTATAAGTACCATATTTGCTCTATCCAGTCTATTATTGATGGGCATTTAGGCTGATTCCATGTCTTTGCTATTGTGAATGCTATAATGAAAATATACATGCATGTGTCTTTATGATAGAATGATTTATATTCCTTTGGGTATATACCCAGTAATGGGATTGCTGGGTGAAATGGTATCTCTGCCTTTAGGTCTTTGAGGAATTATCACACTGTCTTTCACAATGGCTGAACTAATTTACATTCCCACCAAGAGTGAATAATTGTTCATTTTTCTCCACAACCACCAGCATCTTTCATTTTTTGACTTAAGTGAAATAGAATTACCAGCCTTAAGAAAGGGCTTACAACCCAGTTTCTAAAGAGTTCATCTGATTTAAACACAGACCACAATCTCACTTACAAAGGTCAATATCTCCAAAAAGGAAGTGGACAAGAAGTGGCAGGATCAAATTGCTAGGAAATATTGAAGATCTATCAAGACCTGTAAAAAGCAAAGTGAAAAGGGTCTGTGTAACCTAGATGTCCACGCAAGAGAAATAGTGCAATAGTAGACTTCCTGGTACAACAGTTTTTGATTGCAAATCAGCTCACATGCCCTGATCAATCTGAGATGAATAGTCAAATTAATCTTAATTAAAGCTGAAGTTGCATTGGTTCAAATGTATTATTTTTTCCAGTTAGGATTTTGTCCCATAAATAACAGCAATTGAACAGAAAATATTCAAATCGAGTTGAACATAACAAGTCATGAATGTACAATATGTCCCCAGATGCCCATTCACCTCCAATCTTCTTGGTTCAATTCAGTCAGGTGCTCTGTCCAGGGAATTTTTATTGTATGGTGGTCAATTTGGAAGGTTTTTTTTCTCTGTTTCTATAACTCAGCAGCTTCAACTCTTCCTTACCCTTCATTCCAATGAGCTACTGTCGCTTTTTTTTCAAGACACAGTCCTGCCTTATTGTTATAATTATTTATTTTTAAGAAATTAAAAATGTCTTCTTAACTGTGCTAGTATTTTTATTGGGGTTAGTATTATGTTCATTGGGGCTCTGGTTACAACACTCCATAGATTCTGAGTTGTCTGTTTTTAACTTTTTTTTCCCTCAAGTTTTATCATTTTTAGTATGTAATTTTGTAGCATACAAGGTTTTAAAGAACGTGTATATTGCAACACAGTGAAAATGCCTATATAATTGAGGCTCATAAGCTGCAACAGGGTAGAGCCCAAAAAGTGAAAACACCAGAGACAGAAAAAAAAGTTACTGTTTTCCTCTAACACTGCCTCCTCTCTGAGTTTATTTGTCCTGTCCAGAACACAGGACAACGTTCTGGAATTCCTAGATTTCCATGACCCTCTGATAGGTCTTTGATTTTCTTTTTTTTTTTTCTGATGTGTGTCTTTGTGTGTGTGTGTGTGTGTGTGTGTGTGAGAGAGAGAGAGAGAGAGAGAGAGAGAGAGAGAGAGAGAGAGAGAATGGTGTTTGAAAGAACCGGAGGATAAAATAGAAGATGGCATTAGTTAGCCCTTGCTATTTTACCTAACCACACTCTGTTTAGTCAACATTTAAAGGCTGCAAATATTCACAAAGGAACTAAAGTTGTGAAGATTGGGAAATAAGACCACATTTAGACATTAAAATGTAGTCTCATATTCAACACACTTTTTCACCAAATGTAAGTGAATCATGATGATTTATTTTTATGAAGATGTTTGTATATACTTTTTAAGAATGTGAACATGCTGTTCAATTACACAAGAACCAAGAAGGGTACTTTGTCTCATATGGTTACAACAATTAACTGTTCTTTTCCCCACCTTTCACGTCTAATTCTGTGACTGTCAATAATGTTAACATCACATAATAGGCGTCTTCATACTGTCTGCATCACACAGAAAACTCTGAGCTATTTCAGAATAGAACATCTTATATATCTCTATAACACAATCTTGATATCTCTAACACAATGCTGACACAAATGTTTGTTAAATGAATCAGTAATATGAATACATAAATAAACATGCAAATATTTTGGATGCAATTACTGACCATTTCCGAATCTGTCCAGAGCTAGTATCTTACATATTGGGATCTAATACACTGCCCTCAAAGGACATCCACATCCCATAGTATTTTATGACGACCTCTATTCCAGTGCTTACTATGGTTTGTATTATATTGCATGTTGCTCTGCATATGTCCATTATCACCACTAGATGGGGAGCTTCCAAAGGTACTCTCACATGCCTTCTAGAAATTATAATGTTTTATACTTAGTAGATGTTAAATAAATATTCTCTGAACTTAGTGTCTTAATGGTATTAGAGGCAATAATTTATTTTAAAATATATCAGAAATGAAAATGTCATTAACTTTAGAATCTAGAAATCATTTTTGAATATTTGGAATTATTTCTAGATAAATGATGATTCTAGTAAGGAATTTTAATGGGCAAAATAAACTTTAAAGCATTTTTTTAAATGCTTTAAATCATAGAGTACTCATTAACTTATATAATTGGTTATCATTTATAAAACTAATACCTAATTTTAATTTTTCATAATTAAGAAACACAGGCAATACTTTTCTTAAGACAGCCTTTTAAGGTCTTCTTAAAATGTGAAGAAATAAGATGTCAGACATGTCATTTTTATAGTATCTAAATTCTCAGAGGTTATAATTAGTTAATCCTTCTTGGGAAAAAAGTATCTAATGGAAATATAGAGATGAGGAGCAATTTCTGCACAGAATAAAAATGTTTACTCCATGCATTCTGAGATGCTGTGATTCAACATGATGCAATGTTTGTGTTGGTTTTCCCTTTGTGCTCCTGTCTTTTCTTCTCTCTTCATTCCTGTAATTACGTGCTTCAGTGATTTATGTTGGCAGTATCAAATCATAGATTCTGAAGCAATAAAACTACTGCATTAGAAAGTTCTACAAATCTCCAACATCCTCTGGCAATGGATAAGTGACATTGTTGAAAAAAAGAGAAAGCTTTTCAACAGCTCTCACAAAGCAAATGACTAAGCTACTGACACATTCTATATCCTGGAAAAAAATAGACCCCAACATTAAAATGACGTTTTGCAGCATATTGACAAATTTGAAGCCACTCTTTCCGTTTCCTGTGAGATTCATTTGCTAAAATGCTTTCACTCTGCTGAAGCAAACCAAATAGAAGATTCCACAAAGAAATATGTTGAGCTTCTGGCCATCTGTGGGATGCAAACAAATGTGATCATCCATTTCGTTACCACGTAAGCTTCAATTTCATTTAAGACTGTTATTGATGGCATTAGTCAACTTAGATATTGGCCAGTTTAGAGAGTCAAATATATAAAATAGAAACACCATTCAGGTGAGATATTGGTCTTATATTGAAGAGACAATCTGGTGTGAAATGTGAATAACACATAGGTCTCAATCACCACAATGCATTAGAATCAACTGGGGAAATTTTTAAGAAAATATATATTCCCAAACTACACTCCTATGATTCCATTTCAATTGGTTGAACCTGCGACACAGGTATGCATACCTTCTAAAATGTGTCCCAGGGTTTTGAAAGTATAGCCAAATGTACAGAGACCTGAGTCACAAAAACTGAGTTCAGTAGCCATTTCAGATTTTCACTAGTTAGGAGTTTGAGAAAAGTTGTATAATTAATATATTTTAGTAAAATTTTTAATAAAAGACTTTTAAGATTTCTAACAACAGTAATGACCCTATTGCTCTACTGTAACATTAAACAAACTACCTTAACACTGCAAAGATGCTTATGAGTCAATAAAACTTGCTATTGTTAATGGCCCATCTGTGTATTTGCAACTTCAAATGTAAATGCTATCTATATCTTTAACAGAGTGAACTGCTACTAAGATTATTTAAGAAAGTACCACAAAGACCTATGCCACAATATCTAAATGTCAACTCAGAGGGGGTAAATGTTGAGGAAATCTTTGTCAGATGGCCGTCATTAGTTTTTTAGTGATTAAACAGTCCTACCTAGTGTGTATTCTGAAAAATACTATGTCACTTTTCTGCAAAAGCTAACTAGGAATACATTAACTCTTAATACTAAATATAACTGAATGCTTATGGGGAAAAATAAATTTCTGAACCTGATCACCACATTAATCTTATACAATGAAATTTTAACTTTTGTTTAAAATAAAAACTATAGGAGAATGCAATGAACCACTGCTTCTCAAATGTGTTACAGATACTTTATTAGCTGTAATAATTATACTCCACCAGGAATCTGGAACTCTGGTAAATAAGGGATTGTAGAAAATGTAAGAGAAGTATCTCCAGCAGCAGCCATTATCCAGAACCAAAGTCAGCCAGGGTTATCAGAGAGGAAAAGTGTGTTAAAACTTAATTTTGGTCAATAATAACAATATATGGCTATCATTGATGCTCTTAGTCAATCAATTACTATCAGGGGATCCAGAAATCAACACCATTGGTTAAACTGTTGGTTCATAATATCTTTACAACTGGAATTTTCTATAGCATTAATATCCTATTTTAAAATGCTAATATCACCTACTGTGTACCCACAAACATTAATTTTTTTAAGATGCTATTATCAAATGAAAATGCATACTCAAAAACCCTTCAGAAAAACTCTCCATAGATTCTGTATATCAAGAGTGAGCTTTTTAGAAAGGAAATGAACTTTTTAAGTTTTAGGGGTTATTGCATCAATTTCATAGGGGTCCAATTCTATAGGTATGCTGAGGCACATACTAACTCTAAAATATGAATGAGCTTCAGGCCACCTAGGGTTGCACAATTTGTATCCATTGCTTTTTCAACAACAAAAAAAGCAATCATTTGCAAAGCAATTTTGTCACCTACTAGATACAAATGTTCCATAAATTTAGATTTACCAGGTTGACTATGTAATGGGAAAAGCCAAGCCATTACTGGAAGTTTATGTTACTTCCAATTCTGTACTGATGCACTTCAATGAACATAAGCCACTTTTTATTATTCAAATAGTTTACTTAAGTTATTGGATCTATTTAAAAACAGAATTCT
This sequence comes from Homo sapiens, assembly GCF_000001405.40. Lineage (NCBI taxonomy): Eukaryota > Metazoa > Chordata > Mammalia > Primates > Hominidae > Homo > Homo sapiens. Next base: position 87,698,227 of record NC_000008.11, read on the forward strand.
GAAAGACATTGAAAATCCAATTGTTTTTTACTACAGAAAGAAATAAAGAACTATCCACAAAGAGGCTATAAACAGAATAGAATGGAAAATAATGCTATTAAAGAAAAAAACAGAAATTTCTAGACCTACCAACATTGGTTTGTGCTTTCATGGATTATACTTATTTCTGGCCTTTTTTCCTTAAGGCGGTACCTTCTAATTTTAATTACATGTTAGAATCACCTGGGAATTTTATTAAGTAACAATTTCCAAGCCTTACCCTCAGAGATTCAGACTTAATTGGTCTAGGGTGGGCATTGGCATACTTAAAAAGTGCCTCAGGAGATTGTACTGTGAGGTTAAGATTAGAGACCATTGACTCATAGTACTGTGTGTCATTTACAGAATCTTCTACAAATCTGAAAGAGCAATATTAACCCAATAACCCAAGTGACCTGCAATAAAAATATTAAACAGGCCACCAAATGCTGTAAGGTGTTTTGGTATAAGAGCTCTTTGATCTATTTTTTAAAGACTCTTTAAATCCTACAATTATCCACATGACAAGGTAGGTTCCTGATTTAATGCCACGGCATCTGTGGTCTCCATGAGGTCTCATCTAATCAAGAGACTTTCAGGCGATACATATGTCAACAGGGAGGAAGGAAATTTAATTGTAAGAAGATACCACCTGACTTACACATGACACATCAGGCCTTTTCCTCTAGAAAAAAAAAAAAAGAATCTGAGGAACTCAAATCATATCCATCTTATGTAACAGGAAATGACTAAAGAGTATTCAAATTTTTAAACCAAAGTGTTGTGAAAATGTCACAGATTTGTACTATTCTCTATTACTGGCCTAAGATTAAGTCTCATTAGATAACAAGAAAACTCTATATAATGTCTTGAAAGTGCTATTGTTCAAGATCAGTGGGATATTTTGAGTTATATTTCTTCCTTTTGCTTCTTCACTTTATCTTACTTGTAGGCACATGCTGCCTACAAAATGATGGAGGAGGAAGGGTGGAGGAAAAGAAGGATGGGAAAGATAACGGAAAGGACCACACTGTTGTTCCAGAATAGTTTCATAGCAACCACAAAGCTGAAGGGTTTCTTTTCTGTTTTTGTTTTTGTTTGTTTAGGGCCAAAAACAAAATAACAACATCACAGGGAAGGTAGTTTCCTACATGGTAGGTTTGGTCAACATGAAATTCTAAAGTACTTTGCAAACGTAAATAAGGAAGTTTCTTTAGTGGTATTTGAGATATATAAAGCACCCCTATCAATCATTGCCCAAATTATTTTTTCAGTCATGTTAAGAATTATACCAACTTATCACTTCCCCTCCCCTTTTCAAACCCCCTTCTCCCCAGCTAGAATCCTGTTCTTGTGCCAGGAAAGAAAGCATCTAGAGCTAGTTTTAATTAACACTACCCATCCACTCCCCTTTTCCACCCACCGACATGTTTATAAATGGAGGATCAATCACAATGTCAACATAGCATTTACCCTTGTTTATTTCTCGAGAGTTACTGCTTAACATAGACTAACTATATTGTCTCCAAGCGTCCAAAAGTTCCTTAAAATTCCGAAATGCAAGACTTCTTCCCATTACTAATCTGTGAAGCCATAAAAACTATTTTCAGGCCTATTGTTGTTGTATGAAAGAATGGTTAAAATATAATTTGATCCAAATGTAGTGTTAATTTTTTAACTTATTTAACCTAAGATTTGTTGTAGGGCTTCAGTCAGGATGGTGGGGAAAATTATAAAATAAAACACAAACCTTCTTGGAAGGCCAAAAGTTTTTTGCAAAAGCCTCAGGATAGAGTTATGGATAATCCTCTTTGAGCTATAGCAAGGGTAATTAACATAGGAATGTAGAGGAGTCTACCTAAATAGCTTGTTTACTAAGTGGTTCTAAGAGTAACCTTTGCCCATGTGGGTGCATGATTGCTCTCTTTGGGGGGAAGGGGAGGAGCAGGAGAAGGCGACCAGGTTGATTACCCTCTAACGGTGCTGACTCAAAGCATTTGTCATTTAATGTGTGCTGAATAAATGCCAGGAGAGCCAGCCAGTCCAGGCTTGTTACAGCACTCTCCTAGGAGTCTGTAAGTGGCCCGGACTCTCAGCTGGACTGACAAGCATAATATCTGTGTCAGTGTACATTATTCATCCATCACTGGGTCAGGGTCTGCACAACGGACCCCCACAGTTTGTGTTAGTAGGACTTACACAGTAACTTTAAATAATCTAGGCTAGTCAAATTTTCATGCTAAATATCTCTGTATTATTCTTAAATATTGGCTAAAAATTAAACAGATATGGTTTCAGAACACTAAAAATATTCCAGTTTCTCAAACCCACCGAAACAAACAATGTCAAGGATGATTCTTTCTGGATTTAGTTTTCCAGAATTATATATTTATAATTTTACAATGAGCAGATCTTCTAAAGATGGTGGTTGCGACACCATAGAAACTCAATGGATTGATTACAGAGGAGTAAGAAGAAATTTACATTCACATGATGTTCAGACAGGGGAACTGTGGATGTCAATAAACTAACATTTGATTTTAACACTGGTAAATGAAGGGGAAGAAAACAAGCAGTTAGTATGCCTTTTTATCTTAACTGCATTATTGAGCAAAAAAAAAATGGAAAGTTTCACAGAAGTATAATAGTTAATAAATGAAGGGCTGATCAAGTATAATCATTTTGCCATAATGGATTTAAGCAAATGATTATAAGCAGTGAATGGATTTAAACATTGAATATCACTAAAAGAGAAGCAGCCAGACACTTACAGTCCTCTGGTTGGAAGAATATATCATCTGTAATGCAGTCTTACCAAAACTTCAAACCTAAAGTAAGAATCTCAATATTCAATATAGGAAATACAGAACAATAAGGGTATGTTAAATGGGGATAAAATCAGCAATCCCAAACTGGGGGGAAATTTACAGAATAAATAATACATTTTATTTAACAAATGTATTAGGAGAAAAGAGAAAGTCAGTAAATACATAGGATAAAAAATACAGGCCAGGCATGGTGGCTCATGGCTGTAATTCCAGCATTTTGGAAGGCCAAGGCAGGAGAATCACTTGAAGCCAGGAGTTCAAGACCAGCCTGGCCAACATGGCAAAACCCCATCTCTACTAAAAATATGAAAAATTAGCTGGGCATGATGGTGCATGCTGGTAGTCCCAGCTACTTGGGAGGATGAGGTAGGAGAATCACTTGAATCTGTGAGGCAGAGGTTGTGGTGAGCCGAGATCATCATGCAACTGCACCCCAGCCTGGGCAACAGAGCAAGACCCTGTCTCAAAAAACAAAACAAAACAAAACAATACAAAAAGACACAGTTACAAGTTGTAACGTGTAGATCTCATTTGGATTCTAATTCAAACAAACTGCAATAAATTAATTAATTTAATTAAGTACAAAGTATAAGGCATTTAGAAATTTCAACACTGACTTGATAGTTAAGAATATTAAGGAAATATTGCTAATTTTTAAAGAGGTGATAATTTCATTGTGGTTATTTGTAAAAGAAAAAGAGGCCTTATTTTTTAGAGATATATACTGACAAAAGAGATGCAATGATCTCATGTCTAAAATTCACTTCAAATTAACATGGGTTAGGGAATTAGGTAGAATATAAATTAAAAATGATTAGTCTTCTTTGTCCATTCATCTATTGTTAGACACTTAGGGTGATTCCATGTCTTGGCTATTATGAATAGTACTGGAATGAACATGGGGGTGCCAACATCTTTTCAATATACTGATTTGCTTTCTTTTGGATAAATATCCAGCAGTGAAATTGCTAGTTCCTATGGTAGTTCTATTTTTAGTTTTTTGAAGAACCTGCATAGTTTTTTGTTTTCCACAGTGGATGTACTGATTCACATTCCCACCAACAGTGTACAAACATTCCTTTTTCTCTACATCCTCATCAGCATGCATTCTTTTTTGTCTTTTTGATAAAAGCCATTTTAACTGGGGTGAGATGATATCTCATTGTGGTTTTGATTTGCAGTTTCTTATCATTAATGATCTTGAGCATATACACAATGGAATATTATTCAGCCATAAACAATGAGATTCTGTCATTTGCAACAACATGAGCAACAAGCAGAAGTGATTATGTTAAGTGAAATAAGCCATGCATAGAAAGACAAATATCATGTGAGAACTAAAAATATTGATCTCATGAAGATACAGTAAAATTATGGTTACCAGAAGCAGGGAAAGGTAGTAAGGAAGGTTTGGTTAGTGGGTACAATTATACAGTTAGATAGAAAGAATACAATCTGGTATTCGACAGCACAATAGGGTGACTATAGTTAACAATAATTTGGGAGACAGAGCAAGATGACTGGGAAGAAGCCTCCACTGATTGTCCTCTCTGCAGGAACACAATAATGAACAACTATCCACACAAAAAAAGCACCTTCATAAAACAAAAACATCAGATGAATGATTACAATACCTGGTTTAACTTCATATCTTGGAAAGAGGCCCTGAAGAGCATAGGAAAGATAGTCTTGAATCACTGATGCCACCCAAAGCCCATCCTCTGGGCAGTGCCTTTGTGGCAGGAAGAGAGAATGTTTGCCCTTAGGGATGGGAGAGTGCAGAAATTGTGGAGCTTTGTGTTGGAACTCAGTGCTATCCTGTCACAGCAGAAAGCAACACAAGGCAGAACTCAGTCGGCACCCACAGAAGGAGCATTTAGACAAGCCCTAGCCAGAGGGGAATCACCCATCCCAGTGGTTGGAACCTGAGTTCTGGCAAGCATTGCCACTGTGGGCAAAAGTGCTCTGGTGTTCTGAATAAATCTGAAAGGCAGTCTAGGCCACAGGTACTGCAATTTCTTGGCAAGTCCTGATGCAGCGCTGAGCTCAGAACCACGAACTTGGTGGTCACATGACCCAGTGAGATGCCAGCCAGGAAAACCAAGAAAGTGTGTGCATCACCTGTCCCCAAACCAAGGCAGAAAAATTTGCAGCTTCGAAAGAGACTCCTTCCTTCCACTTGAGAAGAGGGCAAAAAGAGTAAAGAGGACTTTGTCTTACAACTTGAATACAGCTCAGCCGCAGTAGTATAGTGTACTGGGTAGAGTACTGAGGTCCCATTCCTGGTCCTAGCTCCCAAATGGCACGTCCTGGGTCAGAAGGGAACTTGCTGCCTTGAAGGAAAAGACCAAGTCTGCAGGATTCATCATCTACTGACTAAAGAGCCCTTGGGCCCTGAATAGTCAGCCGTGATAGCCAGGCAGTACTTTCTGTGGGCCTTGGGGGAGACTCAGAGATGTGCTGGCTTCAGGTTCAACATAGCACGTTCCCAGCTGTGCTGGCTATTGAGAGAGAACACTTCTATTTGAGAAAAGGAGAGGGAAGAATAAGGGAACTTTGTCTTGCAGCTTAGGTACCAGCTCGGCCACAGTTGAGTAGAGCACCAGGCAGGCTCTTAGGGTCTCCAGTGTTAGGCTTTGGTTCTTGCATGGCATTTCTGGACCTGTTTTTGGCCAGAGAGAAGCCCATTGCCCTGCAGGGAGAGTACCAGGCCAGGCAACATTTACCACAAGCTGACTAAAGAGCCCTTGGGCCTTGAGTGAACATCAGTGGTAGCCTGATAGTACTCACCATGGTCCTGGTGCAGTAGTGGCCATGGAAAAAGACTACTTGGCTTGTGGAAAGATGAGGGAAGAGCAGGAAGGGCTTTGTCTTGTGGCTTGGGTGCCAGCTCAGCTGCAGTAGAATAGAGCAGCAAGTAGGTTCCTAAGATTTCCAAGGTAACTTTCATTTGCTCCCAGATGGCATTTCTGGACCCAGGGCAGGGGGTACTCACTGTCCTCAAAGGAAGGACATGAGCCTGGCTGGCTTTGACACCTGCTGATTGTAGAGACCTAGGCCCTTGAGTGAACATAGGTGGTAGCCAGAAAGTGGTTACCATGGGACTTGGGCAAAATACAATGCTGTGCTGGTTTCAGGTCTGATCCAGCACAATACCAGTGGTGGTGGCCATGGAGGTGCTTGTGTCATCCCCCACAGCTCCAGGCAGCTCAGCACAGAGAGAAACTCTGTTTGTTTGGGAGAGAGTAAGGGAAAAGAACAAGAGTCTTTGCCTGGTAGTCAAGGGAATTCTTCCAGGTCTTTGTCAAGACCATCAAGGTGGTACCTTTTTGAGTCTGCAAGAGCCACAGCATTATTGGGCTGGAGGTGCCCTCTAATTCAGATATGGCTACAGTGACCTAAAATTAGATTATAGCACTCAAGTTCCCTTGAATAGCTGAAAAACCTTCCTAAGGAGCATGGGTACAAACAAACTCAGACTGTGAAGACTACAATGAATACTGAAGTCTTCAACATGCAGACACTGGTGGATATTCACAAGCATGAAGACTAATCAAGAAAACATGACAACACGAAATAAACTAAATAAGGCACTAGAGACCAATCTTGGAGAAACAGAGATGTGTGACCTTTTAGACAGAGAACCCAAAATAATTGTTCTGAGAAAACTCAACCGAATTTAAGATAACACAAATAAGGAATTCAAAATCTTATCAGATAAATTAATGGAAATATTGAAATAATTTTCAAGCATCAGGCTAAAATTCTAGAACTGAAAAATATAATTGACATACAGAAGAATGCATTCAGAGTCTCTTAATAGCAGACTGTTCAAGCAGAAAAAAATTAATGAGCTCAAAAACAGGCTACTTGAAAATGCATAGTCAAAGGAGACAAATGAAAAAAGAATTAAAAGAGTGAAGCATGCATATAATATCTAGAACATAGCCTCAAAATGGTATACCTGAGAGTGTTTAGCCTTAAGGAGGAGGTAGAGAGGGAGATAGGGGTAGAAGGTTTATTCAAAGGAATAATAACAGAAAAATTCCCAAACCTAGATAGGGAAAGATACAATACTCAAGCACAAGAAGATTATAAAACACAAGGCAGATTTAACCCAAAGAAGATCACCTGGAGACATTTAATACTTGTATTAGCCCATTTTCATATTGCTATAAAAAACTACCCAAGACTGGGTAATTTATTAAGGGAAGACGTTTAATTGACTCACAGTTCAGCATGGCTGGGGAAGGCTCAGGAAACTTACAATCACAGTGAATGGCAAAGGGGAAGCAAGGCACCTTCTTCACAAGATGGCAAGGAGAAGTGCTGAACGAAGAGGGAAGAGCCCCTTATAAAACCATCAGATTTCATGAGAACTCACTCACTTTCATGAGAACAGCATGGAGGAAACCTCTCCCCTGATTCAATTACTTCCACCTGGTCTCTCCCTTGACATGTGGGGATGATAGGGATTATAGGAATTACAATGCAAGATGAAATTTGAGTGGGGATACAAAACCTAACCATATCTTTCCAACCCTGGTCCCTCCCAACTCTCATGTCCCTTTCACCTTTCAAAACCAGTCTTAATTCATTCCACCTTCAACCCAAAATTCCAAGTCCAATGTCTTACCTGAGGCAAGGTAAGTCCCTTCTGCCTATGAACCTGTAAAATCAAAAGCAAGTTAGTTACTGTCTAGATATAGTGGGGGTACAGGCGTTGGGTATATACACCCGTTCCAAATAGAAGAAATTGGCCAAAATGAAGGGGTTACAGGTCCCATGCAAGTCTGAAATCCAATAGGGCCATCAAATCTTAAAGATCTGAAATGATTTCTTTTGACTTCATGTCTTACACCCAAGTCATGCTGATGGAAGAGGTGGGTTCCCATGGTCTTAGGCAGCTCCATTCATGTGGTTTTGCAGGGTACAGCTTCACTTCCAGCTGCTTTCACAGACTGGCGTTGAGTGTCTGCCACTTTTCCACATGCACAATACAATCTGTCGGTGGATCTACCATTCTGGTGTCTGGAGGACGATGGTCCTCTTCTCACAGCTCTACTAGGCAGTGCCTCCAAGTGTGTGGCCTCCGACTCCACATCTCCTTTCTGTGCTGCCCTAGCAGAGGTTCTCCATGAGGGCTCCACCCCTGCGTCAAACTTCTGCCTGGACATCCAGGCTTTCCATATGGTCTCTAAAATCTAGGCAGAGGTTCCCAAACACCAATTCTTGACTTCTGAGTACCCACAGGCCCTACTCCATGTGGAAGCTGCCAAGGCTTGGGGTTTGCACCCTCTGAAGCAACAGCCTCAGCTCTATGTTGGCCACTTTTAGCCACAGCTGGGATGCAGGACACCAAGTCCCAAGAATGCACAATGCAGCAAGGCCCTGGCCCCAGCCCACGAAAACATTTTTTCTGCCTAGGCCTCCAGGCCTGTGATGGGAGGGACTGCTGTGAAGACTTCTGACATGCCCTGGAGACATTTTCCCCATTGTTTTGGTGATTAATGCTTGGCTTCTTATTACTTATGCAAATTTCTGCAGCCAGCTTGAATGTCTCCTCAGAAAATGGGTTTTTCTTTTCAGTCACATCATCAGACTGCAAATTATTCAAACTTTTATGCTCTCCTTCCCTTTTAAATGGAAGTTCCAATTCCAAAACATCTATTTGTGAATGTATGAAACTGAGTGATTTTAAGAGCACCCAGGTCACCTCTTGGAAGCTTTGCTGCTTAAACATCTCTTCCCCCAGATACCCTAAATCTCTCTCTCAAGTTCAAAGTTTCACAGATCTAAAGAGAAGGGGCAAAATGCAACTGGTCTCTTTGCTAAAGCATAGCAAGAATCACCTTTATTCCAGATCCCAACAAGTTTCCCATCTCTATCTGAGACCACCTCAGCCTGGACTTCATTGTCCATATCACTATCAGCATTTTGGTCAAAGCCATTCAACAAGTCTCTAGGAAGATGCAAACTTTCCCACATCTTCCTTTCTTCTTCTGAGCCCTCCAAACTGTTCCAACCTCTGCCTGTTCCCCAGTTCCAAAGTAGCTTTCACATTTTGGGGTATCTTTAGAGCAGCATCTCACTCTCTGTGGTACCAATTTACTGTATTGCTCAATTTTCATAGTGCTATAAAGAACTGACCAAGGCTGGGTAATTTATAAAGGAAAGAGGTTTAATTGACTCACAGTTCAGCATGGCTGGGGATGCCTCAGGAATCTTACAATCATGATGGAAGGTGAAGGGGAAGCAAGGCACCTTCATCACAAGGTGAACTGAAGGAAAAGTGTTGAGTGAAGGGGGAAAAGCCCCTTACAAAACCCTCAGATTAGCCAGGCGCGGTGACTCATGCCTGTAATCCCAGCACTTTGGGAGGCCAAGGCAGGCGGATCACAATGTCAGGAGTTCGAGACCAGCCTGGCCAATATGGTGAAACCCCATATCTACTAAATATACAAAAATTAGCATGGTGGTGGGCACCTGTAGTCCCAGCTACTTGGGAGGCTGAGGCATGAGAATCACTTGAACTCAGGAGGTGGAGGTTGCAGTGAGCCAAGATCATGCCAGTGCACTCCAGCCTGGGTGACAGAGTGAGACTCTGTCTAAAAAAAAAAAAAAAAAAAAAAAAACAACAACAACAACAACACAACAAAAACCATCAGACATCAGATCTCATGAGAACTCATTCACTATCACAAGGACAGCATAGGGAAAACTGCCCCCATGATTCATTTACCTCCCCCTGGTCTCTTCCTTGACATGTGGGGATTATGGGGGTTATGGGGATTATAATTCAAGATGAGATTTGGGTGGGGACTCAAAGCCTGACTATATCAATAGTCAAACACCCAAAGATTCAGGATAAAGAAAGGATCCTAAAAGAGCTAGAGAAAAAACAAAACAAACAACTAGTATACAATGAAGCTCCAATATGTCTGGCAGCAGACTTTTCAGTGGAAACCTTATGGCCAGAGGAGAGTGACCTGAGATATTTAAAGTGTGGAAGTAAAAAAACTTTTATTCTACAATAGTATATCCAGCAAAGATATCCTTCAAACATGAAGAAGAAATAAAGACTTTCCCCACTAACATAAGCTGGAGGATTTCATCAACACCAGACCCGTCTAACACGCAATGCTAAAAGTAGTTCTCCAATCTGAAAGAAAAGGACTTCAATTGGAACAAGAAATCATCTGAAGGTGGAAAATTCACTGGTAATAGTAAGTACACTTACTTGTCTAGTCAATTGTTCTGTGAACATTGCTGTTATCCTGTTCTTTTTTCAAGGTGCCCAGATTTCACATTGTTCAAACACACATGCTCTACAATTTGTGCAGTTAACGCAATCATCACAGGGTCCTGAGGCGACATACATCCTCCTCAGCTTACAAGATGACAGGATTAAGAGATTAAAGTAAAGACAGGCATAGGAAATCACAAGGGTATTGATTGGGGAAGTGATAAGTGTCCATGAAATCTTCACAATTTATGTTCAGAGATTGCAGTAAAGACAGGTGTAAGAAATTATAAAAGTATTAATTTGGTAACTAATAAATGTCCATGAAATCTTCACAATTTATGTTCTTCTGCCATGGCTTCAGCAGGTCCCTCTGTTCGGGGTTCCTGACTTCCCGCAACATTCTGTGAACTAATTGTTGACAAAATTGCAAAGATGATACATTGGGTAAAGCACAATCTCTTCAATAAACAGTACTGGGAAAACTGGACATCCATATGCAGAAGAATGAAACTAGACCCCTCTCTCTCATTATGTGCAAAAATCGAACTGAAGTGGATCAAAGACTTAAATCCAATACTTCAGACTATGAGGCTAATAAAAGAAAACATTGGGGAAACTCTCTAGGACACTGGACTGGGCAATTAGTTCTTAAGTAATACCCCATAAGCACAGGAAACCAAAGCAGAAATGGACAAATGGGATCACATCAAGTTAAAAGGCGTCTGCACAGCAAAGGAAATAATCAACAAAATGAAAAGACAACCCACAGAATGGGAGAAAATTTTTGCAAACTAATTAACCAGAATATATAAGGTGCTCAAACAACTCTATAGGAAAATATCTAATAATCTGATTTTAAAACAGGCAAAAGATATGATGACATTTCTCAAAAGAAAATATACAAAAGGCAAAGAGGTATATGAAAAGATTCCCAACTCATTGGCCATCAGAGAAATGCAAATTGAGACCACAATGAGAGACCATACAACCCCATAAAAGTTAAAATGGCTTTTATCCAAAAGACAGGCAATAACAAAGGCTGGTGAGGATATAGAGAAGAGAACCCTCATACACTGTTGGTGGCAATATAAATTAGTATGACCACTATGGCAAACGGTTTGGAGATTCCTCAAAAAAACTAAAATTTGAGCTAGCATATGATCTAGCAATCCCACTCTTAGCTATATATCCAAAAGAAAGGAAATCAGGATATCGAGAAGATATCTGTACTTCCATGTTTATTGCAGCACTATTCACAATAATCAAGGTTTGGAAGTATATAAAATGTCCATCAACAGAACGAATGGATAAAGAAAATGTGGTACATATACACAATAGATTTCTTTTCAGACATTAAAAAACAATGAGATCCTGTCATTTGCAACAACATGGATGGAACTAGAGTTCATTATGTTAGTTGAAATAAGCCAGGTACAGAAAAACAAACTTCACATGTTCTCACTTATTTGTGGAAGCTAAAAAATTAAAGCAATTAAACTCACAGAGATAGAGAATATAATGATGGTACTGGAGGTTGGGAAGGGAATTGCGAGTGGGGGAGGTGGGGTTGGCTAACGGGTGCAATACTATAGTTAGATAGAATGAATAAGATCTAGTATTTGATAGCACAACAAGTTGACTACAGTCAACAATAATTTATTGTACATTTCAAAATAAGAGTATAACTGGATTGTTTGAAACACAAAGAAAGGACAAATGCTTGGGGTGATGGATATCCCATTTACCTGATATGATTATGTACCGAATGCCTGTATCAAAATATATCATGTACCCCGTAAATATATACACCTACCATGTATCCACGAAAATAAATAATAATAATTTATTGTATATTTTAAAATAACTACAGGAGTAGAATTGGAATTTTCTTACCACAAGGAAACAATAAATGTTTAAGGGGATGGATATCCCATGTACACAGATTTGATCATTGCACATTGTATGCTTATATCAAAATATCACATGTGCACCATAAATATGCAAAAATATTATACATCAATAAAAATTTAAAAAGAAAAAAATGATTGGTCTTGGATTGGTTTTTGTTGAACTGCCTGACTGCTACATCGATTTTATTACCTTATTTTTCCTACTTGTTTAAACGTTTTATTTAAAAAATTTTATTAAAAATATTGAGCAAATTGTTCTGGGTGTAATAATATAGTCATTCATATACTAAGCATAATTGTATTATTTGATATTGCTTTAGTATTCTATAATTTAAAATAATTTCCCCAGTATTAAAAATTATCATTAATGCCATCATTGTATGTGTGGCCACTGAAGCTTCTCCTAAATAATTTACCCAAAGTTACAAATTTGGAGTCAGTTTTCCTTTCTATTTTACTCAACGTCGTAAGTTTTATAGGTGCTTTCCTGATATCGTATTTGCAATTTTTTTACTAATTTGCTTACATATAAAATAATTGTTGTGTACATTTCATATACTAGATACTATGCTAGTTGTTAGGGATTCAATGATAAGAATCAGATCTCCAGTTCAGGGAGAGACAGTCAATGGAGAAACCAAAAATCCCAAAGTAATGTAGTAAGTGTTGTGACAATGGTTAGCACACAGGGTAATAATGACAGCACTTAGAAAGCCGCAGAGTGTGAAGCTAGTGATACCTCATCTGAATCACAAATGATTGAGTGTGTTGAGGGGTAAGTACCAATAAGACATTCCAAAGACAATAGCTTGCATGAGCTTTTGGCCATGGGAGAAAAGTACCTTGTCTTTCTAGATACACCAAACAGAGCAGTTTGACTGGAGCACAGTGAGTAAGAAGGAAGCAGTGACAAACAGGTGACAGAAAAGTTACAGAGCAGGTCATGAAAGATAAGCATATCCCCCAATATAAGGAAACAGAAAACAGAAAAAGGAACAGGTTGGACTGAAGGATAATCAGGTTGTCACACCGTATGTCAAGTCTAAGTTTCTTAAGGACATCCATGGGAGAAGTTAGATGGGTCAGAAAACCAGAAGAAAGATCTAATCTAAAGACATGTTAAAATAGTTGATGGTATATAAACGGAAGTGGAGGTTTTGGATTTAATAACACAGAGTGATTTAAGATTAAATTTGGACACCTGGGAGCAGAGGAATGTGATTAATAAGGGGAAATGGAGCAGGAAGAGGAATGAGCTAAAGGCATATTTGGCTAGCTTTGAGATTGGAATTTAGCTGATCGTGCTATGAGCATTATATTCTGTGTCTACAATGGAACTCTGCAATCATGCACGTTCTTACAAACCTCTGCCAGATAGAGATCAAAGGAGATTGTAATGTTGGTCCAAAGCGACAGGAGATACATCATTGCTTCCTCAGACTAACTCTTATCTTCTCATGCATAAGACATTACTGCTTGGTTCTGGCTGATATGGCTTTGATTTGTCTAAGTCTGGAGAAATTGGCATTTGATTAACACATAATATTAATACAATGAAAACATTGTATCATATTATGCTGACTTTAGATGTACTTTGAATAACTTTTTAAATTTTATTATTTCTCTGTGAATTTTAAGAATTATTGTGAAAGATGTTTGGATATATTCAGGTCTCCATGCTTGTCAAATTCCATTTTATATTTGATTATTAATGACTCATTTCACAACGGTTCCTAAATTTAGAATCAATCACATTGAAAAATCAGATGTTTTTACTATGTACAAGGCAATATTTACAAAATGGAGAAGTATTATATGCTCAGCCGTTTTCTCTCCTCCTGTTCTGAATCCTTATGGAAGGGGGTTCTTTTAGCATAACATACACTAAGAAAAATATTCAGTAATTAGCAGGAGAAAATTTGCTTCACTCTGAAAGATCCAAACTATGCAAGCCAACTTCTAAGGAAAATTGCTAATATAAATGGACTGGAAGAATTGATCGTTGCCTCAACAGAACAGTATAAACCGGCTAAGCTCTTCGAGAATTTGTAAGAATAAAAGGTAAAATTGCAGATATAAATTCATAGTCATTCCAGTACATTATAGAGATTCCAAAATTGAGGAAAAGGATTGTGGAAATACTGGGTTGCCCCTCCCTGACCTCGTATTGCCTAATAAGCACTTTCCTCAGTATGGCTAATGAAAGCCTCTATTACAAGACAAAAATGAAAGCTCTGCCTCTTATGACAATAAAAAGATAGTTACTAAGTAATAAGCAATTACCAGAAGTGTATGTTTTGATGTAAATTTCCAGAATCTATCAGTTGTTACAGACTTTAATCTTAAATTTTACCTTTGAAATTATGACATCATTGATCAATCAAAACTACCTGAGCTGAAATGTGTAGAGTATGACATGTAATATAACCATCTGATGTTTGCTCTAGATATCTATAAAGACATTGCTCAATTTCCTCATCAGAAAAATTGAGCATCCAAGAGCACTTTTTGACCTCAGATCAGAAGTAAAAGAAAGTTCTCCTTTGTTGAACAAAAGCCTTCCTCCACATCAGGGGTCCCCAACTCCCAGGCCACAGACCAGTACCCATCCTTGGCCTGTTAGGAACCAGGCCACAGAACAGGAGGTAAGTGGTAAGCAAGTGCAGCTTCATCTGTATTTACAGACAGTTCCCATCACTGGCATTACCACCTGAGCTCAGCCTCCTGTCAGGTAAGCAGCAACATTAGATTCTTATAGGAGCTCGAACACTATTATGAACTGTACATGTGAGGGTCTAGGTTGCATGTACCTTATGAGAATCTAATGGCAGTGATGGGGACATTGTCTCTCATCACCCCCAGATGGAACCATCTAGTTGCAGGAAAATAAGCTCAGGGCTCCCACTGATTCTACATTATGGTGAATTGTATAATTATTTCACTATATATTACAGTGTAATATATAATGAAATGTAATAATAACAGAAATAAAGTGCACAATAAATGTAATGCACTTGAATCATCCAAAAACCACCCCCTGCCAACACCCAGCTACGGAAAAACTGTCTTTGATGAAACCAGTCCCTGGTGCCAAAAGTTTGGGGACTGCTGCTCTACACATTCTTACTTAATAGTATTTGTTTGTGATAGATTTGAAACTTGATACATAAAGCAATATAATGTGGAAATCATTTATACATGGCATCCATTTAAATAATTGACGACATCTACCATATCCCCTGCTCAAGACAACTATTTTCTAACCCATACAACTTTGTTACTTCATATATTAACTAATTGTGTGACAGTTATTGTATCAGCATAAAGAATTTTGGCCCAGAAGTTTTTTGTTTGGTTTTAACATTTCTTCTGTAGCATCAGTTTCTATATTAAATAATTTATCTCAAAATAGATTCATGTAGGAAAAAAAACCCCACAAATTTTAGCTCCCTAATAAGGGTAGAGAGGCCATGGCATAGAAAGCCTAGAGGAAATCGGCTGGGCACAGTGGCTCACGCCTGTAATCACAGCACTTTGGGAGGCCGAGGTGGGAGGATCACCTGAGGTCAGGAATTCAAGACAAGCCTGACCAACATGGAGAAATCCCTTCTCCACTAAAACTACAAAAAAATTAGCCGGGCGTGGTGGTGCATGCCTGTAATCCCCATCTACTCGGGAGGCTAAGGCAGGAGAAGCGCTTGAACACGGGAGGCAGAGGTTGCAGTGAGCCAAGATCGCCATTGCACTCCAGCCTAGGTGACAAGAGCAAAACTCTATCTCAAAAAAAAAAAAAAAAAAAAAGCCTAGAGGAAATCAATAGATCTCAAATTTAAGTCATTCTTGGATATTGAGATTCAAAACTATACATAAATATTTAAAGTTATTCTCAAAGGGGAAGATACATAATTAAAAAGTTAAAATTAAAAGCAAACCTATGTTAACATCTCAAATTATTTTTAAAACACTAAGAAATAGTGACAGAGAAGAAATATAAATATTTGCCAAATTGAAATCGAGGGACAATTTAATTTTTAACTTTAACAATAGCTAATGTAGACAGTGTTTGAAAGAATAAATGTATTCATATTTAAACAAGGTTGTGTTTTTTGTTCAAAGCATGGGAGAAGATTAAAGTAAACATAACTTGGAAAAGGAGAGGTTTAAAAAGAGGCATTTAGTGAAAGTTTGTTAAAAAAAAGATAAATACAAAAATAAGCTAAAGCATAAAGAGATGGCTTCTTTGAAAATAGTTGAGAAACAAACAAATGTAAATGGTTTAAATTCTTTAAAGAAATATTTTTGCAGGCTAAAAAGCAATTATCTAAATATTTATTGCTTTGAAGGAACACAATTAAAATAACTAATACATAACATTTTCATTTATTTGTTTGTTTTCATATTTTGTGTTAAAATAAACATTAGAAAAAAGACAGCACTGAATATATTAATGTCAGTAAAAAGAGTGCAATAGAAAATACTAAACTGGGTCAAGATATCATTTTATAATTTTATTAGCTGGATGACATACTCAAATGGGCCTATCTGAAGAAAAATAATAAGAAAAAACTATTTAAAAGGCAGTGAGCAGGAATAAGGAAACCAAACAACAAAGCTGGTAAAGTCTCCAGGGACTAGCCAATGAAGGAAATTGCCACCACTCTTAGTCCTAAAGAACAATTGGTATTACAGAACCTTCTCAAACCAGAAAGAATTTCAGCCATTGCCTTCACCTTAGCCAGGCAGGAAGGTAGCAGGAGGAATAAATAATTGCCTTCACTCTCCTCCTACATTGGACCCTTTATAAGTGCCTTTCATTGGCTGAAACCAAAGGTGAGAGGCAAGATTGTAGAGAAGAATTTCTGAAGGGCTCAGAACACAGTGAGGGCAGAAAAATATGAAGGGACAGATGCAGGGGGTAGGGAATAGAGAGATGGAACTTTCATTTCCTTATGTCATTCAACATCTCATCTAGCACTGTGTGTGTGTGTATGTGTGTGTGTGTGTATGCACTTGTGCATGTATGTATATAGAACCTCCTTTCCTAACTTTTGGGAAACATGAGGAGCCATCAGATAATGTATTTGGGCAGTGTGATTTCTGTCCCCAACTCAGGGAAAATGTGAAGTGCTGTCAGACAATGTATCATGGCAGTGTAATCTCAATTCAGCCATGTTCTTTCCTGGAACAGAAACTGTAATGTTAGCTGTTACCCGTAGATTTCTACTATGTAACACAATGAAATAACATAAAACACAGTTGCTACAGTTTCAAAATCTGTAGATGATCATGAGGGATAATTGAGATCACAGTATCTTTTTTCTACCATAGTTCCATATTTTCCTTATCTTCTTCCAGCATCTCAGCTAGGTGGTTTTTCATTATTGTTTAAACTGATGGGTGAATCAAATCTTTATTCCCGTAGAATCATCCAAGACTTGTTGTCCACTCTTTATCATACTGCTGTAGATTCCAATTGACTATTACTACTGAAAGTGGAAGTATTAAGAAACAATCCAATAAAATCTTTGTTTTCCCCATTGAGTAACAGCAACCTGATTTCTTCAAACAAGTTTGAATCAATCATTTTCCAGTATAGTTCCTTATATTTTCCTGTTGGCTCTTTGGTAGGAAGAATCCAATGGGGTCAAAAGTAACCTCAATTTCTAATTAAATGAAAATCTTATTCTGTTCACTAGCAGAAGTGTACTTTCCTCGACACCATGGCATCCAAATGTATATGGCTTTTGGCCAAGGAGATGGGAAGTAAAAATTGTACTAATGAGTTGTTTTATATAATAATGGAGGTTGACTCACGCCTCCTCCCCTTGATTTTCAGAACCTCAGATTTTGGTCTTCAGAAAAATAACACTATATATTGGTTTAAATATAATATTTTCAAGCATGGGTCATATTTGTCAGGAAAACAAATAACCAAATAGGATGTATTTCCTCTACAGTGAAAATAGACAAGGCAAGCCCATAAATGGTCATGCTGGTAGAAGCAATGCAGGCAGAGATGGAAGCTTTATTTTGAAATATGCATATATTCTTATAAGGACAATTTTCTGCCTCTCATCAATTTGCCATTAGGGGACTCATTGGTCCCTGCCTGGAGAGTGATGATTGGACACCCCATTGACATTTTCAATTGGCAGGTTTAACACTCAGCGGTAACAGCCATGTTTATATAGAAAGGGCATAACAAGGAAGTCAGGAGTGTTCAGGGGCAGAAGATAAACATCTTGCCCTCTGATCTCCTGTTATTGGCCAAAGTCAACTATAATCTAGAGAATACAGGAGCTTAAATTATATAGTCAGCAATGGTCAACCTTCCAGGGCAAAGGAAGGGCCTGGAGATAGGAAGACAAATAGAAAACAATTTACAATATTCAAATAACATTATAATTGTTTCCACATCAACTGCATGATTGCCATAAGTTTTATATTATGAATCAGAACAAATAAGCATAAGCATTAAAATCTGAATACATAGGATAGATTCAGGCCTCTTCTCTATTCTCCATACATGCATAATAAATCTGATAGAAAATAATGCAAATATTCATTCTTGCTACCTTTGGATGTTGTGATTATGAGTGACTTTTTTTCTAGGACATTGATTTATTTCTATTAGTTATGCTGATTTTATGTGATTACTCATGCTTAGGAAGCCTTGAGTTTGTTGTTTTGTTTTAAATAATTTTGGATCATGTCATGACATTGCTTCCATTCCAAGTTCAGATTTCTCACTTGAGAAAAAATATGTTTTTAGGTTGAGCATATATAATCCATACTGCATATGTTTCATAATCTCTCTCACCATTTCAATGTCAGTTTGAAAGTTTTAGCAAAGGTATGGGGCTCTTTTCACTGATGCTGTCACTGACTCAGCCACAAAGTTCAACTTCCTCTATTTGATCTACACTGTGGAGGTAATATGGTTTGGCTCAGTGTCCCCACCCAAATCTCACCTTGAATTGTAATCCTCATAATCCCCACAGGGGACGGCAGGACCTAGTAGGAGGTGACTGGATCATGAGCATGGTTCCCCCGTGCTGCTCTCGTGATAGTGAGTTCTCCAGAGATCTGATGGCTTTATAAGGGGCTCTTCCCCCTTCACCTGGTGCCATGTAAGACATGCCTTTGCTTCTCTCTTGCCTTCTGCCATGATTGTAAGAGATAAATCTCTTTTGAAGTCTTCCAAACAATCCCAACATTTCTCATTTTACAGATGAGGAAACAAGTTCAGCCTTGATAATGTGTCAAAAGTTTCCCATCTAGTAAGTGGCAAATATACATGACTCCCAAGCTTACAATGTTTCTTATGACCCATGTGGCCTTTGGACATACAAAATGTATCTGTTCCTTTTTTTTTTTAACAAAGAAGAGAAGACACAAGTAATATATAAACTATGACATAATATAAATACCATATAAATGCATAAAGTTTGAAAATATAAACTGAATATTTTCTTTCTCTGTATCCTCATGGAGTTTTTGAGCATCTTCTCAGAAATAAAGCTATTTACTCACCAATGTATTGGTTCACAAATATTCTATCTTAAAATCAAATCCTGACAAGTAAGGATTTCTATTCATCATTGATATTTGTTTATACTTAGCAGTCAACAAAGTAACTCATGGGTAAAAATTGGTTTACAAATCTTCACTTTAAAATGACCGTCTTATGAATTATCATTGGATTTGTAAAAGTTACTGACTTTAAGATAAGATGATAATGCTGTGAGAATGATGGAAAAACTATTTGTGACTCATGTTGTATTTTAGCAGTTTAGATAAAAATAAAATAAATCATTCTTAGATGCAGTCCTCCTATACTTGGAAAAGCATATATTTGAATAAGTATATAAAACTGAAGGCTTGAGTGTTTCAGTTTGGGTTTCCCAGAAAGCAAATTCTAAGCTAAAAAATAATATATAAGAAGTATTCTAGTCTTCTTTGGATCAAAACCTGTTGTAGCAATAAAAGGAAAAAGATTGGCTAGAGAGAGAAAATGAACATCTGCTGACCCCACTGGGAGTGCTGAAGCTAGGATGGTTGTTTAGAGTCACATTCTTTTGCTGTGATGGGGCTGGGCTTTTATACTCCCAGGGCAACCAATCATCAGGTGAGACTCATCCAGAAGACAGTCTTGTCTTTGGAAAAGGCAGCTCTTTTTAGCTGAAACAATTCCCAAAGAGGAGTGAATACTAAAGAGCTGGAAGCATAAATCCTTCAGTCTTGAAGGATGAATGTGAGCAGCAAGGCACAGCAGTCACTGCAGTCTACCTGGTGTGCTACCTAGATCCACCTGCTTACAACGAATTCTGGGGAAAGCACCATATAATGTCATAGACTTAGAATGCAAATTGCATCCTGGGAGGTGGTGCCTCATACTTTAAAATATCATCTTTAAGATACAGACAGGTGGGCTGGGCACAGTGGCTCATGCCTGTAATCCCAGCACTTTGGGAGGCTGAGGCAGGTGGATCACGAGGTCAAGAGATCGAGACCATCCTGGCCAACATGGTGAAACCCCATCTCTACTAAAAATACAAAAATTAGCTGGGCATGGTAGTACACACCTGTAGTCCCAGCTACTCAGGAGGCTAAGGTAGCAGAATTGCTTGAACCCGGGAGGCCGAGGTTGCAGTGAGCCGCAATTACACCACTGCACTCCAGCCTGGTGAGAGAGTGAGACTCCATCTCAAAAAAAAAAAAAAAAAGAAAGAAGATATAGACAGGTGGCCCTTCAGCAGAAATCCTACAATTCTATCAGACTCTCGGCTTCTATTAAGTGTTATACAAGATAATGGATCCCATGGTCTTGTGTCCACCACTGTATTTTTTTGTTTGTTTGTTTTTTGCTGTAAAGTGGGTCTTTCAGGTCAAGGTCATTTTATGTAGGATGCCATGTCAGTGAATCAAAAATTCTACAGGATCTTGGACAGTGGTACTATTTGAGACCCCGTGACCAAGGAGGGGAAACCTGTAGTGAGAAGTATCAATTTCCAACAAAATGAATCACTGCATCCCCAGTATGAAAAAAGTCCAAGGTAGTCAACTTGCCACCAAGTACTTTATTGTTCTCCTTCAGGGATGATCCTACATCAGGGACTCTGGCATTTGTTTCTGATGTTAACAAGTATAATATGAAGCACCAGCAGTAGCTAGATCAGTCTTAATGAGTAAGAGTCTGTGTTACTGGTCCCATTTGGAGTGTCCATCCCAACCACTGTGACTACTCTACTGAAGAGCTGTATCAATAACACAAAGAAGGGAACAATAGACATCGGGGCCTCCTAGAGGGTGGTGGGTGGAAGGAGGGTGAGGATCAAAAAACCATCTATCAGGTACTTTGCTTATTACCTGAATGACTAAATTGTCTGTACACCAAACTCCCATGACCCACAATGTACCCAAGTAACAAACCTGCACATGTATCCCCTGAACCTAAAATAAGAATTGGAAATGAAAAAAAAATGTTGCACCAATACTTAAGTGACTTTTAAGGAAGAGTGCTGATATCAATTGGTTGATTCATTCTAATATTGATACTCACTAAAAACAATTATGGCTACCTGGCTTATAATATTTGAGGACCATCACATGGCCTCCTGTTTTGGGATCCTATAATCCTCATTGCTGTTAGTTAAGTCCAGATCTATAGCAGGATCACCTAGAACAAATCCTAGGCAAAAGAAATCCAACAAAAGAAAGTAGTATCGCTTTCATCATATTGTTTTGGCAAATGTAATATCCTCTGCAATGTCTCATGAAGCATAGTCATGTGGTAGGTTTTCTCACCTTGTCTATAATAGAAATCCTGTAACACTCACTACTTTAAGCCTGTTGTTTTCTTCTTTGCCTTCCTCAGCAGTTCATGCATTTCAGCTCCATATAGCCTAGGCCATCCCTTTCTCAAGTGAAATATAGTGGGATTGGGAGAATACAAAAATCAAAGTGTATAAAGGAATCATATTTTTTATTATACTTTAAGTTCTGGGATACATGTGCAGAGTGTGCAGGTTTGTTACACAGGTGTACATGTGCCATGTTGGTTTGCTGCACCCATCAACCCGTCATCTACATTAGGTATTTCTCCTAATGCTATCCCTCCCCTAGCCCCCCACCCCCACAACAGGACCTGGTGTGTGATGTTCACCTCCCTGTGTCCATGTGTTCTCACTGTTCAGTTCCCACTTATGAATGAGAACCCACAGTGTTTGGTTTTCTGTTCCTGTGTTAGTTTGCTGAGAATGATGGTTTCCAGCTTCATCCATGACCCTGCAAAGGACATGAACTCATCCTTTTTTATGGCTGTTTAGTATTCCATGGTGTGTATGTGTCACGTTTTCTTTATCCAGTCTATCATTGATGGCATTTGGGTTGGTTCCAATTTGCTATTGTGAACAGTGCTGCAATAAACATATGTGTGCATGTGTCTTTATAGTAGAATGATTTATAATCCTTTGAGTATATACCCAGTAATGGGATTGCTTGGTCAAATGGAAGATCTGGTTCTAGATCCTTGAGGAAAGACCACATTGTCTTCCACAATGGTTGAACTAATTTAAACTCCCACCACAAGTGTAAAAGCATTCCTATTTCTCCACATCCTC
This sequence comes from Homo sapiens, assembly GCF_000001405.40. Taxonomy (NCBI): domain Eukaryota; kingdom Metazoa; phylum Chordata; class Mammalia; order Primates; family Hominidae; genus Homo; species Homo sapiens. Next base: position 87,720,851 of record NC_000008.11, read on the forward strand.
TCCAGCATCTGTTGTTTCCTGACTTTTTAATGATCGCCATTCTAACTGGCATGAGATGGTATATCATTGTGGTTTTGATTTGCATTTCTCTAATGACCAATGATGATGAGCTTTTTTTCGTATGTTTTTTGGCCACATAAATGTCTTCTTTTGAGAAGAACAGCAAAGATTGCTGCCTGTTCCTTCCTCTGGAAGCTTTGTCCCAGGGGGCACCTGCCAGATGCCTGCTGGAGCTCTCCCGTATGAGGTGTCAGTCAACACCTGCTGGGAGGTATTTCCCCATCAGGAGGCACAGGGATCAGGGACCTACTTAAGGAGGCAGTCTGTCCCTTAGCAGAGCTTGAGCACTGTGCTGGGAGATCTGCTGCTCTCTTCAGAGCTGGCAGGCAGGAATGTCTACGTCTGCTGAAGCTGCCCCTGAAGCTGTGCCCACAGTCCCCCAGGTGCTCTGTCCCAGAAAGATGGGAGTTTTATCTATAAAACTCCCCTGACTGGGGCTGCTGCCTTTCTTTCAGAAATGCCCTGCCCAGAGAGGAGGAATCTAGAGAGACAGTCTGGCTACAGTGGCTTTGCCGCACTGCAGTGGGTTTTGCATCCAGTCTGAACTTCCCAGCAGCCTTGTTTATGAATACAAAAAGTATTCAATTAACATTGACTATAATTAATAATTTTACAATTTTTGCTCTTCAAATATACACATTCTTTTAAAAATCCATTTATTATAAGGATATACAGAAAAGTGCATTTATATATTGCTTGTCAGTATATAAATTCAAATAAATTTCCTAGGGTAAATTAGAAATTACACACTAGAATGTTTCAGATAATATTGTTTACAACACTGTAATTGTGGAAGTAACTGAGTCCAAGAAGCGTATTGGCTAAAAAAATGTTTATTCATATAATGAGATTTTTTTCAGTCATCAAAATGATATTGTAAAATATTATATGACAACATTTTAAGACACTTGTGTTATGTTCCTATTTGATAATGTAGGCTATAAGAGAGTGTGTACAGATATAGATATATATTAGCATATATTATATAGTGAAAAAATGAAGGGCCCCACCCATGTCCTGCTGATTGTTCTATTTTATGGAGCACTGATTGGTCCATTTTACAGAGTGCTGATTGGTGCACTTACAATCCTTTAGCTAGACACAGAGCACTGATTGGTGCATTTACAATCCTTTAGCTGGACACAGAGTGCTGATTGGTGTGTTTTTACAGAGTGCTGATTGGTGCATTTACAATCCTATAGCTAGACACAGAGTGCTGATTGGTGTGTTTTTACAGAGTGCTGATTGGTGCATTTACAATCCTTTAGCTAGACACAGAGCACTGATTGGTGGGTTTACAATCCTCTAGCTAGACAGAAAAGTTCTCCAAGTCCCCATTTGACCCAGGAAGTCCAGCTGGCTTCACCTCTCAATATCAATAATGTCAAATGTTACAAATAGTAAAAAGAAATAAGGATATTTTAGTCCCTTAAAATTCATTGGCCATTTTTGCAGAGCAGTTTTCATGCTACAGAAGATTTCAGGTTGCAGTGAGGAAACAGCTGGATTCATGATGAAGAGGAGAGAAAGTGTACCTAACATTCAAGTGTAACAATTCAAGAAACTGAATTGTGAAGAAAAGGAGAGAAACAGGATAACTCGTGAGAGCCACTGGATCAAAGGAGTGTTGCTTATTTTCATTTCTGTTTAAATTTTGGACTCAGTGGGTACACAGGAAGGTTTGTTACATGGGCATATTTTGTGATGCTGAGGCTTGGAGTTATGAATGATCCCATCACAAGGTGGTGCATATAATACCCAATTATTTTTTTCAGATTTTACAGATTTATTTTTAAAAAACAAAAACAAAGGTTAAAAAAGTCCTTCACAGAGCCATGCACGGTGGCTCACGCCTGTAATCCCAGCACTTTGGGAGGCTGAGGCTGGCAGTTCACAAGGGCAGGAGATCGAGACCATCCTGGCTAACATGGTGAAACCCCATCTCTACTAAAAATACAAAAAGTCAACCAGGATCTTGGCGGGTGCCTGTAGTCCCAGCTACTTGGCAGGCTGAGGCAGGAGAATGGCATGAACCCGGGAGGCAGAGCTTGCAGTGAGCCGAGATCACGCCACTGCATTCCAGCCTGGGCGACAGAGCGAGACTCCGTCTGAAAAAAAACAAACAAACAAACAAAAAAAAGTCCTTCATTTCCAACCCTGCCTGGGGTTGTGGGTGGAGAATAGAAAGGTGCCTACCCCATTCCTGCAAAGGACACCCCCAGGAGCCTGAGAAGGACACAGCAGGTCAGAGGCAGGCCCTCACCCTTCCTGCCCTGCCTCCTCAGGTAGCTCAAATTGGTGCTAGGAAGTTTTATAGGCAAAGAATCATGAGAGTGGGAGGCCAAGAGCTTACTTCTTCACATCAACAGAAACTCTAGCTGTTCTCTCCCCTTAGCAGGCTCCACCACTGGGACTCCCAGGTGGGTGGGCAGGCAGGCCAGGAAGCTCAGCCCTCTGGGCTATGTGGCCCAGCCCACCACAGCTTTCTATAATGCTCTTTGTGAAACAGGAGGGCAATCGGGAATTTCACAGTGCGGGGAGGGGTATCTGGAAAGGAAACTCTGAAGCACTGCCTCTTTCTGACCTTGCCTCTAGACTGAGGTTGCCATTCTTGGCTATTCCCCACCCCGAGGCTGAGTGGAGTCCAGAACAATGGGCTTTTTAGCCAATGCTCCACTCCCTCCTCGCTTTAGTAGTCCCCAGAGTCTATTGGTCCCATCTTTATATCCATGCGTATTCTGTAAGGTTAGCCGAGAGAAAGGAGGAGAGAGAGGGAGATTCAAGGTCAGGCGAGTAAGTTTATTAACCTGCCAGGCTGCTCCACCATAGTCAGAGGAGGCAGCCCTGAGCTTACAAAATGAGGGGTTTATATGGGGGAGAGAGAACCTGGGGTTGCCGGTTAACTTTACCACATATCATCTTGTGACTGTAGAAATTTACAAGAGGGTATAACATAGGTTTATCCACGTTTCTCGTGACCTCCCCCATGTTCCCCGGGGGGCTGTATTCAGGATTTTGCTCAGCAAGTCTGGTGACCTTGCCGTGGCGCCTAGATAAGGGTCCAGGAATGCAGCTGCAGAGTAGTCAGGGTAAGGTTCAGCTGCACTGAGGGAGGGGGATCCTGGAGCAGCTTGTCCCTAACGTATTCAATATTTAGCTCTCACTAATAAGTGAGACATGTTTGGTTTTCTGTTCCTGCGTTAATTTATTTAGGATAATGGCCTCCAGCTGCATCCATATTGCTGCAAAGGACATGATTTCACTCTTCTGATGGCTGTATAGTATTCCACGATGTATATGTAGCGATGTTTTCTTTATCCAGCCCACTGTTGAGGGACATCTAGATTGATTCCAGGTCTTTGCTAGTGTTTTTTGTTTTTAACATCAAAAGAATTTAATGTGTTTGGGGAAGGAATCAGAGGAGAAAGGGAAATTGAAGAATTGATAGCTTCAGTGGGGAAGGTGATGAATGAGAGACCCAGAAGAGAAGGAAATGAGGGAGATCTAGAGCAAACTCTTTAAATTGTAACTCAGATGAAAATAGCTGTAGACTTGTTAAAATGTATCCCATAGGTCTGGAATGCAACCTGAGATGCCCTATTTCTCACGAACTCCCAAGTGGTGCTGATGCTGCTGTTCCACAGATCACACATTAGCAAGGCACTAGACCACTGGTTCTCAAACATAGCTGTAAAAATCCCTGGGTTCTTCCCACAGAAATTTTTTCTTTTCTTTTTTCTTTTTCTTTTTTTTTTTGAGACAAGGTCTCACTCTGTTGCCCAGGCTAGAGTGCAATGGCACAATCTTGGCTCGCTGAAACCTCTTCCCCCAAGGCTCAAGTGATTCTCCTTTATTAGCTTCCCATGTAGCAGAACTACGGGCACACACCACTGCGCCTGGCTAATTTTTGTATTTTTAGTAGAGTTGGGCTTTCACCATATTTCACAGCCTGGTCTCAAACTCCTGACCTCAGATGGTCCGCTCCTCTCGGCCTCCCAAAGTGCTGGGATTACAGACATAAGCCACCGCACCCAGCCTTCCCACAGAAATTCTGATCTCATTACTGTGGGAGATTTTTACAATCCACTCTGATGAGTATAATGTGCAGCAGTGTTTGAGAACCACTAATTACTTTCTCTGTGTGAAAAAAAAATAAAAAGACTGGTCTAGATGTGAATGCCAGTGAGCAGGTGAAGGAAGAGGAGAAGGAAGTACAAATTTTTATCAAATTAATAGTATATGTATGTCTTTTGAGACAAGGTCTCACTCTGTTGCCCAGGCTGGAGTGCAGTGGCACAATCACAGCTCACTGCAGCCTTGTTCTCCCAGGCTCAAGCGATCCTCCCACCTCAGTCTCTCAAATAGCTGGAACTGTAGGTATGTACCACCATGCCTGGCTAACTTTTTTATTTTCATTTTTATAGAGATGAGGTCTCACTATGTACCTCAGGCTGGTCTTGAACTCCTGGCCTCAAGCAATCCTCCTGCCTAGGCCTCCCAAAGTGTTGGGATTACAGGTGTAAGCCACTGCACCTGGCCATATATACAATTTTTAGTAGTCCATTTTCACACTGTTATAAAGAACTACCTGAGACTGAGTGATTTAAGAAGAAAAAAGGTTTATTTGACTCACAATTCCACAGGTTTAACAGGAAGCATGACTGGGAGGCTTCAGGAAACTTACAATCATAGTGGAAGGTGAAGGGGAAGCAAGGACCTTCTTCACATGGTGGCAGGAGAGAGAGAGAGAGTGAAAGGGGAGGTGCTACACACTTTTAAACCATCAGGTCTCATGAGAACTCACTCACTATCAGGAGAACAGCAAGGGGAAAACCTGCCCCCATGATCCAATCACCTCCCACCAGGCCCCTCCTCCAATTTGACATGAGATTTAGGCAGGGACACAAAAACCAAACCATATCCTATTCTATGTCCTGTATAATAAAAAACAGCAGTGCAGGGTCCTGACACACCATTCCCCAACCCTAAATCTTTCTCCTCAGAAGCATCAATTTTCAAATCTTTTAGATGTTACTTCTGATTATTATCTTTATATATCTAAAGAAGTCTTTGTCATACTATTTATTGATTTTTTTAGCTTATCTATATTTTCCATATTATCTGGTGATTTTTCTCAAATGTCTGGTGATCACTGGATGTTCTTGCATATTAATGCAGAAGCATTGCAAAATACATTAGAAGCTTGTTGTGTGGAGGTATGGATGATAAATTGGTGGGCCTTACTAGCAGGATTCCTGGTCAAATGTTTGGCCCTTTTATTGGGAGATACCAAATATCAGCATCTGTAAATGCTGTCTTTCAGATGGTCAGTTTCCCCAGAAAGCCATTTCTGCAATTTCTATCCCTACTCCCCAGTCAGCATAGATAGGGCTGGTTGTCAGCATTCTGGGACCCAACTGGGTAGAGAAGTCTCAGGGTAGGGGAAAGGATCATTGGTATTGTGTGAGAGGGAGACAATTATTCTGATTTCATTATGGTCATAACATTCCATGAGTCTGGTGACCACAGGTTCAGTCTCCTTCTCATTCTACCTTTCCAGAATGTAAATGTCCACTTCCTGCCAGAGTAAGGGAAGTGAGGGTGGTTACCTAGTTATGTGGAGGAATGGTGTGTATGAGCTCAACTGCTCCTTGCACAGACTATCATCTACCCTTCCTATTTCAGCCATGCTCAAATCCCTCCTTGGTGATTCTACTTCTGAATACTGGCTTTCTGCTACGTGAATTTGCTTGTAAACACTTGCTTTTGTGTTTACTCTTGGTTCTCCTTATTTCTTCTTCAATTTGTCACATAGCTGTTGCCAGTCGGCTCAGTCAATGATTACTCTCACTTCTACATTCTACCTTACAACTTTTTGATGTCATATTTCATTCATCGTCACCTCCTCTGTTCTTTTTATCTGTGTGGTTATGCTGTGTTTATACTTTCACTCAAATTTTAGAGAGGCTACTGAGGTAGCAGAGATGAATGCTTTGTTTAATCAAAAGTCTTCTAGACATTTAAATTAAATAAATTAATTAATAAACATCTATTGGGTTAGGAACATGAACAAGGAAGAGGCGTGGCAAAACTGCTGCAAGGAATTTGATATAAATTATGCCAGTAAGCTTATAAATGATCATTTTTTTAAAACAAAAGCACTAAATTACAAATTAAAGTTCCAATATAGAATTAAACAATTTTTCCTTTGTCAGCACTCAAGAACAGTGAGGTTCTAGAAAGCAGCATCTTCATGGAGTGGAAGGAGCAGTTGTGGAAACAATCCTGGGTTTGGATTTCTGACTCATTTGCAGCTATGTTGCAAAAAGCAAATTATTTGAATTCTTGAAGGCCTAATTTCCTCCTCTGTAAAATTATATAAATAAAATCTATTTTATAAAACAATGGTATAGATTAGAAAAATCCTTACTATAGTGTCTAGCGCATAACTTTTCAATAAATATGTTGACATGGTTTGGCTGTGTGTCCCCACCCAAATCTCATCTGGAATTGTAATCCCCCTGTGTTGAGGGAGGAAGGTGATTGGATCATGGGGGTGGTTTCCCCGTGTTGTTCTCATGATAGTAAACGAGTTCTCATGAGATCTGATGGTGTTATAAGTGTTTGGAAGTTCCTCCTTCATTCTTCTTCTCTCTCCTGCCACCTTGTGAAGAAGGTGTCTGCTTCCCCTTCTGCCATTATTATAAGTTTCTTGAGGCCTCCCTTGCTATGTGGAACTGTGAATCAATTAAACTTCCTTCATTTGTAAATTACCCAGTGTCAGGGAAGTTCTTTCTAGCAGTGTGAAAATAAACTGAGTTGGTGCAAAATAACTGCTGTTTTGTCATTGAAAGTAATGGCAGAAACAGGCCTGGTGTGGTGGCTCACACCTGTAATGCCAGCACTTTGGGAGGCCAAGGCAGGCAGATCACCTGAGGTCGGGAGTTCAAAACCAGCCTGACCAACAAGGAGAAACCCTGTCTCTACTAAAAATACAAAATTAGCCAGGTGTGGTGGCACATGCTTGTAATCCCAGTTACTTGGGAGCCTGAGGTAGGAAAATCATTTTAACCCAGGAGGCAGAGGTTGCGGTGAGACGAGATCGCACCATTGCACTCCAGCCTGAGCAACAAGAGCGAAACTCCGTCTCAAAGACAAAAAACAAAAAACAAAAACAAAACAAAAAACAAAACAACAACAACAAAAGAAAGCAATGGCAAAAACTGTAATTACTTTTGCACCTATCTAAAATAATACATATATTAAGAGGAAATTAATAGCATTTTGGACTGTCCAGGATTACGAGTGTTCTAATCAAATGAGGTGCAAATCTAAGGGAAAAAAGGGAATTGTAGAGGTGGAAAAGCAGAACAATTTAAGTTATGTACTGTGGGCTTTTGTGGCTAGAGAAAGGGATAAAGCCACACAGGGCTTAAGGAATAGAAGAAAACAAGCAATGGGCTAAGCTGTAAATGAGCTTGAGAAGCAGATATGGTATGAAGATGAGAATGAGACTGTTAGGTACAAGGAGCTGTAGTGAGGAATTAGTGTCCTGAAGTCTAAGATTTTTCAGGTGTTTCAGTTCTGAGAGATATCAAGACTCAGGGTATGATGTTTAGAGAAGGTTCCAAAAAATGTAATGACAGTTACTCTTAAGTACAACGGAAAAGTAATTATGGGGCTGGTATGCTAAACAGCTGGCATCTGTATAGACACTAAACTCTCTCATCATGGCAACTGGAGTTAGGGATCCAGTAGACCTAAAGCATATGTTTACAATATATAAATACATATGACTCCAGTAAACCTTATCTTTTAACATTATTGACTGCATTAACCTATATTGTGCTTAGGGTATTTTTCTACTTTTCTTAAGGGTATCTAATTTTAGTGTGCACTAAACCCAGGGAACCTCTTAACCAATTCAAATTATCTGCACCAGTCCCAGAGATTCTATTTCAGTAGGTCTGGAATAGGGCAGCGGAGTCTGTATTTTTAATATGAATCACAATAACCCAGTGACTTTGACAAGGGGCTACATGTGCCAGACATTGAGAAACATTTTGATCAGGTGTGACCAGGTGAAGATTTAGCTATTCATTGTCATCTCTGTAATAAAGGAAAATACAATCTGTGCACCTCAGGGTGGTTCTGGAGATGACTAATCTCTGAGCCTCAACTAATAAATGACTGAAATGAATGTGTTTCTGCATACAATAAATCAAGCAATAGTTATGAATTTGGACTTTATCATCTGTTGAGTAACTAGATCTGCAGCTATAAGAACTAAATTTAAGTAACACGTTTGTTCAAAATGTTGCATTTTTAATTCCACAGTGAATTTTATATAAATTTGGAGGAAAGTGTGGTGGTTTGAAGAATATCAAAAACAAATATCTCTTAATTAGGAAAAAGTGATTATATCACTTTTTTTACAACAGTCCATTTATGCTTTATAATTATCCTCTAATTTCTTTTCTTTCATTTATTTGTATTTTTTATTTTTATTTTTTTAGACAGGGTCTTACTCTGTTGCCCAGGCTGGAGTGCAGTGGCATGATCTCGAGCTCATTGCAACCTCTGCCTTACGGGTTCAAGCGATTCTCCTTTCTCAGCCTCCTTAGTAGCTGAGACTACAGGCACCCACCACTGCACCCAGCTAATTTTTGTATTTTTAGTAAAGACGGGGTTTCACCATGGTGGCCAGACTGGTCTCAAAATCCTGACCTCAGGTGATACGCCCACCTTGGCCTCCCAAAGTGCTGGGATTACAGGCTTGAGCCATCACATCCAGCCTTCTTTTCTTTTAGATGAAGAGTAGAGACTAAATGATTTGCCTTCAGGTAGTCTGTAATAGTACCCTAGATCCAAATTCTGGCCTGTCTGATTCTGAATTAAAGATCATGCCTTTATAAACACCCTGTTCCACATAAAGACACACTTTCCTGAACTATTTAGCTCTGGGAAACAAATTTCTTTTATATTGTTTTGGGTTATGGCCCAGAATTATTGTAACTACTATAGCTTTAATTCTGTATTTTAACATTTGTGTACATTTTGCAGAACTTAGATATAGAAGCTGTCTAGATTATGGAAGGACACTGAACCGGGTTTCTCTATGTGTTTGTGTTTTTCTAAAAGACTTAATACAAGCCCCATGGCTTGATTTAAAAACTGCCTCCAATAGCTTGAATTGCTTTAATGTGAATATGATCTGTTATTTGAACATTTTTCACACTCACATTCTATCCATTTAGTCAGCATTAATGAGTACTTTAATCCTCAGCATATACAATATGCTAATAAATTGGCTTTGCCACACAGACAAAAACCTATATGGGTTTTCAAAAGTTCAGCAGTGAATTATTGGGTCCAGCTTAAGTCTATACTTGTAATCAAAGATTTATGTTCAGGTAAATTGCTGGCTATTTATTATGAAAAGAAAAATAGCTAGGGGTATTTCAGAAGATTAAGTAACAGTAATTATCTAACTACTTGGGAATTCAGTAAAAAGTTTCTGATAGGTTTCCAGATAAAGTGCAACAGCTTAAAGTTCAGAAACAAAATAATCAATTCTTTAGAATGTTCTGTAAGGAAAGAAAAGTGATCAGTATTATTTTTCATTTGGAAAGGATAAAGTGAGCTTCAGGGAACTGAACTGCATGTTTTGTGAGTTTCATTTTGTGGAGAAGAGATATTTATGTGATAAAAGAAGGAAAGAGAAAGGCAATTAATTTAGATCCAGTTCTAATCAAAAGTTGTTAAATCCTATTGGTAGTTTTTCTTCCTAAATATCTACCCACATTTTGAATATTTTCTGATTCTGCAAATATGACATCAAATATGAAATAAACATCCAGTCAAAAAATGAAAAGTTCTGACAAATTTGTGTATATTTAGCTTTAATGTAGACAATATATCTAAATATTTACCTAAGTTTTTTTTTTTAAATCAAACTCACCTCAGGAATATATAACTTCCAAATACTATCACATATAATTACATTTGGAAAGGGATGTGAGACGAAGAGCTGCTTTTTAAGATGGGAGATACACTATGGGATGATGAAATAATTCTGTAGGCAAAGGAACTGATGATACGGGAGAGTCTGAAATACTTGCATTGATGAGAGAAGATAAGACAGTATAAAAATGGGAGATTTGTTTTTCATAGGAACAGGGTGCAGATAATTCATTCGTTTTAGTAGAAGGTGAAGAAGTGTGTATTGTGGACGTGCAATTGGGTGAATTTAACAATAGGACAACATTTCTTCATTTCTTCCATTTTTTTCTAGTGCAATGAGATAAAAATCATTTACTAAGATATGGGAAAGGGAAGTGTAGGCTGAAGTTTTATTTGAGATGAAAAGACACAAAATAAAAATTTTAGGGAGTAGAAAAATGAATGAAATAAGGAAATGTAATAGAATAACCAGGATGAGAGCCTCATTGGGACATGTAAGCATGTTTGCTTTTGTGTATACAGCCACTTTCCTCTGTGGCTGCACAGGCCTATATCAAATGGAAAAGTAATTTTATCAAGGTTGTAGTGTTTTAGGGTAAGTCAATGGCGAGAAAGAAGAAAAGAGTATTAAAGTTGTATTAATTAGCATAATTTTAATGATGAACAATGGAATTTAAGCCCAGAAAGGAGAGCAGTAAAACCACAGGGGTGTGCTGGAAAAGTCTGGACAGTCAATGGGATTCAATGGGATGGAGATTACAGGGTTTATCATCGTTAGAGGGGAAAGGAAGTGGAAATATAGATGGTGATGATAAGAGTGAGAATTTGAAACTGAGATACTGAGAATATGTTCAAAAGTAACAGCCAGTTTTAGGTTATGGGCATGTGAATGGGTAATGAGTCAAGAAACTGAAGGGATAAAGTATTAAATGGATCAATTATATAGATACTGAAATAATCAAGGATGGGGATAAGAGTAAAATATAGTGGACCACGTTCTATAAAGTTACTAACGAATAAGAGAATAGATGAGGCCTGTTTGTCCAAAGTTTGTAGGTCACTACAACCAAAAGAGATACTTCAATATTACGTCATTCGTCAGTTCATTCAACAAATATTTATTGTAAACCGTCTATGTACTAAGGTCTCGATGTAGGTATAAAAATAAGTAAGAAAACTTTAGGTCTTATCTTAAAACAGCCAGGAAACCTTCTCTAACACACACTCTCAGTTAGGAGCTCTTGCTATTTATAGGATGTTGTCCATACTTCTAGAGTAGTGCTTATTATGTTATCATAATAATCTAGTCACATATTTCTTCCTGTAACCTGTAAGCTGCTTGAGTATAAGTGCCAGCCATATTGCCTGAAGCATAGAAATACTTAATAAATGCTTACTGAAAGACATGTTTGATACTGAAGGCCAATAATTTACCACATAATTTATCCTAGGGCCTCTCCAGCCACTTAGAAGTATAGCAAATAAACAACTTGCTACAATAGAAGATAACATTTCACTGAGATATAGGTCAAGATGAAAATCTGATCAAAAATAAAACAGACAGCTACAAATTGCACGTTTCTATCAAGACTTACAATTTGCGTCATAAAAATGAGATTGTGCTGGAAATGAGATTAGAACATGAAAAATTATTTTAGTTGGTTTCTATAAATTCTGTGATATATTAAACCTGTGGAGTCATGTGGCACTTTAAATCTAGCCTATATTGAAGTATATTTAATATTTTAATGAAGATATACAGTTCACGATCAGCTTAATCTTTCCCTTCTTGAATAATTTTCATTATCTCTCCCCAATAATCACTGGATATCATAGAAGCCACTTCCTAAAAGAAATTTTCCCTTAGACAATCCTCGGAAAGAGTAATCGCATCTGAAGCTATGGTCTGTGTATCTCCCTATCCCTTATTTCAGTCCTATCTTTTTCTAGAGCTACACCTAACTCAAGACCCAAATCATGCTGTCTTTGGAAGCTACATAGTTCACAAAATGCAAAAGAATCTTACATGAAGGAAGAACAACTCTTATGTGAGAAGAAAAGATTTTCTCTCCACAACATAAAATATTTATTCACACCACCAGTGTCTCTTTGTTCCTTTCCCATTGAGAACAAAACCCAAAATGATACTGACATTTTAGTCACACAGATGCAACTTTAAAAACACTTACCATGCAGATTAACAACTTATTTAAAAAATGATACACATATACTGAAATTGAATAATTAAGTGGAATGTAGATGATGGATGTCAGGTTTCTCACTGCTAGAGTGGAAGTTTACAGATAAGCAAAGGGAATAGGCTTGAATTATCTGTGTGATAATGGATTTGAGTTGGAAATGTGAATAGGTACAAATGGTTATAAACAGAAGTATTTATTGATATATATATATATATATATTCATATGCATTAGCATACATATATGTTTTTCCTTGCTCCTTCTGCTGAGAGTTCTTACAAGCAAAGGCACTCCAGTAGCAACAAGCTCATTTCAGACTCAAATTTTGGTTTATATTACTCCAATGAAAAGAACTACGGATTTTGGAGAAATGCTGATTCTATGGTTATGGCAGAAATTATAACAAGATGATACTGGTGTATCCTCCTTACTTCTTAAAAGTAAGGTGGTGGTTAGAACACACAAATACCTGCACACATGCACACACACACACACACACACACACACGATAAAGAGGCTTATGAAAAGGACACAGAAGCCAACTGGAAAAGTTTCCGCTGGCCAACACTGGTATTATTTGAGGGAAAGTAAAAGCAGCATTGGATTATAACCTAAAATATATAATTAAAAGATTCTTAAGCTCATATTGATACAAATAAATGATTTGATAAATAAATAAGTGGGGTAGAATAGACAACTCACCTCTGTGCAGAAAAATCAGATACTCCAACCTCAAGGAACTGGGCCATAACTGCACATAGTGACTTTCTTTCAAAGAGTGTAATACAGAAAGGAAGGAAAAAGTACTTTATAGTGGAGAAACTTGATCAACACCACCTTAGCTGGGTGATTCAGGCTGACATCAGCAAAGATAAGTCATGCTGATAGTATTCACCCTTGATAGGATATGACGAGAATGGCACTACTAAAACCCCATAACCCCAGTCTAATCAGAGAAACACCGGGCAAGTATAAATGGAAAGACGTTCTACAAAATAACTGACAAGAAATTCTCAAAATGCTTGAGGTCATTAAGAACAAGGAAAGTATAAAATACTGTCATAGTCAAGAAGAGCTTAAGAAGACATGAAAACTTGACTTAATGTGGTATCCAGGGTGGGGTCCTAGAACAGAAAAAGGACACCAACTAAAAACTAGGCAAATGTGAATAAAACAAAAAAAACAACTTTTTTTGTTAATGGTAACAAATGTACCATATGAATATAAATTTTTAACAATAGGGGAAACAAGTGGAAAGTATATGAGAACTCTGTACCATCTTTGATTTTTTCTGTAAATCTAAAACAATTCTATAATTAAAGCTCATTAAAAAATAAAGATACCTTTGAAATCATAACTCAGTAGATGTTTACAGGGGGCAGCAAGATGCAATAAAGGGCAGGAAGCTTGAATTCAACATATGATTGTTACCAATCTTATGTTGTTGAACTTTTCTGTTTGCTGAAAGTGTTTAGAGCTATAATTGGTTCCTGCATATTGATTTGATATCCAGGAATCTTGCTTAACTGTCTTGTTAACTCCAGAATTTTTTTTTTTTAATTTCCTACCCACATAATCAAACCATCTTCAGAGTATTTCTTCTTTTATCCTTTATACCGCTAAAAAAAAACGTCCCGTCTCATTGGCTGGGCCCTTTCATAAATTGCCCAGATGAATATAAGCGGTAAAAATAAGCATTCTTGTCTTGTTCCTGGCCTCAAATAAATGTTCTCAATATGGTGCTCTATTAAATATAATGATATATTAATATATTACATTCCGTTAATCAGGGAAATATGTTTTTATTTCATTCCTCTTTGGGTAACTAGGTGTTTTATTTAATAGTTAATATAATAAATGGATAGTGAATTTTTATTAACTGTCTTAACTGCCCCTATTGAGGTTATTGTCCTTTATTTTTCTAACAAAATACTTCTCCTACTTCTCAAGATGACTTCCCAAGACCAGCAGTATCAACATCATCTGATAACTTATTAGAAATGTGAATTATTATTCCTCACCCCACTTATTGAATCAGAAAATCTGGGTTGGAGGCAAGTAATCTGTATTTTAACAAGCCCACCAGGTGATTGTGATACAAGTTCAATGTATCCTTTTCGTGATACTGTGCTATATTTTATTAATGAATTTCTATAATGTAAATAATTCTGGGAATACATTGAAATTGGTCATTATACTTTATCCGTTTTACATCATGTGGACTTGAAATTCAAATTCTTATCTGGAACTTTTGTAGCTATGTACAGGAAAGAAATTTCTTTGTAGCTTCCCTGTTCTTGCCAGGTTTGGTAATCAAGTTATGTAAGCCACCTACAATAAGGTGGAGAATATTGATTCTTTTGCTTCTTTCAGGAAGATTTAGTGTAAGACTATATTATTTTTCCTTGAATATCTGAAATATTTTACTGTTGAAGCCACCAGAACCTGGAGTTTCCTTCATGGAAAAATTTTAAATCATAGTCTTTATTTGTGTGTTCTGTTTTTGTGTCAGTTTTCATAAAGTCATTTGTTATCTAGGAATTGGTTCACCTCATATACATCTTCAAACTTTGACAATTCATTATGCCATCTAATTACTTTTTACAGTATGTAGATTCTATAATTTGAGTTTTTTTCTGACATTTAAGTTCTATTTCATTAATTTCAACTCTTTACTATTTTCTTTCCTTTCCTTTGAGATTATTCTTTTTGTTGCTAAATAAGGGCTTAGCTCATTTATTTTCAACATTTCCCCCCAATAATATACATTTTGAACAATTAATTTGTCTCTGAATCACATCACCTGTGTCCCACAAGTTTTATTATGTTGTATTTTCTTTTCTTATTTATTCAGTGCTCATTAATTTATAAATCTATGACTTCTAATAGTTTTCTTCTATCATTTCTTTAGAGGTTAATGATATTGTTGTCAGAGATGTAGGCATTTGTATTTATGGACCAATATAAGATCAATTTTAAAAAACATGAGTGTGCTTAGAAAAAATATGTATTTTGGAGAATTTGTGTAATGTGTTTCACATGTGTTCATTAGGACAAATTTATTAATCATGCTATTCAAGTTCAGGGAAGTGTGCCAAATTTTTCCAATGTGATTATTGCTTGATATATTGTTTCTTTTAGTTCTCTCTTTCCCACCCCCCATTCTTTTGGGCATTTGAGGCCATTGAGGCTATGTTAGAAAATGCATTCAAACTGTTATGTCATTTTGATTAATTGTATATTTTATCATTATAAAGATACTGGTCAGGTCTAGTAGTGCTTTATACCTTAAAGGCAATCTTAACCAAGATTAGTATAGTTCCTCTAGCTTGCTTTGCTTAGCATTTACATGGTATATGTATTCATTTGTTTCCTTTCAATCTTTACTTTTTTCTTAAGTTTATAAGTTTTCTCTTTAAAAAAGCATGTGGCAGACTTATCTTTAATACACTATGACAGTCTTTTATACACATCATTTAGTCCATTTATCTCTATTGTAAATGCTTATGTTTGCATTTACATATATCACTATAGTTTGTGCTTTCAATTTGTCCTACATTTTTGTGATTCCTTGAGTCTTCTTTCTTGCATCTTTTTGATTTTTTTAATCATTTCACTTTTCTCTCTGTTGTGTTTGTTATACTACCAGAAACAAATGTCAACAGATATCTATTCATTTATATATATATATATCTAGTTCTCGATGTAGACTGTATGCAGAAAATACATTTATTTAATGAATAAATTAATGAGTATAACAACTTATCTTAGACTACACAATTAGTAAAAGGATAAATATTTTTTAAGAGTAATAAAGACTCACTAAAATTTCAACTCAAGTTTTAAATGTATCACTAAAAAGTAAATTCTTTAATCCCCAAGGAGCAGTGTTTTGTTGTAATTTATCAAAATACCTTATTGAATCTAGTAAAAACTGAAAGAAATTTCAACAGAATTATTCTATTTTATACAAAATGGTGATCATTATCATTATTTTCAATCTTTTCCAATACATTGTTAAGATAAATGCTTTTAGTATATACACAATGTTTTCAAGTGAAGTTAATTTTTTCATATTTCATGTCACATCATACAGATGCTAAATATATAGGCTTAGAATATAAGATGCAAAAAGGCATAAATGCTGTATATTCATTCAAGCGTGAACAGAGTCAATATACTGAGACTATCACCAACCATGCCTTTAGATATACGGCAAAAATGTATTAAACCCATTGCCCCAGGAAGTCCATAAAGCCAATTTCTATTGAGAATGACTAAGATTTCTGATGAAGTAGATGCTAGAGAAATAATATTTTTTTTTTTTTTTTTTTTTTTTTTTTTTGAGACGGAGTCTCGCTCTGTCGCCCAGGCCAGACTGCGGACTGCAGTGGCGCAATCTCGGCTCACTGCAAGCTCCGCTTCCCCGGGTTCACGCCATTCTCCTGCCTCAGCCTCCCGAGTAGCTGGGACTACAGGCGCCCGCCACCGCGCCCGGCTAATTTTTTGTATTTTTAGTAGAGACGGGGTTTCACCTTGTTAGCCAGGATGGTCTCGATCTCCTGACCTCATGATCCACCCGCCTCGGCCTCCCAAAGTGCTGGGATTACAGGCGTGAGCCACCGCGCCCGGCCGAGAAATAATTTTATAGAATCCTTTTAGCATATTAATATTCTAAAACACCTGCAGGACACATTATTAATGACAACGAGAGACTTTCAGATATTACTCAAATAAATCATAACATCTCTAATTGGCCTTTGGCTGTTCTCATCAATTTGGGAAAAAACATGTTTAAACCATCCCTAAATTATAAGATGTTTTACAGTCAGAGAATTTATCTGCTGATTATTTAAATGAGGAGTCATACTTACTATGCTCATGTATATTACACTGCACATTTATCCCTTGCAAAATAATATATTTTACAAGCTCATGTCAAAGTATTAATTTAAGTGATTGACTTACCAAAAGAATGCTTTGTGGAGGGAGAGGGAGAGATTTTGAGTGTCTTTTCAAAATATAAATAAAGTGTATCTTATAATTCTTTTACGTTACGTCTAAGTAAGTATAATTCAGAACAACAAGCTCTGAAACACTCGTGAAGCTAGGCAATATGTGTAAGCTGCATATTAGCAAATTTAATAATCTAGGAAAAGTCAACCCACTGAAATTTCACTCTCCTATTCTGGGTTCAATAATTACTTAAGTTTTATACTATCCCATGGCATACATTATACATTTTCTTCTCTAGTGAAACACTATTTTTCTTTACAAAAGAAAACACCAAAAACATTGATTTAAATATAATAAATGCATGTTGTATGTGCATTGAAAGAAGGTCTAAATTTGTATTACAGTAACAAGTAAATGGAAAAACGAGCATATTTCTATAGGACTATAGGAATGCAATGACCATATGTATATAAATCCCATTTTTTCATGGCAGGTATGTATTATATAACACATTGACACATAAAATGTGAACCATCCAAAAAACAAAGTATTAGGTGACATTTGATTATTTCTTTGATTATTTCTTATTAAATTTTGAATTTCATTCTTTTTCCCTTTATAATCTGATTTTCTTTCTGCCTCTGATCACTTTTACTACCACTGTATTTTCTGCAGGCTCATATTCTTCTAAGAAGAAACCAATTGTTGCAATTTCACTGGCTTCAGTGAAAGGCTTTCTTCTCACCAGGTACATTTTTGCTTGTCTATGCATGCTGAGGCTTACCTCCATGCGAATGATACAGAATTTGACATTCTAGTGCAGATGCTTCTCTGAGCTCCAAACACATATGCACAATTGCTACTTTGACATCTCTTTTCTATTTCAAACTCAACCTATTCACATCTAGAAGCATCAAAAGATAATTTTATATGTACTGACACCCAGAGTAGTCTTTTTTTGAATCCAAGTGAATAGATCAACCATCCATCTCATATCTCACGACCAGTACTTTGAGTCCTCCCCAACATCTGCTTCCCTCTCAGCTCCTTTTCCAATTCATCTCAAGATCGCGGTGACTTTACTTTTACTCCCTAAGTATTTCTCAAATTTACCTCCATATCCAGACTGCATTCAGAAATGGCATTTTCAAAATACAGCTCTCTCTTTTTTTCTTTTATGCACGTGCACGCATACACACATGCCTTGCCATTTTATGGCAAAAGGAGTGTGTTAATGGGATCATAAACATGAAATCCACTTGTATTACCATGTTCTATAACCCAGAAGTAGTTGGCCTATTCTACCAATTGAATAGTGGAATGGCATATTGAAGGGTCAACTAAGATGTCAACTCAGGGACAAAACTTTAAGGAGCTGGAGCACCCTGTCAGAATGTGGTCACTGTTGTGAACCAAAGGCTGGTATATGGTCATGTGTCTCCAATAGTTGAAATACCAGAACTTTGTCACCAAGGCTAAAAGCAGGATTGGAACCTCTCACCATCACTCTTAGAGACTCACTTGCAGAATTTATTCTTCCAATCCATTCATCCTTAGCATCTTCTAGATTACAGACTCTGACACTTAGGATAAAAATCATTGAGGTGACACAATAAGAGCTTCGCTGAACTGAACATTTGACTACCACCTGGCCATGTTGGATTCACATTCCAGTGTTCCCACAAGAAAACAATAGAATGACTAGACTATGTAACTAGAGTGATGAGAATAAATGACCTTGTTAGCATGGAACTGCTATAGGGAGAAGTGTGTCTAGAATAATGAGGGCTCAATTGGCATCACTTCCTGTTTCCACGCCTAGTAATAACTGTGATTGGATAACCAAAGTAACCATAACCTGATAAGGACAAGGCACTTATGGGCCCAAAGACTTAAATATAGGTTCAGTCCGTCTTACCAGACAGCCTGAAGTACAGGTCAACTGTGAATAAAAAGAAGTTCCAAGACCAGATGCAGCAGTGGGGATTGCATCTCTGTTTATTTGCTAACTAACTTCTTTAAAGTCTTTTTTAGGTCATTTAAATGGCTGCCATTCTGAAGAATTGGAATTGCATTGCCCTTCTTAGAGATGGAAGATTCAGTTTTCACTTGTGATACAGTTATCATAAGAGGGTATAAGCTTATCTGAAAGGTTCAGGGTGTACACTGTACCAGATCCAGTTTCCAAGTATCACCAGATCCACTCAGGGCAACTTGCTCCCTGGATCTTGGCTTCCCCTTCTGATCTATCCAACAGGAGAGATGTAATGTCAAGTTATAATCCCTGGCAACCACTGCTTTCACCTCATCTTTTTTTTAAATTATACTTTAAGTCCTGGGATACATTTCACCTTATCTTTTAACATGAATTATCTTAGCCTTTCCCAAGGACATGGACTAACCTTCAGCAATACCTCCATTAAACCCACCTCAGTTCCAGTATATACAGGTCTTACAGACAGAGTTATGATAGCTCTACCATCCCCAGAGACTTCCTAAAACAACCAAAGTAACAGAATCTGGAAGTGGTGGAAGTTAACAGTATATAGGGAAAATTTTGACTAGGGAGCAATGAGACAAGAAGGAATCTACATACCAACTACTCATTCTTCCCCAACCTGACAACAGGGATTCCATTTATTCACCCTTAACTTGAATCATGTGACTGATTAACTACCTGGGTGCTTTTGTGAGAATGTGCCCTGTTCAGAACCACATAACTCCAAACTGGCTTTCTCTTTTTTCTCATTTGTTCTTTCCCACCTCTCTTAAATCCCAGAATTATAACCCACAGTAAAGTATTAGTAAGTAAGCATTGTCTCAATCTGTTATTTAGGGAACCTGGGCTCAAAAACCTTATGAAACACGCCAAAGTCCTCTAACTTATCCCACAACCCCTGTTACCAGCAGAGGTAGCTGCTGAAACTCGAAGTATTTATAAACATAATTTATCTTTTGTTTGTTTCTTAAACAAAATGGATATCCACCTAAGGATAGGAATCATGGGGAGCCTCCAAATCCCTTTTAAAAGTCTAAAGGAACTTGTTTACTCAGCAAAGGAAGAAATATTTCCAAATATTATAAAATAATGTGCAGACACACAAGTGTTTGGCACATGTTTATCAAGGATTAAAGCATTAGTAAGTGAAAAGAGAAAGAAAAGTAGGTTGGTTTAACATTATACCATGGTAAATATTATTTTATTAAGACTCAAGGATATGAGAAAACAGAAGGATTTTCACTATGAAATATTTAAACATGTGAGGAAAATGAAATTGAAAGGGAACACATTATGTACTTCTGAAAAGTTTTGACAGAACCTCGTCAGATGCAGAAAATGAGAAAGATAGAGAAGGAAAAATACAGCCTAATGATGTACATCAAAAAATTTAGAACAGATTTTTATAAATCATATATAAAACCTGTTTAACAATTCATTAGCTAGTTCTTTTTCTCACACCTAGTTTTCTAAGTCCTTCCATTTTTCCCAGAGCTGATATGCTTGGGTATTTTGAGTATGGAACCTGTCCTGCCAAGCAAAGGATTCGCCTTATAGTCACTATTGTTAATATTAATATTTCTTGTATTTATTCTTTTTAAAACTTCAGAAGAATCTGCCAATCATTTGTAATTAACATTTATTAAGGCCTTAGCACTTTGACAAGTATGTTATTTTACCAGCCTTCATGGTGGCAAAGCAGAAACATGAAACTAAAGAGCTTATCTTACTGGCTCAAAAACACACAACCACATATTAGATCATGGATCCAATGTTCCTATTTGACAGATTAAGCCTCTGTTCTACATTCCACGTGCCGTATTTTCCAAGGATGGTCACTCAACTCAAAGGCTGTTAGTTATTTTCAATTCCAAATATAAAGATACTGAATTCTTCTTCCCAAGATCAACATACTGTATCAAAGGAGGAAGGATGTTCAAACCAATCTTGGTATCAGTCCCCCTGCCCTGCATGCCTGTTAAGAGCAGGGAATTGGGTTAAAAAGAACAAATGCTCTTAGCCCAAGGATAAAAGCATTAAGAAGTAATATCTTCAATATAATAGTTTTTGTAGGAATAATAAAAACATGATATTTTTAAATGAAAATGCTATTATATTTTTAAAATATTTTTAAAATATATATCATTACTAGAAAAAGTATTATATACAATATTTATTGACTTTCAATCAGCATTAACTATATATGTTAAGATTTTTAAATGTGGCCTTTTTCTAATTACTTATTCATGAGTTCCTCAGATAAATTTAAGTATCTACTATGTGCTACGAACTATGCTTAGTGCTAAGAATGCAGTGGCAAGCCAAGCAGCCTTGTTGCTTCCATTCATAGAAGTTACAGTCTAAGGATTACATCAGGCATAATCCGTTACAGAAGACCCAGAAGTAGCAGCAGGATTTCATAACTATTGTAAACTTGGGACTGTGATTTAACACCTTTTTTGAGAAAAAGATAGACATGTTTAGATATACCTAAAGGAATATAAATCATGCTGCTATAAAGACACATGCACACGTATGTTTACTGCAGCACTACTCACAACAGCAAAGACTTGGAACCAACCCAAATGTCCAACAATGATAGACTGGATTAAGAAAATGTGGCACATATACACCATGGAATACTATGCAGCCATAAAAAATGGTGAGTTCATGTCCTTTGTAGGGACACGGATGAAGCTGGAAACCATCATTCTCAGCAAACTATCGCAAGAACAAAAAGCCAAACACCACATGTTCTCATTCATAGGTGGGAACTGAACAATGAGAACACTTGGACACAGGAAGGGGAACATCACACACCAGGGCCTGTTGTGGGGTGGGGGGAGGGGGGAGGGATAGCATTAGGAGATATACCTAATGTAAATGACCAGTTAATGGGTGCAGCACACCAACATGGCACATGTATACATACGTAACAAACCTGCACATTGTGCACATGTACCCTAGAACTTAAAGTATAATATATATATATATATTAGTATATATATATATAAAATAGTATATATATATAAGTATATATATAATAGTGTGTATATATATATATATATATATGTATAAAAACATGTTTAGAATGTTTCTAAGAAGAATTTGGATAACTTTACTTAGTAGTCACAACAAGCCAGTCAACTAGCTGAAATTTTAAGAGGTAGGCAGTTTCCAATGCACGAGAAAAACGCAATGCAATGAAAAACTATATAATATAACTAGGGCTCAGGGTCTCAATGGACAAAACAGGGGGCTCACTAATGGACTGCTGAGCATTTGTCCTATGACCTGCTGACTACTCCCAGCTGATTTTAAGACTATTACATGCTGCAGATGTAATATTAACTGAGAAACGTTAGGGAAGTTAATTCGTGGCCTCCTAAAGAATTGGAGATCATGAAGGAAAAATATCATGATCTATTAATCTAAATAAACATTTTTGCTCTAGAAATCCTAAAGATTTTTTGTAGTGATTTGGCAGAAAGAGAAATAATAGATTTGACTCTTATAGAGTTTACACCTACTAAAATATACCTATTCTATTTGCCTTTGATTGTCTATGGTTCAGATTGAAAAACTTGACAGTTTACACCGACATAATTTGTTTGGCCTCATCTATAAACATTGGAAGTATTCTTACCACACACTCAGATGAAAAATTCAGCCCTCTTACCAGCCCAGCTTCTTGACAACCCTGCTAACTGCAAATTCAGCTCTGAGCATTAACTCTTAGCGTTGTTAAGCAGTTTTAGCTCATGCATATACAAGCTTCCCCTATTCTTAATTTTGGAGACCATTTGACTGTTTCATTAAATTTACTTTCATTCTTAATTTTATATTGCTCTTATAGGTTTATGAAAATCTTTCAGTAGTTATGAGTTTATTGCTTTTCTAGCTTTAGTATTCATCTTTGGACTTTATAATTTACCAATTTAAAGAATTGTATTGGCTTTTGCTATTTCTCTTTGTGGTAATAAAATTATATTAAGTCATAAACACTAGGCTCCTCAGTTGTTTTATCTTATTTTTAGCTTTTGTTTTTAGAATCTTTATTATTCTATTTACTATTGATGCTTTATGATTTCTGACTTTGGTTGTAACATGTTTTTTTTAAATTATTTTTCTATATTAACTAGTAACTTCTTCTGATATTAAATAAGAATGAAACAGTAGGCAAAGGGTAGGAGAAAAAAGTGAACAGGCAAAAGATAACCATAAGCAATTTAAATTACAATAACCTTTAATTTTTTAATACTCTGTAAAAAGGAAACACTGTTAAGAATATGTGCATGTGTGTGTGAGTATATATATGTGCATGTGTACATATGTTATCTATTTGTATATGTGTGCATCTACATATATACATATGTGTGTATATACAAATAAATAACACACATACACACACACACACACACACACACAAATATATGACTACCCAGATATAGACGATCACAACTCTGAAGGCAGGAAAGTAACATTGCCAACCCACTTTCCATTTGCACTGCTGCCTCCCTGACTGAGTCTTGTATCACATTTATTTGCCAGAATCTTGAAATTGCTTTCCAACTCTTCTCCCTTATTCTAGGGTGCATTCTGGCTGTTCATTGTTTAGGAAAAACTTGAACTCTGCTTAATTAGGGTTCATGTTCATGAAAGCATAATCAAAACCTAAAGAAAATTGAAGCTTCTCATCTGTCAAAACTATGCTAGGTCTAGTCGTAGACATATGATTGGTTTAAAAAATTGTATTGGCAATTTTGTTTTAATACTATTCCATTCCTTCAGAATCAGACATAATTGTTAAGTTAATAGCACTTTTGTTACTTTGGTTATATTTTCAAATCCATATTATGTCTGGCACGTTGAGTATTTTGATGTACTTTTTTGGTGGTTTAAGATAATCAAAAGTGAAACAAGAGGTTATCTACCTAGCAAATCCTACATATTCTAAATTCAGTCAAGAATTTTTTCCCAAGAAATTTATGTCCAAATAATGCTCATACAAAACTGAGTGCAGTGGCTCACACCTGTAGTTCTAGCTATTTGGAGGTCATTGAGCCTGTGAGTTCAAGACTGCAGTGAGCTATGATTGCTCCATTACACTCCAGCCTGGGTGACAGAGCAAGACCCTGTCTACATACATATTTAAATCAAAGAGGTGTAATTTAACTGCTTTGGCTCATTTAAATGTCACCAGTTGACTCACAAGTGAAAAGAATTTCTACATCATTGTGCATAAAACTGTTACTGAAATTTCTTAAATTGATTTTGCTAGCAACTGGACTCAAGAACAAGGGAAGAAAAAGGATTACTATCTATTAAACTCAGAGAACACATATATATTCATCCAACATTAATTGAGTTTTGAAAATGAATGAAAAACCTTTTTATCAATGATACTGAAGTTCTTCAATGAGGAGCAAAAGAAGTTCTACGGTAGAGTAATACAAAACCCAGTCTTCGAGGAAAAAACTTTCCTTGCATATATTGTCTCAAATATGTGTCTTTATTTTTTCAAAATCAAAATATGGCTAAAATACACTAATCCTTTATAAATAAACTCGTTAAGAAAGCTAATTTTCCTTGATTGCTTTCAGTGTTTTAACTTTTGATAGGTTAATGATTAACACTGAGCTTTCTCCAACTACATATTAAGTAACCAGAGATTGCACTGAAACACAATCTGCCACAGACAACGTTTGCACTTGAGCCCAAGTAACTTGTTAAGAGACAATAACTACTGCAGCCACAACAGCAACAACACTCTTTACAATAATAAAACAGAGTAAGCAGTCTCCAGATTGCGATAATGCAAAATTACCTGATATATGGAGAAACAAAAACACATGTTCAATTCTCAAGAGCAGAGACAATAAATGAGGATCAACCTCATGATAACCCAGACATTGAAATGAGCACATAAGGATTTAAAGCAGCTATTATAAATATATTCAAAGATAAATAAATAAATAAAAATATAAAAATCAGAGCAGAGAGGTAGAAATTTTTAAAACCCAATGAAAATCTTAGAACTAACATATGTAACATTTAAGACAAAAAAATTCACTGGACAAGCTCAATAGCAGAATGGAGATGACTGAGAAAAGAGACAGTGAAAATGAAGATAGATCCATATAAATGATCGAATCTGAAAACCAGGAAGAGCAAACAACTTTTTAAAATCAGCCTATCAAAATATCTACAATATATATAATTGATCTTCCAGAAGGAGAAGAGAGAATATAGTAGAACAATACTTTTTTAAATATATAAGAACTTATCAAATTTGATGAATGACATAAATTCACAGAATTTACAGAAAGATGTGATGAAGAACCCCATGTTCAGGTACACTGCAGTCAACCTGTGTAAAATGCAAGCTAAAGAGAAATTACTGAAAGCAGCCTGAGAAAAATGTTACTTATGAGGAATAACTATTATAGTCACTATTGTTAACACTAACATTTCTTGCATTATTCTTCTAAAAACTTAAAAACAACCTGTGAATCATTTTAAATTTATTAAGACCTTAGCACTTTGACAAGTACGCTATTTTACCAGCCTTCATGTTGGCAAAGGAGAAACATGAAACCAACGAGCTTATTTTACTGGCTCAAAAACACACAACTGCATACTAACTTTGTATCAAAAACTATGGAGGCTAAAGACAGTGGAATACCATCTTTAAACTGCTTAAAGGGAAAAAACAACTATCAATTCAGGATTCTGATTTGTCTTTTGGTCTATGAACTCAATTTGTGAATTTATATGAGGCTTCCCTGATATATTTGCATTTATATATACGTGTATTTGTCTCTGTGTGTGTATATCTATATGCACACACGTGTGTATGACTATATGCACACACGTGTGTGTATGACTATATGCACACACGTGTGTATATGCACACACGTGTGTATATGCACACACATATGTACACAATGCATATATATATACATATATGTACACACATATACATACTTACATGAATAATTCTGTATCAGACCACTAGGTGATTTATGAAAAACAATTCATGTCCTCAAAAACCTTATGGTTTAGATGAGGAGACTTGGTTCATGTTGTAAAATAAACAATTGATGATCCAAAACAGAGCTATCTCTACCAGAACCAATCCATTCTGAAAAAGTGGGATTATAAATCTGGTGAATTTCTTTTTAGCTATTATTTTCTTCATAAAAATTGTAATACTTTCCACATGCTATTTTATTTGTCCAAGTACCTTATTTCCCCGCTCTATATTCCTTCTTGGGGTTCATACAATATCTGTTATCCCAATGCTTCTTCCTGTTGCTTCATTTAATTTATTTTTCTTTTCCTTACATTTGCCAAACAATAGTTTGACAGGATGATTTTTTTATACTCACATCCTCAAGCTCTCAAAATTGTGTTTCCTGAGAAACACCTGGTGCCAGCTCAGTTCACCGCAGTTTTCATCTTTATGTTAGAAAACAAAGTATAGATTTTGTACCTCCCGGAGAGTCCTTCGTTTCCCACATGCTTTCTTTGTGCTAGTACTGCTTCTGGGATGCACTGTTTCCAGTCCCTCTCAATGCTGTGATTTCTCTCCATAGCTTCTCAGCTCTATTCCCTACTGCACAGCTTCTGCCTAATTTCAGCTCTGTTCGCAGCCTTTACCTCTAATACAAAACCTGAGGATTATAGTGTCTCCTCATTTTGCTGACTATAGAGTTGTGATCATTTTTGGTTTTGAATAACTTCCAGGAGGAGGAAGAGAGACTGTTGTTGATTTACTCAGTCACATTCCTACTAGAAGTCTACTTTTATATTTTAAAATAACTCGTTTTGACTGCTGTTTATTTATATTTCATTCTTTATCACTAAGCCTAAATAAAGTCAAACATACTCCCTTCCTTCTATGCTCCCAACAGAACTATATTACAATTTTGAGTTGAATCTGTAATCAGCATCCACATGGATATTAACCAGTTATAATTTTTAAAACAAACCAAATGACTATATCTTATTTCTTTTACTTTTTTTTACTGGATGGAGTTTATTGTCTAACTATTTTTGTTTGCTTACTAAATTTACTATGTAGCTATCACTAATTTACTCCCAAATTCTGATCTTTACTCTCAATTCAGATCTTCAGAGTTTCTTCTGAACTTCAATTTCTGAAGTTTAGAGTGAATCTACAGAGCTCAACTTACATGCCCCTTAGTGTTTTGCATTTAGCTTTCCTCTCACTTCATATGCTAATTCAGATGCCATTTGGCAATAAGCATTTTTACAAAAACAAATAACTCATTAATTTTAATTGACAAATACAAATTGTATATATTTACCCTGTATAGCATGATGTAATGTATAAACATGGGAGTGAAGATATTTCTTCAACATAGTGATTTCATTGTCTTTGGGTATACCCAATAATGGAATTGCTTTATAAACATTTTGGCTTACAAAATTTGTAGACACCTGTCAACAACTGCCACCTCCAGGCCTATTCTCATTATCTTTGTTGAAATTATGATATGTTTTAATAACTATACTATCACTTTTATAGGTTCAAATTCTTTATATATCCATTTTATTTTATACAGAGTATTACATTTCCATTATACAGTCTTTTACTTAATGTAAAATAAAAAATAAATTCTCAATTTTCTAACAAATATTTCATCTAAAATATAGTCAAAGAAGAAACATTTCAGTCAAAATAATTTTAAGGGCTTGTGACACTACCTTCTTGGTGAAATTAAATAAGTTGAAATAGAGAACTCATGAATTGTCCTAGAAAAATAAGGATTTAGGCCAATATTAACATGAAAATTTAATTAAATCAGAATAAGCCAGTCTTTCTATAATTTTGTTTTGTCTTACAATAAAGAGACATACGGTTTCTTTGTTATGACAAGTCTAATTATTTGGAGAGATCAAGTGTTTTAAAATGTTAAAATTTCACTGATAAAAGCACATCCCTTTTTTGTCATAGACAAGACTGAAATTCTACTTTGACTCCTGTATTTTCATTAAAAAAATAAAGATTATATGTGTCTGATTCTTGGACACCTCCACAGCCAACTATGTTTGCATTATCTGAATTTGAGACAAAGATACCTTTGGCAAGTATTCCCCATCCTTAAAACAATTTCACCTTTAGTATTGTATACCTGCTTGAGATCATAGAAGATGTAGGTTTTCTGTTTGTTGAATGAATGAGTAACTGAGCAAACAAATGTGGATTAAAGATTTAGACTTCTGTCATTGACTTCTCCCATAAAGATTCTGATATTGCAAAGGTATTTTCAATCCTTTGGGGATCATTTTTATACTCATGAGTTAATTTTTCTCCAATTTGTGTATTAGACATATGTTCTATTTAATTAACATATTCTGAATACATAAACAAATGTTTACATAAACAAAAGTTGCCAGGGGGTGGGAACAAGGAGAGAGGGATTCCTAACAGATGGGACTATTGATAACTAAAACTATTATTTATTGAAAGACTAATATACTTCAAGTGGAATCTTACAATTTTAAATATATTATTAAAACTGAAGTTGACAAGGTGAGCAATCAGCACTTGCTGCTATCAGAAATAAACTTAATGATGAAAAGTTATAGGCATGTTTAAGAAATAAAAGTGGAAATGATGGTTAAGAGATAAATGTTGAAAACTTCAAATGCAGCAAGATATGAACATGGATTTTGTTATTTTTGTTTTTTAATTCACATTTGATTTCTGTGATAGTATTAGAAAAAAAACCCTTTTATAAAGCTACTAAGATAATTCTTCTTTCTCTATTTTTAGCTAAAACATGAACAGAAAATGTCATTTTGTGGGAAAGTCTCCTGCCAAAGGAGTGTGGATTTTTTTTACCAATTTTGTATATATAGGGACTTTGGAGGGTCTGGTCATTCCATTTTTGTTCTTATACAAATGGCCAATGTTGCAATGACAAAATTCAACCATACTCATGATGATTACATTTACCAGCCATTAGAAACTGTATTCTTGAAGATTAAACTTTGATTCTGAAAATTTTATATAAGATGGATCATTAGTTTCCTTCTCAAAATAACTCTATCCAAGTAAAGATTTTAAATTTTTTTGTATAGAAAATTGAGGCATAGCAAAGTGAATTACTTCCAGAATTAAAAAAACAAGAATTAAAGAATATGTCTAATTTTGCCAGATAGAAATTGATAAAATTTACTTAAGGTTAGGAATCCAATGTTAATACTGCATATATATAATATGTATATAAAATATATATACTATATATGTATCTTTTGAATAATATTAATTTTTATAATATTTTAATGATAAGAATACAATTTTGAATGTCATTTGCAACATTAATTTTGCTATGAGCTCTATTAAAAAGAATTGGAGTTTTGAACTTCTGAGTCTTAAGAATGTATTTGCTATCGCAGCAACTTCCAACCACTTCTGCAAAAAAACACAGCACACTTTAATTTTGCTGGTTGTGTCTTTACTCCTGACCAGTTTAAAATTGAATCTGAAACAAAAATGATGTGGTTTAATATAACTTAGAGTTATGAAACTAACAATCTATTTTGTTATTTAATCACACAGTAATTATACCTTTTTTGGTAAATAATGTGGGGTTAATAGACATAATGGCACTTTCATTGAGAATAGGTAGTGGAGAACGTAATAATCTAAGTGATTTAGATGAAAGTGATCTTTTGGTTTTTATTGAGAAACAAAAATAAAATTCTAAGCCCGCCCAGCTGACTGAGCAGACAGTCCATTGGCCAAGGGAATCCCACAGAAACCTTGGAAGCTGAGCTGCTGGACTTGACAGGATGGGAGGTCAAACACACCTGCTTATACTCTCTCAATAGTCACCATTAGGTCTTCTTCCCTAAGGGCTAAACAGAAACCACCCTTTCAAAAGACTCCACCACTGATTTCAACCAACCTCCTGACTGCCTCTTCCTTTTGTGGTTTCAGTACAACAACCATCTGGCATTCCTTCCTGATAAAGAGACTACCTGCCACAGAGTGGTTCTGGCCAGTCTATAGAGGATACACAGTGAGGATTTTCACGTCCTCTGTTTCACCTTTTGACATCAGAGAACCAAACACTCCACCCTGGGATCATCCTAATGACATCATTTTATGCACATGCAACACACAAAGAAACACAAAGCTCACCTGTGCATGTGCGATTTCTCCTTTCATAAATATTCATGACTCCTCTTGTATAGAGGAAACCAGCCCCCAATATTTCAACGTAGGTTCTATTTTCCGTAAGTGTTGGCTGGTCTGAGAAATAAAGAGAAAGAGTACAAAGAGAGAAATTTTAGAGCTGGGCCTCTGGGGGTGTCATCACATTGGTAGGACTGTGATAACGACCCCGAGCCGCAAAACCAGCAAGTTTTTATTATGGATTTTAAAAGGGAAGGCAGTGTACGAACAGGGAGTAGGTCACAAGGATCACATGCTTCAAAGGGCAATAAAGTTCACAAGGTGAAGGCAAAATTAGAATTACCGATGAGGGTCTATGTCCCGCTGTGCACGCATTGTCTTGATAAACATCTTAACAGGAAACAGGGTTCAAGAGCAGACAACCGGTCTGACTAGAATTTACCAGGCTGGAATTTCCCAATCCTAGTAAGCCCGAGGGTGCTGCAGGAGACCAGAGTGTATTTCAGTCCTTATCTCAACCGCATAAGACAGACACTCCCAGAGTGGCATCTATAGACCTACCCCCAGGAATGCATTCCTTCCCCAGGGTCATTCCTGGCTGGGAAAAGAATTCAGTGATATTTCTCCTACTTGCACATCCGTCTATAGGCTTCCTGAGAGAAGAAAAATATGGCTGTATTCTGCCCAACCTGGCAGGCAGTCAGACCTTATGGTTGTCTTCCCTTGTTCCCTGAAAATCACTGTTATTCTGTACTTTTTCAGGGTGCACTGATTTCATATTGTTCAAACACATGTTTTACAATCCATTTGTACAACAGTGGTCCTAAGGTGACATACATTTTCAGCTTACGAAGATAACATGATTAAGAGATTAAAGTAAAGACAGGCAAAAGAAATTATAAGAGTATTGATTGGGTAAGTGATAAATGTCCATGAAATTTTCATAATTTATGTTCAGAGACTGCAGTAAAGACAGGTATAAGCAATTGTAAAAGTATTAATTTTGGGAACTGATAAATGTCCATGAAATCTTCACAATTTATATTCTTCTGCCTCAGCTCCACCCGGTCCCTCCGTTCTGGGTCCCTGGCTTCCCAAAACACCCTTGTGGCTTATTAAATATGCATATTTGGCTACCCCAATCAGCATAAATTCCTGTTCCCTTTGCTGTTCCCTCAAAGTATCTGTTTTCATCTTCTGGCCGGAGGCTATGCTATTCCCAGCCTGGTCTGAATGGCCACACAGCAGGCTGCAACACTTTGTAAGAACTAAAGCTCTCCTTTCCAAATGTATAAACCTTGACATTCTCCAGTTAACAATACTTTGATAGCATGAGTTGCCTAACTGGCTGCAAGTTAACACTGTCATCTTGTTTCCACTTAAATGGGAATAAGTGCTTCTCTTCTTGGGATGCACTAGATTGCTACAACTTGGTTATATATCCTTTATGTCATCAGGTCTAATTGTTTATGTTACTAGATTTTTTGATTGAAATAAGGAAAAAATAAGGTTGTTTTTATCTTCCTCCACTTATCTTGACACATTCATCAGAAATTTTTTTTTTTACAAGTATAGATTTCTATTATATTAAATTGCTCTTCTGAATGATATAGAATTATAGTACATTTTAGGTTTTCTTTTTTTTATTATTATTATACTTTAAGTTTTAGGGTACATGTGCACAAAGTGCAGGTTTGTTACATATGTATACATCAGGGATCTAGAACTAGAAATACCATTTGACCCAGCCATCCCATTACTGGGTATATACCCAAAGGATTATAAATCATGCTGCTGTAAGGACACATGCACACGTATGTTTATTGCGGCACTATTCACAACAGCAAAGACTTGGAACCAACCCAAATGTCCAACAATGATACACTGGATTAAGAAAATGTGGTACATATACACCATGGAATACTATGCAGCCACAAAAAATGATGAGTTCATGTCCTTTGTAGGGATGTGGATGAAGCTGGAAACCATCATTCTCAGCAAACTATCGCAAGGACAAAAAACCAGACACCACATGTTCTCACTCATAGGTGGGAATTGAACAATGAGAACACATGGACACAGGAAGGGGAACATCACACACCGGGGACTGTTGTGGGGTGGGGGGAGGGGGGAGGGATAGCATTAGGAGATATACCTAATGCTAAATGATGAGTTAATGGGTGCAGAAATCTTTTTGATTAATAATGTATTCTTTCTTGCCTGACTCTTACAACAGACTTCCCCAGGCCTAAAGCTATTTAAAATTTTGTACCCTAGTACCAAAAGGGTTAACTCATAGATACAAGATTTAAATAACAGATGCATTCTAATTGTTGTCTTCTTCCAGGTCTCATCCTTATCAATGTTTCTGTAGATTTTGCTGATATCTCTCTATTAAGTCTTCCATTATTCTTTTGTCTTTTCTTACTTCTCTGGCCCTCTAAAATTTTGGTGTTCCCTTATGTTTCTTCATACCCTTCTGTCCTTCTATTCTTATTCTATAAGTTCTCAGTGATTTTATTTTTACATAACCCCTCAGTTGCTGCCTATACATTGGTGGCTCCTAAATATGTGTTCTTAATCTAGATCTCTAAGGGCTAATTCCTTCTAGAAACTTGTAGCCAGTTATTCCATAGATATTTAAAATTTAATACAGTATTTACATCCAGACCAGAAAAGCCTTTTTCCTGGGTCTTGCACTTTAAAACATCCCACATCTCTCCTACTCCCTCTTCTTTCTCTCTTTCTCTCTCTCTCTCTCTCTCTCTCTCTCTTGCACACACACACACACACAGAGTACCAAAAAACACAAGAGTGCCTCTGTCATTTGGGATTGGCTGCTTAGTGCTGTATAGCACAACCTACCACCTTAAACATCTGTACTCCTAACACTGTAAAGTTCCCAGGTAATTTCATCTCCTCTTATCCTGTCCTGTACCTTCAAAACAAAAGGCAACTGTGTAGGAACATTCTTCTGTTAGAGTGAGAGTCAGACACGGCTTCAGACAAAAAGGATTTGAGCTGTAAAAGCAGTTAGATAAGAAAAAAAAAAGATGTAATTTTCTTGTAAAATCCCACCTCAGAATATCTAAAAGAGTAGCATATCCCAGTATTACCAAGTATCTTTTTTCTTTTTTTAAATATCTTTCTGAAGGTTCTGAGGAATTAGCATAGTATTTACAACACTTAAGGAATTATCAATATGTAGATAAAAACAATTTGCATGAAACATGACACCAATTTTTACTGACAATTAGATGAATATAGTGTCATATAAAGGCAAAAGTTTGGTTTTTGTAAAAATGTCTAATAATATCTAATTACATTTCTTAAAACTTTATTTTGTAATTTTATTTCAAAATTGTATATTTAATATACTTTACATGTAATTTTAATTATTTTGATTTTTTTGGAAAATGAACTTTTAAAATGTATATTTTTAATATTTTTTCCATTAATTCATGTTAATTTACATTTTTTATGAAGATACATTCAAACTGCACACACTTTGAAGAGAATTATATTTTATTTTCAATCATTTACATAATTCAGCGAGTACTGTTCAACATTGTGACAGTAACCAACAAGTACAAAAGTATAGCCCAGGAAAGGAAAAAGATTAAAAAGACAAGAAATAGAAATTTTCTCTGAATAAGACATATTTTTTAAGATAGCATTATAGGACTTTTTAAACAGGTTTTTTTTTTTTTTTTTTTAAGCTTAACATCTGACTTTTAGATATTTAGAAATGTAGCATGTGAGTTTCCATTTATACTCTTGCCACACGCTCGGCAAATGTTAGGTATAGGACTTTTCAAATTCCGTGTCCATAACCCAACTTAGTATCTTTTTCTTTTAAATCTACTTTGCTTCACATATTTTGTAATATATTACTCAACCCTCTACCCAATTCCTTAAGCCAGAAACCTACATGTCACTCTAATTCTTCTTCACCCCTAAAATCTAGTCAACAAATATTTCTTTTTTAATTCTGAAGTCTTTTTGTTGGGGGCAAGGCCCTTGGCCATCTGAAGTTTTGCTGAAATATCAGCTCACAATGAGGCAGATTAATAAGAAAAGATATACAAATTTATTTAACTGTGTGCACGAGGAGAATCACAGTGATTGCTCCACATCCCAATAGCGTCCAAAAGCTTATATACCATATTAAGGTCACAGAAAGACTGAGGGCTTGGATCCTGGCAAAACAGGTTATAGGACCAGGAGAAGAGGAATTCTACTAGGGGGCAATAAATGATTACTAGG
The DNA here is from genome assembly GCF_000001405.40 of Homo sapiens. Classification (NCBI taxonomy): domain Eukaryota; kingdom Metazoa; phylum Chordata; class Mammalia; order Primates; family Hominidae; genus Homo; species Homo sapiens. Next base: position 87,755,467 of record NC_000008.11, read on the forward strand.
GAGAATGATTGGATTGGGGAACAGAAATTTACTTATAAATAGTTCTCTTTGGAATTTAAATGATACTTGGAGACAGTCCACATTTTGTAAAATTAGGGCCCTGCAGTAGTCTGTTTTCATACTGCTAATAAAGACATACTGGAGATTGGGTAATTTATAAGGAAAAAGAGGTTTAATGGACTCACAGTTCCATGTGGCTGGGGAGGCCTCACAATCATGGTGGAAGGCAAGGAGGAGCAAGTCACATCTTACATGGCAGCAGGGAAGAGCAAGCTTGTGTAGAGGAACTCCTCTTTATAAAACCACCAGATCTTGTGAGACTTATTCACTATCATGAGAACAGCATGGGAAAGACCCATGCCCATGATTCAATTACCTCCCACTGGGTCCCTCCCATGACATGCGGGAATTGTAGGAGCTACAATTCAAGATGAGATTTGGGTGGGAACACAGCCAAACTGTATCAGGCCCATTCTGGTGTGGTTACATTCTTGGTCTTCTTTCCAGTAAAGGGTAATAAGATAACAGGGAGGGGAACAAGGACAATTGTTCTCCTTGATGGGTCAGTCCTACCTTTATGCAGACAGATGAAGAGTCTCTTCCAGCTCATGTTGATCTCTAAGGATTTTTAATTCAAAGTTCTCATTATATCAGAGAGCCACATTTTGTGGTGAAATTTCCTGTGCCCATTCAATTTTTAAAATATCTTTAGAATTCATCATCTCCTCAGAAATCTTTCTGGGCCAACCTATACAAAGCAGCCTCTTCCACCCTTCCATTCAGCAACACCCTATCTCTATTGTAAACTAAAAACAGTATCTGAAAGAGGTCTCAATCCACTTAGAGGTTTTTGTTTTTGCTTTTGTTTTGTTGTTTTGTTTTGCTTTTTGTCAAGGTTGAGAATATACCTGGAAAAGGAGACGCAAGTCATAGTAGGGTTGTAATCAAGTATTTCAGTTTGAAAATGCATTTTAACCCTTTTTTTCTAGTCTTAGAATATAATCTTGAAATGTACTTTGAAATACTCTGTTTCCTTCACTTTCTTACCAGACACTCCCTTACACCATGCATGCTTATCTAATTGGATGCTTACTTAAAATTTTCAGAGGCTAAGGGCCAGGCACGGTGGCTCACTCCTGTAATCCCAGCACTTTGGGAGGCCAAGGTGGGCGGATCACAAGGTCAGGAGATTGAGACCATCCTGGCCAACACGGTGAAACCCTGTCTCTATTAAAAATACAAAAAATTAGCTGGGCGTGGTGGCATGTGCCTGTAGTCCCAGCTACTTGGAAGGCTGAGGCAGGAGAATCGCCTGAACCCGGGAGGTGGAGGTTGCAGTGAGCCGAGACTGTGCCATTGCACTCCAGCCTGGGTGACAGAGCAAGACTCCATCTCAAAAAAAAAAAAAAATGTCAGAGGCTAATCTTGAGATAAATCAGCCATGGATACCAAGCTGCAGAACTCTCCCCAACCTGGAGATTACCTCAAGATCATTAATCTACAACCTGGCCACAACCAAGATGGCACCAGCCTGCACTCTAGGTGGACGATAACTCAAGATAGCACTCAAAACAAAACATGCAGACCTGCACCCTGCACCACTCCCTCATGTTTCCCATACCAAGTTTCCCTTTTTAAACCCCCTCAGTCATTTGAGATGGTTTTTGGATGCATGAGCCTAACCATCTCTTCAACTGCTGGCATTTGAATAAAACTTCTTTCCTTCTACCATACCTCATCTCTTGTGTATTCAGCTTTTTGATCAGTGAGTAGCTAGACCTGAGTTCAGGTACAGGATCTGTGTCCCATACTTTTTCCAGAAAGGATTTTGAGGGCTTCAGTATTTAAATGGGGAAAAAAGCAGGCCAGGAGGGGAAAGGGGAAAAAAAGGAGGGAAGGTAGTGAGATAAGTGATCACATTCCTGTCATGCCTTCACTAGCAATCATTGAATCCATATGTTACATGTGAAAGGCAGTGGTAGGAGAACAGTCAATTACGCATTCATCTCTTACTCAGTCAATCTGCATTTGTCTCAGTGGGGGCAAAAGGATAATTTCCGGTCTTGTTTTTGTCCTGTACTTGTGAAGATAAACTGTTAATTTTCATTGTTATGGTAAGGGAGTCCCCTGAAAGATATGTGCCCATCTATCTTGCAGCTGACTGTTTAGTAAGAAAAGGAAAGGCAGTTTCTTGCATGACTCAGTTTCCAGGCTTAACTTTTCCCTTCTGCATAGTGAGTTTGGGTTCCTGAGATTTTATTTTATTTTCCTTCCACACTATCTAATTTCTTCCTCATACTTATTAATTTGGAACTTATTACATTTATATACTTATTTTTCAGAGATTAATCTCTACCCCTACATGATAGTACAGGCTCCAAGTAGGTTTATCTAGCTCATCACTATATTTGTGAGGCCTAGAACACTGCCTGGTACATAAGAACAACTGAGTAAATAACTTGTTAAATTAATGAATGAATTTTCTGTGTCCACACAGATGTTTAGTGAAAAGAGAATGTCTCATTTTAGGCAACTTTTTTTTGAAGAGCAAAACATTTAGTGTGTCTGTGCAGCCCTTTTGATACACAAAGAATTTTGTTATTGGTCTTACAGCTGCATTTAGAATCTTCTTTCACTGAATGAAGAAGCATTCTCTTAAATAACTGGACTTTCTTAGCTGCAGTACTGATTAATGGCTCATTGTGCAAGCAAACTCAGGGTGATGAAAGATGCTTGAATCTTCTAAGAAGTCTCTGTTTCCCTGACAATCTTTTGGACTTTATTCTTGAAAGCCACCCATTCTTTTAATAACTCATGATCATTATTTTTCTTAAAGGTTTTCATTGTTTCAGGTCTATTTTATTATTTTAAAAGGTAATTTCTTACTAACAATAGGAAAATAATTAAATTATAAAGTTTTCAAATAAAGGTGTCCTTTAATCTTACATACGGTTTTCAAAATTATTTGACGCATGTGATAAAAGTTTTTGCTAACCAGTGTATTTTAAACTCAATGTTTCTTGACATTGGTGAAATAAACATATTATGTCAAAGAGAGTGCAAGTTACTTCTTATATTAAACACAACCTGGAAATGATACATTGATTAATGTCTGTGGTTGTAGACATGTGCGTTGTAAGTGTCTCTCCAATTGGATTCTTTGTCATAAGCAAGGGTTCTCAACATTTCTGGTGGGATTCCACTTTTTCATTTTTCTCTTCTCTATGGGGAGAATACCAGTTTTTTTCTCAATTCCTTGTTTTGACTGTATTATTTTAGTCTATAGAACAGATGGCTTTCAAATTATTGAGCTTGCTCTTGAGAAATGTCTTGAGAAATGCAAACTTAGTCAAGAAAACCTTTAAGCAATTTTTCATGTGTTTCTTTTTTTATAAAATTAGTCCATGAAACCTAGTTTTGAAAATGAATAACATGATTCATAATTAAGATAGTATAAATTCAACTTCATCTATACTTTCCTTAATGAGTAAAATACTTTATAGACAGCTGGAAAGATTTAACTGTACTAATGGTATATCAGGGATTATAAGCAAAACTTTAAAATGAATGTAAATTAGTTCAGAGAAGCAGAAGAAAGAGACATTTTAATTCTCATCAGCAAGTCATTCATTTTCTCTTAGTTTCTTTACACACTACTTTATGTTTTTGGAAATGAGTTCATCGTGCCCACATCTGAACACAGAAGCAGTGTTACTGTGCCTGCCCTTAACTCTCTCCCGTCTGTTCTCCACAATGCACACCAGTTATCTTTCTAAAACATCCTTTTTTGTATCACTTTCCTGATTAAAAATCTCAGAGACCCCAGATTCCAATGATAGCCTTCAGGGTGTGAGCTCAACTGAAGGAGTTCAACTCCTGGAAAATGTTTTATTTTTCAGTCCTAACCATATATTATTAAAAAGTCAAAACCTGGCAGGCCTCATGAGGAAAAGGTACCCTCCCCACATCAGATATGGTATAGAGCCAGGGCACTACAGTTTCCAAGGAAAGTTGCAATCAAAGACTCAGGCCCCTCTGGCCCATCCTGCTCTGCATATTTGCATTCCTGGCCCATGTGTTTCATTTCTAGATGTCTTTATCTGAGGCCTGAGCAGACGTCATCTTTAGGTACCTCTGCCAAGGCCTCCTTATGAGATAGGTGGGAAAGAGACACCTTGAAGACATTTTGCCCCAGTGGGGCCCATAATACCTCTGGCCCTTTTTCCCTGGGCTCTCTCAACAATGAGACAACTGCCATGATACCTGACCTCTCGCCCATGTGCAACACATTGGGGGAAAGTGGAACAGGAGGAGTCAGGACTTCCTCCAATATCTACTCTTGCTTGTACCATGGCAGTAAGTCATCAAAAGCTTCACCATTTCTTTCCTTTTTGGCTTCAATCAGCTAACCTGAGATCTGGCAACCCAGCTCTTTCTCCCAGCTCAGCTGAGCCCTTGATACCACTCAACACTGCCTCAGGTACCACAGCCGACTCTGCCCTGGGCACCTGCACTTCCAGTCTTGGCATTTCCCCTCTTATTTCTGTCTTTTCTTCTCATGTTCTTTCCATGATTGAATAACTCACTCAGAGGCTCATTTTCAATCTGATTTATTCTGGCAGAATTAATTGCCTCCTCCTCTGTATTCTCCTCATGTGGGTAGGTGACTGAGAAGTAATTCTTTTTAAAATAATTTACATTATAAAATTATAAAAGCAACATGGCCATGTTACAGTACATTTGAAAAAAAAGAAGAGAGTAAATAAATAGTTTTTAATTATCCTACCACCTTGAGGCAATTTTCATTATCATCTGGGAATTTATCTTTAACTCAATTGTCGTATATCCGCTATGTTTAAATAGCTAAATGGTAGTTACAGTGTAACTCCAACCACTTGTTCCTAGCCCCACCCCCACTAACAACATGCATGCAATGAACATGTCTTACTATTGATAAAACAGTCTTCAAAACCAGTGTTTCAATGACATTATAATAATTTATAGAGAACTGACATTATTTGCTAAGCTATATTGCTAATCACTTGTTTGAATTGTTGCTATCTTAGTTACATGAATGTACAAGCATGGGTGATGTAGCAGTGATGAGGACACATTGTATGAGGTAAGACCAGAGCTCAGGGTACTAATTTGAAAAACCAAGAACCTCATATACTGCCATAAAATATGAATGTGAAAAAAATGAAAATGTCAAGGCATCCCAAATTATGTAGCGGTATAGGGCTACTATGATGTATCTGTCATATTCTTGGGTCTGCATTTAGACTGTGAGAATTTCCAGGTATTTCTTTCTCCTTCTGGAGATTTACAGTCAGTCTTCAAGTTTGCTCCTCTATAAGAATGTATCTGATTTTGTTAAGAAAGTTCTTGAGAATTGCTTCTGAACATTACAAAATTGACTACCTATCAGTCTTCTTATTCATCTTTACCTGCTAATGCTGGTTTCCCACATAAGTACTCAGGGATGGCTCAGAAATAAACAACAAACAGTTGTTGGTAAAAGTCCCCTTAAAAGCTTCTCCTTGTGCTAGGACCAGAGTTACTATGGGAAAGTAAGCTTGTCTCACGTACTGTGAAAAGTCAAAGAACAAGAAAAAATTGCTTCATCGTAAAGAATATGATATAGTACCTGCGAAATGAAACTGTTTTAGCAGATGCAGAAAGAAATAGAAAATAGTTTAACAATAGTTCAAAAAATATCTATTTCTCCCGTATCGTTGAAGCCTATGCACACTGATATTTTTCCTGGCCTGTGAGCTTTTAACTATATTAAAAAATAACCCATAATATATTATAGTAAAGGTCACCTGTCTAAGTAGGTGAAAGTTATTACATCAAAATAATGACCAGGAGAACATGAAAGAAGTGAACCCAAGTTATAGGGAGAGATTTAGAAAGGCTGTAATAATTTCTTCTCACTGCCCCCTTGAGAAGGCCTGTTAATACAGGAAGGCTATAAAATGCAATTCCTTATAGTCAATACATCTAGGATACACTTCCACGTATCTAGGAGGGTGTAGGTGTGGTCCTACCTAAAAGCATAACAAACAGCTAAACAAATGACTTCTTATCACTCCAGTCAGTCAAAATGTCATTTTTTAACATAGTAGCTGTTAGTTTAGGCTCTCCTTTAAAACAAAACAAACAAACAAACAAACAAAAAACACAGTTTTGTTAAGAAAGCCAACTGGTGAAGCATTATGCGGAAGTGAGAGCAATGCTTTATTCTATTTATTCCATGACTTAATAAAATATCCAGGTTCACTATTTAGGTGACTTTTTTTATAGCAGTCGAACGAATTATACAAATGTCAAGCAAAAAGTGAGATTGTGTTGTGTCTATGACAAATATTCTATGGAGAAGCAGGCTTTACTGTTGCTGCCTTAAATGTTAGATATTTTTCAATTTAATATGTAACCTTTTCTTTCCCATCTTCTCATTATGGTCTACTAGTTCTCCATTTGTTATTTATAAGCGCGGACTTTCCTCAAATGCTCTGTATTCCACATCTCTAACTGCTTCACTAAACCTTTCTTAAAGAGCAGGGTGAGTTTGCAAGTAATTCAGAGAGGTAATCCAGAAGATGGATGATTGACCTGTGTATTACAGACAAAAATAGGATTGGTTCAGTTTTTGTTTAGACTCAACTGCTTGTCAAAGTTTTGAGGTGTTCACACTTTAACTCAAGTATTATTTAAGATCTATGGAATAAAAAAAAGCAAATATTATGCACAAAGCATTGTGCAAAAAAAAAAGACAATGATATTGAGGCAAACTAGTGCATGAGTCCAACTCCTCAGTATAAATAAACAAGCATCTTAGAATCTAGAAGTGAATGAAAATCGAAGGAATCTTGATTAATTTTCAACTCTGCAGAATATGCTACGTATGCCCCTTAACCATACTCTTCAAATAGTGACGATGAACTGAGAACATAGGTCAGGTTGTGCACAAGGTGATGGTGAGGAGCCCAGTGGGGGAAAGCAAGGGACAGAGCCTGACACCAGCTGAGCTGTATGTTTTCTGCTAGTATTACAGTGGGTTGGTGAGGGAGAATGTCAGCTGTTGCCTTTTCCATCCCCAATACCTTTTTCCTGCTTTATTTCTATTACTGACTTTATTACCGTCACTTCCCAACATTGGGAAGTCGCTACTGCTTCCGAAGACAAGTTAATATAACAATGGGTGGCTCATATATTCTAGCAACAGAAGGCCAGGGTTTAAATCTTACTCAAGCGCTTTCTACCTGTACAGCCCTGGGCAAGCCAATTAAGCTTTCTAATGCTTTCTTGTCTAAAAAATGAGGAAACAGTGTATACCTCATTTTTGGAATATTTACGTGTCTTAAAGTGTTCATAATGTCAAATTTATAGTGAGCAACTGTTAGGGGTACGATAATGCTAGTTCTCCTCTCCCTGAAGGATACCAGTGCCCATTCTTCTGAAAAAGAAGTGCCATTCATCTCCCTTGCAGAATCCTTTTCATTTTATCAATCTAGTCACCTGGGATGCCTTCTATCCTCTATGTGCAGGTCCTTTTAACTTCATGCCTGAACTATTTCAATAGTCTCTTAACTTGTCTCTGATCTCCAGGTTCTTCCCCCTCCCATCTCTCTTGTTCACTGTTGCCAGACTAATCTTTCTAAAGTGTCCTTCTGACCCTGTCATTCTGCTGCTTAGAAATAGTTAAAAGATTTCTAACAAATACAAGAAAAATTCAAAACTGCTTGCTGACACAGCAGACCAGGCCTCACCCTAATATGAACCAGATAGCATTTATTTCTTGAATCTGTTAAATTCCTGGTACTTTGCATGTATTTGCTCTAATCCTTAGAACAATATGGCAGGACAAGCACCAATTTTACAAGTAGGAAATGGAGAATCAAACAGGTTTGAGGACTGGACAAAATTCAAAAGCTAGAAGGTAGGGAAGTTTGAACTCCCATTTGGTTTTGTTCCCTATCAAGTCTGTATTCTTCATTAACACACACTAACTCCCAAACAATTGTGCCCTCACATTATACTGCCTATATATCTATATTTCATGTGTTTCCAATTATTTGGTTACATGGTGGTATCCACTATCAGACTATGGGTTCCTAGCATGGAGGGATTACAATATCTTTTTCTTCTCTGTATCTCTTGGCACTTGCCCATAACAAATAGGACACTCAGTAAAGTATATAATAAATTAATGGATCAATTAATAATTAAAGACCCCCCAAAAAAAGACATTAGGAGCAATGTAAGATGGGCTTTGAGGGCCCACTGCAACCTGAGTGCAGTGTGGGTAACTGTATTTTGATGATGGAGAAGACATTAAAAGGTGTGAGAATTGTTTGTGAAAATCTAAATGAGAGACTGAGCACTCAAATCTGTCCCCACATTTTAACTATATTTGTTTCCCTTCTTTCATACTAACAACATCTTATACTATAGTAGTTTAGCCTTTTTTTCTGTATAAAACTAGAAGTCATACATTTTAAAATTACATTATGAGTTTTGCTTCTCCTCATGTTATATTCTGTCCTTAATAATAGTTGTGAAATGTAGTAGAGTTCAATTCCCTGTGGACTTTATATGACCTTGTGACTTCATAGCTTAAGGATGGGTCCTAATTGTAGCTTTGCTTTAGAAAGAAATAGTGTCATCTGCCTGTGGAAACACAAATAACTTTTTATTACCCGACTCTGTCACTCAAAGTCTAATCGTGACCATACAGAATACAGTCCAATCCAAGGTCTAATATTTAACTTTCAATGTGTTGGGGTGGGTAGATGGATGTGGGTGTGTGGGTAGGATATCAATTTTATTTGGGTAACTGAGAAATGATGAGGGCATTAATTTCTGCAATTAGGATTTACAGGCATGTTTACAAATAATAATTTCATATCTTAAGTCAATAAAAAACAAAGTTCAACCAAATAAATTTAATTAGTCTAGTGACTCTCAAATTTAAAAAGAATAGCTAGCCCCAAGGGATTTTTCAAACTACCCTCTAATAAAAAGTAAGCTTGGTTGGTGCTTCAAAAATGTATAACTAAATTCCCTCCACCACACACACACACACACACACACACACACACACACACAATGGGATTGCTGTAGTTGAGCAATTTCTTTGCAGAGGTCTATATTTTTACATTTTTAAGCATATTAATTTCTCTTGCAGCAGAGAATTGGCAATACATCTTCTCACTATTCTTTGCCTTTCTGCAGTACAATGATTAGTGGAAAAAGTAAGGCAAAACTGCCCTTGGAAAACCAATTAATACCAGTTAAGCAGAGAAATGTTGACATTCACCTTAACTCAAAAACATTTCCCAGGCTTTGTTAACATATTTGATGATAAATAAAGGAAAAACAGAGACAAATGTAAAAAATAATCACGTAGTGACAGAAATAACAATACTAGAAGTAAAAGATAGATTCAGTATTTATTGGGACTTAGTAATTCAATTTCAGTCTCTGGAGTTTAGATTATTGATTATTTTCAGTCATAAAGAGTGAATAACTAAAATAAAAAACACCATGAAGCAGTAATGGTTATTTATCATGAGTGTAAAAATTATCTTATTTATTTTATTAGGCACTTTTCCATTCTCTTTATGAGAGGTAGTATATGTCTGCATTGCTACATAATTGGTTTCGGCTGCTAGCCATCTGACAGTTAATTATATATTGCCTGTGTTGTGGTCCTAGGAGAGGTTCCAATACCTACCAGAATCTAGTTTGAAGCAGCTCTATCATGTAGTAAGAGAGAGAGTGCCTCCTTTATGAAAGAAATATGATTGATTTGCCCTATAGACATAGTAAAATTTATCTTTACATTTAAGATATTTCCATTTTAACCCTCTGCAAAGATAATAATTAAAAATTATTTATAAACCACAAATCTTTTAAATGTATCAATTAAAAATATTTTCTTGTTACTGGTCTTAAAACTCATATTTTATGGGAGAATAATTTGTCTCATTCTTATTACCTACTCTCAGTACAATTCTGTATGTGTATGTTTCAGCAAGGAAAACATTTCTAAATATACCTAATTAAAGTCACCAATTAAAAAGAAATAAGGAAAATTATTACAGACATCCTGGGAAAAACAATAATACCACAGCTATTTTATTAAGGTAACTATATATACATATAACTTTTTATCAAACTCAGACACTCAAGAGAAAAAGGAGATATTATTAATATTAGATTAAACTACATAAAAATTGCTGTATTTATAGGCTAAAATGATCAAATACTGTTGATGTCATATGGTTAACCTATACTTACAAGGGGACAAAGGGAGAAAATAAAGAATGCCCCAAGCAAATTGGGATATGTACGTACCTTACTTTTCCTTCTGGAACTGTTTTAATTAATGAAGTATGGTACCAATCATATGAGGCTTGGTGTTGCGAATCAACTGCCTACTCTGTGCCCACGTGAGAGATGTCTATTCCACATACAGCACTTCTCCATGCTTGCTTTTGATTTATAAATGGTGAACTTACCTAACTTCCTGTCATACTTTTATGTGCTGTCAGCTCCAGCTTAAAGCAAATACACTTTCTTTGCTTGTGGCCTGTATCTCCCTTTGCCTACCTATTTCTTCTTTTAATATTCCTCTTCCTTCTGCCTGTACCCTCCCACAGTATGCTGTGCCTATCTCAGCCTTCAACTATTCTCTATTAAAATATACATGTTCAGAAGTGGAATTGGTGGATCACACAGTCATTCTGTTTTAGCTATCCAGGAAACCTCCTTCCTGGTTTTTTTTTTTTAATAATGGCTGTATTATTTGTACACCAAGAGTGTACAACACACACTCTCACCAACAGTTGTGAACTTTCACCTTTTTTTATGGTAGCCATTCTAATAGTTGAGAAGTGGTATCTTGTGGTTTTAACTTGTAACTCCCTGATGATTAGAGATATTGACTATTTTTTCATATACCTGTTGGCCTTTTGTATTTATTCTTTGAAATCAGTATGCAGAAGAGATATCTGCAGTCCCATGTTAATTGCAACATTATCTACAATAGCCAAGATTTGGAAACAAACTTAAGTGCCCATCGAAAGATGAGTGAATTTTTTAAAATGTGTTTTAAATATACATAATTGAATACTACTTAGCCTTTTGAAAGAATAAAATTCTGTCATTTCTGACAATATGGATGAATCTAGAGGATGTTATGATAAGTGAAATAAACCAGAAAGAGAAAGGCAAATATCACATAATCTCACATATATGTGGAATCTAAAAATTTGAACTCATAAAAGTAGAGATAGTAGAATGGTGGTTGTGAGGGGTGGGCAGGGTAAGGGAAATGCTGGTCAAAGGGTATAAAGTTTCAGTTAGAGAGTAGGAATGCATTCTGGTGATCAGTTGCACAGCACAGTGGCTATAGTTAATTATAATAAATTGTATATTTCAAAATTGCTGAAAGAGGGGATTTTAAATGTTCTCACTACAAAGAAATGGTAAATATGTGAGGTGATTAATATACTAATTAAAATAATTTACATAGTCCATGATGTATCCATGTATTACAGTATTACATTGTACCTCCTAAATATATACAATTATTAATTATCAATAAAAATAAAATTAAAAAAATACATGTCCACTGGCTGCAAGGACAGGCTAAGTAATTGGCTATATCATCTATTAAACTAATTTGTATAACAATATTAATGAATAATTCAAACCTAATTTGTTGCTTTACTTAGATGAAAAATTTGCATATTAACAAAACTCTTTAGTAGTCTGTAGCAAAGAAGTGATAAGCCCAGTGATGTTAAACATGTTGGTGGGCCAGGTGGTGAGGTATCTTAGAGTGAACGCATCTTTTTCACTATCTTCAAATAAAATCTTATAGATATTTGACAAAGAATAGTCAAATAATGTCAGGCTTATCATTAATTATTACTTTATGCTGTTAACAATATAGTACACAGGGCCAAGTGCAGTGGCTCATGCCTGTAATCTGAGCATTTTGGGAGGCCAAGGAAGGCGAATCACGAGGTCAGGAGTTCCAGACCAGCCTGGCCAATGTGGTGAAACCCTGTCTCTACTAAAAATAGAAAAATTAGCTGGGCATGGTGGCACACACCTGTAGTCCCAGCTACTCAGGAAGCTGAGGCAGAAGAATCGCTTAAACCCAGGAGGCAGAGGTTGCAGTGGGCCCAGACCCTGCCACTGCACTCCAGCCTGGGCAACAGAGTGAGACTCCATCTCAAAAAAACAACAACAACAACATAATACACAGACTGGTTATCATCCATGCAACCTAATGATAGAGAGACCCTAAATATTCGTATCACATTCAGGGTGTTTATTTAATACCCCATTACAAATACAACTAATTAAATTAATTTAATATGTTGGGTGACTAATTATATTTCTCTTTCCACATCTTAATATAGATGATTTCTAAATATTATAAAGGATTCCCAAGCAGGACTACTTGAAAATGTGAGCCAGGAAATCTCAGTTCCTACAGTATCAAATAAAATGGTATATTAATTTGGTAGGGCTCCCCTAATAAAGATAACAAAGTACCACAGACAGTGTGGCTTAAACAACAGGAATTTATTTTCTTAAAATTCTGGAGGCTAGATGTCAGAAATCAAGGAATTGGCAGGGTAGGTTTCTTCTGAGCCTCTCTCCTTGACTTCCAAATGGTGACCTTCCCACTGTGTCTTCACATGGTCTTCCCTCTAAATGTGTCTCCGTCCTAATGTTTTCTTCTTATAAGGACACCAGTCATATTGGATTTGGGCTCACCTTAATGATCTTATTTTAACTTAATTACCTCTTTAAAGACTCTACATCCAAATACAGTCATTCTGAAGTATGGGATATAACAGACGGTATGAGTTCATTGGTAAGGTACTATACCTATTACCAAAGGGTAGGTAGCATAGTACCTTTGGTAGTAGGTAGGGTAGTACCTTTCCAATGAAAAACATGATTTGGTTTGAAAATCGATCAGACTTTATTCCTAAACCTAGTTTACAGAAAGAGAAAAACCCATTCTGCAATATTAGTGGACATGATTATTTAAAGGCAGAAAGCACCACCAGCCCATTCTCTGTGATTGCAACTAGACAATGTAATTAAGTCATTTTAAAATCGCTGTGATATGTAGTCTCAGAAGTTGTTTTTCTGTGAAAAAAAATTCCAATAAGCAAGGAGAAATTCTAGATACCCAATGCATTTTCCAATTGATATTTAACTCAGGGCAAAAGATATAACATGATAGGGTACTGGATTTGAATGCTATCTCCATGGCAATGTTAGTTATAGTCTGACCTATAGATGACCTAATTTTTAATTTCCTTATCAATAAAATGAGGATAATTGTTTATACTTCAAAAAATTGTTTATAGGCGTTCAAGACCAGCTTGAACAGCATAGCAAGACCTCACCTCAAAAATATTAAATAACTAAACACATAAAATTTTTAAAAAGTTGTCTTGAGAATTGAACTAATGAACTAATAGTAGCAGATAGTCAAATAATGCTTGTCCCCTTCTCTTCTTTTTTACATTTAATTTGGGCAATATTCAACTGATCCTTCATACTGAAAATCAAAACAGCTTTAAGGTACCTCTTTAAAACAAGGCTTTCAGAGAATAAAGATACCCACCTATTGATAACATAGGCCTTGAGATAATCTGGCTCAGCATATACCAAAATAATATCCTGCAATATGGAGAATATAAATGTACTTTATTGTGTCTCCTCTGAAAAACAGAATTCATTGCCCATTTGTATGTTTAAAATCTGAGAGGGAAAATCCCAAGGTCAAGATAGGACACACTTTCATACAGATCACCAATAGGGAAATTAAGTAGAATGGGATAATTTGATAAGGTTCCCCCAGAAACCACAAATAAAGGCAATGCTCACACAATCATATAAATTATCCTGGAAGTGGTCTGTCCAATAAGAAAAGGGTGTTTATTACATATTGGTAATAAATAAATTATTAATGAATGAACAAGTGAGCCTGCATGGAGCTGTTCCGGTTGTGCTATATGCTTAACACATTCAGTTTCTGAGGAGCTGAGGAAAAGTCCCTAAGATGAAGTGATTAGTGCCCACATCTACCTCTGAGGGTTGATATAAAATTTCATGCCAAGTAAATGTAGCAGGAAGCCCTTTAACTTCATCTCTCCTTTTTGCTTTTACTCTGGATGATCTACTCTGTAATTGCTACAGGGCTGTAAGGGATGTTAGCCAGAAATAAAAATGCAATTTGAGTTAGAATCTAAAATCTGAGACCATGACAATGTCAAGAAAAAAACATTTCCAAAGCAAAGATCATGGTTTGATTACATTTCTATTTATTCATCATCATCCCACATAGTAATTTTTACTTATAAACATTTGAGATATGCCTATTACAGTTATGTAATGTTTCAAATTACACATAATATGGCCTGAGCTGTGTCTAAATAACCTACTGTTATAAGTTCTCTATTTGCACAATGCTGTACAATAGTTTCATGTAAGGCTTCTTTTTTATTCTTTGGTTTTCTTTTGTTTAGTTTCAGTAAAGGATGGCTTATAAAAGAACATGAGGATTTTGAAACAAAGAAATTCTCTGAGACAAAAAAAGTGCTACTTATTTCAACATAGCAAACAGAACTTCTGTAAATTGATAAAAAAAATCATTCATCCGTTTTAAGTGTGTTTTCAAAACAAGCTTTTGGCCTTTGGTCCCCACAAAACCAAACAAATATAATTCAAGTTTAACATAATTTTTTTAAATCTAGAAAAATAGTTAACTCGCTTATATGAATATTCCTGAAGCACAGAGGACAGTCCTTTTCTTTCTGAATTCCTAGATTCTAGCAGGGGTGTCTGTAATATAGAGAATGGTCAATGTTTGTTAATTTTTCTTCAATGCTGTGTTAAAAAAATAAATTTTAAGATCATTCATTTAGATTTCCCTTATAATTTACATAGTTGGATATACACAGTAAAAAAAATATTAATAATTGCTGGTTTGGGTGTTTAAAAACATTTTTTTAGAGACGGGTGTCTCACTATGTTACCCAGGCTGGATTCAAACTCCTGGGCTCAAGCAATCCTCCCACTTCAGCCTTTCAAGTAACTGGGACTACAAGTGCATGCCACCATACCCCACCTACTAATTGTTGATCTTTAAACCATCTCCCAAAGTAGAAAATCATGAAGTAATTAATGCATTGAAATTAACATTGTTTTAGAGTGCTTCAGTTACAAATGAACAAATAAAAGACATAACCTTGCAAGCTAAAAAATTTTTACAGGAAAAGATCCTTAATGTTTCACTATTTAAATTTAAGACATACTAGTATATTCATTACAAAAATTATCGAAAGGCCATTTAGCTATTTATGGATAACAACACTTTATTGAACATATCTCTTGTCATTCACGCTTCGACTAATCCTAAATCTGGAGAGAAGCAATTACAAATGCCTTCATAATTAAGAGGTAATCCAAATAGGGGAAATATTTTAACATTTAAGTACTAAAAAAATCTTTGATCTCTATTGTGCTTCAGCCACTAGCATGGTAAGATAATTGATTAGAAAACAGTGATACACACACAAGATTGATAAAACAGATACTCAAAACCTAGAAAACAAGAAAAGTGTTTAGAGATGAATTAATACGTTGTCTCCTTTTGCATTATCCTCATGTTCATTGATTCTGGGGACAGTAACAGCAAATATTTTTGATCCATTACTTTACACTTTGGGATTCTTCTTTGTTTTTAATTATATTTTGGTATTTTAAGAGAATACCTTACAACACATTGATTATGAATTCATGCTTTTATCACACAAATATTTGTTAAAAACTTACCATGTGGCAAGTGCTACTGTATATACCCCATACTTAGTACACACACACACACACACACACACGTACACACATTTAATTTATTGTCTCACATTTGTTCATAAGTGTCTCAGCATCTGTCTTTTTTTTCCTTTCTATTTTTTTTTAAGACACGGTCTCACTCTGTCTCTTGTGGAGTGCAGTGCCATGATCTTAAGCTCACTGCAGGCTTGACCTCCTGGCTCAAGCAATCCTCCCACCTCAGCCTCCCAAGGAGCTTAGGACCACAGGAGAAAGCCATCACACATGGCTTTCGTCTTATTATTTGTAGAGGCTAGTCTTGCTATGTTGCCCAGGCTGGTCTCAAACTCCTGGCCTCAACCATTCCTCCCACCTCGGTCTCCCAAAGCACTGGGATTACAGGTGTGAGCTACTGTACCCAGCCTGTTTATTCATTTAGTAACACAACAAAACTACACATTTCTGTAGAGGAGGAAATAATTTTTTATTTCTAGTAATTACTCTTGAGCATATGGGGCTACAATTAAAGAGTGATAATTGTTTAAAATACAATTACTCCAAGGAAACAGAAACATCTGAATCCCTTGCTCAAGTGACTCCCCACCTCAGTGTGTCAGGGATTATATACTAACAATTAATAAGGCAAAATACTCTTTATTAAGTACTAAGGGTATTGGTTGCAAAAAGTCAAATCCCATGTAGAACCTCTTTCCTTCTAGGTAGGCCTGAAAGGCCAAGACTCAAAGCAGAGCAAATGACTCTGTCTTTATTTTTACACCAAATCCTAAATGTGAAACCAAAGTCTTAGATCTCTATGGACATCTAAGCAGCCACCTGAGGGAAAGAACTAAAACAAAGGGAAGCACTAAATACAGGACTAACATTTCCCCAGTGCCTAGAGAGGAGTTCCTCCAGGATGCCTGACCTCGACTTCCCAAAGGCCAGTAAGATAAAGAGAAATGAATGGACAGTTCTCCTTCAGCAGAATTTACTTAGGAAAAATGAGGAACCCCATAAGGACCATTTATAATGTTGAAACTCCCTCAGCAACCTGCAATCATTAGCACAGTAGCCAATAATGACTTTAAGTCTTACCAAATCACAGTTATTCTTTGGGAGTGGAGAACAATAGGGAAATAGCAAGGGATAAAGAGGAAGTTTGAGGTTCTCCTCTGCTAAGTTTCAGTAGCTACAAAATTCATAGTAATATGAAGAAGACAGCATAAAGTCAGCAAGTAATTTAATCTTTCTTACAGATTCCTTATATATCCATGATTCTTGGAAATGTATATCACAAGGCTATATCCAAAATATATCAATGTATATGTGTCTCTAAAATATTTTAGCCAATCCATACATTTTGACTATCCAATTTCATTCATAAGAGCCCATCAGTAAGAATCCATCATGGTCATTACCAAATGTGAAGTGTTTATGCAGGTATCATTAACAAACCCCTGTTAGTAATTGCTTCTACAGTTGGTCTTTCTGCCTTTCTGACAATTCCTGGAGTGTAATTTTTCAGCTTCAGCAACTAACTGCCCCTACAGTTGAGGCTGGGATAAGCACATACATAGATAATATCACCCTGTCCATTCCCACTTTTTAAGATTACAGACATTATAACAACTACATAAAATTATATTTTACATTTATTCTCTCTTGTTTAGTTATTTTTAAAGTAGAAAAAGAGCTTCTTCAGTACCGAGAGCAGTGTCTAGCATATAGTGAGTATACAATTTTTTGAAAGAATAAATGAATCAATAAATGAAATAGACAAGAAAATATGTATAATTCAGCTTAGATTTAACTACATTTAATAAACTCATTTCACAAATACTTCTTGAGTAAATTTGGAAAGTTATCAATCACTACTTAGGCAAACCTCAACGTTGTGTTTATAACTTTTTCTTTCTTTAATTGGCTACAGAGTCAGGAATTAAAGTAGTCTCTTGAATAGCCTCTTGTATTTATATTTTATTTGTTTAAAGCCAATTATAATGCTTCTTGTCACTTTCTTAATTGAAACACTCTCTAATCTCTACTTAATTTTACAAGTATTTATCTCCAATATTTAAAGTTCAGAAAAGAATTTCCTTTTTTAATATAATTATTTTTGTTTATAAGGTTCTGTATAGTTTAAACTGTGTCATTGAGGAAGGATGCCTAGAAATCATACTGCATTAACAATATCTCATCTCTTGATGGGATATTTATAGGATCAGTAAAATGCTATCATAGTAAACATTCACCCACCACAACTCTCTTCCACCACTCCAACTTCATGCCTCCAATCTGTAAAAATTTATTTAAGACTGACGTGGATTTTAATAATTAGATTCTATTGCAAAATGTGACTATGCTCAAAATCTGTGTAAGCGACCTAAAGAAAATAAGTTTTCCTCTCCATCTCTAATTTGAAACACTGTCAATACAATTTGCAGCTAGCAAAAGCAGTACAAATATGGATATACACTAGTTTCTCCACACCATTATTTAGGATTTACTAAGTTTATTGTAAACTTTAGGATTTTCCTCTTTTAACATTATCACAAAAGAAAAAGAATGCTCTGTATTTAATAATTAGGCAATCTGAATTTCTATAATGAAATTGATATTCATATTTTTCTTAGTGTTTTATGACTTCCACCTTGCAAAAACAAATTTATCACATTTTGATAATGTCATAAAAATCATATGCAACTTACCATTTTAAATACTAATACTACTTCCAATACCATCGATAATTACTTCCAAACACTATTTATTAGATTTGGGATTTGGTCTCTGAGAAGTATCCTCACATTCTTTTAAGCAAATTTCCATCATTTTCTATTCTATGGCCCAGTAGAGCCTACAGTGAAAAAGAATATTGTTCATCAGTTTTATTTATATGAGCTATCAAATTTCCGGTGGATTTGGAGATAGTGAGAACTACTATTTCTGAGCATTTAAGTGCTTTGATGACCTTTAAACCATTAGCATTGAGAAATTTTATTGCCTTCTTGAGGACTTGGTAAGCTTTTCATCAATTTGGTACAGAGCTTACCATTTTGCTCAGTTGCAGTAAGAGTGATTCTTTTCCTGGGCTAGGAACACCAAAACTCGTGCAAGTTTATAATAGGTCTCAAACCTGTCCAGGATATTAAACTCAAAACTGATCCAGATTAAATTACAGATTTAATTCTCAAAACTGTCCGAGAGATTAAAACTACCTAATGATTTACTCTTTCAGAGCATAACAGCTATTGTTAGTTAAAGGTGAAATAAAATAATTGGTGAAAGATTCGCTTAAGTGATGACTGTCTCACACATAAGAATTCCTTAAAAAATAGAGAAAATTGATATGTATAAAAAAGCTTAATGTATTAAAAGTACAAAAACAGGTAAACACAGTCCTTTTTAAATATTAATGAAACCATTATAATTAATAGTAGTATTATTTTATCTTCAAGACAATCTGACATCTCAAGTCTTTACTTATCTCTTTTTATTTTTATTTTTAAACTGATGACTTCACAAAATGTGAGGAAAGAGAGGCTCCTATTTTTTACTGCAAATCAGTTCTAAAAGGGATAAGACACAATTTCTAGGAAGTTAATGAAGCTAAAAAGACAATGCACACTTATACATATCAAAACATGGATGAATCTCACAAATAAACACAGCATTAAGCAAAAGAAGTCAGATGCAAAAGCATACATACTATATGATTTGATTTATCTCAAATTCATATACATGCAAAACTAATCTATGATGTTAGAATCATTATAACAGTTAACTTTGGGAAAGCGGGTAGTGATTTGAAAGGCATATAAGAGAGGTTTCCAAGGTACTATTAATGCTCTATTTCTTGACCTGGATGCAAATTACAAAGTTATGTTCATTTTGTGAAAATTCATTGAACCCTTCATTTGTGATTTGTGCACATTTTTCAGTACCTGTTTTGATTAAATACTAATTTTGGATATTTTGGTGAAAATTTAACCGAGAATTTGAAGAAAAATAGGAATACATTTATGGTGTTACTAATCATTTAAAAATGCACAGAAGATACTTAAGAAGTAATTATAGACTTACAGACCATAATATCTTTCCAATATAAGAATTTAGGAAAATCAAGGGAATGTTTTTAACTATAGCTTCCTACCCTTCTCCTTCAGTCTTCCTAGTTTTGCCACTGTTTTTGTTTATACTGATAAGTCTTAATTGACTTATACCTACAGTCAGCTTTGGTTTTCTCCATTACAGTGTACAGAGAAGTGGCTCTGGTTGACAAAATTCTGTCTCCCTGTATCTCTGATCTTTCTGAGCTCCAGTTTTCCTAGGAGATCCTGATCTTCTCTATGATCAGAAAAAAAGAAAATTAAATTTTGAAGCCTAATATTAGAAAGCTTTTCTTCCCTAGAATATAAATTGAATTTTTCCCTCTTCCCCTGCAGATGGTGGTGACACCATCATATTTTCAGGAGAACACTAACATTTTCTCTATTACCCTCATGTCCCAATATTGTCCATCAGATTAATGGCAGGTGGCTCAAATAATTGGTTGAACACTTGATGCCTGAACTACTTGCTCAATAAATCTCACTTTTAGTACATTCAGAGTTTCTTTTAAAATAAATTATTTCTACATTTATTAAGTACATATCTCAAATAGAAATAGGAGAAGGCGCATGACAGAAACAGAGTAACACCACTAACTTGTCTATTGTTATATTTAAAACAGAATTGAGATGATGAAAAAATTCTTCATCTGTGTTCTAACACAGGGAAACCTGAAACTGTAGTTAAAACACTGAAAAGAATCTGATCAACTGGAAGTCTTCATTACACATATCCATAGACCCTCTTCCTTTACCTTCTGTAAGAGATTTTATTCAAGTTCACTGCTCAGGGAGTCAATTGTGCTGTCTGTACCAGTAAAATGACAAGAGAAAATCCAAAGGACACCTTCAGTTTGAAAATAAATCTAAAGGACTAGAACTCACCTCACTAAATGCACTTCTGGAAAATGTGTATTATTTCAGTCTCAGCTTCAGTTTCTACTCCTCTGTGAAGCTCTTTTCAATTATCCAGGGGCAGATGGAGTAACTGCTTCCTGGGCTCAATTAGTACCTTCCATGCTACGCATATGTTCTCTGGAACTGTTCATACTATTTCATAATTATTTGTTTCTATGTTTGTCTGAACTTGTGGGGTCTAGATTCAAATAAAATCGTGACAATGGATAATTGATCTGTGTATAATCAGTCCACATCAAGTGATTTTTTAAAAAGTTGTTGAATGAATTAATTAATAAATGATAACCAATGTTAGTTTTCAAAAAAAAATCTATCACAGAGATCATGATTTAATGGTATCCAACAGATTATTTAACAAAAAGAATTCAAAGCAAACAAAAAAGATTAAAAATCATCTTTTTCTCTGATCCATTTAGACGATGAATATATTTCCATTTCAGTTAATAAAGAAGTTTATATTTTCAACATTCTAAAAAAAGTGAATGTTTATGTTTAAGTTATTTCCATTTGAAAATCATGTAGACTTGCAGGAAGAGGTTGTCAGCAACGATTGTTCGAGACTTACATGCTCATGACTGCAGGACTGATCAATCCCAGAGATAGTAGCGCACTGGAGAGATTACCAGTGCAATGGGACATATATTTTCTAAATATGGTTTCACATCAGGCAAGTAAAACAACTAGATAAATAAAAATGTAGATAATTCAATTTTAAAAAAATGAGTACGTCATTGTCTAAAGTCTTTGTTAATTTTTATCAAAATGTATTTCCTCTTGAAAATAACTCGATCTTTTGGACTCTAGAATAAAATGAAGGGCAACCAAAGGTCATATTATTCTGTTGAATATGACACAATTGTCCACTTCCTGGCAGTATCTTTTCCTGTTCTTGTCATTTCATTTCCTCCATGCAGCTAGCCAACTTTTCTACACTTTCTTAGCTATATTACTTAAAACACACTCCTTTTTAATTCCTTTGTAAAGTAACTATCATATTCTCCATAATTCCTTTTGTATATAATATTTGTTACGTGGTCCTCAAAAAGGATATGTATGTATTAGATATTAACTACTGAATATTAGACATTATTTAGATGTTGTCCTAAAACTCAAGAAATAATAGAAAAGCCTTACATAAAATAAATTTTCTAAAATTAAATAAGCAAAGGTCATCCTAAAAATGATATTTAGAAGTACTGCACCTCAACTGAATCTAAAATCAGAAAATTGGAGAGGCTTCAAGATGGCTGACGAGAAGAATCCTCCACAAAGACAAACAAAAATAGAGAGTAAATAATCACACTTTGAAAAGATCATCTATGAGAAAACATTGGCATTCAACAGAGAAGTGACAGGAAACACCTAAAGCAAGGAAGTGGGGGGAAGCTAGGCAGCCTGCTGGCCTGGATCCACTAGGAACACGGAGAGGCTCCCCAATGCAGAAAAAAGAATATGTAAGAGACCCTCAGCAGTCCACATTCCCACAATGAACTCCTTCACTCCTAGCCAACCCTCATGGACCCTGAGACTAACATAAGAAGCTGATTGGAGACCACACAATAGAATTGCTTTAGAAAGAAAGCTCGGGCTGGGTTCCATATACCCTGCAAGTCCTAAGCAGCTACAGCATGGTGCCATTATGAGAACCAAACCTCCACCAAACTCCATTCTACTCTGGAGCCAAACAGCCCTTGCATCTCCACATTTCTGGAGCTCCACTGACATCCCTATCCACAGCCACTGCCACAGCTAGCTGCTGCTGCCAGGGCCAAAGTATGAGCACTGGCAGCAACCCCACTGGCCCCAGCAGAACAGCCACACATTTTCACATGCCCTAAGAAAAGACTTACCAGTTCACAGTCACTAGCATTGATGGCTGCCACCACCAGGGCCCAAGTGCAAACCACTGGCAGTGACCTTGCTGCCCCCAGTATCAGAACCACTTAACAGCTATAAGCCCTCTGAGCATAGGTTATATTGCCAACAGCTGCCACCTGAGGCCAAAGTACATGCTCTCCAGCCACCTACTTACGGCTGCTGCCACTAAATGTAACCCTGCCCTCCCCAGTGATAAGTCTGCAGTGCAGCTGCTGCTTTCCCCACTCAAATATTCCACCTGCATCCTGGGATCACCCTGCCCCTGACTACCATAGCCAGTGCCTGCACACACCACCAGTGACCCTGAAGCCAGGTCTGCCCAGTCCAGCTCTGTCCCTCCCAGTGCCCAAGCATGCCATCAGAGACATGGGTATCACCCAGCCCCATCCACTGCCATTGGCACCTAGGAATTCCTCCTGGGTACCTGAGGTCAGGCCCACCCAACCTGCCACTACCACCACAACTAGCACTAAGCAGCACACACCATCTGCTGGCCTAGTGACTGGCCTGACCAGCCCACTGCAACCACTAACAACACCAATGCATACCACTTGGGAGCCAGAAGGTTGCCCTGCCACTGCCATTGCCATTGCCCAAGCCACACCTGCTTGCCAGGGACTCAAGAACACACTCTCTTAACTGGCTCACTGCTACCACTAATGGCACCTGAGCAAGAATCCTAGAAGCCCAAGAATAGGCTTGCCTGGACTCACTAACACTGATGCCAGTATACAACACTCTGGGGCCCAAGGACAGTCATGCTCAGCTTACACTAACACCACTGGGGCTTGAGGACTGGGCCACCTGGCATCTTCATCGCCAGCAAGATCTCACCACAACCTCCACTAACCGACATAGCCTAAGCCCCTGAGGAAATCACAGATATGACTGACACTGTTTATAGCCAAAGAAATTGTACACAGACTACACTACTGTACATAAGCAGACTGAAAGCCAAAGTGCCCTACCCAGCCAACACCATAGATACATCTTCAAGAAAAAGTCCTCTCATATTAAAACATTTTTTTTTTTAAAAATGGAAGAAGTGACTATTATACCAGATGCACAGATATCAATGTAAGGACACAAGAAACGAAAAAACAAGAAAATATAACATTTCCAAAAGAACACAATAATTCTCCAGCAACAGATTCCAGTGAAATAGAACTTTATAAAATGTCAAAAAAAGAATTCAAAATAATGATTTTTTTAAAAGCTCAGTGGGATGCAAAAGCACAAAAGCAAACAATACAAAGAAGTCAGAACAGCAATTCAGGACATGAATGAGAAATTCATCAGGTAGAGAGAATTCATGAAAAAGATCCAAACAGAAATTCTGTAACTGAAGGATTTATGGAATGAAATAAAAAATGCACTCAAAAGATTCCATAATATATTAAATCAAGCAGAAGAATTTCATAAATGCAAATAGGTGACATAATTTAGTCAAACAAAAGTTTTAAAAAATAAAATAAATAAGAATGAACAAAGTCTACATAGCATATGGGACACAATAAAGTGACCAAATATTTTAATTTTCCATGTCCCAGAAGGCAAAGTGAAAACCAAAGGGATAGAAAACATATTTAGTGAAATAATAGCCAAAAACTTTACCAGTCTAGCATCTGGATACTGGAAGATCAGAGAACCCCAAAAATATTCAGTTCAAAAGGTCTTCTTCAAGAAATATTATAGTCAAGCTGTTAAAAGTCAAAGACAAAGAGAGAATTCTAAAAACAGCAAGAGAAAACATCTAGACATTTATAAGGGAATTTTCATCAGACTAACAGTAGATTTTTCAGCAGAAACCTTACAAGTCAGGGAGGAATTGGAAGATACATTCGAAGTGCTAAAAGGGGAAAAACAGAAACCAAAACAACAAAAACCACCCTTCAAGAGTACCACACCCAGCGAAGTTATCCTTCATAAATTAAGGAGAAATAAAGTCTTTCTCAGACAAGCAAAAGCCGAGGGAATTCATTATCTCTACACTGGCCATACTAGAAATGCTTAAGAGAGTCCTAAACCTGGAAGTGGAACAACAAAATCTACCACCGAGAAAATGCATGGAAGTATGATACTCATTGGTAGAACAAACACACAAATAAGGAAAAGAAAGAACTCAAATGCTACCACCACAGAGAACCATGAAACTACAATTATAAACAAAAACAGAAAAAGAAAGGAACAAAGGATATCTAAAACATACAAAAATGAAAGAACAAAACAGGAATAAGCTCTCATATATCAATAATAAACTTAAATGTAAATGGATTAAATTTTCCACTTAAAAGATATGGACTGGCTGAATGGATTGAACCAAAATGAACAACTATATGCTACCCACAAGAAATTCATCTCGTCAGTAAAGACATATAAACTGGAAGTCAAGGTGTGAAAAAATATATTCCAGGCAAACAGAAAATAAAAGCAAGCAGAAGTAGCTATACTTGTAACAGATAAAACAGACTTTAAGTCAGAAACAGTAAAAAGAGAAAAGAAAGTTATTATATAATGATAAAGAGATCAGTACAGGAGAAGGATATAATAATTCTAAACATATATTCACCCAACAATGAAACATCCACATATAGAAAGCAAATGTCATTAGATCTAAAGGAAGAGATGGACTCCAATACAAAAATAGTTGGGAAGCTCAACAAGCCAAATTTCAGCATTAGACAGATCATTTAGGCATAAAATTAACACAGAAACATGGGATTTTAACTGCATTTTATATCAAATGGACCTAACAGACAATTAGAAAGCATTTCCTCTAACAGCTACAGAATATACATTTTTCTAATCAACACATGGAACATTCTCCAGAATAGACTACATTAGGACACCAAACAATTCCTGACATTTTAAAATATTGAAATCTATTAAGTATCTTCTCAGACCACAATGAAATAAAACTGGAAAACAATAACAAAAGAAACTTGGGAAACTGTACAAATAAATGGGAATTAAACAACATGCTCCTGAGTGACCATTGGGTCAAGGAATAAATGAAAGAGGAATTTTAAAAACCTGGAAATACTTGAAAATCAAAACATGACACAGCAAAACCTATGGGATACATCAAAAGCATTACTAAGAGGAAAGTTTATAGCAGTAAACAACTATATCCAAAAAGTAGAAAGATTTCAAATAAACAATCTAATCATACACCTCAAGAAACTAGAAAAGCAAGAAAAAACAAGCTCAAAATTAGTAGAAGGAAAGAAATAATAAAAATCAAAGCAGAATTAAATGCAATAGAGACTTTAAAAAATACAAAGATTAGTGAAATGAAACATTGATTTTTTTTTGAAAAAATAAAAGCAATACATCACTAGCAGGACTCACCAAGAAGAGAGAAAACCCTATTTAATAAAATCAGAAATGAAAGAGACATAAGACTGATACCACAGAAATATAAAATATCATCAGAGACAATTATGAACAACTATACACTGAAAAACTGGAAAACCTAGAGGAAATAATAAATTCCTGGACACATACAGCCTACCAAGATTAAATAAGAAATAAACAGAAAACCTGAGCAGACCTATAACAAGTCATACCATTGAATCCATAATGTCTCCAAAAAAGCAAAGCCCAGAACCAGATGGCCTCACTTGCCAAATTCTACCAAACTTACAATGTAGAACTAATACCAATTCTTTTCAAACTATTCCAAAAAAAAATTTAAAAGGAATTCTCCCTAACTCATTTTATCTGGCTAGAATTACCCTGATACTAAAACCAGACAAAGATGCAACAAAAACAGAAAACTACAGGCCGATATCCCTGATAAATATAGACACAAAAATTCTCAAAATACTAGCAAAACAAATCCAACAACAAATCAAAAAGATAATATACCATGATCTCCTGGGATTCATCCCAGGGATGCAAGGACAGTTCAACATATGATAATGAATTTGATACATCATATCAACAGAATGAAAGACAAAAACCATATGATCATCTCAATAAATTGCAGAAAAAGCATTTAATAAAATTCAATGTCCCTTTATGATAAAAACTTTCAACAATGTAGATACAGAAAGAACATATTTCAACATAATTAAGGCCGTGTATAACAACCCCACACATTGAATGGGGAAAAGCTGAGAGCCTTCCCTCTAAGAAGTGGAGTAAAACAAGGATGCCCATTTTTACCCCTCCTATTCGACACAGTATTACATGTCATAGCTAGGGCAATCAGGCAAGAGAAAGAAATAAAAGGCACCCAAATCAGAAAAAAAGGAAATCAGATTGTTCCTTCTGCAGATGACAGGATCTTATAACTAGAAAAACCGAAAGACTCCACCAAAATCTCTCAGACCTGATGAATAAATTTGGTAGGGTTGCAGGATACAAAATCAACCTAGAAATATCCATAGTGTTTTTTGTTTTTTTGTTTTTGTTTTTGAGATGGAGTCTCGCTCTGTCACCCAGGCTGGAGTGCAGTGGCGCGATCTTGGCTCACTGCAAGCTCTGCCTCCCAGGTTCACACCATTCTCCTGCCTCAGCCTCCTGAGCAGCTGGGACTACAGGTGCCGGCCACCATGCCCGTCTAATTTTTTGTATTTTTTTCTTTTAGTAGAGAAGTGTTTTCACCATTTTAGCCAGGATGTTCTTGATCTCCTGACCCCATGTTCCGTGTGCCTTGGCCTCCCAAATTTCTGGGATTACAGGCGTGAACCACCCTGCTCAGCCAGAAAATATCCATAGTGTTTATATGCACCAATAATGAACCAGCTGAGAAAGAAATCAAGAAGGCAATCTCATTTGCAATAGCTACAAAAAAGGAGACATAGGAGTAAATTCAACCGCAAAGGTGAAAGTCCTCAACAAGGAAAATTACAAAACACTGATGAAATAAATGAAAAAGAACACAAAAAAAATGGAAAGTCATCCTAAGCTCATAAATCAGAAGAATGAATATCATTAACGTGACCATACTGCCCAAAGCAATCTACATATTCAATGCAATCCGTATCAAAATACCAATGACATTCATCACAGAATTAGAAAAAAAAAATCCTAATATTCATATGGAACCAAAACAGAGCTTGAATAGCCAAAGAATTCCTTAGCAAAAGGAAAAAAACTGGAGACATCACACTTTCTGACTTCAAAATATGTTCCAAGGATATAGTAACCAAAACAGCATGATACTGGTATAAAAACACATACACCAACAAAACAGAATGGAGAACTCGGAAATAAGTCAATGTCTTTACAGCCAACGGATTTGTCTTTATTATAGACATTTCTGATAGATTTTCTAGCTTTTTAAATTAGAATAAAACATACACAATACATTAAATAATTCACTGAAAAGCCATTTTAATAAAATAAAGCTATTACCAATGAGGAAATAAATCTTTCCAATGTTATATAAAAATAAGTAAAGTATAATATATTTTTCTTTTCACTGCTGTCATGGTTTAGGTGCAGAATTGCTGTATGGATTGCTTCCAAGATGTTACAGCAAAAGATACGAGAAAATTTTAACCAGAGAAATAATTTATCCATAGCATTTAATCTATATATGCTTTAATATTACAATTAAATTATTATCTAAAGTAATAGGAATCTCTGAAGATTGTCAATTTTAAACTTAAAAATAGAAAAGGATGGTAATTAGCAGTGTAATGAAGATCGTACATGGTCAGTCAATGTGATTTGCAACTTCAGAAATACAGCTTTGAAGTTAATTCAACAGTTATAAAAGAGGAAGAGTTTTAGATTACAAGTATAGCAGATAAACTTTTCCATATTATATACCATGCTTCATTGAACTGAATATCCAATGAAAGCAGAAAATATTGTAAACAAAATTTTGGTGAACATCTTAAGTCAGAATATTAAATCTTGGTCTCTTAGTCATATAAGTGTGCATTACTCCATTTTCATGCTGCTGATAAGAACATACAAAAGACTAGGCAATTTACAAAAGAAAGAAGTTTAATGGACTTACATTCTACATGGCTGGGGAGGCCTCACGATTATGGTGGAAGGTAAGGAGGAGTAAGTCACATCTTACTGGAAAGCAGCAGGCAGAAAGAGAGCTTGTGCAGAGAAACTCCATTTTTAATACCATCAGATCTCATGAGACTTATTCACTATCATGAAAACAGCACAGGAAAGACCTGCCCCCATGATTCATTTACCTCACACTGGATCCCTCCCACAACACGTGGGAATTCAAGATGAGATTTGGGTTTGGACACAGCCAAACCATACCATTCCACCCCGGCCCCTTGCAAATCTCATGTCCTCACATTTCATACCAAATGTCTTCCCAACAGTCTCCCAAAGTCTTAACTCATTACAGCATTAACTCAAAATTCCACAGTCCAAAGTCTCATCCAAGACAAAGCAAGATCCTTCAGCCTATGAGCCTGTAAAATCAAAAGTGAGTTAGTTACTTCCTAGATACAATGGGGGTACAGACATTGGGGTAAATACAGCCATTCTAAATCAGAGAAATTGGCCAAAACAAAGGGGCTACAGGCCTCATGCAAGTCCAAAATTCAGCAATGCAGTCAAATCTTAAAGCTCCAAAATGATCCCCTCTGACTCCATGTGCCATATCCAGGTCACGCTGATTCAAGAGGTGGGTTCCCATGGTCTTGGACAGATCTGCCTCTGTGGCTTTGCAGGGTACAGCCTCCCTCCTAGCTGCTTTCATGGGACGGTGTTGAGTGTTTGTGGCTTTTCTAGGAGCATGGTACAAGCTGTCAGTGGATCTACCATTCTGGGGTCTGAAGGATGGTATCCCTCTTCTCACAGATTCACTAGGCAGTGCCCCATTAGGGACTCTATGTGGGGACTCCAACCACACATTTCCCTTTCACACTGCCCTAGCAGAGGTTCTCCATGAGAGCCCCTGCAGCAAAATTCTGCCTGGACATCCAGGCATTTCCACACATCCTCTGAAATTTAGGTGGAGATTCCCAAACCTCAATTCTTGACTTCTGTGCACCTGCAGGCTCAACACCATGTAGACGCTGCCAATGCTTGGGGCTTACCCCCTTTGAAGCTATGGACCCCTGTACCTGGGCCCCTTTTAGTCACAGCTGGAGTGGCTGGGATGCAAGGCACCAAGTCCTTAGACTGCACATAGCATGGGGACCCTGTGCCCAGCCAACAAAACCATTATTTCCTCCTAGGCCTCCAGGCCTGTGATTAGAGGGGCTGCCATGAAGACCTCTGATGTGCCCTGGAGACATTTTTTTCATTGTCTTAGGGATGAACATTTGGCTCCTGATTACTTATGCAAGTTTCTGCAGTGAGCTTGAATTTATCCTCAGAAAATGGGATTTTCTTTCCTATTGCATTGTCAGGCTGCGAGTTTTTTGAACTTTTCTGCTCTGTTTCCCTTTTAAAACTGAACGCCTTTAACAGTACCCAAGTCACCTCTTGAATGCTTTGCTGCTTAGAAATTTCTTCTGCCAGATATCCTAAATCATCTCTCTCTATTTCAAAGTTCCACAAATCACTACTGCAGTGGCAAAATGCCACCAATCTCTTTGCTAAAACATAACAAGAGTCACCTTTGCTCCAGTTCCAAACAAGTTTCTCATCTCCATCTGAGACCACCTCAGCTTGAACCTTATTGTTCATATCATTATCAGCATTTTTGTCAAAACCATTCAACAAGTCTCTGGAAGTTCTAAACTTTCCCACATTTTCCTGTCTTCTGAGCCCCCCAAACTGTTCCAACCTCTGCCTACTACCCAGTTCCAAAGTTGCTTACACATTTTTGGGTATCTTTTCAGTAACACCCCACTCCTGGTACTGATTTACTGTATTATTCCTTTTTCATGCAGCTGATAAAGACAAACCTGAGACTGGGAAATTTACAAAAGAAAG
This sequence comes from Homo sapiens, assembly GCF_000001405.40. Taxonomy (NCBI): domain Eukaryota; kingdom Metazoa; phylum Chordata; class Mammalia; order Primates; family Hominidae; genus Homo; species Homo sapiens. The sequence continues at coordinate 87,786,120 of NC_000008.11, forward strand.
AAGTTTAATGGACTTACAGTTCCACATGATGGGGGAAGCCTCAAAATCATGGCGGAAGGCAAGGAGGAGCAAGTCACATCTTACATGGATGGCAGCAGGCAAAAAGAGAGCTTGTGCAGGGAAACTCCAGTTTTTAAAACCATCAGATATCATGAGACTTATTCAGTATCACAAGACAGCACGGGAAAGACCTGCCCCCGTGTTTCAATTACCTCCCACCAGGTTCCTCCCACAACACATGGGAATTCAAGATGAGATTTGAGTGGGGACACAGTCAAACCATATCAAAGTGCATAAGTGTTTGAAGAGATTTTCTTTAAAAATAAAAATAATCATTTTTTAAAATCTTAGAATTATAGAACTCTACTAAGGTATAGACTTGATGTGTTTCTCGTAGAATGCATGTACCTTGAGTTCTTGCGATGCATGAGTTTAAGCAAGTTAAAGTAACCATCTATGTTTTTAATACACCATATTAAACTTTGGTTGAGAATGCACGGGATGAAATAAACAATGAGAAAGGGACAAAAATGACAGAGAAACAGACACTTTTTGCCTATTTTTTAAAATTTAAATAATTTTTAATTTGAAGGACAAATATATTAAACACAGGGCAAATACACCTTTGTAAGAGAGCATGGCTCCAAAAGAGTGTTGCCAACTTATTTTTGGTTGGTATGTTTTTCCTCTAGAAAAATGACATTTAATTCTTTATTTTCCTTTTTTTTTTTTTTTTTTGAATGGATGGGATTGTGGGGTAGGAGAAAAGACGTTATCCATTTTAATGTTAGAAAAAGCAGCCTCAGCTTCTACTTATAGTCTCTTTCTCTCATGTCCTCACAACCCTAGGTCTAATCTTTAAAATTCTTTTTCTCCACCTCTGTCTCAACCTCACTGTGGTTTACATATGGACAAACACACACAAACACTTACACTTATTTCTTCCTCAGCAGTATTCCATTTTTAAAAGATATAAACATAGTTCTTTTATAAAAAGAATTTGAACTTTTTAAAGAATAAGTAAAACTTCAATCCTGAAAATGATTGAACATTTTTGAAATACTGATATACTTTGGAGAATATTTTTAATAATCAAAAGTAATCTTGATTGACTTATTTTTCATCTAGGAAATGGAAATATACATCCAATCTTAGACTGAAGCAACCAAATGTAGTCACTTCGGTGCCTGCCCTTGTAACTTTATATTCATGTATTGTTATGTGATAATATAATCCATAGGCATGTGAACCAGGATATATAACCATTTTTCTTATAAATGTTAGAGGATATTAAGAGCAACTACACAATGAAGACAAAAGGAAAGAACAAGGGATTTTTCCCCCTCTACTAGATCCAGTGGGAAAAAAAATGTAGCATAGGACTTTGCTTCTATTTCCTTAAACAAATAAAATTGAGGCTATCAATGAGACATAATGAGACAGACCGGTTGATACTAAATTGACCATTTTTTGGGAAGCTCTTTCGTATCATAAACTACCTATCTAGACTGAAAGCAGCATATCTCTGGATATAAAATCAAACTTAATTCATGCCCTGTCATCTAACTGTTTTGTAGAACCTCAATTTAGAATATCCCTTCCCAGTGTGAATAATACTAGAGAGTGCTGGAAAGTACAGCCATAATACAACACAAAATTTCTATTGCCTCATACAAACAGGTACTAGGCATGAGATGGGAGGTACTAGCCATAAGATGGGGACATGGAAAACAATTTTCAAGAAACAAATACATTATGCTCCCTAGTTCGTTAATAAATTTTAAAACATGGAAATCTCACAAAACTGTTTTAGCCTGGGATTGCCTACCATTTATCCATTTGTTTACTAAAATCTGGCTGAATGTAAGGCATTATCACGACTCATTCTTTAACCTGTTTCTCAAATCTATTATGCTCTTAACTCATCTCAAAATTGCTTTGCAAATCTTTTACTCCTATGCTGTGCCATTTTGCTTTCATTGTTAATATACTTTGCCCAGTCATGCTGGATAAAATCTAAACTATAAAGTCACCTTTGATTTGACCTTCAAATTTAGCCCCACATAAATTTTTTGATGAGTTTCCCTCTTTTTATTTTTTTTTTATTTTTATTTTTAGAAGAAACAGCCGTAAAGTTCATTAAAAAAAAAAAAAAGTTGAGGGTAAGACTTCAGTGCTTGGATGTAGCAGCTGAATTACCGGCATTATTTTACCCATAGCTTATTTCAATCTCTTGTTGTTGATATTGTTGTTTGCTTGTCATATTTTTTTTTGTCTTTCCAAGCCTTTTGAGGCTGAGGTCTATTAGTCAGCTCATGTCCCAACTATTTAAGACTAACAGTTAAAGTAACAGTTAGTGTATGAGAAAGTTACCACTGGTAAGGATGAACCAGTTAGGGCTTCTTTAAGTCCTAAGGTCACAACAATCTTTTGAACCTTATCAGTTGGCTTTTCCTGCAATACGGTTTTCTTTGTCACTCCCATAATCTACATCTGGATCATCGTCTTCCTTGTCATACTCATCATAAATTTCTCCATTGATGTCCTCGGCCTCTATCTCTTCTTTGATATGTGGTTCCTCTCCTTTCACAAAAGTGCTCTGGATAACAGGCATCCCAGGCTCTGGGCTGCTGGACAAACTTGAGTGCTCTGAGGGCAGGTGAGGGGAGGGCATTCCAGCCATGGTGATGGCTCCATGGTACACAACACCAGCAGTAGCAATTGGGATCTGTGCTTGTTGCCCAACATTGAAGTACTGCCGCATCTCCTGCTGCCTGTTGTGCATGATTGCCTCGTATTCACCAACGTGCAGCTTTTTGTCATCCATGAGGCAGGTGCACTTTGGTCTAGGCTTGTACTCATAGTCAGGGTACTTCTCCAGGTGCTGCTTGCCAAGACGGGCTTGCTCCTCATATATGGCTGTTTTCTAGGTTTGTCATAGCTTTCCAGTGAGATCCCAATATCTTGCTGATGTTGGAGTCACGCATGCCAGGAAAGGCTTGAAGGATCTTTCTCTGCTCATCTTTAGCCCATATCATGAAGGCGTTCACTGGACGCTTTATGAGGGGTTCATTGCTACCACGCCCCTTGGATTCCCTATAAATTCTTGACTCTGAGACTCCAGCACTTCTATCAGAATCTCCACTCAGATCGAAATCCATCATCGCATGGCTAAATTATCCTTCTTCATTCTGTTTAACAGCCAGTTGCTGAGTCAGACCCTCCACTGTTGTTTTTTCCTTTTCTGTCCAGCAGTTATAGAGACCCAGGCTATTCACAACAGCCACCTTCCCATAAAGCACCTGTTTTTCCCGTTGAAGTTGCTCCTTCATTTGCCGAGCTTCTTGGATTGCCTTGGTGACAGCATCATGGACATTTAAGTAAATTATTGTGCTAACTCTGGCTGAAGGACTACCAAACGCTGCTGCAACACAAGCTTTGAAGGGGCCTGCCCCACTGTTTATTCTCAGAGCTGGCATATAGGGAGAGGTGGGTGATGTGGGTGATTTGCCATCAGAGGTCTTGGGTTTGGCTGATAGGTTCAGCAGCTGTGCCAGTTCATCCTGTATGCACAGCTCCTATGGCACAAATTCGAGTTTCTCTTTATTCAAATGGGTAGGAGACTGAAGAAAAGGAAAACAAAGTTCTAGGAAGATTTGGTGATAAATCTTACTGGTGAGTAAAATAAAGCTTACTGGTGGCATTATTTCATGGGATAGCTGGATACAATGCAAGGTAGAGTTTAGACCTGCATCACCAAATCCTAACAGAATAAATATTTAATAGATGGGAAGCCCATGATAAGAAGCCAAATACTGAGGAAATTAAGAGAAAGAATTGAATTTGGAGGAGTTTTGAACCAGGAAGAAAGGGAAGAGCTAGAGACATTTCCTACTAGAATACCAGGTGTATGTTATAGCATTTCATAGAGTCTCTGGATATTTGAGTTCAATAATATGCTTGGAGAAAGTAATGGAACCAACCAATGGAATATTCTATTTGTAACATATTTCTCAAACAATCTGTGATTTGGTCAAATTGATTTATTTACTATTTTGATGCTGGAGATGATGTGGAGAAATACGAACGCTTTTACACTGTTGGTGGGAGTGTAAGTTAGTTCAACCATTGTGGAAGACAGTCTGGTGATTCCTCAAGGATCTAGAACCAGAAATACCATTTGACCCAGCAATCCCATCACTGGGGATATACCCAAAGGATTATAAATCATTCTACTATAAAGACACATTCACACGTATGTTTATTGCGGCACTGTTGACAACAGCAAAGACTTGGAACCAACCCAAATGCCCATCAATGATAGACTGGAAAAGGAAAATGTGGCATATATACACCATGGAATACTATGCAGCCATAAAAAGGATGAGTTCATGTCCTTTGCAGGGACATGAATGAAACTAGAAACCATTATTCTCAGGAAACTAACGCAAGAACAGAAAACCAAACACTGCACATTCTCACTCATAGGTGGGAGTTGAACAATGGGAACATATGGACACTGGGAGGGGAACATCACATACCAGGGCCTGTCAGGGGGTGGGGGGCTAGGGGAGGGATAACATTAGGAAAAATACCTAATGTAGATGACAGGTTGATGGGTGCAGGAAACCACCATGGCATGTGTATACCTATGTAACAAACCTGCACGTTCTGCACATGTATCCCAGAACTTAAAAGTATAATAAATAAATAAACAAAAAGAAGTATTTACTGTTTCTTATATAGCTCTTGAACTTTTCTACTTGTGTCTTGGCATTCCATATTTACTGCAATCTGTTAATATTTAAACCCTACCATCTAAAAAAAAGCCTCAATGCAAATATTTAAAATCTACCTTTTTTCTGAAGATAATCAGTTTGCCCTGATTTGGAAATAACTTATTTTGGCTTTGAACACACATAAAACTTATTTTCCAATTATTGTAATACTTATGAGATAAATATATTTCATATAGTTAAAACATATGAACACTGTATTATATACATATGTGGGGTAGGTGTTATGTGTGCACAGACCTGCAATAATTCCCCTTCTACTTTGGTAAGTATTTTGAAGCCTCTTTTATCTTTATGAGTTCTCATTATCATTGTATTTCACGTTATAGATGCCTAGTAGAAATGGGTTGAATAAATGAATAAAGGAAGAAGTTAGGAATGGAATAAAGAAGAAAAGAATTCAATGGCTAGGTAAACAGTGCATCTTTAAGGACAACTAACCCACCTCTGCCATGTGAAATTTCCTTTACATTATCCTTTCCCTTCTTCTGTTGACAGTAAATATTAGGTTAAAAAGATAAGATAACTGAGAAGATGGTGGAGTAGGAAACACCAGAGACGTGTCTCTTCACCTGTACAACAATACACTGGCATGATCTGCCTGATGTAACATTTTTGGAACTCTAGATTCATTGCACATGCTCAGGGGAAGGTTCAGGCTCAGAAAAAAACCTGAGATCTCCATTTCATACCACAGGCTGATTCTCACCACAGAGACAAATTTTTACAACAACTAATAAATCAAAACATTTTACAAAATCAAATCAAAATAAAAGAACAAATCCTGGGAAAGGAGAGAATTTGATCTCCAGAGTTACCACATTATTAGATTCAAATTTCCAGTTTGCAATGATAAAAATCACAAGGCATACAAAGAAAAAGGAAAATATAACCCATTCAAGGAGAAAATAAAATAAACAAACAGAAACTTTTCCTTAAAAAAAGACCTAATGGCAGATCTACTAGACAAAGGTTTTAAAACAACTGCATTAAATGTAGTAATGATGCTCAAAGAACTTAATGAAGATGAGAAGAAAGTTAAGAAAAAAATATATAAACAAATTGGATTATCAATAAAGAGACAGAAAACATAAGGAGAAACTAAAAAGAAATCCCCAAACTGAAAAGTACAACTGAAATGAAAAATTCACTACAGAAATTCAAAAGCAGATTTGAGTAGGAAGGTAAAAGAATCACCAAACTTGAGGGTAGGATAATGGAAATTATCAAGTTTGAGGAACACACACAAAAAAAATTGAAGAAAAGTAAACAGAGCCTAAGAAACTTGTGGGACAAGATAAAACAGACCAATCTATACATTGAGGGAATTCCAGCAGAAGAAGAGAAAGAGATAAGGATAGAGAGGCTGTTTGAAGAAATAATGACCAAAAACTTCCTAAATTCAACAAAAGACATAAATATATAAGAAGCTCAAAAAAACTCCAAGTAGGATGACTTGAAAGAGACCTACACTGAGATATATTATTATCAAATTATTGAATGATGCAGAATTTTGAAAGCAACAAAACAGAAGTGACTCATCACATACAACTTCTCCTCAATCAGATTATTGGCATATTTCTCATTATAAATTTTGAAAGCCATGCTATAGACTGAATGTTTGTGTCCTTCCAAAACAAATGTGTTGAGGTCCTAATCCCCAAGATGGAATTTGGAGGTGGGTTCTTTGGGAGGTAATTAAATCATGAAGGTGGAGCTCTATTGAATGGGATTAATGGCCTTACAAGAAGAGACATAAATGAGACCATCTCTCTCTGACACGTGAAGACCAAGAAGGCAACTATCCTCAGGCAAGGAAGAGGTCCATCACCAGAACACAACCATGCTAAAACTCTGATGTCAGACTAGTCAGAAATAAATGACTTTTTTTAAGCTATCCAACTCATGGTATTTTGATATGGCAGGCCAAGCTAACTAAGACAGGGCAGAAGACAATGGGCTGACATATTCAAAGTGCCAAAAGAAAAAAAGTTTCAACCAAGAATCCTATATCTGGTAAAACTGCCCTTTAAAACATAAAAAGAAATGAAGGCATTCCTAGAAAACAAAAGCTGAGAAAGTTCATTACCACTAGACCTGCCCTGCAAAATGCTAAAAGGAGTCCTGCAGGTTGAAATAAAAAGACACTAGAGAGTAACTTTAAGCCATGTAAAGAAATAAAGATCTCAGGGAATGTGTAAGTAATTAAAAATAGCTATAATTGGGGCATTCCAAGATGGCCAAATAGGAAGAGCTCCGGTCTGCAACTCCCAGTGTGATCAACGCAGAAGATGGGTGATTTCTGCATTTCCAACTGAGATACCTGGTTCATCTCATTGGGACTGGTTGAACAGTGGGTGCAGCCCACGGAGGGTGAGCTGAAGCAGGGTAGGGCATCGCCTCACCAGGGAAATGTGAGGAGTTGGGGGATTTCCCTTTCCTAGCCAAGGGAAGCTATGACAGACCGTACCTGGAAAATCGCGACAATCCCGCCCAATTACTGTGCTTTTCCAATGGTCTTAGCAACCAGCAGACAAGGTGATTCTCTCCTGTGCCTGGCTCAGCAGCTGCCACGCCCATGGAGCCTTGCTCACTGCTAGCGCAGCAGTCTGAGATTGATCTGTGAGATGGCTGCCTGGCTGGGGGAAGGGCGTCCGCCATTGCTGAGGCTTCAGTAGGTAAACAAAGTGGCCAGGAAGCACGGATTGGGTGGAGCCCACCGCAGCTCAACAAGGCCTACTGCCTCTAGACTCCACCTCTGTGGGCAAGGCATAGATGAACAAAAGGCAGCAGACAACTTCTGCAGACTTAAACATCCCTGTCTGACAGCTCTGAAGAGAGCAGTGGTTCTCCCAGCATGGTGTTTGAGTGCTGAGAACGGGCAGACTGCCTCCTCAAGTGGGTCCCTGACCCCCACGTAGCCTAACTGGGAGACACCTCCCAGTAGGGACCGACAGACACCTCATATAGGCGGCTGCCCCTCTGGGACAAAGTTTCCAGAGGAAGGATCAGGCAGCAATATTTGCTGTTCTGCAATATTCAGTGTTCTGCACCCTCCACTGGTGATACCCAGGAAAACAGGGTCTGGAGTGGAACTCCAGCAAACTCCAACAGACCTGCAGCTGAGCGACCTGTTAGAAGGAAATCTAACAAACAGAACGGAATAGCATCAACATCAACAAAAAAATCATTTACACCAAAACCCCATCTGTAGGTCACCAACATCAAAGACCAAAGGTAGATAAAACCACAAAGATGGGAAGAAACCAGAGCAGAAAAGTTGAAAATTCTAAAAATCAGAGCATCTCTTCTCCTCCAAAGGACTGCAGTTCCTTGCCAGCAATGGAACAAAGCTGGATGGAGAAGGACTGTGATGAGTTGACAGAAGTGGGCTTCAGAAGGTCGGTAATAACAAACTCCTCTGAGCTAAAGGAGGATATTTGAACCCATTGCAAGGAAGCTAAAAATGTTGACAAAAGATTAGATGAATGGCTAACTAGAATAAACAGTGTAAAGAAGACCTTAAATGACCTGATGGAGCTGAAAACTATGGCAGGAGAACTTTGTGACGCATGCACAAGCTTGAATAGCCGATTTGATCAAGTGGAAGAAAGGGTATCAGTGACTGAAGATCAAATTAATGAAATAAAGCAAGACAAGGTGAGAGAAAAAAAGAGTAAAAAGAAATGAACAAAGCCTCCAAGAAATATGGGACTATGTGAAAAGACCAAATCTATGTTTGATTGATTACCTGAAAGTGATGGGGAGAACGGAACCAAGTTGGAAAACACTCTTCAGGATATTATCCAGGAGAACTTCCCCAACTAGTAAGGTAGGCCAACATTCAAATTCAGGAAATACAGAGAACACCACAAAGACACTCCCTGAGAAGAGCAACCCCGAGACACATAATTGTCAGATTCACCAAGGTTGAAATGAAGGAAAAAGTGTTAAGGGCAGCCAGAGAGAAAGGTCGAGTTACCCGCAAAGGGAAGCCCATCAGATTAATAGCAGATCTCTCGGCAGAAACCATAAAAGCCAGAAGAGAGTGGGGGCCAATATTCAACACTCTTAAAGAAAAGTGCTTTCAACCCAGAATTTCATATCCAGCCAAACTAAGCTTCATAAGTGAAGGAGAAATAAAATCCTTTACAGACAAGCAAATGCTGAGAGACTTTGTCACCACCAGGCCTGCCTTACAAGAGCTCCCGAAAGAAGCACAAAACATAGAAAGAAACAACCAGTACCAGCCACTGGAAAAACAGGCCAAATTGTAAAGACCATCAATGCAATGAAGAAACTGCATCAATTAATGGGCAAAATAACCGATGAACATCATAATGACAGGATCAAATTCACACATAACAATATTAACCTTAAATATAAATGGGATAAATGCCCCCAATTAAGAGGCACAGACTGGCAAATAGGACAAAGAGTCAAGACCCATCAGTGTGCTATATTCAGGAGACCCACCTCACATGCAAAGATGCACGTAGACTCAAAATAAAGGGATAGAGGAAGATCTACCAAGCAAACGGAAAGCAAAAAAAAAGCAGGGGTTGCAATCTTAGTCTCTGATAAAACAGACTTGAAACCAACAAAGATCAAAAGAGACAAAGAAGGCCATTACATAAAGGTAAAGGGATCAATTCAACAAGAAGAGGTAACTATCCTAAATATATATGCACCCAAAACAGGAGCAGCCAGATTTATAAAGGAAGTCGTCAGAGACCTAAAAAGAGACCTAGACACCCACACAATAATAATAGGAGACTTTAACTTCCCACTGTCAATATTAGACAGATCAACGAGACAGAAGGTTAACAAGGAGATCCAGGATCTGAACTCAGCTCTGCAACAAGCAGACCTAATAGAAATTTAAAGAACTCTCCACCCCAGATCAACAGAATATATATTCCTCTCAGCACCATGTCGCACTTATTCTAAAATTGACCACATAATTGGAAGGAAGCACTCTTAAAAGAACAGAAATCACATCAAACTGTCTCTCAGGCCACAGTGCAATCAAATTAGAACTCAGAATTAAGAAACTCACTCAGAACCGCATAACTACATGGAAACTGAACAACCTGCTCCTGAATGACCACTGGGTAAATAATGAAATGCAGGCAGAAATAAAGATTTTCTTTGAAATTAATGATAACACAGACACAACGTACCAGAATCTCTGGGACACATTTAAAGCAGTGTGTAGAGGGAAATTTATGGCACTAAATGCCCACAAAAGAAAGCAGGAAAGATCTAAAATCGACACCCTAACATCACAATTAAAAGAATTATGGAGGTAAGAGCAAACAAATTCAAAAGGTAGCAGAAGGCAAGAAATAACTAAGATCAGAGCAGAACTGAAAGAGATAGAGACACAAAAACCCCTTCAAAAAAATCAATGACTCCAGGAGCTGGTTTTTTGAAAAGATCAACAAAAGTGATAGACTGCTAGCAAGATTAATGGAGAAGAAAAGAGAGAAAACTCAAACAGATGCAAAAAAAAAAATGATAAAGGGGATATCACCACCGATTCTGCAGAAACACAAACTACCATCAGAGAATACTATAAACACCTCTATGCAAATAACTAGAAAATCTAGAAGAAATGGATTAATTCCTGGACACAGACACCCTCCCAAGACTAAACCTGGAAGATGTTGAATCTCTGAATAGACCAATAACAGGCTCTGAAATTGATGCAATAATTAATAGCTTACCAACCAAAAAACCTCCAGGACCAGACGGATTGACAGCCAAATTCTACCAGAGGTACAAAGAGAAGCTGGGACCATTCCTTCTGAAACTATTCCAATCAACAGAAAAAGAAGGAATCCTCGCTAACTCATTTTATGAGGCCAGCATCATCCTGATACCAAAGCCTGGCAGAGACACAACAAAAAAGAGAATTTTAGACCAATATCCCTGATGAACATTGATGCAAAAATCCTCAATAAAATACTGGCAAACCAAAGCCTGGCAGGACACAACAAAAAAGAGAATTTTAGACCAATATCCCTGATGAACATTGATGCGAAAATCCTCAATAAAATACTGGCAAACCGAATCCAGCAGCACATCAAAAAGTTTATCCACCACGATCAAGTCAGCTTCATCCCTGGGAGGCAAGGCTGGTTCAACATACACAAATCAATAAAAGTAATCCATCACATAAACAGAACCAACGACAAAAACCACATGATTATCTCAATAGATGCAGAAAAGGCCTTCAACAAAATTCAACAGTGCTTCATGCTAAAAATTCCCAATAAACTAGGTATTGATGGAATGTATCTCAAAATAATAAGAGCTATTTATGACAAACCCACAACCAATATCATACTGAATGGGCAAAAACTGGAAGCATTCCCTTTGAAAACTGGCACAAGACAAGGATGCCCTCTCTCACCACTCCTATTCAACATAGTGTTGGAAGTTCTGGCCAGGGCAATCAGGCAACAGAAACAAAGAAAGGGTATTCAATTAGGAAATGAAGAAGTCAAATTGTCCCTGTTTGCAGACAACATGGTTGTATATTTAGAAAACCCCATTGTCTCAGCCCAAAATCTCCTTAAGCTGATAAGTAACTTGAGCAAAGTCTCAGGATACAAAATCAATGTGCAAAAATCACAAGCATTCCTATACATCATTAACAGACAAACAGAGAGCCAAATCATGTGTGAACTCCCATTCACAATTGCTACAAAGAGAATAAAATACCTAGGAATCCAACTTACAAGAGATGAGAAGGACCTCTTCAAGGAGAACTACAAACCACTGCTCAAGGAAATAAAAGAGGATACAAACAAATGGAAGAATATTCCATGCTCATGGATGGGAAGAATCAGTATCGTGAAAATGGCCATACTGCCCAAAGTAATTTATAGATTCAATGCCATCCCCATCAAGCTACCAATGACTTTCTTCACAGAATTGGAAAAAACTACTTTAAAGTTCATATGGAATCCAAAAAGAGCCCACGTTGCCAAGACAATCCTAAGCAAAAAGAACAAAGCTGGAGGCATCACACTACCTGACTTCAAGCTATACTACAAGGCTATGATAATCAAAACAGCATGGTACTGGTACCAAAATAGATATATAGACCAATGGAACAGAACAGAGGCCTCAGAAATAACACGACACATCTACAACCATCTGATCTTGACAAACCTGACAAAAACAAGAAATGGAGAAAGGATTCCCTATTTAATAAATGGTGCTGGGAAAACTGGCTAGCCATATGTAGAAAGCTGAAACTGGATCCCTTCCTTGCACCTTATACAAAAATTAATTCAAGATGGATTAAAGACTTAAATGTTAGACTTAAAACCATAAAAACCCTAGAAGAAAACCTAGGCATTACCATTCAGGACATAGGCATGGGCAAGGACTTCATGACTAAAACACCAAAAGCAATGGCAACAAAAGCCAAAATAAACAAATGGGATCCAATTAAACTAAAGAGCTTCTGCACAGCAAAAGAAACTACCATCAGAGTGAACAGGCAACCTACAACATGGGAGAAAATTTTTGCAACCTACCCATCTGACAAAGGGCTAATATCCAGAATCTACAAAGAACTCAAACAAATTTACAAGAAAAAAACAAACAACCCCATCAAAAAGTGGGCAAAGGATATGAACAGATGACTCTCAAAAGAACACACCTATGCAGCCAACAGACACATGAAAAAATGCTCATCATCACTGGTCATCAGAGAAATGCAAATCAAAACAACAATGAGATACCATCTCACCCCAGTTAGAATGGCAATCATTAAACAGTCAGGAAACAAAAGATGCTGGAGTGGATGTGGAGAAATAGGAACGCTTTTACCCTGTTGGTTGGAGTGTAAATTAGTTCAACCATTATGGAAGTCAGTGTGGCGATTCCTCAAGGATCTAGAACTAGAAATACCATTTGACCCAGCCATCCCATTACTGGGTATATACCCAAAGGATTATAAATCATGCTCCTATAAAGACACATGCACATGTATGCTTATTGCAGCACTGTTCACAATAGCAAAGACTTGGAAACAACCCAAATGTCCATCAATGATAGACTGGATTAAGAAAATGTAGCACATATACACCATGGAATACTATGCAGCCATAAAAAAGGATGAGTTCAGGTCCTTTGCAGGGATATGGATGAAGCTAGAAACCATCATTCTCAGCAAACTATCACAAGGACAGAAAATGAAACACCGCATGTTCTCACTCATAGGTGGGAATTGAACAATGAGATCACTTGGACGCAGGGCAGGGAACAAACATCACACACAGGGCCCTGTCGGGGGGTTGGGAGGTTGGGGGAGGGATAGCATTAGGAGAAAAACCTAATGTAAATGATAAGTTGATGGGTGCAGCAAACCAACATGACATGTATACCTATGTAGCAAACCTGCACGTTGTGCACATGTACCATAGAACTTAAAGTATAATTTAAAAAACAATTAAAAATAGCTATAATTACTGCAAAAATAATGTGTAACTCACTTTTTGTTTTCTACATGATTTAACAAACTAAGATACTTCAAGAATTATTAGTCTAAATGCTAGTATTATTGTACCTTTGGTTTATAACCCTGCATTTCATTTTCTAGGTAACATAAGAGACTAATATGTTTTTTAAATGAGTTTATGTTTGTAGACACACAATGTATAAAGATGTAATTTTGTGACATCACCAACTGAAAGTAGTAAGGGTGGGACTGCTAATGGAGCAAAATTTTTGTATGTTCTTGATGTTAAGATGGTTTACATTTAACTTAGACTTAAGACTTTAGAATGTTAAATGCAATCCCCAAGAAAACTATAAAGAAAATAGCTAAATAATAGGAAATGAGAAAGGAATTTAAAACTTTCACTATAAAAATCAACTGAACATAAAAGAAGAGAGTAATGCAGGAAATGAGGTGGGAGAGCAGATATTAGGCATGTGGAAAACAAATAGCAAAATGACAGAAGTCACTCCATAACAGTAATACTTTAAATGTGAATGGATTAAACTGTCCTGCCCCATCAAAAAATAAAGATTGTAAGAATAAATTTTTTAAAATACCCAACTACATAGTGTCTACAAGACACTTACTTTAGATCCAAAGACACAAAAAGGTTAAAAGTGAAAAAATGCAAAAGGATATTTCATGCAAATAGTAACCAAAAGAGTGCAAGGGTAGCTATACTAATAACATACAAAACAGACTTTAAATAAAAAAAGTTTGCAAGAGACACAGAAAGACATTATATATTTTAAAAAGGTTCAATACAGCAAGAAGGTATAATAATTATAAACATTTACATGCTTAATAAGACCATCAAAATATATGAAGCAAAAAGTGAACAGTTCTATAATAATATTCAGAGACATCAATACTTCACTCTCAGAAATGGGTGGAACTCAACAGAAAATAATTAAAGATATAGAGGGCTGGAACAACACAATAAAACAACTAGATCTAACAGCCACAGAATACACATCTTCTGAAGTGCACATGAGAGATTTTCCAGGATAGACCATATGTTAGGTCACAAATTAGTTCTCAATCAATAAAATAGTAGATATCATGCAATGTGTCTTCTTCACCACAGTGGCATGAAGTTATAAATCAACAACAGAAGGAAAAATGAAAAATTTACAAATTTGTGAAAATTAAACAACATACCCTTAAACAACCTAGGATAAAAGGAGAAATCACAAGTGAAATTAGAAAATACTTAAAGAAATTAAAGTGAAAACACAATATATTAAAACTTATGAGATACAGCAAAAACAGTGCTAATGAAATTATTTATAAATATGAAAGATCATATTAAAACACAAGGAAAAATATCAAGTCAATAACCTAACTTTTAACTTAAGTAACTAGAAAAAAAAAAGCTAAACCCAAAACTAGCAGAAGAAAGTAAATAGTACAGATTAGAGCAAAGATAAATAATTAAATGTAAGAGATATAAATCTAGGAAAACAAAAGTTTGTTCTTTGAAAAGATTAATAAAATGGACAAACCTTTAGCTAGACTAAGAAAAAACGAGAGAAGACTAAAATTACTAATATCAGAAACTGGAAGCATTACTACTGATTCTACAGAAATAGAATTGTATTCTTTTTATTTCTGGAATACACTGGAAGCATTAATACTGATTCTACAGAATAAATAAATAAACTGGAAGCATTACTACTGATTCTACAGAAATAAAAAGAGTACTATGAACAATTATATGCCAACAGATCGGATAATCTAGATGAAATGAACAAATTCCTAGAAAAACATACCAATACTTAACCATGAAGAAACAGAGAATCTGAAGAACAGATAACTGATAAGGAGATTGAATCCATATTCAGAAATCTCCTAACAAAGGAAAGCCTTAGACCTGACTCTTTACCAGTGAATTTCAGCAAACATTTAAAGAACTAGTAACAATTCATCTAAAACATTTCCAAAAACATTGACGGGAAAGAAACACTCCCTAACTCATTCTATAAGACCAGCATTACCCTGGTACCAATGACAGATATCCTTTATGAACATTGACATAAAAATTGTCAAAAAAGTACTTGCAAACTAAATTTGAGAGCACATAAAATGATTATACATCTCATGAGCAAGAGATATATTTTTGGAATGTAAGGATGGTTCATGGATTAATATCAAAATTAATCAGTGTTATATACTACATCAATATAATGAAGGGAAAAAACACAAACAAGTCATCTCAATTGATGCAGAAAAAGCATTTGACAAATTCAATACTTTTACATAATAAAAGCACTCAACAAACCAGGAAAGTAATAAAAGACATATATGTAAAACTTACAGTAAACACCATACTCCATGGTGAAAGACTTAAAACTTTTCTTCCAAAATCAGGAACAAGGCAAGGGTGCCTGCTTTCACCACTTCTATTCAACATAAGACTAGAAATCCTAGCCAGAGAAATTAGTCAAGAAAAATAAATAACAGAATTATCTCTTTTCAAAAATAAAATGATGTTATATATAGAAAACCCTAAAGACAACACACATACACTTACACACACACACACGCACCCCTGCAGAAGTAGTGTGCTCCTTTGTTTATGAGAGATACATTCCAGTGCCCCCAGTGGATGCCTGAAAATGTACATAGTACCTAATTCTACATATATTATATTGTTTCCAATACATACATACCTATGATAAAATTTAATTTATAAATTAGGCACAGTAAGAGATTACCAGCAATAAGAAATAATAACTAGAACAATTATAACAATATGCCAACATCACTACTTTTTCACTAGGGGACCATTTTTTTTTTTTTTGAGGCGGAGTCTCACTCTGTCACCCAGGCTGGAGTGCAATGGCGTAATCTTGGCTCACTGCAACCTCTGCCTCTCGGGTTCAAGTAATTCTCCTGCCTCAGCCTCCCGAGTAACTGGAACTACAGGTGCCTGCCACCACACCTGGCTAATTTTTGTATTTTTAGTAGAGACAGGGATTTGCCATGTTGGCCAGGCTGGTCTCGAACTCCTGGCCTCAAGTAATCCACCTGCCTCAGCGACCATTATTAAACATAATAAGGACTACTGGAACACAAGCACTGCAATACTGTGACTGTTGGTCTGATAACCGTGATGCTACTAAGTGACTAATGAGTGGGTAACACACACAGTGTAAATATGCTGGACAAAAGGATTCTTGTCCTGGGTAGGATGGAGTAGGATGGCACAAGATATCATCAGGCTATTCAGATAGGTGTACAATTTAAAATTTGTGAATTTTTCATTTCTAGAATTTTCCATTTAATATTTTTGGACTACAGTTGACCCTAAGTAACTAAAACTATGGAAAGAAAACCACAAATAAGTGGAGGTTACTGTAATAAACAAATTCAGCAAAGTACAATAGCTGAATATAAAGTCTACACACAAAAATCAGTTGCATTTCTACACACTAACAATGAACCACCCAGAAAGGAAATTGAAAGAAAAATTCAATTTACAATAGCATCACAAAGAACTAAATGCAGTCACGCACCACATAATCTTTTGGTCAGTGACAGACCTCATAAATAATAGTGGTCTCATAAGATTTTAATATCACATTTTACTCTACTTTTTACATGTTTCCATATGTTTAGATTCACAAATACTTACCATTGTGGTACAGTTGTCTACAGTATTCAGTACAGTAAAATGTGCTCTACAGATTTGTAGCCTAGGAGCAATAAGCTATAGTGTAGGTATGTAGTAAGCTATACCATCTTGGTTTTTGTGAGTACACTCTGATGTTCACACAAGAAAATCACCAACAGAACATGTCCCTGTCATTAAGCAACACATGACTGTATTTAGGAATAAACTTAACCAAAGAAGTGATTGATTTATACAATGAAAACTGTAAAACATTGATGAATAAATTAAAGAAGATGTAAATAAATGATAAAACATCCACATTTGGGAATGGGAAGACTTAACACTGTTAAGCTGTAAATTGAAAGCAGTCTACAACTGAATGCCATCCTTGTCAAAATCCCAATGTAAAACCTATCCTAAAATTTGTATAAAATCTCAAAAGACCCCACATAACCAAAACAATCCTGAAGAAGAATCAAGTTGGAGGACTCACACTGCTTCATTTCAAAACTCACTACAAAGCTAAAGTTATCAAAACAATGTACTACTGACATAAAGACTGACATATAGACCAATAAAATAGAATAGACAGTCCAGAAATAAACTTTCCCATATATAGTTAAGGATTTCTTCAATATGGCACTAAAGGCGCAGCCAAAGGAAAAAAAAAAGGAAAAAACAGACAATTCAGACTTCTTGAAAATTTTAAAAATGTGTGCACCAAAAGACTATCAACAGAGTAAAGGGCAACCCACAGATTAGAGAAAGATAATTGTGAATGATATAAATGATAAGGGATTAATACCTAGAATACACAGAGAACTCTTAAAACTCAACAACAAAGAAAAACTCATTTCAAATATGGGTAGAGGATCCAAACAGACATTTCTCCAAAGAAGATGTACAAATGGCCAGTAAGTACATGAAAAGATGCTCAACTTCACTAATCTTTAGGAAAATGCAAACTCAAATTACAAAGAGGTACCATCTCACACCTATTAGGATGGTTACTATAACAAAATATAGAAAATAACAAATATTGGTGAGGCTATGGAGAAATTAGAACCCTTGTACACCAGTGTTGGGAATGTACAAACAGCTTCTGTAGAAACTAGTATAGTAATTTTCAAAAATAAATTAAAAATAGAACTACCATATAACCCATCAATTTTACTTCTGGCTATACACTCCAGTGAATTGAAATAAGAGTCTCAAAGAGATGATATTTTTATATCCATGTTCATAAGTAGCATTACACACAATTGCTAAAACATGAGAGCAATTCAAGTATTCATCAAGAGATAAATGAATAAGCAAAATATGATAGATACATACAATGGAATATTATATATCTTTAAAAAGGAAGCAAATTCTCGTGACCAGCCTGACCAACATGCTGAAACCCTGTCTCTACTAAAAATATAAAAAAATTAGCCAGGTATGGTGGTGGGCACCGGTAATCCCAGCTACTCAGGAGGCTGAGGCAGAAGAATCACTTGAACCTGGGAGGCAGAGGTTGCAGTGAGCTGAGATCGTGCCATTGCACTACAGCCTGGGCAACAGGAGCGAAACTCCGTCTTGGAAAAAAAAAAAAAAAAAAGGAAGCAAATTCTGATATATGCTACATATGGATGAACCTTGAGGACATTATACTAAATGAAATAAGCCTGTCACTAAAAGACAAATACTATGAGATTCCTCTTATATGAGGTAATTGGAGTAGTCAGAATCATAGAGACAGAGCATAGAGTTGTGTTGTGTTGTCAGAGGGTGGAGGCAGGAGTGAATGGGGATTTATTGTTTAATGGATATGGTGTTTCAGTTTTACATGAGAAAAAGAGTTCTGTAGATGGATAGTGGTGATTGGCTGCTCAACAATATGAATGTGCTTAATGCTACTGAGTACTAACTAGTACTGAGTACTAAGTATATGCTACTATGTAATACCACTTAAGAACTACTTAAATACTGTATTCTTAAAAATAATGAAGATAGTAAATTTTGTGTTCTGTATATTTTACCACAATAAAAAATTTGGAAAAAGAAAAGGATAACTTAATTACATAAGCAAGTTTCAAAGATTTTCCTATGGTTGCCCTTTATTATGATTAAAGTTTTTAGAATTACTTCCAGGAAAAGAACCCGACGAAGCAGTTGTGAAGTTACAAAGCCTTAGAACAAAAGTTGATTGCAATTAAAAGTGATAACTGAGGACAAAAAGGAAAGTCCATAAGTCAGTGGAGGCCTATGCATAGATTTTACCCTCTTACCATGAAGGCAAAGTAAGAAACAGAGTCCTAAAACTCATTGCAGGACAGGTCGATGAGTCTCTTTTCCATTCCACAAATTAGAAACCTAGATTTTCCACTTAGAAACAAAGATACTGACACAATACTTCAGCTGCATTATAGGAATCTTTTTGTCATCTGATCTAGGCGCTTTATGACCAGGCATAATGATATTCCTAATGAAAACATCTTATAAGCATTAAATAATCAATTTATACATTAAATTTCAGAAGATTACATGTCTAACTGGCAGACTATCCTAGGCTGCTTCTCTACGTATAGGTAGCACTCTGAGGATATGATATTACTGCCCTGTAATGGGTGGAATGCAATAGAATTAGCTCAAATTACAATGTGTAAGAAATGATCCAGGATAATGGGAATAACAGCTATACTTCGTTACATTTATAGAAAGATTTTCAATTTATAAAATATGTGTTTTGTGCCTCTGTAAGGCAAGTAGAAGAGGTATTATTAAATTCAATTTTTAATAAAATATTCTGAAGTTTAAGGAAAGGAATGTCCACATTCACAAAGTTAATGAAATCAGGAACTCAAGATATCTGTAGATGGGTTTCTGGTAAATATGATTTTGATGTCATAGCACAGATACAATTCGAATCAAAATCCAAGCAAGTTATTTAGTAGAATTTGACAAACTGATTGTAAAGTTTATATGGAGAGGAAAAAGAATCACAATGTCTGACTTTAAGACCTAGTATAAAGCTACAATAATCAAGGCAGTGCAGTATTGATGAAAGAAGAGACAAATTTATCAATGGAACAAAATAGCCCAGATAGACCCATAAAATTTAGTCAACTGATCTTTGACAAGATCCTCTGACAAAGGAACAAAGTCAATACAATGGGGCAAAGATGGTCTTTTCAACATATGGTGCTGGAACAACTGGACACCCATCTACAAAAGAAAACCAAATCCAGACACAGATCTTACATCCTTCATAAGAATTAACTCAAAGTGGAACATAGACCTAAATGGAAAACACAAGACTATAAAAACTCCTAGAAGATAACATATGAGAAAACCTATACGACCTTGGGTATTGCAATGACTCATTAGATACAATATTAAAGACACATCCATGAAATATATAATTGGTAATCTGAACTTCAAAAAAATTTAAAACTTTTGCTCTGCAAAAGATAATGTTAAGAGACTGAGAAGATAAGCCACAGGGTGGAAGAAAATATTTGCAAAAGACACATCTGATAGCAGACTATTACTCTCTCTCTCTATCTCTCTCTCTGTCTATATATATATACTTATATATATATGCACCCTCTATAACTATATATATTTATATATATAGTTTAAACTTAACAACTATATATTTGCTATATTACTACAACAATTACTATACTACACTTACTATAGTTTAAACTATATATCTATATATAGTTGTTGAGTTTAAACTATAGTAAGCATAGTATAGTAATAGTTGTTTTAGTAATATAGTAAACAAAGAACATGATTTAAAAATGGGCCATTTTGAGTTGATTTTTGTATAAGGTAAGAAATGAGGATCCAGTTTCATTCTTCTACATGTGGCTTGCCAATTATCCCAGTGACATTTGTTGAATAGGGTATCCTTTCCCCACTTTATGTTTTTGTATGCTTTGTTGAAGATCAGTTGGCTGTGAGTATTTGGCTTTATTTCTGGGTTCTCTATTCTGTTCCATTGGTCTATGTGTCCATTGTTATACCAGTACCATGCTGTTTTGGCAACAATAGCCTTGTAAGTATAGTTTGAAGCTGGGTAATGCGATGCCTCCTGATTTGTTATTTTTGTTTAGTATTGCTTTGGCTATGTGGGCTCTGTTTTTGGTTCCATATAAATTTTAGGATTGTTTTTTCTAGTTCTGTGAAGAATGTTGACAGTATTTTGATGGGAATTGCATTGAATCTGTAGATTGCTTTTGGCAGTATGGTCATTTTCACAATATTGATTCTACCCATCCATGAGCTGAAGATGGATCAAAGACTTAAATCCAAGACCTGAAACCACAAAAATTCTGGAAGATAACATCAGAAAAACTCTTCTAGACATTGGTTTGGCAAAGAGTTCATGTCCAGGAACCCAAAAGCAAATGAAACACAAACAGCAATAAATAGGACCTAATTAAATTAAAAGCTTCTGCATAGCAAAAGAAATAGCCAGCAGTGTAAACAGACAACCTGTAGAGTAGGAGAAAATATTCACAAACTATGCATCCAACAAAGGACTAATATCCAGAATCTACAAGGGACTCAAACAAATCAGCAAGAAAGAACCAAATAATCCCATGATAAGGTGGGCAAAGGACATGAATAAACAATTCTCAAAAGAAGATATACAAATAGCCAACAGACATATGAAAAGAATGCTCAAAATCATTAATTATCAGGGAGATGCAAGTTAAAGCCACAATGAGATACCACCCTACTCCTACAAGAATGACCATAATTTAAAAACAAAACAAAACAAAATGTTGGCATGGATGTGGTGAAAAGGGAATATTTCTACACTGCTAGTGGGAATGTAAACTAGTACAACCACTATGGAAAATAGCATGGAGGTTCCTTACAGAATTAAAAGTAGAACTACCATTCAATCCAGCAATCCCACTACTGGATATCTACACAAAGGAAAATAAGTCATTTTATGAAAAAGACACATGCACACGCATGTTTGTAACAGCACAATTCTCAATTGCAAAAATATGGAAGTAACCTTAATGCCTATCAACCAATGAGTGAATAAAGAAAATGATATACATACACCACAGAATACTACTCACCTGTAAAACAGAATGAAATAATGGCATTTGCAGCAACTTGGATGGAGTTGGAGACCATTATTCTAAGTGAAGTAACTCTACAATTGAAAACCAAGTATCGTACATTCTCACTTTAAATTAGGAGCTAAGCTATGAGGATGAAAAGGCATAAGAATAATACAATGGACTTTGAGGACTTGGGGTAAAGGGTGGGAGGCGGGTGAAGGATAAAAGACTACATATTGGGTACAGTGTACACTGCTGGGGTGACAAGTGTACCAACATGTCATTTAAAAAACTTATCCATGTAACCAAAACCACCTGTTGCCCAAAAACTATTGAAATAAAATAAAAATAAAAATAAATGGGCCAAAGACCTTAATAGATATCACACCAAAGAGGTACGGATGGCAAATACACACATAAAAAAAAACCCTACACACCCACTACAATGGCCAAAATCCAAAACAATACCAAATTTGTTGACAATAACAAATTCTGGTGAGGATGTAAAGCAATCAGAACTCTCATTCATTGCTGATAGGAATGCAGAATGGTACAGTCTCTTTGGAAGACTCTTTTGTGGTTCCTAACAAAACTCAACACTCTTACCATAAAATCTAGCAATTGCACTTCTTAATATTTACCCAAAGGAGTAAAAATCTATGTCCACACAAAAATCTGTACAGGAGTTTTTATAGCAGCTTTATTTATAATTGTCAAATCTTGGAAGCAACCAAGATATCCTTCAGAGGGTGAATGGATAAATAAACTCTGGCACATTCAAACAATTAAATTTTACTCTGCGCTATAAAGAAATAACCTATCAAGCTATGAAAAGACATGGAATAACTTAAATGCAGGTTACTAAGTGAAAGATGTCAATCAGAAAAGGCTACTTATTGTATGATTCAAACACTATGACATTCTGGAAAAAGCAAAACTATGAGAACAGTTTAAAAAATCAGAGTTTGACATGTGTTAGAGGCAGCACAGAGGATTTTAGGGCATTGAAATTATTCTGTATAATACTATAATGGTGAATGAACAACATTTTACATTTGTACAAACCCATAGAATGTATAACCCTAAAGTGAACTCTAGTATAAGCTATGAACTCTGGGTGATAATGATGTATCAATACAGATTTCTCAATTGTGACAAAAATACCACTCTGGTGAAGGACGCTGATAATGAGGGGAGCTATGCATGAGTGGTGGCAGGTGATATATGGGAAATCTCTATACCTTCTACTCAAATTTGCTGTGAACCTAAATGCTCTAAAAAATAAAATCGTCTATTAAAAAATACACACATATTGGAAAAGCAAGTGGAGAGTGGAACAGAGGCAGAAAAAGCAACGAGGGAAGAATTGCTTTGCAAAAGGATTTAAAATTACACTGTAAAAATATGCTGTTGCCTATCACAATAGACTGAGAAAATGAAAGACTGTAAACATATTAGGAAAAACTGAAACCACAAATACTTTACTTGATTATGTCTTTCATTTTGGATTTCTCATTGGATTAACAGCATTCTCATTAATATTATCAATATGTGATAACAATGCATTGCAGCATGAAATGAAATAAAATTAACTTAGATGAATGTAGTATCTACTCTCTAGAATCCTCGCATGTAGACAAAATACAGATGGAAGAGCATGCAAACACATGAACATTTTAATTCCAGATCAAATATGTGTTAACAATAAGAAAAACTCAACAGGACCTGAGAGTTAAGGCTTTCTTATAATTTACATGGGATTCACATGGAATGTGCAATTGCATAATATGGAAGAATTATTCTCTCCCTTATTTCACTCATTTGGTTAAAGGACCATACTGGGGTAATTTTTCAATTTTAAATGTCATTTTTGCTGTTCTTTACCATTTTCTGCCTCAATGTTGCTAGCCTCTTAACCCTCTCACACATACACTTAGTTGTCTAGGCTGTCCTACACCCACTAGTGTTATGGACACAAATAGCCTTAGCTCACAAAGATTTCCAACCAACAAAAAACTTTCTTTTAAGTTCTTTCCCCTGCTTGTTTTCTGATAAAAAATGAAATACAATGAAATGGAGATTTACTTTGTCAAGATGTGGAAACCTATTCACTCATTCACTGAAAGATATGACTTTAAAAACTTGCTCAAGTCAGGGTATAGATTTAGAAAACTGATTTTACAGTGTCGAATCTCAGCAAGACTATCTTGAGCCAATTTTCACTTTCTTAACATCTAGGGAAAAAATTATATGTTTTTATGTTTATACATACATATGTATATATATGTTTTATGTTTATACATATACATAATTTGAAGAGTGCTCTTTTGTTTTACATTTAGTGTTCTACCTATATTTTAAAACAAAATAGTTCAATTTTGGAGCTTTTCTAAATCTTTAACAATCATAAGCTGATTCCTAAATAAATTTTGTTAATGATTATTTTCTGAATACATATTTTTAAAACACACAAGGAGAAAAAAAAAAAAGCCCAAATTTAAACTTCAGCTGTAAGCTATTGGTTGGTAATCTAACATCAAGAATGCAAATACATTTACTTTAGTCAGGGACCAATGCTTATTCATACCTGACTCAGAAGCATTTGAATATGGAACACCAACTCTAGGCAAATTAACAAACTACATAGAGGTAATTTTATAAGTTACCTCTTTGTTTTCTTACATCATATTCTGAACTTACTTTGCCCTTAGTAATGCACAACTATTTCTCAGAGTATTAGACAGTCAATTTAAGATACAGTAGTTTCCCCCGAGGATACATTCCAAGACTCCCAATGGATGCCTGAAACCACAGATAATACCCAACATTTTATATAGAGTTTTCCTTATACCGACATACCTTTGATAAAGTTAAATTTACAAAAATTAGGCACAGTAACAGAGTAGCAAGTATTACTAGTAAAAAACAGAACAATTATAATAAACACTATAATAAAAGTTATATGAATGTGGTCTCTCTCTCTTAATAGCTTATTTTTCAGACCTCAGTTGACTGAGAGTAACTAAAACTAGAGAAAGTGAAATTATAGATAGGGGGAAATATTTTCAAACAAATTTTTTTGAGATGGAGACTCACTCTGTCGCCCAGGCTGGAGTGCAGTGGTGCAATCTCGGCTCACTGCAACCTCTGCCTCCCAGGTTCAAGCAATTCTCCTGCCTCAGCCTCCTGAGTAGCTGGGATCACAGGTGCATGCCACTGAGCCCAGCTAATTTTTGTACTTTTAGTAGAGGCGGGGTTTCACCATGTTGGCCATGGTTGGCCAGGCTGGTCTGAACTCCTGACCTCAAGCGATCCGCCCGCCTCAGCCTCCCAAAGTGCTGGGATTACAGAAATGAGCAACTGCGCCGGCCTATTTTCAACATTTTTTATGTGCCACTTAAAAACAAAACAAAAACATCTATTGCCAATTAAACAATGATACTCCGTCAATTGGAAGATGTAGCCTTGTATTAGTCTGTTTTCACACTACTATAAAGAACTGCCCAAGACTGGGTAATTTATAAAGCAAAGAGGTTTAATTGACTCACCATTCCACATGCCTGGGGAGGCCTCAGGAAATGTACAATCACGGCAGAAGGGGAAGCAAGCACATCTTAGGTGACGTCAAGTGAGAGAGAGAAGCGCAAGCAGAGGAAATGCCAGACGCTTATAAAACCATCACATCTCACGAGAACTCACTCACTATTATGAGGAAAGCATGGGGAAAACCGCCCTCATGATTCAATCACCTCCCACCAGGACTCTCCCTCGACACCTGCGGATTACAATTCAAGATGAGATTTCGGTGGGGATACAAAGCCTAACTGTATCAAGCCTCATTTCACAGATGTTAAAATGTGGGAAATGATGGATATCTTAGAAAATAAGAAATACTCTATTTGATAAGCCTTTTACTAGCCCTGAAATAAAGCCACAGCAATAGCAGAATTTCTGGTATTAATTTTTATATTTGTTGTAATGGCTCAGTAGTGATCAAAGTACTTTTGTGCCAGAATTGCCTATGTTCATGTAAAAATTCCCATATATAATAGGGTTATTTATTTTTATTTGAAGTCTAAGCACCCATTGTAAAGGCTACTACAGATATTGTAGTAAATTTGGAAAGTCAATATTGATAAAGCTAAAAAATCCATTTAGGTGAAACTAATAATCTTTGCTAGAGACTTCAAGTTTGCTTTTTGTAGCCAAATTTCCAGTCAGTTAAGACATGACTTTGTTATTAAGGAGATATTTGCAAGCATACTTTAAAAGTTAATAAAAATTTAATGGAATATATGAAAAATATGTTAGAATTATATGAACAATTACGTATACATACACACACATAAACACACAGTATATATAGTATATTGTGTGTATATATATGTGTGTATGAATATATATATATATATACACACACATACACACACACACACACATTCGTGGTTAAAATTTAAATCTTTGGAGGCTAAGGCAAGAGATCATTTGAGCACAGGAGTTCAAGACCACCCTGAGAAAATGGAGGGAACCTGTCTCTACAAAAAATTTTTAAAATTAGCCAGGCATGATGTCCTATGCCTATAGTCCCAGCTACTCAGGAGGCTGAGGAGGGAGGACTGCTTCAGCCTGGCAAGTTGAGGCTGCAGTGAGCAATGATTGCACCACTGTACTCCAGTCTGGGTGACAGAATGAGACTGTGTCTCAAAAAATAAAAAATAAATAAAACATTAGTGAATATAGTGAGTATTCGCATCTGTAAATATTAATTTCTATGGCTAATATTTATGAAATTGTCATATAACTCAAAATGGTTACAGAGAAACTATGTGTATCAGAGGTAAACTGCTTTCATCTTATTTAATATTCAAGTTCTAAATTTTTTGAAAAAATCATAGGTTATAATTTAAACAGATGGTGGTATGATCTTTGGAAAAGCATTCAGCCATGTTGCTGTTTAATGAGTTTGACAGGCTTGAAATTAGAGAAGCTATCAATGACTGCCAGGTTTGGCAGCAAGGAAAAATCATGGTCGATAGAATTTAAGGATTTCTTCAATACTCTTTGTCTAGAGGCCGTGCAGATTATAGTTTTAAAAATCAGTCAATAGCTTCAAAGGAAAATTTTCTCAGTCTATACAAAGATTTATGGAACTGATTATTATTTTGGTGGTGAACTGATTTCTCACTAACAAACTTTCTATAATAACCAATATTTTAGCTTTTCAGTATTTCATATTTTTAGGTATTGTCTTTGGTTTGTTTTACATTTTCGTCTCCTCGGTTAAACAGTAATGTACATATCTGTTCAAAATGATGGGTCAGCCACTTCTCAGTGTTTTGGAGGGAATCCAGCAAGGTGATGTGAACTGAGGTATTTTATAACTTGGGTCATTCACATCTAGTTCAAGAATCAGTTTTTATACTAATTGCCTGTCATTTAACATTAAGCATATATTTTACTAGAGTAAGATTGTTAAGTACGCCACTAAAAGTACATTCCATTTTTTTTTACTTTCCCTGCACTTCAGCTAACATATTTTAAATGGATTAGATGAATGTGTTTCACTATACCACATCAGAACCAAATGAGGCCATGGGGAGGCTATTACGTGCATCTGAGTTCACCTAACTTTAATGTCTTTATGATCAACCAGTAACTGAATACCCCTCAGCACCTTATGAAATTAACAGGCTGCCATTTACATGCAGTTCTAGGATAACATCAGTGGTGTATTTGTCTAATTACTTACGTTTCCAGTTCCCTCATGAACAAAGCAGGAATAATGAACCATTTTAAATAATGTAGCAGTAATGTTATAATATCCCAGTGCTTCACAGAGAACCACTTTCTCCAAATAGGAAATATAGTCTTAGCACGTATGAGACATGAGGAATCACAGATGTTTGTCACACTTTGTAGATGTGTTGGATGACATTTCATAATGCTGAGAAACGTTCCAAACTATTTTAAGAAGAAAGTAAAAAACACGCATACTGGCTTGGCATTAAAATAGTGCAGCTATGACTGAACATCTTGCTACAACCTCCAATATATCCAAAGGGGAAGGAATGAAAAAATATTACTGCACTTTTGCTGTCGTGTGGTCTTCTGCTAAATTGATCAATTCAATAAATAGCTGAGTACAGCCACATAATCACTGCTATATTGACATTTATTTTCACACATATTAAACACTGAATCCTACATGCATGTTATTTTGGTCTTTAAACAAGATGTTTAATAAATATGCCATTGTGACTTGAAATCTTGACTAATGATTTAGCTGCATTATTAAAGTATTGCACTACATATTTTAGATTTTATTAGTTACCTTCATCGAGTTGTTTAATGATGTGTTTGTTTTAAGATTTAGTCTTCATAGAAATCCAGATGATGAAAAGTAGGGGAAAGCAAGCTAAGATCATAAGAGGAAGCTAAGAAAAACTAACAGAAAATAAATTTTACAATCATTGTTATTTATATATTAGTTAAAAGCATTATTAGAAGGAAATAAGCATAGTCTAAGAAATGACCATGGCATGAACTAAAACAAGATTGAAACATATCCAGTGAATGATAATATATGGATAACTATTAATCTGAATGAATCTTGCCTAATGATGCACACTCTTGGAAACTTTAGTTAAATTAATTTTAAAATTTAAGTCATTTTCTCTTGTTATGCATCCTTATTGCCTAAAACTATAAAAATAGCTATAAAATCTCATTTTTTTCTTAAGAAAAACACAAAAAGTTCAGTTTTTTTGTGTACTCCTAAACTTTATTCTCCTGAAGGTCATTACCTTACACTGTTTCTTATCCTCTCCAAAATGTAAGATGCTTTACTTTCTTCTGAAACTTCTCTGGGTTTATTATATATTATTTAAAGGACTAAAGCCACTGCATGCTTTCTAATAACAATATTACCTGTTCTGAGTTTAGCTACCTTTTTTTGGCTATTGTAATGAGATATATTTCAATTCCTTTGCTCATTGTGCTAAACAATAGAGTTATGTTTCTGATTCCTATTCAGCTAATTAGAAAGTAGCTTCCATTTTGTCTGTTCAAAAATTTATATTGGCCGGTACAGTGGCTCACACCTGTAATCCCAGCATTTTGGGAGGCCAAGGCAAGCAAATTGCTTAAGCCTGGAGTTCAAGACCAGCCCAGGCAACATGGCGAAACCCTGTCTCTACAAAAAGTACCAGTCAGGCATAGTGACACGAGCCTGTGGTCCCAGCTACTTGGGAGGCTGAGATGGGAGGATCACTTGAGCCCAGGAGGTCGAGGCTGCAGTGAGCTGTGATCATGGCACTGCACTCCAGCCTGGGCAATGAAGTGAACAAAAATGAACAAATATGTATATTAAAGTTTCAGTGGAATTAGTTGAGGAGGAAAGATGGCAATGGCAAAAGCAGTTTTTTTTTTAATAGCCTCAAAAGAAATTAACGCAGAAAAAAAAAAGTCATTACTGCCGTAAGAGTCTCAGGGTTTATTTATATGTAAACGCTGAATCAAGAAATTGCCACATGGGTGAACTGCTATTAGTAGAAATCAGTGCCAAAGGGAACAGAGATTTATTTTATTATTCCAATTTTAAGTGATCATCATTTTATGATGTGTTCCCAGTGGATCCATAAATAGGTTTATCTGCATTGCATTTACCACACACAATAAGTGTTGCCATGGAATTTGTTTTGGTCCTATGTCACCAATTCTGAAATGCAGGATACTCAGGGGCTTCTGCTATTCTTTTTTTCCCCTCAAATTCAATTAACTATTTAATTTCAGGAACCTCTGCCTTATCTAATAATTATGTGATTTTTTAAATTCAAATTAGAATGAATACATCTAGAAAACACATGGTAAAACTTTGAATCTCAAGAGAACAACAACAATAATATCAAAAATAATTCATCTAATTTTTAAAATTTTTCGTAATATCTGAAAAAAACAGTTTCTTAAATTTATATAACGTGATAGTTTTACTGATTCATGAGAATTAAAAGTTACGGGAAAATCCCACTTACTATTTCTAGGAGACAATTTCTCCACTGATAGAGGCTGGAGAGTAGTTCCCAATACAGGATTTAATTACAGATGTATCCTAATAAACAGCAGTAATCTATATCTCATCATTTGAAATGATGTATGTCAACCCCAAACCCTCAACTAAAACTATTTATGAATGACAAGCTCATGTTAAGATGTAAAGAAAAAGTTCAAAACATATTTTGTTCTACAAAGTTCAGTTCTTAAAAACCAAGAGCCATTCTACTGGTCAGACTTTGATCAGTGGACTTTCTATAACATGTGTCTGTTATGCCTATTGAGCTATAAAATATTAAAATAATAACTTCAGCTACTAATTTAATCATAGTATAATATGTAAAAAAATTATTTGAAATAATGATTATTTGAAACTTAATGTTTACTTTTGCCTTTAAACTAGCCACTTGGCCTTTCAAGTGCCATGGCATAAGTCATGTCAGTGGGATTCTAAATTTTTATGTCTTCTAATTACAGTGATTTTAAAAAGGAGGGCAAAGAGTAAGAATCAAATTATTATTTCTATGGTCATTCTTAAGAAAAATAAAAATTTAACCATTTTATCCTATTGAGACTCTGGAATAGATGAAACATTATTTAGTTTATCACATCACAATATACCTTTGGTGTGAAAAGCAAGCCAAGATATCAATAGAAAATGATAACCTAAAATAATCTGCATATACGAGTTTAGTAGGATTATAAAACAATGATCTTCCTAACTACTCACATAAAAACTAGCCCAATCCCAAGGTGTCTTTGTTTACTTTTAAGCTCTAATTTATAATTTTATTGACCTAGAGTGAAGTTAAGGCATATCTGCTTATTGCTGCAAGCGGGTAAAAATGGCCTTACCTTTTACTTCTGTATTAGAATATGGCAAAATATACTCATTATTCTGCTTATTTCTCTAATCCACTAATAGATAGACATTTTACAACTATTTTAAGTACATAACACTCTATTGGGAAGAAAATGCCCTTACTTTTTTGACAGTATTATAGTCCATATAGTAGTTAATGTAACCACTATGCTCTCTTAAATCCTATAGTTTACAACCCATTGTCAATTTCGCTGGGAAAAAAATGTTAAAATGTAATTTTTAGAAAGAATGGTAAAATCATGACTCAAGAATGCATATGAAAATAAACACTTGTTAAAGAATTTATTTTACTAATGTCATATGAGGGACCAAGGCAGATATTATGACTGGTTTAAAGAAACAATCAAAACAGCACAAATTTGTAAGAAGTAAGGGAATATTGAGATGAATTGTAAATGGGGACAAAATTGTTCCACACTGGAAAGAAATTAATTGAAATCATTAACTTACAGGAGAGAATTTACATATCATTAGTCAATTTACAACTTACAAAGAGTTGCAAAGTAGCTCAAAGACAACAGGACTAGAATATGATAAATCTGGAAGGACATGCTACAGAAGATGCATAGTTTTCTATTGAAAGAAATTTTCCACAATATTCCCCCTATTGATTAAAAATAATCTCAAAGAAAGATTACTCTTGATCACAAAATACAAATTGTTCTCATTAGATTTAGTCTGATTATTTACATAGGTGCAGCAACAGTGTTAATTTGCTACATGGGCCTTCCTAAGTTTGCTTTGCTAAAAGTTTTTCTAAAGAATCTCAAATTGGACCTTTAAAAGCCCCTTGAGGCTTGGCAGTCAAGCTAACAACGCACCACAGGATTTTATCTATAGTACCTATTTATTTGGGTGAATTTCTTTCTTCTCAAGGTCCCTAAAATATCCTAATGTTCCTGGGACGGACAGGAAGTGACCTTCATTACTCACTTGTGAGGCTGGGAACCCTGTAAGCTACCTGCCATAACAGTTTTCCTAAGAGGGCTTTGTAAACATTGCTTTCATGAAGTCAATCTTTGTTCCTTAAAAGTGTCTGGTCATACCTGATTAAATGAGCATCAGTCTCAAATAGGACAATCCTGGCAAGTCTTTAGTTGCATAACCAAAGTTTCCAATTATGTCCTAGCATAAGGAATAACAGATTATTACTGGATTCATGCAAATAGCTACATTGCTACAAAATAAGAATATTCAATAAGAGTTTCCAAATTCTTGGCCAGGTGTGGTGGCTTACGCCTATAATCCCAGCACTTTGGGAGGCCGAGGCGGGCAGATCACAAGGTCAGGAGTTTGAAACCAGCCTGGCCATCATGGTGAAACCCCATCTCTACTAAAAATACAAAAATTAGCCGGGCATGGTGGTACACGTCTGTAGTCCCAGCTGCTTGGGAGGCTAAGGCAGGAGAATCACTTGAACCTGGGAGGCGGAGGTTGCAGTGAGCCAAGATCGTGCCACTACACTCCAGCCTGGGCGACAGAGTGAGACTTCGTCTCAAAAAAAATAAAATAAATAAAATAAAATAAAAGAGTTTCCAAATCCTGGAGAGTTTGAGTAGAAAGAATAAGATAATTCACAATGTTTTATTTTAGTTTACAAAAATGGAGTCTATTAAATTGCTGTGAGTTATAGATAGCTTAAGAAGATAGAAAAAGGCCTCTCTTCACTATTCACAATAGCAAAGACTTGGAACCAACCCAAATGTCCAACAATGATAGACTGGATTAAGAAAATATGGCACATATACACCATGGAATACTATGCAGCTATAAAAAATGATGAGTTCATGTCCTTTGTAGGGACATGGATGAAGCTGGAAACCATCATTCTCAGCAAACGATTGCAAGGACAAAAAACCGAACACCACATGTTCTCTCACTCATGGGTGGGAACTGAACAATGAGAACATATGGACACAGGAAGGGGAACATCACACACTGGGGCCTGTTGTGGGGTGGGGGGAGGGGGAAGGGATAGCATTAGGAGATATACCTAATGTTAAATGACGAGTTGATGGGTGCAGCACACCAACATGGCACATGTATACATATGTAACTAACCTGCACGTTGTGCACATGTACCCTAAAACTTAGAGTATAATTTTAAAAAAAAAGAAAGAAAAAAAAAGAAAAAGGCCTTTCTTATATATTGGTAAATAGAACATTAAAACCATACCAATAGTCCAAATAAAACTTAATCATCACTCATTAATTCATTCAATTCTATGTAATTTTTGTTCCACTGGATCTTTTGTTAGGAGTTTCATAAACTCATCTCTAAAATGACTAAAATTCTGGAATTCCTGACTCAGTTCCAGTATTATAGTCTAAAAAGCTTATTTCAGTGATGTCATCAGAAGCTCATACCCAAAAGTACCAGGCAATGCCCTTTTCCATAGGGCTCTCAAGTAGTTCATTGTTGAAGAAAAAACATCTGACCTATAATTTATTTCAGAGCTTTCAGGAAAGCATCAGAGTAAAATAACAACAAAAAATTGCCCATAGAGAACAAAAGACTTAATATGACTGTTGCTAACTTATTAGTGATAATTTTTAACAGTAAAAGATCTATTAAAAATTCATAACAAGAATAATACAGTTGACAAGAAAATTTGGTTATGTCTATGGCATGCAATACAAGATAATATAATCAATTGCAAAAAATAGATGATCATAATATTTACGGAGAAAAAATTTTGATATAAAAATAAGCCTTATCATAGAACACATTATAGGAATCTTAAAAAAAAAGCCTGACATATCATGAATAAACTAAGCATATAATAAGATATTCTAAAAATATAGCAAGGATATCAGTAAGAGGTTTACTAAATCAGTACTAGTTCTTAAACATCTGTGTATTAGTAAAACTCCATATTAAATTATTGTGAATCTCCAGTTGAAAACTACTGACATAGAAGATCCAAATTAAAGAACTGATGATTCAACCACATTAACATTTTAAAATATAACTGAAATTATGACGGCTAAAATGCACCCTTTTCAACTAACATCAGGCACAGCAGACTACTAAGTAGAAACATCCCTTGGACAGCAAGGACACTGAAAAATCTCTACGAACTTCCCATATTTCATTCAATTTCTGAAATACTTATAATAATAACATTTACCTAAGCGAACTTGGGCATCTTTTCTCATTTTATAACTCTTCCCTCACAATTCATCAATAGTAATGTATCAAATAAGCCTCATTATTTCTACTTTTTTTATAAGATAAATGAACAGAAAGAACTTTTTTTCAATTCTTTATTTTTAATTTTTGTGGGTACTAGTAGTAAGTGCATATGTTTGTGGGGTACACAAGATATTCTAATAAAAAAATGCAGTGACTAATAATCACATCAGGGTAAATGGGATATCCATCACCTCAAGCATTTTTCCTTCGAAAAGCAGAATACTTTGATCTTCCAGACGCCCTCTCATAAATCTCAAAGATAATTTTATATGTAAGATAACCTAAAAATTATTTTATTTTGTTTATAATTTGCTTTCAGAAACAAAAACAAAAATCAAAAGCTGTGAAGAGATTTTAATACTTAAGATAAAAATCAGAAATGCCTGAGAAACAGTATTATTGAGAGGTGACAGCGTGCTGGCAGTCCTCACAGCCCTCGCTCGCTCTCGGCGCCTCCTCTGCATAGGCTCCCACTTTGGCGGCACTTGAGGAGCCCTTCAGCCCACCGCTGCGCTGTGGGAGCCCCTTTGTGGGCTGGCCAAGGCCGGAGCCCACTCCCTCAGCTTGCAGGGAGGTGTGGAGGGAGAGGCGAGAGCGGGAACCAGGGCTGTGTGCGGCACTTGCGGGCCAGCTGCAGTTCCGGGTGGGCGTGGGCTTGGCGGGCCCCGCACTCGGAGCAGCCGGCTGGCCCTGCTGGCTCCAGGCAATGAGGGACTTAGCACCCGGGCCAGCGGCTGTGGAGGGTGTACTGGGTCCCCCAGCAGTGCCAGCCCACCAGCGCTGTGCTCGATTTCTCGCTGGGCCTTAGCTGCCTTCCCGTGGGGCAGGGCTTGGGACCTGCAGCCCACCATGCCTGAGCCTCCCACCCCCTCCTTGGGCTCCTGTGCCTCCGGAGCCTCCTCCACGAGCGCCACCCCCTGCTCCACGGCGCCCAGTCCCATCTACCACCCAAGGGCTGAGGAGTGCAGGCGCACAGCACGGGACTGCCAGGCAGTTCCACCTGCAGCCCCGGTGCAGGATCCACTGGGTGAAGCCAGCTGGGCTCCTGAGTCTGGTGGGGCCTTGGAGAACCTTTATGTCTAGCTCAGGGATTGTAAATACACCAATCGGCACGCTGTATCTAGCTCAAGGTTTGTAAACGCACCAATCAGCACCCTGTGTTTAGCTCAAGGTTTGTGAGTGCACCAATCGACACTCTGTATCTAGCTGCTCTGGTGGGGCCTTGGCGAACCTTTGTGTCCATACTCTGTATCTAACTAATCTGATGCCGACATGGAGAACCTTTGTATCTAGCTCAGGGATTATAAATGCACCAATCAGCACCCTGTCAAAACAGGCCACTTGGCTCTACCAATCAGCAGGATGTGGGTGGGGCCAGATAAGAGAATAAAAGCATGCTGCTCAAGCCAGCAGTGGCAACCCGCTCGGGTCCCCTTCCACACTGTGGAAGCTTTGTTCTTTCGCTCTTTGCAATAAATCTTGCTACTGCTCACTCTTTGGGTCCACACTGCTTTTATGAGCTGTAACACTCACTGTGAGGGTCCGCGGCTTCATTCTTGAAGTCAGTGAGACCAAGAACCCACCGATTCCGGACACATTATCATTCCTTTCTTTTTTTATATTTTTATCTTTTCGAGACAGGGTCTTGCTCTGTCACTCAGGCCAGAGTTCAGTGGTATGATCACAGCTCATTGCAGCCTCCCCCTGCTGGGCTTAAGCAATCCTCCCACTTTAGCCTCCTGAGTAGCTGAGACTACAGGCACACTCCACCACTCCTGGCTAATTATTTTTAAAATTTTTTTTGTAGAGATGTGGTCTCACTGTGTTGCCCAGGCTGGTCTTGAACTCCTGAGCTCAAGCAAGCCTCCTGCCTTGTCCTCCCAAAGTACTGGGATTACAGGCATAAATCAGCACACCCAGAGTGTCACTCATTTTAAAGTAACAATAAAACATTTAAAAATTAAACATAAGAAGTTAACATGAATGTAAAAAACCTAAATGAGAAACTTATTTTCTTTAAAAAGGACATCAGAAAATTGATACAAATATCGAAGGTTATTCCAGTAAAACACAGTATCTTTATTATCTAGGCATATTCCACAGGAAAATATAAGAATAATTATTTTTATTATGGCAATAAAAAGTTAGCCAAGGAAACAAGGCCATGAAAAATGAGCACATTTTACTAAGAGTTTAAAATATTTCATAGTTTTTCAAACTCAGATATTATAAATGTAGACAAATAAAATTAATTTGCAAATATTGTCTTCTATTATGCAGTTTCATATTCTGGAACAAACTGACAGTTTAGGACCAATCTCAGGGGATCCACAAGGTCAGAATTAGTTTTATGATATTACTAGAGTGTTATTAACATCAGTGTAGTCATTGTTGCTATCTTCAAATGAATACAAGTAAGCATTTAAATTTTTCATTTCAAATTTTTACACAGTAAATAAAAATAATTATCACCCACAAACTCTTTTTAGAATCCTCAATAAGCCTAAAGAGTGCAAAGGGATTCAGAGACCCAAAAAGCCACTCCTTAAGAGAAAACTACTCCAGTAATCCCAGCACTTTGGGAGGCCGAGGTGGGTGGATCACCAGGTCCAGAGATTGAGACCATCCTGGCTAACACAGTGAAACCCTGTCTCAACTAAAAATACAAAAAATTAGCCAGGCGTGGTGGCGGACACCTGTAGTCCCAGCTACTCGGGAGGCTGAGGTAGGAGAATGGTGTGAATCCTGGAGAAGGAGCTTGCAGTGAGCCAAGATAGCACCACTGCACTCCAGCCTGGTGACAGAGTGAGACTCCATCTCAAAAAAAAAAACAAACAAACAAAAAAAAAACTACTCTTTTCCTTGAAAAATAGAAGTATGTACATAGTTGTATTTCTCTGAAACTACTGTTTATAAGCATTCTCATTCCAATATATCAATTATATCTTTTAACCAAAGTAAGGTCTATTTCAGAGAAAATTGGGGGGTGGACCTCCATGAATGTTACAAACCTGCATCCTTGCAGTCCAGCATAGCTGATGAACACAGCTACTCTTTATACTAACCTCCTCAAAGGGGCAAAATGAACACATTCATTAACAGATCCGAAGATATAGTCTCTCTGTAGCATATAAATATAAAATAAGAAACAAAGCATATAAACCTAAAATTATGCTTAATGAGTATTTATCTAGTGGTGTAATGAATGAATGTACATACATTAGTTGATTTCCTTTAATGTCTGTCCAGAGTTTTAAACCATCTGAAAAGCTTAGAAATTATCTTCAAATTGACATCCTACAAAACATAATTACTGCTGAAATAACATTGTCAGGATAATGAATTAATTTGGCTAAACACAAATTTATATTTTTCACAACCTTAAACACGAACTAGAAGTAATGTTAGGTTGGTTGATCAGTAAACCTGTGTAAGTTTAATAACATACTCAAGTAGAATTAAGATTTACCTTTGTATTTAACATTAATAAATCAGGATTGATGTAGCTATTTTTATTAAAACAAAATTATTAAACTAGTCTCATTTGCCATGATTTACCTAAATTATATAAACTAGAATTCTTAAAAACATTTCCCAGTTAGTTTCAATAAGAGTCCCTTTTTTTCCCCCTTGAGACGGAGTCTCGCTCTCTCACCCAGGCTGGAGGGCAGTGGCACGATCTGGGATCACTGCAACCTCTGCCTCCCGGGTTCAAGCAATTCTCTGCCTCAGCCTCCTGAGTAGCTGGGATTACAGGCACCCGCTACCACGCCTGGCTAATTTTTGTATTTTTAGTAGAGACGGAGTTTCATCATCTTGGCCAGGCTGGTCTTAAACTCCTGACCTCGTGATCCACCCGCCTCGGCCCCACAAAATGCTGGGATTCCAAGCGTGAGCCACTGCACCCAGCCAAGAGTACCTTTTAAGTACAGCGTATAGGAAATATTAGAAGTTCAGTTCTCTTATTTGCTGGAAATTTAAAATTATTATCTCTATATAAGCACTTATTTGTTACTTTAAGCCAATCAGAATAGAGTTTTTTTGTTTAAGAGGTTTTATATCAAATTTATTAACACCATTGGATTTAGGAAAATATTATGACCTTATACAATAAGACATAAAGGCCTTTCTGAATTCCAGACTTGTAGCCAGAGACAAGGACACATCGAATTTATTCAATTTTCAACTTCTAGCCATGGGTAAAGATTAAATACAGAATAACAAAACTCAATGGTTAGTATCAAATAATTATTCCCTTTTCTTATCAATGGCTCATGTTATTTTTATTTTATTTTACTTTTAATTTTTATAGACAGGGTCTCTCTTTTTCATTCAGGCTGGAGTGAAGTAGCATGATCATAGCTCACTGCAGCCTGAAACTCCTGGACTCAAATGATCCTCCTGCCTCAGCCTCCTGAGTAGCTAGGACTACAGGTGTGCACTGCCATGCCCAGCTAATTTTTATGTATTTATGTATTTTTTTGTGGAGGCAGGTTTTGCTATGTTGTTCAGGCTTGTCTCTAACTCCTGTCCTCGAGGATTCCTATGGTCTCAGTTCCCCAAAGGGCTGGGATTACAAGCATGAGCCACTGGACCTGGCCAGTTCAACAACTGCTTTGGATCCACCTCCAGCAAATTAAACTATCCATGAAGTGCACTTGTCTAGCAATGAAGTTTGCCAGATTCTGGTGGGTGAACTCATTGGGCATCTTAGTGAAAATCCTCTAAAACTGTTCAAAGGTACTTTTCATAAAAGTTAAGTTTTTGAGATCTATTGCACAGCAGGTTGACAATAGTTAATAATAATATATTGTATATTTCAAAATAGCTAAGAGAGTAAATTTCAAATGTCTCACCACCAAAAAAAATGGCGATATGCTAGTTAGCTTGATGTAATCATTCCACATTGTATACATTTATCCAAACATCACATTGTACCCCATAAATGTATACAATTTGTCAGTGGAAAGTAATAATAAAATGTTAAATCATTTCTTGCACACAAATATGAACATGGACATGTGTTAAAGAATTTACTCATGTCATATAAGGGAACAGGCAGATATGATAGCCACTTAAAAGAATAAATCAAATAGCACAAATTTATATGGAGTAAAAAAATGTTGAGGTGAATTGCAAATGTGAAAGAGAATTTTCATCATGGGGGGGAAGGAAGTCAATTAAAATCACTACTAGGCAGGAAAGAATTTACCTAACACTTTAAAAATACCTCAAAGGCAATGGCCAGAGATAGAATCTGACAAATCTAGAAGGGTACATTATGAATAATATGTAGTTTTCCATTGGAACAAAAATTCTTTCTACAAAAGTAATTCTATATTTTATACTTATCACCAAACTGGCCTAATAAATATTGACTTGCAGAAGTATATAGGGTATCTATGTAAAACATAAGACTGTTTTGCTATTTCCACATTGGTTTATACTCACTGAGTGTAGAGAAGGTGCCCCAGGAAAGAGAGATTCACAGTTATGTAAGCCACTTTCAATCCTCTATGATATACGGCTAGGCATTAGATTAGACAAGGTACAATATCTGCATTTTTTCCCCATACCTTACAAACATCTAGTGGAGAGACCAGAAAAGATTATTGTATACAAAATACTTACCAAACTGTTTCATCCTCCACAATAATGCAAACCTAGACACAATATTAAGCTAGGAAGATCTACCTTAGTGACTGCAGGGTGTAGATTTTCCTTTCATTGTCTCTCTCTCTTTGATTGAATGTGCCAACAACCAGAAATTGTCTTCTGACCTCCACGATTCAAATTGACAAACCTTGTCCCTGTAGTCAGTATAATTCTCATCAGAATTGGTCTTTTCTAGCCCATAACTTAAAGACCCCTCTCTTCTCACGGGCCTAAGTCTCCCTTGCTAAGGTGACTGTATCGTATAATGAGTTCTTGCAATGTACCTCCAGTTAATGTGTCTGCACTTCTCTAGGTTTTTTGGAGAACAAATGGGTGGAATAGGTGGGTATTCCAGACAGCATGGTTGGCAGAACCGGTAACCATCTGGGGACAA
The DNA here is from genome assembly GCF_000001405.40 of Homo sapiens. Lineage (NCBI taxonomy): Eukaryota > Metazoa > Chordata > Mammalia > Primates > Hominidae > Homo > Homo sapiens. The sequence continues at coordinate 87,826,302 of NC_000008.11, forward strand.
TCATGCTAAAATCCCTCCTTGTAGCTGCTGACCATACCTAAGAAAACACCATCATGATGAGTAAGTTACTTTGTGGAAGTAGATCTGAATCCATTAGCTGAGTTTGGATCCTTCGTGACTGAGAAGGTTGTGCTATTTTGTCCTGAGGCTAGCAGCACTGTTAGTGACTCTTGTATGTGCCCGTCTATCAATTTGAGCTCCTATTGTCCAATAGGAGCTCTTATCTTCCAATTTTTGACAGGAATAATGAAGGAGAGCATATATTTATTATTGATGCAGATTTATATTTTAAAGATGAAAAAGCACCATTTGGTTTATCTCTTCCTGTCTCAGGCTGCTTCATGACAACTTTTCAGGAAGCAGCCTGTTACTGAGGTCACATGCAGCTCTTCCCCATCCCGAACACAGGTTTTAAAATATGGACAGAATCACCAGATGTACATGCCCTGCAAATTAGGAATAAAGCACCATCTGCCCATGCACAGGCTTATTCTGTTTTTCATAAAGAGAGCAGTGACTTTGCCATAATTTTCCCCTTTTTTTCCATTCATATGCATGATTGGTGAGAAGCTTACATAGACTAATTCCAGGAACACAGTGAAGCTGGTAAACAAAGGAAAGCATTTGAAAAAAAAAAAGGGTCTAGACATTACATTTTCACCCCAGGGAGATTTTTTTTTTTTGTCTATTCTCTCTTATATTTGTTAAATGGCTCACAAAATCAGTGGCATTTTAAAAATTAACCTGTTTCTTAATTTCTCATAAAATTAACATATGTCTGTTGTAATAGACAAAAGTAAACAAAAAGAAAATAAAATGACTAATGTATTTCTATGATCAAAAATAAAATATTGATATATTTTCCTTTCAGGATAGATTAAGATACATAAGTAAATAATCAAATAATTATAAAATTATAAAATTAGGCCTTGCTATTTTTATATATGTTTAAAGGTTAATAATATATTGTATCAGCCACTCTTCTAAGTGTCTTACACAATGCAGTTATCCAGTAGATATTATTATGCTCATTTTATAAAAGATAATGGAGGCACATGTTCACGCTGCTGCTTAGTGGTGGAGCTGTGATCTGACCACATTCTTAAGTAATTTGCTAGGCCACACCTACATTATCAAATTCACTGGCAGATTATTTAAATGAGTGAATGCAGCATTACCTGGTATACATATTTGAACTGTTCCTTCATTATAAGGCATGTTAAGCAATAGTTTTCAAAATAAGGTAAAATCCTGACTCAAACAGTTTAAAAATAAACTTGTAATAAAGATTTTCTTTAATCCATTATGGAAGAAACTGGTGAGGTGTTCAAATCTCTTCAAAAATGAATCAAAACCACAGAGAGAACAAGAAAGAGAGATTTAGAAACCAATAATAATAAAATAAATGTGCAAATAGGAACAAAACTAGTCTTTTTCATGGTATAGGAGGGGAGTCAATTGAACCTCCAGAGGAAAAAATTGACACATCTATAGACAATAATTATTTTGCATCACTATGAATTATCTACAATTTACAGAGTTGAAAATAATTTTGGAATAAGATAATGCCGGAGGCTAAACAAAAATACATAATTTTCCATTGATCACAGATTTTCCCCTACAGATCTTTAAATTGTTTCCAGTTTTTACTATTATCAATAATCTCCAGTAAATCATTTATATATACATTTCATGCACATATTTATTAATTAGAAAATACAAATATATATATATATATACATTCCTTTTCTCAAATTACCAATACATACTACCAAATGGCCCCCAACATAGTTATAAAATCAACTCCCAAAAATGAGGCTGTAAGTGCCTATTTTTACACACACATAAAGACAGTAGATCTTAGATTCTCTGACTTTTTAATCTCCAAATTCTCATTTCACTGCAACAATGATGAAAGATGCATTTTACGCATCACAGCAAAATTAAAGTTGCAACATTTTGCAAGCTGAAAGCTTGAAAAACATTGTCTTGGGGAAAAGGACCTCTAAATATTTGAAGTCATTAAATGAATTTATCATAGAACCATGTTCTTAGAGGAGATATTAAAAGGGTACTTGGTCCATTTTATTATCTCTTTGACAAGAAAGATTACACGTAGGTTTCCCATAAACATCCACACATGCTGTCCTTCATTATTCCTGCCAATGCACACACATAGAAATATACATGGAAGATTCAGGAAGTAACCAAGAGGAAAGAAAAAGATTATTATATGAATGAATTTAGATGAATACTGACTGTATAAATAAGAATGTCTTATGGGGCTTAAAAAATACATTGAGTATTATAATACACAGTAAAAATCATAATTTGAGGGGCTAAAAATGTTAAAATGCTCTAAGGTCTTTGCATAACCAAAAATCTCCAAAAGAATATTCCAAACATTCTTGAAATACTATGTGCATTCGGTGGAATTGCATCCTCCAAAAAGATACGTTCAAGCCCTAACAGCTGGTATCTATGATTGTGACCTCATTTGGAAACAGAGTCTTTACAAATGTAACCAAGTTAAGAAGAAGTCATGTTAGTTTAGGTTAGGACCCAATCCAGTGACCAGCATCCTTAAAAGAATAGAGAAATTTGGACACAGAGACACATAAGAATGCCATATGATGATCAAGGCACAGATTGGAGTGATACATCTATGAGCAAAGGAATACGAAGGATTGCTGGCAACCACTCATATCTTGGAGAAGGGCATGGAACATTCTCCTTCAGAGCACCGAGAGGGAACCAAACATGCTGACACTTTAATCTTGGATTTCTAACCTCCAGAATTGTGGGTAAATAATTTTTTATTGTTTTAAGCCCCCCAGTTTGCGGTATTTTGTTATGGCAGCCTAGGAAACCAACTAATAAGCTATCTTGCCAAAAAAGTCTCTTGATATCTAATCTCAATATCTCATATTTAATTTTCAGCAAAATTGTACTAACCAATTTTATACACTTTAAAACTGAGCAAATTTATTCTTTTTTACAAAAAAAAAAAGCCTATTGTGAGTTTTCATAGACACTCTTAAAGAATTTATCTTAGCTCCTTTAAGTTTTTCTCATTCCTATATATCAGAGAATCCAAATTTTAGAGTATGTTTTTGTCTATTTTGTTATGTATGTTAAGTCTAGTTTAATCAGTAAAGTCAATCAAAAGCTACATTCTTCTAATTTTCCCTTTAACTTTGTTACCCCATTACTTGCCTTCAAATCCCATTAATATGTCTTCTTAAGATATAGACTCCATAGTCCACAAAGGAAAATAATTGTCATAAATCAGGAAGAATTCATAGAGTTGAGGTTTCACTTATGTCAACATAACCTCTATTCTTGATCCCAATTCATTTCTCATCAGCCAAACTTCTCAGATTTTAGATATCAGCATTAAGTTCAGAGTACAGGTGCAAAGGGTCTTCCACAATCAATCATACATTTTGAAATAATTTCCTAGTTTAGTCTGGCCGAATATACTGCTGACCTTCAGATCCATAACAAAAGAACCATTTGTTTAACCAAGATTTTGTCAGACAAGATGAAGGAATTAGCTGGAAGTCAAGAACATGACTTCTTTACTTATTAAGATTAGCAATACAAATATACAGAAGCCCAGCCAATCCACATATCACTTACAAGACTTTGTTAAGAAAATCTATAGAAAACCAAGAAAGAATATAGGATACATATAACAATATATTTTATTTGTTCCGTTATATGACATTTGTGCTGCATCATGTTTAAGGTTTTCTATAAAAACACATTTTAATCTCTTTGCAGGAGAAATAAAGAAACATCATGACACCATTTGAAAAAATAAATTGACACTTAGATTTGGCATATTTAGTCAGTTTTTAACTTCAATGCTTAGAAAGAATGGTGTTAATCTCTCTTTTCTTGTCACTGCATGCTATATAAGGAACAGCAAATTGCTTGTATAAAGTTCAAACTAAATATAAAATCGTTTTGTTCAGAACATGCCTTTACTCAGTGGTTAGGTGGCATTTTCTAAATGAGCCCTCTAAACAGTATTGAAGAAATTTTCTCTAAAAGAACATTTTCTACCACTTGAAAGGTCATTTTATCTTGAGAATTTTTCTGTCATGCTTGTGAGTGCACTATCTACCTGCTGTAGGGCTTTTTGACCTCTACCAAAAAGAAATGGGCAAATTTAATTTCTTGATCGTAACTCACACGTGCTACTCTTCCTAAGAGTCACTGTTAATGTAAGGTCATTTTATGTGGAAAATGAGTTAAAAATTTGGGTATTAAATTGCTAGAAGAGCACTTTTGATCTCTACTTTCCATCCAATAGTCTTCTATTATAAGCAAGAATAATAAAGCAATGATGAAGAGGGCATGAAAAGCACAAGAAACCAAAATGGCAGCAAGCCCCTTGAGCAGTGGTTCTCAATTCCAACTGCACATCAGAATCAGCTGGGGCATGCTGAAAAATACCAATGCCTGTGTCTCACTCCTAGAACTTTTGATTTAATTAGTCTGGGGTGGGGCCCAGGCAGTGGTATATTTAAAAGCTCCATAGTAATTCTAAAATGCAACCAGGTTTGGTACTCACTTTCTAAACTAGAAAAATTATCCTCCATTTTTTTCCTTGATCACTGAGATCTTTGACAATTTGTTGAAAGCTCTGGCCATCTCCTCCCAAGTCATACCTTAAAGCCAGGGAGATTACGGACATCCACCTCTTAATCCTTATCCAATGATGCTTTTAAAAGAATTGGGCATATGCCCAAGTCTCCCAGTGAGAATCTATAGTTTAGGGGGAAAATTAAATGGTAAAAAAATATAATAGTAGTCTGGATCCAATCAGCTCTAGAACCATTCAGTGATTTAATTAGGGGAAGGTTAATATGAATCATAACTAAAGTGATAAAAGAGTAACTGGAGCCAGGCGTGGTGGCTCACGCCTGTAATCCCAGCACTTTGGGAAGCCAAGGCGGGTGGATCACCTGAGGTCAGGAGTTCGAGACCAGCCTGGCCAACATGGCGAAACCCCATCTCTACTAAAAATACAAACATTAGTCAGGCATGGTGTCAGGTGCCTGTAATCCCAGCTACTTGGGAGGCTGAGGCAGGAGAATTGCTTGAACCCAGGAGGCAGAGGTTGTAGTGAGCCGAGATCGCACCATCGCACTCCAGCCTGGGGGACAAGAGCAAGATTCCATCTTAAAAAAAAAAAAAGAGTAACTGGAGATATAATGAAACTCTGTATGGTATCCTAGGGCTGAGGGAGAGTACATAAGGAAGGATGAACATGGAAAGAGGATCCCTCCATAAGACTAGGGTACAGAATAAGGTTGAACCCACTGGATAGCAGCAGTTTGCTAGTTTGCCAGATGATGTGGTTTGGATTTGTGTCCCCACCTAAATCTCTTGTTGAATTTTAATTCACAATGTTGAAGGAGAGGTCTGGTAGGAGGTGACTGGATCATGGAGGTGAAGGTGAACTTCCCTCTTGCTGTTCTCATGATAGTGAGTTCTCACAAGATCTGGTTGTTTAAAAGTGTGTAACACTTCCCCCTTCTCACTTTCCACCTTCTCCAGCCACATAAGATGTGCCTGCTTCCCCTTTGCCTTCCACCATAATTGTAAGTTTCCTGAGGCCTCCTCAGCCATGTTTCCTGTACAGCCTGCAGAACTGTGAATCAATTAAACCTCTTTTCTGTATAAATTACCCAGTTTCAGGTAGTTCTTTATAGCAATGTGAGAACAGACTAATACACCAGACTATAGCTGATCTGTTGTTATGGAACAGAAAGCAAGCAACACTCCAGGAAGCAGGAAAGATGGAGGAGTCACAGCTGGTGATTGAAGTGTCAGTGGAGTGGAGGCTCCAACTTGGCTGGAAACCTAGAGAACAGGATGTCCATATGGGAAGGGCTGAAAAGGGAGATCCCTAGGATACTCTGGGGCTGCAAGGTCAATGTGTATTCTGGCCGTGTGGCTATGGCGGAACTCCACTAGATGTCCCCGCACCCACACCACCAGCCAACCATATTGCATCAAGACACCATAAGCAAAGGCTTTTTTCATGCAATGTCCCTCTAGCATCTTCTTCTAAGAAAGCTTAACACTCTGTTTAGTTTTAAGAAGAAATGCATAAAGGAATTACGCAATCTATTATGACCAAGAAGGCCTTAACATTCCCCGCAGCTTCACTAAACTTTCAATAGATTTCTTCTGGACTCTAGATATCTGACTTCCCTCTTTTTAGAGCATTTCCTTTAGAAAACTTGCAGTTGTAAATTCTTTCTCTGCTCCTTTGAGATGTAAATCTTCTCTGGGCTTTTGCCAGTTTCACAACACAGGACTGTCTTTCTCAGGGACCTGGGCACCATTCCTTTGATATGTACTCATCAGGAGAAATAGCACAGCACCCATAATTCTCAGTCCTTATGGGAAGGAAAGATCCTAACTTCTCTAAGTGTAAATTAGCATATATGTGTGACGTAATCACATTGACAAGCTTCCCCCTAACTTTTCCTCCAGTACTTTTCCACCAGCTCATTCCAGCACTTAAACTCTCCCAGTTTTTGTATCTACGGAGTTCAGCTCAAGGTCCGTATCCTATTGCAGTATTCTTGAATAAAGTCTTCCTTGCCTGCTTAACATGTCCTGTTTAAAATTTTTTGAGAACTATTGCAGAGCATATATTAAAACAAAAATTTGAACCTCAGAGGCAGTAAATTGAAAACTGACACAAATGCTTTCCTTGTGTTTATTTAAAACACATGACACAAAACTGACCATTTTTATCATTGATTAAAATGTACTGAGTTGTAGTGTTTGAAGAAACATTTCCAAAGAGGACTTGATCATTTGAAAGCATAGAAGAAAAAGAGAATTTGACATCAATACAGTAAACACTAAGGAAAATTATGAATGATAGAAGGTTTGGCAGTTTTTTTCCTTCTCCATTTTGACATTTCTTCTGTTATGGTCTGAATGTTCGTGCCCTCCGAATTCACATGTTAAAATCCTAATCCTCAAGATGATATTAGGAAGTAGAGCCTTTTGAGGAGGTGGTTACGTCTTACGGCGAAGCCCTCATGAATGGGATCATTGCCCTGTAAAAGAGGTCTCAGACAGAGCTGCCTTGCCCTTTCCACCATGTGAGTACCCAGTGAGAAGGTGTCATTTATGAGGAAGTGGGCCTTCACCAGACACTAAATCTCTTGTCACCTTGATCTTTGACTTTCCAGCCTCCAGAACTGTGATAAATAAATTTCTGTTGTTTATAAGCCACCCAGTCTGTGGTATTTGTTATAGCAGCCTGAATGGACTAAGATGTTTCCTCACCAAAAGTTTTTTCTTTCTTTTTTTCTTACTGCAAAAAAAAGTCTTTATTCCGCCAGTTTTTGTAGTTTCCCTCTTGATTTTTCTTTCACTTTTTTTCCCTTCTTTGCTCTCAGTCAAATCCTATCTGCTCCATGTGCCATTCCATCAGGACCTCACTAATTGGCTATGCTATTTTTACCCAGGTGTTAATAGCTAAAATAATTATTTTCCTATTGGCATAAAAATTTTAATTTGGTGCATTGCCTTAATGCAAAAAACTGACTATGATGGACATTTCAGACACTAATGAATGAAGCATTTGGGGGCAAGGAAACATATTCAGCAGTTTTAGAATAAAATCATTAACTATATGCTTTCTTAAGGGGATGCCAAGCATTAAGTTCTAAACCAAGCTTAAAGATGAAAAGAGAAATAATCAAGTCTCACTTCCTAAATGCCTATAAAATTCTTACCAAATGTTTCTTCTGGATTCCCTGTAGTTGTCAAAACAATTATGTGGGACCTTACATTATATAAAAAACATAATATTTTATTTGTAAAATATTATAAAAATATATTTTATTTATAATATTTATACATATAATATTTTTATATAATAATTATGTGGGACCTTCACATTATATAAAAAATCATCAACCTACAACCTTATGGAGCCACCTACACTGAAGCAATGAATGTTTGTTTTAAAGCTAAGTGTGAGTTGGGACATTCAAGTTGTGCCTGTGTGCAGGTGAGCTGAATGGAGCCAATTTGAAATTTGACCAACAGTGGAAATGTTCTCAGAACGTGCTGTAGCAGGCCTTTCAAATGTGACATAGAGGTTATTAAGCCTCTATAACATCAAGAGCAAAATCCATACCAGACTAAAGAGTAAACCATAAGAACTTCCCCTATTTCACCCCAGCAAACTGCCACCTAAAGCTGCTCCAGGTGAAGAGGTATGTGCTCCTCCGTTAATTCTAAGAAAAATGACTCTACAGATTCCAATACATCAGCACACATAATTTTTATTATTTCTTTTTTGGATTCCATTCAGACCTGATACAAGTAAGGAGTAATCCTTGAAGATAACCCTTGCCATAAGGCCTCTAAATAAATGAGTGAATGGATGAGACATTTTATTTTAGCAAAAGCCTTATTGAAGAGTCATTTAACAAGATCCTTCTGCATATCTTCAATATACTTTTACTTCAGGTTTAAGCAATTCCATATAATATAGGGAGATAGGTTTCTGGAAGTAACTTCTTTGTTTTGTGGAACTTGATCTCATGTTTTGATTACCCCAACTCTTTCATTTTCTTCAACATTCACAACCTCCATAATAAGCAAAGAACATCTTTATTAGAGATGTCTATTGTGAAAAATTATGAAATGCTTTGGAACAGGGAAAAATACTACTGGGTGTCCTGTATAGCTCACTCTTTCAGGTTTTCTCAAAATGTCATTGTTTTTTAGCTAATTTTCAACTCTGTCAGTCATAGAAAACATAATGTAAATAATTATCATCTTTAGAAATGCAAAATAATAATGTTTGAGGGAGTGCAATTTATGACTGCCTATAGATAGGCTAGCTTTGCATCTGAATGTAAATTCATATCAATATTCATTATTGTCTAAATATATGTGGTCTTTAAATTCTACCTTTGAACAGCTGTATCTTATTACTTCTTTCATTAATAAATTAAGACTTTTGATATATGTTAATTCTATATTTGTTAGATTATGATTTTACCTTTGAATAAATTTATTTTTAATATCCTTTTGCATTTTTCTACAGTCCATTCTCAAGCACTTTGGTGCTATTAATCCTTTAAATGATTCACTCCACTACACCACCACCTTCCCAAAGTACCAAAAGGGAGTGCCGCTAGATTTCACCTTGGGAAGGGGGGTGTGTGGTCACAAGAGTTAAGATGTCAGGTAAAATCCCTATGTGTCAAGGGGAAAAAAAAATAGTTTGATCCCTCAGGGTAGATTATCAAAAAGGAAATCAAGACTTCTCTGCCTTTAATTACTTTACCAATGAGTCTTTTTTATTACCTTTATTTCATTTTTACCCTCTAACAAGTAGAGAAAGAGGGGATATTCAGATATATAAATATGGCAAATAAGCTGACAGGGTTGTCCATGTCAATTAAGAGTCATAAGACATTTGTGAGGGAGACAATCAGTTCTAAATCCAAGTCTGCGAGCTATCATTTAAAACTTTTACTTTAACTATCTAGGTGAAATTCAAGCTAATTTTCTAGAATAGCTCTTTGTTTCTAAGTTTGGGGTTCTATTATGCCGTCTTAAATTTATTTTTATGAAAGGAAAATAATGTGGTATTTGTACCCTATAATTTTTAAATTAAATGTTTTAAAAATGTTTTGAAAATCAAATAAAAAATCTTTAAGATTTAAAAATAAAATTTATTTGCATTCAATATTTTACAACTTTATTGTAATAGAATTTATGTTTCATAAAATTCACTCATGTAAACTACACATTTCAGTGATTTTTTTTTTTTTTTGAGACAGAGTCTCATTCTGTCACCTAGGCTGGAGTGCAGTGGCACGACCTCAGCTCACTGCAACCTCCCCCTACCGGGTTCAAGCAATTCTTCTGCCTCAGCCTCCAGAGTAGCTGGGATTACAAGCACCTGACACCATGCCGGCTAATTTTTTTTTTTTCTTTACTATTTTTTAGTAGAGACGGGGTTTTGCCATGTTGGCCAGGCTGGTCTCGAACTTCGGGCCTCAAGAAATCCACCCACCTCAGCCTCCCAAAGTGCTGGGATTACAGGCATGAGCCATGGAGCCCAGCCTCAGTGATTTTTTAAATATGTCTACAGAGTATGTTCCAAACATCACTATAAACTAATTTTACAATATCTTCATCACTCTAAAAATATAGGCAGTCATCTCCCATTTCCACCCACATGTCAACCCCAGGCAACCACTATCTACTATCTCTAAAGGAAGGGTTATCTATTCTGGACATTTGTATAAATTAAGTGATAAAATATGTAGTCTTTTATGATTGGCTTCTTTCATTTAGCATGATGTTTACCAAGTCCATCCATGTTATAGCATGTATCCGAATTTCATTCATTTTTATGGCTAAATAATAATCCCTTGTATGGATGTACTATATTTTATCTGTTTACCAGTTAATAGAAATGTAAGCTCTTTCTACTTTTTAGTTATTATATATAATGCTGCTTTGAGTGTTCTTGTAAAAGTTTTTGCACGAACATGTATTTTCCTCTCTTAGCTCTATATAACTAGAAGTGGGATTTCTTGGTCATATGGTAATTCTGTTTAACATTTTGAGGAACTACAACAGTTTGCCAAAGTGACTAACAATTTTACACTCCCACCAGCAATGTATGAGGATTCTGCGTTCTCATCAAAACATATTATTGTGTTCTGCATTCTCATCAAAACATATTATTGTGTTTTTTAATTATTATGGTAATTCTACTGAATATGTAGTGCTATCTTATTGAGGTTTTTATTTTCATTTTTCTCATAACTAAGGATGGTGAGTATCTTTACTAGTGGTGAGCATCAGTAAGCATCTCTGCTTACTGGCCTTTAATGCTCTTATAAGAAGATGGCCATATAAACACACAGACAGGTAGACTGCATGATGACAAAGGGGGTGATCAGAAGTATGCAGCTGCAAGCCAAGGAATTCCAAATATTGACAGAAAACCACAAAAAGCTAAGAAGAATCAAAGAAGGATTCCTCTATCATTTTCAGAAAAAGCATGGCCCTGCTGATACCTTGATTTAGGACTTCTAACTTCCAGAACTGTGAGAGAATAAATTTCTGTTGTTTTAAGCTGCTTTCAAGTTTGTGTTACTTTACTACAGCAGTGATAGGAGACTTACACAGATTTTGGTACCTGAAGGTGAGGTGGTATGAAAAAGATACCTATAAATTTAAGTTTGTTTCCACAATGTTGCAGTGGAATTAGATAATAGGAAGAGCCTAGAAGAGTTTTAAGTCACATGGTAGATAAAGCTTATATTGCTTTATAGGAGACTATTGGCAAAAATATGGATATTAAATGTGATTCTAGTGAGTGCTCAGGAAAAAAGGGAACTGTAGAGATAGCTATTATCATTTTAAAGAAGACATATGTCAAGAAGAGAATATTGCTACAAATATGAAAGTTGCAGGTGCTTTTGATGAGGCCTCAAATGAAAATAAGGGACATGCTATTGGAAAATGGAGGAAATAAAATGCTTGTTATAAAATGACAGAGAACTTGGCTGAATTATCTTCTATTGCTGGAAGTGATAAATTAGAATATTTAGTTGAGATTATTAAGCAAAGTGGAAGATGCAGATAGGTTGTTCTTTGCTGCTAACAGGAAAATGATAGAAAAACAAGATTAATTAAATAATGAATTATTAAGCAAAAGGAACCAGAATATGAATACTTGAAAAATTCTCAGGTCATTCATATTGCAAAAAATAAGAAAGTATGCTATGGAGAGCTGGACAACCATTTGCTAAAGAGATTAGGCATTTGACCTATGGATCCAATCAACCACATTAGCAGAAATGTTACTTGCTTAAACTACAACAACTGAGATAGGACCAAATAAGACTATCTGACAAGACCCAACTGTGTAATATCTATAAGAAACTTACTTATTTCACCTGTGAAGGCACACAGAGACTGAAAGTGAAGGAACAAAAAAAGATATTCCACACAAATGGAAACCAAAAATGAGCAGGAGTTGCCATACTTATATCAGACAAAATAGACTTTAAGTCAAAAAACATAAAAAGAGACAAAGAAGGTCATTATATAATGATAAGTTGTTGATCAATTCAGTAAGAGGATATAACAATTGTAAATATAAATGCACCCAACCCTGTAGCACCCAAATATATAGAGCAAATATTATTAGGGCTAACGAGAAAGATAGACCCCAATGCAATAATAGTTGGTGACTTCAATGCCTCATGTTCAGCACTGGACAGATTATCTAGACAGACAACAGACAAAGAAACATCAGATTTCAACTACACTACAAACCAAATGTATCTAACAGACATTTGCAGAACATTTCATCCAACAGTCACAGCATACACATTATTCTTATCAGCACATGGAACATTCTCCAGGATAGACAATATATGAAACCATAAAACAAGTCTCAAAAACTATTTTTAAAAATCAAAATCATGTAAAGACCATACCACAAAAAATAATAAACTAGAAATCAATAACAAGAGGAACTTTGGAAACTGTACAAATACATCAAAATTAGGTAACATTTTTCTGAACGACCATTGAGTCAATGAAAAAATTAAAAAAACAAAAAAATTTAGAAACAAATAAAAATGGAAAGACAATATACCTATGTGCCCAGCAAAACCTATGGGCCCAGCAAAAACAGTACTAAGAGAGAAGTATATAGCAATAGTTGCCTGGGCTGGAGAGAATATGGGAAAAAATGGGATGAAGAGAGGTTAGTTAATGGGCACAGAAATATGATAGGACAGAAGGAATATGCTCTAGTGTTTGATAGTACAATAGGATAAATGTAACTATTAATAGTTTATGGTATATTTCAAAATAGCTAGAAATGAAGATTTTGGATATTCTTAACACAAAGAAATGATAAATGTTTGAGGTGATGAATATACCAATATCCCTGATTTTATCATTACATATTATATGCATGTATCGAAGATCACATGTACCCCATAAATATGCACAATTATTACATATCAATTAAAAGGAAAAATATACATAGAATTACCATTTGATCCAGCAATTCCACTTCTGCATATATACCCAGGAGAATTGAAAGCAGGATCTCAAACAGATACTTGTCTATCTCTATTCAGAGCAGCATTATTCACAATAGCTAAAATGTGGAAGCAATTGAAGTGTCCATCAGATGAATGGGTAAGCAAAATGTGGTATATACATAAAATGCAATATATTCAACCTTAAAAAGTAAAGAAATTTTGGCACATGCTGCAACATGGATAAATCTTGAGGACATTATGTTAAGTGAAGTAAGCCTGTCAGAAAAACAAAAATACTATACTATTCCACTTAAATGAGGTATCTAGAATGGTCAAAACCATAGAGACAGTAGTATGGTGGTTGTCAGGGGTTGAGAGAAGGGAGGATTGGAGATTTAGTGCTTAAGTATAGAGTTTCAGTTTGCAAGATGAAAAGCATTATAGAGATGGATGGTGTCAACGGTTGTACAATATGCAGATACTTCACACCACTGAACTGTACATTTAAAAATGGTTAAGATGCTAAATTTTATGTTATGTGTATTTTGCCACAATAAAAAAACAGAAAACAATTTTTAAAAGAAAGGAGGAAGAGGAAGAAGAAGAAGGAGGAGGAGGAGGAGAAGGAAACCGACTTCTGTGTCATTTGGGATTCTACAGGCAGGAAATGGACCAATAGAACTACTTAGCCCCAAACAAGTGTTATCCTTCAAGAAAAAGGACGAATGTGCCAGGAGGATTACTGCTTTCACCACAGGCCCAGAAAGCACAAGCTCAGGGATCAGGGCTGCCATGCCCGTGGTCCCAGAGGCTGGGCCTACCTCCTCCATCCAGGCTAAGGGTGGGGGCTGCCTCCCAGTGTACTCAGAGGATACCGTATCAGTCACAGATTATTCCCAAACCTTGAAATCTACTGGGATTTGCCCTGCTACATTTGAGACTTGCTTGGGACTCATCATCCTCTTTTCCTTGCGATTTCAAATGGGAATGTCTATCCTACACCTGTTCCACCATTATATTTTGGAGGGAGATAATTTGTCAGGCTTCACAGGTTCACAGAGTAGAGAGAAATTTTGCCCCAGAACAAATCATACCCCAAGTCTAACTTATACTTGATTTAGGTAACAGATGAGATTTTGAACTTAGAGTTAATGATAGCATGAAGCTCATAATACAAAACTAAAACACAAAATGAGAAAGGCAACAATTAGTGAGAGTCGCAGAAATTCCATTATTTCACGAAGTAATAAAGAATATAAAATCAATTTGTTTAAAATGAGAAAAAATAAACAGTGACATCAAAAGATAATAAGGCAATCCTAATAACAAAAATATCTTATATGACTACAATAAAATAAAATTCATGACTAAATTTTTAAAACAAAGAAAACACACCTTTCAAACTTTAGAAAATACATTCCTATATATGCATGAGTGATAGAATAATTTATAATAAAATTTGATTAAAAATTTATATAAACAATAATTAAAATGCCACATAGCAAAATTCATGGGATAAAACAAAAGCAGCATTTGGAGGGAAATGCTTATTTTGGAGAAGAAATAACCAAATAATAAAGTGTTAAGCCTTCTAACTTACAACTTAGAGAAATAATAATTGTCTATATATGTGAGACAAGTCTCTCAATAAGTATGGCAAAAAATATAAATGCAAACGTAAAATGATTGGAAAGGTAAAAGAGACACTACTCACAACATTATTATTGTGCATTTGTGCCTCCCAGAATCTAAAACATCTTATTATGTTTTAGAAAGACCAATATTTAATGAATAATTGTGCTTACATGTATCTAGGTATTAGCAATAGATATTTTTATAATATGTCCATTAAAAATATACTGTCTATGATACATCAAAATTGAAAAGCACATCATGCTCAGTTTCCTAAAAATAAGGTGTCTAAGGCTTTAAATCAAAATGTAAAATTTATTTCAAAAACATTAAAGGTCTACATAAGCCATATTCAGAATAAAATGACAAAATAGGTCAATTTTTCCAAATGAATTTATAAATTTAATGAAATTCTAATCATCTCAAAAAGGTGGTGGTTCTTAGTGAATTAATATTTGATAAGTGATGCTGATGTAACTTTATCTAAATGGAAAATATATAAATAAGGAATCATAGATCGTGAGGTACTAAAAAATAAGTCACATATTAAAGACAAATATGAAAAAGAGTAGTTATACAAACTTAAAAAGAAAATATGATAAAATGGCGGCTGCGGTTGCTCACGCCTGTAATCCCAGCACTTTGGGAGGCCGAGGCGGGCGGATCACGAGGTCAGGAGATCGAGACCATACTGGCTAATACGGTGAAACCCCGTCTCTACTAAAAATATAAAAAAAAGTTAGCCGGCCATGGTGGCAGGTGCCTGTAGTCCCAGCTACTCGGGAGGCTGAGGCAGGAGAATGGCGTGAACCCGGGAGGCGGAGGTTGCAGTGAGCCGAGATCACTCCACTGCACTCCAGCCTGGGCGACAAAGCAAGACTCCGTCTCAAAAAAAAAAAAAAAAAGAAAGAAAGAAAGAAAAGAAAAGAAAATATGAGAAAATAACTGTTTTTTGCATTGGAAAAGATTACTTAAACAAAACATTTAAAAACACAATTCCATAGGAAGGAGCTGATAAAAAGCACACAGTACTAAAATTAAAATTCTCTGTACAGCATCAGACATCCATAAAAAGAAGAGACAAGCTACATAATGGGAGATAATATCTGTCATGAATATACTAACATGGGATTAACAACCACAATATATTTTAAGAAGAAACTTTCACAGAGGACAAAAATAAATAAATAAGAAAGATCAACAATGGAAAAACAAAACAGGTAATGGAAATGGGAAAGTGTCATAGGAAGAGAAACGTTATCTCCTATGAAAAAGATGCTTGGCCTCCTAATATTTTGGGAAATGCAGTCACAAGACACAGTGAAATGTCATTTCTCACACATAGATTGGCCAATGATGTAAAAATTCTGATGATACCAAAAAAAGTATTCCTAACATTAATGGTAATAGAAAAATGCTGAAACAAATAGATAAATAAATATTGTTATATTTGAGACAATTGCATCCTATAGGGTAATAAAAATATATGAACTAGAGCTATATGTGACCACATAAATAATCTTTTTTTTTTTTTTTTGAGACGGAGTCTTGCTGTGTCGCCCAGACTGGAGTGCCGTGGCGTGATCTCGGCTCACTGCAAGCTCCGCCTCCAGGGTTCACGCCATTCTCCTGCCTCAGCCTCCGGAGTAGCTGGGACTACAGGCGCCCACCACGACGCCCGGCTAGTTTTTTGTATTTTTTTTTTTTAAGTAGAGACGGGATTTCACCGTGTTAGCCAGGATGGTCTCGACCTCCTGACCTCGTGATCCGCCGGTCTCGGCCTTCCAAAGTGCTGGGATTACAGGTGTGAGCCACCGCACCCGGCTGACCACATAATCTTACAAATTTATCTTTGAGGAATATTGGCAACTTATAAAATGGATACAGACAGTATGTCACTTTATATAAGATGAATGCACATGAAAAGTCTGTCTCTATAGCATATATTAATACAATTATATGTAGCAAAAGTGTAAAGAATGCAAGAGGATAATAATCATAAATTCACTGTAATAATTACCTGTACAGGGGAGAAGGAAGAAAACAAAAGTTAAGACACAAAATGAGGGATAGAGGGGTTTCAGTTCTTTCTTTGGTTTCCAAGTGCCTATAATATTACATGTTTTGAGGACTGCTGCTTTCCACAAGATTCCAATATCCTCTTCTTCCATAGAGTAGAATTTAAGCTAGTCATATGGCTAGACTACATTAAACAATTCCTTGCAGTAAGGTGTAGACCTGTAACTTAGGCATAGCCAATAGAATGATGTATATCAGTTTCTGGCCTAAGCATTAAGAATGCAGATATGTTCCCACATTCCTCATCTCCTTTCTTTTTCCAGTGGGATTTAATTAACATGTGGTATTAACCCAACTTCAATACCAATCTTTAGATGGAGATAGTGGAGACACAAAATCAGGGAATTTGAGGACCTTCTGAATGATTGTAGGGAGAAGTCTATTATTTTACAACAGCTGCTTTGCAACAGTAATATTAGTAGTAACACAAGATGATGAAACAAACTTCTACCTTGTTTATATCATTAATTTTTGTGTCTATTTATTACAACTGTTTATGTTTAGCTAATATTATGAATTTTATGTCTAAAATATTCTATAATATAAAATGAGAAAGAGCTTAGCACATCTGCTATTCTGTTCTCAATGTCTTAAGTAATTTAATGCATTAAGCTTTAAAAATCCAAAATGTATAAAAAGAACATATAATAAAATAATTTTGTTTGTGATATGTACAGAATTTCTATAAAGTATATAAATGATTAACATTTTTTATGTATTAGCCATGAAGGTGAAAACAAATTTTAAAACCTACCAGAGATATGAAACATAACTTATTTCTAACTTATCTGACATTCCTCTCCATTAATCTCTCAGTGAAATAATAGATATAATTTTATAAATTAAACTGAACATAATTGCTTTGTTAAAAATAAATGCTAACAGACTTTAGAAATTACTGCTTCCAATTAGCAGCACGTATTTTCATTGAACAATGCAATTTATTCTACCTTTTATAAAACTGTAAAAAGAATACTTAGCAACATTGTTTTCCCGTGTTAGTCCAAAAAAAGTGATGTAGATGTCTTTTTCCTCTAATATTACTTCTATACCTTTCTTTTGGAAATGTCCATGTTTCCATTATTTGTGACTCTGTTTTCTGACTATCAAGAGGTCCCACCACCAGTGCTGTAAATGTGGGGAACTGTCTAAGGCTAAGCCTAAACATAGTGACTTTTTTCAGATGTGGGCAAATAATCTATGAAAAATTGATGTTTATTTCAGGAACTTTATATGAACACTGAAAGAAGGTGCTTTACTAATTCTTTGAGAACAGCTATAAGGAATGTATTGTATATATTGTATCCATCAGTATCCTTTCAGGAGAACAGAAGCTATCTTCATCTTTTTAAGCAGAACTGGCTCTAGGACAGGTTATTAGAGGTTTACACAGCCTTTGGAATAGCCTGAAGTAAAGGTTAAGAGGCCATTGCCAGGTCTCAGTAAAATTAGAAGTGCAGGATTTACAAGCAAGCATTCCAGTGATTTCAAATGCTGGCAGCAATAATATGGATGATTCTAACAGAATTTCAGGAAGTTAAAACTCATGTCTTAGACTGTTTCTCCTCACACAGCTGGCCACAGGTATGTGTTTTCTTTCTCTTAGTCTTTCCAACCTTTCCAAAAATATGCTACTAACTGCAACCTAACAGGAAAATTTGCTGAGAAGGAGCTAAGGAAAGTGTAGTTCCCAGATATCATCCTTATGATGTGGTAGAGAGTATGGAAGGCAACAGGAATGATGCTGCTGTAGCAACAGGAAATCTGTTACACAGAATTGGCCTACACCCATCTAGCTTCCATGGAGAGGAAGCCTGCCTGCAAGTGTATGTCATTAGAGTCATACAGAGCTGAGACATAGAATTCTAATAATATTTTTCAGCCCTGTGACTCAGCCATCTCTTAGATTACCAACTTATGTATACCAATTTGTCCTTTTATTTCATTAGTTGTTGTGCATGTGTTGAGTTTCTGTCTGTAAAAACCAAGAGAGTCCCACACAATGCAAACAGAAATAGAACAGTGTAGTGGACTATGAATTTAATATCTTCTTCCTTTGAGTATGGGCAGATAATGCCTAACAAATGAATGGTGTTTTTGTTAGCTAGAGCCACCAAAAAAAAAAAAAACCATAGACTTGGTGGCTAAAACAACAGAAATTTATTTTTGCACAGTTCTGAAGTTCTAGAAGTTTGAGATCAGGATGTCAGCATGGTTGAATTTTGATGAGGGCCATCCTCCTGACTTATAGACAGCTGACATCTCACTGTGTGCACACATGGCCTTTCTTCTGTGCATGTGTGTGGGAAGAAAGAGAGACAGCAAGCTCTGTTATGTATCTTCTTATAAGGGCACCAATTCTATTATAATGGCACCACCTTCATGAAGTAATCTAAAACTAATTATCTCTCAAAGGTCTCTCAAAATTAACAAAGGTTAATTTTGTGTTTCAACTTGTCTTGGCCATATGGTGCCCAGATAGTTGGTTAAACATTATTTCTGGTTGTATTTCTTACAGTGTTTCCAGAAGAGATTAGCATTTGAATTGGTAGACTTAGTAAAGCAGATTGTCTTCCCCCATGTGGGTTGGCATCATCAAATCTGTTGAGGGCCTGAAAAGAAGAAAAAGGTTGGGCAAGGTGGAATTTGCTCTCTCTGCCTGACTCCTGGAAGCTGAACATCAATCTTCTCTTGCACTTAGGTTGAACTTACATGATTGGCTTTCCTGGATCTCAGACCTTCAGACTCGGAATGGAGTTGACCTGGAACTACACTACCAGCTCTCCTGGGTCTCCAGCTTGCAGACAGTAGCTTGTAGGGCTTCTCAGCCTTCATAATCACATAAGCAAATTTCTTATTCTCTATACATATATACTCCTATTGGTTCTGTTTTTCTGGAGAACTTTGGCTAATGCAAGCCCTATCTCCAAATGCCATCATTTTGGGTATTAGGGCTTCCACATATGAATTTTAGGGGATACAATTTCATTCATACCATTCCACCAATAGCCCTGCAAAATTTATGTTCTTCTCACATGCACAATACATTCATTCCATCCCCAGAGCCCTAAAAGTCTTAACTCATTTCAGGATCAACTCTCAAATCTAAAGTCCAAGGTCTTATCTAAATAGATCCACACCAGTTGGGTGAGACATGAGGTACAATTCATCTTGAGGAAAAACTGCCTCCTCAGCTGTGAAACTGTGAAACCAGAACCTGTGAATTCCAAAATACCATGCTGGACAAGCAAAGAATAGACATTTCCATTCCAAAAGGGATAAATGGAAATAGGAAGAGGTGATGGCAGCCCAAGTAAGTCAAAACATAGTGAGAAAAATTCTTTTAGATTTTTTTCTTTTTCTTCTTTTTTTTTTTTTTTTTTTTTTTTTTTGAGACTGAGTCTCACTCTGTCGCCCAGGCTGGAGTGCAGTGGCATGATCTCAGCTCACTGCCGCTTCCACCTCCTGGGTTCAAGCAATTCTCCTGCCTCAGCCTCCCGAGTACCTGGGATTACAGGTGCCTGCCACTGCGCCCAGCTAATTTTTGTGTTTTTAGTGGAGATGGGGTTTCACCATATTGGCCCGGCTGGTCTCAAACTCCTGACCTCGAGTAATCCGCCCACCTCAGCCTCCCAAAGTGCTGGGATTACAGGCATGAGCCACTGCACCCAGCCAAAATTCTTTTAGATGTTTAAGGCTCAGGAATAATGCTTTTGGTCTGATGGTCTGCCTCCAGGCCAGCTGGAGTGGTAGCATCACCCCCAGAGCTCTGTGGGGCTGCCCTGACCCTTCAGGTTGGTGGGGCATAGGTCTTATTGCTACCTCCGAGGGCCGCACCCTCTGAAACTGAGGAGGAAACAGCCTTTTCCCCTAGGCCTATGTTTAGCATGGCAGACCTGGTGATGTGTAAATCACCTTTGGGGTCATTCTTCTCTTGAAGAATAACACATGTTAATGGCAGAATAGCTCTATGGTCCTGTCCTGTATAATCCAAGAAGGTCAACAGCCCCACTTCATTTCATCCCATCTCCATTTCCTTCAGTTCAAACAAGCATTGTTTCTGCTGGTACAATGCCATCTCTATTCCTGGCTTTTGCAGAGATTGATAATTAAATACAAAGTTCATACCCATGACCTCTTTTTCAAATGGTTGTTCAGCCACATGCAGTATTCTCTCAAGGACAAACTTTCTCAGTTTTTGCAATATAGATAGGCTAAAACTTTTTCAAATATCCAAGTTCTGGTTCCTTTTTGTTTAATAATTATTTCTTCAATTCATCTCTTTCCTATTGCATTGTACTATAAGCAGTCAGGAAAAGCTAAAGCACTCCTTTAACACTTTGCTTAGAAATATCCTCAACTAATATCAAAGTTTAATCACTTACAATTTTTACATCCCGTAATATACTAGAACAAGCCAAGTTCTTTGCCACTTTATTACAAGATCACCTTCCTCCAGTTTCCAATAGCATATTTCTCACTTCCACCTGAAATATAACCAGAATGGCCTTTAATACCCACATTTCTACCAATATTCTGTCACAACTATGGATGTATTCCCTAAGAGACGGAAGCTTTCTCTCCAGCTCTCCTCCTTGTTCTGAGTCCTCACTAGAATTGCATTTAATGTCCATATTTCTAGTGTGCACCAGAAAACTCTTTCAGCCGCTAGCCATCACTCAGTTCCAAAACTGTTTCCACATTTTTGGGTATTTGTTGCTGCAGCAACCCACTCCCAATACCAAAATCTGACTTCGTTTGCTTGGGCTGCCATAACAAAATTGCGTACATTGGTACTGAAACGACGGAAATTTATTTTTACACAGTTCTGAAGACTAAAACTCTGAGATCAGGGTGCCAACACGATTGGTTTCTGGTGAAAGCTCTCTTCCTCGCTTGTAGATGGCCAGTGTCTCACCGTGACCTCACACGGCCTTCCCTCAATGTGTGCACACAAAAAGAGAGAGAAAGGGAGAGAGAGAGCATGCTCTGTGGTGTCTCTACTTATAAGGGCACTAATTCTATTATGAAGGTCCCATTCTCATGACCTTATCCAAACCTAATTATCTCAGAAAGGCCCTATCTCCAAATACCAACACATTAAAGGTTAGGACTTAAACATATGTATTTTAAGGGATACAATTCAGTCCATAGCAGGTGGCCTTTTCAGAGATGACTATTCATGTCAAAAATAGCCAGAAATGTTTATTTGCACATAACAAGATTGTCTATGTAGAAACTCTGATGAAACATACAAAAAGCAGGCTTAGAATAAATAAGTAATTTTATCAAGATTGCAGGCTGTAAGATCAATACATAAAGCAATTATGTTTCCATATAAAAGCAAATAAAATACATAAGTGAAATATTAAAACAATACAGTTTCTAATAGCATTATGGTAAGGATAACTTTGGAATAAATCTGACAAATGATACTCAAGATCTATAAGCTGAAAATTGTAAAAGATTAATGTGAATAATTAAAGAAGACAAAAATAAAGAGATATTATTTGTCTATGCATTAGGAGATACAATATTCTTAGCATGTCAGTTTTCCCCAAATAAATCTATAGATTCAGGCAAACCCTTTAAAAATCTCAGCAGGCAAAAAATATCAATGAGATTTCACTTCCCACCAACTGAAATGGCTATTAAGAAAAAAGGATAATAATAAATATTGCTAGTAAGGTGGATTATATACTGTTGATGAGAATGTAAACGGTACAGTCAGTTTGGACAACAATTTAGCATTTTTTGAAAAAGTTAAACAAAAAGACCACATTTTGGGAAAAACTACACCTCAACAAATTAAAAAGAATAGAAATCATGCCATATATGCTGTCAGACTGGAGTGGAATTAAACTAGAAATCATCAACACAAAGATAGCTGAAAAATTCCAAAATACATGGAGATTAAACAACATATTTCTAAATAACGCATGTGTCAAAAAATCTCAAGAGAAATTTTAAAATATTTTAAACTAAATTAAAATACAACTTAAAAAAATTTGTGGGCTAGAGCAAAAGCAGTGCTTAGAAGAAATTTTATAGCATTGTATGAATATACAATAATAGACAAAAGATCTAAAATAGAAAAAGATCCCACCTTAGGAAAGTAGAAAGAGAAAAGCAAATTAATTCCAAATAAGCCAGAAAATAAAATAAAATTAAAGCAGGAATCAATGAAATTGAAAATAAGAAATAAATAGAAAAAATCAAGAAAACCAAAGCTGGTTATTTGAAAAGCTCAATACAATCAATAAGACTCTATCTAGTGTAAGAAAAACATAGAGAAGACACAAATTGCTAATAGAAGAAAATAAAATAGGGGACATTACTACAGATCCCATGGACATTAAAAAAGTAATAAAGGAATATTATAAACAAAACCATGGTCACAAATTTGATAACTTATGTAAAATGGACCAATTCCTTAAAAGACACATCTGTCAAAACTCACACTAGAATAGACATCTTGTATAGGCCTATGTCTATTAAAGACATTGAATCAATAATTAAACATTTTCCAAGGCAGAAAACAGTAGGTTCAGATTAATTCAGCAGTAAATTCTAAGAAGTCCTTAAGGAAGAAATTATATCGATTCTCCCCACTTTCTTCCAGAAGACAGATGCAGACGAGATATTTCCGAACTCATTCTATGAAACCAGCATTATCCTAACATCAAAACCACACAAAGAAATCACAAGAAAACTAAAGGCCAATATCTTTTATAAACATATCTGCAAAAATCCTCTATAAATTAGTAGCAAATCAATTTCAACAATGTATAAAAACAATTAAACACCATGATCAAGTAGCTTTACCCCAGGTATAAAATGAATGTTGATTTTCAACATTCAAAAATCAACTAATACAATCTATCATATTGACAGGATAGAAAAGAAAAATCACATAATTATATCAATACAATCAGAAAAGTAATAAATGAACACACAACCCCATTAATGATTTAAAAAAACTCAACAAACTAGAAATGGAGTGCAACTTCCTCAACTCATTTAAGTATATCTGCAAAAAAACTTACAGCTAATATAATGGTTAGTAGTATTAAATAAATTGAATCAATAATTAGTCATCAAAAGCAAAGCTTTCTCACTAAGTAGAAACAAGGCAAAGATGTCTTCCCTCACCACTACTACATTTCAACAGCATACTGGAAGTCCTAGCTAAAGCAATAACACAAGAAAAGGAAATAAAAGGTGTACAAATTGAGAAGGAAGAAATAAAACTTTTTTCACAGATGACATTGTTGCCTATGAAGAAAATTCTAAAGTTCAACAAAAAGACTCCTAGAATGAAAGAACAATTATAGTAATGTTGAAAAATACAAAGCTACTGTACAAAAGTCAATGTTTTTCTTATTTTTCAGCAATGAACAGGTGGAATTTGAAGGTAAGAATTACCATTTATATTAGCATGTATAAACATGAAATATTTAGGTTTAAATCTAATAAGATATGTACAAGATTTGTATGAGAAAAATTATAAACTCTGATGAAAGAAATTTTTAAAAACTAAATAAATGGAGAGATATTCCATGTTCATGAATAGGAAGATTTAATATTATCAGGATGTGAGTTCTTCTCAACTTGATCTATAAATTTAATGCAATACCAATAAAAATTCCAGCAATTTGTTTTGTGGATATCAACAAACTGATTCTAACATTTACGTGTTAGAGACAAAACCCACAATAGCTTAATCAATATTGAAGGAGAAGAACAAAGGTGGAGGACCACCAGTATCTGAATTCAAGACTTACTATAAAGCTACAATAATTAAGACAATCTGGCATTGGCAAATAATAGTCAAAGAGATCAGTGGAACAGACCAGAGAGCTCAGAAATAGACACTCATGAATGTAGTCAACTGATGTTTGACAAAGGGGCAATGGCAATATAATAGAGAAAAGATAATCTTTTCAACAAATGTTGCCGAAATAAATAGGCATCTACCTGCAAAATAATATAGACACAGACCTTACACTCTTCACAAAATTAACTGAAAATAGACCATAAGACCTAAATATAAAATATGAAACTTTAAAAATCCTTAGAAGATAACATAGGATGAAACCTAGATGACTGAGGATATGACAATGACTTTTTAGATACAACTCTGAAGGCACTCTCCTTGAAACAAAGAATTGATCATCTGAATTTTATTAAAATTAAAAAATTTATGTTTTCTGAAAGACAATGTCAAAAGAATGCGAGGATAAGATGCAAACTGGGAGAAAATATTTGCAAAAGGTTTGTCTGATAAAGGACTATTATTCAAAATACAAGAAGAATCCTTAATACTTCACAATAAATAAATAAATAAATAAATAAATAAATAAATAAATAAAAGCCAACTTAAAAATGGGCAGAAACCTCAACAGGAACTTCACCAAAGAAGATATTTAGATAGCATAAGAATATGAAAAAATGCTCACATCATTTGTCGTTAGGAAACTACCGACTAAAACAACGAGTTACCTTCACCTACCTATTGGAATGGCTAAAATTTAAAACACTGATAACACCAAATGTTAGCTAGGATGTGGAGCAGAAAGAACTCTTGCTAATTTTTGGTGGGAATACGAAATGTACAAACACTTTGTAACAAAAGATAGTTTGGCAGTTTCTTACTGAACTAAACATACTCTTACCATGTAATCCAGCAATCACACTCTTTGGCATTTACCCAAAGAGGCTGAAAACTTATGTCCACATAAGAACCTGCACACAGATATTTATATAAGGTATATTCATAATACCCAAAACTTGGAAACAAGCAAGATACCCTTCAGTAGGTAAATGGATAAAATCTGGTACATCTAGAAAATGGAATATAAATTAGTATTAAAATGAAATGAACTATCAAGCCATGAAAAGACATGGAGGAACTTTAAATATATGTTATTGAGTGAACGAAGCCAATCTGCAAAGGCTATATATACTGCATAATTATATATATGACATTTTGGGAAAGGCAAAACTATGGAGACAGTAAAAGATCAGTTGTTGCCATGGGTTATGGGGAAAAGAGGGATGAACATATGGAAAACAGGATTTTTAAAGCAGTGGAACTAATCAGTATATCAGTATAATAGTGGAAACATGTCATTACACATTTGCCAAATTCATAAACAACACCAAGAGTGAACCTTAATGTTAGCTATGGGCTTTGGGTGATAATGATGTGTCAATGTAGGTTCATAGGTGGTAACCAATATACCACTGCAGTGAGAGATTCTGATAGTGAGAGAGGTTATATATGCATGGGGAGGGGCATATATGGGAATGTTCTATACTTCCTGCTCAATTTTACTGTGGACCTAAAACTGTTATAAAAAATAAAATCTATTTTGTTAAAAACGTTAAACACATACTTAGCAATTCTACCCAACAATTCTAATCATAGGAATGTACTTAAGAGAGATGGAAATACATGTCCACACAAAGATTTACATACACATGTTCATAGCAGCATCAATAATTGATGTCAGAAATTGGAAACAAACCAAATATTTATCAACAAGCTCATGGAAAAACTAAACATGTGTATCATAGAATCGAACACTATTCAATAACAAAAGGAAGTGAAATGTTGCTTCATGCTACAACATGAGAGAACCTCAAAAACATCATGCTAAGTAAAAGAATTTCGGTGCAATACCACACATTGTATCATTCAATTTATATGAAATGTTCACAAAAGGAAAATCTAGAGAAAAAGAAAAATGATTAGTGGTTGCCTGGGGCTGGGGTTGAAAAAGAAAATTGCCAACAAACACAAGGAATATTTTGGAGCGATAACACGTTCTAAAATTGAAATTTAATGGTTGCACAACTCTATAAATTTGTTTACCTGTACAAATAAAAAGTGTGAATTTTGTGTTATGTAAATTATACCTCAATTATCATGTTAAAAAATGCCAGCAATTTTTTTTAGCAGATTACAAGCTGATTCTAAAATCCATAATGAAGTGCAAAGGACCTAGAATACCCAAACAACTTTGAAGAAGAATATATTCAGAAGGCTAACACTACCTAATTTCAAAACTATGAAACTATAGCAATTGATACAACATGATATTTGCATCGAGATAGATAAATAGATCAACAAAATTAAACAAAGAGTCCAGACTATGCCCACATATATAGAAAAATGATCCTTGACAAAATAAAAAGGCAAACCAGTGGAGAAAGGGTAGTCTTTTCAACAAATGATATTGAAACAATTGAATATTCTTACGCAAAAAGTGAACTTTGATTAATACCTTGCACAAGCACACAAAGTCAAAATTGATCATAGACCTAAATATAAAACCTAAAACTAAAAAACTTGCAGAAGAAAGCATAGGAGAAAATCTTTGCGACCTTATGTTAGGCAAGAAATTTTTAAATATGTGATATATATAAAACAAAATCCTTCAGGAGGAATACATTCCAGTGTTCTATTATACTATAGGATGACTATAGTTATGAATAATATATATTTTCTAATAGCTAGAAAGAGAATACTGAATGTTCCCAACACAAATGAAATGATAAATATTTGAGATAATGCATATAATAATCCTGATCTGACTGCTATACATTATATGTATTGCAATATCACTATGTACCCCATAAATAAGTATGATTATTCTGTGTCCATTTAAAAAATGTTTTAAGAAGAAAATATACAAAACAACTAGGCCATGAACAAATTGCTGATTGATATTAAGCAATTTAAACACATATAATCCATAAAAGAAAATAAACTGGGCTTTGTTAAATTTAAAAAACATCTGCTTTCTGAAAGACACTGGTAGGAGAATTAAAAGTTTAGCCACAAACTGGGACAAAAGTATTTGCAAAGCATAGATAGGATTAAGAGTTCATACCCAGAATATATATAGAACACTCAAAAACAAACAATGAACACACACACCCCTAAAAATAAGTCCAACAATTTGAAAAGACACTTCATCAGAAAAGATATGTTGAATTTCAAATAAACACATGAAAAGGTACTCCACATCATTAGTGATTAGAGTAAAGCAAATTTAAACTACAGTGACATACCGTTACACACCTAACTTTAAAACACTGACTATACCAAGTGTTGGTTAGGATATAAAGGAAATAGAGCTTCTTTACCAACTGGTAGAAATATGAAGTACTATAACCACTATGAAAACAGTTTGGCAGATTCTTAAAATGTTAAGCATACAACTACCAGATTATCTTGCCATGTTACTCCTAAGTATTCTCCCAAGAAGAAAGCGATGTCTACATAAAAACTTGTGCACAAATATTCATGGAAATTTTATTTGAAATAGTCAAACGCTGAACACAACAACAATGTCATCAGCAGGTGAATGGATAAACAAATTGTGGCATATTCATACAATGGACTGCTACTCAATAATGAGAAATCAACTATTTACACACTTAACATAGATGGATCAGAAAAATTATTATGCTACCAAAGGTAGATGAAAAAGAAGAGTACAAACTGTTTTATTCCGTTTTTATAAAATTCCGCAAGGTACAAACTAAACCACAGTGACAGAAGACTGATCACTGCTTGCCCAGGGAAGGGCAAGAAGAAGGCTGGGTGGGAGGAATTACAACAGAAAAGAAGCTCTAGAGAGTGAGGTAGAAGTGTATTATCTTGATGGTGATGATAGTTTTACAGCTGTATACCTATGTGAAAACTTATCACATTGTAAGATTTAAATACATGTATTTCTTATAGGTCAATTATACTGCAATAAAATGATGAGGAAATGAGGACTACAAGATAAATTTAAACAAGAGGTCAAGAGCCAGTTCAAGCAGGCCTAGAAGAGTTTTTAAGGATTTTTAAAATTTTAAGTCAAAAGGGAAATCATTAAAATACATATATATGTGTATATATATATGTGTGTATATATATGTGTGTGTATATATGTGTGTGTGTGTGTGTGTGTGTGTGTGTATATATATATATATATATAATCTTTTTTTTTTTTTTTTTTTTTTTTGAGACAGCGTCTCGCTCTGCCACCCAGGCTGGAGTGCAGTGGCGCGATCTCGGCTCACTGCAAGCTCCGCCTCCCGGGTTCAAGCCATTCTCCTGGCTCAGCCTCTCAAGTAGCTGGGACTACAGGCGCCCGACACCACGCCCGGCCTAATTTTTTTTGTATTTTTAGTAGAAATGGGATTTCACCATGTTAGCCAGGATGGTCTCGATCTCCTGACCTTGTGATCCGCCCACCTTGGCCTCCCAAAGTTCTGGGATTACAGACGTGAGCCACCGCATCCGGCCTTTTCTTTTCTTTTTTTCTTTTTTTTTTTTTTTGAGACGGAGTCTCGCTCTGTTGCCCAGGCTGGAGTGCAGTGGCGTAATCTCGCCTTACTGCAACATCCACCTTCCGGGTTCAAGCGACTCTCCTGTCTCAGGCCCCCGAGTAGCTGGGACTACAGGCCCACGCCACTACACCAGGCTAATTTTTGTACTTTTAGTAGAGACGGGGTTTCACTACGTTGGCCAGGATGGTCTCCATCTCCTGACCTCGTGATCCACCCACCTCGGCCTCCCAAAGTGCTGGGATTACAGGCGTGAGCCACCACACCAGGCCTCAACAGCCATATTTCTTAATAACAATCCTTTACTCCTCTGTAGTGTATGAGATGTTGCCTTGGGAATATGTGAATAAGTGATTTTTTTCCTCTATTAAGAATGTATGAAAAGTTTAAATTAGCAGTAAGCCAGAAGGAAAAATACACTGGAATGCAGTAATTATGAACTATCATAAACAGCTGTGCTAAAGCAGAATTTGTGTAATTAATGATAACCTAAACAGAGTATTAAAGGTTCTTGTACTGTTTTGAAGTATTAATATAAATCAAATATATAAAGCCAAGGTCTTGACTCACTCACCAATACTACAGTTTTCCATATTCTCTTTCTTGCCAATTTACTCAGAATAGCCTGTTTTCCCCAAGAACAGAGGTAAAAAGGACACATCTCCTCATGAAAGCCATTTGTAACAAGAAACAATCTTTACTTAAGAAGGAAGTAAAAAGTTCAATAAAGTAATTAGGAAGCTAAAAATGCTCTTTCAATTACACCTTTTGAAGCCTTCACTTAATGTTTTGCATCCAAAGTTGGTCGTTTATATCCTAGGCATGTGGAATTGATTTTTATCCTCAGGATACACATGCAAGGTTCTACTTACTCAAAAGATCCAGGAATTTGCAGGATTTGACTGACAAAATAAAAGCTAAAATGTTAATCCCATTGCTGACCTTTGTACTACTGCAAAAATTTGCCTTTCCTGGCATTTTAAGCTAGATAATGTTATTTGGTAATAACGTGTGCATAAAAATAGGTTCGTGTGATAATTAGCAAACAGGACTCTACCAAGTATAGATAAAATCTTAATTCTCAAGTTAAAATGGAAAAGTGTCCACTACATTTTTTAATGATATCTCAGAGCTGCCCTTTTGGGGTGGGGAGTGTCATTACACTATGTTTAAAATAAATAAACTTTTAAAAATTTTGTGTTAAAATGTCTTTAATTGATTTATTTTTATCACTGTTTTAACTTTATTAAAATCTTCATAAAACTAATTTTGAGGAATGCTAACTCTCCAAAATGTTACCAAAAAAATGCTGATAATACAAGGTTGTTTATTTATACCACAATTAGGAAGAACACTACCTCAGCACAGTGTGATAACATCTCAGTGGGGAAAAGTCAAAATTGGGGTATTTATTAAAGATATGAATTCTTGTTTAAGGTACATTATTGTAGTGGGAATAGGACTGATCACAATTCTCTTTTCATATATTTTTTAAATACTGTGGTAGCATCAACTTTTCAGTTCAATTTATATTTCAGTGTTTTAAATTTCCCTTTTTAGGGGTGGGATAAGGATTTATTCTCCAATAATTTTTGAATACCTTACCACACTTAGCACAATAGCCTTGTTCACAGTATATAATCAGTAAAGACATGTTTTAAATTACATATGAATTAAAAATAAGATTTTTATTTTCCTTTTTTATTAACTTAAAATATCACCATCAAAAAATGTTATCCTTAGTAACGTCTAAAATAACTTTGATGCGTGTTGAATTTCTCTTCAGACTTCATCAACTGGATTGAAACATTAATCTTGACTTAATCATTGTGTTTATAATCTCTATTAAATTCTAGTCGGAATAATTCAACTATGGCCTACATAACAAATCATAAAGCTCCTCTATCCAAAACCTTTGAAACCAGCATAATGAGATGTTCTTTAGTCAATATAGTGCTATGTTACTTGATGGAACTAACCAAATGCTTGATATTAAAGTATTGATACGTTATTAAGCAGTTATAAGTGATATCTGAAATCAAAGGAAACTCTTATAAAAGCAAATGAGAATTTCCTTTTATGAAAATTTCCACGAGACTAATTTAGTTACACTTAAAGTCTAACCTCACGTTTTAATCTTTGCTCCCTGGGTACCAGACTTTAGGAACAAGAGTTCTTATTTATTGAACCCATAGAAGGAATAGGAGCCATTTTTGAATACCTGATATTATTATACATTCTGGGTAACTCTTACACATCTAGTTCTTTCTATACTTAAGATTACAAATACATAACCATTGCTTTTCTTTTTTCTTTCTTTCTTGTTTTTTTTTTGAGATGGAGTATCGCTCTGTCGCCCAGGCTGGAGTGCAGTGGCACAATCTTGGCTCACTGCAACCTCCGTCTCCCGGGTTCAAGTGATTCTCCTGCCTCAGCCTACCGAGTAGCTGGGACTACAGGCATGCACCACCACACCTGGCTAATTTTTTTGTATTTTTAGTAGACACGGGGTTTCACCGTGTTGGTCAGGATGGTCTCAAATTCCTGACCTCAAATGATCCGCCCACTTCGCCCTCCCAAAGTGCTGGGATTACAGGCATGAGCCATTGCGCCTGGCCTAACAATTGCTTTTCAAAAACTGCTTTCCACATAGGACTCTTTTTCATCCTTTCTTTTTAAGACTATGAGGAGTTTCACAGAGGAAGTGGATCATCAAATATGATGCATGTTTATCTCCATTCTTCTGTTTTCAGAAGAATTTGTCTAGGCTTTCATGATGGTAATGGGGAATCAGTAGGCATAGGTTCTAGTTTTTCTTAGCTGTCACTTCTTGATTTTTTTTTTTAACTATTTTAAGCCTAAGGGAGGAGATCAGACAAGATCTGAGTTTTCCAGACTGTATCCAGCATGGAATATGTAACAAATAATTTTTCCTTCCTTAGCATAATTGCTTGAATATAATTTATACAAGACTTTTTTTAATTCCTGAAATGCTGTCATTGCATTTTTTTCTACTCAAAGACAGCATAATGAGTGATAATATCACTATTTCAAAGATAACTTTGAATTTACTCTAGTACATAAGTAAATTGTTCCAGAAGTACTAATTTATTGTGACACACATTATTACTGTCTATGACACATGAGGATGTCATATCATGGTTAAGAATCAAAGGCTTGGCCGGGCGTGGTGGCTCACGCCTGTAATCCCAGCACTTTGGGAGGCCGAGGCGGGCAGATCACCTGAGGTCGGGAGTTCGAGACCAGCCTGACCAACATGGAGAAACGCTGTCTCTATTAAAAATACAAAATTAGCCAGGCGAGGTGGCACATGCCTGTAATCCCAGCTACTAGGGAGGCTGAGGCAGGAGAATAGCTTGAATCTGGGAGGCAGAGGTTGCAGTGAGTGCAGATCACACCATTGCACTCCACCCTGGGCAACAAGAGCGAAACTCCATCTCAAAAAAAAAAAAAAAAAAAAGAATCAAAGGCTTAAATTATTTCTTAAATTATTTCTAATGCCTATGAAATCCATAGGGCCTGTGAATTTACATATTAAAATGTATCTAACATCACATGTCAAATGCAATATATGACCCACAGAAGCACACTCCAAGTAGCATGCAAAGATGTGGGTCCTGTAGTTAGCAGGGCACATGACAAGTTGTTGAGAGGTAAGGCAAAACGGAATTACAACAGCAAGCCGATTCTGCTATACCTTCCTGCAGCATCACAAAACTACATTGGATTCAAATGATAACAGTCTTCTATCACAGGAGGTTTTACTATTGCTGCAGCTAATTTGCACTTGAGTCCATTATTAGCATCTTAGTCTTCTTGCATTACTAAGAATTGTGCAGGGCCATTATGACCTGGGGTGAAATTTCTTACAATCAAGGTTTCTGTATTCTAAGAGTTTATACTTTGAACTAGTCCACTCCAGCTCAGACAAATAAGGAAAGAACACATATTAGCATATGACTAAAAAAACCTAATAATTCATTTTTGCATCAAAAATAAATTTTCCAACAAGTGTGATTGCAGTGAAGTGTAAATAACTAACATTTTAAATATAATAGGTAGGCAGAACAAATAAATGTTATCTGAATAAATAGATAGAAATCACTAGGGGAACTGTGACTATAACATCAACAATGTCAACAGAACTTTTCGTGTTCAGCTAAATTATCTAAAAAGAATTTCAAAGAAAGTCTACTCATTTCTGGCCGGGCATAGTGGCTCACGCCTGTAATCCTAGAAATTTTGGGAGGCCGAGGTGGGTGGATCACTTGAGGTCAGGAGTTCGAGACCAGCCTGGCCAACATGGTAAAATCCCATCTCCACTAAAAATACCAAAATTAGCCAGGTGTGGTGGTGGGCACCTGTAATCCCAGCTACTCAGGAGGCTGAAGCAGGACAATCACTTGAACCAGGGAGGTGGAGGTTGCAGTGAGCTGAGATTGCGCCACTGCACTCTAGCCTGGCAACAGAGCAAGACTCTGTCTTAAAAATAAAAAAGAAAAGAAGAAAGAAAGTCTACTCATTTCTATTTTCAATGGCTTCCCTCTCCATTATAGGATTAAGAGCCAGTGTTGGCAATTTTCTTTGCAATTTGACCTATCCCAGAGACTCTATTGCCTAAGGATGGTGGAGAAAAGAAAAAAGAGGTAATATGAAAGGATTAAAGGACTTATGGAAAATTGTTTATTTTCCTTTTTATTTATTATTATTATTTCTATTTATTTTTTTATTTTGAGACCCAGTTTCACTGTGTCGCCCAGGCTGGAGTGCAGTGGTGTTATCTCAGCTCACTACAACGTCCACCTCACAGGCTCAGGTGATCCTGCCACCTTAACATCCCAAGTAGCTAGGACTATAGGGGCACACCACCATGCCCAGCTAATGCTTTTGATGTTTCCCAGGCTGGTCTGGAGAAGCTGGGCTCAATCAATCTGCCGGCCTGGACCTTCCAAAGAGCTGGGATTACAGGAATGAGCCACTGTTCCTAGCAGAAAATTCTTATTCATAATGATTGCTGTTCCATGTGAGGAATTTGCCAGTCAATGTGAAGAGCATGAAGTTGTTAGGACTGAGTGTTGTTCAAAAGCATGAAGACTGTACCCCAAGAGCAATCAGAGAAGATTTTACCTGAAGGTAATATAATTGAGTGGAAGGATAGCATAAAAATTTATTACTTGGTCAAATAGCTAAAAGCACATGCTAGTACAACTAACTAAAAGTTTATATAGGCCTTAAAGATGATAGTAAAGCTTGTGATGAGGCTCGTCATTATAAAGTGCCCAGGGTTGTCATTCTTCCTGAGGGGAGAACTATATAGTTTCCTCTTATTATAAGTCATATTTTTGTAACCCTGAGAATGGCCATAAAATGACCTTACTAGATTTCAGAGTTCTTCCATGAAACAGTGTACACACCCTACCAGGCCTAATTTTCTCCATAATATAACCGATGGGAAGTGAGTTGGTGGGAATAAGAGCTTCCCAGGCTTTAATCTGTTCCTGATTTTTAACAACTCTTTTGAGGGAAAAGCAGCACATCATTTTGGAATGGATAAAAAATGGAACAGATTATGGAAACAGTCTAATAATAACCTGCACCATTTGGAATCATTAGCTAACTTACACTGCTTTAAGAGAAGGCAATATATTTTTTATCCCCATTTTAACAAAGAGAGAAATATTCTTCAGATGGCCAGCAGCAACTCAAAGAACATCACATCATACTTGATTTATTACTGAAAATCGTGGGAACAAGCCTAGTTTCTGGTCTACATGAAAATATTACTTCAACTTAAAAATCAGTTGATACTTGGTATGCTTGTTTTTCTGCAGGTACTGATATTTCACTCATTTCTACAACATTGTTTTCTTCTACTTTGAAACATTTTGGCAAATACATTCATATTTTAATAATATAATGTTTATTGACCTTTCAAAATTAGAAATTATTGTATGCACATTTTTTAAAACTCTAGAAAACAAAAAAATTAAAGTATGAAAACTTTTTTAAAAAAATAAATAGAATCCTATCTCTTACCACCAAGAGACAAATACTGTAATGAGTTAATTTTGCATATCAATTTGGCTAGTCTACGGGTGCCCAGTTGTTTGGTTACCAACTTTTCTTAGATGTTGCTGTAAGGTATTTTATATTTATAATCACTAGACTTTAATAAGGCAGATTACCCTGCATAATATGGCTGGGCCTTATCCAATCAGTTGAAGACCTTAATAGGAAAAACTGTTTTTTCAGAGAGGGAGGAACTTGGCCTCAAGACTATAACATAGAAATTCTGCCTGTTCTCAGCCTGCTGGCCTGATCTATAAAGTTCAAACTCAAGACTGCAAGTTTAAATTTTGCCTGAGTTTTCAGCTTACTGTTTTATCCTGTGGAGCTCAGACTTGCCAGCCGCCAAAATCACATAAGTCAATTCTTTAGAATAAATATCATACATTACTCTCTCTCTCTCTCTCTCTCTCTCTATATATATATATATATGAATAAATAAATAGCATATATATGATATATATGTATAGATAATTTAGATGATACATATGATATGTCTGTATATATGTATAGTAATATGTATGTATATCTGTGTATATATACATATATAGATATATATGTGTGTATGTGTATACTGCTGTTTGCTGCTGATAAATCACAACTAAGTGCCTCTCTGGTAATTGTAGTAAGCCAAAAGGTATTAACATGCAGTGCCCAAGTTTACTCCACGCATCTTGTTCCCAATGATGAGTTAAAGTGAGGGTAATGCCACAAGCCAAAGAATGCAAGAAACCACCAGAAGCTGAAAGAGTCAAGGAAGAATCCTCTTCTAGAGCCTTCAGATGGAGTGTGACCCAGCTGACATGGGATTTCAGAGGTTCAGCCTCCAGAATTGTGACAGAATAAATTTCTGTTGCTTTAAGCCAATAACTTGTTATAACAGCCTTAAGAAACTAATATCACTCCCCAAGAAAAATCTTGCATGTAACTCTATCTGAGTCTCATGCTGAGACACATGACCCAAAACAGTGGATTCCAGGAGTGGTCCTAGAAAATAAAAACAATAACATCCCCAAACATGCCATAACTGTAAAATTGTTACATTTTCACCCATGGTGAATGAGAATGGGATACTGGTGGAAGTTAATGCGTTGGTTGATGCATACGTCAGGTGCTTGGGAAATGAGCAAGGAACTGTAACTCTAATAAATCTTACAGAAATATAAAATAAGATAGTTCTTGGTGGGGGTTATTGACGTTGTGTTGGTAAATGAAGGTTGAGGGTAATTAGTCACCAATTAAAGACC
Organism: Homo sapiens; assembly: GCF_000001405.40. Lineage (NCBI taxonomy): Eukaryota > Metazoa > Chordata > Mammalia > Primates > Hominidae > Homo > Homo sapiens. The sequence goes on from NC_000008.11 coordinate 87,862,780, forward strand.
TCTTTGGCAGCAGGTAAAAGCCAGAGGACCTCTTCGGTAGCATAAAAAGTGGCTTCTACATCTTGCAACCAGAAGGCAGGAAAAGCTGAAGACACAGTAAGATCTATAGCAAGATGCCCAGATATCCATGTTATCTACCACCACTACACCAGAGCCTCTCTTTCAGCTCACATTTAGAGAGATATGAGGAATACTTATACCTAGCTGAAAGAGGAGAGAAAAAGCCAAGTTTGGTTTATGGGTAGGTTGGTTCAATGTGTGGGTCCAAACCAAAAATGCATTACAGTTTCCTGTTAATGTAGCTTCCAGTTGATAAAGTTTCCCAAGTCTCATATTGAAATGTAATCCCGTGTTGGTGGTGGGGCCTGGTAGGAGATGATTGGATCATGGTGTAACACCATCCCTCCTAGTACCATCCTCACAACAGTGAGTGAAATCTCGTGAGATCTGGTTGTTTAAAAGTGTGTATCACTTCTCCCCTCACTCTCTTGCACCTGCTTTCACCACGTGATATGCTTCTACCCTCTTCACCATGATTTTAAGCTTCCAGAAGCCTCTCCAGATGTCAGCATAATGCTTCCTGTACAGCCTGCAGAAATGTGAGTCAATTAAACCTCTTTTCTTTATAAATTACCCAGTCTCAGGTATTTATTTATAGCCAAGCAAAAAGAGTCTAATACACCTGTCAAGCCACTTAAGGGAGGTACTGAAAGGGAGTGGTGAGGCAAAATATACTCAAATGGACAGAGTTTTGGGCAATCCCTTTGGTTATATACTTCGTCAGAAAGAGAAGTGTCCCAAGGTAAGAATATGCACGGATTCATTAGCACTGACAAAGGGCTTCATTTGTGGTTAGATATTAGGGTTGTGTAATGGAGATCTGTGAACATATCTATCTGAGTGAGGCCCAAGTGTGAGGATCTTTGTATCAATGTGTTAATGTCCAACAGAGTGCATCCATCATTAAGGAGCACTGAAAAACCAAGTAGACAAAATGACTCAAGTAGCTTAACACAGCTTGTCTTTTCTGTGAACCATTCCAGTGTTGACTCTATGTGCTCATGTAACTATGATAGCAGGGAAGGCTATGCCTGGGCTCAGTAATATGGTGTCACAATCATAAGGCCAATCCAGATTCTGCAACTGCTGAACATGTAATGTGCTAGTCACAGAGAAAAAAGTTAAAATTCACCAATACAGCACCATCACTTTTGAAGCAAGTACCAGACTGGTGGTGGTGGCAAGTTGACTTACACTGGATTCATTCTACTGTGGAAGGAGCAAGGATCTATCTTGACTGGAAAAACACATCTATCCCTGTATAGTCTGCCTATCCTGCCTCTAGGGCCTCAGCTAACACTAGTAGACAAAAAGTTTACAGTGTCAGATTCACCTGTACAACATTTCACAAAGTATCACCTTGAAAAAACAGATCCATTGCCAAGGCAAAAATTACACTGGACAAAGTTAATCAGTCAAGGAAAACTTTTGTCAAAGCTATTACAATTGGGGAGAGAAGACAGAACTGTCTGAATTTTACAAAAGGCAGAGTGTTTTCTGATCACTGGGGTGAGTACACTGAAAACTAAAGGAGGATGTTAGAGGGGAGGTTGATCATTGAAATTTTGAAATTTATCGAACACATTGAGTTATTCCTGAGTTTCCAAGTGTTTTTCTCTGTGATTTGGCCTCCTCTGTTTGCTAAATGGTGCTTATTAAAGGTAGGCTCTTAATCTCCCACCTAGACTAGGAGACAGTGATAATCTGTTCCTTGATGATTTTATTTCAAAGGGATGGCTCCCAGTTCCTTAAGACATTCTGGTATGTAGAACTTGCAAGAGGTTTTTTTGAAACATTTACATCTCAAAGGGGCAGGGATAAAACATACTCTTATAAGTTTTCTAAAGCAAGTGTTTTAAGAAAAGGGAGATCAGGGCCTAGAGCAGGGGTGTCCAATCTTTTGGGTTCCCTGGGCCACACTGTTAAGAACTGTCTTGGGCCACATATAAAATAACACTAAAGATAGATGACAAGCTAAACAAAAAAACTTATAATATTTTTTTAAAAGTTCACAAATTTTTGTTGGGCTGCATTCAAAGCCATCCTGGGTCACATGCAGCCCACAGGCCACAGGTTGGACAAGCTTGGCCTACAGCCTGTCTAATGTTTAATAGCTTAGGGGAACATTCTAACAAATAAACTGACGGCAAGATAGATCAACGGAATGACCTTTTTACGACTCTTAAAGACCGGCTTAGAGATACAACACTGCAAGAATAGAGAACCATCTTCCAGAATGCAGTACACATCCTAAATCAATAAATATCATATGGTATCTATGTATCAATAAATTTCATATGGTTTTCTACCCAATAGGTAGAATATCTAGGCCCAGGAACCAAAGGGTGGCAGTAGGAGACGCTCGGCTTACCATCACTCCCTGTGACTCATTTGGAGAATCTGTGATTCTTATCCTTGCAAACTTAATTCTGTGGGAAATCATGATTTACTGATTACGATTATCCAAAAGAAAATAACCTGCAATGAGGCACAGCAATTTTCCCATTCAATGTTAAGGTCCAGCACTGCTCTGTCACTTCAGGCTTCTCATGCCAAGAGACAGTTTACTACTGGCTGCAGAGCCAACAATGTACATCTCATCTCAACATGTAGCATCACATTAATAGCTTGAAATTGTCCAAAGTGGGAATACTTACACCATGAAAACTGCAAATGCTACCAATCAGGGCTCCCTGCCCATACCCCCAGAGCTGGCTATTAAACATTTACCAGCACACCATTGACAGCAGGCAAGGAAATGAGTCTCCATCACACAGGAGTAATTGACCTTAAAATCAGGAAGAGAAGGTATTTCACTGGCAATAGCAGTGTTATCTCTTTGAACTCAAAGAACCTTGACCTAGTCTGAGGGTCTTGAAAATCTCCTGATTATTTCCACGTGTCAGAGAACTAGTTATTACTCCCACACATAGCTAAGGAAAATCTCTAGATACATTTACCACAAAGTCTCTCAACCTTTTGGCCCCCAATAGTGGAAAGTTTTTTTTTTTTCTCTCTCTCTTTATTTTCCTGAAACCACCATTCTCTCCACAACAGGAAGGACAGTGGGAAGGACCATTTCCTCTAGGGAAAACTCCCTCCCTCACTCACAGGATGCGGTCATTTAGAGAGGGATTGTTTTGGGTTTGTTTTTTGTTTTGTTTGTTTTTTTTCTTGGTTTGTTTTTTGGTATGGACAAGGCAACTCCAATAGTTTTCAAGATAATTTCTGAAATCAGTGTTGTTCTGTATAAATAAAACCATGTGGGGAAAAGCAGCTCTACAGTCTAAATCTTTAGGAGAATATTTTCTCTAATTCCTCAAAAAAAAAATGTTTGGCTGAAGATAAACCCAATTTATATTACATTTTGCATCTTACTCCATAGTATCTACATTCAAAATTATCATTCTTAAATTAGGTAGGTAGTTATCTTACTTTCTTGTAACTATCTTGATAATTTTTTCTAAAACAAAGGATGGCTATTTCAGTTGATCTTCAGACAATTTGGCCACAATTACCTGTTCCCTTGCTTAAAAAATGTCCCTCTTTCACTACAAACACATACTTGAGTTTTTTCTCTCTAAAATGCATTTTTTCATGTGAAGACATCTTAGGGCATATCACAATATTATATTTAACATACTAGTTCTTTCCCCTCAAGTTCTTATAATATTGATAAATTGCAAATAATTGTATGTCAGAATGGCATATATGAAATGTATATTTTCCTATCTAAATGGATTCTTCTATGTAGTTTATGTATCAAATTGCATGTTGTATATAGGAAAATAGTAGAAAATAAATATCTCTGTATGTCTATTAATTTGGGGCAAATTCCTAGAAATGAAATTACTTTAATTTTAAAATTATGCAAAGTTCGAAAATTTTGCTACGGTCTTGCTAAGTCAACCTCTAGGAGTATCTAAATTTTACATTCCTCACAACTACGTATGGGGGCACTTTTTCCCTTTCCCATTTACAACCAAATTCTACCTTAAAAAGAAAGTGTGGTGGCAGTCATTCTGGCTCTTATAATTTAGGTTCATATAACTGCAGGAGCACTTAGGAACCATACATATTAGCACCTTCCTGGTCGCATGAAATTATCCAACTGTAGTGGTTAGGAGAGTTCTAGGTGTGTATTATGGACAGAATTGCGTCCCCAACAAATTCATATATTGAAGCCCTAACCCCCAATGTGACTGTATTTGGAAACAGAGCCTTTAAAGAGTTAATTAAGGTTAAATGAGGCCTTAAGGTTGGGGTCCTAATTCAATAGGAATGGTATCCTTATATAAAGGGGAAGAGACACCAGGATTGGACACACACAGAAAAGCCACGCGAGCACACAGCAAGAAAGGGAGTTGTCTGTAAGCCAATGAGATAGATCTCAGGAAAAACCAAACTTGCTGACAACTCGATCTTGGATTTCCAGCCTCCAAAACTGTGAAAAAATAAATGTCTATTGCTTAAGCCACCAAGTCTGTGGTATTTTGTTATGGAAGCTCTATAAGACTAATACGGTGCCTGATTATGTGGACAGGATTTCAGCCATGGCAAAAACTGCTTGGAGAGAGCCTGACCTGTTTGTTTGCAGAGTAAAGCCTAAGGAAGCACCTTTGGAACACAGTGTTTTTGTACATGGAGTGTCACATGTCAAGGCTTCCACGACAGGAATGCCTAGCCAGAAGGCCCACTCCAGTGCAACGTGTGGTCCAGTTTGAAAGATATTGTGTACATGACAGAGGCTTCTGGTTCAGAGCAAGCCTTTACCAGCACCGGAAGCTGAATAGTGGGGAGAAGCCCTTAATAAGAAAAGATGGCAGGGACTGAGTTTTGAAGAATGGCAGAGTTCACCTGTCATAAAAGCCCTTCAGATATAGGAAGGGTAAGAAGGATTTTCTGACCAGCTCAGGTCTTCTCAAGCAACAGGTCACTCACAGTGGGGAAGGGGTGCAACACAGGAGCACCAGGTGGGAGGAGGCCTTTCACATTGGACAAAGGCACTACAGAAGTCTTGAGCATCAGAAAGCCTTTAATCACAATAAATACTTGTTAAGCACCAGAGAATATATACTGAATAAAATCCTTATGAAAACAGCAAATGCAGAAAATTACTTAATCATAAATACAACTTTATCATACAGGCAAGAGTTCACACTGAAACCCCTTATACGCCAAACAACTGTGGGAATTTCCTTAGCCAGTGCTTCAACTCCACTCAACATAGAACAGTTCATATTAGAGAAAGGCCTTTCGAGTGTAGCAAATGGGAGATATCAGTTATCTGCAACCACACACCTACTAAGCACTGGAGAGTTCACACTGAAGAATTCAAAAGGGCATTTAGAATGCAGCAAATTTGGACATTTTTTCACATCTCCAGCCTCATTAAACATCAAGGTATCCATAATGAAGAAAGGCTTAATTAATGAAGTGAATGTGGGGAATTCTCTAACCATATCTCTAAGTCTCTTTCAACACCAGAGAATGCAGCAAGGTCTTATGAGTAAAGCAGATGTTGGAAATGATTTAGTAAAAAGTCCAACCTCATCTGACACCAAAAAGTTTGCTACAGAGAAAAGCCTTATGTGGGAAAAGCTTAAACCAAATGTCTGCTCTGATTCAGCAGCAGAAAATTCACAATCCAGATAGGCATTATAAATAAAATGAATTTAGGGAAAGCCTTCAGCCAAAGACTTAACTTTATTTGGAACCAGAAAGTTCACACTGGAGAAAGACTTCAGGAATGCAAGGAATGAAACAAAACCTGACACACACCAGAGAGACACTCTTTAAGTAGCCTTTACAACTAAATCTCATTCATCCAAATATGCATACTGGGGAGATTCCTATGAGTGTTGGATATATTGAACACTTTTTGGAGCTAAGTTGCATGTCCTCACCTGTCCAAGGACTTTACCAGAGTTATGTAGCCACTACTACCTGTGACAAAGTCAATTTCAACTCTACCAGCTGGCAGTTGTCCGTGGTGTGCATCAGCAAATTTCTGTGACCTCTCTCCAATTCCTGTAAGAAATTTTGAGTAGCCTAAGCCTATTAGGGGTTCCAGTTTGTGGAACCATTGTTTTACTCATAGATAAGACCCTTCTGTTTTAATTTCTTCTTAGTCATCCCATTGGTAAGGGAGGAATTCTAACTCTAGGGTTATGGAGATGGCTGGCCCCTGGACAGATGAGATTGGTAGCAGTTTATTAGCCACATAGACTCACAGCCTGAGGGAGGAGGACACTGCACATTGCACAGGGTCATACAGGTTTGCATTTGAGAACAAAGCGAACAATCAGGGAGATAGACTTTGTAGCTGTAAGATGTTAAGGTTACTCGTTTGCTGTGGGAGAATGGGATTGGCTTGTTTGGATAATTCCATGGGCCCGCAGGAACGTAAACCTGCTTGTCAGAAATAAGCAGGCACTGCGCCTAGTCCCCTTAATAAAAAGGGTTAATAGGCTAGGACACTTACCTGTCGGAACAGAGTGGGAAGGAAACATATTCATTAGGCCACCAGAGTTCCTCTTGACTTCACCAGATTTCAAGGCATTGCATAATAATAGGCCTTAATGGCTCACGCCTGTAATCCCAGCATTTTGGGAGGCCTACGCAGGTAGATCATTTGAGGTCAGGAGTTCAAGACTAGCATGGCCAACATGGTGAAACTCCTTCTCTACTAAAAAATACAAATATTAGGCAGGGTGCGGTGGCTCACACCTGTAATGCCAGCACTTCGGGAGGTCGAGGCGGGTGGATCACCTGAGGTCAAGAGTTTGAGACCAACCTGGCCAACATGGTGAAACCCCATCTCTAATAAAAATTAAAAATTAGCGAGGCGTGGTGGTGCCTGCCTGTAATCCCAGCTACTCAGGAGGTTGAGGCAGGAGAATCGCTTGAACCAGGAGGCAGAGGTTGCAGTGAGCCGAAATCATGCCACTGCACTCTAGCCTGGGTGACAGAGCAAGATACTGTCTCAAAAAAAGTAATAATAATAGGCCTTAATGCCTTAATTTTAAGTCTTATATCACCATCATCATTAGCTAACAGGACCTGAACTTGATTCTGCTTGCAGCTTGAAGGGAAGGTTTATCTTCTTCATGGACATTGTCGGTCTTAGTGATGCTTATTGATGGATTTTTCAAGTGTACATGTCATCCAACCCAAGAACAACTTGTTCCACATTGTTCTGGTTTCTGTGATAGTAACTTATTTTTAAAAATAATTAATTAATAGACTATTTTAGGGAAGTGTTAACATGAAATTGAACAGATAGTATAGACAGTATAAAAACTGAGCATATACCACTTCTCTACTCTGCAACTTACCCTATTATTAACATCTTGCATTAGTGTAGCACATTTGTTACAACTGATGAACCAATATTGATCATTATAATTAAGTGAAGCCTATAACTTACATTAGGGTTCATTCTTTGTGTTGTACAGTTCTATGAGCTTTGACACTGCATGTCATCCATCCATCATTACAGTATAATGCAGAATAATTTCACTACCCTAAAAATGCCTGCACTGCACCTATTGACCTCTTTCCCTTCCTGCTGAAATCTGGGAAACCACTAATATTTTTAACCATCTCTATGGTTTTGTCTTTTCCAGACTGCCATATAGTTGGAATTATACATATATATATATAGCATTTTGAGATTGGCTTCTTCATAAGTACTCATGATTCCTCCATGTCTTTTTGCAGCTTAATAGCTATTTTATTTTTATTACTAAGTAATATTCCATCATATAAGTATGTATACTAGTTTGTTTATCCATCACTTTTTGAGGAACATCTTGTTTGTTTCTGGTTTTTGGCATTTATAAATAAAGCTGCTATAAACAAAAATTGTACTAGAATAATGAATGAAAACAATACATAATCATTGCTTTATTTGCACTTATTTTATTTGCAAGTGAGGGTAAACAGATTCGCAAGTTACGTAGTCATTACATTTTCTTTTGTCAACTGCCCATAGCTGCTTTTGGACTTTTTTAAAAAAAATTACATCCGCAGCTAGTTCTTATTGAATGCTTACAATGTAAAAGGGACAATGTATACATCCTTTAAACCAATATCTACTTTATGATTTAGTTTTATTATCTAAGACATTTTACAAAGAAATAACAAGTACAGCTTACACAGTTTCCCCTGTCACACATCAAGTATCAAAAACTAATTTAACTGATTTCAAAAATCTATGCACCTAACCACTCTTTTGTATCTTCTCTATTGACCTATTCCTCTATCAATATGTAATATTACATTAACCTCATTTATGTCCTGACATCACCTCTAATCTACAGAATGGACATTTTAATAGTTGCCTAAAACTCAGCATTATTCTCTTCACCTAAAATTTTTTCACCTCAAATCCTCCCCATTTTAGTAAATGACACCAACCATCCACCAGTCCTAAAGTTAACAAAAAAGCTGCAATCTTTATGCTGTCTTTCACTTTCTAGATTACTCTCATCAGCAAATCTTACTAATACTACCTTCGAATGATCTTCCAATGCAATCATTTCTGATTTTTCTGATTATTTCTACTTCTCATAGTCAGGTCCAAGCCACAATCATTCCCTTTCCTGACCAACCTACAACAGTGTACTGTTTTCATATTTTTATTTTTGAGGTATTATATAAAGTGTGAAGTGTATAGACATACAAAATATGTATGTATCAAGGATCAAGAAAAAGAAAACAGCATTTCTAAAGTTTCCCCGTGTTACTTTCCAAACAATATCCTAAAAATAAAAGGGAAAAAAACAAACAATATCCTTTCTTCCTTCCACAGAGATACCTACTATTCAAACTGTAATCACCATAGATAAGTTTTTAGTGCTTTGGAACTTTAGAACTGAATCAGTTTGTACTCATTTCTACCTACATTTACAATCAACATGTTGAGATTAATCCACAGTTTCATATAGCAATTGTGCCTTATTTTATATTATGCTTTATCCAATTGTATGACTACAGCACAAATTATTTATCAATTTTAGCATATTGTAAAGTGAGATCATTTCCAGGCTTTGGCTATTAAGAAGTAGCCACTAACTTTATTACACGTTTTTTTGTTTTTTGTTTTTTTTGTCTTTTCTAGCTTATTGTTGGTAGAAAAACAGGCTAACACTTTGAATAAACATCTCACAAACTGCTGCTCCTAGATTACAAAAAGTCAAAGCCAATTATCTTTGACACTGAGCCCTTGAATCCTGACATTCAAGTCACAATAATAGAAACCGGAGCTGCTGTACCTTACATTCTGGAAGATGCCTCAACAAAAGCACGTTAAGGACTGTTTAAAACTTCTATTATTTAAAAAGATCCACCTTTCCTCCCATTGCCTATGGAAAATAATAAAAGGAGAATCTCAGAGATCTGCTATTGAGTTTGAGAAGGCCAAGTTTAATGATTCCAAAATGTAGCCTTAAAAACTTCTGGAGAGACTCAGATAAATGACCTCCCCCTCCTCTCCTCTCCCACTGGCCTCTTCAAGTACAGATGATGCATGTATTTCCGGAACCCAGGTAGGACTAGTCAAACAGTCTCATGCTTCTCTAAAAGGCTTCTGGTGTAAGCAGTTTTAATTTATTTTAGTTTTTGCCAATCTTCAGTCCTTAGAAAAGTGTTTTTTTGTTAAAAAAAAAAAAAAAGGGGGGGATAACTATTCTAAGGTATTCAACAAGAAAAGGAAATAGTTATCTTTTATGAAAAGGACTTTCAAGCTCTCTCAGCCCAGTTTAACTGAAACAACTTTACAGAACTATCTTCACATAAAACAGCACCTTACCCCTAGCAGCCGGATGGATGGGATCTACAAACACCGAACATCTCTTAAAATGCGCTCATAGAAACGGTAATACGATGCTCTTTACTTCTTTAAGTCAAATCCACGTTCCTCCGGGCTGCATCCTGAAGAATTAACCGTAGGAGAAACAATAAAGGTCCTCCCGGACAGCCATGAGCAGCCCTGGTGCTCCTCGGAAGCCCCCGAGGCGAGAAGAGAAGGCCACACTGGGAATGTCGTTCTCCGAGGCGGGGTATGGGGAGGGTATGGTTGTGAGCAGGTGGCCATGACGGAGGCTCCAGATTCTCGTGTAGCAGTCCTGGCCCACGGCCGCCACGACTCCTTCTTCTTCGTTCACATGCACGGGTAGGTAGGCGGAGTTATTCACATGACCTTCGTACTGTGTTACACATTTAGTGGCCCTCAAGTCCCACAGCTTGATAGTTCCAGTCATGTCTGATGACACCAGGAATTGGCCATCTTGGAGGATTTGCAGAGAAGTCACTGCTGAATCATGGGACAGGCAAATGGCCTTCCACCCGCTGCCTTGATTTCCACAGCGCAGATCAATGCCAAAGATCTCCCCAGAGCGACAGCCATTAAACAGCAAAGGAGTCATGATTGCAAACTGCTGGGCCAAGACATCACTGCTAGTCCCAAATGACTGCTGGTGTCCCGTCACCACGTTGGTCAACAGGACCTGCTGAGACAAGCCTGTACTGAAAGAGTGATACGCGTGGATGCTCAGGGACCAGGCACAGGACCAGGCATCAGGGATCTGGAAACTGCAAAGCATGCCAGGCCGACGCATTCCTGGGAAGCTACCTATGAACAGCGACGCTGGGAGCAGCACGGCACAGCTTGGAGTATCTGCAAGTCCCACGAAGCACAGCAGAAGGTGGGAATCCAAGTGATTCAGTGAGGCCCAGCACATAGAATTCACCTTCCGATTAGGGACGTAGAGGGTTTTGTGCGGGTATACCCGGAGCTCAGGGGTCGTCAGGCCTCGCATGGTGATGATGCCGTACTTGGAGCCTCCAGCTTCGACTTGGTTCACTGTGAAGAGCTGGTCAGTGTTGGTATTCGCCAGTATGCGGTTAAATCGGTCGCTTGCCAAAGAGGAGGGATCCCAGCTATGAATCTGGACCTTTTTCCTCTGCATGCAGCTTACACGCAGCTCGCGAGCTATACGGCAATAGTTGGCGAATCTGAGGAAACCTAGCTGGTTCTTTCGTAGCATGGAAGGTGCATTGAGTCCCACTCTGACTGTCTTTTTCTGCTTGTCTGCTTCCTCGAGCAGTCGCGGTCTTTTGCTCTCCATTTCGTTCGGCGGATGTTCTCCCTCCTGAGGGGAAGTTCTGTCCCGGGAGTAAGAGGAAGTACCGCTTCTTTACAAGCACGACTTGGCACGGAAGAACTTCCCGCTGCGCCTGCGCCTGTGCGTATGAGGTCGACCCGGACGAGATTCTTCGTCGCCTTGGCCCAAATCCCGAATGCTCTGAGGTGCCCTGACATAACTCTCGTTAGAATCGCGTGATCTGAAACAAGAGTTCCGCTGCTTCTCTCGAGTTTTCCCCTACTCAGACAGCTGCTTTTATTCATTTCTATTCCTGTTTAGAGATTCTTTTCCGACCCCTCTTACACACGTCATAATAGCTGTATGCATACATTTCTCTTATTTACTAAGAAGTGAAATTGGCCCAGCACTTTGGGAGGCCGAGGTGGGCGTATTACGAGGTCAGGAGTTCGAGACCAGCCTGGCCAATATGGTGAAACCCTGTCTCTACTAAAAATACAAAAATGAGCCGGGCATGGTGGCGCGCGCCTGTAGTCCCAGCTACTCGGGAGGCTAAAGCAGAAGAATCGCTTGAACGCAGGAGGCGAAGGTTGCAGTGAGCCGAGATAGCCCCACTGCACTTCAGCCTGGGCGACAAAGGGAGACACCGTCTCAAAAAAAAAAAATTTGAAAGTGGAGGGTTATTAGGTAGACATATATAGCTTAAGTAGATATTGACAAACCAATTACACTCTTGTCAAAATATGGCTTAAGTAGATATTGACAAACCAATTACACTCTTGTCAAAAGTGTATATATATCCTTGCCAATTCTTGTTGGTCAGTTTACATTTTAGATATAAATAATTTATAATTGTTTTTGTCTTCCTGTTGAAAGATTGCCATTATTATTATAAAATATTCCTTTTTAACTTTTATTTATTGATTGACTTTATTTTATTTTTGTGAGATGGAGTCGCGCTCTGTCGCCCAGGCTGGACTGCAGTGGCGTGATCTCGATTCACTGCAAGCTCCGCCTCCCGGGTTCACGCCATTCTCCTGCCTCAGCCTCCTGAGTAGCTGAGACTACAGGCGCCTGCCACCATGCCTGGCTAATTTTTTGTATTTTTAGTAGGGATGGAGTTTCACCATGTTAGCCAGGATGGTCTTGATATCCTGACCTTGTGATCCACCTGCCTTGGCCTCCCAAAGTGCTGGGATTACAGGCATGAGCCACTGCGCCCGACCAACTTTTATTTATTTTATTTTATTTTATTTTATTTTATTTTACTTTATTTTATTTTTTGAGACGGAGTCTCGCTCGTCACCCAGGCTGGAGTGCAATGGCTCTATCTCAGCTCGCTGCAAGCTCCACCTCCCGGGTTCAGGCCATTCTCCTGCCTCAGCCTCCCAAGTAGCTGGGACTACAGGCTCCGCCACCATGCCCGGCTAATTTTTTTGTATTTTTGGTAGAGATGGGGTTTCACCATCTTAGCCAGAATGGTCTCGATCTCCTGATCTGGTGATACACCCGCCTCAGCCTCCCAAAGTGCTGGGATTACAGGCTTGAGCCACCGCGCCTGGCCCAACTTTAATTTTTTTAAATCTGTGTTCTCTGATATTAAAGTATCCTTATCCTTAAACCCTTCTTGTCTAATATTTATATATGCAACCAAGATTTCTGGTTGATAGTGTTTGCTGTACCTTTTCTCACCTTTTACTTTCAACTTAAATTTGTTCTATTATGTAAATGGGTTCATATAAACAATACATTGCTGGTAAGTTTTTATCCAGTATAATAATTTTTACCTTTGAATGTGAGTGTCTAGGCAATTTAATGTTTTAACTAACCCCTTTAAAAATTCTTGAACAGTCTTAGATTTACAGGGAAATTACAAAGATAGTATAGAGCCTTCCCACATACTCTGCACCCAGTTTCCATATTATTAACATTTTACGCTAGAATGATAAATACATTGCACTAATAAACCAATATTGATACTTTATTAACTGAAGTCCATATTTTATTCATATTTCCTTAGTTTTTATCCAGTGGCCTGTTCCTGTTCAAGGATCCCATCCATGATATAATATTAATTATGTTCCCTTGTGCTTCTCTTGGCCATGACCTTTTCTTAGATTTTCCTTACTTTTTATATACATGACAGCATTGAGGCATATTGGTCACATATCTTATAGATGTCTCTCAATAGAGAGTTGTCTGATGTTTTTCCCATATTAACACTGGGATTTTATGTTTTTGGAAGAAGACAACAGAGGAAAATGCCATCCCATTAAGGGTGCAGACTATGGACATGACTTATTGTCATTGATGTTAACTTTGGTCACCTGAATAAGGTAGTGTTTCTTGGGTTTCTCCACTGTATGCTGTAAACATCTCCCTCTCTTTTCATACTGTACCCTTTGAAAGGAAGTAGCTTTGCATATCTATCACTTTAGGAGTAGGGATTTATGCTTTAGTTTCTTGAGGGCAGAACATGCACATCAATTATTAGGAATTATTCTATAAGGGAGATTTTTCTAGGTGTGTCTTTATTAATCTATCCATTTATTTATATAGTATGGCCTCTTGAATATTTATTTTATACTTCATTTATTTATTTGCTAAAATTGTTCCAGCTTTGGCTATTGAGAGCTCTTATGGCTCCTGTGATTGACTGCCTATAGTTAACTGCATGGTTAGCTGTACTCTAAAAGCTTGAGACCACTTGACACCAGAGCCCTTATCTTAGACTTAAATATGTGATTAAAAATTATAATCATTTTCTTACAGCTTTGATTTTGATGTACTGTATATTGCATCATTCCAAAAAAATAGACTTTGGATGTGGAAATATTTGAAGAAGAAATTGAGATTTTTTTTTAATGATAACAATTTGTATTAATAATATCTGAGAACTACCATATATTCTTAGGATTTGTAGAATCCCCAGGTAGGGTATCAAGAAGTAGAAGTAAAAGCCTTAACCATTAAATATATTTTTTTCTTGTAAATTTTTTATTTTTTTATTTCAATAGTTTTGGGGGAACAGGTGGTGTTTGGTTACATGAATAAGTTCTTTAGCGGTGATTTCTGGAATTTTGGTGCACCCATCATCTGAGCAGTGTACACTGTCCCCAGTGTATAGTCTTTTGTCCCTCGCCACCTTTGATTTTGATTTACTATATATTTTGTCATTCCAAAAAATAGATTTTGGATGTGGAAATATTTGAAGAAGAAATGGAGATTTCTAAAAACCAAACAGACACACCCACATAACTTTTGGAATGGCAAAAAAAAAAAAATGGTGATAATATGGAGTAACGCAAACTCTCATTGCTGGTAAGGATATAAAATGGTACAGCCACCTTGGAAAACAGTTTGGCAGTTTCTTAGAAAACTAAACATATTCTCACCATATGATCCAGCAATCATGCTCCTTCATATTTACCCAAAGGAATTGAAAATTTGTATTCACACAAAAACATCCACACGGATGTTTACAGCAACTTTATTCATAATTGCCAAAACTTAGAAGCAAACAAGATGTCCTTCAGTAGATGGAAGGATAAATAACAGTAGTACATCCAGGCAATGGAATATTATTCAGCACTAAAAATAAATGAGTTATGAAACCATGAAAAGACATGGAGAAAAGTTAAATGAATATTACCAAGTGAAAGAAGCCAATCTGAAAAGGCTAAATACTGTAAGATTCCAACTACATGACATTCTGTAAATGGAGAAACTATGGAGGTAGTAAAAAGGTCAGTGATTGCTAGCAATTAGAGGGCATATAAGAGAAAAGTATTTTTCTTATCTTGGTATAAAGCACAAATATAAAATGTTTATAGGGTATGAGGAGACTAACAATATCTTCTGAAGAATTATGGACAGCAGAGTCATTAATATTTGAAAATATCATTGAGGAACATCAGAATCCCTTTATAAATTTTTTCTACTTAATACTGAAACCAGAAAAGCATAGATCTTTTAAAATCTAGATATTTACTTAATTATGATGTTTATTTTTAATGAGGTGTTCTGAGTGTTAAAGGTGGTTTTAATTGTATTATCAGTCAGGCTGCAGGGAAAAAAAAACCTGGAACCTCACTTAATTTCTGCCAAAACACTGTCTTCAATTTTATAAGCTAATAATTTAGGAGAAGGGATGATAATCCTTATATGAAACAACACAGTTGCTTGAGTAGCCCGCCATTCATTTATCCTTGGCAAGACAAGGCAGGCTTCATAATCTTAAAAACTCATTTGAATGTACTGAATGAGCATCAAATTGCTTTAAGCGGGCTGTCCTGTTACAGCATAGATATATGAGCTTTCAGCTGTGTCCTTTATCCTGAGATACAGTTTGAACTGTCTTTGAAGAAATGTCCTTTTCTAATAAAACTTAAGTCCAAACTTACATTTCATTGTTCTCTTTCTCACATAATGTACTTTCTTTTAATATAATTCTAGCAGATGGATAGCATTTTTGTTATATTAATATCAATGAGTATGTTCATATAAACACATAAATAAAAATTTATAAGCATACACCTAAAGCCCAAAAGAAGAAAGGTAATTCATAAGATAAATATAAAATCCTGTGTGAGTGACTGCCTTCATTTAGCCAAAAAACATAACATGAAGAGTTGAATATATCGAAAGCTTAGATTGAGATTATATTTTGGCAGCATTAAATATATGCACCAGAATGTACACATTTTGTATATTGACTAAATAACCCTTGAATATTTTACTCAATCTAGAATTCTTTTTCTCATCTTGAGTATACTAAAATTGCTCTTATTGTCTATACTTGATTTTTGGTCAAAATATGAATCACTGTGACCTAGAAGAAAGAGAATTTTTTTTTTTTCAGATGGCGTCTCACTCTGTTGCCCAGGCTGGAGTTCAGTGGCACCACCTCAGCTCACTGCAACGTCTGCCTCCCGGGTTCAAGCGATTCTCCTGCTGCAGCCTCCAGAGTAGCTGGGATTACAGGTGCCTGCCACCATGCCCAGCTAATTTTTGTATTTTTAGTAGAGATGGCATTTCACCATGTTGGCCAGGCTGGTCTTGAACTCCTGACTTCAGGTGATCCTCCTGCCTCAGCCTCCCAAAGTGCTGAGATTACAGGCATGAGCCACTGCGCCTGTCCAGAAGAAAAGAGATTTAATTTTGAATCAAGAGACTCAATTTTGAATTCTACATCTGTCATTTAGTATTGGTAAAACATAACACAAGTAAATTTCTATGTGCCTTGCTTGGTTTTCTCATCTTGAAAATTGGGATTATAATATCTCACTACATTGTTAGCTAAAAAGATGAGTATAAATGTATGCAAAGTACTTAGCACTAGTCTCAGCACATTGCAAATATCATGCAAACATAACATTGCAAATATTATACCTAAAAGCAGTCATATTTATAAAAACATTACTATGCTTTTATATGAACTGTTACAATTTCTGCTCTAAAGCATACCCTTTTTGAAGCAAATAAAAATAGTTGGTTTTTTTTTTTTTTTACAATAATGAACCTAAGGTACAAACTAATTCACTGGCATTTCATAATGGATTAGTAGATTGTTACCTATGAAGCTTCATGTGTTTTTGATGTAATTCTTCACCCACTGACTTCTCATATTAACCAAATAGCTTACTCCAAATGAAAAGGTCACCTCTCTTGGGGATTTATTAAATTCCATGTGGGAGCTTGGAAATGCCCCAACTCTGGTTTTGCCAGATAATCTCTTTAGTAAATCTTACATCCTATTTGCTAAAATAACATGCTTTCTTTGGTGAAACAGGGAAATGAAAAGGCTGTATTTTTTTTAATTTTATTTATTTTTTATTATTATTATACTTTAAGTTTTAGGGTACATGTGCACAATGTGCAGGTTAGTTACATATGTGTACATGTGCCATGCTGGTGTGCTGCACCCAGTAACTCATCATTTAGCATTAGGTATATCTCCTAATGCTATCCCTCCCCCCTCCCCCCACCCCACAACAGTCCCCAGAGTGTGATGTTCCGCTTCCTATGTCCATGTGTTCTCATTGTTCAATTCCCATCTATGAGTCAGAACATGTGGTGTTTGGTTTTTTGTCCTTGCAATAGTTTACTGAGAAGGATGATTTCCAATTTCATCCATGTCCCTACAAAGAACATGAACTCATCATTTTTTATGGCTGCCTAGTATTCCATGGTGTATATGTGCCACATTTTCTTAATCCAGTCTATCATTGTTGGACATTTGGATTGTTTCCAAGACTTTGCTATTGTGAATAGTGCTGCAATAAACATACGTGTGCATGTGTCTTTATAGCAGCATGATTTATAGTCCTTTGGGTATATACCCAGTAATTGGATGGCTGGGTCAAATGGTATTTCTAGTTCTAGATCCCTGAGGAATCGCCACACTGACTTCCACAATGGTTGAACTAGTTTACGGTCCCACCAACAGTGTAAAAGTGTTCCTATTTCTCCACATCCTCTCCAGCACCTGTTGTTTCCTGACTTTTTAATGATTGCCATTCTAACTGGTGTGAGATGGTATCTCATCATGGTTTTGATTTGCATTTCTCTGATGGCCAGTGATGATGAGCATTTTTTCATGTGTCTTTTGGCTGCATAAATGTCTTCTTTTGAGAAGTGTCTGTTCATATCCTTTGCCCACTTTTTGATGGGGTTGTTTGTTTTTTTCTTGTATATTTTTAATAGAAATATTAAACTCAATTAAAGTAGGTATTTTTAAGTCCTAGTTCTAACAGTCTCTTGCATGTGCACACACTCACAGATACATGAAAACTTATACTCCATACATAAGCCTGTCAAATTAAATTTAAAAAATCTCACCTATAATTGATAATGATTTCATAATATTGAGACATTTTTATTTTAGAGTAATTCTTCCTCCTATATCTCTGACAAAGCACCAGACTTTTAAAAGTCTTCATAATTTAGTCTGGGAAAGATATAAGATATTGTATTTTTATTCAAGTATTAACTCAGTGGCTTTGCCTTCAACTTTATTTCTGTTTTCTGTATAATCAAAGTTGACACATACTGTTTTTTAAAAAATACCCCTTTCCCCCGAAAATATTTTTCTGGTTTCTTTTTATTTATTCTTTTAATATTAAATTTCATATTATATAGGTTGTATTTAAAATAAGGCTTAGATAAAATTCAGATATCTAGAGGAAAAGTGTCACTCTTTCTACCAGTCAAAACTCAGAAGTTTTTAGTTCGATATTCTTCAGTACTCACTTGTTGTTTTAATCATAAGACACAGAGTTGGCTCCTTATATCTGTGACTGTAATGTGTTATTCTCTTCTGATAGGCCAGTTGTTCTCAACCTTTCTTTTTTGTCTCAGTATACATATACACAGTCTCAGCAAAAAGTATGACTCATCACAGCAATGATTCTCAACAGAAAACACATGTGATTCTTGCTCCAACAATATGTTGCCTTATATCCCCAAATATACACTCTGTAATAAAATTTATATATGTATGGGGTTTTCTTTGAGGGCAGATGCTGTGACGATCAATATTTTAACTTTTGTATCTTGCTTATAAAATTAGTTGAGAAATATCTGTCCAAGGAAATTAAAGCTTTGTAGAAGCAAAAATACTCGTGGAAATCAATAAAAATCAGGGAGGATATCTTTTAGTGTAATGTCTTAAGGCTTTCATGATGTTGTCTGACAAGCCTGGGTTTAAACCCCTCATCTATCTTTTACTGATTTTACTGATTTTACTACTGAATATGTTATTTAAATAATTTAATACTCATTTCTCCAATCTGTAAAAGGTAAACAATAAAAATAATATCTACCTTTTAGAGTTGTTTTAAGGAGTAAATAATAATGTAGACATGGTTCTTGGCAAATGGTAAGTGCTACAGTGATGAAGACGAGCACAAAAGGGAGGAGAAAGATGGAATGTAAAGAGAGATTTTTTAAAAACAGAATATATTTCAGGCAAAACTATTTTTTAAAAAAGAACATATTTCAGGCAAAACTAACCTACATTGTCATAACTCAGGATACAGGCTACCCTGAGAGTGAATGTAGTGACAGAGTAGTGCATAAGGTGGAACTTTAGAGGTTTAGAAATATTTTATTTCTTGATCCAAGTGCTAGTTATGTAGGTTTCTTCAATTTTCAAAAATTCACCAAGCTGTATAATTATTATTTGAGCACTTTTTATATGTAAGCTGTACTTCAATAAAAATATTATTTAAAAAATGTTCCTGATACTCCCACCATCAACTGCTCTGTGCCTTACACATAATATTTACTGTACTCAATTAACACTTTTGCAAAGCACTGCTCACCATTCTTTAGGCTTTTTAAATTATCTTGTATTTTTAAAAAAACAGATTGTTTTCATGATTCATTTTCTCAGACCCTGCCTTTTGAATTTTTTTCCTCTAATTTTTTCATTACCAACTTAACAGCATCCTTTATCATCAAAAATGCACTGAAGAGTTATGAAACAGATTGATGTCCATCAAGGGGTTTACTTTTTAAAAAATCAGGCATTTTGATGAATAGAATCATAATTATTTAAGATAGAGCTGTCAGCAGGTGAATAAATAATATAAGTGGGGTCATAATAGCCTCATGTTTTAAAATTAAATGACATTGCTCAATGATTTGAGTTCAAAAATAATTTAAATAAAAAATATTTTGTTATGTTCAATTGCTGATTCTTCCTGAAATAAATTTCAAATCCCCCCTTGCTACATGTTTAGTTCAGAAAATTCAATTGTATGCCAAATTATGCAAAAATGTACATCTCCCACACTTAACCCATCTAAAACTCTGCTGGTGTTGTGTTGTACAAGCATGTGCACAACTGACCATTATTTGCTTTTCATTAGCCTCATACTTCAGTAAGGGAAAGATCAACACACAAAAATATCTCATTCTACATTATTGGAGTCAACAAATAGATGAGTAGGATAAACCAGACCTCCTGCCTTCTCCTCACTTCCTTTCTCTCCCACATCACTCCTCAACACACACAGGCACTCCCAAAAGAACAAGCACAAAAGGACAATTATCACATTTTAATTCCACATTCCTCCTCATTTTTGCATATAGATCTACACATATAAAAGGGTCTGCATGCCCACATGCCATATGCTAAGCAATCCTGGCTTGCAGAGACTGTGGAGTGCTTGGTGGAATTCATAGATGTGCATTTATTTAAACTTTGCAGGCTCGCATGGCTCTACAAAGTTCCTTCAGCTGCCCTTGCATTATCATTGCAATAAAAATTTCACTCCCATTCTTTGATATATTTTACAACTCAGTTGCATCCTCAACCTCTTCTGATGTTTTGAGAAACATAATTTGGATATTAAGCAGTTATCTCTGTAATCCCAACTCCAAACTGTTGTCTTCTTATCTATTTCTCTGAGCAGTTCCATCCTCAGGCTCAAGTACAAATTTATTCTGGTTTAGTGATATTATCCTCCCATCATCAAGCCATCTCACATCCTCTGCACCATCTGTTTGTGGTATGTCTTCACTACAGCATTTTCTACTAGGAGGAAAGTATTTAACTGGAGTTATTTCTTTCCTTGATAAGCACATTATTATAACTTCAAGAGACCTTGAGATTACTGTATGTCATATGTTCAGGAATATTAATATTTTTAAATGCTTCAGTGTTATTATGGTAAAACAAGGGATCATCTACCCTTTTGTTCTAGATATACATGTTTTGGCTTGTAGGCATTAACAGTATGAGTTCTGATTAAAATTCATTTTCCTGTTCTTTCCAACAGCTTAATAATTGTACATAGTCCTATAAGTGGTTGATACCATCATACTGCTGTTTCTAACTATTTCTGAGAGGAGAAAAAAACTAGATTTGATTTAGTAAACGTTGATGAAGAAATAAGGCCAATATGAAGACCATATTATAGTTTCTGTGTTAAAAATTAAGGGTAGTCCCATTCATTTAACAGTATCTCAGTTGTCCCTATAGTTCACTCAGGTGAATATACTTTGCCAAATAATAGCCAGTTGTTTTATTTGTTAGGGAATTCTCCCATTTCATTGTACTTCATCCTAAACTTTTTCCCTCTACCCAAACCTTTTTCCCTCTACCCATAAGAAGGTGGTGGGGTTTCTCATTAGCAGGCAATACCCATGACTCCCTTGTAATTTTACACACATACACACACACACACACACACACACACACACATATTTTAAATGGTTATTCTCAATGTAAACTATTAGATAATTTATGAAATTAATAGATATTTACTATATGTGTGAATTAGGGCCTCATGCTGGTAGATGTTTAAACCACTGGCTCTTAGGGGAGGAAGAAGAAAAAAACTGATTTGGCGCCTGTTAGGATTTTCATGGAGTAAATACTCCCACGATGTCCTAACAACATCACTAACATCATTGAATTGTGCAGTTGGGATGTTGTCTACAGAGGACACGTTCTGGGGCAGAAAGTATAGAAAGAAAGGTGGAGTGCACATCTGGAGGGCAAAGACACCTGGCCTATATATGAAACAATGAATTTTATAAGAGTTAAAGAGATTTAGTAGTTTAGAAGTTTTTGTGTTGAAACGTGATTTTGTTTAAAAATATTCATATTTGATTACTATGATCCAAACATACATGCCTGGGGCGCAGTGGCTCACATCTGCAATACCAGCAGTTTGGGAGGCTGAGGCAGGTGGATCACCTGAGGTCAGGAGTTCAAGACCAGCCTGGCCAACATGGCAAAAACCCCTCTCTACTAAAAATATAAAAATTAGCCAGGCATGGTGGCACACACTTGTAGTCCCAGCTACTCAGGAGGCTGAGGCACAAAAATTGCTTGAACCCAGGAGGTGGAGGTTGCAGTGAGCCGAGATCACGCCACTGTGCTCCATCCTGGGCGACAGAGTGAGACTCCATCTCAGATAAATAAATAAATAACCTTAAAAAAAGAGTACTTGACTTCTTTCAGTCTTGTATGCATTCTAAGGTCTTTCCTGTTGAGTCATATACAATTTTTGAATATATAAGGAATTTAAATAATTTAGTCATTTTTGTATGGCATTTGACAAGTGTGATCTAAGGTTAAAAAAGCATTTAAATTAATATTTCTATTTAAATTATATTTTTTAATTAATATGTAAAATTTGTAGTGTATGAGAAATTTTAAAATAGCTCATTTTGCAAATGGTGAACACTATTTTAATTTTTAGTTAATTTTGCAAAAGTAAACATGACTTGTTGATAACATAAAATTTGTATATTTTTTAGTTTAAAATATAAACTGTTTGATTTTATAATTTTTGTGATTTGATTCTAAATGAGCTGATGTAGAAGGTTCCAATCAGCCATTTACAATCACTTTCCCAAAACACTCTCATAAAGTTATAAATATTCTTTATTTCAATATGAAAATCAAAACTATATATAATTGTTACTAAACTTTTTCTTAGTATTGGCGTCTGAAATACCAGACATTTTGATATGTCAATCAATAGTTTTGATCAGAGGTGTATCAATTATGCTCCTGATAAAGAGAATTTTATTTGTGAAATACTTAATATATTTTCATTTCTATGTTTACTCTTAACTTAGTTTTTTAACACCAGTTTGATGGCAAAGGTGGATGTTTCAGTGGACCTAAAGGCAGTGTCTGCTTCTTTTGTCCTTATTATAACTTGTCACTTCAAAATCCAGGATAAATGAACAGTTTTATATACTTTATGTCATAGAATAATGTTCTACTTAACATCAAAGAATCTGAATTAAAAGTTAAAAAACACATATATTCTAATCATAAAGTAGCACATGCACAATTATTAGAAAATAATATTAAAAACAGAAAAGTAGAAACATTTAAGTAAATTTATTAAAAGATAAATAGTAATCTCACCATGAACATAAACATTTTAATATATAGTTGTTCAGTAATTCTATATTTATATACTCACATGCACATAGTTAAGTACTTCCTTTTTAAAAACATTGTTTTATGGTGTACACTGTTTTGTAGCCTCCAGCCCTATACTGTGACTATTTTACAATGGTATAAGGAATTCTTCCATAACGTAGGTTTCATTTTATATATGGTTGCCCGTTGCATGAGTAAACTATAATTTTCTTAAATAATTTCTTTTGTATTCATGAAGTAGGTAGTTTCTATTTCCTTATTTTTAGAAAAACACAGCTAATAACTATTTCTGTCTTTGTCCATTTCTGCACTGATGTCTTTGGGAAAGTATCTAGAGTATGTGTCACACACATTTTAAGACTTTTGATACATAAAACAAATTCACCTGTTAAAAATTATGCCAAACTATACTAACACCAGCAGTATCTGAGAGTTCTTGTTCCTCTGTGGGCCTTACTATTTCATCTATTTCATCTTTGTCAGTTGTATCATAGCAACTTTAGATTATTTTCTGTGTATCGATTTTTTGCGTAAGATGAAAATAGCATGGAATCATATAGCAGAGGACAAAAATTATTTCCTCTACATATACTCTTAGTAACTCTTTATGCACTCTTTATCATTAAAAGGATAAAGGATCAATTTTACCACTTTTTACCACAGTAAGTAAGGATCAAGTTTACCACATACTTTACCACAGTAAGTAAGGATCAAGTTTAACATTATTTGACGGGTGACAACTCTACAAAGTTCCCTCTCATTGCTGCACATCTTGCCACCCTTTTGTTCTGGACTATCTTTTCAAAGACATTTGTATAGGAAACAACAATTAGTTAGAGATAAGGTCTCTCTCTGAGGAACACGGAACACTTGGTAGCTATCCAAAATAATAAAGATATGTTTTCTTTTGTGGCAAAGGTTATGTAAGTTAGCTAGCATCCATTTTAAAAGAATGGGGTTTCCTAACCTGGAGTTTCCTCAGCTGTGACACAAACCCACTTGCAATGCACAGCATCCTCCTGGCCCTCCTTCATGTTGTCCCTATGGGGCATGGGTGTCAAGGGGAACCAATGCAAACATGAAGTTTATGGTGTCTGCTCTGCTGTGAACAATAAAGTCTTTTGTCTCTGTTCCAAGAGTCTTGTATTTCCTGTCAACATCTATGAAACTGTGGCAGGCTAACTTGGTAGCTTGCAATTAGGGTAAAATCTCAGGCTTTTTAGAGATCTTGACACAGTTGAGACAATCTAAGTCTTAGGGATGGACTTGAGGGAATGTATACATACTTCTAAAAACAATTTAGGCTACAGTATTTTGCTACACAAATATTTCAGTCTTTGAGTAACCTAGTTAACTTGGCACAGATAGAGAGAGAGAGGAAGGGAGTGAAAAAGGGAAGAAAAGTAGACAGGTAAAGATAAACTATATATATGTTTTGGGGACATAGATAGGTACTTGGCTCTAGTCAGAAAATTTACAATTTATTGCCAGGTACAAAAGAAACTATAACCCCTTCCTAGAGAAACAACTTAGGCACTGAGCTACCTTAATTCCTGGTTTGGAAAGGATACAAATGAAAATTAATCAATTGATCAGTAACTCAGCTAGTATCTGTATGCAGAAAAGATCACTTTTGAATATGATTTTAAAATGTACTACTTCTTAAAATGTATGTTTATACTAATAAATTTGTGTGAGACAAAAATTACCAAAAGGACTATAAATAGGCCTTTAGAGGAAATTGGATTTCCAAACTAAAGCTAATTCTAGTTTACTGTAATACTGATAGGATGAAGTAGCAGGTGTTGGCTTAGTATTTTAATTGATAAAATATATTGTGTATTTTGTACATTACTGTGTATCAATCATTGACACCAAAGGTTTCTCCTTTTATCCAGAAAAATAAGCAAGTTTCTGAGAAAATAAATTGTTAATATTTGCCATATCACTTTTGGTTTACTTATTTCCTTGTTTTGGTTTTGTTGTATGTGTGGGATTTTTTGCTTGTTGTATTGTTAAAAAATGCAGTGTCAGAAAGTATATCAATAAAATAAATGCTGAATTTTTTAAGTCAAAACTATAATAATTTATCTTTTCCCTAAACAGAAAAATAATTCAGATGCTTGCTTACTTTATCAAGGGTGTTTGGGACAGACTCATTTCCCTCAGTATTTCGGAGACTTCTCACAAAATGTAGAGCTTCTACTCACTTCAAAAAAATATTTTAAGATGAAAGAAATAAACAGAAATAAAGAATGCTGAGTATAGGTCATGTTGTGACTATATGTTTAGTGTTACATTCTGCTCCCAGAATTAATTTAGGAATTGAAGGACAAACAAAATTAGCAGTAAGCTTCATTTTTACTGTTATCATTAAATGTATCATCTTCCTCTGTTTCTCTTTAAGGTTTAGGAAGAATATATGGATGTGTTACGAATTCACAGTATGTCACCAGTTAACATCATGTTCAGGAAGGTCACTGTGCATGGAATTAGAATACCTGGGTTCTGGTTACAGTGAGGCAATGACATATATGTGTCTTTTTATCTCTCTGGGACTCATTTGTAAATTTAGAGAGATGACTTCAGTGGTTATTGACACCTTAGGTGATTATGAAACTATATGAGAAGAATATACAAAAAGCTCTACAGGTGCAGGAAGGAACAACAAATACAAACATTTTGCATGTAAATTGAGAGGGTTCATCAGCATCTCTAAATCTAGAATCCTAGTGCTAAGAAACCGTGGTGGCTGGCACCTGCAGTCCCAGCTACTCGGGAGGCTGAGGCAGGAGAATGGCGTGAACATGGGAGGCGGAGCTTGCAGTGAGCCGAGATCGTGCCACTGCACTCCAGCGTGGGCGACAGAGCGAGACTCCATCTCAAAAAAAAAAAAAGAAGCCCTTAACTAGATCATCCTTAAGGTTCCATGATCTAGCATTTAGATCTGTCCTAATAAGTCCTTGAAATATTAAATCAATCCACTAATGCTAACAAAAATTATTTCTATAACCAGAAATTGCCACTATGATTAAATCACTGAACATTAGATTAAAAATGGTCAACTGCATATCTTGGATGGTAAATATAAATAATATATCTTGTTTTACAAGAACAGTATAAAGAGCTAAAGATGTATCGTGTATAACTTGGAATTCCTTTCACTGTAATTTTCATGTTTAATATTTATAATCAATATGGAATTAGAAGCTCTCTTCCAGGAATTAATAACAAGATTAAATTTGTAATAACAATATAATAGAAAATTATCAAATGTTTGCATGCTGAATACTGAAGTAATATCTTTAGAATAGAATGTACACATTGTATATCACCATGGTATTCCAAAATCAACCAGTCTTTTGTCATTTCCAACATTTCTGAATACACAAAAGGCTAATTTATAAAATATTCTAACAACTAGAAAGCCAACTCAAAACTATTGAGTGCCTACTCAGTATAAAAGATATTAGGATCGGTGAATCAAAGTACATGTTATAATTATCTATAATTATGCGTGAAGTAAAAGATACAGATATATAAAATGCCACCATTTTACAAAAAATATCTATACTTTAGGCAGCTGCTATGTCTTCTTTTTACATACAGGGGCATACCTGAAGGAGTTCAAATAGGGAGAGCAGAAAGGAAAGGCTTTGATTTTAGCAGAGTCCTTAGGCTAGTCCTGTTAAAGAAACAAAATTTATTTGCTGTCCTGCCGAAAGGTGTATTCCTTTACCGATGGAAATTTCTTCTTTGATAATTAAAATGTGCACACCTTAAGTGTACTTTTTATTGTGATTATATGTTTGCTTTTTACTTTTCGGTTCATAATGGCTATCACCAATTAAGCAACAGTGGAAATCAACACCAAGGAAACAGACAAATGCACATTAGAACAGAAGATATTTTTTAGTAAAAGAATATAATTTTGCAATCTTAGAAGAGGGGATAATTCATTCCACCTGAAGGAATTGAGGGACACATATGGAAAGCTGGCAGTTGATCTGCGTCATGAAGAAAGACTAGGATATTCATTGGCAGAGATTATGAAAAGGAGCGTTTCATAGGGGGAAAATAATGGAGCAGGCACAAAGGAAAGCTCAGGACATTTCCAACGAATTCTAAGTTATCTGCAGCTAATGCACAAAATTTAGTGGATGGAAAGTAAAGGAAATGCAGATTGAAATTCATTTGTGATGTCTGCTAGATTTTTGCAGTGTATTCGATGCATAATGGGATACCATCAAAGGTTCTGAGCAGGCCGGGCACAGTGGCTCATGCCTGTAATCCCAGCACTTTGGGAGGCTGAGGTGGGCGGATCACTTGAGGTCAGAAGTTCGAGACCAGCCTGGCCAACGTGGCGAAACCCCATCTCTACTGAAAAATACAAAAAATTAGCCGGGTGTGGTGGCGCTTGCCTGCAGTCCCAGCTACTCGGAAGGCTGAGGCAGGAGAATCACTTGAACCTAGGAGATGGAGGTTACAGTGGGCCAAGATTGTGCCACTGCATTCCTGGGTGACAGAGCGAGACTCAGTCTCAAAAAAAAAAAAAAAAAAGAAAGAAAGAAAGAAAAAGAAAAGGTTCTGAGCAGAACACCACCGAGGAAACACTGCCTTAAGTATGATTCCTGCAACAGCCTTCACACTTACCATCTTTATGCACATTACCTAATGCCTCTGAGTATGTTTCCTCAACTGTAAACCTGAAATATTAATCATAACAATTTAATGACAGAGACAAGGTCAAAATGATTTAGCATATGTCAGATCCTAGCATAAACACAGATTCAATAAATATTATTTCCTACTTGCAAAAGTGTATGAAAAATAACTGAGATAAAACATTAAGTGGAACTTCAATTCAGCTATACATAATGATGAAAGCCTTTGAATCAAAGAAAAATAAATCATGATCACACTGATCTTTGTGTTCAATATAGTTCTTGAAAAATTAGTAGCACACATGGGCAAAGTATGGTTTTTTTGATAATATAGTAACTTTTTAAAATAAAACTATTTCACAAAAGAGAACATTCTATACTCTGGCCATGCTACATAGCATTTATGCACAATGTGTTAAACTGGCATGACCATCTGTCCAGATAAATGACTCCAACTTTAGAAAAAGAACATATATATTTCCTACAAAATCTTTAGTCTAAAGTTAAGATCTACATAAAGTTCATTGAGGCAGGAAAATGACAAAATATAAGTAATAGAAAGTAGATTTTGGTGTTTCTAGGAAAGAAGGATAGTAGTGTACAAATCAGCGATTGTTGAATATTGAGTTTTTGCTATAACAGTCTGAGACCATTCTTTTTACTCATCAGAAATCAATTGTTCTTTTACAATGTAGAATTTACAACAGTATATTTTTTATACTATAACAGCAAGCCAGCCCATGCTCACTAAATAAAACCTGTATTCACTATATGCTTCTTCTGTAGCTCATTACCTTTCAAAGTGCTATCAGTTTCAGGGAGAGCAGAGCTGTTTTCCCCTGCACAGCTTCAGAGAAAAAGGTATATTTGATGCACTTGATCACTACAGATTTCCAGTGT
Source organism: Homo sapiens (assembly GCF_000001405.40). Classification (NCBI taxonomy): domain Eukaryota; kingdom Metazoa; phylum Chordata; class Mammalia; order Primates; family Hominidae; genus Homo; species Homo sapiens. The sequence continues at coordinate 87,891,426 of NC_000008.11, forward strand.
TGCTTAATTGGTGATGGTCATTGTGAATCCAAATGTATAAAGCAAACGCATAACCACAATTAAGAATACACTTAATGTATGCACATTTTAATTATCAAAGAAGGAAGGTCCTTTCAATAGGACAGCAAATAACATTTTGTTTCTTTACTATAAACAGGGCTAACCTAAGGACTGTACTACAGTCAAAACCTTCCCTTTCTGCTCTCCCTATTTGCCACCCCTTCCCGATGCTACTGTATGTAAAAAGAATACATATTAGCTGCCTAGGTCACTACCTGTAACCAACTCATACATTGCATACTCATATTTTGTTATTATATTCTACCTGATATCCAAAAGTGTACTTGTTGACCTGTTATCTACTTTAATCAATGTAGTTCATTAAATAAAACATGTCATTACCAAAATATCATTTCATTTCTTCTTTTTTTTTTTTTTTTTTTTTCCTGAAACAGGGTCTTGCTCTGTCACCCAGGCTAAAGTGCAGTGGCATGATCTCGGCTCACTGCAACCTCTACCTCCCAGGTTCAAGCAATCCACCCAACCTCAGCTTCCTGAGTAGCTGGAACTACAGGTGCATGCCACCACGCCTGGCTAGTTTTTGTATTTTTTGTAGAGATGGGGTTTCACCATATCACCGAGGCTAGTCTTGAACTCCTGGACTCAAGTTATCCTCCCACCTCGGCCTCCCAAAGTGATGGAATCATAGGCATGAGCCACCATGCCTGGCCTCATTTCTTTCTTCCTTTCTCTTTTTTTTTTTTTCTGGTTTTGTTGTTGTTGTTGTTGTTGTTTTTGAGACAGGTCTTGCTCTGTCATCCAGCTGGAGGGCAGTGTTGCAATCGTGGCTTCCTGCAGCCAGGACTTCCCAGGCTCAAGTGTTCCTCCCACCTCTCAGCCTCCAAAGTAGCTGGGACTACAGGCACACACCACCACACCCAGCTAACTTTTGTATTTTTGTAGAGAGTGGGTTTCACCATGTTTCCTAGGCTCATCTCATTTCTTATTAATGAATAGAAACAAATCTTAAGGAATAAAATAAGCAATACTTTTAAGCTACATAAAAGCAGGTAAAATATACACATAAAATAAGAAAAAAATAATTGCCATTTTCATGCTTGTTTCTAAAGTTTCAGAGTTTAAATTGGGCGCAATTTAGAGGAAAAACCCTCAAAATTGCATCATTTATCCAAATCTCCAGAGTCTGGAAACCTCATGGAAAGCAATGTATAAGACTGTTTTTGCTCAAGAGATTTCTGGCATTTTTGCCTGCCTCTAGAGTTAGTAATGCAAAGGAGAATAATGAATCTTCCAGAAGCTGGCACTGTCGAGTTCAATATCTGCCAGCAAACAGAGGTGCTATTGAAAAATTCCAGCCACCGGCCAGGAGCGGTAGCGTATGCCTATAATCCCAGCACTTTGGGAGGCCAAGGCGGGTGGATCACCTGAGGTCAGGAGTTCGAGACCAGCCTGACCAACGTGGAGAAACCACATCTCTACTAAAAAGACAAAATTAGCCCGGTGCGGTTGCGCATGCCTGTAATCCCAGCTACTCAGGAGGGTAAGGCAGAAGAATCGCTTGAACCCGGGAGGCAGAGTTTGCAGTGAGCCGAGATCACGCCATTGCACTCCAGCCTGGGCAACAAGAGTGAAACTCCATCTCAAAAAAAAAAAAAAAAAAAAAAATTCCAGCCTGGAGGTGAATGTTCCCAAGAGACAACCATCATTTGGCATTGTTAAACAAGGGAGTGGCCATCTTTTCCTCACAGCTTTCTTCTTTACCTCACAGGGTATCAGCAGGTATGATGCAATGAATTTGACATAATTATTAGTATCATTTTGTTGTGAATGACAAGTCTTGCTTATATTATTTTTACATAGAGATCCAGTATTGAAACCACAGAGATCTCTGGAAAACTTGCCACTGCAATGACAATTAACTGCACTAAAATTACTTCCTTTGGTTTGTTCTAAATCTACAGTTTCTCACTTTGTACATTCCTCTTGCTCTTTCTTTTGTAAACTAGCAGAGAAATTGATCAAGCTGTGAGCTCATGAAAGCAAGATAGAAAATGGAACCAAGTTCAGATTTCAATCAGGATGCTAATGAAGTTGTAAACCTTTGGATACTTCTGCCTACACATAGAAAACTTTTTATAGACTCCTCTCCATATACAAAATTTTCTTAGTGATAACATTTATGATTTTGTCAAAAGAATAAAGAACATTGAAGACATGATGAGATTCTCATTACTTTGCCAATTTTTAAAGGAATTTGGACATCAGTTAATATCTATTTGGGAGTTAGCGAGCAAGTAACTTCCTGGAAATTAGACTACAAAAGGGGAATCCCAAACTGCATCATTCCGTGTATCTGAGAAGCCTTTAGTGACAGAAACAATCTATAATGTTCTGCATGTTGCTGCTACTGAATCATAAATTTCTCATTTGCTGCTTTGTGTGAATCATTTCCATTTTTAAGAAGAGATGGATAGTCGAGCACATTTTCACATATTTCTAATCTGTGTTTTTATACTATGAAGATTCCCATCAAGATATAGTTTAGCTTCAAAAATATGGTTTAACTAGGAAATAGCTGAACTGCCTCAATAAATCAGGAAGATGAATTTTAAGAGTTATGTGAATACAATCGAAACTTGAGATTCATTTTCACAGGAAATCAATATGATATTTTTGAAGGATTAAGAAATTTGACATGAACATAAATAAAACCGGCATTTGTCATAACATTAAATAGACAAAAAGTGACACAAATTATATATAATTCTGCTTTATGAAATATATTTAATATGTGACAGATGAGGACATCCTTCTTCATTTCATGAAAACATTGCTTAATATTTTATGGAAGAGAATCCAGAGAATATATCGTGTGTGTATGCCTCTGTGTGTGTAGGGGTATATTGTGGTAATTTTTCAAAAAAATTGTTTTGTGGTTAAAAACCCTCAATATTAAAACATAATTTAAAATGCACCTTTGGGTATCTTCTTCTTTGTGCATATTATCTTGCCATTGGGAAAGTTACTAATCCAGAAAACAAAAGTTTATCATTCATCACTCACACTAAGCTTCATAGCAGATGATGGTAATTGGTAACTGGATGGTATGTGGAAGGTTTGCCATCCTAATGGAGAAAGGCGTATTTCCTAATGGAAATGTACCTAAGGGGAGTGAGGAGTGGCAATGACATTGGCTGTTCCAGCATTCATACCAAAGCACGCCTGCTTTTTCATATTGTGCCGATTCTGAAGCACAGTGTAAAATAAACATTATTTTCACTAAATTAAGATAATAAAGCCGGGTGCAGTGGCTCATGCCTGTAATCCTAGCACTTTGGGAAGCTGAGGTGGGTGGATTGCCTGAGCTCAGGAGTTTGAGACCAGCCTGGGGAACATGGTGAAACCCCATCTCTACTAAAATAAAAAAAAATTAGCCTGGTGTGGTGGCATGCGCCTGTAGTCCCAGCTACTAGGGAGGCTGAGGCAGAAGAATCACTTGAACCCAGGAGGCACAGGTTGCAGTGAGCCAAGATCGTGCCACTGTACTCCACCCTGGGCGACAGAGCAAGACTCCACCTCAAAAAAAAAAAAAAGATAATAAGACTAACCCTGATTCTCTCCTGTGCCTCAGCCATGTGTTGCTAGACAGTTAGACACTATCAGACAATCTCTCAATCAGCATGCTGCTTTAATTATGTATTAAGATGTTACCATAATGCCTGAAAGAATGTCCTCCAGAGGCACCCAAATGTTAAGTGCCTTCACAATTAATTGTCCATCTAGTGCTGCCTTATTATGTTCTTCCTTTAAAATCTCCTCAGTGTGTGTGTGTGTGTGTGTGTATATATATATATATATATATATGTTACATTATCATTCATGTGTGCATATAATACCTTGAAAACTTTTTGTGTCATTTTCATCAGTGTACATCTTCTTTCCCAAAATGCTTTATATTCTCTGTTTAGCATTCAAACACATCATTAAAAATGAAAGACTATTAAAACATGTGCATATGGAAGATTCTGGTTTACCTTAATGCCAATATCACACATTTACTTCATACTTCCTGATGGCATCTTAAGAAAATTAGTTGAAGCTGATAATGATTATTTCTATTTCATATAAAGGAAACTGTGTCATTGAGGGGAAAAAAATGTGCCCTAGCAATCTTGCTTTAAAAGATGTGTTTAGAAATGTGGACAACTAGCAAAGGTTTCAGCCTAGACTCTGGTATACTTGCTATATTACTGAGGATTGGGTTGACCTACAAGTATTGGAGAATCTTGATAACAGTGTTAGATAAACAGAATCTTTTTCTCTCTCACATGAAACTCCTAGTAGGCATTCCAAGGTGAGCATGGTGCACCACAGTGCAAGGCCCAGGCCCCTTTCTACCTAAATGACCTTGTCCCCCAGTCTAACATATGTTCTAAATACATTATCTATCATCCATTCAAAGGAAGCAAAGAAGGAGCAAGCAATCTCCATAAGCTTGCATGGGTGATTTTCGTTGGTATCTCCTTGATCAGAAATTACAGCAGCTTGGCAGGTTGAGAAATTGTCTCCATCCTGCACAGCTATATGTCCAGCCAAAAATCATGGCTCTATCACCATGAAAGAAGAGGAGAACAAATACTGGAGGACAAAGAGCAGTTTATACTACAAGCCAATGTATAGTGTGCACACATGGGACAACATAAACAAAACCTATGACCATTTAGCACCAAGAATGGAAACAATTTTTCTCTCACATATCATTTTAATAAGACAGCTATTGCATTTATGTTAATAGAGATTAATATTATCATTTCTGTAGAGCAATGCTTAAACTCAGATATCAATTCAAGAGCAGTAAGTCATATATTATTAGAAAATTAAGCTGTCTTTATGTGCTAGAAGACTGTAGCCTATTGTTTCAGTTATCTTTTTTTCATAAAAAAGCAAACAATCCCCAAATTTAGCAACTTTAAATAACACAGTTTTATTATACCTTATAATATTGTAAGTGGTCTGAACTCACCTGGGCAGTTCTGTTCCATGTGATGTTAGCTGTGGCTACAGTCATTTGGGGACTCAACTCTGCTGGTATGTCAAGATAATTCACTTAAATGTCTAGCAATTGTCTCTGGCTTTCAGCTGGTAGCTCAGCAGGGGCTGTCGATCAAGACCCAGTACCCTCCACATTCCTCTCCATGTACCTTGGGCTCCTTCCCAAATCAAGGCATGGTGCCAAGAGACAAGAAGGTAAAGCTGCTAGTCTTCTTAAGGCTTTGATTTTAAACTCTTAGAACATCACTTCTCCCACCTTCCTTGGTTAAAACCAGTCACAAGACCATTCCAGAGGGTGAAGGTTTAGGGGAAATAAGAAAAGATAAGCTACCACATTTTGATGTATGTAGAAATATGTGCATAAAGCAAGGAGAAAACTTGTTAGGGGCCATCTTTGGAGACTAATTAACAGCATATTATAGCAAAAATAATAGAAACAGGAGAGAAAATCACAGTTAATTCATTGATAAAACTAAAATCAAAAATTCTGGCCGGGCGCGGTGGCTCACGCCTGTAATCCCAGCACTTTGGGAGGCCGAGGCGGGCGGATCACGAGGTCAGGAGATCGAGACCATCCTGGCTAACAAGGTGAAACCCCGTCTCTACTAAAAATAAAAAAATTAGCCGGGCGTGGTAGCGGGCGCCTGTAGTCCCAGCTACTCGGGAGGCTGAGGCAGGAGAATGGCGTGAACCCGGGAGGCGGAGCTTGCAGTGAGCCGAGATCGCGCCACTGCACTCCAGCCTGGGCGACAGAGCGAGACTCCGTCTCAAAAAAAAAAAAAAAAAAAAAAAAAAAAAAAAAATTCTACCAGAAAGGGTTGCTTGACAGATGTGATGGTTAATATTAGATGTCAACTTAATTGAATTGAAGGACACCTAGATAGCTGGTAAAGTATTGTTTCTGGGTGTGTCTGTGAGGGTGTTGTCAGAGGAGATTGACATTTGAGTCAGTGAACTGGGAGAGGAAGACCCATCCTCAATGTGGGTGGACACTATCCAATTGGCTGCCAGAGCAGCTAGAAGAAAGCATATGGAAGAGGGTAGGATAAGCTGGCTTGCTGAGTATTCTGGCTTTCATCTTTCTCTAGCACTGGAGGCTTCCTTCCGTTCCTCCTGCTCTTGGACATCATACTCTAGGTTCTTCAGACTTTGGACACTTGGACTTAACACCAGTGGTTTGCCGGCGGCTCTCCGGCCTTTGGCCACAGACTGAAGGCTTCATTGTCAGTTTCCCTGCTTTTGAGGCTTCTCAGCTGGGACTGAGCCACTACTGACTTCTTTCTTCCCCAGCTTGCCGATAGCCTTCTGTGGGACTTCAGCTTGTGATCGTGTGAGCCAATTCTTCCTAATAAACTCTTTTATATATATCTCCCTTTCGTTCATATACATATATGTGTGTGTGTGTGTGTGTGTATGTGTGTATGTGTGTGTGAGTGTGTATATATATGTGTGTGTGTGTCTGTGTGTATACATATTTCCTATTAGTTTTTGTCCCTGTGGAGAACCCTGACTAATACAACAGATAAGGTCATTGGAAATACCCTTAGGATGTCCCATTTAGGGTCATCCACATTACAAAGATGATCCAGTTATCTTGTTTTATCAAATAAATCAATTTCTGTAAAAACAAACTGCAGTCTAGCTTACAAAAATCATTGTTTTCATCTTCATTCAATCAGCATTTACTGGGTGCCTTTTACATTCCAGAAATACATTACATGTTGGGTTTACAGGTCTTCATCGATACTTATGGTAGATTTTGAGTACATGTTATAACAGAAAATGCCAAGGTTTAGAGCACAGAGGGACACCAATTTGTGGAGATGTGGCAAGGTGGATACTGATCTATCTCACAGCGGCTTCATAGAAGAGACCAAGCAAATAAAACACATGACAGATTTTCCTTTTCACCTTTAAGGCACTGAACTAATAATACTAAGAGAAACAGGAAAGATAACGCTTTGGAAGTCTGATTTACACTTGGGTAAAGATATATTGGTCCTAGATAGTTCAGTGCTAATTCTTAGATCCATATTCAATAACAGAATTTAGGAACTTAAAACCCTGGGACAAATTTTAGATAAATTGTTTTATTACTTATATTTCCACAAGTCAAATCTCCCACATCTTGTACACCTTCTGTATTACTTATACACATACTGTGTACTCATTATCTGCAAGGATGTGATAAATGAAGTGGTGCTAATCTGTTCTATGGCTTTTCAAAGACTGATTTTTTAAAAAATCCAAGTTTTTTTAAAATAATCTAAAGAGAAAGCCCAAATCATTTGAAGCCACATGTAAAATTAGTTTCACATTTTGCCACAGGAGCACTTTGTTTTCAAGAAATAGATCTATCCTCCATGTTCCATAGGTTTTGAATCTAGGTATACAGTTTTACTTGCAAATACTGTAAGATGTATAGATACTTCTACAGGGAAAAATAATTTGTCAACCAAAATATTCAGCCATCTACTGTGAATATACATTGAGTAAATTTATTATTTGGTGTAAGAACAAAAATTGAATCTTATAAATATAGTCAATATAATATTTGGATTGTATCTTCATTAACATAAAAATTACTCTTGCCTGATACTTAGCATATGTAAGATTTTCAAATAAGAGAAAGGACAGGACTCTTAGTGGATATTCTAGCCAAAAAGAAAGGAAGATGCTGAAATGGAAAAATCATTTACTTAGCTCCAAATCTAGGAAAATGTAAATTGCCAGTGTCAATAAAGTTTACCTGTGTTTCATGTAGCCTCAGTGTGTGTGTGTGTGTGTGTGTGTGTGTGTGTGTGTATATATATATATATGTTACATTATCATTCATGGGTGCATCTAATACCTTGAAAACTTCGTTTTGTGTCATTTTCATCAGTGTACATAAATGCTATGGGATAGAAGTAATTTTAATAGATTTTGTTGTTTAAAGGACTGTTCTTTATTCTTTATTTACAGCTATGTTTTCAGGCATAAGCACCATAAATTACAGGGTCAATATTGAGCATTCAAGATAAAATCAGCTCCTTTGACCTACAGCTGCTTTCAGGCTGAAGTTTTAGTGTAAACCAAGTTTTTGTTCTATATGCAAATGCAGCTTTATTAATGTTCATTTTTCAACTTAAGATATATGATGAAATTATTCCTTGAGTTATCACATATAAATAATAAATATACATTTATACTAATAACCAGTTCTTGACAGGTTTTTCCCTTTCCCTTTTCCTGGCAGCGATCAAGTTCTCTGAAGCATACCGTACTGTTTCACAGCCAACACCAGCAACTGAATCACCCCAGATCTTTTCTTCTCTACTTTTTTCTTCTTCAAGAGAATTGAACATTTTCATTACTTACCTTCTTTACTTTCACCGTTTTTATCATTCAGAACAGTTGATTCCTTCTCTAGCAAAAAAAATCTCTGCCTTTACTCAACCATGTCTCGACTATTGCTCAACCAAATCAATCTGTACTGCATCTCAGCCAAATTAACTGTTGACAGCTTTGCACTATAAAATTTCTTCCCTCATCAGAACTAGTGTAAATTACTGTAACTTTCACCTCTCAGATCCCAGTTGTTCCCTTTGAAGTCACATAGAATAAATGGATTTTTTCTTTTAGAATAGCTTACTAGGAAGAGTAAAAGTTTTGGAATCAGACTGTGTCTGTTCAAATACCATCTCTCCTTAGCAGACATAAGACGTTGAAACAAATTACTTACCTTCTCTTTGTTTCTATTTATTTTATATGGAAAATAATAAGAGTATCTAGCTCGTATGATTATATTGAAGATTAAATGAGGATTAAGATCCTAGTACAAAGCCTAGTATATAGTATTAAAATATCAGCAACTAAATTATTGTTTTTCATATCTGTGAGATATATCATTGCAATTATTATAAACTCAACTCAATTTATCATTTTCAAAATGAATGTTCTCAGTTTTTCCAACTGTTCTTAAAGGACATACTTCAAACTTTTTTTTTTTTTTTTTTTTTTTGACGGAGTCTCTCACTGTTGCCCAGGCTGGAGTGCAGTGGTGCGATCTCGACTCACTGCAACCTCCACCTCCTGGGTTCACACCATTCTCCTGCCTCAGCCTCCGGAGTAGCTGGGACTACAGGCGCCCGCCACAACACCCGGCTAATTTTTTGTATTTTTAGTAGAGACGGGGTTTCAACGTGTTAGCCAGGATGGTCTCGATCTCCTGACCTCGTGATCCACCCGCTTCGGCCTCCCAAAGTGCTGGGATTACAGGCATGAGCTACCGCACCTGGCCCACCTTCAACTTCCTTTTTTTTTTTTGAGACGGAGTCTTGCTCTGTCGTCCAGGCTGAAGTACAGTGGCATGATCTCAGCTCATTGCAAGCTCCGCCTCCTGGGTTCACGCCATTCTCCTGCCTCAGCCTCCCGAGTAGCTGGGACTACAGGCACCCGCCACCATGCCTGGGTAATTTTTTTGTATTTTTAGTAGAGACGGGGTTTCACAGTGTTAGCCAGGATGGTCTCGATCTCCTGACCTCGTGATCCGCCCGCCTCGGCCTCCCAAAGTGCTGGGATTACAGGCGTGAGCCACTGCACCCGGCCCAATCTCTTGTACTTAAATATCTTCTTTGAATCCTGATTGTTTCATCATGCTTGTATTAGCATCCTGTCACTGCTGTAACAAATTACCACAAATTCAGTGGCTTGAAACAATACAAATGTACTGTCTTAGCGATTTGCAGGTCAGAAGCATGAAATGAGTCACTCATTTAAAATCAAGTTGGAGGCATGGCTGCATTTCTTTCTGGAAACTCTAGGGCAGATGCCATTTTCTTGTCTTTTTCAGCTTCTATAAGCTCCCTGTTTTCCTCGACTCATGGTTTTTTTCCATCTTCAAAGCCAGTGATGGCTGTTGAAGTCTTTTTCACAATCCCATATATTTCCTTTCTGATTCTTCCACCTACCTCTTCAGTCATTTAAGGGACATTGTATTATACTCAACTCAATCACATAAACCAAGATATTCTCCCTGCCTTAATTAGCAATTTTAATTCAATCTGCAACTTAATTTCCCTTTGCTATATAACCTAACATATTCATAAGTTCCAAGAATTACAATGTGGGCATTCTTGGAGGGTCTTTATTCTGTCAGCCATACCACCCAATCCTATTTTTCATTTTTATTCTTCTTTTTCATTATTTTATGTTGCCTTTGGTACCATTAATATAATTCACTATCAGTATTAGTATTTCACTCATAGTGAGAGGTTCATTGAATACTTGATTGATGTAAAAAAAATAGAGCTCACTCTCAATATTAAAGGATGAGAAGCATTTAAATAGATGGACTAGAAAAGAAAGGTCATTGGAGACAGGAGAAATTAATGAAACAATAGTAATAAGAAAGAGCAAGCTAAACATAAAGTTCTTGGGAGGAAGAGCTTCAATTTAGAAAGTGATAAAAGATAAGGAGGGATGGTTAAAATGAAGCCAATTATAGATGTCTTTAAATACCAAGTTGAAAAGATTATATGTAGTGTAATCATAACAAGCAATTGTATATAATATATAATATAAATAATTATATTTTATATAATGTAATAAGCAATTATATATGATTATTTATATTATCTTATATAATTACTTTATATAATATTTATATTATATATTATATATAATTATTTCTAATACATAATGTATACATATATACAAAGTATATATATAATATATATGTATATAATATATACATATTATATATTAGAAATAATTATTTAATTGCTTATTATGATTACGCACTATTACAATTATATATAAATTGCTTATTATGATTACACACTATATATATAAATGGTGTGCATGTATGTAAATATTTTACGTGATAACATAAAGTCTGATTTGCCAAAATTGTCTCTCCTGTGCTCACTTCAGCACCACGTACAAAAAATTGTCTCTCCTAGACAAATTTACAGTAAGCTTAAAAGTCTCCCACTATTTCTTTGGATTTAACATTCTTGTCTTTTTTAATTGATACATAATAATTGAACATATTTATGGGGTACAAGTGGTATTTTGATACATGCATACAATGTTTAATGATCAAATCATGGCAACTGGACTACCCATCACCTCATTTATCCTTTCTTCTGTTGAGAACATTGCAAATCTTCTCTTCTAGCTATTGTGAAATATACAATAAATTATTGTTGACTATAGTCACTCTACTGTACTATCAAACACTAGAACTTATTCCTTCTATCTAACATTTTTGAACCCATTAACCTACCTCTCTTTCTCCTCCATCCCCCATGCCCTTGCCAGACCCTGGTAACCACCATGCCTTACATGAGATATTCCTTACATGAGATCCATTTTTTTTTAGCCCCTACATATGAATGTTAAAGGCAAGTAGTCCTAGGGATGAGGTAAGAAGGGTAAACTATTGATACAGTAACACATATTGACATTTTCCCTACAAAAATGACTTTCTAAGTTATATCATGAAAGCATTGAGGCTGGGGATTGGATTAGGGGACTGGAAGAAGCTCATAAACAGAACTGGGACAGTGGTTGGGGAGGAGATTGAAAACAGGGGGATAATGCCAAGGACAGACAATGCCTACCTCATAATTTTGCCAATAGCTTTTCCCATTTTCAGTCAACAAGAAGCATCCACTTTTTAAAAATCAGTTACTGATATGTTAAGAACAATGTCTTTTGCTATTACTCAAGTAGGTCAGATTTGAACATGTTGAGTCTGAAATAACACAGGCAAGGACTTATCAGCCCATGTCCCATCATTTTTTCCTACATCATTATGAAAAGCTCATACACAAAACACTTGTGATGAACATTACAGTCACCTGGTGCCTGTAGGAGGAAAATACTATCATCCTTAGGGTGTTGGGATTTCAAAATATGAATTCGTTGAGGGGACAAAAACATTCAGACCACTAGCATTCCATCCCCACACCACCACCTTCAATTATATCATTCTCACATGCAAAATACATTCATTTCATCCCAACAGCCTCAAAAGTCTTAAGTCAGTACCACAAAGTCCAAGTCCAGAGTCTCATTCAAATCATCTAAATCAGATGTGAGTAAGACTCAAGGTAGGAGTCATTCTGAGGCAAATTGCTCTGTGAACCTGTGAAATCATACATATTACATGTTTTCAAAAGACAATGGTGGAGCAGGCTAACAGAATAGACATTACCATTCAAAAAAGGAGAAATAGTTAAGAAGAAAGGAGTAACAGGTTCCATGCAAGTCTGAAACCCAATAGGGCAAACAACATTAAACCTTGAGGATGAAGAATCATCTTTGGCTTGAGGTCTGCCTTCCAGGCCCACTGGAGGGAAGATTCCACCTTCCACACCCACTAAGGCAGATGCCCTGCCCCCTGAGCTTTGCCATGCAGGGGTTGGGGCCCCAAGGCTCTGGGTGTTCCTGCCTCTACAGCTTTGTTGGGCACAGCCCACACAACAGGTATTATGATTGAAGTTGTATGCCTGTGGCTCTCCTGGGCTAGAGTTGCATGCCAGTGGCTCTGCTGGTGTGGGATCTCCAGGGTGGCTCCACTCCCATGGTTGTTCTCTGCCTGTGTAGCTTACCAAGGCTCTGGAGGGCTCCATACTTTGAAATCTAGTTGGAGGTAGCCATAGCCCCAGACTCCAGCACTGCATGCACTGGTTGACACAGTGCTTCCCAGACTCCATCAATATTTGCTGTCTGTGCCTTCAGGAGGGGCAACCACCATGGCCTGAGCCATGCCGGAGCCTGCCATAACGGCAACTGGGGCAGCCAAAGAGCATGGCTACACTGCAGTTCAGGGAGCACAGCCTGAGATGTGAGGCAGTGCCAGGCAAGACATGCTAGGGTCCCTCAGGCACAGTAGCCCCTTGTTGGCATTTGAAGCTGCTCTGCTGCCCAGGCTCTTGCATTCTGGGGCTGGATGGGGGTGGCAGCCCTGATGATTTCTAAATTGCCATCATGGTCATTCTTTTATTTTCTCACTCATTAGTTCATGGCTGCTGCTTCGATGGCTGACTAATTTCATGGGATGGTCTTTGGCCACACTCTTCCTGTCCTCTTCCAAATAGGTTTCTCATTTCTTTCAATATGAACAGGTTGGAGTTTTTCAAACCTTTAATTTCTGCTGCCTTTATTTTTTGATATTTCTATTAGTCAGGGTTCTCCAGAGAAATAGAATCAATAAGATTTTGTATTACATTATATTATATTATTATACTATACTATATTTATTATAATACTATGTTATATATATTATGGAGATTTAGTATACAAATTGGCTCATGGAATTATGGAGGCTGAGAAGTTCCACCATCTGCCGTCTACAAGCTGGAGACCCAAGAAAGCCAATGGTGCAATTCAGTATTTGTCCCAAGGCCTGAGGACCAGAGCAGCTGATGGTGTAAGTCCCAGTCCAAATTTGAAGGCCGGAGAACCAAGAACACTGATATATGAGGACTGGAAAAGGTGGCTGTCCTAGCTCAAACAGAAGACAGTGAATTCTCCATTTCTGTAACTTGTTATTTATTCGGGCCCTTGGTGGATTGCATAATGCTTATCCACACTGGGGAGGGCGATCTTTACTCAGCCTACTGATTCAAATGCTATTTCTTCCGGAAACAGCCTCACAGACACATCCGGAAAAAGAGTTTCACTAGCTGTCTTGGCACTCTTATCCCAGTCAAGTTGAAAGATAAAATTAATCATTACAAACTTTTCTAATGATATTAACAGAAGTTTTTTAAAATATAAGCCCTATAATTAGGATGATCATATAATTTGTCATCTAAAATAAGCCTCCATTTCAGACTGAAAGTGCACAGTTATTATATTGAGACAAAAGGAGTAAACTAAGACTTCCTAGGACAAATTAGAACGTAAGATACCCTATGCATAACAATGGTGCAATCTGTGTGTGAAAACAAGGTTATTAAGTTTATAATCACATGTTTAGTGGAATCTCATATTGCTGATTACCATAAATGTAAAATTCTTGTATAGAGAGGGAGGGGAACAAATGTATTTTTCTAATTCCATTAATACTGTCTTAACCTTGATTTGATTGACTATTTTCAGAGGCTGGAGGAAAAATACAATATGAATTTAAGAAGCAAATCCATATTTGCCCTATGTAGTTGATATTGGAGAACAGAAGGAAGCTATCACATAAATAGCCTAGCTAAGCCTCAAGTTCAAGAATGTGTGTTCTGAGGAATGTCTTGAGAAGCATAAATTTTGGAAAACAGCCAGTGTGTGAAAACCTGCCGGAAAAATGCAAAGGAAGTCCATGGCACAGGCAGTGAGAAGGGCACAGAGAGCCTTTGATAATGCTGGAAGCTTAAACAAGCATTTGAAAGAAGTCTAGAGAAGTAAATGGGAAGGGAAAATGAGCATCATTGAATTGGAGACTTACAATAGTTGAATTTCATAGCATGTAAATTATATCCTAATAAAACTGTTAAGAAAAGAATTTTAAAATCCGTGACATAATATTTTGTTTTTATTTCATCACGGCATTTTAAATTTTAGTAACCATATTATTGTTATAAAAATTAAATCATGGACACAGTTTTTACATGATTTTTTTTGAATAATAGTGCCAGAAAACAGTGATTAATGGCTAATTGTCCTATTGAGGAACTGTAGGGACATGGCAGAGGGCTCAGTCATTGACCCAGTCCTAATCAGTAATTGTGTGCATTATTTGGATTAAGACATTTAAGGCTGCTTACCAAAATGTTCAAGTGACCCCAAGCTAAAAGACACTGCTAAGTTAATGACAGAATCAGGATTCAAAATTATATTGACCATTTAGAAAGTTCGACCAAAATCAATACAGTAAAATTAAACAGGAATATATATAAAATTCTACCACTAGTAAAAAAGGAAAAAATGAAGTTCAGTGTATCTAAGATAAAAGGAGAAATTTTTCTGTTATAGCAGACATGAAACTGAATGATTTCAAGCACAAAGGTTATTTATTTCTCATGCCACATGCCATCATGAGTTGGTAACAGGGCTCTGTGCATCAGTCACTGAGATTTAAGAGCAATGCAGCCCTCATCTCAGTCATTGTTGGTTACTGTGCCAGAAAGAAAGGAAAGTTTGCTAAAAGCCTCATCGGTTCTTAAGACTGCCATCCAGAAGTTATGCATATAACTTCCTTCCACAATCCATTAGCCAAAGAATGTCATTGAGCCACACTTAATTGCAAGGGGGCAGAGAAGTGCCATTGTATCTGTGCTCAATGGGTGGATAATCACAAATATCCACCAGTACTAATACCTATTGTAAACTGCATGAACAACAACAAAGATTAATGACTATAGTAAGCAGAATTATCAGATGATTCCCAAGTTTTCTGAATCCTAACCTCTCCCCCAGAGATACACTCTGTAATCTCCTCCCCTTGAGTGTTGCCTGGACCTGTGGGTACAAAGGATATTACCCCTATGACTGGATTATTTTTTATGACCAAGGCTGGAAAACTTTGCAGATGTAATTAAGGTTTTAAATCAATTGATTTTGAGATAATCAAAAGGGAGATTATCCTGGCTGGACCTAAGCTAATCAATTGAGCCCTTAGAAAGGACAGGGTCCTGAAAAAAAGTGATTGAAAGCATGAGAAGTATTATTCTGCTGACTTTTAAGAAGTCAATTGCCATCAGAGACAGCTAAAGACCTTAGGGCAGCCTCTTGGAGCTGGGAATGACTCCCCCAGCAAACAATAATAAAGAAAATAGGGATCTTGGTCCTATAACTGAAAGAAATAAAATTGTCTAATAACCTGAATGAGACTGGAAGAGGAAACTAAGATCTAAATGAGAACACAGTCCAGCTAATACATTTATTTCAACCTGAGCCCCTGAGAAAAGAACCGAGTTTCATCAAGTCCAGTCTATTGATCCACAGAAACTATGAGATGATTAAAAAAAAATTGTATGTAGTCTTAAGACATTAGCTTGTGGGAATTTGTTGTGCAGCATAGAAAATGAATATAATTATAAAAGAACAAGTTCATAATATATGATGTTTTAAAAGCCAACCACACAAAATACAAAGGACAATGATGATTCAATTTCGCTTTTAAAAAAGTGTATCGTGTATTTGCTTAGGAAAATAATTATGATGTCTAGACAGTTCCGAGTGGAAAAAAAAATCAAACTGTTTTTCCTCTGCTGTCACTCCATAAACAATCAACACAGAAGACTTCTGTGACCAAGTGTGTATGGGGTTTTCCCACACACACACCAAGCAAGCAATCAATTCTACAGCAGCTACTGCTGGGTGTCCTCCAGTTCAGTTCCAATACTATCTAACTGGAGACAGCTTCACATCCCACAGGGTGAGGGCTCAGTCCCACAAGACTACCCCTCACTTCTGATGTCAACTTCAAGCCCTAAGTTGTTTTACCTGGGCTTCTGACTGACTGGCTATAAATCTGGGTTCCACGACCTCTTCCTCTGGTTCAAACAATTTGCTAGAGCAGCTCATAGAACCCAGGAAACACTTACGTTTACCAGTTATTATAAAGAATATTGCGAAGGAAACAGATGAAGCAACTAATTTGGGCAAGATATGTGGGAAGGGACCTGGCGCTTCCATGCTGTTCCCACATGTGCCTCCCTCCAGGAACCTCCACATATTCAGCTGTCCGGAGGCTCTCTGAACCCTGTCCTTTTGGGTTTTTATAGAGGCTTCATTAAATAACATGGTTGATTAAACCATTAGGCATTGGTGATCAACTTACCCTTCAGCCCCTCTCCCCTCCCTGAAGTTTGGGGTGCCGGAGAGGGAGTGAAAGTCCCAACCCTCTAATCATGCTTCAGTCTTTGCCATGACCAGTCTCCATCCTGAAGCTACACTGAAGCTGCCGCCATCAGTCATGACATCAAAAAAGACATTATCATTGACATACAAAAAAGCATCACTTTGGAGATTGCAAAGATTTTAGAAGTTGAATGCAAGGATATGGGGATGAAGACAAAATATATATTTCACAATATTATAACAGTCAAACGTTAACAATTGTGGTTAACGCTGGAAGCCACTTTGTCCAATATATGCTGTCATATAATTTTGTCTTCATAATATCTTCAAGGTAATTATCTTTATTATCACGTAATTATTGTAAACCAAAAATAAAATTCTATCTCCCCAATTGACTGAATAGACCCCCTTTTTGGCCAAGGGGATTCCAAAGAAACCTGAAAAACTAGTTCAGGCCATGATGGGAAGTGAGGGATCAGACATACCTCATTATACCCTCACTCTCTTTTGAAGTTTAGACACAGCTGATCAGCATTAACATTAAAACACAGATGTTAAGACTGACACACGCTCTTTGTAGCAATAAGATACCAAATTCCAACCTGCCTCTAGTATAGCATAACATGACAGACAGCAGACCCTGAAAGAAACAAAGTATTTTACCCCAAAATATATTTCTTCGACATATTTTGAAGTGGCCCTGCAAAGCTGTCTCTTGAGAAAATTTATATTCTGTAGAGAATCCCCTTCCCTTTCCAGACCTTTTTCTGATTCTAAAGAGATTAGCTGTGGGGTTTGGCACTTTTTAAAGGTCTAAATAGGAAACATTTGTCACCTATTGCCTCTAGGGCAGCCACCTATGAGACCTTATTGCATAATATGAACTATGGTATCTGCTTCTTATTTTAATCCAGACACTACTTTCTATTGATTCCAGGTCTTTAGATAATAACTTAACTCTTTCAACCAATGGCCAATCAGAAAATCTTTGAATCCACCGATGATCTGGAAGCTCCCAACTCCCCCTTCGAAATGTCTTGCCTTTCTGGACCAAACCAAAGTATACATCACAGATATTGACTGATGTCTTATGTCTCCCTAAAACGTATAAAATCAAGCTGTTTGGGCACATGTTCTCAGGGCCTCCTAAGGCTGTGTCATAGGTTATGATCCTTATCATTGCAAAATAAACTTTGTATTGATTGATACCTGTCTATCATACTTTTGGACTTACATAATGAATCAGGTGACTATTACTTTTGTCAGGTTTTCATGTGTTTTCAAAATTTAATAGAGCAAATATGTTTTTCTTTTGTATGTAGATATCAATAAATAAAATATATTTTCATTTAAAAATATTTTGCAAATGTATGGAAGAGTAGACAGCAATTTACATTTAGGATAACCCACTGTCGACCTAAAGGAAGAAGATGAGGCAGAAAATATAATTTTTAAGTGTTTTCTTGAGCCAATATGAGAACAACTGCCCAAGAAACACTTCCAAGTTGCCTTGGGGAGTGGTCCGTTCAGCCTTTATTACAAGTAGGTTTCTAAAGGCAAAAGGAAACAAGGAGTGGGCTGAACTAAGCTGGAATTCTCATTGGTTTTCAGAAATAACATTGAATAGTGATTAGCTGTACACTGTTGAACTATAATAGGGTATGAGTTATGGTGTACAGCATTGTTAGGTTAATGTATGGCTACTTGGTGTTGGTCAATCTAAAGCCCACATAGCAAGTAGCTTCAAGAGGTGATTAGTTAGCTCAAGGGGAAGTGAGATGTTCCCATTTCAATGCCTCTCTGGGCCTGATCATTTAAAGGGGCTCATAGTTCTCAGATAAAAAGTTTCTTTTCTTTCTCAACACAAACTATGAACATGGCCACAAATCTAATGTGATCTAGCAATTAAATGAGACCATAAAATAACCTTAGCCATCTTAATCTAATATTCTAATAGTCTTTCTTGCACTGAACTGGATAGTTTGGTATGATTTATCAAATTCCATTTCCCCTTTCTTTTAGTTCACTTGTCTCAACCATATTTCCCAATCTCTCCTGAACTTTGGCATGATCCTATGAGCCCTAGTTTGTACAATGAGATTCAAAGTAACATATATCACCAGATATGTGCTAGATCTCGCACATAAAAGCCTTCCTTTCTTGATCCTTCATTATGTTCTGTCCTCCCACTGGCTAACTGGGAGGTCATGCAGGGTGCCCCTAGAAGCCTGTGTTAATGATAGCAGAATCTGGGTCTCTGAAAGGCTATTGGAGCTTAACCCGCTAAGCCATCCCAGTCATCTGTAACTGTTCTAGACAGTTACATGAATGACAGATGTATTTCTTTTGTTTTGTGTTATTATATTACACTTTAGGACTATTATTACAATTAATTGAGCACTTACTCTATGCCAGATCATCTGTTGTTGAGATTCTGTATACATTATCTGCAATCATCATCATCCTAATTTCACACATGATGAAACCAAATCTCCAGAAATTCTAGTCAATCATCTCAGATTGCTCTTCTAACTTGTTAATGACCAAACAAGGACCGGAACCCAGGTCTTTTAAAATCCAAATCTATTTAAACAATGCCTCTGCTGTATTGCCATAATTTTAGAGGGATAAAAACAAACTTGACTGAATTGAAGAAAAAGAAACCGAGAATTGCAAAATGCCCAAACATTTTCCTACTGGAAGTATTTTATGGAACTGGAGTTATATGACCTGAAGAAAATCAGCTTGAAGCACCTGAAGGCTTGCTATTTGGGAGCAGGAATATCATTGCCCTTTGCAGCAGAAGTGGGTGATCCAAGGAAGAATTTCAGTTGAACCTAAGAAATGTTCTAATAACTAAAGCTGTCCAACAGTGAGATGTATTGTCTTCATTTATTAAAGCTTCCATTCATTCAACTAACATTGTATTCACATTTTATGCTAGGCATTCCACTAGGTGCAGATGATACTAAGATGAATAAGACTTGGTTTATGTCATTAATAATTTACTTTCTAGAAGGAAAAATGCATGCAAAAAAAAAAATACTTGCAGTACAGAACAATAACTGTAATAATTGCCTGAAGTTGAAAGCAATTGGCCCTGTTTGACTTTGCTAGGGAAAATGTTCTAAAACACTGCTCTATGGAATAGTGCCTGTTTAATGAAGTTTTTGCTACTCCAAAATAAAATGGGAAAAATAAGAAACAGAGAGATATTTTCAAAAGGCTAATTTATTCTTGTTGTCAGATTATTTGCATGTTTCCTTTTTGATGTTAAATGTTCTTTTTTATGAAATGATGTGGTTGTAGCTGGTGGCTTGTTACTTGCTTTGTGTTTTATGTTAATATCTTTACTTTGCAGAATAAAACTTTAGCAACTCCATGTTGCCTCAAAAATTGTTAAATGAAATGTCACTAGCCCATTATAAGCCATAGTCTAATTTGAGCTGGATGTTGAAAGCTAAATACAAGTTTACCAGATAAATATAGGTTTTCCAGGTAGAAGTGTGTAGTCACAAAAGCACAGGGATTCAAACACTGCCTGAATTATATTGTGATCCTTAACTAATTCTCTCTTGCTGGAATATTGAATATCCCAAGGAGAGTGACAAAAACAATAAGCTGCAGAAATTGATAGGTGCCACATCACATCAACCTTTTGTACCATGCTAAATTTGATATGATTCTATAGGCAACAGGGACCTATCAAAGAAGTTTTCAGGCTGTCAGTCAGTGCAACAGTATTTTTAATATGGATCCTCAGACTGTTATTCAGTGCTCATTCCATTTTCTCTTGTACTTGAGTTTTTACAGTCTGTGATTGTGACATTTTTAGACCTGGCAAGTCTACACAATAAAAAATAACATTCATGTTAGACATCTTTTTCTCCCATA
Source organism: Homo sapiens (assembly GCF_000001405.40). NCBI lineage: Eukaryota > Metazoa > Chordata > Mammalia > Primates > Hominidae > Homo > Homo sapiens. The sequence goes on from NC_000008.11 coordinate 87,912,183, forward strand.
TTCCAAAAACAATACTTTCTTATGGCGTTCTTGCTGACTTATTTTTAGTAGAAAAGATGTAAATAACATGATCTTGTTTATGTTTTAGAAAGAGCACAGCCTTATGTAGAAGCTGAATTGGAAAGGGACAGTACACTGGGACCAACTGGGTGATGAGTTAGAAGCCTGATGCAGCAGTGAGTTCCCTGAAGTTAAGAAGACTTGCAGCACTAAATATATCATCATGGCTCACAGTCCTTTCACTGAAATGATCCTTTCAACTCTTAAAAGGGTACATTAATTTCCAGTTTAAAGGAACATGGGCCGGGCGCGGTGGCTCATGCCTGTAATCTCGGCACTTTGGGAGGCCGAGGAGGGTGGATCACCTGAGTTTAGGAGTTTAAGACCAGCCTGGCCAACATGGTGGAATCCCGTCTCTACTAAAAATACAAAAATTAGCCGGCTGTGGGGGGTGCGCACCTGTAGTCTCAGCTATCTAGGAGGCTGAGGCAGGAGAATCATTTGAACTCTGGAGGTGGAGGTTGCAGTGAGCTGGGATTGCACCACTGCACTACAGCCTGGGTGAGAGCGAGACTCTGTGCCAAAAAAACAAAACAAAAAAAAGGAACGTGGACACTAAAAACAGATATATGTAAGAATGATCATAGTGAAAGTCACAGAAAGATTGCATTTAAATTTTTGTTCTTGCTTTCCTATTTTCTCCAGTCTGACAGATTCTGCATGTTTCTGCTTTTCCTCTCCTGTACGTTTTTTTAAAAAAGCAGCACAGGACAATTCCTGACATTATCTCTTTAAAATGTATGATATCTTCCTACACATTATGTACCCGCTTCCATGCAAACCTGACTACAGTCTACTAATGTATAGACAGTCTTATCCAGACAACATCTATATGGCAAGTTTACTAAAGTTCCTTCAGCAAAATAAATTTATAAAATAAAATAAGAACCAGAATCACAACAAATTGCCATCTCAAAAAGCCTTGGTAAATTGATACTTCAAAATAATATTGAATTTAAATCTTTGAAAGGATGTGATTTGAATGGATTTAAGCATAGCATAGCTATTCCAGGTGAGATTCATATTTAATCAATAATTTAATATTTCTTTGCTTAGAGGTGAGTTATGCTAGAAGTTTTTGTCAAACTGCAATCAGCACCATCAACAGCTTAACCTTTCCTCCATCAATTACTTCTTGATCTCTAGTACTAATAATCAAGAGGCTATTATAATTGTTTCTGGAGCCACTAAGATCTCAGTTCTTAGCAATTGATGCTAATTTTTATATTCTACAATAATTAACATTAATCTCGTTTTCTCCTCTGTTGGTTTCAACTGCTGAGAATATATAGAAACTATGGCTGATATTATAATGTACTGTCAAAATGATTTTCAGCATGCCGAATCAAGCCTAAAAATATACTGAAAATATAAATAAGTTGGTTTCTCAGTCAATGCCACAATACTTTTAATGTGGGTGTTCAAACTACTATTCAGTGTTCATGTTGTTTTTAACTTGGGTTTTACAGTAAGAGATTATTACCTTTTGAAACCTGGCATATCTACCCAGTGAAAAATAGCATTCATGTTATATATCTCTTCCTTCTTTACTTCAAAAACAATGCTTTTTCAGGATATTTCTTTATCACCTACTTCTACATAGAAAAGATAAAAATCGACAGAAATGTGCATAGCAGCCATTTTGCCAAAAAGCAGGACGCAGCAAAGGGAGGTATGAGTCAGGTCTATATTGTGCTCATTCTCTTGATGATCCCAGCATAATGAAACTAAAATCCTACATGGCAAATTCCCTGGAATTTCACATTTTGATTCTGTTCAGTCAGTAAATGTTATTTTGCTTGGTGCTTAATCTTGTTAAATAAGGAAGAAATTTCCACAAGGTTTGGTACCACATCCAAAACCAACTTTCTCATATGAACATAAACATTGACTCAACAGCTCTAAAGGTCCTGAACTTCAGGGTGTGGGATGAAACTACTTTGTGGGTTTATGTCTGGTGTTTGCTGTTTTTCAGTGTTTATGTATCAGAATCTCACCAGCAACTACGTGACATGTTGGATAAGCAAGGTGTTAAGTTGAAGTCAAAGTTTTATAACAATCTGAAAAAAGCATCATTTAAATTTAAAATAAGGGAGGCAAATACTCCTGTGTGATCTCAGTTAGGTATGTACACAAAGGTTTACAAAGGATCTTAGCTTCTCTACTTTATATAAACAGATTTTCCTTCTAAATTCACTGTGGTAATGACATGAGGTAACATATATAACCTACAAGGTCACGTTCCAACCATAATCCAACCGTTCTGGTGGCTCCATATTAGCAAGCTGTACAGTCTTTGTTTTTAACTTAATGGCCACACGTTATGCCATTTTGTGAGACACAGGTTCATTAGACCTTCTGTTCAAGAGCCTTAAGGCCACAATTCATTCTGACTCTGCAATTACCGGTGATAATTTTTATATGCAGCCAAAATTTTCAATCACAGTGGGAAGGTTTGCATAATGTGTGGCTTTTTGCTGTTCTTTCTGATAATCCCATGTTGGGGGAAAAAATCATTAAAGATGTATGCTGGAAAAGCATCCATACTGCATGTGCCAATTTACTGTTTTTCAAAAGAGCAAACTCTAGGAAAGGGAATATGGGGAAATAGAAGATATCAGCACATTTGATTTTTTTTATAAACAGTTTATGTTGGTTTGTGATAGATATAAACCAGGAGGAAGATAGCTGGTAACCTTCCTTGTTGGTTATACTACGTAAAAGCACCAGTCTTCAAAGCTTTTTAGTTCTTTGAAATATATTCACTGTAAGTTACACCTTTAGGTGAGTTCTCCTAAATATATAGTGCTTTTGAAATTAATCTTGAAAGCAACCAACTAAATTTTTAGATTATAAGTTATTGTCACTGAGCCTTTTCTACTAATTTAAGAGATGCTGAGTGGAAGTCTGTCAGGCAAGAATTTAAATCACTTCTGGCCAAAAACTTGGAGTGAATCCATTAGAAACCCGATGTTATGCAGAAACTCTAATTGGAAGACAAATAAAGAGAGAGCTATTCCTATGCAGGATCCTGGGGTTTGATTTGTAGGTTATCAGTACACGCTGACCTAGAACAGATTTTACGAGACAGAAAGAGTCTGTGCGTTTAAATAAACAAATATGAAATCATGTCAACTGACCACTGTTTTCAAAGATTACAGTCTGACACCATAAAAGCTCAAGAGACATTATTTCTACCCAGGAATTCTGTGGCTGTTGGGGTACGTTCGAAGTGCTTAAAGAAAAGAGAGGAGCTTGAAAAAATACATTGAGAGGTTGCAATATTAATTAAACTTACACGCTAAGAAGAAAGAAAAAGAGAGAGATAGAGGGAGGGTAAGAGAGAGAGACAAAGACAGAAATATGGTAGCAACAGTGAAAGCTTTCCTTGAGAGCTGAATTAAATTGTTTTGAGCAAAGTGCATGCATCCTTTAGACTGGAGGAGGAACCATGTATTAATAGTCCCAGAATTTTCGATGAGGGGAGCTCTGTGTTGACCTGCAAACCCAGAGAGGAATGAAACTGATTTATATTACACACAGCATATTTACCTTTACTCTCTAGCAGCAACAGGCCAGCAGGGCAGCCGTGTTGCTCTGATGCATAACCAGTGACTTGGGTTCCAGTCTCATGTAGGCTAGTGACTGGATAGGCCATTTCAGGTAAATCACTTAGACTTCATTGCCATCAGTTTTTCTCAGCTTTAAAATGTGGATAATACTGATTTTCAAAGACTAGGACAGGTTTAAACGATATAATATGTGACTGTTTGGGCTTTGTAATAAATATACACTATACATTTGTCAATGATTCATTAATTTTGGGAGGAAGCAGACTTTTCTGTGGAGAAAAGGCACAGACCAAAACTCTGGTAATCTTATGTTCACTGAGGGAAACAAAATGGAAGAACACCACCTGGCATATAATAATTATTAACTCTCTTCCCTGGCCTGGCAATTTCCCCATCGTAACACAGGCTACTGCCACAAATTCCTGGAATTGATTCAATGCACATGTCCTTGTTTCCAAGACCCTAAGTAAGTTGCTAGGATACCACTGGGACCTTTTAGCACTTTATTTTCCTTTTCTCAGTATACTATTGGAGAGGTACGTCCTTTTATAAATTGGAACATAATATATTCCTCAACTTGACACATAATGGCCCATAAGTCTGTGTTGCATATAACTAGCTATGTTAAATTTAACAATACTAAGTCTTTTAGGTGATAATTGTTGGATACTTTAGGCCTATATTCTTTAACAGTTTTTAGGATATGTTTCAAACACTCAGTTTTTGCTGCAAACATTTCCTCAACTACCGACAATTAGTGAATGCAAAAATGTGGTAAAGGAACAAAATTTCCAGGTAAAACTGGTGTCATTTATGTGCATATGTGTTCCAAATATTTTAATTGTGCTTCAAAAGGAGGTACTATATTATCAGGTGGATTAATAATGATATCATTTTCTAGTTTTCTCTCAAACTAAATGAATAACCATCTATGGAATCTTTAGCCCCACCCTACTTCCACTTTCTATGAAGGGAGAAAAAGGGAAGTGGACATGTTATTTAACTGTTGAACAAGTGAGTTGCCTAGCAACAAAAAACAAGTTTCAAAAGATTAGGTCAATAATGTCCAACTAAATCTAAGAGCAGTCAAACAGCATGCCCTTGGGTATCAGACCCCAGTTTGGGTTCTAAAATTCAAACATACAATCTTTACTATGTATTTTCAATAATATCAATTTATTTAAAATTGAGTTTCAAACAAAAGTCACGGCAAAATGATAAAACTAAAGTAATCCATGATAAATTCATTTCCACAGAACCTCAAAGTTGTGGATTCTCCCCTAATGTTTAGGTTCAAATTGTCCTGTACTTTCCAAGACAGGACAAGAATTTGCAGTACAGTTATTAAATGAGAGAATTCTGTTGCATTAAGGTAGTCAGCTATTTCCTCATCTGGGCAGGCTGAATCTTTCCCAGTTTAGATCAATGAGTATGTGTATGGGTCTACAGGAAGTCAAATTTACTCAGCGGCTTGTGAATTTTGAATTCACAGAAGATTTTATGGATGATGTAAAAGAGGTGATTCAAATCCCACACCCCACGTTAATTGCATTGAGTAATCTGTTTGATTTGGTTTCTTCAACCTATCCTTTGGCCACTACTAGTGGTCCCCCAGTGCCTTCCTTTGACAGCCCCTCAGCCTTTGATCTGTTGTGTGCAAAGTGTTTCATCTCTTCCCCAATTCCTCTGTCACACTCATCTAGGAACCCAGCAAGGCCTAAGGCAGTGTAGCCTGATGTTGCGACTGTATCATCCTGGGAGAAAGGGGAATCACAGCCATCACCACAAGAAGTTTAGTACCATTTCCAAGAAAAATCTCAAGTCCTAGCTTAGGTATCACCTGAACCACTTGCTGAAAAAAAATGAAAAGATCTGAGATTTGAAAAATAACTGTTTGCTAAGACATCAAAGTGAACATGACTGTTTCCTACAAGAGATGAGTCCCAGTGTCTAAAATAGCCTCTTCTCATTCTCATGTGCAATGGGATATGAATGCAGATTCACAAAGAAACTTTCTAATTAGTACACAAAGGGAAATTCTAGGAAGAGTGGAACTCATGTGAATTGCATGAAAAAAGCCATTCAGCTACCTTTGAATCATGACTTTTCCCCTAATTTCATAACCTTTTCTCTAAATTCAAAACACACAGCAAAAAGGCAACAGAAGCAAGGAAGGAAGAAACAGGCTACCTCAATAGTTGATTAAATTCCTGAGATTTTCCTACCTAGGGGGTGTTCTGGGATAAAAAACAATTTGAAGAAATAGTCAAACCCTCTGATTTAGTATAGGATTTCTCCTTTCAAATACAAAGCTTGAACTGATTCTAATGAGTGTGCTGGGAAGTGTCAAACTGAAACTGCTGATGCTTTTCTTTCCTACTCCACAGTACTTCCACATTGAGTCCTAGGTTTAAAAAAATCAGCTATTCTTTTCTATTATTTTCCTTTTTATCTTATTTAAAGGAAAACAAACAGTGAATGCTTTGAAATGAACTTGACATATTAACCATGATCATTGCTACATGCCCTGCTTTTATTTCTCAAAAGTTCACAACAGGTCTCTTCTTTCTAAGTCTCAGAAGCTGTGCTAAGCCACATAGATCACTTGAGGACTCATAGTTTAACCTTCTCCCATAATCCTAAACTAGAGTCAGACTTGAGGAATGAGATCTTGTTGGCTCTTTCCCAAGACTACATTCAAGACTACTCATCATTTGCTTAGCCTCTTCAACCAGCTTATTTCATTGTCTCTCTGGTTCACAGCAGCTTTATCTTACAACTGGCCTAAGCTGGAATTAACAAGCTGAATTTCCCAAAACACTAATCAAAACTACTTGCAGAAAACACATTATCTTCAGTTTCCTATAACTCCAAACATAGGGGAAACTAAAAAGAGCTGATTCATTTTGCATTTTCTATTTGGGTTTGTAACAGGATGTCGGAATGTCTCTAATAATATGAGCATTGTCCTTCAAGATGGTCATATCTAGATACTGAGTGCTTTCTCTAATAAAGTTCCCATTGTTAAAACTGTGAACAATGCTTTGAACATTCTGCTTTGGAATTACCTTCACTACTGATTTACATGTAATATGAGGGATATCATACTACTTTTTGACCACACCTCACAAAGGTCAAAATTTTCTCAAAGAAAATTAAATGGTGTGGTTTAGACACAAAGTTTTGAGTGTCTTTGAGAAATGATCCAGTATAACTATTCAAGACAAAGGCTGTGGAAATCTTAGACCATAGTTACGAGTCAAAACAAAAATAAAGCAAGCTGTGCCTTCCATATATGCCTGAGGCTATGTCTCCAAAAATTTCTAGTTAAGTGTAAAATGTTCAGCCAATTATTTTCTTATGCACTGCCAAAAAGTCTTATTTGATTTCGTTACTTATTTTATGTATTTATGCGTTTTATACCCAATCAACTAGTCATAATATCTGCACAGACTCAGTTTCAGGAAGATCTCTGCTTCAGACTCAGAGTATAATCATTAAGATAGTAACATAATAAAAATCCTTTCAAGAATCTTTATTACTTATTTATTCTAAAATAAATTCTTCATAATCACGATGGTTTATCTCAACTCTCTACAGAGCCTGCAAAAAGTAATAAGACTTTAAACTTCAGGTGCTTCAACACCTAAATTTCCTACAATAAAGATTTATATTTAAAAAGTCTCTTATTTTAAATGTTTAAATGTTCAAGGGTTTGGGGTACAACAGTATGAGTTATCATGTTCATGTAAAGGGATAAAATACTCTGCAGAAAAGCCAGAAGGATGTAGAATTGAATGTCAATGTCTAAGTTTTATGTGAATGAAACAGAGTGCTATGTATTGGAATGCCCTGAGGAGTGCAGGCAGCCGTAAAAAAAAAGTTTCAACAGAGAAAGTGGCCCATTTGTTGTCTGAATTACAAGGTCATTGCATTGGTCTATACAGCAAGCATCAAATTAATTACTTCTCTTTCAGATTTGACAATAAGAAGACAATAAAGCATAAGTGGTGATAGACATATATAGTTCAGTTAAATGAGACCGAATTGTACTAAATCATAACATGATCATGGTTGATTACAGCATTAACAATCCAACCATGCAAATTCATATATACAGAAAATGTACATGCACTCACATACAGAGGATGAACTATGTGATTGAGAATCTGTGGGTTATGTTTGCGTGTCACATTTCTTTAAGAAATATTAACCAAAAACACCACTCAGAGGTGAAAGAATCCTTCACCAACCAAAAAATACTCTTGCAAATGGAACACAGAAATTCTGACATTTGAACAAAAATTAAACATTGAAATGTATTAGGTCATGCCAAACATTATTGATGAATATATGTACAAACAATTTATGATGAACACTAGAAATTTTCTTGCTTGCATAATGCAAGGTATTATATCATTATTAATATCACTATTTTATCATTTGTATATAAAAGACAACAGATATCCTCTTCAAATTATTGAATTTTAAGTATTTATCTACAAAGGATTTGAAAAATTGATTCAAAAATGGTGATAGAGTATGTGTTATTATCCCGGTGTATTACTGAATGTGTCAAAATCCTTTACACACTGAATGTAAATTATCCCTAAAAATCATATTTAAAATTTGTTCCACCCTTGCTTATATTTTTGGGGTGACTGAAGCAGTCCCTGATTAGTTAGCAAGCACTTCTTTAGTATATGCTGTAAACAAAGGTCCAACCAAATTGGATCCGGTTTAGCCAATAGAAATCTAGCTGTCAAAATCTGCTCCAGCTTTCAATGTCTTAGACTTTCATTTTCTAAGTGGACATGAACCTGAAGTTTGGTCTAGTCTCCAAATAAGAAAACTGCCACTCTAAATGTGATTATCTTCATGCTGCACCCTAGTGATCATCCAGTGTGGTGTAGTAGAATGAATGCAGGATATGGAGTCAGGACACTGATAAAAATCCCGCAGATACAAAACACTCTTCAGAGATAGCTGTGTAACGTGGGGCAACTGGGTCTTCTAGATGTGTAGCTTTGGGCAACTCGTTTGCATTTCTGACCCTCTTATTTGTTTTCCAATAAAAAAAATGGAGATTTTATCATGCTTGCATAAATCTAGAATAATCCATGCCATAAAGATTAGATTTGAAATGATAGTTACTCTGATGATTAATTTTAGGTGTCAACTTGACTGGATTAAGGGATACCCAGATTGCTGGTAAGCTATTATTTCTGAGTATGCCTGTGAGAGTGTTTCCAGAAGAGACTGACATTTTCATCACTGAGCTGAATAAGGAAGATCCATCCTCACCAATGTAGTCAGGCACCACCCAATCAGCTGAGGGCCCAGATAGAACAAAAAGAGGAAGGATGAATTCTTTCTCTCTCTTCTGGAGCTGCAACACCCATCTTCTCTTGCCCTTGGATGTCAGAACTCCAGGTTCTCTAGCCTTTGGACTCTAGGACTTGCACCAGGGGCTCACCCCAGATTCTCAGGCCTCTGACCACTGACGGAGAGGTACACCATTTGCTTCCCTGGTTCTGAGGCCTTCGTACTTGAACTGAACCATGCTCTAGGCTTCCCTGGTTCTTCAGCTTGCAGACAGCAGATCACGGGACTTCTCAGCGTTTATAATTATGTGAGCTAATTCCCCTAATAAATCCCCTCTCATCTATCTATACTATTGATTCTGCCTCTCAAGAGAACCCTGCTTGATATGGTTTCCTTTTATAAAACTATTTTCTCAGTAGTAATATACTTTTTACATTCTTGAATTTATGCATTCTGCTTTTCAAAGTAATACCTACAAATGCCACACCTGAATCTCCACTGATGTCTTTGCATTACAGCTATTAATACATGTACATATATGTGTGTGTTTTATGGACTGAATATTTGTTCTCCCTAAATTCGTATGTTGAAGCCCTAGCCACCAATGCCTAACCACCAATGTGTTGGTATTTGGAGATGGGTCTCTGGGAGAAAATTAGGTTTAGATGACATCACAAGGGTGGGACCCCTATGATGGGATTAGTGTCTTTATAAGAAAAGGAAGAGAATCAAGAGCTCCCTCTCCTCCCTGCCACCTCCTGCCCCACCCTGTGAGGACACAATCAGAAGTTGGCCATCTGCAACCCAGAAAGAAAGCCCTCTGCTACCTTTATCTGGGACTTCCCAGCCTCCAAAAATATGATAAATAAATTCCTACTGCTTAAATCATCTACTCTATGGCAGCCTGAGAGAACTAAAACATAATTACACACACACACACACACACAAAGATACATACAAACACACACTCAGGTATGTGTATTTTTTTTCAAATTTAAATTTTCAAAAGGAAAAATATAATCCAAATACCCAGTATGATTTTAGCCTCTTTAATCTAGGTTTTTTTCTATATGACTTCTCTTTGGGTTTAAGGACAATCATTATTGGTCTCTTCTTGTCAGTGGAAACTTACAACGGAGAGAAGGAATTTGGATTTTATCTCACAGGTAATAAGAAGTCACTTTTCATACTTGGACAGGGAGTTAAAAATAAAGAATATTAGTCTGGCTACTCTGTGTAGGATATCCAAGGTAGATCAAATGTAAGAAGTCTAGAGGCTGCTCATGTTATTCAAGTTCAAAATGATAAATGGTAAATTAGAATTGTGCTTATAAAAATACAAATAATTGTATTGATGCTTTGGAGTTGAATGTGCCTGAGTTTAGTTCTTGCTTCCATGATGACTAGCTCTGTGGTATTAAGTCTCGACTTCACTACGTCTCAGGATTCTTCTTAAAATGGGATTAATAAAGCCAACCCACTGCAAGATTGGTATAGGGTTTTCAAAAGCCAGAGCTGTTAATAGTCAGAACTGATATTGGCAGCCAGTTCCCAATGACTAGATCTGGATCCAAGCGGGTATGGAGATTAAATGAGATGGTTAATGCTGAGTGCTGAGCAAAGTGCTTAACACATAGTACATCTGCTATTTGGCAGTTATTGCTGTTATGCACAGAAAAATTGGAGGGGGTTGGCTGTCATAATATTGAAACTGGTTGGATATAGAGAATGCATGAAAAATAAAGTTTAGAAGATTTGATATTTGAGATTTGGGCATCAAATTGAATTTGAATCTACTGGGACTATTAGGTCTTACAGTATACCAGCAGAATTTTTGGAAGAAGTGAAAAAGCATATGCAGATATGTAAAAGTCTTTCTTCTTGAAGGAAAGGTTCATAATGATCTTTATGATTTAACTGAGAATATTAATGTCATAGTTAAAAACCAAGCATTTGAAGAAGTCATAATATGATAACTTCTTGAGACAGAAAATAATAAATTTAGATAAGATGTGTTAAATTCCAGATGATTGAGAGTCTTATTAAGGACTCGGCCCGCCCACCCTCTACAAATATGAAAATATCTAACAGAATTTGAAAATATAAGAATACATGAAAGGCAAATTATTAGGGTATTATTAGAACTCAGTAGGTGATTTTATGTGTGTTTGTATAAGAAAAACCTTGGATGAAATGACTTGAAATTAGAGCAAAAGGGCTTTAGTAAATTTTATGCTTTGTATAAGCAAATTTCTATTTTATCCAAAGGAAAATTGGATTAAATAATAGAAAACAGTAGTCATACATAAAATAATATATTATTAGAGAGGTTTATTTTCTCATACACATTGTTTCCTATGTTCCACATTGATTAAATAAGAAAACATAATTAATAGCAGAATATTTGCTTGAAAATAATAACATAGTAATATTGTTAATATGTTATCACAAAAAGTGTATTGTGAAACCACAGATGTTTGATATGGTTTCAAGCATCGTTTGTTTATTATAATAAGACATTGTGTTACACTATATTAAGATATTACACTTATTAAAACAAATTCTTTCAATCTATTAATACTACACACTGAGTAAAGAAGGAGGGATTAACTCAAAAGGAGACAATTATAAAAAAATCTGAAGATGAAATATAGCTTTCAGAATTTAAAAGAAATAAAGTTGAGTTTTAAATTATCTGGGAAGACCCTATAGTTTCAAGTTAATGAAAGTAAAATGGCCTTGGCTGGGTGCGGCACTCCCAGCACTTTGGGGGGTCAAGGCAGGCGGATCACCTGAGTTCAGGAGTTCAAGACCAGCCTGGCCAACATGGCAAAACCCTATGTCTATTAAAATACAAAAATTAGTCAGGTGTGGTGGTGTGCACATGTAATCTCAGCTACTCAAGAGGCTGAGGCAGGAGAATCACTTGAACCCAGGAGGTGGAGGTTGCAGTGAGCCGAGATCACGCCATTGCACTCCAGCCTGGGTGACAGAGTGAGACTCCATCTCAAAAAAAAAGAAAGAAAGTAAAATGGTCTTAACTCATAAAAAACGCTATCTCTTCTATAGAGGAAACAAACTGGCAAACAAACTTCAATTGTTAAGATTACAAATATCTGTTTCGGGCAATGGTTTTAGATGTTTGTATAAAATAAACCCATATTTCCTTCTGGAATATGTAAATTCAAATCATTTAAATTAACATTTCCAATCCTCTCTCTATTCTATTTTTGTTTTGATGTTTTCTTTAGAAGCGTTTGTGATAGAAATGTGCTTTCCTGTAATCTGCACACCTTAATAAATACTTGTATATTGCTAATGTATATACTGCTTATATGAGATTCATATTTTAACAATGGATGTGAAATTTTATAGACTACAGACCTCAAAACCCTGAGCAGAGGCAGTCTGATTGAAAAACTACATCAACCCAATATAAGGATTGTGGCTTAGATGACGAAAATGTCTTTATATTATTAATTCAGTCACCTCATTGATTTGTCTACCTGATGACCCGTACCAAACAGACACACAACAATAAATTTGGTTCACTGAAAGCATTTTAACTAAAATTCGCCAGATGTTGGCAATCACTCATTCTCAATCCACATCTTATCTCACTGATGAAAGAAGAGAATCCCACAAGCCCTCAGCTATTCATTAACAAGTCAAGCAGCTCTCCATGGAGGCAAGCCCTTCACATGCTCCGTGGCCCTTTCTCTGATTGTAACATTTGTGCATTTTTCTTTGGCACTAAAAAAAAGAGAATTGGTCCCAGCACTTCTGAACATTTCAGGTGTTTATAAACCGCCCAAATGGGGACATGGTCGCCACTCCTCTATTCCTATTGGTGTTACTTGTCTTTTCTTTTCTTTTTTTTTTTTGAGACATTTACAATTCCTTCCCTACCCAGCGGGCAACATGGAATGACTTCCACTTCCTTAATTCCCACAGCCAGTCCTGCAAATCTCTCAGTCCACCCACCCACTACAGATGCTCAGATGTGTTACCTCTCTTCGATTCCTTATTACCTTTCACCTGAACTACTGAAAGAGCCTTCTATAAATACTCTCATAAAGCAGTTTTTTCTTGTTTCACTTGATTTTAATTAATTCATAAAGTTATATGATATATCTGGAATTAATTTTTAAGGCTAGCATAAAGTGGTACTTGAGGTTTACTTTTACATAGGGCTATCAGTTGGTCCAGCACAATTTACTGAAAAGGCTTTTCCTTCTCTATTGTATTGCTGTGTTATCATTGTAATGAAATGGAAAGACTACATAAGCATGTCTATTTTTACATTCTCTCCCCTCTTCCATCAAACTACTTGATTCTTATTTCAGTAGCACAAAGTGTTGACAACTACTAAATTTTGACTACTAAATCTTTATAGTCAGTGTTCAAGACAAGAAGTCCACCAACTGTTATTTTTCAAAATTGTTTCAACTATTTTAATTTTTTTCCCTGTCCATATAAATTTTAAGATTGGTTTGCAAATTTAATGAGTGCTTATGTAAATACAAACTTATCAAACAGTATACTTTAAATATGCGCAGTTTATTGTACATAATACTGTTTTTTTAAGTGTTGTAGGTTTTCACTTCCAGGAAGATAGAACAGATGTACTTTTCTCTATTCCTTCAACTAAACAAAATGAGAAATCTTGGGAATTATATATAAAACAAACATAAAAAGATGCTGAAAGGTAGAAAGAAGAAGGCATACCAGATAGGAAATCTGACACCTGAAGAACAACATGGTAGAGAGTTTTCTGAGTTTTCTTTTTGACTCATATATCTCAGGCTTAGAACTGAAGAAGCCGGTAACCTGGAAACATCAATGTGCAGAAACAAAAACAGTAAAATAGCAATGAAAATCAGCCGTCTCTAGCCAAATGGCCAGGAAAGGTGCAGCCCTGCAAGACAGAACATTTTTAAACAATAACCACTCCACTCAAGCGAAATTCTATAGAAAAAATTAAATTAAATTAAAAAGTGCCTCACCTCATCCATATCAGCAAAGTGTGATTGAAGAGCCTGGACTTTCATTCTTAAAGACTGTAACAAGGTAGTCTAAAACCTGCACAGAGGTGGTCAAGAACAGGCACTTAGAAAAAAATGCTTTTCATCCCCACCAGAAACTGATAAGGATCCCCTAGAATCCCTGATGAAGTGGTGTCAGAGAAGGGCTAGTGGAGACCCAGGATTATGACTGTGTAGCTGTGGTGTCACAAGGGGCCATGTGAGAATGGAAATGAGACACTAATGAGTTACTAAACCGCTTCCCGCCAGTGGGGAATAAGTGGAAGCTTATTGGGGAGCCAAAACTTCCCTGTCTGCCCACCAGTAATGAGAAGCACACTACCTCAGGCCTTAATGGATGCCAAGTGTGGAACCTGGATTTCTACCCAACCTAGCAGCAAAGGAAGCAGGGACTTCCTTCCTCTACTGGAGAGGTGTCTGAAGAAGCAAGCCAAACAGAAAGTTTAAATAAGATCTAGGATCTCATAACATAAAACCCCAAATTTCTAGTTTATATTCAAAAACACATATCATACCAAGTATCAGGAAAACATCAAACAGAATGAAAAGAAAGGAAGTCAATACATGCCAACACCCAGGTGACAGAGACGTCAAGAGTACTAAAAAGGATTATTTTTTAATTTTTATTTATTTATTTATTTATTTATTTTGGGACAGAGTCTCACTCTGTTGCCCAGGCTGGAGTGCAGTGGCACAATCTCGGCTCACTGCAACCTCCACTTCTGGGGTTCAAGCAATTCTCCTGCCTCAGCCTCCAAGTAGCTGGGATTACAGGTGCCCGCCACCACACCAAGCTAATTTTGGTATTTTTAGTAGGAATGGGGTTTCACCATGTTGGTCAGCCTGATCTCATACTCCTGACCTCAAGTGATCCACCCACCTTGGCCTCCCAAAGTGCTGGGATTACAGATGTGAGCGACCGCACCCATCCTGAAAAGGACTTTAAAGTAGCATCATAAAAATGCTTAAGTGGGTTCAAACATACAGTTAGATAAAATGAGTAAAATCTAGTATTTGATAGTACAACAGGATGACTGCGTCAACAATAATTTATTGTACATTTTAAAATAACTAAAAGAGTATAATTGGATAATAACACAAAGGATAAATGCTTGAGGTGATGGATACTCCACTTACGATGATGTGATTATTAGGCAATGTATGCCCATATCAAAATATCTCATGTACCCCATAAATATATACACCTGCTATGTACCCATAAAAATTAAATATAATTTAAAATATATATTATTGAACAACCAATTACATAGATGCTTAAAACAAGTAAAGCAATAGAAAGTCTCAGCAAAGAAACAGAAAATATACAAAAGAACCAAAAGGAAATTTCAGAGCTGAAAAATATGATTGAAATTTAGAAAGCTTTGGCCGGGCACAGTGGCTCACGCCTGTAATCCCAGCACTTTGGGAGGCCGAGGTGGGCGGATCATGAGGTCAGGAGATCGAGACCATCCTGGCTAACACTGTGAAACCCTGTCTCTACTAAAAATACAAAAAATTAGCCGGGCGGGGTGGCGGGCGCCTGTAGTCCCAGCTACTCGGGAGGCTGAGGCAGGAGACTGGAGTGAACCCAGGAGACAGAGCTTGCAGTGAGCCGAGATCACGCCACTGCACTCCAGCCTGGGCAACAGAGCAAGACTCCATCTCAACAACAACAAAAAAAGAAATTTAAAAAGCTTTATGAATGGGCTGAATAGCTGAGTGGATGGGATGGGGAAGAGTACTTGAACTGGAGACGGAAGAATAGAAAACATCCAAGGGGAAAAAAAGAAAAAATTTGGACTTGTGAAATGTATTTCCATTTTGTTCTTTGGTTCTCTAAGGCAATATTTGTTATCCAAGTTTTAAACAGATTTTGCATTTTCAATTTATGCATAATATAATTTGCTGCTACTATTTGAAAATTGTAGCGAGTGAATTTTTTACTTTAGAATTAACGTATTGTCCTATTGAAATATATTAAGGAACTGAACAATCAAATGAAGTATATGGAAAGATGAGTCTTTTGCTGAATATATGTATTTGTCAAATAAAATGTATCAAGTGATTTATTTTCTGAATAAAAATGCATAAATTCATAATTATCATTAAGAAAACACGGCCTTATGATTCAAACAATGTACACATCTGTAGTAGCAAGTTTGGGAAGCTTTTTGTAGTAGCCAGTAGGTATAGAGCCTATTTCATTAGTGAGTAAAGTGAATTTATTTTAATGAGAAAAACGACATAAACACAAAATATATGTGGCCACTGTTTCAATCTTTGAAGGCATCCTGAAATGTTTAATTAAGGATATCTATGGCCTCAGAAGTTCAAATCATGAGTAAATGGAAAATTTTTTTCTCTGACCAATTAAATTTCACTTAATGCAGCCATCAATAGCTACTATTCTCATTCTATCAAATATAATATATACCAAATAGAAGAGTCAAAATGTAACAAAAAAGGATTCAATTATGTGCTTGTTGTACAAACAGATACTTGTGGAAAACAATCTATGTGTCCCTTCGTTCCAGTTAAACCTCATTACCAGTGTTTTCGCCTCAGGAAGAAATATCCCAAAAGAGAAACCCTAAATTACTGCATTTAATAGGAAAGAGCTATAAGAGTATGCACTGGTGCAGGGGCTTACTCATGACAATTTCTGCCAAGAAATGAGCAACCAGGTATGGGGTGCACATTTAGAATCCGGTGTGCTTATTGTCATAATATTCTACTTAGCCACAAATTGCCAGTGAATGATGCTCAAGTGTCTTCTTGCAATGCTCAATGAAGCCAAGCAAGTCAGGGAAACTACTTCTCCAGTTGGATGATAAAGAAGCAATTAAATTTTTGGAAGATTGCTGTGAAATTTTTCTGGCAATGATATATTCCTGAAATGTCTGTAGAAATGTCTGTAAATCACATTTTAGAAAATAACTTCCAACTTTAAATAATGCAGCAATCCAATATTTAAAATTATTCAGAAGAAAGTACAATTTAAAGTTTTAAAAATATGTTAGAAGGTAAGACCCCAATAATCTGTTTTCCAACTTCAGTTTTAATTAAATAATATGGTTTAAAGCAGGACACACCTATGATGGAAATTCCGAAAGTAGGAATTATAAATTTCAACTTCTAATTGTCATTTTCCTTTTTGGCTTAGAAACTTGATTAAATCTATGAGGTATAAATAAAACTGAGTGCAATATAATATGCTGAGAAAATTGCCTAAATCTTACACAAACTTTTTATTGAAGTAACATTCACATATAAGTTAGCCACGTTAAAGTGAAGAATTCAGCAATATTTAGTACATTCACAATGATGTACAACCTCATCTATCTAGTCCCAAAACATTTCCATCACTCCAAAATAAAATCCCATACCCATTTAGCAGTTACTTTGCAATTTCTTCTCCCCCACCAGCACCTGACAACCACCAATCTGCTTTCTTTTACTATGGATTTACCTATTCTGGATATTTCATATAAAGGGAATCACAGAATATGAGACCTTTTGTGTCTATCTTCTTTCATTTGGAATATAGTTTTCCAGGTTCATCCATGCTGTAGCATGTGTCAGTACTTTATTTTTATGGCTGAAGGATATTTTATTCTATGTATGTACCACAATTTGTTGATCCATTCTTCTGTCAATGGACATTTGTACTCTTTCTGCTTTCTAGCTATTGTGAATAGTGTTGTTATGAACATTTGTTTACAAGCTTTTGTTCGAGTAGCTGTTTTCAATTCTTTCACGGTATATGCTTAGCTGTGGAACTGCTGGGTCATATGATAATCCTGTGTTTTACTTTTGAGAAACTGCCAAACTGTTTTTCATAGCAGCAGAACAATTTTACATTCCCACCAGAAATGCACAAGGGTTCCAATAGCTTCCTACTTCACCATTTGTTTTGTCTGAATTATAAACACTTTTTTTTTGCTCTTTGAAATCAACAATGTGTATTTAAGAAATAAAATTATAGAAAGCTTGTTATTGTTGGTCATGCCAAAAAGTAATCTAAAATATTTCTACACATATTGATATTTGTTCTTTCTTAGAATAGTTAAATATTTTTTAAAAAGAAATAATATTATTTGTGAATGAACATGGGACAATGCCAGAGTATATATTCTCCAACCTTCACAATTATCTACAAGGAGTGGTTTATGATGCTTTTTCACACTCAAGCATAATGGTGAAATGTAGAAATGATTTAATTAAAGAGAATGCCTCCATTCTGCTAAACACTAAAGTAAAAAAACAAATTGCCAAAGTCAGTGTTGCCTTTCAAGATCATTCCTTGAGAAGAGGTTTGAAATTAATCAGTGTTATACATATCAGTGGCCACCTCCATCATGTTCTACATCTTGGATTTCAAGGTTTTTTTTGCGACATGTTGAGCACCATCATCCTCCATGCCCTTGCCATCATAGGGAAATAGAAAACATGAAATTATATGAGCAAAGATGATCATAGACGTATAACGATGAGAATTTCAGATTCGGAAATATAAATGATAAGAAACATCAAAGTGGAAAAATAATCTTGCTTGAAGCTGCCAAAGTGGACTTTTAGCTTGGTACTTCCCAGGATCCTGACCTATGGAAAGTCCTCTTACCTATACAGGTTTCAGTGTATTAGGAATCTTCTTAGGAGCTGGATTCATGTGCCACAGAAAGAATGCTATATATCCTATTAATTCTTTCTGATTACAGCTTTATTTAGACCCCATTTCCAACCTCACACAGTAATCCCACAAAAGAATTGATGGGGTGAAGGTTGCATTTGAAAGGATGTTTAGCTATAAAAAGATGATATATTGCACTTGGAAAGAAACATTGGCATTATGCCACATGGGTCAAGAAGCTATATAAAATATGTGAAATATGTTAATCTCCAATTAGACTATATAAGAAATTCTGTAATTTTATTCATTATGACATTGACGATAACTCTATCTGATAAAACAAAATCTGTTGAATGCTTCTGTCATCTTCTACACTTCTGTCTACCTCTCAAAATGGCCTCTTTGGAATCCAGGATACTTTTCGAGGAATATTCAATATGCTTTTAGGCATATGCCATACTCAATCTCCCCTTTAAGCCTTTCACACACTCTAAACTAAGAAGTCCAGGATTCCCTGAAATAAGAGGTTCCCTATTCACCTTTTCCCTCGGTTAGAAACATGGTTTTATTAAAGTGGAAGGAGGTTGTAGTGAAGTGGAGAAGGCATTACAAGAAGGACCTTTAGGAAACTTGACACTGCCGAGTCAGCAGTTTTCACCTTCCTCATATTTTTCTTAGGGCTTTCCATAGCTGGAAGGTGTTTAGAGATAACCTGTTTCTGCATCCATTCTCAGGATGGTATGTACCAAAACATCTAAGAGAAGAGCAACATTTTCTACCAGTAAGTCCTCTCCAAAACAGTTCTGGGAGGTTACCCAGCACTTGGCTATTTCTACTCTATCCAGTGAATTCAAGTAAAGAATGTGAATTTGAAAATGTCAAGTAGTCTCCCAAGTCAACTAAAATCTCATCTTGCAAAAAGGTGTGAAAGTTAGTCTTTTAGCATAGAAACAACATTTTATTCCATTTACTTTGGAATTTACTTCTCTAGATAGATGGCAATGTGACTATAATCAAACAATAAACACAGCATATCAAAAGTCCATTTGAAATTTCACTCATAAAAATTTGAATTCAATTCACCTCTGCTATTTACAAAACTAAACCCCTTTTAATGTTTTCCAAATGACCGCAACAAGGGAAAACATACATACACGATCACAAAGTATTTCGAAAGCAACATGTCATCAAGGGTTGTATGAATTTTACTTACTCTTTAAAATCAGATATTTATGGGAAAATGAAATATGATATTTATTGGCCTATAATGTTTTATCAACTCATTTTGCATCATCTGTTTTGTTTGTTTTTCTATTGGTAGAGTAGGCAAATGCCACTACTAACTTCTGGTGGAATGTAGGTGACTGCAAGGCCTATTGCCACAGTATTTTGAAAATTTATTTTGAAAAATAGCACTGATAAAGCCTCTTTCAGGCAATTTTTTGATGTCAATGCCCGAACGTAAACAGCCACAAACTATATAGATACTCAGAGCACGCACATGGGTAAAACAACACCAAGGGGACTATATATCTACTTAAATTAATATGTCATTAACTTAGTCAGAAAGACCTTTAAACAAATGAATAAATTATTTCCCAAGGTAGTGAGTTCTCCAAAAGTCCCTGGAAATTAAAGTGTAGAGATTTTATTACCAACGTCCCAGACATTTTACACTGAGATATTGAACTATGAGATCTTTAAGGTCTCCAGCAACTCCAAGAGTTGATGACTGTGGAAGTACATTAAGATTAATGATTCAGGATACTAGAAATACAATTTTTACTGTTTAATTTTTCACCACCACTCTTAATCACATGAAAGCTGGCTTTCATCCATTTAGGTATACTGAAGCTGTTCTCTTGGCTGACACCAAAGATTTTGTTTAAAATTCAGTCGTTATTTCGCTACTCCATCCTCCTTGACCTTTCTGCTGTGTTGGTTACTACTGATCATCCATCCTTCTTGAAACCCACTTCCCCTAGACATCCCCATTAATATACTGTCCTTGTTCTCCTTCAGTCTTCAATGACTCCTTCCAGATTTCCTTTATCATTTCATCTTCTTATGCTGCTCTCAGTGGTGAAGCCCACTCATGTGCTCACCTTATATTAAATCTTTTCGTCATTCACTCACAAAATTCCTACTATGCCGATGGACTGTTGAATTTTAAAACTTTTAGCCCTGCCCTAATTCACTATATGTTTTTGGGTTCTTTGTTTTTGTTTTTGTTTTGAGACAGAGTCTCACTCTGTCACCTAGACTGGAGTGCAGTGGTGCAATCTTGGCTCACTGCAACCTCCGCCTCCCGGGTTCAAGAGATTCGCCCTGCCTCAGCCTCCCTAGTAGCTGGGATTACAGGCACTGCCACCATTCCTGGCTAATTTTTGTATTTTTAGTGAAGATGGGGTTTTGCCATGTTGGCCAGGCTGGTCTCAAACTCCAAACCTCAGGTGATCTGCCCACCTCGACCTCCCAAAGTGATGGGATTACAGGTGTGAGCCACCACACCCAGCCCACCATATGAGATTTAATCATGTATTTTCAACATCTTACTAAAAGATTCTACCAGGTTAGTCTGCCATAACCTCAAATTTTACCTATCCCCAATTAATCATTAATCAAGTCACTTCTTTTTTTTTTAATTTCCTTTTCTGACAGGGGCACTACCACCTATCCAGCAACACCTGGAATAGTTTTTGTCTCAGGTTCCCTCATGCCCTTTCGTGACAACTTTTTGTACTTAGCCTCTTGAATATTTCCCTTCCTCTTCATTTCCCACTTCCACAATCTTATTCAGACCATTGTTGCTTAGCAAAGCATCTACGTTTACTTTCCATTTCACAGCTAAGAGAATTTGTTCCTTTCCTGCAGGCCACACTTTATGCTTTTAAAAATCGGTCTTGGTCTGAGACAGAAGATATCTAAGACCCTAACCAAACTCTACTCAGAGATTATGTATATTGCATTATCTTGGATATAACTGTGCACGGTTGATGACTTAGAGCCAGATCAAAGAGGATAATGCTGATGAAGGAGATTCAGTCTGACTGTTGAGATGGACTTTAAAATGTGTGGCACACTGCAGTATTAGACAGGCAGTGGATCGGGGGTTGGGCATGGGCAATATAAATGGAGATAAGATCAAATACATGTAGCTCAAAGACTCCAAATCAGGGAGGCTGAGCACCAGGTAATGATCCCATCAGCAAAACTGTGATGTAGAACAAAATTCCAAAACCTTGGTGGGAGAAAGATGAGCACAAGTCCAAATCACAATGCTGGGAAGGGGCAGCAGTGGATGTGTAGTTACCAGCAAAAGAAACGTAATTTTTAAAAGGAAGAAAAACAACTTCATGACAAAAGTGGGATAAAAAAAAGACAATATTTTGTTTTTTAAAAAAAGAAAAAGAAAAACAAAAAACAGAGATAAAAGGAAGGATTAAGGCTTGGGGAAGGAGCAGAAACCCAGTTTTTAGAACAAAGGTAAAGAGGCTATAGTAGAGATTGATGGTGTGCCAGTGACTATTGGTTTGCAGAGGATAATAGCTAGTATTAATTAGACATTTACTCTATGCTAAATACTATATGTACATTAGCTCATTTCATTTCTCACCACAACCCTATGCATTAGATACTATTCCTATTCCTAGTAAGAGGTGATTAAATGAAGCCCAGAGTGTTTCAGGTACTTTGTTCAAAGTCAAAAAGCTTATAAGTGGGCAGATGGTAAACTGGGACTATGGTCTTTCTGATTCCAAAGCCTATTCCCTTAATGACCAAGCTATGCCTGCCAAAAATCTTCTCCCACAGGCAGGATTTTTTTGTGGGCATGGGGGTGGGGTGGTCCTGATAGATAAATGAAAGTAAGGTATCACATGGCCTTACCATTGGGCAGAGAGAGGAGACTGGGTTTCAGAATTTGCTTAGCCTTGTTTCTCATCGCTCATCAACTTAGAATTCTAAGCCTGTGTCCTAAGAGAAATAATCCACACATCAGGGAAGTATGTAGTGTATTCTTAAGTCTTGTCAAGGCAGAAGTAATCAGAACAGAACCATGTCAGCCCAATACTTAGTTAGCAACTTAGCTTGCCTGGTTCAAAGATCTTCTATGAATTCCCATTGAGTCAACGTCTTACTCAGTTTGGGCTGCTATAACAAAATTCCGGGCCAGGCGCAGTGACTCAGGCCTGTAATCCCAGCACTTTGGGAAGCCGAGGTGGGCAGATCACTTGAGGCCAGGAGCTCAAGACCAGCCTTGACATCATGGCGAAACCCCGTCTCTACTAAAAAACATACAAAAATTAGCCAGGCATGGTGGCACGCACCTGTGGTCTCAGGTACTCAGGAGTAGGAAGCACGAGAATCGCTTGAACCCAGGAGGCGAAGATTGTGGTGAGCTGAGATCGCACCACCGCACTCCAGCCTGGGAGACAGAGCGAAACTGTCAAAAACAAACAAACCAACCATAAATTGGGTAGTTTACATAAAACAGAAATTTATTTCTCAGAGTTCTCACGCTAGGAAGTCCAAGATCAAGGTGCTGGCAGATTTGGTGTCGGTGAGAACCTGCTTCCTCATAGATAACCATCTTCTCACTTTAACCTCATGTGGAGAAAGGGCAAAGGATCTCCCTTGAGTTTCTTTTTAAAAAGTACTCACCTCATTCATGAGGGTAGAGCTTATTACTTCCCATAGCCCTCACCTCCTAGTACCATCACCTTGGGGCTAGGATTTTAACATATAAATTTGGGGGGAGACGTAAATTCAGTTCATTGCAGGCAAGAACTTGAAGTTGAATGTTATACCTGGGCTAGGTCTTTCAGGTGTAAAGTGGAGTGGCTAGTAATTGAAAGAGAAACTCTCTTTGCAGTTATGTTAAATTTTTCATCAAACAGTATTTGAGCAACTACTATGAGCAGGGCTCTGGGTGACATAGATGATGATGATACTACTCTCCACTAACGGACAGACATGAGCATATACATTGCAACAAAGTGTGGTAGATATAAGTAATGGATTGCAAAATTAAGTAGGAAGGCACAGGGAGAATTATCTAACCAAGCCTGAGTGGGTAGAGGAAGCAAGATATTCCAGCTATTATTGCTGTGTAACAAACCATCACCAACTCAGTGGCATTAAACACAGTACCATTGAATTATACTCATGGCTTTTGTGGGTCAGGAATTTGGATAGTGCGTAGTAGGGATTTCTTGATTTTTGTTTCATGGTATTGAAACGGGAAACGTTCCCTTATCCCCATCACAGGGCATGCGATGGGGGTGTGGCTCACTTCTTCAGTGCCCCACTGCTCAAATCTCTTGGGCAAGCATGCAAACGGGCAGGTTGTAGGGCTCTGACCCCACAGCAGTGTCTGGGGTTGAATGATTAAAGCTGAAGCCCCAGTGGGCATGTGCTACAGCCTGCTTTCAGTTTAGCCATCTGTAGGCGGCTTGTGTTAGTCATCTCAATTAGATCCCCTGCCTTATCACAAGGACAGAGGGCTTTCTGTATCCCAGGGTTTCTTGCCTTGGTGTACCGGAAGAATCAGGTCACATGTGGGCTTGGAGAATGAGTGCAATGTTTTACTCAGTGGAAGTAGCTCTCAGCAGATGGGGGAGCCAGAAGGGAGATGGAGTGGGAAGGTGATTTTCCCCTGGAGTCGGGCCTCTCAGGGCCAGGCTCCCCTCTAACCGCCCCAGCCAAACTCCATGTTGATGGCCTTGTGCTCTTACACCAGTGCATTCTTCTGGACATCCAGCCACTTGTGTTTTCTTCCACCGATGTCTTCCTCTCAACATCCAGCTGCTTGTGTCTCTGCCTGCTAGGCTCTCGGGGTTTTTATAGGATTTTACAGGCACAGGATGGGGGCATGGCAGGCCAGGGTGGTCTCAGGAAATGCAACATTTGGGCATGAATACAGAAATGCCTGTGTTCAGGCATTTCTAGATCCATGGGCACAGACTCCAGAGGTGGAGCCCTAGCCAGAGATCACACCCTTCCCTTCCCAGCACTTACTCCGCCCCATTCTCGTATCAGTATCTTGTGCATGGTCTAGGAAGGTTTGAAAGATTGAGGATTAGAATCATCTAAGGCTTTGTTCCTTACATATCTAGCACATAGCTTAAGATTACTTGAAGGCTGGGCTCAATTGTGACTGTTGATTAGAGCACCTGTATTTGGCCTGAACTTTTCACGGAATAGTTTCAGGGTTGTAAGAGGGAATGTTCCTATAAAGAACCTCTCAAGAAAGACGATCTCAAGAGGTCCAGGAAGAAGCTGCTTGGACTTTTTGTGACCTCATTTCAGAAGTGAGGTGTCATGCTGTCATTCCACCACTCATTACTGAAGCAATCATAAGCTGTTACAGTAGGTAGCTAGTCAGGCATGAGCAGGGCAGGAGAGGGCTCTGCCTGACCAAGAATATCAGATGACCATCAGGTGATGGTCAGGCAGTTGTTAATCTGTCTTTCTCAAATAATTGTTCTCTATAGACAGAAAAAACCTGAAACTGGTGATCAGTAGTTTCTTGATAAGATCTCAGAAGTTGGGCAAGTGAGCTCAAGCATGTGAGGCAAAATGGCATTAAGAGGCAAAATGGCAGAGTTTAACTGGTAAATGACCTAGGAGTATTTGGCTGGTAATGGAAGAATGCCTCAAGTGAGCATGCGTACAACTCCAATAAACACACCATGCATGTTGCCCTCCCAAGCACTAGCAGGCCATTGCACAGGCAGACAGCCCACCCCAAGGGAAGAATCAGGGGAGAAGGGATGCAAGACCCCAGAAGCATGCCAACATATAAAACCCCAAGTCAAAGGTCAAACCATGCATTTGTCCTTTAAGTCGTCCACTTGGCTCTCTTCCAAGTGCACTTTCCTTCTGTTCATTCCTGCTTTAAAGCTTTTAAATAAACTTTCACTCCTGCTCTAAAACTTGCCTCAGCCTCTCCTTCTGCCTTATGCCCCTCAGTCGAATTCTTTCTTCTGAGGAGGCAAGAATTGAGGTTGCCCCAGACCCATGTGGATTCGCCACCAGTAACTCAGATAACTTCCACCATTAACAAGCCCATGTGGATTCATGGGGAAGGATATATATCCCATCTCTTGAGAAAAGAAAAATAGCTCACTGAGGCGGGCGGATCATTTGACATCAGGAGTTCGAAACCAGCCTGGCCAAAATGGTGAAACCCTGTTTCTACTAAAAATACAAAAACATTAGCCGGGCATGGTGGTACACCTGTAATCCCAGCTACTGGGGAGGCTGAGGCTGGAGAATCGCTTAAACCTGGGACAGGGAAGCTGCAGTGAGCAGAGATTGCACCACTGCACTCCAGCCTGGGTGGCAGAGTGAGACTCTGTCTCCAAAAAAAAAGAAAAAAAAAGCTCAGGGCAGTGTGAGTCATGTGAGGTTTACAGGCCAAGAGAGATGTGAGTAATGGGGCTTCAGTCATGCTCTTTCTACTGATTCCTGGGAGCTATTGTTTAAAAGTATTTGTTCTTAACTCCCTTCCCTGTTATCTTCTTGCTCCTGGAATTCGTGATACAAAGAATAGTGTACAGCTAATCAGTAGCTTATGTTATTTTAATGTAAATTCTCAATATTAACATCTCAGGAACTGCCTCTTTTTTCCCTTTGAGAATCCACTTGTAACTGCTTCTAATTGAAGCGTGTATTCAAGGCAACTTGAACCTATGCTTCCAGCTTGCAATCCTCAAGCTTGGTCTAAATAAACTTTTACTTATATTAATTTTACCTCAACTTCTTCCTTTTAGATCGACACTCTGAAAAGACATGTCAAAAACTTTTTAAAGCTGCCACAGTCTGCCCTCTGGCAACAAACTACTTATATTCCTCCACTTCATAAAACATATTGACCCCTTTAAGGCCTGCTAAATGTTTCATCCCATATAAAACAGCATTCAGCTCAGGCTCAAGGTCCAGGATCTCATCATCAGATCTAGGTGTGGATGAGGCTCTTTGGAAGTGATGCACAGGTTTCTTTTGGTCTGAAGGCTAGTCACTAAAAGACAAGTTATCTACTCATCACACATCAAATAAACAATGTTGGGAAAGTCCTGAATTTGCGGGACCCAGTGCAAAATTAACAGGCAGGGCCCTTTCTTCAAATATTATTAAGAATTTGAAGATGGTGACAGCAGAGAACTAAGCTAAGCCCAAGGCCCTTCTTAGGATGGGCCCCTGAGCATTTGCACAGTTCATACACTCATGAGACCAGCCCTCCTTCCCATGCAGAAAGTAAGAAAAGAGGAAAGAAAGAACAGTCACTGGTATCTAGTAATTCTGATACCAGCTGAATCCACATTGCTATTTCCTGGTCTTGCGCTCAGAAGACTATCTGGGAGTTGTTTTCTAGGGTTCTAACTAAGCCCTGCCCTCTGGTATTCTATCTCTACTTTCTGAGTCACTCTTCCTTCTCCATATACATAGCCCTTGTTTAAGTAGCTTCCTCTGTCTGATTAGTTTTTCAGTTAAGTAATTTTCTCAGCTTAACTTCTATTGGCAGACATTTGAGGTTCCAAAAGTCTTTTGTTTCTATATAACTTAGCGCCTAAGTTTTGTTTTGTTTCTATATAACTTAGTGCCTAAGACAGAAGAATTATTTTAAAATTTTGTGGATTTTTAAAAATATATGAAGTTATAGTATAGTCCATTAGACAAAAGTCAGGCCTACAAATGTTTTTTACATAAGCCTTTCTCTGCTTTGGGTCTCCAGAAGGCTGTTGTGAGATAATGTCCTTAAGATTCTTAAAAGCCTTAATATTTAAAGGGCAGGATCTGCAAGGCACATCCAAAAAACCCTTAGAAAGTCTTTTGCCTTTTTTCTCTCTCAAGGGATCTAGAAGGCACCAACTTAATTTTTTTTCTAATTTCCTAACAAAGGGTTTTATAGTCACAGCCTTGACCTCATCTCTGACCTGCCCAGAGGCCACATTTTCCTGACTGCACCCTGGATTTGATCTTTGCCCTAAAGACTTTTTTTTTTAAAGGTGAATATATATTGTATGGGATGGGGAGAATATGAAGCAGTTTTAATATCACATTCAGTAAGTCTTGGGTCCTTACATATCTTAATTTCTGCTTGAAACCTGAATTATTTTCTTCCTTTGCTCTTCTTTCTCTATCTGTAACTGATGATATGCAGCTAAAAGAAACTAGTTGACACTTTTAATATTTTGCCAGGAAATTCCCTTAATCACCTCCATTAGTTCCTTAGGTATATTTTCTATTTTCCACATTATAGCAGGTAACAGTTTTGCTAAATTTCCCCCACTGTTCAACAGATTTCTCTTTTCCTCCAATTTTCAGTAACATTTTCTACTTGCCTTTAAGCCTCACCAACATCCTCCTGGAGACCTGTCAGGCTTCTGCTATCCATTTCTTCTGTAGCCTTCAAGTCCTTCCCATTTACCTAGTCTGAAAGCGACTGCCATTAAGTTTTATTGTTTCAGCGACATTCCATTTCTGATACCCATTTCTGTATCAATGAGGTTTCACTCAGAAAAGTAAAATCAGTGTGAGTGACATTAAATTAGAGATCTGGCATTAGAATTAAAACTTACACAATTCTTGTTGCTGGTAGAAAAGTCCTTGCAAGACTTTTATCTCTGCATTTAGTGTTGGGTTTGACAAGGCTGTGGATCAGCTAGGCCTAGATTCAGGAAAGAAAGACGGATATAAGATGGAACAGAGCAGTGGCAAACTAAAACCTACAAGGCAAAATAGAATCTATGAGAACAAACTAGACTCCATGAGAAGAAGCTGGAAAGATGCAGGGGATGTGTAGATGCAGCCGATAGCTTTTGCCACAGAGATGTACGTGCACCTGGCATAGGACTTAGAGCAGCTGAAGAAGGAGAGTAGATGAAAGCTGGTAGAACTACCGGCCCAAGTGCTACCCACACCAACAGGTGAGCTAGCAGATAAATGGTAGGGAGGAGCTGCCACAGTGCCTGCTACCCACACTGACCTCAGGAGCTGCTGCTGCTTCTTTTCCCCCTTCCAAATCTCACACAAATTTCCCTTGTGCTCAATGCTATCTTAGAACAACCCAGGGAAGGGAATTCTAGGAAGTATAGTCCAGCTCAGCTAAGTTGGTAGAATACAGAGCTACTACTGAAGACTTCCTGGAAGACATGTTATTTGAATTGGATCTTTCACAAATGAGGACTTAGCCAAATAAAGATGGAAAGGCAAAGAGGGTATCATAATCAAAGACATGCATTCAAAGAATAGCAGGGTAAATTCAGAGAAAAAAACGGACACTGGAATGTCAGCTCAACAGGAGAAGAGACTGGATCTGTTTCACTCCAAAGCCTACAACAGAATGCTACACTTAGTAGGTGCCCCATAATTATATGTTGAATAAATAATTATGTAGATTAAACACACTGTCAGAGACAGACAGTGGCAGGATTTGAAATGGCAAATTTGCCATGGACTGACTCATATAAGATCTTATACATGACTCAAAAAAAAAAAAATAAGGTGGGCAAAAGATTGGTGAATTATGGTCTGGTCTAAGAGTGGGTTAAAGCAATGAGAAAACTTTTCACCGGTCTCGGGGAAAAAAAAAAAAAGTCTTAAACTAAGGCAACAGAGGGAGACTTTGATACTGGCTGGGAAAAGGGTGAGAAAGCTGTGGCTCAAGCTAAGTTTTAACAGAATGTTCCAAAGTGCCTTTAATAAAGAAATTTTCCTAGCAACTGTTCAAACATTTCTTGTCCCATTTAATGGGAATAAAAACAAATCATTTCGATCATTATTTCTGAGAAAATTTGTTACATCTAATGCTGACCACCACCTGAATATATTAAACTTTTTCTTCCTACTTTTTGTGGTATTTTTTTCTCCCAGTTCTCTCATTTATGAAACAAAACAGATTTCTTTGTCAGTGAAGCACAGTATATTATATAGGTAGAGTGTTTTTTTTCTTACACTTGAAATTCATAACTCCTAAGGGGCCATCCAGCTGAATTTATATTTCCATATGGTTACAGAAAAAATGACCGGCCACTGAGAAAGATAAAGACATTTTCCAGTCAGCCATTAACATCTGAACACATATAGTTTGTTTTATTTGGCACTTGGTCTTTGCTTTTTAAACTCCAAAGCAATGCTAATTTAATAATACAGAAGACAGTTCAATAACAGGAAAACTATTTTGCCCTTACCAGAGCCTCTGCACAATTTAAGATCTTTTCAACTCTCAGTCAAGAAAGCCAGAAATCCCTTTGGTCACAGGAGGAAATGGTTTCTGAATCCTCCCTGGCAAAATACAGGAATTACACCCGCCTATCATGTATTCATGAGGGCCCTGCTAAACCCATTTAGCAACCTACATCAAAATTTACCTTCTGGCCGGGCGCGGTGGCTCACGCCTATAATTCCAGCACTTTGGGAGGCCGAGGTGGGTGGATCACCTGAGGTCAGGAGTTCAAGACCAGCCTGGCTAACACAGCAAACCCCATCTCTCAAAAAAAAAAAAAAAGGAAAGAAAAAAAAGTTTAGCCGGGCGTGGTAGCACATGCCTGTAATCCCAGCTACTCAGGAGGCTGAGGCAGGAGACTCGTTTGAATCTGGGAAGCAGAGGTTGCAGTAAGTCGAGATTGCACCACTGCATTACAGCCTGGGTGACAGAGGAAGACTCCATCTCAAATAAATAAATAAATAAATAAATTTGCTTCTAAAGCATTTTTCTCTGAGAATACCTACAGGGAAAGATGATCTCTATATACTCTCACAGTTTTTGGCAGAAAAAGAACTTGTGATAAGCACTGGAGGGTGGACTTCTTAGTTCTCCCTAGATGTCTTTCCTCTATTTGACAATATCAGGGTTCAGATTTTAGGGCTTCCAGCTTCTCTAAGCAATATGAGCAGGTTTGTGCAAGTGCTGATCCCAATCATAGCCTTTAGCAAGCACATGGGATTGATGTGATATCAGATCACAGACATTTAATATATCAGCATACTTGTATCAATAGGTTGCTCTCTGGCTTGTAAATAAATCACATTTGCCTTCTCTAATTGTCTTCAAAATGTGCTCAAGACTTACTTCCTCATGAACCTTGAGTTCATCATCCACAACCAATTATCCAATAAGAGCCCAGTTCCCACTGTTTCCCATATAGCCTTTTTAGCCTGGAGAGAATCCTTAACCTCCTCCAAAATATGTGTGAGTGTGTGAGTGTGTGTGTGTGTGTGTGTACTTCTGCTACCACTATTTGAAAACTATTCAAATAGTGACTATATTCAAACAGTGACTATTCATAGTCACTACTGTGCAATATTAACATATATTTATGAAGAGTTTTTAAAGCACAGATAATGTTTATTTTCACACTGGTTCATATATTGACCATCATTGGAAATTCACCAGGAAAAATTAGGAAGATTTGAGAGCTGACAGAAAGTGTCAGTGACTTCGGTAGTCCAAGATAAAGTAGAGCCGCCAAAGGAGGGGATGGGCTCTGGATCGCAGCTGTAGGGAAGTCCAGATTGATGTTTACAACTGGCTTGCATCTTCACATCTGCAAGCCTTGGATGGTGATTTCTTCCTCAGCTGCGGTCTGGATTTGGGCATGGTATCAAGGTGAGAGGGTATTTGATGCAGGATAATTTTCACTAATTTAAGAAAGCCCAGAGATAGGATATAAGTTCATGTCTGAATGCCCTCAAGAAAACTTTATATGTGTGTCCAGGGAGTATTCTGGGAGAAAGTGAGAAAGCTTGGAAAGGAAGAGAGCTTGGAGATTTTCCCCAAGGAAATCTGTATAGTGAGTAAAGATAAAAATTCCTTTTATGTTCCTATTTGTTTGTATTCTGCTTCTGCGGGACAAGCAAGAGGCAAAATAAAAATTAAGAAAGATTTTTTACCCCAGCACCAGTCTCCAACCCTTTCAGCATTTAAAACATTCAGCAATGCCACATAATATATGTTTCCTGTCCTCAGGGAGCCCATAAAATGTCAGGGGATATGCAAGGTAAAATGAAGTTTGAAGTGTACATCACACTATGGAAGGGAAGCAGGAGGAGCCACAGATTCTAGCTGAATTCTTCCCTGAGATAGCGGAGTGATCATGTGGGAGGTGGCATTTGACTTGAAGATTGCAGCGTGAGTAACTGCCTGACTCAGAAGAGTGGGAGAAGGGCTCTGGACACTTGAGCCTCGGCAGAAGTGTATGGTAAACCACACTTTGTCTCCCCCTTATCCTCGAAGGTAAATGTCAAGTTTTCTAATTCTTTTGAACATTCTTAACTAGCCTTTATGGGCACACTCAGTATCTTAGAGAATAAAACAGTTGATGGAAACTTGCCCTCACAGTGTTCCAGTCCACGTCCAGAACAGGAGCATTGTGATGGCTTCTTGTCTCACACAAGAAATTTCCTCATAAGAGTGCCACCACACACTCTTGAAACCATCATAGCTACAGAGAAAATGGGTTAAATGCTAGAAAATTTGCCCTCAAAGACTTCCTATCATGTCTTATGAATGTTGCTCAGAAAAGCCCAATCTTGCTCATGTATAAAGAAGCCCTAGTGAACGCTCCTATAATATCCCAGTGTTTGAGGACCCAAGTCCTTTTAAACACTGCAAACAAGAAATGTGAGATCTCCCTCAACAATTCTGTATTGAACGCTGTAGGTGTTCACCAGCATCTCTCAGCCCTGACCATTTGGGGAGGTGTATCTGCTGTTTCACTGTACTCCTCAGTTATTGTTGCTACAATCTCTGGCTCATCAGACACACCAGACAGGGTCACATTCAAATTAAGGAACTGTACTCGATCTAAATAAGAAAACAGCAGGACAACTGTCATATAGGTATCTTTAAGTGTGCAATATTTAAAGGTTAGATATCATCCATATGGGTAACATTCTTGAAAGGAAACTTCTACCTTGTATTCCTCTATAAAATCTGAACAAAATCATATAATAATAACAACATAAAATATTTTGTGATTATTAAAGTATAGGTATATAAATGTTCATATAATTGCCATCTTTAAGATTTTAAAAAGAAGTTTATATTTTCAGAAATTTTTTTATCTTTTTTCTTTTTCTATATTTGTGCTTATTGATGCTTTTTGCAGATTTTGCTTTTGTTTGAATATACTAATGACCATATCTATTTTTTAAATTGTATATAAAGTCTCACAAACCTGTTCTATATTAAAAGAGGGAACTGATCTAGGAAGGATGTTGAAAAATCATTTCCACATTCCCCTTAAATGTCCCTTAGCTTTGCTGCACAATTAATGTGGTCTCCAAATAGAAATCTGAACTGCACTGGAAACACAGAAGAAACTTGGAGCATTTGTTTTTATGATTTTTAAAAAATACTTTTCTAGTTTAGCTTGGAACGTAACACAGGTATGGAATATTGTTCATGTAGACAGATATCTTAAAATAATTTTCCCAAGAAATGGAACACCTTCCTAAGAACAATTTGAACTCTTTCATTTGTTTTAGGTGCCAACACCAAAGAGTATCGGGGGAACCAGCCCCCCATATTTCAACGTAGGTTTTCTATTTTCCCTAAGTGTTGGCTGGTCTGAGAAATAGAGAAAGAGTACAAAAGAAAGAAATTTTAAAGCTGGGTGTCTGGGAGTGACATCACATGTCAGCAGGTTCCGTGATACCCACCTGAGCCACAAAACCAGCAAGTTTTTATCATGGATTTCAAAAGGGGAGGGAATGTATGAATAGAGTGTGGGTCGTGGAGATCACATGCCTCAAAGGCAAGAAAATATCACAAGGCAAATGGGGGCAGAGCAAGATCACAAGGCCAGGGCAAAATTAGAATTACTAATGAGGTTCCATGTCCCGCTGTGCACACATTGTCATTAATAAACATCTTAGCAGGAAACAGGGTTCAAGAGCAGAGAACTGGTCTGACTAGAATTTGCCAGGCTGGAATTTCCTAATCCTAGAAAGCCTGGGGACGCTGCAGGAGACCAGGGCGTATTTCATTCCTTATCTACAACTGCATAAGACAGGCACTCCCAGAGCAGACATTTTAGAGGCTTCCCCCTGGGAGTGCATTCTTTTCCCAGGGCTGTTCCTTGCTGAGAAAAAGAATTCAGCAATATTTCTCTTATTCACTTTTGCAAGAAGAGAAATATGACTCTGCTCTGCCTGGCCCTGCAGGCAGTCAGGCTTTATGGTTATCTCCCTTGTTCCCTGAAAATCACTGTGATCCTGTTCCTTTTCTAGGTGCCCAGATTTCACATTGTTCAAACACACATGCTGTACAATTTGTGCAGATAATGCAATCATCACAGGATCCTGAGGTGACATACATCCTCAGCTTATGAAGATGACAGGATTAAGAGATTAAAGTAAAGACAGGCATGGGAAATTATAAGAGTATTGATTGGGGAAGTGATCAATGTACATGAAATCTTCATAATTTATGTTCGTCTGCTGTGGCTTCAGCTGGTCCCTCCATTCGGGGTCCCTGACTTCCCACAACAAAAGAGCAAAGTTATGACCAGAGATAATGATTACTGTGATATTTATTTTTATATAGTTGTATACATATCAGGCATTTTAACAATCATTGGTTGCTATATTTCTGTTTATTCCTATATTTATAACTTTCTGGTGATATGGGGTAAACTTTTTTAATGCAATATGCGCAAAATAAAGCCTACTCAATGAGAATTTGTTTTTCTGTCCCTTTGTACACCAGCAACAAGCTTTGCATTTTTTAATGAAATGATTCTCTTTGTTATACTTTATCTATTAAAAGAGGAATTTATTTGAATTGAATCCACAGAACTTCCGCCTTAAAAATATTTTTCCATTTTAACAGTTGAACTGTAATTAATTCTCTGAGCCTCCATAAATCTAGGTGAATAGTCATTCCTTAATTAAGAGATCACATTTTCCAGACTTGTCAGGAACTCCTACTGAATTTGTGTACTGGCTCTCACAGTGCCAACAAAAAAGGAAAACACAACACAACAAATGTATGATCATCCTTTATTAGGTAAAGAAAGTTTGGGAAAAAGATGGTGGGAGAGCTAAAAATATAACCCTAAATTACAGTGTAGATACATTAATTCCACTCTGTTTTCCAAGACATATGAACCCATTGTGGATTGACAGAGGTCAAGATGCAGCAGTCATGAGGAATGAAGGCATGTCCCTGGGTAATTGGGCAGAATCTTGTTTGCCTCTTCTTAACTTTTCAGACCACTAAGAACTGCCATGATTTATCTGATCAGTTGAAATCTGCTTTAAAAGAGAGAGCTCGGCCGGGCATGGTGGCTCATGCTTGTAATCCTAGCATTTTGAGAGGCCAAGGTGGGTGGATCACTTGAGACCAGGAGTTCGCGACCAGCCTGGCCAACATGGTGAAATGCCACGTCTACTAAAGATACTAAAAATTAGACTGGCATGGTGGCCTGTGCCTGCAAACCCAGCTACTATGGAGGCTGAGGCGGGAGAATTGCTTGAACCTTGGAGGCAGATGTTGCAGTGAGCTGAGATTGTGCCACTGCACTCCAGCCTGGGTGACAAAGCAAGACCCCATCTTGAAAAAATAAATAAAGGAGGAGCTAATTCTCTCTCCTAGTGATTCTTGTGTGTGTGTGTGTGTGTGTGTGTGTCTGTGTTCAAAGTGGGAATGAAAATGAGAGTTAACACTTTACCTTGGCCTCAGAAATACCCTAAGAAGTTTACATGTATACATCAATTCATTTAATTCTTTGAGCAATATTTAGATTGGTGCAAAATGAAAGTAATGGCAAAAAACTGCAATTACTTTTGCACCAACCTAAACATCAGGAAGTTACCATTATTATCTCCATTTTACAGTGGAGACTTAAACACTTAAGGAATGTGCTCATGATCTTTCAGCAAGTAGAGAAAACGAAGTTTGAATCTAACTTTAACTGTGTACTTAACCAGTATGCTATAAACTGCCTCCCTGTTTCACAATTCTTCAGTAGAAGCATGGCTGTTTTGAAAGGCCAAGACTGTGTTATTGCGGCAAGAGTGAAGGTTTTAAAGGAAACTGTTCAAAGTCAATTTCATTGAGACTTAAGAAACAAAATATGATCACTTTTAAACTTAGATCTAATTTTTTTTTCAAAATACTACTTTTGTTATGCACATCAATTTTTCATGTAGCTAAATATACTTTTTAATTGAAGATGTATTTTCAACCAATATTGAGCTTCAACCACTGTTCAAATTTTATCTGCCCTTAACTGAGATTAGCTCAAACTTTGTGTTTGAATAAAAGCGTTGAGTTATTAAAAAAATAATTCCTTTGCCTCTTGAGCAGAAGGAGTTTTTAGTACCCCAAAAGTACAGGAGATACATGGGACCAGAAATTAAATTGTAATGCTTGGTTAGGATCAAGTTTTAAAAGACTCTTGAAAACATATGAGGATATTTTATTCAAAGAGTCTTTTGGAGCTATCCAGGGATTATAAGCAGTGGACCTGCAATATGTAATTATGCTTCCTACATATGATTATATATAGGCTTAGCTACAAGAATGTGTTGACCAGTATGTTGATCACCCTCTTATACCTAGTGTTTAACAAGCAGTGTTATTAAATTTGAAATAATAAATCAATTGATAGCACAGAGAAAGCTTGAAAGAAGAAATAGAAGAGTACATGAGAGATGAAAAAGGCCTGATCTGAATTGGTAGTAGTGAGGTGAAGATAAAGAAACTAACAAGAAAATCTTTATTGTCCAGGTGAATCATGTTGATTTAGGTTTTTAGACATCTCCTCATTCATTCTCAGGTTTGCTTTGCCTCTTTCTCTGCCACTGCCTCTCTGCTGTCATGAAAAAGAACACTGAGGTTAAATTCGGAGTAACTTCTAGCCTAGTTGCTATGTATTAGGTAATGAGACTATGAATTTTTGTTGCGCCTTAGTTTCCACACCTCTGAGATGAGTTAAAAGTAATACTTAACTCAAAGGGTATTTATGAGGCTTGTGATATGTGAAAAAAGTGGAACAAAGCATTCAATGATTTGTTTGATCTGAATATAATTTATTATGAAGGAAGTGCGATTTAACTTGCAGTCAATACAAAACCCTTGTGAAAATAAGCGTAACACAGCTATTCTTACGTGTGTCCATAAAGTATACTTCGTTAAAATTTTAAAACATAAGAATAACATTAATAGTGTAAGCAAAACATTTATAAGTTCCAAACTGTGAGAATATGAAAAGTTAAACATTTGTGTCACTTTAAAAAGGTAGCTTGATTTATTCAAGCTTAAAATAATTAGTGAGGCAGAACTAAAAAACAAAAACAAAAAAACTATTCCGAAATTCATATGGAACCAAAAAAGATCCCAAATAGCCAAAGCAATCCTGATCAAAAAGAGCAAAACCAGAGACATCACAATACCAGACTTCAAACTATACTACAGAGCCACAGTAACCAAACAGTATGGTACTGCTACAAAAACAGACACATAGACCAATGTAACAGGATAGAGAACCCAGAAATAAAGCCACACACCTACAGCCATCTGCTCTTCAGTGAAGGTGGCAATAACAAGCAATGGGGAAAGGACTCCCTATTCAATAAATGGTGCTGGGATAACTGGCTAGCCATATGCAGAAGACTGAAACTGGACCCACACCTTTTACCTTATATAAAACTTAACTCAAGATGGATTAAAGACTTAAATGTAAGACCTAACTGTAAAAAAATCCTAGAAGAAAATCTAGGAAATACCATTCTGGACACTGGGTTTGACAAATAATTTATGACTCAGTTCCAACAAGCAATTGCAACAAAAACAAACATTGACAACATGGGACCTCATTAAATTAAAGAGCTTCTGCACAGCAAAGGAAAC
The DNA here is from genome assembly GCF_000001405.40 of Homo sapiens. NCBI lineage: Eukaryota > Metazoa > Chordata > Mammalia > Primates > Hominidae > Homo > Homo sapiens. The sequence continues at coordinate 87,949,677 of NC_000008.11, forward strand.
TATTAACAGCATAAATAGGCAACCTATAGAGTGGGAGAAAATATTCACAAACTGTATTTGACAAAGGTCTAATATTTAGAACCTATAAGGAACCTAATTCAACAAGCAAAAAGCAAATAACCCCATTAAAAAATGGACAAAGGACATAAGTAGATACTTCTCAACAGAAGACACATATGCAACCAACAAAGATATTAAAAAGTCTCAATATCACTAATCATTAGAGAAATGCAAATCAAAACCACAATGAGATACTATCTCCTACCAGTCAAAATGGCTATAATTAAAATGTCAAAAATTAACAGATGTTGGTGAGGTTGCAGAGAAAAGGGAACACTTATACGTGTTGGCAGGAATGTAAATTAGTTCAGCCACTGTGGAAAGCCATTTGGAGATTTCTCAAAGAACTTAAAACTATCATTCAACCCAGAAATCCCATTACTGGGTATATACCCAATAGAAAATAAATCATCCTACCAAAAGACACATGCACTTGAATGTTCACTGCAGCATTATTCACATTAGCAAAGACATGGAAGCAACCTAGATGCCCACCAACCATGGACTGCATAAATAAAATATGGTACATGTATACCATGGAATACTATGCAGCCATAAAAAGGATGAAATCATGTCCTTTGCAGTAACATGAACACAGCTGGAGGCCACTATACAAGGCAAATTAAGTCAGAAACTGAAAACCAAAGACTGAGTGGGAGCTAAATAATGAGTACACACAGACACAAAGATGAGAACAGTAGATATTAGGAACTACTAGATGGAGGACAGTGGGAAAGAGGCAAGAGTCGAAAAACTATCTGGTACTATGCTCACTACCTGGGTGACAGAAGTATCCCTACACCAAACCTCAGCAACATGCAATTTACCCATGTAACAAACCTGCACATGTACCCTCTGAACCTAAAATAAAAGAAAAAACAATGAAAACAACACCAACTATAACAACAAATTAGTGAGGTGGTTAGAAGTACAGGCTTTAGACCATGATGGGCCTAGTTTTGTCATTAGTAGAATATGCGGAGCGATAGCAATTTCACATGGTTACTATACAGATTAAAAATATATGCTTTATTGAGATATAACAAATGCTCAATCAATGCTACTTTTTTAGACCTGAAGTTAATATATATTATCTTTTCAAAATCATATCAATTTTTAGAATCCTAGCTGATAAATTTTTGAATATTTATTTACCTAAAGTGACTTACAGATGACTCCACATAACATTGTCTACAGAACTATGGTGCCAAAGCACAGATGTTTTGTTTCATATGAATGTGTCTTCTGAGCCTAGGTCATTACTGATGGAGTTCCTGTTACCAGTTATGTCAGCTTTGACATAGTCCAAAGGGCGTATATAGAAGCATCTCAAAAATAGTTTTATCATCCTAAAGCTTTGTTGGTTGTAAGTTTAGTTTCTGTGTTCCTTCCATACTATTTTTTGAAATTTTTATATTTTTTACCGGAAGACTTTTGTTTCTCAAAAACTTAAACTCTATTTCTATAAACTAAATTAAAATAAATAAAAATCATGAAATTCTAGCTCTAAACATGCACATTATTCTTATGTTTTAAATCATTCATAAAATTTTTATATGAACAGAATGGCCCACAAAAGATAAATCCATAACTACTTTCTGTATTTTGTCTGTTATCACTTGAGATAAAATATTGCAGCTTTTGTATTTCTTTTCTTAGAATATATCCATACCACACATTAGTAGGGAATCTTGTTTGAGGAATTCTTTCCCAAATTTAAGTTTTGGCTAACAAAGGAGTACAGTGGATGACAATGTTATGCTTTACGTTAGTGATTCTCTATCCAGGCCATATAGTAACATCACCTGAGAACTTGTAAGATACACTTCTTCCAGCAGAACCATCCAATGCCAATTTAAATCTGAATTCCAGGGGTGGGTCCCAAACATGGAATTTTTTCTTATCCTAGTTTCCCAGATGGTTCTGATTTACAGAGAAAAAGCCACTGCTTTACACTTGAGAACCCTCAAAAACATGACTGATCTTTTTTATTTCAGATTTTAGACAATGCTACACCTACACAGGTTTAAGTCCTACCACTTTCAGTTGTTTCCCTGACCTTTGACTTTTACACATTTTGTTTGCTACAGGTTTGCTGCATATGGTTGGCACACTGTGCACTGGACAATGGAATGTGGCTGACCAGGCATTGGGAGAGATGGAAATCCAACCCGCTGAATGCTCACAACCGTGCAATCTACCATTCCCCTCATGAACGGATGCCCTTGTCCTACTTACTGCATGGACTAGCTGCAGTTCTGTGAACATAAATAAGAATTTGTGAGTTTCTGTTTTGTTTCTAGCGACTTTTTTTTTCAAAAATTCAATTTCTAACCAAACTGTACATGTAGAAACAAAGAGAAATAATCAATTAGGTCAATAAGAATTTGTTTACTTGGTTTTATGGTTTTTTTCTCTACCAATTGAATTCCTTTATTAATAAAGGAATTTATAACTTGTAGTTCAAGAAATAATTGTAAAATATCAGAAAGAGCATTGGACTAGGAAATAGAAATCCAAACACTAGTTACTGGCCTTCTGATCATGTACAAATCACTTGAGTCTCTAAGCCTTAGTTTCCCCAACTTTGAAATGAAAGAAAAATGTATGTTTTCTGGCCATTCACAGGATTATTATTAGAAAAAAAGTGTTTCCAGCCATTCACAGGATTATTATTAGAAAAAAAGTGTTTCTGAATACCATTTTTTTTTTTTTTTTTTACCGGTTCTCGCTCTGTCGCCCAGGCTGGAGTGCAGTGGCGTGATCTCGGCTCACTGCAAGCTCTGCCTTCCGGGTTTACTCCATTCTCCTGCCTCAGCCTCCTGAGTAGCTGGGACTACAGGCGCCCGCCAGCATTCCTGGCTAATTTTTTGTATTTTTGGTAGAGAAGGGGTTTCACCATGTTAGCCAGGATGGTCTCAATCTCCTGACCTCGTAATACGCCTGCCTCAGCCTCCCAAAGTGCTGGGATTACAGGCGTGAGCCACTGCACTAGGCCTCTGAATACCTTTTATAAAATACAGCTATGTTCTTGAAAGTCCCCTGCTCAAAAGGCCTTCAATGGCTCCCAGTTGCATGTGAACTGAGCTTGGCTGACAAGGATAATTACCAGGAGACGGTAAGTTTTTCTACCTCACCCCTCAGAGATTTCAATTCTAATTTAGTGAGGCTGTGATGAGACCAAGAAACTCATATTATTGAAAGCACACTTGAAGATTTTGAGTATTAACCAGATTTAGACAGTATTCAACTATAGAACATAAAAGTGAGGATGAGGTGTAAGGAAGAACAAGGCTGGGGCATTATAGAAACTGAAAGCCCTTTGCAAGTCACCCTCACTTCCAGACCCCACCCCAACCTGCTGCTTTCAGGAACCATTCAGGATTAATACATCTCAGTTGAGACCCAGAGATGTATCATTTGGAAAAGCATTCCTCATTATTTTAATTACTCCTTCCTTCTGCAACCTGGTTAGGCACCATTGCTTTAGTGTATAATTGTTTAATAAAGCTTTATTCCAAAGCATGTCATTCAAGGTCATCTGTGATTGGCAATGACCTGTCTTCCCAAGTTTATCTTCCACTACTAATCCTCATATATGCCACAGTCCAGCTAAACCCAACTAAATTCATTTTCCTGAACGGAGCCTAAATGTTCCAACCTCTTTGTCTTTGTACATTCCTTCCTATAGATTGCCCTTCCGTCCTTACATGGATTTAGATTTTTGAGTTTGAAATTCACAGAATTGATGGGGGAGGGGTTAAAGCAAGCCTTTTTAAGAAAATGTATATAAAATTAGGTACAATAGTAATTATATATTTAGAAGGGATCCATACATGTGAGAAGTTCTAAAGCTTAACTTCATTAACTTTAAATTAAATACATTTTTAATTGTTTTGAAACTGTATGGACCATTCCAGACCTAGCTGTAAAGCTCCCTCCCAGCAGGCACTTTATCTGATCCTCCTTAATATATTCCACAATGTGTATTGATTTCTCTTTTCTGGAATTTACCATATCTATTCTTGTAGAGTGTTGTAGTCGTGCAGGGTAGTATCATGAAGGATTAACCAATAACACTTTTTCTACAACTCCTTGAACCTTGTGGCTCTTCCCACCAGTTCAGAAAGCTGATACAATGCACAGTTATAGCTATGAGAAGTGTCCTACAGCATATTACAAAAAATCTGGAAACAATTCTTGGCTTTTTAATTTAGCCATTCTTATATAACGACTGCCAGAAATAACTTAACTGTACAGAGAAGTGACTACAAACCAGACACATATGCTCCATTCAGTCCAAACTAAATGAATCCCCAACTTAATCCCCCTTATCAGATTCCATCTCACACTGCTGATAAGACAGGCAATAGAAATGAAATAACACTGATATGGTTAGGCTTTGTGTCCCCACCCAAATCTCATCTTGAATTATAATTCCCATAATCCCCATGTGTCAAAGGAGAGACCAGGTGGAGGTTAATTTGATCAAGGGGGAGGTTTCCCCGATGCTGCTCTCATAATAGTAACTTCTCATGAGATCTGATGGTTTTATAAGTGTTTGGTAATTCCTCCTGCATTCATTATCCCTCCTGCAGCCTTGTGAAGGAGGTGCCTTGTTTCCCCTTTGCCTTACACCATGATTGTAAGTTTCCTGAGGTCTCTGCAACCATGCTGAACTGTGAGCCAATTATATCTCTTTCCTTTATAAATTACTCAGCCTCAGGCAGTGTATTAGTTCATTTTCTCACTGCTGATAAAGAGATACCTGAGACTGGGCAATTTACAAAAGAAAGAGGTTTAATTGGACTTACAGTTCCACATGGCTGGAGAAGCCTCATAATCATGGCAGAAGGCAAAGAGGGGCAAGTCACATCTTACATGGATGGCAGCAGGCGAGAGAGAGAGAGTTTATGTAGGGGAACTCCTCTTTTTAGAACCATCTGATCTCATGAGACTTACTCACTATCATGAGAACAGCATGGGAAAGACTTGACCCCATGGTTCAATTACCTCCCACCAGATCTCTCCCACAAGACGTGGGAATTCAAGATGAGATTTGGGTGGGGACACAGCCAAACCATATCATTCTGCCCCTGGTCCCACCCAAATCTCAAGTCCTCACATTTCAAAACCAATTATGCCTTCCCAACACCCCTCTAAAGTCTTTTTTTGTTGTTGTTGAGACTGAGTCTCACTCTGTCACCCAGGCTTGAGTGCAGTGGCACGATCTCAGCTCACTGCAAACTCTGCCTCCTGGGTTCATGCCATTCTCCTGCCTCAGCCACCCGAGTAACTGGGACTACAGGTGCCTGCCACCACACCCAGCTAATTTTTTGTATTTTTAGTAGAGACAGGGTTTCACTGTGTTAGCCAGGATGGCCTTGATTTCCTGACCTTGTGATCCACCCACCTCGGCCTCCCAAAGTGCTGGGATTACAGGCGTGAGCCACTGCCCCTGACCTAAAGTCTTAATTCCTTTCAGCATTAACTCAAAAGTTCACAGTCCAATGTCTTACTTGAGACAAGGCAAGTCCCTTCCACCTATGAGCCTGTAAAATCAAAAGCAAGTTAGTTACTTCCTAGATACAATGAGGGTACAGGCATTGGGTAAATAGAGCCATTCCAAATGGGAAAAATTGGCCAAAACAAAGGGGCTACAATGCAAGTCCGAAATCCAGAGGGACAGTCAAATCTTAAACCTCCAGAATGATCTCCTTTGACTCCATGTCTCACATTTAGGTCATGCTGATGCAAGAGGTGGGTCCCCATGGTCTTGAGCAGCTCTGCCCCTGTGGCTTTGCAGGGTACAGACTCCCTCCTGGCTGCTTTCATGGGCTGGCATTGAGTTTCTGTGACTTTTCCAGGCACACAGTGCAAGCTGTCACTGGATCTACCATTCTAGGTTCTGGAGGACAGTGGCCCTCTTCTCACAGTGCCACTAGGCAGTGCCCCAGTAGGGACTCTGTGTGGGGGCTCTGACCCCATATTTCCCTTCCACGCTGCCATAGCAGATTTTTTCCATGAAGGTCCCAACCCTGCACCTAACTTCTGCCTGGGCACCCAGGCATTTCCATACCTCTTCTGAAAAATGGGCAGAGGTTCACAAACCCCAGTACTTGACTTCTGTGCACCCCCAGGCTCAACACCATGTGGAAGCTACCAAGGTTTGGGATTTGCACTATCTGACCATGGCCCTAGCTGTACATTGGCCCCTTCCAACCATGGCTAGAGCAGCTGGCACACAGGGCATCAAGTTCCTAGGCTGCATACAAAATGGGGACCCTGGGCCCAGCCCAGAAAAACACTTTTTCCTCCTAGGCCTCCTGGCCTGTGATGGGAGGGGCTGCTGTGAAGACCTCTGACACGCCCTGGAGATAGTTTCCCCATTGTCTTGGGAATTAACATTTGGCCCCTGGTTACTTATGCAAATTTTTGCAGCCAGCTTGAATTTCTCCTCAGAAAATGTGATTTTCTTGTCTATCACATTGTCAGGCTGCAAATTTTCCAAACTTTTATGCTCTGCTTCCTTTATAAAATTGAATGCCTTTAACAGCACCCAAGTCACCTCTTGAACACTTTGCTGTTTAGAAATTTCTTCTGCCAGATACCCTAAATCGTCTCTTTCAAGTTCAAAGTTCCACAAGTCTCTAGGACAAGGGCAAAATGCTGCCAGTCCCTTTGCTAAAACATAACAAGAATCACCTCTGCTCCAGTTCCTGACAAGCTCATCATTTCCATCTGAGAGCATCTCAGCCTGGACTTATTGTCTATATTGCTATCAACATTTTCACCAAAGCCATTTAACAAGTCTCTAGGGAGTTCCAAACTTTCCCAGATTTTCCTATCTTCTTCTAAGCCCCCCAAACTGATCCAACCTCTGCCTGTTACGCAGTTCCAAAGTCGTATCCATATTTTTTGTTATGTTTTTAGCAACACCCCACTCTCCTGATATCAATTTACTGTATTAGTTCATTTTCTCACTGCTAATAAAGACATACCCAAGATTGGGCAATTTACAAAAGAAAGAGATTTAACTGGACTTATATTTCCACATGGCTGGGGAAGCCTCACAATCATGGCAGAAGTCAAGGAGGAGCAAGTCATGTCTTACACGGATGGCAGCAGGCAAAGAGAGGAGAGCTTGTTCAGGAGAATTCCTCTTTTTAAAACCATCAGATCTCATGAGACTTATTCCTATCATGAGAACAGCACAGGAAAGACTTGCCCCCATGATTCAATTATTTTCCACCAGGTTCCTCCCACAACATGTGGGAATTCAAGATGAGATTTTGGTGGGGACACAGCCAAACCATATCAGGCAGTACTTTACAACAGTGTGAGAATGAATTAATACAAGCACAACTCAAAATCTTACCCCTCCCCCTATTTCAAAACTCATCCTTACCACTAGTCCTCTACCATCTGAGCTATTGTTTCTGTCCCCCTGCCAGATCATAAATCTTACCCCTCTCAGGACCTCCAGACTGGCTTTACTTTGTTCTTTGGCTCCAAATATCTGTCTTATTTCTAAGAAATCTCAGGATTCGAGTCAGTGGAGGAAGCCATAGTCCATCCTGTCACTAACTCTTATTTTTTCATTTATTTATTTATTTATTTATTTATTTATTTATTTATTTATTTATTTATTTTTAGACAGACTTTTGCTCTTGTCGCCCAGGTTGGAGTGCAATTGGCATGATCTCGGCTCACTGCAACCTCTGCCTTCTGGGTTCAAGCGATTCTCCTGCCTCAGCCTCCTGAGTAGCTGGGATTACAGGCATGCACCACCATGCTCAGCTAATTTTTGTATTTTTAGTAGAGACGGGGTTTCTCCATGTTGGTCAGGCCGGTCTTGAACTCCCAACTCAGGTGATCCGCCCGTATCAGCCTCCCAAAGTGCTGGGATTACAGGTGTGAGCCATGGTGCATCCAGCCTATTTTTTTTTCATCTTTTAAGACCAAGTGAAATGCCACTGTTTCTTCAAAGCTTTTAGGAAATTTATTTACTTATTTTTCTTGGTTGATTTTTTTCATAGTTTTTATTCCCATTCCATTCCAAGCTCTCCAGATCGTTTTTGCTCTCCTTCCTCAGGGAGGATTAAGTTGCCAGGACCCAAGCAGTAGTTAGTCAAAAATACTATCTTTCTTGGATTTTAAGGAATTAAGTGTTGATCACAAACTCAGATATCTACATGAGCCATGCAAGTAATCAGGGTGAAGGAGTATCAGTGTACCTTCTAACTGGCAAGCGTACACCTCATTAAAGAACACAACTCCAAACAATGGTGATCACATGGGCATGCCACATTTCCAGATTTTTGAAAAGAAGGTAAAAATCTGTATTTAATGGCAAATCTCCTGAATTTTAAACAGAAAATCAAATACATGCTGATGAAAAGCAAACCTGTATGCTAACTGAAGCCCACAATCCACCAGTTTGGAACCTTTTTCCTAAATGCCTACCAGAGAATTATGCTGAAATGATCGGCCATGGCTAGTAGCAATCACAGAGGAAAAATTTACCTAAGAGGTAAACTGGGCAGAAAATGTGGATTGATTATATAATAGCTGAGATCTTCATGCCTTTCTCTGGAGTGGTGTGTACCAGGGCCCCTACCCTTGGCAAAATTAATTTTCTATGGCTACCGTAAACATTACAACAATCTTGGTGCTTAAAACAACACAAATTGATTCTCTTATCATTCTGGCAGCCAAAGGTCTGACAACAGTTTCACTAGGTTAGAGTCAAGGTGTTTGCTGCACAGGTTCTTCCTGGAGTCTCTAGGAGAGAATGTGTTTCCCTGTCTTGTTTAGCTTCTGGAGCCTGCCTGCACTCCTTTGTTCACGACCCCTCTCTGGAGTCACTCCAAATTCTTTCTTCCATCATCACATCTGCTACTTCCTTCTTTGACTTGCTTATCACTCTCCTGTATGTACCCTTGTGATTACGTTGACAGCCCATCTGGATAATAAGGATACTGTCCCCATCTCCAAATCCATAACTTAATCACATCTGCAAGTTCCCTTTGTCACATTAGGTGACACAGGTTCCAGGGACTGGGATGTGCATCTTTCAAAGGGCCCTTTTTTCAGCTTACCTCGAAGCACCAAATTGCTACATAAAGTATTATGTGGGTTTGGACAATGATAGATAATACCTGTTCCCCTTTTACGGGTAGCAAAGGAGCCTATTGAAGTTTTCTGTAACCCTAATGAAAGAAACTGGCCACCTAATAACAAGTAAGATAGGATTTTCCTTCAGTCCACAGGGAGAAAGGCTGGAGAAGCATTTAACTTAATTTAAAGTGTGACACTTCCTTGACTTTGTGAAGTAGATACTTATCTACAACAGGAATTCTGACTTCCTCGAAGAGAACTTTCCTCTCCTCTGTATTCATTTGGAACCAACTCCATAGTCTACATACTCTACTCTAAAGCTTGCTACATTTACTAAAATTGAGTTTATTTGTGTGTCTGTGTCCTGGACTAAAAGAGTTATTTTTGTGTTAAAAACCATTCCCCAGGGCCAGGTGTATTACATAAATATTAAATTGTATCAATAAGGAAATAAATAAGTTGCAAGGTAAGAGTATGGAAAAATGCTCTAAACACTGTGTTTTGATTTTTCGTTTTTATACTTTACTAAAAAAAAAAGTGGAGAGAAAGATTGAAGGGCAAAAAACAGTTATTGAGGAGCCTGTCTTTATTTCACCTTCAAAACAACCTTCCAGAAGGGTTATTTGAATTTTTACAGATAAGAAAATTACGTAATTTATCCAAAACTACTTAGGGACTAAGTAGTAAAATTGGATGTAGAGTAGTTACTGTGTTGTTCTTGACACCGTATTTCTTTGACATTGCATTATTTCTATTTATTTAGAACATCATATTTATGTAGAATTTGTTCATCAGATCTTTTTTTCTAGTTTCCCATGGATTGGTCAAATTATTGCTCTGTTTGCTGAAAATAGTACATGCTCCTTCTCCCTCCTGCTTTTTTCCTTTCCTCCAACTCCCACTGCCCCTTCAGGGATGAGGCACAGTTACTTCCTGGGGCCAAATGGAATCCTGCTGTGCGTGAACACAGGAAAGAAGCTGTGCTTCTTCCTTTCCTCACTCCCTCCCCTGAATAAATCCTGGCTGCTCTGGGAGTGTTTATTCAGGCGAGCGTTTCCATCCCACAGGGGAGAAAACCAGGCTCATTAAATCCTGAATAGTACTTAGTATTGCTTAGATAAATTTTTTAAAAAGAGGATTTGGTTTTGAATATTAGAAAAAAAGTGTATGAACTGGCACATGAAACAATCTCCTCAGGGAAGTGTTGAAATCCATAAAATTTAAGTTACAAATTTTAGGAAGTATGCCAAACAGGTAGATGCTGACTGAAAAATGAAGTACATCTCTAAATAAGATCCATTCCCATTTCCAGTGATTTTATAATTCATCCCTTATTTCTGACTTTAAAGTATGTATTTGAGACCTCCACCAGAGATTCTTGTTACAATTGCAAGTTCACCCTGATTCCCAGCCTGTTTTCTCATGTAAAGACAGCAAGCTTCCTTGCAATGCAGGGATGAGATTGAACTCTCACTGAAATGTTCAATGCATATTGTTATAATTACTTCATTTCAAAATAATATGATTTTTGTTATCTTTTAAATAACCAAGATATCAAATATAGTCCACTAGCTGTCACAGAGCTACACTAGTGAAATAAATGCACAAAATCACCTTGACAAATCTCAACAATATCCCACCTTTTTTTTTTTTTTTTTTTTGCTGAAATGAAGTTGCGTGAACACGGCTCACTGCAGGGTCAACTTCCTGGGCTCAAGCGATCTTCCAACCTCAGCCTCCTGAGTATCTGGGACTACAGGCACATATCATCAACCTTGGCAAATTTTTTTTAATTATTATTTTTTGTAGAGACGGGGTCTCACTATATTGCCCAGGGTGGTCTCTAACTCTTGGGCTCAAATGATCCTCCTACCTCAGCCTCCCAAAGTGCTGGGATTATAGGCTTTAGCCACTGTGCCTAGTCAATCCTTCACTTTTAACTACTGAAAAGAGTTGGTAGTCAACAGCAATTATTTCAACCAGATTTTGTTCGGATTTCTAACCTTTATAAATTCAAATTTCTAAGAAACTTCCCTCCTAGAGTTTTCTTCAAAGTCTATTTTTTTTAAAAAAATTGTAAGAACAAATATGTTTTAGGGGGTCTTCTTTTTCTTTAATACTTTTTTATTTTGTTTATAGTCTTATATGTATCATTCCATCTGAAGATGATTTACCATAGGTGTAGTCACTCATGATTTTGGAGTTTTTATTCATCATGTAATTTTTAAGTAGCTTTTAATTCATCTTCATAATACTTGAAGAATTCGCAAACAGGACTTTTCTTCCAGAAAGACTTATGGCCTAAATGCAATTAAATAGTTAAAAATTAAAGTCTGTGATAATTTTTTTTTATTATGAATGCTATCAATTGCTTAATGTTTAAATGATATGTAGGTTATAAATATACAAACAATTCCATGAATATTATTATTATATTATAACCTTATCTGTATTTTTCTGCCTCAAATTATTATTTAATATTTAGAAACGTGCTGGTTCAAAATGTTTTAATAAAATATTGAGCTAATAATCCTCATGCAATAATTATATTAATTGTTAATGTTTTTCCCTCTTTTAACTATTTTGAAGTTTCTTCACAACTATTTCTATACATAGAGCTAGAATTTTTCATAATCTTGAAATATTAGGTACAATTAACATTCTATATGACTGATAAAATTTTACCATATAAAGCACAAAAGAAAATTTCACTCCACATTACATCTAGAATGTTAAACACTATTAAAAAGTGAATATTAAGATATTAAAAATTAATGTAAATGGCACACAGTCATCTTAATATCAGTGCTACCATGCTTTTAGGTATGTTGTTAGCCTATGCAATCACATTAATATCAATGATGCACAAATTCAAGGTTACCAGGAAAATATTATTGAAGTTGGCATTTGGTTATTTTTGGCTTTCCAAAAACTGAAATTGCACCTGAAAAGCAGATTTTGACCAGAGAGCAGATAGCAGAATATTGAGGCCAAATCCAAAATTGGATGCAACTGAAGTAATTTTATTAATCAATAAGAAGAGGTAGTCAACACAATGGAAATTCTCATGTATAAAACTACTGAAAAAATGTTAAATGTTACTAGTTTGGAATGCAGAATAACAACGTGTTTTACTGGCTTTATAATGGATACAACCTAAGTTTAATGATGTCCTTTTGTTTAGAGACAGAGTCTGGCTCTGTCACCCAAGCTGAAGGCACCATTGTAGCTCACTGCATCCTTGAACTACTGGGCTTAAGTGATCCTTCTGCAGCAGCTTCCCACGTAGCTAAGACTACAGGCACATGCCACTGTACCTGCTAATTTTTTGTAGATACAGGTTATCACTTTATTGCTCAGCCTGTTCTCAAACTCCTGGCTTGAAGCAATTCTCCTGCTTTGGCCTCCCAAAGGCTGTGATTACAGGCGTGAGCCACCATGCTCAGCTAATGATGTCACATTTTACTAAGAGTTCAAAAATGCTATTAAAATACAAACTACGGAAATCAACTGCTCCCATTATTTTGCAGCTTTTTAAAATAATGTTCTTCAAATTCAACCTCACTTCAAGCATTCCAGTGTTCATGTAACAAAACAAGTAACAAAAGTTATTAGAAGAAAATAGATTTTCTTACTGAGGAGAAGGAACACTGGTAATTTCAATGCTCAAATATGTGTGTGTTGCCTACATACAGCAGATTCCCCAGCAATTAAAAATGGCCACTCAAAATGTCAGTAAACCAAGACATCTGTGTTTACGTAGTAAAACAAATTGGACTTCATAAAAGCCATGATAAAAAAAAAAAGGGTATGTATCATATCTATTGTGAACACAATCCTGATGCCCTGGAGTTGCTTTTACTGACTCACAAAAGCCAATTGTTAAAAATCAGGAATTATGTGAGAAGCTGTTGAGGCACTGGTGACTTCAAATCAGCCACGGTGGGAATATATATACCATGATAATTGGAAAATCAGAGCTTCTTTTTTTTGTTCTTTTTGTAGGGTGGTGATGTTCTAGCTTTCCTTTTCTGCAAGCCATTTTACCAGCACACCCTTAACTACAACCCAAGCATTCAATTCAAACATTTAAAAAACTAGGCATAAACTTGATCTTGGGTCATATTTTCACAATTATATAAAATTCATAGATGCCAATTTATATTTCATTTTTCTTTATTTTTGTATCCACAATTTGTTCTCTTTGCCCCTCAAAAGAAAATGCTAGTAGCTTTTCTGCTTTTAAGTATGAATTTCATGGGATTTTTCATGCTATAGCAAAGGTGAAAAACAATTTTTGATCAAAAGAAAAACATTTTAATGCTCAACACAACAGATGTTCAAAGACAGCTTTGGAGTAAGCATCAGTACCATCTGGATGACCTGCCACCATATGCAGATGGGAAATTGCTACTTAATAGTTTCTGTGAGAAGGACAGTGTAAAATATTATAGTATTTAAAATTAAATGATGTTTGCATACCCAAAGTTGATATCATTTTCAGATGTTCTTCAATTCACTGGTTATTATGATTTATTCCAGACATTACTTGAAAGGAAATAAAAGTAAATTTTTTATAATAGATTAAAAGTTTATTAGTTACTGAAATTGATCATAAAGCCACATATAATTTTATCTTTTTTTTAAAAAAAGATGTAATGTGTAAGTATATATGTCTAGGACAAACAAAACAAGAAAGACCCCATCAAGATCTCTAATGAAATGCATTATTTATGTAACTGTTTCATAGTTTTCACAAAAATAACCCCTTGATCTGGGTTCTGAAAGTTGTAAAGAAAAAAATAATTATTATAATCGCAGTGAGAAAATTCTCTATTTTAGTGTTCAGTAGTCCCTTTTACCACTTTTTATTTCTTATTTGTTTTTCCATCTAACAAGAAATAGATTCTTAATGATGAGGAATAATTTTTAAAATTGGAGGAATCTTACTGAGACTGTGAGACCACAAAGCATAACAAGGTATGCAGCAACAAATATAAACAAACTTGTCAACTAACATTTAGACTTTCAGCCAGAGCTGTTCTTTTATTTCTTTTTTATTTCTTTTTCCTTCTTTTTTCTTTTCTTTTTTTTTTTTTTTTTTTTTTGAGACAGGATCTCGCTCTGTCACTCAGGCTGGCATGCAGTGGCATGATTACAGCTCACTACAGCCTCGACCTCCCAGGCTCAAGGGATCCTCCTTATTTAGCCTCCCAAGTAGCTGGGACTACAAACTCATGCCACCACAACCAGCTTATTTTTAAATTTTCTGTAGAGATGGGGTCTTACCATGTTGCCCAAGCTGGTCTCGATCAAGTGATCACCCACCTCTGCCTCCGAAAGTGCTGGGATTGTACGTGTGTGCCACTGTGTCTGGTCCTGGATCTGTTCTAATCTGTATGGAGCTCTATCAACTCTTATTCAATAACTATTTGAAAGATAAAGAACAATGAAAAATGGCAAATCTTAATTATTTGCATATGTGATTTATTATTTAAATAAAGCTGTTTACAGAAAGTAGTGAATCAATTACATTGTTAGTAGTTTCCAAATGATGATGAGCATTCAAAAACATCCAATCTCTGAACAATTGTTTCTCTATTAGTGCAAGAAATGACATGTCTGGCAATTTAAAAATGAACTTGACACACTTTGTAATATATAATGTGCTGTCAATATGTATATGTAATATATGTGATATGCAGTGAGTATGCGCGCACATATGTACAAAACAACCATAAAGTCACCATACTTAAGCTCTCTCTTAATTATTAGCATTTGAGAGACGATTCCATATAAGGGGTCCTCAGGCACCTCCCCTCCCTAATTCTTTACACATAGTAGTCTTTCAATAATCATTTTATGAAAGAAGGAAGCAATGAATAAACAGTGAATGAAAACCTATTCAAGGTTTGATTTTTACCATTAAAAACACAACCACACACACAAACTCTGTATTACAAATTTTCCATACTATTTCATGTTTTAAAATGTGTCTCTAACTCAAAGATAGCATCAATGGCTGCATTCACAAAGCTGAATAACCAAAAAGTAGTCTGTAGAAAAAAATGATTCATTATGTTGTGCTTCGGTACCCTTACTTTAAAAAGCATCTTACTCACAATTAGTTCCACTTACAGCCAAGGCAACTAAAATACTATCTCTCAGTGTCCTGGCCTCTATCCATTGTGAGAGAAGATAGGTAAACTACTCTTTTGCTGAAAAATGTTATCCTCTATGGGATGAAAGAAATAGTGTTCGAACTCGAACAGTGCTTTCCTGTAAAGCCTGTGAAAACACTTTATGTCCTATAGGAACTGAATAAAATCTCCTTTTGAGACCACAGGATATCATTCTGGTGAACTACAGTATCCTTTTCAGTGGATTATACACTATTTAACCGCATTCTTCAGATACACAAAGGAAGCTGTCTGAGTAAGAGAATCCTTGTTTTTTCATGAACACATCCAAAGGACTCTTCTCCTCAAACAAGGCTGGAAGCATTTAGGTTAATCAGTCAGTAGGTCAGTCTGTCAAAGTATTTTTACCTTACGCGAAAGTTGGTGACTATATTCAGATGATAAGAAAAAAAAATCAAAATATGCTAACTGATTTAAGGAGATTAAATTAAATTAGAGATGTACAAATTACAGAGACTTTTAAAAATTAGGGATATTTTAGCAGTACTAATCTGCCTACGCTATTTCCCTTCTGAAGTCAAAATGCTTGTTCAGACCTCAAAACATTTATAGAGGCTATTTCCCTCTACCTGAGATGCATTTTTATCTGCTGTCTCTCTGACATTATTTATTCATGCTTCAAACCCTGCCTGGTTCAGATGTCACTCACTCTAATACATCTTCACTGATCAGCCCTTCCCCTCTTAAGGGTTGATTATTTATTTATTTAAGTATAATAGACTTTCATTTTTTAGAGCAGTTTCAGGTTCATAGCAAAATTGAGTGCAAAGTACAGAAAGTTCCCTTATAATCCTTACCCTCACACATGCACAACCTCACCTCCCCCACTATTGATTGACATCCAGTACCAGAGGGTACACTTGTTTACACTTGAGAAACCTACATTGACATATCATTACCATTCCAAATCCATACTTTCCATTAGGGTTCATTCTTGGTGTTGTACATTCTTTGTATTTTGACAAGTTGTAATAATCAGAATAATGTATCCATCACTATAGTATCATACAGAATAGTTTCACTGCCCTAAAACTCCTCTGTGTTCTCTCTATTCGTTCCTCCCTTCCTGCTAACCTCTGCCAACCACTGATCTTTTACTTTCTCCATAGTTTCTCCTGTTTCAGACTGTCATATAATTGGAATTGTAAAATAGGTAGCCTTTGAGATTGGCTTCTTTTGCTTGATAATATGCATTTAAGATTCCTCCATGTCTTTCATGGTCTGATGGCTAAATTATTTTTAGTGCTGAATAGTATTTCATTGTCTACATACACTACAGTGTATTTATCCATGAACTACTTGAGGACATCTTGGTTGCTTCCAAATTTTGGCAATTAAAAATAAAGCTGCCACATCCTGTGTGCATTTTTTGTAGATTATTTTTTGAATCAATATATGTATATATAATGAGCTGCTACTTTCGGGCAAGCAGTATAGTACATACTGGAATACATGTGAGTGACATCTGCTATTACATCAGTATGACCTTTGAGAAGATAATGAGAAGTATGGAAACTCCACGTAAAAATATCCATAATAATAACAAATCAATGAATACAACAACACTTATAACACTATAGTGTATGTGCCAGACACATTGCCAAGGGCTTGACATGAACACAATGTTTCATTCAATTACATGACGTTCTGAAAACTCATAACATCTATTCATAGATTTTCAAGAAAAAAGAAGGTTTCAAACAGAAGAAACAAAATCAACATTGCAAATACCACAGAGAGGTCAAAAAAGAAAATTACTAAAAAAGTTTTATTGAATTTTGTGATTGGAAGTTTATTAGTAAACCTAAGAAGAATGTTTAGGGGGCTGATAACAAAAGGCTGGCTGCAGCAGGTTTAGGAGTGAAATGACAAGGAGAAATAATATAGAAACGTAACTGTCACAAGAATCTCGTAATTAAATAATTACAATAAAAACTAAGGGCAGTAAACATTGGTTGAATGCTTACTATTTTCCAGAAACTGTTTCTGTGTGTTAGCTATTATTCCAACCATTTTACATCTAAAAACTGAATTAACCATCACAACAAAACTATAGATAAATATTATCACTTCCCTCAACTTACAGATGCGAAAACCACTGAAAGACAGAGAAGTTGAGAAATTTGCCCTATGAGCACAATTAATCCCACAGAAGCGAGAATATAACCTCTTGACTCAAAAGCCTCATGTCCACTTTGCTATACCAGTTGGCTTATCGTAATAAACATCCCGAGGTAAAAATTTCTCATGCTACTCCATGGACATCCTAATAGAGTCAATTTGAACATTATCTTCCAGCACGATTACACTGTAATTTTTTCTCACCTTTTCAACATTTCAAGTAAGTGTTTTTGCCTCTTCACCCAACCCCTCAAGAATTTTCCGAAGTAATTCCATTCTAATTTATTTTAGGCCATTTTTCTGCACCATAGATACACTATGTAATCTAATGATACCACTTTTGCTAGCACTATTATAACATCTAACACCACCACTACTGAAATTATCCTACAGCGAGGTCCCTTTGCTGTTTTAAAAATAAATATCTTATTAAGAGAATCCAATGGGCCTATTTGAAAGTGAATATCTTCATGAAAGAGATTATTTTTATTTGAATCATGCTTCGTAAACATTACATTGCATTGTGTTGGGGTCAGCACGGGCTTTGGAATCGGATCTAATCAAAGCTACCACTTTCTGACTAAGGGATTTCAGATGGGTCTAACCAAATTTAATGATTTTTGTTTCTGTTTTTAAAGATATACCATGTATACTTCATATGGAGAGCTAGAAATATCCAAAACTGTAAAGCTCTAAGAATAGGATTTGTAGCTTTTTACAGGATTCAATTTATATTAGATGGAATTCTATTAAATGAACTTAAATAAATATTTCTTATTTCTGCTTTCTATCTAGAGCACTCATGGACATTGCCTCAATGGATCAACACAACAGCCTAATAAGCTGAGTCTTATTTCCCAGATGAAGAAATTGAAGATTATAGGAGTTAAGTGACTTGCTACAATTTGGAAGCTAGTGAGTCCAGGTGTTACAGGTATGAGAGGGGCAGGAGAGGGCTCTCCCCTCAGCCCACTACAAAGTCAGGTGATGGTTCAGCAATTACTGCATTTCCTCTCTAAAAGTGATAAATTGGTAGCCAGTGCCAGGGGAGAGGCCAGTTCCTGATGGTCCACACCTCCTAACATTAAAGGGTTAATTAAAGGCAGACCCCAGGGAGGAAAAACATTGACAAAAATGGCGAATTATGATCTTTGGGGTACATGCCACTGGAAAAAGGGAAAAAAGCCTCACATGGCAATATAACGCCACAAACACACTGCATATGCTCACTTCCCAAGGGTAAGGAAAGCGCTGCCTATGCGGGATGCCCAACCTAAGGGAAGACTCATGGGAAAGAGATGAGCCTATAAAGTCCTAGGACCAAGGCCTCCTTTTTGCTGTCTTCTCGTCTCTCTTGGACCTTCAGGCGCCCCGCTTGGGTTTGTTCCAAGTGAATTTTCCTTTTTTGCCTGTTCTAAAGCTTTTTAAATAAATTTCCACTCCTGCTCTGAAACTTGCCTTGGTCTCTTTTTCTGCTTGATGCCCCTCAGTCCAATTATATCTTCTGAGGAGGCAAGGACTGAAGATGCTATGGACCCGCACAGATATGCTGCTGATAACTCGGGGTAATACAGGCTCTTCCACTGCTAACACAGGGAACTAGGATCTAACCCTGAATGACTCTTCAAGCAAACAAGGCCAGAGTGAGATTGAAATGTATTGGCGATCTCCGAAAAACAAAAGCAAAAACAAAATCTGTCTCTATCCGTATATATATTTATATATATATATATACACACATACCTATGTATAGTATATATGTATACATTCATATTCAAAACATTCAATTTTATTAATCTTGAATTCAACCCATTATATTTATATATACACATTTTTTCTATAACTGCATTTCTGTGCCTACTCTAAAATCCATTTTAAAAGATCTGAATAATTCAAACATTTCTGTAAATTACACTTCCCTAAAATCTATACTTATAAAATTTTTTGCAGAAAAATATAGCCCAATTATTTTTTCTTTTTCTTGAATACTTATGTCATATACTGTTTCTTACAATGTGCTGATACTTTCATGCATTTTAAGATTAATATTAATAAGGCAGTCTCAAATGTACTTTGCCCCTCTACACCCTTAATTGTTGATTTGTCTTCACTTGAATAGTCACAGAGGGTTTTTATTCATTAGCTTTAATGTTCATTACTGGCCACTGAAACAAAATAGATTTTACTTTATTTAAATAAATTAGGATTTTGTATTTTGAGATTTTTCTGTATTCATTTTATGATGCTCAAATACTTTTTCTTATTATGTAAGGAGTATTGTATATTCTGGTTTTTGCCATTTCTCATTACTTAAGGAAAGGATTTTCATTGCTAACATAGAGAAAATGTTTATAGATGTGATAGAAATAATGATCATAAGGTTACCTTGTAAGAACATAAATTCCACCCAGAGATCCATAAACACCTCATTAATATTACTAATACAATTACGTACAGTTTTCACACCCAGAAAACCATCTAGATTAAAATGCAATCATCTTAATATAGCAATATTATCGATTTGCATTAACTGCATTAAAGTTGCATAAATACATGAAACCACATCTTTAACTCATTTCTTGTGTAAAAGGTTTAGAAGTATCCCAAGCTTGAAGGAAAATAATAAATACTGAAGAATTATTCCTTAAATATTTTTCTACTTCATATCACCCTTATTTTTAAAGGGCTTTAATTTTTTATTTAATTATCTAAATATCTTGAATTATCAAAAGCACATCTTTTTCCCATTTTTGTTTTTCTATATACTATGTATTTAAAAGAGCTATTTCATGGTCACTGTTACCAAACACGCTAATCAGCCATGTTCTTTTGTAGCACTATTTTCCTAGCATTATTTTCTTCCTGGATAGCTCACTAGGGAAGATACTTTGTATCAGATGGATGTGTTTATGCTTGATTCCCAGCAGGACTTTTGGAGAGTACATATTAGTTTCTATTTCAAGAAGGGAACTGATTTAATAGGCAGTGTCATGTTTAAAATTTAAAATTCTGTTTAATTATTAAGATCTGGTTGACACTGTCTGACTGACTTTCACTTTGGGCCCTGTACTATCACAGTGACATATCGTTCTGCTTTCAAGAGAATTCTGCTTCATGGAAAGAACTACCACTACTAGTCTCTGTAAAAACAGAAAAAGGAACTACCTCTGAGTAAAAAATAAAATAAAATAAAATGTTTATAGATGTAATAAAATTAATAATCTTGGGGGAAGAGGAAAATTAGAAAATGGTACCCTCTGAACTCATGGCCTAGTGGGTAAGTATAAGTTGAACCTGAGCTCTACTCATCTCATCCTGTACAACAGCACATGAACTTTCAAATCATATTTCTTTGTTGCAAATGCCTTTATCAAAACCAGATAAGTGATCAATTTTGTTGTTGTAAAACATATAATGTTGATTCAAAGTACTCTTAAAAAAAAAGTTTCATTGCAGGCCATCTTCCATATGATGAGATTGTATTTTCCAATGTTGTTTTGTAAGGTCACATTTTCCCACATAAACAATGTTGTGCACCACCATCAGAATTATGCTCAATTTTAGGTCCAGTGTTACTCATTGTATCAGACTGGGCCAGTTACACCTGTGATCTTGTGTCTCCTGCAAGAGTGGAATAATATGAACCATACGTGGTTACTGTGAAGGTTAACTGAACAGAGTTGGTAAACTACCCAGAACCAGTGTTTGATGTGTAAGGCAGAGACAACCAGGTTCTAACATCAGGAGGCTCACCTGTGGAAATGGGTTCTTGGAAGTCCTTTTCTCTCATACTCTTGAGAGGTGACAGCGTGCTGGCAGTCCTCACAGCCTTGGCTCGCTCTCGGCGCCTCCTCTGCCTGGGCTCCCACTTTGGCGGCACTTGAGGAGAACTTCAGCCCGCCGCTGCTGAGCCCCTTTCTGGGCTGGCCAAGGCCAGAGCCGGCTCCCTCAGCTTGCTGGGAGGTGTGGAGGAGAGGCGTGGGCGGGAACCCGGGCTGCGCGCGGTGCTTGCGGGCCAGCACGAGTTCCGGGTGGGCGTGGGCTCGGCGGGCCCCGCACTCGGAGTGGCTGGCCGGCGGACCGGCCGGCCCGCCGGCCCCGGGCAGTGAGAGGCTTAGCACCTGGGCCAGCAGCTGCTGTGCTCAATTTTTCGCGGGGCCTTAGCTGCCTTCCCGCGGGGCAGGGCTCGGGACCTGCAGCCGGCCATGCCTGAGCCTCCTCCTGCCTCCGTGGGCTCCTGTGCGGCCCGAGCCTCCCCAACGAGCGCCACCCCCTGCTCCACCGTGCCCAGTCCCATCGACCACCCAAGGGCTAAGGAGTGCGGGCGCACGGCACGGGACTGGCAGGCAGCTCCGCCGCGGCCCTGATGCGGGATCCACTGGGTGAAGCCAGCTGGGCTCCTGAGTCTGGTGGGGACTTGGAGTTAGGGGATTGTAAATACACCAATCGGCACTCTGTATCTAGCTCAAGGTTTGTAAACACACCAATCAGCACCCTGTGTCTAACTCAAGGTTTGTGAATGCACCAATCCACACTCTGTATCTAGCTGCTCTGGTGGGGACTTGGAGAACCTTTGTGTGGACACTCTGTATCCAGCTAATCTAGTGGGGAGGTGGGAACCTTTGTGTCTAGCTCAGGGATTGTAAACGCACCAATCAGCACCCTGTCAAAACAGACCACTCGGGCTCTCTGTAAAATGGACCAATCAGCAGGATGTGGGTGGTGCCAGATAAGAGAATAAAAGCAGGCTGCCCCAGCAGCAGTGGCAACCCGCTGGTTGCCTTCCAAAAGGTGGAAGCAGTGGTCTTTCGCAATAAATCTTCCTGCTGCTCACTCTTTGGGTCCACACTGCCTTTATGAGGTGTAACACTCGCCACGAAGGTCTGCAGCTTCACTCCTGAAGCCAGCGAGACCACGAACCCACCGGGAGGAACGAACAACTCCAGACGTGCCGCCTTGAGAGCTGTAACACTCACCTCGAAGGTCCACAGCTTCACTCCTGAGCCAGCGAGACCACAAACCCACCAGAAGGAAGAAACTCCGTACACATCTGAACATCAGAAGGAACAAACTCCGGACACGCTGCCTTTGAGAACTGTAACACTCACCGCGAGGGTCCGCGGCTTCATTCTTGAAGTCAGACCAAGAACCCACCAATTCCGGACACACTCTAACAATAATAAAATTTGTTATTGTCACGGTAATCCTCACAATGACTTAGCACCATTCATTTTAATATATGTTTTACTACATATCTTCTGGAGCTAGACTTTCAACAAATGTCTTTACTATTAACAAGAAGGACAACTTAAGTACATGTAAATTTTTTTAAAAGAGCTTTTTTTGTATTTAAAAAAAAATCCCTTTCTAACTTTCTTTATGCCATTTTCCCAACTCGTAAGTATTCAGATCCCTGGTGCTACTTCAAGCCTCTCACTAAATTTTTTTTTTTTTTCAGATGGAGTCTTGCTCCGTTGCCCAGGCTGGAGTACAGTGGCGTGATCTCGGCTCACTGCAACCTCCGCCCTCTGGGTTCAAGCAATTCTCCAGCCTCAGTCTCCCGAGTAGCTGGGATTACAAGTGTGTGCAACTACGCCCAGCTATTTTTTTGTATTTTTAGTAGAGATGGGTTTCACCATGTTGGCTAGGCTGGTCTCTAGCTCCTGACCTCCGGTGGTCTGCCCGCTTCGTCCTCCCAAAGTGCTGGGATTACAGGCATGAGCCATTGTGCCTGGTCTCTCACTAAAGCTTTCTGAAGAAGTCCCTCCCCAAACACTAGCCTCTAGTGTTTCAAATGATCTCCTTTATTCCTTTTCTCACATCAGTAGAAGCCCCCATTCTTTCAAAGAGTTGGTTTCAACTAGATATTACAAAAAAATTCATTTATTGAACTGATTCATGTGAACGTATGAATGAGTCTTGGCTCCTTAACCTCATTTGTGGTTGCATCAGAAAGAGAAGGAAGCTGTACAAACAAAAATATGTTTCATTGATAAACTTTTGGAGATATAGCTCAAAAGAAAAAAACACATTTTCAAAGAGAAATCTTGGGTGAGAGCAAGGAGGGTCACCTTGAATCAAGCTGGGAAATCTGTCCCTCCCCTGTAGTATCAAACCCTTAAACACTTTCCACTTTTCAAATTTAATAATAACTATTTCTAAACCTGCAGCTTGTTTTTCTAAACAGCTATGAATGTTTGGTTGTTTTTTATAAACGGACTCCCACTAGGCAGCCCCAGGAGGTTTCAGAGGTAAAGCAAAGAGATGAAAGACCAGAGCCATTTGTGTGCTTGTGTTGCTTGCAAAGCAGGTGTTGATATGCCAAGAAACCCTGCTCAAAAGCTATGTAACATAGCAGTATAATAAACTTAGGAACAGGGTATGCTATAGAAAGCAAAGGCACCATCTAGCATTTCTGGGTTCACACAGTGTATGCAGCATTTTTTTAAGCTGCTCACTTAAAGATTTCTGGTTTCTGGAAAACGTATTGATTCACCCACCATAACTGCTAGGTTATCTATGATTTTGCTAGAAAAAGAAGAAACTAAACATCAGTTAGTAGAGACAATTCATGAATTTTGTAAAGTTACAAAAAATAATAATTGATACTATAAAAATATGGTAAATGGATATTATTACTAGCTCACACGCAATTTGCTTAGTAAATTGGCTTTCAATAGGAGTCTCAACTAAAAGGGGAAATGCCAGGATTGAATATGACTACAGTTTAACAGTTGCTTTCTTTAATTTTTTTTGTCTCTGAAGAGCAACTATACCAGTGAATTGTTGAAGCCCTGTTAATTTGCTTGGCCAAATGTGCATCCTTAACCATCTAATCCAAAAATAGTCAACTGGTAAAAAAACAGACGACTTTTAACAGACTGGCATTTTGAGCTGGTGTACAAAGGTGGACAGATTACAGCAATTCATTTAAATTTCCTGGTTCCATGCACATGTTAATAGTGACTCAGAAACACCCTCTGATACTCAGTGTGTCAGTCACACCGGGATTCATTCACTGAGTTCCGGGAGCAAGGCAGCTTTTCAAGGCTGGGCACTAAACAGGGGGAGCTTTGTGAGTGCCTAGACTCCTCTGCCGGCCACCTGCTCTTCCTCTCCTTGGCTTCCACGTAAGTTGCTTGTTCCAATGATCGTGGCACGTGCTCAATGCCGTTTAGAACAAGATTAATACCGTGAGCTGACACGGCTTTCCTGGCAGCCCCTGTCTTGTCTCTTCTCTAACACACTCTACTCACTTCCTACCTATTCTAATATCACTGCTCACATCACAGGGGGGAAAAGATCTCTCTTTCTGTCTTCATGCAACACTTCAGCTGAAAATCGCACAGTTACTGAAAGTTTCATCACTTTTGAGATATATACTATAATAAATAAATCCTGACATGATGGACCTGAGGGGGAATTTAACAATAATATAGGAAGAAATATCCTCAGAAGTCTATTTATCCTGGCCCCAAATAGTCACTGTATTGTATAATTCTATAAAATGTTAGATTCTTAATTTGGCAGACTAGTCTTTTAATCAAAGGAATATTTAATTCATTAGACTACTTTAACCTGTGGAAACACAAGGTGAAATGTTATCAGTAAGGCAAGTGATTGTGGGGTTTGACTAGAAATTATTCACGATTTTCTATAGGAAGAGCCTATATTGACTGTGTCCAGTGGACCAATGGCTTACAACAAGTTATCACTATCACAGGAAACAGATGGATATGGAGACGTGACAAACACTGTTATTGATTCTCTACTAAAAAGGATATTACAAATTAAATAAGCACAAAGCTGATAACACAGCTAATTGAAAAGAAGTAAGGAAGACAAAATCTCTTAGTGATCATGTCCTCAAGTGGAGAAAATGGCAGATGCTGATGTTGGTTCAGTGAATGTTAGTTTAGCTCAGAGGAGAAGTTAAAGAGAGAGGACTGGAGCCAGGCACAGTGGTGTGCACCCATGGTCCCAGCGAGTCGAGAGGCTGAGGCAAGAGGATTGCTTGAGCCCAGGAATTAGATGCTGCAGTGAGTCATGATCACGCCACAGCGCTCCAGGGTATGTGACAGAGCAATAGCCTGACTCTTAAAAAAAAAAATGTTGGGGGGTGGCTGCCTCATTAACAAATAACAGAAATTCATCCAGCAACCCAGCTATTCATTAATCTCCCCAAAAGTCAAATCTAATTGGAATGGGCCCTCCTTTGGTGGGAACTAGGTATAGATAATTTTATAACTACTCTCAGGAGATCTAATGTGCAGCTAAGCTTGAGAACTAAAGATCTAGGCCGGGCGCGGTGGCTCACGCCTGTAATCCCAGCACTTTGGGAGGCCGAGGCAGGCAGATCACGAGGTCAGGAGATTGAGACCATCCTGGCTAACACGGTGAAACTCCGTCTCTACTAAAAATAGAAAAAATTAGCCGGGCATGGTGGCTGGCGCCTGTAGTCCCAGCTACTCCGGAGGCTGAGGCAGGAGAATGGCGTGAACCCAGGAGGCGGAGCTTGCAGTGAGCCAAGATCGCGCCACTGCAGTCCAGCCTGGGCAGCAGAGCTAGATTCCGTCTCAAAAAAAAAAAAAAAGGGAGTCATTTGTGTGAAATTTCTCAATCAAATATTGGTGATTGATATGTGCTGAATGAACAAGTGAATGAAGGCATTACTTGAAGAACTATTTATTTCAGAAACATTTAACATGGATATGGCATCCTTCTTAAATTGGCTGCACAGATACAATGGTATTCTCTGTGCAGATTTAAGACAGCCAAAAATTTAGGTCATTTGAATTAGAGAACTAATATTCTCAGACTTTTCTGATATTTTTCTTTCAATGTATAAGTCAAAAACAGGAATGAATGCAAGTTGTACTATTCCAGGAAATTGCCTTCTCAATCCTGTAATCTTCTTTTTGGTAAAAAGCCTTGATTACATCATCTTTCCCAAAATACAAGGTTTCCATTGCAATAGCTCCAGCAGAATTGCTATTTAGGATAGTAGATGTTCAATTCTTTCTCTTCCCCAAGGTTGATGTCTACAAGTTTCACCTGTTAAACAGTTTTCTATACATCATTTTAAGAAAAGTTTATCCAGAAGCAAAGAACTAACGCCAAGAGGAAATACTTTATAATTTAACATGATGAATTCCTAAATGTTATTTGTATTTCTCTGCATATGCATCATCCTCTGCAATGGTAATTTTTAAATCCACATTTTCTTTATATATTCTTCAAAAACATTATTTTTTTAAGGGTGCTGGAAGTACAGCTATGAATAGCACAGAAAAAGGCCTTGCCTTCAGGAAGATCACATTCAGCTGGGAGAGACAGATAATAACCTGGCAACTAACAAATGAATAAAAACAATCTTAAAAAATCTTATTTAAAACAGTGGTGTTCCTTTCTCCCTTGGAATGCCACACTATTATGTTTCAATATATACATTCTTTCCTTTTTCAGCACTGTTAACACTCACTTCAACAGAATAATATCTTACTTGCTAGTGTTTTTTTTGTAATTTCAAGGAGCATGTATTATCTCTTATTACTCAGAGGTTGTTTGCTTGTTTGTTGTATTTGTTTTCTTCATTCTGAAAGGATACGAGTTGTACAAAACTGAAACTTTTACAAATTATTGCAACTTGGAGAATCAGCTGCTTTCTCTACCCCTTTGAAGAGCATTATCTATCTCTTTTCTTCATACATCTGCCCTCATTCAGAAAAGCAATTTTCTTTGTTTACATCTGAATTAATCCAGCATATATTTATTGGGTAGTTATTATGTGCAAAAGTACACTATATGCTAAACCAAGTAGATTTGGTCCCTGCCCACATACACTGGACAGTTCACCAGAGGAGATAGGACATTATAAAAAGAAACACATATCAAAATGTGGCAAATACTATGAAAGTACCTCTAAGAGAGTGTAATGGGAAAAGCTAACATAGACTTGGCAGTGAGGGAAGAGCCTTTAAAGAAATGTCTTTGCAAACTAAAGTGGGGTTGGGTGGAAGAATTCTCTGGGAATGGCCCTAAAGTGAAATAGAGCTTGGTATATTTTAAGAACTGAAAAGTAGGCCATGAAAGTGAACGAAAGTGAGTGAGGGGGTGGGGCATGAGGTGAGGTTTCAGGGGTGGGTAGGCAGGAGATCCTGCATGCTTTATAGGCTGTGTCAGAGTTTGGATTTTATTCTAAGCACAATAGAAAGCCACTGAACCATTTTAGGCAAGTAAGTTGCTTGAGATAAATTACATTTTATAGAGATCATTCAGTTAACTTTGTGGAAAATGGTTGGAAAGCGGGTAAAAGTAGAAATCGCAAACCACTTAAGTTGTTGGAGGCTGTTCTTGTCCAGTGGAGAGAAGATGGGAATTTGGGTAAGGGCTGGTAATAGAGATGGGAAAAAAAAGTAGTGAGATTTGAAGGATATTTTGAAAGTAAGATTTATTGGACTTGCTGATAGTATGGACATGAGGGTAAGGGAGAAGGTGGATTCATGAATGATATCCAGCCCAGTTTCTGGCTTGAGCAATCTTGCATATTTGCAGTATGGTAGAGAAAACAGATCTTAAAAATGTCATTATGATGAGTGGAACGAGAAATCCATTACACTCCAAGCAAGGAGATTAAATTCATTCTAAGTGATGAAGAAAAATCTTCCTGAAAAATTCATGCTTATGCCGAAACTAGCATGGCAAGAAAGAGCTTGCTAGGCAAAGAAGTGGCCTGATATAAATATCAGGACTTTCTTTATTCAATTCCTGCTAGTAATTCATTCATTTGCTTCATATTTCTTCCCTCAGATTTTTAAGATAGCAGATCTAATTGACCCATCTTATCCTTTCCAATCCAGGCCATAGACCCTGGGTCAGTAGCCAGCCTATGTCTGGCTTCTCTTATACCAAATCCATACAGCAAGAGCCACAGTTAAGATTTCATTTAGAAGAGAAAGTATATACAGTATTGGTAGGATCATCAGATGGACAGCTCTAGAGAAGGAGCTTTCTGGCTCCCTCTCCTATAACATTACTTAATGTGTTACAAGATAACTTACTTGTCTGCTCTACTTTCCACTTAACCCAGTTGGAAGGAACACTTAATTTTTTTCTCATGTTTAATAAGGGCCTGGAAGGAAGGTGTGGCCCTCTTCAAACTGTTTCACATTAAACTCCAAACAGAAAAGAAGCCATTAGTCATAGATGCATTTGGACATCTAAGACTTAGCAAGTCGGGGGTGGTCGGGAAAGTAACACTCTGAGTTATAATTCCCCTGAGGAGATGACTGGATGGGTAGAGGCTCTAGGGCTTCATCATCTGGTTTGCCAACCCATTTTTCATATGCTTCTTAACATCTGTGAATCGTTCAGTGTTCCAAGCAAAGAGTCATTAAATCGGTTTTGTTTATGATTGATCCAGAAGTCTCTGATCCTGTATAAATTCAAAAGGCAACCAGAAATTTTCTCATGTGCTTGGTCCAGGGAGTTATATTAAATATTTTTACAACAGATTTCATATCTGTAATTGTTGATGATGTAATAGCATGATATATTTGCCCTGAGGGCTTGTTTCTTTAAGGTTAAGCCACTATAGAATTGCTTTAAAGAATAATAGGGATAGCTAGGTCAGACCACCGAGGCTAGTGCCCATGTTTTAGACAGACAAAAATGACAACTTGGAATTTTCTGGGATTACTTTCTCTTGGTAGATCTACTGCTTCAGCTAGAAAGCCAGGCTGAGAACACAGGCAATAAATCATACAAAGTGATACCAACGTACACAGATCCCTTGCGCCTCCTTGTTTTCCACTTAGGCACACTCTTGCTGGATCCTTTTCATAAGCAGAATGAATGGAGGAAGGCACCAAGTGAATGGGGTCTGAAGCTGCAAGCTGCCTAGGGATGAGAGGCCGTATCAAATTACTATAAAAGGAAATTCTGCTTGCCACTCGTTGCATAGCCTAGTTATTTCCGTGTTGTATATTCTGCTGTTAAATGGGACATTCTTGACATTTTAGTGCAGCAGTCTATTGGGGCCTAAAACAATAGGACTCTATAAATTATGGCAGTGTTTTCCAATGTTTCCAATGTCATGACCTACATCAATAGGGGAAAGCAGAATTGCCTCTTTGAGAAGATAGGGACTGACCTAAGGGCTGTAGCAGCTTTAGGCTTGACCCAGCTATTCCAAGGGCTGAGGAAATCAGTATCTTGGCACACTAGAAACTCACTTGCAGCACACCAGTATTTTCTGGCACACCACCAAATTAAAATGAATTAAACAAGATACTAGTTTATTTTCCTTACAGACAAGTTGGTGGTCCTGAGCTTATATAGCATCCGGTAACTGAGGCCTGTTCTAGCTTATAGTTTCAGTATCCCCAGAGCAGTTTCTTTGTCTACATGATCCAAGGTGGCTCATCACCAACTTCACATTTCAGGAAGCAGGATGAAGGGCCAGGAGAAGGAAGGCATACCCTTTTCTTTTAAGGCTATTACCTAGAAGTAACACAGATTACTTTCTCACATACCATCAGTAAATTTAGTGAAATCACCAAGCTTAATTGCGAAGGAAACTGGGAAATATAATCTTTGGGAAAAAAGTTTGATTTTTATAAAAATGACATTATGAAAGAGTAAGAATATTGGGAGACTAGTAGTCTTTCTGCTATCTGCCCCTTTGATCATCTATCTATCTCTATATGTACTTGTGTACACATGTACACGTAGACTTTGGTACACATAGATCATAATCATCTTCAGTCCAAAAGATAAAACTCAATATTTCCATTAAATTATTGGATTTAGCTCAAATCATAGGATCTTGGTGATATATAGCCACCACCATGAGGTCCAGAAATCCATTTTGGGGGTCTGGTGACCTCTAAATCGAAAAACAGGTTATGCAAATCTCCTCCTACTCACAAACACACATGAAATAACTTGTATAAAACTGTGGAGTCAGAACAAGATAATTTTTCTAAAGGATTACATTCAGAGAAGGAAGGAATGGGACAGACATAGCAGTTCTGTTTTCATTATAATGATCAAATCCCACTGGCTGGAAATTGCAAATATGTTCCTGCCTTGACAGCTGAGTAAAGTTTTTGTCCGTTTCATCTCCAAACCCCTGGTTCTGTTTTCTTGGAGGATTACCTTCCACATTGTCCACAGGTCCCTGCATTTTCCCCTGGAAGGTCCTTCCTGTTCGTTATCCTTGATGACCACATTTGATGTGAACAATGGAGAGTTTTCCCTTCTTGGCGGCCAAACAGCTTTTATAGTCATGTGTCTGCTGTTGCACTTCTGGTGGCACAGGCATTGCTTAGGTCACTCATCCTTTGGCATCCAGGATTGAAGTCCTTTGTCAATATAGCCCTCTAGAAACTTAATAGCTTTCTAATGTATTTGTTTCCAACAAATTCCACGAGCATGTAGCCAGCACCAAATATTTCTTGCTCATCTTTCTTGACTTAATGGAAACTGTCTTAGAGCAATCCAGATATAGGTTTACATGAGAAAGACAATTCCCTTAATATGATGTCTGTCCTCAAGATAGCTGCCTTTCTCTGGCCTAAAAATCTTAAATGGGAGGTGTATGAGAAATAGTTTGAGGTTATATGTCGTAGTAACTTCAGAGCCACCTCATATAAATGTTTTAGTTTAAAGTACAAAATCAGCTTTAGCTTTTTAACTTTTAGGGCACCTATGCACCAGTCACCCAGCCAGCTTGGATTACTGGCTGCAGGCAGAGAGAGTGGCCCTTGTCCTAGTCATGCATATTTGAGTTTATGCTTGCAAGCTGTTTAGTGATAGCCTGAGTTCATTTTTCCTTTGTAGGATTTGTTGAAGAAAATCACTACAAGCCAATGTCTATAGCATTCAATACATTTTATCAACTATTTTCCCTAGAGTTATAGTCAGTCTGATTTCCAAGATATCATTAGTGACAATTTTACCAAATACTTTGTAACAGCATTCCAGCTTTCCAGTCAGAAATATCTGTGTTTTTGCTGTCCACCTCCAGACAGGTTAGATTATAGAAAATAAATG
Source organism: Homo sapiens (assembly GCF_000001405.40). Taxonomy (NCBI): domain Eukaryota; kingdom Metazoa; phylum Chordata; class Mammalia; order Primates; family Hominidae; genus Homo; species Homo sapiens. The sequence goes on from NC_000008.11 coordinate 87,981,233, forward strand.
TTACCTATTTCAAGTTGTGTTATGTGATGACATTATTTTCAGGTGCCAGATTTTTTAGTAATTAAGATATAGGTTGCCTGTTTATAACAGAGATCCAATATAAAAGTACTTAAATAAGACAGAATTTTCTTTCTTTCTTAATACCAGTTAGGATATTGACTGCCCAGGGCTACTTTATAATATTAGAGACCCAGGCTCTTTCCAGAGTGTTGCCCCGCCTTTCTTAGCGGACTATCCTCATCCACATAGCACAAGCTGACTCACGACTGGAGCCACAATAGAGGAAGGAGAAAAGGAAGGTGTGCCCCTTTATAATCATGACTGAGAAATGGTTTAAATGTTTTCCTTTCATAGACATGATTGGCCAAGAATTAGTAACAAAGCCAGAACTGGCTACATGGGACCCCGGGAAATGTAGTTGTTGCTAGGAAGTCATATGCTCACCCTGGAATTCTATTACTAAAGAAGAAGAGAAGAATTTGATTTGGAGGGACTATGTCCATATCCTTCACAAGTTCCTTTGTATTTTAAGAACCCCTCATTTCGGAAGAGTTAGTTTTGTTTCCTTTAGTTAAAAAAGCTACTACATACTTGGAGGATCCATGACATTTAGAAATGGAGTTTCTGAAAATAGAAAAATAAAATTGAGAAAAGTTCCAGATGATAGTCTTCTTTCTTTTGCTTAAGATTTCTTTTTCTTTTTCTTTTTTTTTTGGATGGAGTCTCGCTCTGTTGCTCAGGCTGGAGTGCAGTGATGAGATCTTGGTTCACCGCAACCTCCGCCTCCTGGGTTCAAGCAATTCTGCTGCATCAGCCTGCCAAGTAGCTGGAATTACAGGTGCCCACCCCCACATCTAGCTATTTTTTTTTTTTTTTTTTTTTTAATACAGACAGTGTTTCACCACGTTGGCCAGGCTGGTCTCAAACTCCTGACCTCAGGTGATCCACCCCCCTTGGCCTCCCAAAGTGCTGGAATTACAGGGGTGAGCCACAGCGCCCAGCCTTAGGATTTCTTAATAGGTATTTATTAGAAGCTTAAGTTATGTGAATTATCCTTTGAAGCTGATCCTCCTTTTTATTGCTTTCTAATATTGATATATTTTTAATTCTTGCTATCAAATTTTTATTTAATCCCTTAACTTAATGGAAGATGAAGGTTTGTTGTGTTTTCAAAACACACATAAAGCTATTATTATATGTTGACTTTTTCTAAAACTTGCTGGGTATACAAATTATAGCAACTATTAGGAAGATGAGGAGGGAGCTGCAGTGAATGACTTTTCCGAATATTTGACATATTTGTATAACTTCTGATTTTGAAATCTGCAAAATTCTATTACCCAGCATGTGGTAATTAACAGTCTATTTAACTGCAGAAAAATGAGCTTTTTTTTACTGAATTATAAAATACTTGTTATACTATTAATTCTTTTCATTAATACAATAATTGACTCCCCCCAAGAGTCAAGTATATCTCTCACAGATTGGCCAAGCCTTGGTGAGATCTCAGCATGTCTAATGTAGGGAGGTATAGCAACATCTGAGGGTTCAGGTTTTGAAGTTACAGACCTGACTTTAGACTCCCAGTCCACCAGTTATATTTACACATCCTAGGAAAATTATTTGCCACTCTAAGCCTTCTAGTTCACAACAATAAAATTCATGTAATAGTACTACTTGCTGTTCACATTAGTATAAAAATTAAAGGATATTATCCGTAAAATGTATTTAGATAGCCTGTAGCAAATGGCAAGAATGTAATATAGGCATACCTTGGAGATACCGCAGTTTTGCTTCCAGAGCACGGCAATAAAGTAAACATCGTAATAAAGCAAGTCATACAGTTTTTGTTTCCCAGTGCATATAAAAGTTATGTTTACACTATATTGTACTCTATATTAAGTGTAAAATAGCATTATGTCTAAAAAACAATGTATTTACCTTAATTAAAAACACTTAATGCTAAAAAAGGCAAACAATCATGTGCGCCTTCTAAGATTTCTAATCTTTTCAGTTGTGGAGGGTCTTTCCTTAATGTCCATGCCTGCTGACTGATCCGGGTGGTGGTTGCTGAAAGTTGGGGAGGCGGTGGCAATTGCTCAAAATAAGATGACAATGAAGTTTGCCATGTGGATTGGCTATTCTTTTCATGAAAGATTTCTCTGTAGCATGTGATGCTGTTTGCTTGCATATTACCTACAATACAACTTCTTTCAAAATTGGAGCTAATCCTCTCAAACCCTGCTGCTGCTTTATAAACTAAGTTTCTTAAATATTTCAATGGCTTTGTTGACATTTCAACAATGTTTGCAGCATCTTTACCAGGAATAGATTGGATCTCAAGAAACCACTTTCTTTGCTCATACATAAGAAGCAGCTTCTTATTTCTTCAGATTTTATCATTAGACTGCAGCAATTCAGTCACATCTTCAGGATCCACTTCCAATTCTAGTTTTCTTGCTATTTCTACCACATCTGCAGTCACCTCCTCCACTGAAGTTTTGAACCCCTCAAAGTCATTCATGATGGTTGAAATAAACTTCAAATTCCTGTTAATGTGAATATTTTGACCTCCTCACATGAATCAAGACTGTTCTTAATGGCATCTAGAAAGGTGAATCTTTTCCAAAAAATTTTTAATTTACTTTGCTTAGATCCATCATAGGAATCACTGTCTATGCCATTTATAGCCTTACAAAATGTATTGCTTAAAGAACAAGACAAAAGTCAATATTACTTCTTGATCCGTGGACTGCAAATGGGTGTTGTGCTAAAGGGATGACAACAACCTTAACCTCCTTGTACCTCTCCATTAGAACTCTTAAGTGATCAGACACATTGTCAATAAGCAGTAATACTTTGAAAGGAATCTTTTTTTTTTTTCTGAGCAGTAGTTCTCAACAGTGGACCTAAAATATTCAGTAAACCATGCTGTAAACAGATGTGCTGTCACCCAGGCTCTGTTATTCTATTTACAGTATAGATTTCCCATCATTCTTAATGCCCTAGGACAGTTAAAATGGCATATGAGCATTGGATTCCACTTAAAGTCACTAGCTGCCTTAACCCCTAACAAGAGAGCCAACCTGTATTTTGAAGTTCTGAAGGCAGGCATTGACTTCTCTGTAGCTAGTCCTAGACAGCATCTTCTTCCAACAGAGGGCCGTCTCATCTACATCGAAAATCTGTTGTTTAGTGGAGCCATCTTCATCAGTAATCTTGGTTGGATCAGCACTTGCTGCGTCACCTTGCATTTTTATGGCATGGTTGTGGCTTCTTTCTTTAAATCTTGTAAACCAACCCCTGCTAGCTTCCAATTTTTCTTCTGCAGCCTTCTCAGCGGCCTTCATAGTACTGAAGAGAGTTAACTCCTTGCTCTGGATTATGCTTTGGCCTAAGGGAATGTTGTGGTGGGTTTGATCTTCTATCCAGACCACTCAAACTCTCTCCATATCAGCAATAAGACTGTTTTACATTCTTATCATTCATATGTTCACTGTAGTAGCACTTTTAATATCTTTCAATAACTTTTCCTTTGCATTCACAACTTGGCTAACTGATGCAAGAAGCCTAACTTTTGGCCTATCTTGCTTTTCAGCATGCCTTCCTTCCTCACTAAGCCTAATCATTTCTAATTTTTCATTTAAAGTGACAGATATGCTACTCCTCTTTTCACTGGAACACTTAGAGGCCGTGGTAGGGTTATTAAATGGCCTAATTTCAATATTGTTGTGTCTCACAGAATAAGGAGGCCTGAGGAGACAGAGAGAGATGGGGAACAGCTACTTGATGGAGAAGTTCAAATATACACAATAATTATCAATTAAGTTGGCTGTCTTATACAGACATAGTCCATGGTGCTCACAACAATTACGATAGTAACATCAAAGATCACTGGTCACAAATAATCATAATAGCTATAATAATAATAAAGTTTGAAATATTGCAGGAATTAACCAAAATGTGACAGTGACATAAAGTTAACACATGCTGTTAGAAAAAAAATGGTGTCAACAGATTTGCTCAAGACAGGGTTGCCACAAACTTTCCATTTGTAAAAAAAAAAAAAAATGCAATATTTGCCAAGTGCAATAAAGCGAAGCACAATAAATTAAGTGCAAAAAAAATGAGGTATGCCTGTACTTAGTTTTAAAACCAATAGGTAGTCCTATATATATTCCTATGGAAAAATATTTCTAGTAAAATACTCCATGATATAAACTGAAGACAGAGTAATACATAATGAGTATCTCTCCTATATATAGTTCAAAAATAAGCAAAGCTAATCAATGATTCATGTTAGAAGTTAATGTAGAAGTTATCTTTGCAGTGGGCAGTGATTGGCAGGGAGCATAAGGAAGGCTTCTAATGTTATGTGAATGTTCTAATTCTGGATGTGTGTGCTGATTTAAAAAGGCATGTTACATTTGTAAAAATGCATCAAGCTGTGGCCTTGTGATCTGTGTGTTTTTTGTGTGTATGCCATATATTGGTCAATAAATTTTTTTTAATTCTTTAAGCAAAAGAGAGTACTGACTAGAAATCCTTTCAGTCTGTTATTTAAACAAGTAACGTGACTTCTTAGCAAAAGGAATAAAAAAAAAGCAGTAGGGCAATAAGATATTTATGGAAAGCATGTATTCTTGAAGACTTCATATTATTTAAGACTTACTTTATCTAAGACTAATATCGCAAAGAAAAAAGTAAAATAAGCATTTGTATTATTTTTTGAAAATTTGATTCATAAAATTTTATTACTGCTTTATACTGAATTATTTTGAACTAGCAAAATTTGAACTAACATAAAATGTATGAACTTTATAATTATTAAAATGTCAACAGTAGCCAGAAAAGATTGTGTTTTACTCTCTCTTTGGAGGCATTCTAGTTATCCATGCTATTTAACAGAATATTTGGCAAACGTGTTGACTTTTGAAAGGTGGTCACACACTAATATTTATAAGAGTTTATAAGACAGAAAAGAGAACACAGGATACTAAACCCAATATGAAGTTAATACTTTGCAATTCAGCTAAATGTTCTTCCATGTAAGAATCAACAGAAAGAATAGCTAAATTTTACCAAGTTTTTATTATGTGCTCAGTCACTTGTCTAAGGAGTTTACCCATATTTTTGCTTTTAATTCTCACATTGAATCTACGAGAAGTATCTCCCCTATTTTTGAGATAACGAAACGGAGGCATGGAGAAACTAAGAAACTTGGCCAAGAACACTAGCCCAAAGAGGAGCAAGATTTGAACCAAAGCACCCTGCATCTAGAGGGAGTGAGCATAATTTACATTGGTCTGCCACCAGGTAGGAAATTCTGGGTGTGCATCCCAACTTCCCCAGCAAATCACTAAAAAACATATTTCTACTGGACAAATACAAATTCCCAAGGAGGAGAATGCAAAATTTTCATCATTTTATAAAATAAAAAACCATGAAACAATTTCAAGCCTTCTAGGTGGCTGCTTTTTGGTGTCTCTAGATTTCCCCAGCTGATATTTCAGTGGAAAATTTTAGGGAGCTCTATATGAAAGTGTTCTTCTTAATAAAGCAGTTAAGTGAAGGCAGAAATAAATAAAATGTGACTTAGTCACGTGGAAGATAGCAGATAACTAAAGAGATGGTATGTCAAGCAGAGTTATGCCTTCAATTGAAAAGAAATTCTATTTTACCTATGAGTTCAATTTACATTTTCTAATTTGCCTTCAGTATTTGAAATTCTATGCCATGCAGAAACAAGAAATGCATGATTTAAAAATTGATGAACTTGAGGTGAGACGGAACTCTCTAAGGAAGTCTTTCTCATTTAGTTGTAAAAATATTTCTCCTGAGGTCTAAGTTAACCTGCCCGATGTTAAATCACTTAACCAATCAACAAACAACACAGTGAGTGAATTTACAACGTTGTTGCCCCTATAAAGTTGCTGTAGAGGTTTTCTAATTCTTTGCCCCAAGGAACAAAACAATAATAAATATCATGTTCCAAACATGAATCAATTGAGCAGTGTGAAAAAAATCTCAATCCCTTTTTTTTCCTCCTAGCATGTAGACAAACTAGCTGGGTTAGTTACTGATAACGATTTTTCACTTTTCAACTGATTATTTCAGCTTTGCATAGACAGTGACTATAACTAATTATATTGCTACTTGATATCCCCTGGGTTTCTTACACCAACTCCTCGAACCACAGTATTTTCTCTGGTAGGCTCATTTGTCTGTTAGCAAAAAAGCAATGTGGTCATTTTCTTTCCACTGCTACTGTTAATTACTGCTCTCTCTTTTCAGATCTACCAGCTGCTGCCACTACAATGAATAAACAAATCAATTTTATAGGATACTTAAGAGAGAATTTAGCAAGATGTCCTCAGAATGCAGAGGCGGCAAACTGAGCAAAGATATCCCCTTGCCTAATTCAAGTATGCAGTTCAAATATTTAGAAACAAAGTTCGGGGCCAATAGTCATTCATTAAGACATATCAACTAAAGAATTAATTTAAAAATCTGAAGGGAAGTATAGATTTTTAATTCTGAATTCTGCTTATCCTGTACATACATAATAATGAAAATACTACTTAAAAATAAGAAAAATCATAAAGTATACTGCTCATCATGATGTGGAACAATTTGGATATTGGAAAAGATTTCAGTGTTATTTTACATTTTCTGATATTTCATGAATATGTTTAGCAGGACATTTACGAATATTACATATAATTAACAATATTAGTAAATAAAATATTAGTAAAAATGATGCATTTAATTTAGTCAAGTTATCTTAAAAACTCACACTTCACAAATTGAGTTCTTGATCTAATTGAAATAATGGGGACATTATTATGAAATATATATGCAGCGGTGCAATTTTAAGCAGATTTTGTGTGCTTAAAATATTTTAAAGTGATAATAATTTAATTTGTTTTCTGTGTTGCTAATTATTAAAAAGAACTTTACTAATTTTTTATTATTATTTTTATTATTATTATTAACTAATTATTAAAAAGAACTTTTTTCCATACCAGAAAGGATATACAAAAGGCTATATTTGGTTGTATTCTAAAGAATCTTCTCAAAATAAAACTTGTTAAAAAGTCACTGAACACTTCCTTAAAAATAAGTTGGAGTTCTTAACATAAACTTGTTCTCCTCCAGTCTTCATAATAAAACTGAGCTGCAGGTATTATCCTTCCCTTATTTAGTGACAAAGAAACTGAAAGGCTTAGAATTCTAAAATGAGAGTTCCATGGTTAGAATCTGGCTATGGCTTTCCTTCTCCACCGTGCATAAAGAGAACACATATCTGTGGCACATAAACTGCCATGGCCTTTTCCAGAATGTGTGACAGACATTGCTAAGCAATTTCAATACTTTTGTGCTCAGAGCTTCCACGTGGTCCCAGAATCCTTTTCCACCCAGCACTTCAAAAGCCATTACCAATCCACTGGCATTGGCCCGCAACTTAAAACCCATTTTCCCTCCCTGGACCTTGCATTTTCCACTAGAGCAGTATGACTTTTGAGAAATGATTAAAGAGTGGCTACTTCCCAGATGCTCTGAAGTTTAAAATATAAAAACCCAGATCATCATGTAGCTGATTAATGTTTTCAAAGTCTTCTGTGAGTGGATTTTAAATAGATTCTGCTCAGTGCATCAACTACTCTCTGAAAGCATATTTTCCTCTTTGGAAAGCTGCTTTGGGATAGTTCATTAACATGGCATAAAAAAAACTGGTAATTTTGCATATGAAAGAAGAGTCCTTTAATACATTTAAATGCTCTGAAGTAATGTGGACTCTCAGGGTAGCTGGTGATATGTCAGTATATGGAACCAAGGAACTGAAAAATATATTGGAGCAGGATAGTTCAACTTATTTTGAGGCTTCAAGCAGGATGAGATTAGGAAACAAACAGTGCTGAAGGAAAAGCCCCTCAGCTTGAGCAGATTTGTAGAGGTGACTGAAGTCCTGATCATATTCCATCTGTGACATATTTGCTACATCTTTAGTTTTATTTATTTATTTATTTTGAGACCGAGTTTTGCTCTTGTCGCCCAGACTGGAGCATGGTAGGGCTGCGGTCTTGGCTCACTGCAACTTCTGCCTCCCAGGTTCAAGCGATTCTCCTGCCTCAGCCTCCTGAGTAGCTGGAACTACAGGCGTGCATCACCAAACCCGGCTAATTTTCTGTGTTTTTAGTAGAGATGGGGTTTCCCGATGTTGGCTAGGTTGGTCTTGAACTCCTGACCTCAGGTGATCTGCCTGCCTTGGCCTCCCAAAGTGCTGGGATTACAGGTGTAAGCCACCACGCCCGGCCACATCTTTGTTACTTATAGGTGCCAGAGACTGTGGAATAGGCCATGTTACAGGGAAGGGGTCCCCCGATCAAGACCCCAAGAGAGGGTTCTTGGATCTCGTGCAAGAAAGAACTCAGGGCAAGTCCACAGTGCAAAGCAAAAGCAAATTTATTAAGAAAGTAAGGTGGTGAAAGGACAGCTACTCCATAGACAGAGTAGGATGTTCCTGAAAGTAAGAGGAGGAACGCATCCACCCTAGGCACCATGCTTGTATGTATGGGGAGATGTGTTCTGCTACATGGGTTTGTGATAAAGGATTAATTTTCTTAATTACTATATTTTACAAGAATCGATATTATTATCTTTAAAGGAAAATTAGGAGTACCTTTGTTCTCCAGATATCAGGATATCTGGACACTCCCAAGTCTGGGTCTGTTTAGCAAACATTATTAATTTGTTCCGTTAACTGTAAACATCTAGAAGCTAGGAATGCCTCACTTTCTGAGAATGCCGCCTAGCAGCTCTCAATCTCATTATTTCTAGCCCTCTCTCAAAATGGAGTTGCTCAGGTTCGAATGCCTCTTACAGCTGTGGCAGTGGGGGCAGGAGAAATCAGGTACTAGCACTGCCTAGTGGAACTCTCTCCATGATAGGGGTTATGATTACATTCAAGTATTTGAATGCTTTATTACTTTCACTGAAGGATTGTCAGTTTTCAAAAGGCTTTATGGTGACACAATTATGTTTCAATGCTTATCCTGCTATCCTGCTTAATCTAATGTAATGTATAAACTGTTTTCACATTTTTATTTCTTTTTCTGGGCTTCTCAGATACGTACTCCCTACTTTTGTCACATTGATAGTTGAAGGGCATCAAAAGAGGGAGGCTAAAAGATGTCTTCATGTATGTGACTACATATTCCATTCTTAACCCTTGTCCAGTTAAGCTTGATGATTCCAGTGAGTTTTTTGAAAAAATTAAAAGAAATATATAGGCAATAGAGAAAAATAAAATTTTGAGTTACATCCTTTTAACTTTTTTTCTTTGCATCCTCTGATTGCTCTCTTTATGAGCTGTGAAACTTCGTGGGTGCCCTCAGTTGTCCAAATGAAAAGTCAGGTGTGTGTGAATCACAGATACTTTGCCTGAACAAAATGTGTTACAAGGTATTTAATTGTCTTCTTTGCGTTCACATAATTAAAAAATCTGGGAAGTTAAACAAACCCTTTTACCAATTCTATGGGTTGTATAGTGAAGGTTCTTGGTGTGATTTAATATTGGGGTACTGTTAATTGGTTGGTTGTTTCCTCTTTCCAATCTTTGAGGAAATGTGAAGTTTATGTGATTTTTCTCTCTTTTAAAAAATTCTTAACATACATAATGATAGGGCAAGAAATGTGAAGGCAACAGGATAAAAAGAGACAAGCATAAATGCTGTGCAATGGTTAGGCAGCATGAAACATCTAGAATTTCTGACAATCTTAACAGTTGTCTTTGTGACTAGGATGTTCATAGAGCCCATCTTTGATTTAACAAAAATTTAAAATATTTTCAAATGATGATTTTTATGCTAGAAAAGAAAAAATGGTCTCCTCAACTGCCCATGACATCATAAAGCTTGAGCTTTCCTCAAACCTTCAGGAAATGATCTTGTGAGGCGATGCCAGTGTTCTACCCAGGAGAGATTAAGTTCCTAATGATACTATTTCAGCTATTTTGAGAACAGGGAAAACGATATACTCCAGTACAAATGTGTATATTTGTTTGATGTCTGATATCCTTTGCCATTACTAGTTTTCTCTTTCTTCCTAGGCCTACTTCTGTGACTCTAGGTACCAGAGAAATAAATGTGCTTTCTTCAAAGGCAAATCATGCAAGTCCTTTTTAAACTGTGACCCTTTCGTAGGGGTCAGTCTGTGTTTTTCCACATTCAAATAACCTAACAGTTTTCTAATTAGCACTTTCCACTCAAAGCATAGCACACTCTTCAAACTGGCAAATATTTTTGGCTTCTTTGTCAAACATAAAACTGCAAATATTTGGAGCTCTTTTTTTTCTTTAATTTGAGCAATAAGACTATTTGTCCAGAAAATGCACATTGTTTTACAGGGGCTTAGACACCCACCTGTGCACAAAAGTATGGATAAGTGTCAGATACAAAGAAACAATATGATTAAACTCATGCCTGCACTCGTTAGTTCATAACTGCACACACTGTCTCATCTCTTTTACAAAAGTAAATCAGGAATTGGTAACAAACCATTAGATAATCAGAGAAATGTAACTCTCTTGAACACGCTTGTTATCTATATAATACGGGCCAACTAAGTACTTTATAATCCCAGAAATCAATGCATACTGGATTTCAGTTTGACCCTAAATAAATTTCCATGATCTCCAGGAAGAGCACAAAGGTCTTCCGTTTATGAAGCCCCTGCTCCACGTCAGTCGCTGCTCTCAATTATTTTGCCCTCATTTCATGGCATTCTAACCACAGCCATAGGACATACATACTGTTATCCTTTTATTCTTAATGAGGAAGAGGAAAACCACATAGGTGCACACATCTGGATGTGACCCTAGTTTGTCTAATTCCAAAGCCTACTCTTGACTAGATCACCTGGTTTGGAGGGTGGGGGAAACTGCTCTAATTTATCTGATGTGGTCACTCTTCTAAATATACTGACTTAATCAATGGAGGTTAATTTCAGCTTATGTTCAGAAATGACAGCTACTGAGACTTGCTGTTAATATTTCCATTTAAACATCAAGCATACTTTGATCTAAAATAGTCTAAAATATCTGTATATGAGTAAAATATACCGGACACTAAGTGTATAATATCTCCCTGGGCAGACATGACAAGAAACAACAAATCTAAAATTGTTGACCAGTAACTTAATTCCAAGTCATTAATTCAAAGGAAGATTTATTCAAAAAAAGAAAAAAGTTTAAGAAGACATAAACTATAAGTTTTTTCCCTCTTCTGCCTCCTCCCTCTCCCCCCTCCTCCTCCTCTTCCTACTCCTTCTCCTCTTCTTCTTTTGTAATGTCAAGGGTGGGAAAAGAGACAAACGATTTAGCAACAAAAAATTGATCAGGAAAGTACATCTACACTGACTTACTGAAGATGTAAAGACTTTAAAAATATAAGGTACTGTTTAAAATATGTATCTGGGGCCGGGTGTGGTGGCTCACGCCTGTAATCCCAGCACTTTGGGAGGCCGAGGTGGGTGGATCACCTGAGGCCAGGAGTTTGAGACCAGCCTAGCCATCATGGCAAAACCCCACCTTTATTAAAAATACAAAAATTAGCTGGGCATTGTGGTGGCTACCTGTAATCTCAGCTACTAGGGAAGCTGAGGCAGTAGAATCACTTGAACCCAGGAGGTGGAGGTTGCAGTGAGCCAAGATCGCTCCACCACACTCCAGCCTGGGAGACAGAGCAAGACTCCGACTCAGATAATAATAATAATAATAATACATAATAAAATAAAATAAAATATGTACGTGGGTAAGGAAGGTAACTAAAGATTACCTTGAAACAATAAAAGCAAAAGCAATATTACAATGCTAAAGAGGTGGGTTTTTTTGTTCTTTTAACATTTTCATTTTAAGTGTTGTCAAAAATTTTAAAAAGCATTGTTTAAAAAGCAGTTATTGATATCTAGCCTTCCATATTCCACATACCATGTGCAAAATTTAGTACCATTTTGCATGTTCTTACAATGCGCATTTATTCCATGTAGTCTTGAATATGTAACATACAAAACACAGGAGAATTGGAGGCAATATCTTTTTTATACCATATTCTATCTTGGAGGATGCACTAATCAAAAAAAACTGCAAGAGATTTCTATAGTTACATCACTTGCTCACTTACCAACATGATCCACCTCTCAGACTTAGAGGACAAAACATACATATTAAAATAAATACATTCTCTATTATTTCAAAAACTTTTATATCTAATACCTAAATCAAACTATTTTTTAAAAGCTATTTTAAGTGAGGCTTTTCCCTTGTTCCTTCAAATAAATAAACTATTAAAATATTTTGCTTATAATCAGATGCACACAATTCCAAGAAGCTCACTAAAATATCCCAAAAGTAAGGATCCACCTGAATTCGTTATAAAAAGATGTTAATTTTCCTAAGGGAATCTAAAACACAGTCTTCCCTAAATTCTTCCTCAGCTTTCTTTTCCATCAGAATTAGGTCTAAAAACATAGAATTTTGCAGCTGGCCCTCGTTGTTGCACTCAAATGTGGCAAATTTGTACATATTCCTTCACTGTAGCTCATGGAATTGTATCTTCCATGCAGCCTAATCTTTTCCTCTTACTTTTCTCTACTATTTTGGTAATCATTGATCCTCTAACACATCTCAGTAACCACACGGATTGAAAAATTTTCCCTGAGCTCATACCAAGTTTTCTGAAACCTCAAGAAAACCCATTCTTTAATATTTCACAAAAGTCAGTCCTGGGCACCTAGTCAGAGCCTAAAGCCTCTATAATAGCTTCTAGAAATCATTTTTAGGGTTTTCTCCAACTCTAGGATAGCAATCTCTCCATTTAATCTGATATCTGAAGAGAGGTCTTCAACCTTTACTTTTTCTGAGATGTTCTGAAATTAAAAAGCCTATTAGTTGAGATAAACTCTCTGGGGGAGATTATGTCTTTCTAAGGCCTGTTTAAAATTGTCTACTGAGCCTTATACTCAAAGGTTCACTGCCTGACTAAGGGTTCAGGCACAGGTATTGAGAAGTCTCATGATGGCCCCCTTCTCTAATTTCCTGTTTGTGTGTGTGTGTTTGTGTGTGTGTGTTTTAATCTATTCACCTTGTCTCAGCTTACTTAAGAATTTGTCCTTCTACATCATAAAAATTACTTGTATCTTCAATGATTCTGCTTAAAATCACCTCCATAAAAAAATCGAAGTAAGTAGAGTTTGATGACAGTGACCCACAAATACCTCTGCCATACCTCCTCTCATCATTTAGACAGTTCAAGAACTCAAGTAAAAAAGCTTCAATCTGTGGTTTCTTATTTAATATCCCCTAATTAGTTGGTATTACTACTGTCTGTAACTGATTGTATCAGTTAATTCCACCACAATACATGTAAAACTATGGTCATATTTTGAAGCCTTATTTGGGCCGGCAAACTTTGCCCAGCTGATCACTCTTAATGGGATTTTGCATATTTTTTAAATTAAAAATATACTGGACAAAAGAGTATGACTAAAACAATGAAAGTCTGGTCGGACATGTTGGCTCACGCCTGTAATCCCAGCACTTTGGGAAGTGGAGGCGGGTGGATCACCTGAGGTCAGGAGTTCAAGACCAACCTGGCCAACATGACGAAACTCCGTCTCTACTAAAAATACAAAATTAGCCGGGCATGGTGGTGGGCGCCTGTAGTCCCAGCTACCCAGGAGGCTGAGGCAGGAGGATCACTGGAACCCAGGAGGCGGAGGTTGCAGTGAGCCGAGATCACTCCACTGCACTCCAGCCTGGGCAACAGAGCCAGACTCCATCTCAAAGCAAAAACAAACAAGCAAACAAAAAACAATGAGGCCGGGGGCAGTGGCTCACGCCTGTAATCCCAGCAGTTTGGGAGGCCAAGGTGGGCAGATCAGGAGATCAGGAGTTCGAGACCAGCCTGACCAACATGGTGAAACCCCGTCACTACTAAAAATACAAAAATTAACTGAGCATGGTGGCACGTGTCTATAATCCCAGCTACTTGGGAGGCTGAGGCAGGAGAATCACTTGAACCCAGGAGGCGGAGGTTGCAGTGAGCCAAGATCATGAGATTGCACTCCAGCCTGGGTGACAGAGCGAGACTCCATCTCAAAAAACAAACAAACAACAACAATTAAAAAAAAAAAAAAAACGAAAGTCCATTGACAATTATGTAGTACTTCAGGAAAATAAAAATTTAAAAAAAAGTCCAGTGGATGTAGATAAATTTAATTAAATTAACTAATCATCAATCTGGATTTTTTTCTTTCATAGCTTACCTGTTCCCTGAAAATAAACACATATTCTTGTTTAATCTCATGGATCATAGTATAGTATCATTCTTTTCTCAGAAGTGGAAAAATCTGTCCATAAGTATGATTGTGACTTTACACGAAGATCATCTAATTAAGCCTTTGTTGATGCTAACTGGCTCATACCAGGATAGAAGTCACAGTAGCGTGGGAGAGGAATGAATTACCCAGCCAAAAAAAGCAGAGTGACCAGGACAAGTTTTTGAGACAAGTAAGCTTAAGATCACAATGAATGCATGGTAGGAGCAGTATATCTTTATAATTTAAATGTTGTGTTGACTGTCTTCATTTTTCTGTCAGCCAGAGCGGACATTCTAGTATATAAGAAAACCTTGTAGAAAGTTGAGATTCTACGTGACATTTAGAGTAGAATAACAATGTTTTTCCAGATAATAATGCTCAATGTCTTGTTTCCTCTGATGCCCCTTTAGACCAGTGTATGGGCACCATACTAGGGACCTGTAGGTATCCTATAATGGTGGTCTTGTCCTATATTTACATTGTTTCATTGTCAATATTGTTAAACTTGATGTGCTATGAAGATATTTTGTGACTTTAACATCAGATTAACTGATATATCTTAATACCATTACAGTTTTAGAGATCAAAAGATAGAAAAAATTCATATAATCAATAGCACATGATTTTATAGTGAACAAGAAATACAGTGTATAGAGCTACCTGAAGTTCTGTTTAGCTCACATTATGAATAGGAGGAGTGTAGTCAGGAGCCATAGCAGACTAGGTAGAAGCACAAAATCAACTCCTTTCTATTCTTTCCACTAGCAGTTCAGAAAGCCATCTTTCTCTGGGTGATGGTCAGTATGTGCCTGCTGCTGGACCACACTGACCTTCATTCACATACTTCTCCCTGATGGTCAGATGCCCAACAGAGAATGCAAAGTCTGATCTTCCAAGAAGAGCATTTACTTAGCATGGTCCAGAGTAGGAGCAGGTGATCCCCATGTCTTGGATGACTGGGATGTAGATGAAATGTTCCCACTGGGTCAGGCTCTAGTTGAAGGATTTCTGGTCCTTCTTTATCCCAGGATAATTGACATATGGAGTGGCCATGAGGTGGAGGTGGCAAAGAATAGAACTTCATTTTATTATAATTGGAAATATTTTGATTTATGTCTAATTTTTTTTGGCAGGGGGAACGGAGTTTCGCTCTTGTCACCCAGGCTGGAGGCGCAATCTCGGCTCACTGCAACCTCTGCCTCCCAGGTTCAAGCATGTCTCCTGCCTCAGCTTTCTGAGTTGCTGGGATTACAGGCACACACCACCATGCCCAGTTAATTTTTGTATTTTTAGTAGAAATGGGGTTTCACCATGTTGGCCAGGCTGATCTCAAACTCCTGACCTCAGGTGATCCACCTGCCTCGGCCTCCCAAAGTGCTGGAATTACAGACATGAGCCACTGTGCCCAGCCAATTTCTGCTGATTTCTGTCTTATTTTGACAAAGAAAGATGAACTTGATATCTCTTAAACTCTTTATCTTTCCTATTTCTTTGACTAAAAGCTTCCTTCTCAGTTTTACTTGGATAGAGCACACAATGCTGGTTTCTTCTCACAGATAGGCATTATACTACAAATGAGACTCAGAGCAGCTTTATATATTCTTCCTCATCTCTGTAAATCAATCATCAAAGAAAATATTTGCTTTCCCTTCATTTTCTAAAGGACAACAAAGACCAATAAACAATAACTCTCGGGGAAAAGCACAACTGATATAAAGACTAAAAATTTGCAAAGGAGACGAGACTTAAAGAGAGGACTTCACTTCCTGAGAATGTTATCTATGAATGAAATGACAGCCATTTTGTAAGACATTTTTTTGTCAAGACCAATTTATGTAAGGTAATCATGTGCTTCTTTTGTAGCAGATTTTTCAGATGTGATAGATGTTCAGTTAGCTTTAGAGTGTGGGCTCTTTTTATAGTAAATGATTGATATGTGTCTATCAAGGTTTGATGTCAAAACATTCTAAATATGTGTACATACATATATGCATACACACATATATATGTAAATGTAAACACACATTTGAACATAATAAACAATTATTTGTATGTAGGTGTGTTACTAAGCACTCTCTGAAGATCACATCATGGCTGTGAATATCTCATGTGTGTATTTAATATGAAAGTAAAGTATGTCATGGATATATACTAATGAGAACTTAGTGAAGTGGAAGAAATCTTATTTTTCCCAAAACACGAACAATGTTTTCAAATCTCCTTTTTCCAGAAATAAAATTTAGTCATTCTTAAATAACATGCTATGAGCTGAGCCAACTTCTTTATGTGAAGCATCTATTTAGGGCGCAGCCACATATAGTCACAACCTTTACTTAGTCTTCCCTTTGATGTTCTGTACCTCCACATAAAATTGCACACTTGAAATGGATGATGCAAAAGGATTCTTCAAAATCAGGGTAGTTTCACTTAAGCCAGTCTAATTGAGGTTTTTCAATGATTTTACGACTTTAAAACTCAAAGTAAATAAATTCCTTTGTTAGAATCTCCAATTTCTTTCACACACACAAAAAAAGAAAGAAAATGTTAACCTACAAATTGCTTATGACTGGCGGTTCGAAGTTATAACTTTTTTTAAAGAAACTCCACTGTGGGAGGAACCTAATTTTGACCTTTATGTGCAGTTATTCGAGATGATGTTTCATTCTTTTTATGTTTATAGAATTCAAAGAACCTGAAATTTCTTTTCAATTTCAAACTTACATTATTATAAATAAAGTACCCCAAGCTAAACGTAAGTGTTCCTCATTTTAGAACAAATTTTTAACATTTGGAAACTTATTCTTAGTGAGAAATGATACTTAATTATCATTCAAAGACTGAGTTTGTTATCATAATTGTGATCATTATGCCATGATAGCAGTAATACACCTTTATATGGATTAATTAATATAAGGAAATAACAGAAATCTTTATATCTCTGAATCACAATATTTCAGAATAAGATCATGTGATCCATTTTGAACACTTTCATTTTACAGACGGTGCAAAGCAATAGAGTGTAATTGCTAGGAGCACAGATTTTTGGACTCAGACAAAACTAACATTGAATCAGCTCCGAAACCTCTTGGCCAGCATCCCTAGATACATTATTAAAATTATTCATAAAATATAGCTAACATTCATTGTATACTTATCATGTGTCAAGCACTGTGCCAACCACCTTATACAAATACTCTTATTTAATTCTCACGACTTGATGACGTAGGTACTATTGTTATCTCCAATTTGTAGACAGGGAAATGAGGTTTGGCAAGTTTTAATACTAAGATCGTGTTAGTTTGACACTAAAGGCTATTGTATTATATGCTACGCTATCCTGTACTTTTTTTTAAAGAAGCTTTGAGTCTCAATTTTCCTGAGTATTATATTGTATAACTTTAGAGCTTGTTTGTAATAATGAAATTAGTACTTATGTGAAAGTAACTGGAAATAGTGAACTCAAATTCTCAGCAATTAAAACTCCCATTTATCAATATCCAGCCTAAAGATAGTTTTGTTTTGTTATTATTGTTACACATAGAGTATATCGCTTGTGCTTTATGTTTACTTAATGTCAATCACTATATAATGGCAATGAGTTTTATTCACTGAGAACATATTGGTTCAGATTTCTTCTACCTTATCACATTTCTTAGGGCACACAAAAATAATTTAAAACAATTTCATGTTATTTAAGAAAATGAGATAATTTTAAATATTTAGAAAAAAAAGAAATGCTTAGTCTGCTCCTATAAATTGGACAAATTGAAGGTCAAGGGAAGTAGAGTTTCTTGAACCAAATGGGGACAGAAGCTTTTTGGATATGAATTTTTCATTTTATTGTGTGTTTCTGAGAGCCGTAATTTGGAATTTTCAATAGAAATTTTGAAGTGATAAAAGCTGGAAAATTAGAGCATCCTAGAATCTTGTTACAGTAAATGAATGGACTCCACAATCATACTGCTTGGTAGGATCCCATAAATGGGTGCACTCAGCTTACTCTTTTAGGGGCTTCCTCTTGATCATTATGCAGGCACTGATGAGGCAAAATTACACGGTGAACTCATCACACCCGGGGTATGCACAGAATGGGCACTGCTTTCGGCTGGCTGTGGAGTGGTGTTGTACAAGGCATTTAACATCTCAAAATGAAATAATATGTGGAAAAGTTGTAAAGTGCTGTTCAGCTGAGAATCATTATGGCTAATGCTAATCCAATTCTAGTTATTTTGCTCTACAATGAAGACTAGGACTGGGGAGCACTCTGTAAACATACACTGACTTATGAATGTATAATTATAAAGTAATGAATTCTGCATTTTTCATTTTCGCTTGATAAATGTATTCAGCAAACATTTATTGAGTGCCTAAATGTTTTATGGCCATGAATATATTTCATTTGCATGTCAAATTAAACATTTCAGAGAGGATAGGGATCACTGAGTATTTATCGAATGTCTTCTCTAACTTTGAAATTATTGTCCTAATCTCTACTCTGGCCTCATGCCTCAGTTCTCCCTTAGAATTCCCAGAAAGCAAGGAGTTATTGCTGCACAGCTAGCCACATGCTGCATCCCGCTTTCTGCTGCCAACTGCTTCTGACAAACCCATTTTTGATTTATATTTAGAAATGGGAGGCTAGATAGAGGTGTGGAAAAGTATTTTTTAAATTATGTTCTGTGAGATTAAAATATATCAACCATTTACATAAAACAGATTTTTAAAGAAATTTTCTGAACCTGTTATGACCATTCATTGATAAGGATCTAAGAATGGGAAGAAATAAAAGGCGAGTCTTTGTAGTCTACTTAAAATTTCATTTTTCACCAAATATTGGCTGGTACTGGAATTTTTATATATGTAATATTTTTTCCTTGTATTAAAACACAAATTTCACTAGAAATTTTCTGACCTATCTTTTAGCAGGTTTATAAAAGTTCTTAAAACTTTTTTCAAGTTTAGCATTAATCTCATATACTTACAGTCCTTCCTTTTAGAACCTTTTTTCATTGCCAGTCTTGAAAAGAATTGGAGTTTTGTTTAACTGCTTTGAGTAGTTATTATTAGCACAGCCCATTAAAGCCTGGTGTTTACCTTCTCAGAGAGAGCGAAGCAACAGGACTGAAGTGTTCATTGGACTTAAATCGAAAGATTGAAAAGCAATTAGGACATAGTGCATTTAGTTGGAGTCTGAAGCATCTGTCTGAGCATTCATTCTATACAATGTCGTTCATAATTGAAATTAGAACTATTTAGCTGTAATTCTTTTTTAAGGTCCATTACTGAAATTGTAACACTAATGTCAGTGTGTGAATAAGGCTTTGAAATACAGAATAGGAGAATCTGCTTCCTAATTGGCAAAGTTTCAGGAGAGGAAGAACACTGACACATTCACATCCATAGACTGAAAGTGCAACGGATTTGTCATGTCGTGTTCTGCAATCCAAGAAAGTTATGTTTGCTGACAATGGATTCATTAGAACCTCTCTCCTACTGCCAACAGGCACAGGAAAAAATGAAATTTTTCTGGCAGTTCCCAATGTTGATGGAAGAATCAAAGTGGCCTTCAATGGGCCCTTAGTAAAAGGAGAGCTTTGTTTTGTGTTCCAGTCGGCCTGAAAACGGTCATTTTGAAACTCAATAAAGGTGTGTGTTCTAGGAAGTCAGAGTTGTTTGTTAATACACTAGGCTCCAACAGAGGAAGTTGGGTTAAATGTGTCACTAGAAAATTTATGATGCATGCAGAAGGCTTCCTGACTTTAGGTCCCTGAGGGATTCTGAATTAATAGAGAAAAATCAGAGGGAAAGCCTTTATTGTGAGCCACAAAATAGGATGACTCTGTGAGCTTCAGAATTAATTTTGGGTACATTTTTTCAAAATCAAATTTACTATTTTTTTTTGAGAATGCTTCAATGATTCAGTTAGTAATTTACTACAAGAAAATCCTGAAAAGTGTGTGTGTTGCTGGGGGGAGGGGAGTTTGTAACCAATATTCTCATTAATACCTTATGTTTATTGAGTTTGACCAGTACCCTTAGCATTGGAGGAAGCTACATATCTTTCCTACTGCATTATATTTTTCTTCCATGTTTCCACAAAATATTACCCTACAGTGATTTCCGATACCCTTCACTGTGTCTGTTCATTCTGCTTCTTTTACTTAAAAGAGTTGGTGGTGGTACAAGAAACATAGAGAAAGATCTCTAATATCATAACATAGATGCCTAAGGTTGTTGAGACATAGGACTTTCTCTCTGGGTAATTATCCCCACATCTTCATCATTACAAGAAAGCATTGAAGGTTGTTTTGAATATTTTGCAGAATAGTTATAAATTATTTCTTAAGGATTAAATTTATCCATGAAATGCAAAGTGAAATTATTGCACAGTCTAAAGATACTCATATATTCAATTTCTATTGACTGCACTAATTTAGAATAAGAATTGAAGTTATTCATATATAAGTTTCAGCAGTGAAAAACTGTATAACTGGTATCTCCAAGCACTTACCTGTCTGTAGATCAAAAACAAAGTTAGATTAGCAGTAATAACTCAAGACATTATTTTATGTGAGCTCACAAAGAGCCCTCTTGTTAGATGCTGACGGTGAACAATTGAGTATCCTTTAAGGTACTGACATGTGTAGCAAGCAAAACTTGTTGCTGTGATCAGAATGTTCGTGTCCCTCATGAATGCAATTAGTGCCCTCATAAGAGAGACCCCCAGAGAGATCCCTTGTTCCACCACATGCAGACACAGTGAGAAGGCACTATTTGTGAGCCAGAAAGTAGGTCCTCCTCACCAGACAATGCATCTGCCTTGATTTAAGGCTTCTCAGCCTCCAGAACTGTGAAAAATGCATTTCTGTTGTTTACAAGCCATTTGGTTTTTGGTATTTTTGTTATAGTGGCCTGGACAGACTAAGACATCTGCCAAACTTTTAACCCTAGGGCCTTTAAGCTGCCTAAAGCTGCTCCATTTTCTATTGCATAGTAAAGACTGTCCCTCTACCCATTATACGATACTAACTTTGAGCACTCTAAAGGCAGTGTTCCTTCCTGCTCTTAATTTTGGTGAAATAGGTTTTTATATATGTTATGTATGACACTGCATAATTCAAAATAAATTCATTTTGTTTTTTTACACATTATCCACCTAAAGTGGAGAACTTTAGGCGGCTTGTCTAAAACATTTTCAATAACACTAAATACTACTTATTTCTTAACAAAGTTATTAAAACAAAGTTAAGCATATCCAAAAACGTATCCTAAATCTGTGTTTATTTTTTTTTCTTATCATATTTTTTTCCAATGAAAGTCAACTACATTTTTCCAGTTGTTCAGGCAGAATCCTTGAAATCACACTTGACTTCAGTCTTTCTTAGACCAGATTCTACAAAGCAGCAAATTTTGTTAGCTCTATCCTTAAACTATATCCCGAATTTGACCACTTTTGCTATCTCCACTGCTAACACTCTGTCCCAAGCCTTCATCACCTCTGCATGGTTTATTGCAACAGTCTCCTTTAAGTGATTCCTTTGCTTTGGTCCTCTGCCTCTAGAATCTGAAAGATTAAGAGAGATCCTCTCAATACACAAGTTAGATCCTTTGTTCAAAACTCTTCAGTGGAATTTCATCTCACTCAGACCAAATGCCAGAGACCTTACATAGTCCCATCTCCCACCCCTTCCCCTGCTGCCAACAATGCACTGCCTACTATTCTCTTTCTCTTTGGCTCCACAGCACCCCATGACTCTTTATCAGTTCTCTTAGAGGCCAAGGTATCTGCTCACTTAGGTTAGTTGGCAAAGAACCTCTCTAACCACCCTACAGTAAGTGGCACTCCTGTCCCCAGCAAACATTCTCGATCTCCTTAACCCACTTTTTATTTACTTCTAATGTCATTCACCAAACACTCACTACAGACCTACCATGTTTCAGGATTTCAGGCATCATTGTATGTATTAGGGCCAACGCATTCAACAAAAACAGTCAAAAACTCTGTTTTCATGGAATCTATATGCTGGTGCATCTTAAATTTTTTATAACAGTATATATCTACAAGTTGGTGTTTTTGCTATTTTAAAAAATTATTATTGATTTTTCTCCCTGCAGGAAGAAAGCTGCATGAGAGCAGGGAATTGCTTTGTCCAATGCTAATCACTAAAGCTTAGAATACTGCTTGTTACATGGTAAGCACTAAATAAATAAATATTTTGTGATAAATAAATAAATAAATGAACAGAAATAAACCCAAAATGAGTTCTGCCTTCAATTTTCCTACAGATCAGGATTTGAAAACAGCCCCTCTAACCAACCTGCTTTCTGGACAACAGGCAAGCTAGAATTCCCAACAATCATCTGGATAGAGGAGTTTCTGGATTTAGAGATGTTTTTCAATGAAAGGTCAATCTCACAATGATAAATTATAAAAATAATGATATTTTCATTCATAAAATTAGCTGGTATATACATTAAATAACAATGTTAATTTAAAAGAGTGTCATGCACTGGCACTCACAGGCTAGTGCAGGAATTGAATGAGCTTTCTGAAAAGCAAATTTGGTTTTATGCGTATGTTTCCCAGAAATTTAGCACCTATAAATTTATCTTATATAAATAATCAGAGAAGCCTACAAGTTCTGTGCAATGGTGGTCATGATGTTAATATTTATAGTAGTAAAATCTTCAAAGTAATAGACATGTTCAACAGAAAGAATAAATACAATTGAAGGGAGGCTGAGGCAGGCAGATGTCATGAGGTCGGGAGTTCAAGACCAGACTGCCAACATTAAAAATAGAAAATACAAAATTAGCCCAGCATGGGGGTGCATGCCTGTAATCTCAGCTACTCAGGAGGCTGAGGCAGGAGAAGTGCTTGAACCTGGGAGGCAGAAGTTGCAGTGAGTCAAGATCGCGCCATTGCTCTCTAGCCTGGGCAACAGGAGTGAAACTCTATCTCAAAAAAAAAAAAAAAAATTTCAAAATCAGATGCTTCAGTTATTTGCTGTTTTCCACAGCCTTTTACAGAGCTTTGAACACAGTACTTACTATGAGACTATTTATCATCATAAGCTAAAATGATCATAAATTATTATTTGTTGATTACCTAAGTATTTAATTTTCTAATATGATTTTGACTCTTTCTGGATAATTTCTTCCATTATCTAATATACTTCAGTGTTGATGGCCCCAGTATCAGACTAAAAGAGATGGCCTATATCACACACACACACACACACACACACACACACACACACAAGTACACTTTGTACACATCACACTTTATACTAAATGGACAATTACTACTGTAGAGGAATAGTGAAAGCCTGCTCTCTTAGGTTAGCTGAGAGCTTCCAAACTTGATGCAGTGTCTAGTTACCTCCCTATTCCAGGATGTCTATATTAGAGAAAGAAATTTTGGCAAGTTTCAGCGTGCTGTATGAAGTGGTGAGAAAATAGATGAGGTTTGAAATTAACCATGCCAGGAAAAATAATGAAAACATTACAGCTTAAAATGTATAAATGTATTATAAGCCTACGAACCAGCTGAAGGTGTGCCCGGCTTTGAGTGATGGCTGCCTGTATCCTGCCTTCTTGATAGCCAATAGCCTTGTCCAGCTGAGCTAACAAATTCCCAATTCCACACTTTGCAGTCTCAGTGCACTTGCTGAACACCATTTCCCTTGTTTAATGATAAAATACGTCATTGTATGACTTTTGTGGGAAATGGTCCGAACTGCTGGTACATAAGCAACTTTAATACATCTGCTTGCATAAAGCATTGAAATCATGGTCTAGTTCACAAATGAGGAGTCCTAGAATTAGATGTACATTTTATCACAAGAAATATGTTGATGACTCCATGGACAGCTAGCTACGATTCAATGAACCTGAGACAAAACCTCTCAGGTTATGTCGCCAGAAGTCAAGAAAGTTGATTAGCACCTAAGGCTGTGTTTCTTTCCTTTTCATTTTGAGAGATAGCCATAGTGAAGGAAACTTGGGAAAAGCACAAATATTGCATTTTCATTTTGTTATGATTTTCCTTTCATTCCTGTTTTATTTTGTATAGTATAAAAAGAAATAGTTTTGCTGACAGAATCAATTATTATTATTTTCATTCACACTTTTGGCAAAGCTCATGAAAACACCAGGCTATATTCTTTAGATTTCATTCAAATAAGTTTTCTTAGTTGTTCTTCATTTCTTCTTTCACTTTCTAACTTTGTTGACAAAGTCCATTCCATCAGAACTGAAAATATGCCATTCAGCACCTGTGTCCATTCTTATCTGTGCCTAGCCTTAAGAGAGAAATTTTAAACTAAATAACATGAAATAGCATTTAACTATGTGAGGTCAGCTGTCATACTAAACTTTTCACATTCTACAGATGAAAAGTGAATTTTTGTAGCTTAACCTCCAAAGCAAGAGCAGCTGGAACTGGAGCTATTTTCTTTCTAATAAAGATAAAATCCTATTATAAACAACTCTAGAGAACACCTGAGTTGTTCCATTTCAGTGTAATTTTACTAAAGTAATACAAGTCTATAAATCACATTCTAGTCTGCACTGATAGAATATGGAAGTGAGTAGGGTCCAGTCTCTCTATAGTGAATTAACACTTGGAACAAGAAAGCAAGCATCCAATACACACACTGTACATTTTTTTTTCCTCTGACCTTCACTTTCTTGACTGATATTTTGTGAGAGATGTAGACTGCTTGGAGTTTAGACAGATGGGATATTTAGAGTTTAGGTTGGTGGAATATGGTGGAAAGGAACTGGGTGGAGGTTGCAGAGGAAATTAAGAACAAAGGGCTTAACTACAAGAGACCAGTATCCCTATAGTTTCCACTACATAGTAAACTACTGAATGAAGCAATTTGGTAAGAACAGGGACTATCATTTAGAAAGGAAATCAGATAACACCCAGACTATTCTTTACAAGAAAACAATGTAATTAGTTTAACAAAATGCTGCTGTTTTCACAGGCAATCAGCCAGGATGTAGATCTCATTTGGCTGCATAAAAAAGGGTTTTGTGCTGATGTTGTGGACTGATATTTTACCTGTAGTTTCTCTAGTCTTGCCTGAAAAACAGCACCTTCTTATCTGCCCAGGGCCTTAAAAACAAACAATGCAAGTCCTTTATCAAGTATATTTACTTGCCTATTGGCATCATTTGTGGGGAAGCACAATTCATTTTCACCACTTTATTGCACAGAGAGAAAGAAGATAGAGATGGAGGAGGTGTCTGCTCTATGCTTCTATCACTAATTTATTCATACCTCTATCACAACACTTTCCATGTTATGTTGTAATGACTTCACTTCTCCAAACTGTTATGCACCTTGAGAACTGTGCCTAGCATAGGATCTCAAAATATGGTTATTTATTAAGGAAGAAGATCTTTATGTCTTTACACATGTCAGTTCTGTTGTCATATGCTGCTCATGCTGTCAAGCTGAACAGCCTAAATGTATTTGCTTAAAACAGAATTTGGGAAGTTTCTTGAGAGGAATGGACACCAGGGGTTTTGGATTCAGTTTTGTTTGTTAATTAAAAAAAAACCCACATACTAAATAAACCACTATTAAACATGTGCCAGGTTATCTTCCTGCATAACTCTCTTAAAGCCCGTAAAACTCTATGAGGTAAAGATTATTGTGTCCATCTTAGGAATAGGAAAATTGAGGTTCAGGGAATTGTGTAGCTTATCTAATGTCTCTCTACTGGTAAGCAGCCAAGTCAGGACTAGTACTAGAAGGCTCAGTTGGGAGGGGAGGAAGGAGAGAGAAAAGAAGTATGGCTTTTTCCTCTGGGTACACTCTCCAGTATGGTGACTTTTCATTAGGTTTTATGTAGAATGTCAACAGGAAGTTTCTTAGGCCTGTGGAAAAGGAATTTCAGGAAGTGGTATGGAATAAAGTCTTGAAAAATCAAGTCGGGAAGATCTGAAGAATTGATGTGAGTATGGTGCCTTTTTGTTGTTTTAACTTGCTTGCTCATTCATCAACTAGAGACTTGACCTCTCTCTCAGGCTTGCTCACTAGTAAGTATCAGATTAGAACCCACATCTTTCCATGACAAAATCCCTGCTCTGATGGACTGCATCATATTCCCTTCCTACTTCCCCATTCTGACTGAGGTGTGTCCTTAGCATCTACCATTAGTCTCAGTCATCACATCATCTGAAGACTGAAAATGGGAAGAAATAGTGCATATCAGTTTTCTTCCTCCCTACATAAGTTTTGAGAAGTGTGGTGGGCTGAATAATGTCTACCCAAAGACATCTACACTCTAATCCGTAGACTTGTGGTTAGTTTACCTTTTACAGCAAAAGAGAATTTTCAGAGTTGATCAAGGTAATGATCTTGAGATAGAGGAGATTATTCTGAATTATCCCAGTGTACCAGATAATACTCAGTAGGGTTCTTATAACAGGCAGTCAGTAAGGCTAGAGTCAGTAAAAGAGATGTGACCATGTTAGGCTGCTGGCTTTAAAGACAGGAAGGCGCCCTGAGCCAAAGAATGAAGGTTGCCTTTAGAAGCTGGCAAAAGCAAGGAAACAGTATCTCAGTGCATTTGTGCTGCTATAACAGGATACTTGAGACTGGGTAATATAGGGAGAATAGAAATGTATGTGTTCACAGTTCTAGAGACTGAGAAGACCAAGATCAGGCACTGGCATTGGGTGAGGATCTTCTTGCTGTATCCTTATACAGCAGAAAGGAAAAGGACAAGCGAGGACTAACCTTGTGTCCTCACAAGGTAGAAGAGCAGAAGACAGCAAAACTAGCTGAACTCTGTGTAACCCCCTTTTAAAAAGACCTTAATCCAATTAACAAGGGAGGAGCCCTGATGGCCTAATCGCCTCCTAAAAGCCCCTCATCTTAATACAATTGACCTTTGAACACCACAAAACTTAGAGGCACTAACCCCCTGCACGGTCAAAAATCTAGGTATAACTTTTGACTCCCCTAAAACTTTACTACAAATAGCCTACTATTGACTGGATAACATAAACAGATTAACATATATTTTGTATGTTATATGAATTGTATACTATATTCTTATAATAAGGAAGGCTAGAGAAAAGAATACGTTATTAGGAAAATCAATCATTAGGAAGGGAAAAATGTATTTACTATTCATTCAGTGGAAGTGGATTATCATGAAGGTCTTCATCCTCCTTGTCTTCATGTTGAGTAATCTGATGAAGAGGTGGAAGTAGAGGAGGGGTTGGTCTGGCTGTTTCAGGGGTGGCAGTAGCAGAAGAAAATCTGTGTATAAGTACATCTGCACAGTTCAAATCCATGTTGTTCAAGGGTCAGCTGTACTGTCACATAAGCAACACCTGAATTTTGGAGGGGACACATTCAAACCACAGCAAACAGGTTCTGCCTTAAAGCCTTCAGAAGGAGACATTCCTGATACCTTGGTTTTAGGATTCTGACTTCCAGAACTGTAAGATAATAAATTTGTGTTTTTTAAGTCACTCTTTGTGGTAACTTGTTATGGTAGCAATAGGAAACTAAGAATAAGAAACAAAAGAATCCCTTCCTTCTGTGAGCTGTTGAAAAGAGAGAAATTTAACAAGGTTTAATTTCGTCAAAAGTATCATATAAGCCAACGACTGTGAAATGATCTAAAGTTTTTGTGAACAATAGATTGAACATACTAGACATGATTCAAAAACCTAGGTAAGGTTAAGATGTGTGACTTTCTACTTTTCCTTTTTACTGTAATACTTGAGACCTTGAGTCTTCTCTGATTTATGTATCTATAAACAAGAGTAAAGCAATGGGCTTGCCCACCTCATAGAAAGGCTGTTTAGCTTCATTTGGTGAAGCTTGTAAAATGCTGTGAAGATAATAAATGCTAATCTTTATTTAATCAACTAGGCAAGAAGACAATTAAATGAAAGACCAGGAGTGTGCCTTGCAGCATACTATCTGATGGAGTTCTTGTAGCTCAAACCAACAGAGACCTATATTTAAAATACAATTTCCATAATCTACCCCATCAAAGTGATAAATTAAGGTTTAAGGCTTCCAATTTCTTGTTTATCTCAACTGCTTAAATTCAATTGCTTTAATTAAAATTACATTGAGAATGCATTTTCCAATTTAGACTTTCAAAGGCCATTGGGAGTTTTGTTCCATTACATCCTTTCCATCTTATAATGTTTGAAAGATCACCACTTAATTTTCTCAACAGTGAAAGGAAATTTTCCTTCTTAAATTAATAGTTATTGTTTCAACTAACACGTCATACAGCAAGTCTGAAAATTGGCAGTTGCTAAATTAGCAGTGGGTAGAGATATTTTATAGCCATTTTAGCTCTGGAGTCTGTCTTTATGCTGTTCTTGATAACATACAGAGACATTATTTCACAGCAAAGAAATACACTCCAATCAATAAAGAGAGTAGAAAATAGTAAGAATATGCCAGTCACCTCAGGACAATTTAGCATTTGCTTGGTGACCCAAGAAGTAATCTGTATTTTATTATTTTATTATATTTTCAGGGCCAGAAGTCAAGAATAGGAGAGCAGCAGAAAACCACTAAATATGACAGCCAGCTTCACATGGGTAAATTCAGATGGTTGTGATGTGAAAGTCCCACCCATTCATCCCTTATCCCTTCACTCTAGACATTACAAACCACCAAGACAAAAGGAATTCATTCAATTTCAAGGCTGCGGCCAACTTTCCTCCATCCTTCCTTCTTTTATTCTCTTTACATTTTAATATAATTCTAGATTTACAGAAACATTTCAAGAATAATATAAGGAACTGCTATACAGCCTTAATCAAGATTCAAAAGTTGCTTACATTTTGTCCAATTTGCTTTATTAATTCTCTGATTTCCTTTTTTCTCTCTCTCTGAACCCTTTGACAGTTAGGTGGAAACATCATTGATGCAGGATTTTTCTTTGTCTCCTTACCAGTTGGGGACCTCTGGCTGGTGATGTTACCTGCCACAGGATGTGCCCTGCCCAATCAGCTTGCCAAGTCTAGCTTGTGCACTGGTTCCTGAGTTCTTGTCCTGTGCCCAAGAAGAATGAGGATGTGCTGACCATTGAAGGGTGAGGAGAATAATTTTATTGAGTAATGAAACAGGTTATAGTGGAGAGGGGACACGGGGGTGGTCACCCTACCTGAAGTCCCCCATGTGGCTGGGTCTGGGGCCTTTTTTGGACTCAGAACGGGGAGTGCGTGTTGATTGGTTTGTCAGTATGCAAAAATGGTTAAAGTGAATACACCACTCAAAGGTGGGCACAACAGTAGAAAACCAATTAGAAAAGGGTAGGTATGTGTAAAATAGGTGAAAGGTGGGGATCAATCAGAGGAAAGCAGGCCAAACAGGAAGACAAGTTCTCAATCTCGTCCGAGGATTTAACTTGTAGCTTGGCTTTCAGGCTTTAAACTGTCTTTGGCTTGGAGATGGAGTTTCACTGGGGACCTGCCCCTATCTGCCTAGGCATTTGGCTGCATCCTGATGCTCTCATCATGATCTTTTACTGTTTTTTTTTTTTTTTTTGAGACGGAGTGTCACACTGTCACCCAGGCTGGGGTGCAATGGCACAATCTCAGCTCACTGCAACCTCTGCCTCCCATGTTCAAGTGATTCTCCTGCCTCATCCTCCCAAGTAGCTGGGATTACCTGCGCCTGCCAACATGCCTGGCTAATTTTTTGTATTTTTAGTAGAGACGGGGTTTCAGCATGTTGGCCAGGCTGGTCTTGAACTCCTGACCTCAGGTGATCTGCCTGCCTTGGCCTCCCAAAGTGCTGGGATTACAGGTGTGAGCTACCATGCCTGGCCAACCCTTTACTCTTAAATACTTCATTGTGTATTTCTTTAGTAAAAGTATATTCTCTTACATATTTTCTTTGACAAATTATCAAAATTAGGAAATTTAACATTGAAGTAAAATGTTTTTGAAATTTATAGCTCATATTCAAATTTTGTCAACTGTCTTAATAAAACACTTTCTAGCTATTACTTTCTTAGTTCACAGTCAGATATTTCAATTAGTTGTCATGTCTGTGTAGTCTCCTTTAATTGGAAAGAATTCCTTAGCCTTTGTTTTTGTTGACCCTGAAATTATTAAAGGGTACAAACCAATTATTTTGTAGAAGAGTTCCTGTCTGGTGTTTCCTCATCATTAGGTTCAGGTTATGTTTGACAGGAAAACCATGATACATTTTATCGTTGGTGCCTATCAAAAGGCATGCACTATTTTTCCAATATTGGTAGATTTAATGTTATCCCTTTGTTATTGTGGTATTCATCAGGTTTCTCCACTCAGTAACTACTATTTCCCCTTTGTGATCAATATGCAATTTGTAAAGAAGATAACCTGAGGCCATATAAATATCCTGTACCTCATCAAACTTTAATCCTCTGTTTTTTTAATCCATTGATGATTCCTTTTTTTTTTTTCCTTTCTTTTTTTTGAAACAGAGTCTTGTTCTGTTGACCAGGCTGGAATGCTGTGGTGTGATCTCGCCTCATTTCAACCTCCACCTCCCAGGTTCAAGCGATTCTCCTGCCTCAGCCTCCCGAGTAGCTGAGACTACAGGTGCCCGCCACCACGCCTGGCTAAGTTTTGTATTTTTAGTAGAGATGGGGTTTCACCATATTGGCCAAGCTGTTCTCGAACTCCTGACCTTGTGATCTTCCCACTTCAGGCTCCCAAAGTGCTGGGATTACTTACAGGCATGAGCCACTGTGCCTGGCCCCACTGATGATTTTCTAACTCATATATG
This sequence comes from Homo sapiens, assembly GCF_000001405.40. Taxonomy (NCBI): domain Eukaryota; kingdom Metazoa; phylum Chordata; class Mammalia; order Primates; family Hominidae; genus Homo; species Homo sapiens. The sequence goes on from NC_000008.11 coordinate 88,012,389, forward strand.
CTTCTATATTTACTGGCTAGCACCCAACTATAAGTGTGTTCTCTTCTATTCCATTTAAATATTTATGTATATATTTACATCACTAGGAAACCATGAATTTTTCCTTCAGATGATGTATTATAATCCATTATTATCTCTCTTTTTTCTACTTAAATTGTTTCAGATTTGACCACTCAGAGCTCCTTCAGGATAACTCTTTTGCCTTTTTGACATTACCCCATCCTTCTTGGAGCACTTCTTTACTTTCTGGTTCAGCAGGATAGTCTAGGTTCTTTTTGTACTTTCGCTGCTTCAGTACTGGAATCGGCCTTCTCCCCAAGGAACTGTGGTTCGTTTTAGTAAATAATGGTATTTAGATACCAAAATTTGAGTAGTATAATTTTGCTCATTGCTACTAGTAGGTCATTGATCAAAGGTCCTGTTAGTCAACAGAGCTAGAAAATATGTATGTATATATACATGTATATATACCCATATCCAAATGTATTTGCATATCCATCTATCTGTAAATAAGTGTTAAAAACCATTAACTCATACTGATAACTAATGTAACGCCATCATGGCACAGTCTATTCTGTCCAAAATTGCCAGCATATTCAGTGAAAGAGCTTGAACTTGATCTTAGATTTCTGTGACTCTAATAGTCCAGATTCAAAACCACTTAGAATAAAACTTACTGCCCAAGCCCCATCCATTGTACAGATACACCCTTCACTCCACTTTCCTGAATATCAGTTACCCTACTCTAATGCCCCACATCACGATTCATTCTTTCTGAAGATAAAGAGATAATTGAGACAAAGTTTACTTTATATGCTCATATCTGACAAAGAATTACAGTTCATGTTATTTTCGAGGTCTAAAAAAAAGGCTTTTAATATCATTTTTTATTCATTTCTTGACCTTGATGAGTGTCATAGTCAGTAGGTTAGGAATTGAATTTGCTCTTGAGCCTATTTCCAGCAACTCTGAAGTGATATTACAGAGCATCCTTTACCCATATATTAATTAGATGACTTCTTCTGACTTTCTGTAGACCAAATGTGCTCTCCTCTAAAATGTGAACTATGTAATTAAAATAAATACACATCACATTATTTCTCCTATATTCATTCCATCTACAACACACTGGAATTTCTTTTTCACACCTGCTTCAACCAACTTTCACTGGACTAACTGGATGAAGCAGTATTTGCACGTTTCTGTGTTTTGTTTTGTTTTTTTTTAATCCTGAGAACATCATGAGACTCAAAAGTGAGCACAGAATATTCATCATAGTTTCATTCCAAAACATGCAAATTATTTTTAGGACTTCAGAAGCGCTCTAAGATGTCTGGAATCCTCCCCAGTGTTCCCCTAATCATGCAAATTATCAACACAACTCAGTATTTACATCCAGATTTTAGAAGCCTTTTATAACCATTAGCCTTATTTGCTTAGGAGTCTGTTACAAGTATATATTTGAGTCCAACACTATCAAGCCTTCCAGAAATCTGGGGCGATAAAGACTATGAGTACAAGAAGTTCAAGCTGAAATTGAGTAAAGAAGGTTGCCAAAGGAAGAAATCGACAGTTTAGAAAAGTATAGACAATCTTTATTTTTAGCAAAGTTCATAGGATTGAAGTGTCAACACATAATTATAATACCACTTATAATGGCACTGTGCCAATATAAGCCAAAATACCTCCTGTTTTATTTGTAATTAAAAGCCTAAAAAATAAACAACCCATTTTTAATACTAATTTATCCGTTTTTTTACTCTGATTAATATTTTAAAACTATTTTTGAGAAATTTAATTTTTAAAATAAGCTATTTCTGACTGCGGATAAAAGTTAGAGATTAGTTTCATTTTTCTTCATATAGATACGGAAAATATTTTAGTCCTCTATGCAATTCATTCATTATTTTTCATTAAAAAGATGTATTTCTGTACTAAGCAGATATAATCGAGCAGATAGAGCCCTGAAAAATTACTTCATTAACAGTGGGATTCAGAGTACTGTTTAACTTGTAAATGTACAGTTGACCTTTAAACACACAGGTAAGAACTCTGCAGGTCCACTTTTGCATGGATTTTCTTCTGCCTCTGCCATCCTAATATACAGCAAGACCAACCTCAACCTTCCTTTTCAACCTGCTTCGAGTGAGGGTGACAGAGATGAAGACTTTTAGGGTGATCCAGTTCCACTTAATGTTATTTTCTTAACACCATTTTCTTTTCTTTCCTTTTCTTTTTTTTTTTTTTTTTTTGACGGAGTCTCGCTCTTTTCGCCCAGGCTGGACTACAGTGGTGCTATCTCGGCACACTGCAAGCTCCGCCTCCCAGGTTCACGCCATTCTCTTGCGTCAGCCTCCTGAGTAGCTGGGACTTCAGGCGCCCGCCACCGCGCCTGGCTAATTTTTTGTATTTTAAGTAGAGACGGGGTTTCACCGTATTAGCCGGCATGGTCTTGATCTCCTGACCTCGTGATCCGCCCGCCTCAGTCTCCCAAAGTGCTGGGATTACAGGCGTGAGCCACCGCGTCTGGCCTCCTTTTCTTTTCTTTTTTCTTTTCTTTCTTTTTTTTTTCTTTGAGACAGAGTTTCGCTCTTGTTGCCCAGGCTGGAGTGCAATGGTGTGATCTCGGTTCAGGGCAATCTCTGCCTTCTGGGTTCAAGCGATTCTCCTGCCTCAGCCTCCCAAGTAGCTGGGATTACAGGCACCTGCCACCAACGCTCGGCTAATTTTTTGTATTTTTGGTAGAGATGGGGTTTCACCATGTTGGCCAGGCTGGTCGTGAACTCCTGACCTCAGGTAATGCTTCTGCCTCGGCCTCCCAAAGTGCTGGGATTACAGGTATGAGCCACTGCGCCTGGCCCAACATTTTCTTTTCTCTGACTGTGTTAAACTGTTTATGTAATTGGTAAGGCTACCAGTCAATCGTAAGCTCATAGTGGTTAAGTTCTGGGGAGTGAAAAGTTAGATGTAGATCTTCAACTGCACATGTGGTCAGTGCCCCTAACCCCCATGTTGTTCAGTGGTCAACTGTAATTCACATAAATGTCCTTGAAATTGTTAAATTTGAAAAACCCCAGAGAGAAAGAAGGGAGGAAGACCATCTGATTGTGAGACACAAAATGTAAAGGCCAATGATTTCTGCGTAGAGAAATTTAGTTAACAGACAGCACATCGTTCTCTTCCCGTTCTAAAGCTAGAGCACTCTATATAAACTCTTCCCACTACTACACTGAGCAAAAGAGATAACAATTATTCTGATATCTTATTTGTGGTACGTATTTTGCAAAGATTAGGGTTCTGTGCATCAGGCATTCCCTAGAACTATAACATAGAAGGTAGAAAAAGAAATAGTTATAAATATGCAGAGTATTTATGATGGCACTATAAACTTTTACAGAAGGAGAAGAACCAAAAAATGGGCTAGTGGACAACATAGAAACATAATAACGAAAGTGTACAAGTATTCAAATAGTTATAGAACAGAACACTTCTTTAGCCATATCCAGTTCTACTCCTAGACCTGGACAATAGGACCTCTGCCCTCAGCCCCTGCCTTTTGAATTCCTCTGGCCGTACTTCTCTTCATAAGGTGTGAGTTTCCGAGGACTGAGCCTACATGCCCACCTGAAGATGACACACACGCATGCCCAGAGTAGCTGGGGCTCCAGAATTCTCTGCTCAAGTAACTCTGCGCCTGCGTCCAGAGCTTGCATAGGTCTATACTTTTGTGAGTGAATTGCTGGGTCATCGGGATGCCTAAAGGGGTAGCCAAGAGATGTCTGTGGGTGTCTGGCAGAGGGAGCTTGGAAATTTGACTCGTTGAGGTGCAGGATTGATCTGGGGTAGAAAGAGACACGGGGCAGTCACAGGCCTGGTTTCATGTGTTGGTTCTCCTCATGCTACTCCACTCTGGGGTGGAAATCTGAGAAGTCAGGGACAGAAGTCTGAGAATTATAAATTCAATCCTAATTTCCAAGTTGTTAGGAAGGTAAATTTTTCAAGGTAGAAGAAGACAAGACATGTTATCTGGGCTTGATTGATAATGTTTAATATTAGGTTGGTGCAAAAATAAATGCAGTTTTTGCCATTATTTTTAATATTTAGAGATTTGGTATATTGGCCTTTTTTTGTACTTTTGGCCTATGTCCTACAAATGTTGGGGGTGGGGCACAACTAACAAAATCTTACTTTGAGTTTCACCAACTCCTTAGACAGAAGAGATTTTTAAGTTAATATGAGGATAAACTAAAAATTATTTCTAGTCTGGTGTCTTTTCGTTTTGGTTTTAAGTGTGTGTTTGGTTTGTGTATTTGAATAATTGCTTATGTTAACTTTTCATTAACACTACATGCTTTCTTGCAGAAAGGGCTTTGCTCACTCTCAACTAATTTTTTTTTATTGTCATTATGAAGTCCTTTATAAAGATTCAAATGTGAAATGCCATCAAGATTCTGCTGCCCAGGTTACAGACAAGCTGGTCAGTGCTCTCTTATAGACTGCATAACCGTGTTCCATGTGACCTATAAGGAAGCTATCCACCTGCTTAAGACTTTGTAATTTTGTGGCTGAAAGTGACTTTGAATAATGTAGTTCAATAATTTCCATTTTACAGGATAAAAAACTTATGCCCAGATATCACACTTAACAATGATAATCTCTCCTACACAAAAATAAAAATAATTTATTTGGCCTAAAGAATAGAAAGCTCTTAATAAGTACTAGAGTTTTTAAAAAGTGATTTAAAATTTTTTTTATTCCATTAATGTGTTTTAGTTTTGAGATGGAATGAGTATTGATTTTCAAAGTTCTTATCAAAATGCAGACACTTCTAAGAGACAAAAGTCTTGTGCATTGTAAGCTAAGTTAGTCGATAGCCGAGGTCTTGGAAACTGAACACAGTTCAGGAGCTTACAGGACGAAAGGCAGGAAGTAGGGGCAGGGTGAGGAGGTGTGTTGGTCAGCGAGATGGGAGACAGCCTGAAAGCATAGCTTAGTAGATAATTTTGCCTAAGGCCAGTTCTGTATGCAGGGAGATGCTGACTGGAGAAAAAGTGGCCCAGTTGTTGGATCTGCAGCACAGAACAGGCCTTGTAGCAAACAGGAAGTGACAAAAATAACTACCTTTTCAACACAAGCAGCAGCTTTAAATGGTGCACAATGAATTTTTCATCTATCAATTACACTGCAAACTAGAAAGTCACTGATAACAAGGATGCCTCCTTATGTCACTTCAGGGGACTGTTTAAAAATAGAAGACTGCCGGAAAACAGGAGAAGCATAATCAATACTGTGATTAATGGCAGTAATTTCACACAAACATCTGGGCAATTAAATATGCTCTTTAGGAGGTGTTTCGCCTCGTGACTAGTGAAGGAATGAATGAGTTTCAAATCAAATATCACTGTCAGTATACTGAATAATTCACAGCCACAAACGACTTCAAACTGGAACATTTCCAGCTGTCAAATCTATAAAAAGTCTTATTTTAAAGAAAATATACTCTGGGTCAGCATTTCATTCTGCAATCCTTGTTCATTTTAATTTAAAGGCACTCTAACAATTATATATACACTCACTATCTATTCGTACCCACATGTTAGCTATGCATTATGGGAAATAAAAGGACTATGTCACATGACTTCTGCTCCCAGCAAAGTTAACATTTTTGTTGGCTGAGCAAAGAACATCCTCAGGAAACAATTAGCAGGCTATCGTAAGTGTTTGTGTTTCCACACCTGGGCCAACCATAAAAAATATTTGACATGTTTGTTAAATTCAATTCATCAGGTTGAGTGTAGAACTCAGGAATCCGTATGGCCACATACAGTCCATCTTTAAGAAACATTGCAGTACTGTTTCTAAGAAAGCGTGCCATGAAATCAATACCTAAAATACATAATCCAAAAGATGAAACTATTTGACCCAAAAACAGTCCAAAAAGGAATGGCCATGTTAACACCTTATTTTAGGCATTGTACTAAGAGCTTCATTACTACACACACTTTAAAAAAAAAATAAAACTTTGTCATTTTAACAATTCCCTCACTGCAGTCATCTGTAGAATCCTGGAAAAGAAAAGGATTTGTAAAATAATTACTTTTATACATGGGAAACAAGAAGGTCAGGGAGATGACTTGCCTGGTCCCAAAATTTAGTTAGTGATTCATTGGAATTCTATTCGGATCTATCCACTATGCCACACCGTCCCTCTCAGTAAAAAGTGCTATCATTAGTTAGAACACTTTGGTAGCTTTGCTGCAAGTTCAAATACTAGGATATCTACTAACAAGCCAGCTGACAATGTTACACCTCTTGTATCTTTCAAAAAAAAAAAAATGTTCTTACATCTAAAGTATCATGATATTTTATAGTCAGAAAGTTCAAACCATGAGCAATGCCATAAGTTAAGTTGATATTGATTTCAGTTATGAGAAAGCATTGCTGTGAAAAGAGACTACACCATTTCTAAAAACTGAGACAATGAAGAATGTCCACTGGCAAATTGGTTACTTTGATTCCAGACATGTCCCTTTCAACTCCCAGATCATCTGGCCAAACAATTATCCACCATCTATGCATCAGTGCAGACACTTACTTCTGACCATCTCTCTCCAGGCAACGTCAAGATTTATCATTTGAAGAATTTCTTTTCTTCACTCTCTTTCAGAGCCACCTCTTAGTTGGACTATTTCACTGCAACAGTCCCCTTCAGCTGGTGAGTCTCTCAAGTAATCCGTAAAACAGGTTGGAAAATTTCTTCCTCAGTTACTGTTGCAGCTGAAGGGAAGTGTGACCTGGCAGCAGGTAAAGATGAATTGGGAATGTGTACCGCTTCTTCATGCAACTTGTACATTCAGGGCCTGCTTGGACCTCATGTGGTATATACCACTTCCACTTGATGGAGTCCTACTGGCATGCTTGACTTTATGGCATGGTAGATCAGATATTCAATTAATCAAAAGTGTGAGTATCTTTATGGTTTGTGGTTCAGTACCTCATAGGACACAGTAGCAAGTTAACCATCATTTTTCAATTGAGAATAGTTACTTGCTGAAAAGTACATTTTTGTACATTTTTTTTCAGAACTGTGAAGACTTTGTGTATTACAGATTTCTGCTGGTTGAATCTGCCAAATGCAGTTTAAGTAGATACACTGAGTTATGACAGCAAGATAGAAAATTGTTGATACTGTGGACAAACATCTCTCTCTTTCTTTGAGTCTTCAGGAAATCTAGCAGTCTTTTGGATTATTGAGTAAACGGATTGAAGAACCACATCACAAAGTATTACATGTGCATCTCTTTTGATGGTGGTGTCTGCGAAGTGCAGCAACTTATTTGTAAATTTAGAGGAAATATTCTAACACACTCTAAACAATTAGACACATAGACATTTCCTCGAATATAGCATACTTTCTCACAACATTAATTTCCCATTTTTTGGTACGCATGCATCAGTATCTCTTAGCTCACCGTATCTAGCTTCTATCGGCATGCTGTCGTCAGTGCAGTTTTTAAGTATGAATTCTATGTAAGAGTAAGAATGGTTAATTTGGCCAGGCGGAGTGGCTCACACCTGTAATCCCAGCACTTTGGGAGGCCGAGTCAGGTGGATCGCCTGAGGTCAGGAGTTTGAAACCAGCCTGGCCAACATGGTGAAACCCCGTTTCTACTAAAAATAATAATAAAAAAATAGGTGGTTGTGGTGGTGGGTGCCTGTAATCCCAGCTACTCGGGAGGCTGAGGCAGGAGAATCACTTGAACCTGAGAGGCAGAGGTTGCAGTGAGCCAAGATCACGCCACTGCACTCCAGACTGGGAGACAAGAGCAAAACTCTGTCTCAAAAAAAAAAAAAGAAAGATTAATTTACCTTCAAACTAAATTGTCACACATATTTGACATAACATGGTGCCAATGTGGTAAAGGTGTACTGCTATCCTTGCTAAGTGAGATAACTGAATTTGATAGTCTGTACCTATTGGAATACATTAAGAAGTCATCTGCCAGATCAGTAGCTACACATTGGGTAATAGAGACTGTACAAATTATTTCAGTAAAGAGATCCACATCTGGAATAGCTGTGGCAGTTTAAATTACCATCTGTTATCATTACGATAATCTACCATCATTTTCCAAATCCCATTCACATTTTCCACTGGCTAAAGAGGAAAGTTAAATATTGGTGTGATACCAATCACAATTATTGAAGTTTTCAAATCTTCGATGATGGTGCTAGGCAATTTCTGTGCGTTTACTCCAGAGGTGTAGTTTTAATTTTGTTATTGAGAGGGAGCACTTGGAGCTTCTGTTTGGTCCTGCTTATTGTAATCACTCTTCACTTAGGTCTCCGAGATAGAGGTTCTAACAGATGCTAAATGTAATATTCAAAATTCACTAGGGAAATAATCATAGTGTATGTTGGGATCCAAGTGGGACTATCTTGAATCAAAACCTCTCTCCATAAGACCAAAGTTGCTATTTAGGATTCTAAGAATGAGAGAGCAAAGTCATTGTCAAAATATTCCTGGAAAGTCTGCATATTTACCGTATTTTAGAACATAATTACATCGTGAAACGGTCACAGATAATTGTGATAACATTAAAAATTTCTTCCTCCAGGGTAACTAGGTGCATTGTTTTTCTTCAAATTTCAACAGATGCTGAGTCTATGGACCGATTCCGGTCTGAGAACTGGGAAGGAGCTCTAGCTCTCCAAACAGGTGATTTGAGTCAGGCCTCTGTTCAATTAGATTATAAGGCCTAATTTTTTTAAATCAGTTGTACAATTCAGATAGGAATTTATGGGCTATCTTCTATTTTTGTCTCAGGGGCTTTAATGATGAAATAGCTACCTCCAAAATCCACTAACATAACCAAACTGCTCTTGCTCCTGGTGGCCAATGACAGCTACTGCTACTTGGGCCTTTCCATTCTTGGGATCTATTGTCCTCATTGAGATAGTAAGCTGTTTTTAAAGTAGTTTCTCTCATTAGCACCCCTATTTAGTAGACAGCAACTTTTAAAATACTTTTTCAAAGTGGATGTTGCTCTTCTCCTCATCATAGGGAATGATGGAATATGACTAGGTGTATGTGAGTGAGCTACATGTGGATACAGAATTCTAACATTGCCATCTCATTTAGTCTTTGGATTTCTTCTTTATCAAGAAATTTTTGGCATCTCATCTTCAATTATTTGAACGAATAATGATTCCAGGTTTACCGTATTCTGTGCTGTTTGATCTAGCTCATTTGTTGCAGAATATGTAGTAGTTAAACTCACACTGGTAAATTTTGCCAATTAAAAGTACGCGTTTCTGCCTTCTTGGTCTAGCACCTTCAGAATACTTTCCCATATGTAGCAGAACCTGGGTGGCATAAATTTTGTAGTTTTTTGGTATATAAGCTGTTTCCTCAATGCTTGACATCATAATTACTTTCTTCTCAGGGTCTATTGGAATATGACTCTAGCTTTATATCTGGAGACATTAAAATGTGTTAAGAACAAGGCAAAGATTTTATTAACTTGTCTTTGCAGGGTAACTCTATTGTAGAAGTTGCTATAGAGTCTTTCAACAAGGCAGGAACCACCTCATCAGGTTAGGAAAATGAGATATTTAAACTCACAGTGGGCTGTGAATTGAGAAGTCATGTGAATCCTAAAAGTTCTCCAATATCCCTTCATTTTAATTAGTAGGTTCTATTCTTTCCCAATACTAACCTTTAGGGTTTATGTAAGAGATCTAATGAGACTATGAATTAATAGACATCGGAATGTGGCAGCATACTGCATCAAATGAGGGTTTTGTTTCTAGCTTTCTCAGAACAGTGGCTGCAAAAGTTAAGAAATTCATAGAAAGTCCCTAGTTTTCAGTAAATGGCTGATACGGTTTGGCTGTGTCCCCGCCCAAATCTCATCTTGAATTGTAGTTCCCCTAATCCCCACATGTGGTGGGAGGGACCTGGTGGGAGGAAATTGGATCATGGGGGTGGTTACCCTCATGTTGTTTTTGTGATAGTGAGTGAGTTCTCACAAGACCTGAGGATTTTATAAGGGGCTTTTCCCCCTTTTGCTGGGGACTTCTCCTTGCTGCTGCCATGTGAAGGACATGTTTGCTTCCCCTTCTGCCATGATTGTAGGTTTCCTGAGGCCTCCTCAGCCACGCTGAACTGTGAGTCAATTAAATGTCTTTCCTATATAAATTACCCAGTTTGGGGTATGTCCTTATTAGCAGTGTGAGAACAGACTAATACAATGCCTGAACCAATAAACTACAAATTTAGCTTATAATTTTCCTTTTTAAATCTTTCATGTGTTCTTACAAGGAAAGTCTTCAGGGCTAGGTGCACTGGCTTATTCCTGTAATCCCAGCACTTTGGGAGGCTAAGGCAGGTGGTTTGCTTGAGCTCAGGAGCTTGAGACCAGCCTGAGCAACATGGCAAAACCCCACCTCTACAAAAAATACAAAAATTAACCAGGTGTGGTGGTGCACACCTGTAGTCCCAGCTATTCAGGAGGCTGAGGTGGGAGGATCACTTGATTCCAAGAGGTTGAGGCTTCAGTGAACAGCAATCATGCCACTGCATTGCAGCCTGGGCAACAGAGTGAGACCCTATCTCAAAAACAAAAAAAAAAAAGAAAGAAAAAAAGAAAAAGAAATAATGCCTTCAGCTCATAGTCTTTGAGACCTTCAAGTCTTTCATACACTTATATAGCAGCAGAGCCTGGGTGTTCTAAAGCCTTGCCTTCTATTGTACCTGATCCCAGGTAATGAAACATAATAATTTAGCTATCTGTTTTGCTCCCAAGTGCCATTAGCTGTCCAAGATATACCCCTTTAAAGGAGGTGAATTTTCACTATTCAATGTCTAACGAGGAGAGATACACAATTTTTAGTCCTCTATTCCCCCAAGTTGCTACTGACAACAACCACTTCAGTTCGGAGTTAGTCACATGCCATGAAACCAACTCTGACTGACTTTAACTAAAAACAAATTCATTAAAAGGGCTGATGGTAGCTTACAGAATCACCAGGTGGGTTGGCTGAATAAAGAGGCATCAAATCCCTTTACGATCTAACTCTTGCCTATATATTTGAATTTAATGTTCACAATTCTCCTTTATGTACATTGCACTCTAGTTCTGGAATAATTCAATTCCCAAATGTGCTATGCTGTCACACCTGTATGCTTTCCCATAAGCTATACTTTTTGCTTGAAATGATACTTTCCTACTTTTAAGCTCTTAATCTACTACTTTTTTTCATGCATTACCTTCTTTATCAAGTATTCTATGATAATCCTAACTAGAACTGCCATTGAGAATCTCTCATGATCTTATACCCATTACAATACATGTTATCATATTGTACATTATAGTACATTGTGCTATGCATCATATGCTATATAAATATACTAATTACAATGAGGTATGATAATTTAAACAAATTTGATTCCCCTACTTGACTTTGCATAGCTTATCTCCTGTTCTAGCAAATATTTGAAATGTAGCAAATATTCAATTAATATTGAATGAGAAGACAAACGAACCAATAATCATTTTTTGGAAAAGATAATTTATGAATTCACAGTAACAGGTAACATGTTACTGTTACAAGTATTTCTTTAAAGCATATAAAATTTTCTCTATCTGATCTTAAATCTCACCTGTTTCTTCAGGATCCTCACTTTCTTGTTGGGGAGATGACCTAGAGCTTGTTGGTATCTTGTTCTAAGTTAATTTTACTCACCATTGCTTACCGCACTGAACCTTTCCTTTGAAGAGTATTTCTCACACTCAATAAAATGGAAAAATTTATCATCCCTAAGCTCTTATCATCCAAAAACATCTGACCAAATATCTCCCTAACACTGAGGCTAAGTGTCCTGACAAGCAGTTGCAAAGATTTTCATGAATCTTCTTTTTCTCTGCCAAGTGGGAGTCCACAAAGGCTATATAAAACATGAACAGACAATGGGGAGGAAAAGACAAAGACTACGCTGGGAAGTGGGTGAAAAGAAAAACCATGATCAAATGAGTCTGATTAATGCCCAGTGGCAGATGCAAAGCAGTGGAGTCATGGTCAGAGCATTCCTATGTCCGTAAAAATTTTGGATGTGTTCACCACAGGTTGCTTTTGTGATTTAAACTCTCTACTATTGGATTAATACAGTTACACCATTTAAAACATTGCATAATGCTAAAACAATGCCATAAAATATAATCATTCCCAATTGCAGCCCCTACTCACATAGTCTTCCTCCGCAAAAATCTCTTCTGATGTTTTCGGCTGATTTTTTTTCTTGGCATTTAGCATGTCAGAATTCCTAAGTAATACACAAGTATTTATCATTAAATCAACATTAGACATCATCTCTGGATTTCCTGTAATGTTAGATGAAGATTAAGCTGTCTTCTATGTCATCTCCTCTGCTTCCCCTCCCTTATTTTCTTGATTGCTTTATTATAATTGTTTGTTAAATAAAAATACAGCTTATACATTATCCTGACTATAACTGGAACTGAGCATTAAATTGAATCTTTATTAGAATTTAAAAATATTTATTAAATTAACAAATGCCTTGTTTTTACATTTGCTTCATTTATTGGTACCTAATTGGTTAAGTCTCTATAAACTCCAAATACCTCCAGGTACAGTTTCCCACAAGGCCAATCACATCACGTAATTTATTGGTTTTACTTTGTGTATTGTTTCACTCTGTGTGCATATGAATTATACTCACACACACATACATATATGTATAATTTCCATACTGGAGTCATTGATTCTCCTATTTGGACTAGTTATTCTCTAGGTCTGCTATGTAGGACTTACCTTTGCTTTTATTTTAGGATTTTTTTTCTCAAGAAATGAATTATCTATTCCTTTTTTTTTTTTTTTTTTTTTTTGAGATGGAGTTTTGCTCTTGTAGCCCAGGCTGGAGTGCAATGGCATGATCTCGGCTCACTGCAACCTCCGCCTCCTGGGTTCAAGCGATTCTCCTGCCTCAGCCTCCTGAGTAGCTGGGATTACAGGCATGCACCACCACCCTGGCTAATTTTGTATTTTTAGTAGAGACGGGGTTTCTCCACGTTGGTCAGGATGGTCTTGAACATCCTGACCTCAGGTGATCCACAAGCCTCGGCTTCCCAAAGTGCTGGGATTACAGGTGTGAGCCACCACGCCTGGCTATTCCTTAGATCTTATGTGTTCTTATTTTATTTTCTTGTTTTGATGAAGCACATCCTGAAGTATCATCGTAGGTTAAAAATCATGCCATGATGACAAAGTCATGAGGCTAAAAGTCCTCAACATGCTTATCTATTCATCATACTGCTCCAATCTCAATTGGTTATCTTTTATGCCTGGTGCACAGTTGTAATCTTGGAGGTACCCTTCACCATACTCTTGGACTCTGGTCAGATAATTCCTTTACTGCTTTTTTTTTCTTCTCCTTCTTTTTTTTTTTAAATTCGGTTTATTTTGTTTTGCTAAATTCTATTTCCCTTTTTTGAATTTCTCATTGTTTAGTGAAACACATCTTTTAGTTGAGAACTGCAACATGAGAGTAAAAAACTTTTGAGAACTTGCCTGGCTTTATTCTACTCTACATTTAGTGAATATTTGCTTGTGTATAGACTTATAGATTAAAAATAATTTTCATTCAAAAATTTGAAGACAACACTGTATAATACTCAAATTGTCAGTGTTATTTTGGAAAAATCTAAGCCTATTTCAATTTGTTATGCTTTGTAAGTGAATTTTCTACCCTCTCTCTGAAAGCTTAATACAGTGTTTTGTTTCTTGTTCATGATCTGAATTTTCACTGTGACTTATTGTGTGTCCATTTTCATCCATTATACTTGACATCTCTAGGTTCTTTCAACCTGGAAACTCAAGTGTCTAAATTCCAGAAAATTTTACCAAATTGTATGATAATTATTTCTCTCCTTCATTTTCACTGTTCTCTTTTTCTGGAACTCAATTATTTGAATGTTGTACCTCCTAGACTTTTAAATCTGTCCTCTAATTTTCAAATATTTTGCTCTAGTAGTTTTTTCATATCTTTCTTTTTTTGCTGTATTCTCCAAGAGATTTAACGTCACCTCTCCAAACTTTATATTAAGTCCTTCGTTGTTCTTACTATGTTTTTAATTTTCAAGCAAATTTTTTTTTCCTTTATGGAATATTAAAGATAGTTTTACATGTTTTTTCCTCAGGCATAACCTGTTTCCTTCATGGTTTTTGTGCATTTGTTTTGGTCTCTATCTCTCTGCTTAAGCCTTTCCTCAAATACCTAGAAACCCTTGATTATCTGACGCTGTTCAACAGGAGTAAACAAAAAGCTGATTGGAAACATTGACTGTATTGATGGGATCTGTCAGTATGAAATTTAATAAGGGATAATTCTGCTGGCCATTATGGAGAAAACCCTGGGTACCAAATTTTATTAGGTTTCCTCTTGAGTTGTCAGATTCACCAGAGAAGAGTGTTCCACTTTCTGACACAGAGAAAAGCAGACAAACAAACAAAACCAAAATCTCAGTGCTGATGTTCCTGTGGTGAGACAGCGGAAGAATTCTGCATTGGTCTTGGAATTCAGCATTGAACTATAGAACAGGGGATTCATCCAATCCTCTGTTTTGGTATAGAAAGTCCCAATTCAGAGATTTTTTTTACCCTTTCTATGGACCAAACTTTTGAGTTTTGGGCTGGAAAAAGGAGAGTGAGTTATCAATGGCAGGGAGGCATGGACAGGATCTGGAGTATTTAACTGTTCCTTATAGTTCTAAATTCTTCTTATTTTAGTCAACTCCATTCACCTCATGTCCGCAGCTGCTTGGTGTGTCCATTCCCCCAGCATTCAACACATATGTGATGGAGTTGGGTTTGCTCTCTGCTTGCCCCTCCCAGTTTCTATGATTTGGTTTCCTTGGTTCTGCTAAGCCAGTTACCAGGTGTCCACTTGTTTTCAGCTTTCCAAATGTTGCCATGGTCTCCTCACTTGTATCTCCTTTTCCTAGGTCTTTGAAAATAAAGAAATAAAATAGATTTTCTATAGTTTTAGTAGAGCTTTGGGGAGAAGGAAATTATATACCTGTGGCTGATCTATCATTTGACCTGAAAATGTGATGATAGCTCTTAGATGCATGTCACACACCAGGTAAACTCTAGAATGAGTTCTTAGGTGAAAATTATTGTAAGTATAGTGGTCCAATAACAGCTGTTCAAGGTGACAAGTAACTTTAACAAATGGCCTCTTTTCCTGATCTTGAACTGTTTATCTTTATCCTCTCTTTTATTCTTGACTTGGCTCTTTCCCTTTTGAATACCTCACCAATCTTTAGTTTCCTCCAGATTAAACACCATGTTTGAAATGCTGTCCTGTAGAACCAACACTGGACCTGCAAGAATTTGGGCTGCATTCTCCTCTGAATAAGCAAAATGACTCCTATTTCAAAGTCTTTTCATAATGTCTCTTTTATAAGGGAATTTGTTTACTGCCTAATGGTAAGTAAACTAATAAATATTTCTTTGATGTCTATGCACAGATTTGAGAAAGTATGATTTGAGAAAGTATGATTATTTTAAATTCTCATAATTGATCTATCTGCCAACATACAGGTTTCCCACTTTACTTGGCTATTGTTAAAAAATTTCCTCTTGGTTTAAAAGATGATTATTAGAAGTAAAAGATTAAGGCGGGGTGCACTTTGGGAGGCAGGTGGATCACCTGAGGTCAGGAGTTCAAGACCAGCTTGGCCAACATGGCGAAACACCATCTCTACTAAAAATACAAAAATTAGCCAGGCGTAGTGGTGGGCGTCTGTAATCCCAGCTACTCGGGAGGCTGAGGCAGGAGAATTCCTTGAACCTGGGAGGTGGAGGTTGCAGTGAGCCCAGATTGTGCCATTGCACTCCAGCCTGGGCAACAGAGCAAGACTCTTATCTCAAAAAAAAAAAAGAAAATAAAGAAGAAGTAAAAGATTAATATAAAAAAGGTTAGTCTAAACTTGAGGCTTTCTTTATGATTTAATGAGCAATAAGCAATATTTAAAGAGCTTTGGAAAAAATAAGGCCTTAGAAAAAAATCAAGGTCAAGTGCTTAAAATATTTGATCTTGTAACACAAATGCTTTTAAATATCTTAATTCATATATCTTTGAAAATGGGTTAGAGAATATAACAAAGCAAAATAAAGTTTCTGTAATGCCAGTTATAGTAAAGAACACAATTTAGTTTAGTACAATAAACATGTCTTTAGCTCCTTCTTTGTGTAAGGCACCACATTACATGCTGCAGCAGGAGAAAAAGAAAAACAGTAAGAAGAATAT
Source organism: Homo sapiens (assembly GCF_000001405.40). NCBI lineage: Eukaryota > Metazoa > Chordata > Mammalia > Primates > Hominidae > Homo > Homo sapiens. Next base: position 88,028,722 of record NC_000008.11, read on the forward strand.
AATCAACAGAAGCTTACACATTAACAAGAAATTATTTTTAAAATTTCACATAAAATTATAATCTTTGTCTAAAATGTTGGCTAAGAGTGTGGTCATATAACTTATAAAACTGGAACACTTCTGAAGGAAAAGGGAGACAATATTAACTATACTAGGAGAATCCTAGCAAAACACAATGCAAACAGATGACATGAGGTTTCAAAGGTGGGGGTGTTTTTATCTGTTTAGTGAGGTCAGGGAAGATGGGGAAGGTGGAATTCAAAGTAGAGAGGACAGCATGTGCAAGAACATGGGTAAGAGATGGCAGATATTTGGATGGCTTTAGGCATAAAAATATATAATTATATACCCTGGGAGAAAAATCTTGAAAGACAAGTAGAGAATAGATTTTGAAGGTTCTGCATATAAAATCTTTGTGTTTAAGATTTTAAGAGGAATGATAAGATTTGAACTCTAATTTGAGAAGATTGGCCAGAAATGTGTAGACAGGATGAAAAATAGAGATTGAATAAGACAAGACCACTGAGAAAGCAAGAAATAATGAACCCTAAATAGGGTAAGAATGCCAAGGAAAAATCAGACGCAAATAATACCATGTAGAACTAGAAGCAGAATTCATAGATAAGGCAAATGTCGAATGGGGCATATGCGTCAAAGGAAGGAGAAGGCCAAGAACTTGTGAAGTTTTAATCGATAGGTAAACAAGAGAATCTAGTGCCATTAAATAGATTAGATAATTCAGGAGGAATTTCGAGGGGAGGGAAGGGATAGTGGTGAGTTTGAAATTTAGTAGATTGAATCTGGGAAGCTAAAAAAAATTCAAATCAATTTGTCTAGCAAGTGGGTGGAAATTGTGAATCTGAGTTTCACAGCACATCATAGTCATAAAGCTAAAGCCATGGCTGTGAACGAGGGTCCAGGAAAGAGTGTAGAAATAATAAAGGAAGTTAAGAACGTGGTGGTGGTGGTGGGGTCATGTAAACTCACAAGAATTAGTTTAAAAAGTTAACACGGTGAGGGGAAAATCCTAAACTCTAATGTCTAGAAGTCAACATTTTATTGAAGACTATGAGCTAGGTACTCTACCAGCATAGGAAAAAATGAATAGTCCTACCACCAAGGAGTTGCCTAGAACAAATATTAATGGCAGAGTAATTATTAGTATTAAATACTATGAGGAAGTCCAGTAAGATAGGAAATAAAGACTCAATTTAGTGATGACTATATAATTTACCTTTCATGAAATAGGTCTAGTGAAGTGGTGAGGAGTGCAACAAAATTATAAAAAGGAAAGAATGAGGATGTGGAAAAGACAAAAGGATTGTAAATTTTTCTTTCAAGAAATAGTGCAATTGAGAAAGAGAGAAGGAAAGAAAAGGGGAAAAGAAGGGAAGAGAGGGAGGAGGGGAAGGAAGAGGAGCAGTAGGAGGGGAGAGCCAGTGGCACACTGGGGTAACTAATTTGAGAGGGTGGCTGAATGCATGAAATTGGGTTGAAGCTATGCCCATTCAAATACTTTTTTTAAAAAATTAAAATATGCAAACATTATAATCCACCTCAATAAGTAATACCTATTCCTATAGTGAGCTAGGTGTATTACTAGATTATCTATATCCTTATTTGTATTCTTCTTTTTCTCCACAAGTTGTTATTCTAATTTAGTCCTTGATAGTGGCAAAATCATGTAATATATTGCATATAACATTGTATTTTAATATTAAATAAATCCATATACAAAAGAAAAATAAATTATCTACTGAGTCAATTGGATGTTTCCAGCTTCTCTCTCTGACAATAAAAACAAAGGAGATTGATTCTTGGATTCAGATATTTATGGTTTAATAGTCTCAATAGTTTTATGAAAATCAAGTTTTTTTTTAAAGCCTTCTACAAATAAAAGTAAACTATATTGTTGGTTGGCTCACCCTTGTAGGTTCTCTGACATGTTCTAAAAGCCAACAACTCTTATCTGCAGTCTTCCTTTAAACTCCTGATAGATCTCCAAATTCCCCAGGATTCATTCTAGATTCAGAGCTCAACTTAACACAAAGGTTCTCTAACCCTCTAGTCTACTTTTTATAACTTCAGGCAAATAAATCTCTGTAATCCTCTTAGTTGCTCTGCTTCACAGCTCCCCTTTCATGTGTGGACTAAAATTTGTAAGATTAATTCCTTGGTGGACAGGTGTACCTTGATTTTTGCATAAGAGAACAACCCATTTGCTTTATTCCCAATATGACTTCCTAAAATTCAGATGACCTTTGATACACGTTAGATCTGATCTTCAGAAAGTTCTTGGTTTAGCACTCGATTACATGCAACTATTTGATATTCTCAGAAAGTGGTTTCACAGTTTAACCTATGTACAAGGTAATTTATTTATATGTTAGTTATGAAAATATTAGTCCTTCCTCTTTCTTTCTGTGAGTGGGTTCTTCAGTTCATGGCCATCCTTTACTATAATCCTATTTTTTTCTATTTTTTTTTTTAATTTTTAAAATGGAGATTGAGTCTTGCTCTGTTGCCCAGGCTGGAGTGCAATGGCATGATCTCAGCTCACTGCAACCTCCACCTCCTGGTTCAAGCGATTCTCCCACCTCAGCCTACTGAGTAGCTGAGATTACAGGCACCTGCCATCATGCCCGGCTAATTTTTGTATTTTTTTGTAGAGTTGGGCTTTCACCATGTTGGCCAGGCTGGTCTTGAATTCATGACCTCAGGTGATCTGCCTGCCTTGGATTCCCACAGTGCTGATATTACAGGCATGAGCCACCATGCTCAGCCAATCCTATTATTAAAAGAGAGAAAAAAAGGGGGGGGGATTTCTTATACGGGATTTTGCCAAAGACTTAACATAAAAATTAATTCCTGTGATTAAATTTGCCTAGATAACTATGATGTGTAACTTTAAAAATAAATTATATTCATCTCTTCAAAATGTCGTCTTTTATTTTTGTCAAGTCTTTGTAGAAACCTTAAATATCCTATGTTCACAGGCATTTGCCTGAAATATATTTGATGCAATGAAGTTTTCTTCTCCATTATTTGATCACAGTTATAAGCATATAGTAACTAAACAGTTTCTCCAGTTGATGTGGCCAGTTTAATATACTTGCTAGTTCAGGTAAATGCACTGAGGATTTTTCCCTAAATTAGTTTTCATTTTCTGTTTCATATGGATTAGAAAGACACAGATAGTAAAGGCTACTGCTTATAAATCATATCTTACATATTGGTCATAAATGTGTGTAAATCATTCATTGAGTAAAACCACAATGTCTATGAACCATTTTTCTGTTCTCTTATTTATTGACAGTTTCTTTTAATTACAACACAATGAATTGATGGTAAATACAGAAGATGCAATAGTATAAAAAGCCATTTAACCCTTCCCTAGGTTAAGACACTTACAGCAGACAAAAACTGCCCCACCCCTAATCCCCTCCTTGAATGGAAACAAAATAAATATAAATTAATAAATACAAAACAAATCACTGCACAGCCCTTAACTCTTTGATTGCCATGGCAAGAACCATGCTGATGATTCTAGCTTGTGACATTTGTGTGGTTAAAGGTTGCCGCAGCAGTCAAAGGGTTATAGCATTGTAAACATAAGTACTTTGTGGAAAAGTTCAGTCATGTTAATGGTCTATAGCAATGAGATTAATAGCATGACCCCTTGACCTTTAATGACGCAACATTATAAGGAGTTAAAAGAGATAGTAGCTTGGTGAGCTGTTACATAGACTAGTCAACCACTTTATTTAACAATGTGCTATGAGGCCTTGATTTACTAATAAAAGACAACTTGTGAATAATAAACACTGTTCAATGCACTGATCAATAAAATCAATGAAAAAATTAATTTAAGCACCACAAAATTTTGCCTGATTTTATCTGACAGTCATAATACACTTTAGCACCATTTATTTAGCCTTATATTTGCACACAAACAAGCTTTGTGTTTGTCAGTAGAAGCTATCTGAAAAAAAAAATGCCAGATTTAAGATGGTATAAGTGTATAGAATCCTGTGTGGGAAAAACATCACTACAACTTGCACACCTTAAAACTCATTCAGCAAATAAATGTGTTATTTATTTCTTTCCTTGCACACAGAAGACTACATATTATCAAGAACTTAATGAAATAGTGTTGAGTGTAATGAGAACAATGCAGAAACTTAAATCTAGATTTTAATACTCTCTCCATAATTGAAAACATCATGGGGAATTAAAAGAAAGGTGAAGTATTGTCAGACAACCACAAGATAATGGCCTAAATATTTAATTTCCTGGCGTTTCTCTCTGCTTCACAGTTTAATGTTATTTAAATAAAGTCTGTATTAATTTTAATTCTTTTACTTTCCCATAACCACAATATAGAAAGGAAAAAATTAGTTTCACAAGAAGCTATAAAATGTGTATTGTTTACCCAAGAGACAACTTCCCTTTGCAATTACTTGAATCTCATTCTGACTCTGAATGATAAATGTCTGTGCATTTTTTAAATATATGGTATTTATTTGACAAACTAAGTTTATGGGAGCTTTTTCTCCTTAATCTATCTAGTAAATATATATATATATATGTATCATATATACTATATATTCCTAAATCTATATTACCAGATAGCTTATATGGATGTCATAAATCTGCATTATCATACTGATCCACCGCTGGAATCAAGATAATGTTAATAAAGGTATACACGTTTTAAAATATCTTAAAGATAGGTTACTATACTGATGAAGCAGGCAAGTTTCTCAAGGTCAATAATTGATTCTTTTAAAAAAGCATCAACCAACTATGAACTAATTAGATTTTATGTTTTTGTTTAAAAAGTTAAGTTTATTAAAAGTTATATTAGCGCAAAATTGAACTAGTAAACTCCATTTATTTCCCTCCTATAATATAAAAACAAGATCTATTTGTTTAAAATCAGATACCTAAAAAAATCTTTCAAAACTTTTAAGCCTGAAACAAATTTTTATGGTCGAGTCTCTAAAACCCCTGAAAATAGAGGTCTGCAATAGAAATGCTGATACAGTCAAAACCAAGGCAGCAAAAAGCTGCCTCTGTAACACCCCTAATTCTTTGATTCTATCTCTCTTTCTAATATATATGTAATTTACACTTACAGAGAAATAGACCAAAGGATGAAGGTTTTAGGCATTTATGTACCCATGATGTACCTTAAACAGAACACTATACTGTGACTACTTTCCTGTATAATTATTTAAGATACATTCTCCAAAAGCAAATTTCCTTAGCTATCCTATCAACAGGCAATACCCATCATACTCAGCATTTCACTTTTCTCAGGGGAATAGCTCTATAAAAAGTTAGAAAAGCCAATGAGAGAGGTTGGGATGTATGTCAACTTTGCTGGGACTGTCTTTGCATGGAAGTTTTGACGAAAAATACTGAGGAACAAAGACATTTCCTGGGTACCATCTCTGATGTACAATGCTGCTCAATTCTGGTTTTCACAAAGGGAAGGGAAAACCAAATCTGTGTAAAAAAAAAAAAAAAAGGCAAGATAGGAATAGAAAGAAATGCAAATATAGACAGAGACTGCATAGGACAACTCAATAAGATGTATCTTTCCCAACCATCTGTATTTTTGGGTGAGAAACAGAAGGCAAACAAATAACGATCTTAGAATTGGAGGAGCAGAAAAACCAGGCACACATACCCTTGCTTGGAAATTGTTTGTTTGGAAGTAATTAAGATAGTGAAATTTTGTACTTATGAACATATAAAGGAATAATTGATTCCACATCAGCTGTAAAAGAAGTAAATGCCAAAAAGACCTAAAAACCTAATTTTACTCAGGCAATGGTATAGACAGCCAATAATGTGGCCTCTGTGACGGTATTTCAGTAATAGCAAAAATTGTAACATTGATTTAAGGATAACGCTCATATTACTACCAAAATCATTCATTCAAGCAAAGTATATTTTATCTTAACAATTGGATTGTTAATATATAGAGGAAACAGGTTCAAATTGGCATTATGTAACGGCAAATGAAACATGCATCCTAGTGACTTTTCAAATAGACAGCTCACACCAGGCTTCATTCAACCATGTCTTGGCAAGACAGGCCAATGTAGCGACATACATTCATATAAAAGGTGGCAAGTACAAGCAGCACCATATCCTATCCTAGGAAAATGCATCCTACCATGCAGTCACATCTCACCAAAGCTTCATCATATATAAAGCATGTATAAAAAGGCCTGTGTCAAAAAGTATTCTGCCTGGGATCCAGTTTACCCACAGACCAAATACTACAGAAATGTCTGTATTGTGACTGATATTTTTTTCATGTATAAAAACAAGTGGAAAAAATTCCCAAGAAACATCTCTATAAGCCAAAAAGTTTATCATTTTATTCTTGTTCACCATTCTTTTCTTCCAGTTTTTCTCTGTGAAATAAAGGTTAATGACATCTTGCTCTGAAGCTAAGTGACCTAACATAAGTATATTTCCGTATTTATATTTAATTGATTCTTATCCCTTTTTAAGGGCATATAAATTCAGCTCTACAGCAGAGCACATGGGAAAGTTATATGAATCTGTACAACATTCTAGTTTATGATGTATTTTCCTATACTGTTCAATGTGCCCTTTAATGTGAGGACACGCTGAGTGCACATTTGAATATCATCCCCAGTCCAATGATGCATAAAACAAATTCTAAGACACACTCATCTTTAAGTTGAAAAGGCATAGAATCCTCAGAAATCTCTATAAATAAATGTCTTTCATACATAACTTTTTATACTTACTCTGCACTGACCATGAGTTCTGGTTTATGCCCTTATTTGCCTTAGAAAACATTAGTTATGAATGTCTGTGAAGTCTCCGTTATAACACTAAGCTTCTGTGATCTTATATCCTTACTTAGTATAAATAAATAATATTGTTCTAATAAATGATGCATGTCACGTCCAGTTATAAGCCCATAATTGTGTTTAAAAATTGAAGACTGCTATGTACTTCTGTATTCTACTCAAACATTGACAGGAATTTTACAATATGTGTTTTTCCCTTAATTTCTGTGAGTATGTCCAATCAGTGTTCATTCTTAGGCTTTCTATACTATTGGTTTAACTTTCAAAGTAGACATACGTATAAAATATTGAAACATATATTTGTAATTGGATGTTATTAATCTTACCTGAAATATTTCAGAATTGTTTCAAAATCACACCAGTGGAAAAAGTGGAAAATGATTTCAGAAGTACATGAAAGACAAAGGTCACAATTAGATGAGACTAGAACATGAAGGCAACTTCTTTGCTACTACGCCAAGTGTCTTAGATTACATGAGTATTGAGGTAAATTTCTATTTCAGGGAAATGGCTTGTCTCAGGGGATTCTAACATTATATATCTTTCCAACTTGAGGTTACTGAACACCTACCTCTTACATTTTTAGCCTGTAAGGCAATGCATGAGTATCAGATGTGTTTAAGCACAGTAACATCTAATGACCACTGGCTAAATATTACATTGATATATCACATAATCATCACTAGTGCAAAGAGCTTGAAGTTGGATTTTTTTCCTCCACTATTTTATGCTTGCTAAAGTAAAATTTCCAGTTGTATTATCAAGGAGTGTTATAGTTTGTCTTTATATTTAACAAAAGACTCATTTTTCCTCCTCCATTTCCATCATATTATATAAATATGAAAGCTAAATATAATAATTAGCTTTCATATTTGTTGCGTTGCTATTCCTGGTTGCCGCTTTATTTATTACATAAAATTCTAATTTTTAAGATATAACTGTTAAAAATTTTCTGATGTAGTTATGATTCCCTCCTAGGCAACGTGGAGCCTGTAACTTAACTGCATATGCTCTGGCACCTATTTCCTGTGGTCACAATATATCAACAACATGAAGGTACATGAAATACAGCCGAATGATTAGATCCTCTTATATGATTGACTTGACACATTTTGTGATATTACATATTGGCTGAGATTGCTGTAATAGGTCATCTGAAATGCACATTTTTGGTTTATATAGCATATTCTATTTGACATCTGTGATACTTTGGAATATGCCCTTGAAAGCATCAGAAATGAAATAAGCTCTTTACTGTGTTTGCTAAAAAAGACCTTACCACCATCCAGAAGATTGTTTCAGTATATACTACAATCTCACAGACTCAATACTACCAGTAAATAATTCCCTTTATTAGTTTCTGGAAATGATTCCAAAAACTTTAAAATATATATTTTTTCATGACTCAGTTTAACTCAGTCTGTCTGTCTGCTTATAACATCCATTCCTCTTCAGATAGCACTTTGAGTTTAGTTAATATGGACACACTATTTATTCCACTGTAAGATCCACAAAGTGTGGGCGTGTATGTGTACCATACTAGATATATTAGCATAACATGTAGAACTTGCAAATATGACTACCCCTACAATCCAGTTTACACACCATCATCTATGTATTGGAACTAGCAGTGAAGTTTGGACAATGTTCTTATCCACCACATTGTGTTTTTTAATGACCCACAGAGAGGGAATGAAAATAGGTACACAGTATATGAAATGGCCAAATTATGTGTTAACAAAAAAAGATTATAGGTAATTATTAAAGGTAACACTTGCTTATGTGTTAACAAAAAAAGATTATAGGTAATTATTAAATGTAACACTTGCTTATTTCAGTAAACCAGTCTGTATCTTTTATTACTTAGTAATTATTTTTGGTAATCATTACTTAGTAATTTATCACATCGATTCAGAAAAGCCTTGCCCTCTGATTTATAACAGAAGTTGTCTTTGCTAGTATCACATAATGCTGTCTAATTTAGCTCTATAACCTTTGCAATCAGAAAGAGCATCTGTATTCACCTGCTCTGACTGCCATGTCAACAGACACTGTTCTGAAATGAGTCAATAAATTCACAACCTTATCTACAATTCTGATGCGGAATTACTGCTTTACAGGAAATTCAAACTGATCAGCTATTTTAATACTTCATTGCATTTGTTTAATAATACACAGAACAACAATATTTTACTAAAATTCTTAACTATATGGTCATTTTACATGAAGACCATTACCTTGTTTACATTTGTGTTTATATTAGATAAAGTAATGAGAAATGAAGCAGAAGGAGAATTATTTTTGCAGGCATGAATGTGTTTTCATTTCAATTTGGGAAATCCTATGTCTGAGCTTTTCATGTTATTAGTGATGGGGTGATGAAAATATTTTATGCCTTGCATATCTCTAGTAACACTGAACTGACACCTTATGTTATTGACCCATGGAAATTTATTCTGCATTGGTTTTGAATCACTATTCTTATGTGCTAGATGAATTACTTTCCCTTTCACTGTTCCATTTGGTTTGAGACTTTTTTCCCAAACCTCATGTAGAAGAGGAGTCAGGAACCATACCCACAAAGTAGCTGGTGTACAATAAACAAATGGAATCCCACTGTTTGTGATTACATTGTCCTTATTGTCTTCTTATCTCTTGTAATAGTACAGCCTGATAACTGAAATGTTCTGTTCAAAAGAGCAGCCTTATATGCCTTTGCTTATCACATAAATCTTGTCTCATATTAAAGTAAATATGACCCAACCCTTATTCATGACATTTGCCAGAATTCAAGCATAATGATAGACTCCTTCCTTCTTAATGCTATGATTATTTTCTAGCCCTTATATACTGATAGCCTTATGACGAATCAGGATATTGTGATGAATGAGTAAAGAGGCAACAGATTGCTTATTCAGTTTCTTTCTCATTTTAGAGGAAAAAAAAATCAATTTTCAATGCAGGGTGATGGAGTTCCTCAATGATTTGCACATGTCCCAAAATGACACAGTTCCTCATTTCTATCTTTAGCAAAATATAGTTTCCAGTTATTTTTTTCTTGACATCAAGGCCCTAAAAGGATTAAACCCTCCCACAAGCAAACACTGTATAAACGAGCTTATGTATATAGTCCTCCATGCTTAGCAGCAGTGACTAACTCTTTATAATATCAGCATCATCTAGAATGGAAGCACTGAAGTAAAGCTACAGGGCTGACTCTGGTTCTCATTTCTTGCTTTCTTGGCCCTTGCGTACATAATCTCCAATATCCTCTTAAAATATTGTCTGCATTGTATGATATTTTACTGTAAAGCCATTCTTCTTTTCTTACTCTTCTTTTTTCTTAGGCTCATACTATATACGCTCAGGTTGTAAGAAATAACAATCTGCAAGGCTTTGCAGCATGCCACCCACAATTATAAAATATTTTCCCCAACCAAATCATAAACATGTAGTTTAACCAAAAGGCATTCTAATTTTCATGCTACGTTGAGTATAAATATAAATTCAAGGCAGCCAAACTATCCATTTCCAAATAAGAATGTATACCTACACTCATTAAAAATCATCTGGAAATGTGTATTAGCAAATGAGTAAGAAATTTTTACTAGTATAAAATTCCTGCTTTATATAAAAGCCACACTGGCCATTCAAGTATTTGAGGTTTTTTTTTTCCTATAGTTTTTGTAATTTGTACTAAAATGATGAATTTAGACTTGAAATTATATTAAAATGAAATTAAAATTCACTTCTACCTATAGGGCATTTTCAGAGTGTGCATGTAAAGAGCAAAGTGTCCATCTGCAGATCTGCCATCACCACTCTCTCCACTCTAAGGAAACAGCTCATGCTTACTAGGTTTTAGAGAACAACTAATCCAATGGAGAAGCAACACCAGATTTCCTTCAGTTTGTGCCAGTTTGCAAGTTAAAGGTCAAAGGGCAAAGACATAGAACAGGACTCTTCAAGGAAAATTTTCACAGAAGACAATGTTTAAGTTGTTGTTAATGACAGTCAATAGATCAATAATCAAGTTCAAGGCAAGCTGTTCATTGTTTCAAAAGCTAATCCCCTCAAAGCTGGCTTTCACACAAAGCCAATGTCTGACTCATGGGGTGCATTCATTCTGACCATCTCTAATAAGTTCACAGCCCAGTGGCTGTAAAGCCTTTCACTGCAAGAAGCAGCTCCTAAAAATCAATAAAGAGGTCTGTCAGTTGCTGACTTTTCTCTAGGAAAAAAATATTGATACAAACCTGCTCTGCAGGTCACATGAAAATGACAATACTGCTGTTAGGACAAATTACACTCAACAATGAAATGCTTTGGTGGTCTCTTGGCTCTGTCAGTGATCAAATGGACGGCTAAATGCCAGAAGCCACACTAACCCTTTGAGAACTATGGTGGACATGCAATAGGTAATGCACTGGAGGATATTCATGCAACTTCAGAGTCACCGTTTTAATTCATTTTTAAAATGGCAATGCTAACTGCATATACCAAGGCAAATTGAATTTTCATGCAATGGATTTTAAAACAGAAATTCAGTATGCCTAAAAAAAAGAAAAGAAGACTTAGGCTATTATCAGTTTTTCAAATAAAATTTCAGATTTATGAGAATCTTAATAAAATACCTTTTTTATTTGCCAGAAAAATTTTGGCAAGTAACATCATTTCTGTTTGTTATAAACACATTTATGTAGTCTTGTAAATCATTTAAAAATTATATGACATTATAGGATATCTGTTTTAAAAACCTGAACTTCTTGAACTTGTGACTGTTTTTACCATTGCCCAGTTCTATAATTTATCAGATCGCAAGACCGACAATCCTAAGACTCTGAAAGCTGGTCTGATAGTTCTCAAAGGGTTACACGGGTATGTTACTAGTGTCACAAATCCTTGTAAAATAACTGCCACTGTAATCCACTTCAGAGACATACTGCTTCTTGCTCTGCTTTGTAACGAATATTCCTGACAGACCCATGGAAGGCCTGGGGCAATGGCCTAATACAACTTGGGAAGATTATCACAATGATGGAGGAGTAAGGTGGAAAGAAGGGGTTTAGAAATACTTCAAAAACAATTAAAAGGTCGTGTTTGAAAATAGCTATGAATATAAATGCGATGAAACACTGAGGACATAGCTGAGAACAGCTGTATAAAACGAAAAATGGATGTATTATTAAGGCTGTTACTATATTGCAGATATTTTGGCCCCTTGGTTGTTGGAAAATGGCTGTCCCAACAGTCTAACGTCCTGCATGTGTATTCCAAATCTCCCACCTGACAAAATGGTGCGTAGGAGACTATCCAAAGCAGTCAGAGAGCTATCTTCTTTGGAGACAAAGCTGTTTTGGGTCTTCACACTTTCCTGGAAGTTCAATTGTGGGTTTTTTGTTTAAACTCTTTTTTCCCTTTGTTTTAAAGCAAAAAAAGAAAAAAAGAAAAAAAGAAAAAAAGAAAAACCGTGGGTTTTCTGATTTGCTTTTTTTTTCTCCCCCCAGAAATGGGCTCAGACTTCAGAAGGAAAATAACATTAGAAACTTTTAAGAAGAATCTTTTCTTCTTTTTCTCCTCTTCTTTAGTTAATCCTGAAATTTTACTGGGCATTGAGCGTGCAGAGGAAAGGCCTAGAACTGAATGACAAAGAAAGACAAAGGACTGAAGAACAGCAGATACTGTGCATCATGGAAGCTTCCCCATGAGTGTATTTCCACTCATGTGCAGGACCAGCAACCCTCTGGGTTTGAAAGGTCAGCCCCGAATCAGGCTGCCACAAGCCTGCTCCTAGCTAGGAAACAGCATAACAGCTCTTGTCTTGAATCTCAAGTTACCACAAACTCCTGCAAAAGAAAGAAAGAAGAAAAAACCCTACATCACACCCACTCTTGCATAGAGCGTTTACAGTACAGTATGTGGCGGGGTGTTCCTTTCCTCTTGAACTGGAACACAGTGTAAACCAATACAAGGAGGCATAAGGCCAAGATGCAGGGAATGACAATAGCTATGGCTTTCACAGTGCTGGCTGTGTTGTCCAGTTTGATGACAATGTCTACATCATCTGGTGGGCTGTGTCCTTCTTTAACTCTGTCTGTTGGTCCATCACAGCCCATAAAATCCTTGAGGATGGATCTTGGATATCCAGGTTCTACCTTGAGTATCTGGTTGTTGAATTTCCAATACTCCTTTCCTTTGTAGAAATACGTAAAGCCTAGGGGGAAAAACATACACACACACAGGTACCACTTATTTGTGACAGTGTATATGTAGAGAAATGTTACTAAAATAGGCTATGTCTTAAGAGATGTATTTTAAGGCCCTTTAATTTTCATAGGAAGAAAACACTATTTTCAGCTCAGCTGTCTGTTAAGATGGCTGTGGCTGCTGTGCTCCAGGAATGATGCCATCTAATGCCTATGGAAAGCTCAGTCCAGAGAGAGAAATATCATTTACAGAGGACTGTTCAAAGACCATGCTATGCAGTCTACTCCTAGTCCAAGCTAGAAAAGAGAACCTTATCTTTTTGCTCGCTTACAGGATTGCTGTTACAAAATTACATATTAGTGTGATAGTACCAACCTATATTGAAAGATGCTGAAACAGCCTTATAAACTGAAACACTGTTTACCCTCAGGCTGTTACTGGGAACATTGTTCAATATATGATAAAGTCGCTTCTCTATGAAACACCTCAAGGGAAATTTCTAATCATCTTAGTATCAGGAATCTGTGCTCCTTCTAAACAACAGGCTTCCTTTTGTAATTTGCATGAGAAATCATAATACAATGAAATCATAAAACTGGAGGGGCTTTCATTTGCCTGCAAGGAATCTTAACAAGTAAAGACGTATTCATAGTATTCGGTACTCTAACCTCATTTCTGGCTCTAGGTCATAAACATTTTGTTCCTTCTCCTTTTGTCCTCTTTATTTTACTTTATTAAAAATATGTTTAATTTGTGTCACCTAGCTATATTTTAGAGAACTACTAAAGCCATTATTCATTATTTTAAGAATAAAATACAACATAAATCTACAATTCTATTTTTAATACTTCCTAGTACCTTATATTTCATGGGGAGGAGGTGGGATGTGGGAGGCTCAAGTAACTCAGCAATACATGCAATTTATTTTCTAAAACATTATGAATGCATACAATAGACTTTTAAGCTCCTGATGATTAAACTACAAATATGGACATTTTTCTTAGGTCTATTCTCCAAATTTTATGTTTTTGTTGGGCACATATCCAGTTTTTTCTTTCTGTCCACAGCTCATTCATGTCAAGTTTCTGTGTGACTATAATACTTTGACTTAATTTGTCCTTTGAGATAAAATTCAAAAAATCAAGAAATGTTTTAATGCTATAATTACTTAAAACTATATTTTGGGAGTTACCTATTTTTGATACAAGGCAAAATTCATAGTTTATAATCGTTAATGAAGGTAATATTTTTTCCTGTTTTATTGAGGACTTATTATGGAAGAAGCATTGGGTTAAAGTTTAGTAGATGACCTGTCTTTAAATCCTCACAAATACTCTATCAGGTAGAATTAATTATCCTTTCTTTTAAGCCCACGATATTGAGGATCAGAGACAAAATAACATGCTCATGTTCTGGTGAACACAAGATTTAAACCTTGATCTAGATCTAGAGACTGTACACTTAATAATTTTTTAAGACTGGGTCCTTTACACATCTCCTGTCTTTGTTTTTTAGATGGAGTTTCGCTCTTGCTGCCCAGGGTGGAGTGCAATGGCCCGATCTTGGCTCACAGCAACCTCCGCCTCCTGGGTTCAAGCGATTCTCCTGCTTCAGCCTCCTGAGTAGCTGGGATTACAGGCATATGCCACCATGCCTAGCTAATTTTGTATTTTTAGTAGAGACAGGGTTTCTCCATGTTGGTCAGGCTAGTCTCAAACTCCCGACCTCGGAGATCGCCTATCTTTTATCAAATACTCCTAGGTTAAACATCCAAGGGTGTGATAGATAGGTATCATTTTTGAATGAAGAACTCTGACATCTCTCAAGAAATTTCAGATAGGGCAGATGATTACTTCAGGTCACTTCATTCTGGAAATCGTTCTGTTCAATGCCATGAACACCTACTGCTGCTTTTAGTTTTGAAGGACAGTTTTGCAATGAGAGCAACTTGCCAAGTGAAAACAGGTGTATGTAGATACAAGTTTTTCAGCCGAGAGTTGGTATTTGATCACGTTAATGAAATTCAATATAATTACTCAACAAGCTTGGATGAAGAAATGTTGAGGGCCTGCCAAATAACAGTACATTAGATGATCATAGATGAATAACGGCATTGATCTAGAATTAAACAGACCTTCAAAATAGGTGAATGTACTTCTTATATCTATAAACTGGAAACCAACAGCTGGATGTGTCCTCATCTTTAATTTTTGGCTAAAGCTCATTACTATAGAGCTACTAAGCATTACACAAAAGTTAAGAAGTTTCTATTTACATACAACACAGTTCTGTAGGGCACATTTTATAGTAACACACTCCACATATAGGAGTAGAATTGCAGTTACTGAATACACTTGTTACAAATAAGAAGTCTAGGCTTGTTGTGGAGGCTCATGCCTGTAATCCCAGCACTTTGGGAGGCCGAGGCAAGAGGATTGCTTGAGCCCAGGAGTTCAACACCAGGCTGGGCATCATACAGGAGTTATAGACCAGCCTGGGCACCATAGTGAGATGAGACCCTGTCTCAGAAAACAAATGTCTAGTTACTAGGAGATAGACAGTGTAAGCATTTGAAAGGAAGTAGCCTAAAATAGAAGTAATACTTGGTAATGGAAGTATGTCAAACCTTGATCCTGCAAAATTCATCTTGCTCAACAACCTAGGTTTTTTCATTTATGAAAGGTCAGTTGGTTGAATAAATATTTAGGTATTTGTATTTTTTTCCTTTTAAAAGCAGCTTTGACATGTATTTTTGTATACATGCTTATGAAGAATAACTTCTGGTGAATTCTTAACTAAATTTTCATTGTTTTGAGAAATTCTAGAAAATAAATTAACGAGGCTGTGTTTTGATGATCCTTTTATGTTTGACTGAACATCATTGGACTTGTCTATTGTTTCATCCTAAAAGTGTAATGAGACATAATTTTCCACAGCTGGTACTATTATATAGCTTAGTAGATGTTCCCTGAGAGCAGTGCCTCTGTGTTCTATTTTTTACTCTTACACGTTTATTAGTAAGAAGTTGCTATTTAACACATGTGGATAAATAAACTGATGTGATCATCTTTCACATTTTTTCATTTCTTTGTCCTTCTTAGCTGTATAGCTTCTTAAGTTTTGAGGCACATTATTAATCTGATTTTACTGCCTCCAATGTGACTTTATCATGACTTCCTTTACTCTCTTATTCCTTTCCCTTTTATCTCAGAGAGTTATGTTTTAATCTTAGTCTCACTGTCCTATGGATTTCTGCTTCTGTCACATACAAGTAATATCTTAACTTGGTCTTTTAATTTTCTGAGCCAATTGAATACACAAAAATTATTTTTCTCAGCAAGTACTATGATCAGGACTTCAAGGTTCTTTTTGACTTTGCCTCTGCCTACAGTGTTCCACTTGTGGGACACTATCACACAGAATGTAGTAGCATATCATTATACATATAGCAATGCTCAAAAAACAGTACATGTACTTTGATTTTTCTGATTGGTATTAATTTATCCTGATTCTAAGTTCCTTCAAGTTTATACTAGTATAGAGTTTTCTTTTTCTTTCTTTCTTTTTCTTATCTTTTTGTTTGTTTGTTTGTTTGTTTTTTAGACAGAGACTGGCTCTGTCACCCAGCCTGGAGTGCAGGGGCATGATCTCAGCTCACTGCAACCTCCTTCTTCTGGGTTCAAGCAATCCTCCTGCCTCAGGCTCCTGAATAGCTGGGACTACAGGTACATGCCACCATGCCTTGCTTATTTTTTTATATTTTTAGTAGAGATGGGGGTGTCATCATTGTGGCCAGGCTGGTCCCAAACTCAGGTAATCTACCCACCTCAGCCTCCCAGGTGTGAGCCCCCACGCCCTGCCAGTGTAGAGTTTTCTTAATCTTGCAATACACTTAAGGTCAATCACAGTTTTCAGTGGTAGTATGATTTTTCATTTTCCCCTGACTCTTTCATTAACCTTGCTTTCTCTTCCCTGCCCCTAGATGCACTTGTTTGTCTTGCAAGAGATGCCTATTTTTGCTTATGTTGAGCATATGTCACAGACTTTTCATGTTATTGAGGACTACATAATATACTATTTTCTTATGCTTCCTATTGAAAATAATTTGATGAGGTAAATATTTTTCTCTGTATTTCAGAATGTCATTTTCTTTTCCTTTGTTCTGAAATATTGCATATAAATTCAATTTCAAATTATTATTATGATTTATTCCTATTTACTAATCCCTGGATGGGAAGAGATATGTTTACATTTCATATATGCCAACAGATAGGGGAGTATGGATTATCCCCAGCTTGGCTAATTTTCCACTCAGGATCTAGCTGAATGTGAAATCCTGGGATAGCAAGTAAAGGGGACAGCTCTTGGATTTTTTTCCTGTTATTATACCATCATACATCCACTCTATTCTCACCATATTGAGCTGGAATCTTCCTTGCTTGCTGGACTCTTCCTCTAAGCTAAAGAATAGATACAAAATTATAATTCTCAACATGCATTATTACCAGATATAATACCTCGAGTGGCACCTCTATCTTCCTTGTGACCGGTTCTGTCCCATGTATTTTTGTTATTATTATCTTTACAGGAATTTTAATAGAAATATAGGTAAAATTACCTCAAAGGTATACACAACTTCCATATTAAACTATTACTTGTCTTTTTTCTAATGACTTTTTTATAAACTAAGTTGAGGTTAAAAAATGTCTACAGCATAATATGATATGTAAATCTAGGAAAAAAAGTTCATATAAATAGAAATACAGTATTACATAGCTCTAGTATAGCACTTTCCAATGGCTTAATTTAGCAGAGTGAAAAAGCCTAATGTGTTACTAAGATAGCAAACTTATGAAATGTAGAAAGCACATGTTGCATACCATTTTCTTTGTGTACAAATGCTCCCTGAGGAGATTCAGGGATCCCTTTCCAGACTGTGATTGGCTTGGGATAGCCAGGGTCCATTGTTTTCATTTCTTCACTATATCTCCAATATCTACAAAGGATAAAAACAACAACAACAAACACAATAACACACATATAGGGAAAGATTATGCATACAAACAATAATAGCTGACATTTATTAGACCTTTGCTGTGTGCTTGACTTTGTTACCTGTGCACCTGTTAATGATTTACAGAACTCCAACTGGCAAGCTCTTATTTAAATAACTGAAAATACAATGGGCATAAGGCATTTATTCTGTTTCTTCTCCTGCATATATTAAAAATGGGCATCTTATTGTCCATATCCTGCCTGTGTTAAAAATAAGTTCTTATTCAGTATGCTAAAGTGAATAAAAAGTGCTAGCTAAGTATATTTATAGTTCATAAGGACATCACCAACCTGCATATATATATCAGAGGTTTTCATGAGTTTTTAAAAAACCTTTCTTAGGAAGCAGAACATTTTTTTGAAATAATCTTAAGCAGAATCTTGATTTATTTATTCATTCGGTACATATTTAGTGAATATATATTATGTTCCTGGCGTTATTATAGGGCTAGAGATACAACGTTGGACAACACAGATATGCTGTGGCTCTCATTGATCTCACATTATAGGATATGTGAGGATGGGCAATAAACCAATTTATCAATAAATACATACTATGATAGGAGGTGATAACAACTATGAAAAAAGCAAAGCAGATAAGAGTTATCTAGGAGTATCTGAAGTCATGTTAAATTGGTGGACTGAGAGGTCCTGTCTGATAAGTTGACATCTGAGCAGAGAAAAGTGAGGAGCAATACATGCAGTCTTTGGGAGAAGAACATTCCAGGCAGAGAAACTAGGAATTGAAAATTCCTGTGGCAGGCACATGCTGGAGTACCTGTGTCTACAAGGAGGCTGGGGTGACTGGAATTGAGTTAGTAATGTGGAGACATGGTGAGAGTAAGAACCAGAACCTAAGATTAGACAAGCATTTACACTACAGCGAGCCTTTGGCTTTACTCTAAGAGAGATGAGAAATCATATATATTTTGAACAGAGAAGCTTAAACTTATGGCTAAGTGTTGAAAAGAATACACTGGCTGCTATGAGTAAAAGAGTTTGAAGGAGATAAGGCAGAAGTAGGAATGCCAGTCGGGATGTCACTGCAATAATCCTTGGACTAGGGAGTCAATAGCTATAGGACTGATGATAAATCAAGGCATTTGGGATATATTTTAAAGGAAGAGCCAAAGGACTTATTCATGGATTAGATGTGGGATGTGAAAGAGAAGGAAGCTGAGCATGACTCAAGAATTTTAAGCCCGATTATCTGGAAGAAGTATGTTGTCATTCAGTAAGGTAAGGAAGTAAGGGAAGGTAAGCTGAGAAGGATTGAGGAACCATGACTTTGGTGTTAACTACTTTAAATTCAGACTTCAAAGTGGACCTGTTGATGAGGAAACTGGGAATGTGAGTATAGACATTAGGGCTGGTCTTGATTGGAGTACTCAGTGTATAGACATTAATACAAGTAAAAGCAAAGCTCACCAAGAGTTAGAACTCTCAGACTCTCATCCCTTCACAGGCTAGTCCGTGAGCCACTTTCACAGAACCCCTAGACTTCCAAGGAACAAATTGTGAACATCCCTACTTTGGATCACTCATTATTGTCCATGTATTTTAGGAGTAAAATAAGTTTATATTTTGAATGGTCACAAAGATTGACAAAATA
Organism: Homo sapiens; assembly: GCF_000001405.40. NCBI lineage: Eukaryota > Metazoa > Chordata > Mammalia > Primates > Hominidae > Homo > Homo sapiens. The sequence goes on from NC_000008.11 coordinate 88,048,456, forward strand.
GGGTAAAATCACTGGGAGTTCACAGTGATATCACCTATTTCGGGCAGCCCTATTGCTCTATGCATTATTTTATTTAATCACAACAAACCTATGAGATAGTCATCACTGTCCCCATTTGAGAGAGGAGAATTCTTGGAGGACAATGAATGATAGGTAGAAATATAACCATGTTTGTCTGATTTCAAAAGTATCTGCTATTTCACCATAAAGGCAGTTTCCAAGTTTATTTTGATGCCACCAAATACGTTTCCCAATTTTATTTGACAATGCTTTTCCCCCCACTAAACATCTATGGTGATCTACTAAAGCTAGTGTTTTGCCAACACATATTTGGGAAATGATACATTTAAAAAAATTATCTTTGACTTAGCCATTTTATCTGAAATTAGAAAAAAATAAGTATTTTCTAGTTTGGATATGCCTCTGCCAGGCCTATGGAGGATTCTTTACCTAACAGAGCTCTGGGGTCCTGTGCAAAAGGCTTTCCTATAAATTCCTAGAAACCTCACTTGAGTAACATCTGGAATTCCTCCATCTTCCTCCATCTTCAACGTGCACATAGAAATGGGAAAAAGATTGTTTCAGGAAGTGTACTAAGAAGTAATGCCCAAAGAGGAGTTTACACCAAAAGGGAAACTGTCACAGGTATTTGTTGCAGGTTCTCATCACATCGAAGATGAGAACAGATCTGACGAACAGATCAGAAATAGCTTCATGGAGAAGCACTGAGCTGAAAGAATCGTGCCTGGACTGCATCTTTCTGAAGAGGACAATGAAGTGGAATCATTAGTGTATCATGCCACCAATTCTAAAATAAATTTTCTTTCACATTTTGTTCATGGAAACATTTACTTTTAAATTTAAATATTTAAATTAAACATCATTTCTGAATATTCTTCTCCCACAGAACATTCTGTGATGAATGGTTAATGCAGCTGAGATTTGCTCATAATCTAAAGATCTCTTCTCTCAGGTAAATATCTCAGTGGGGTTTACAATAGTTATTTAATATATATGTTAACTGCTTTCCACACTTGAGCAAACAAAGTGTCTTGCAGAGAAACAGTCAAATACCTATTTCATGGATCCTAAGAAACACTTTTTCACATTTTACATCTCTCAACATCAGAATGCCCTTACAATAGATGCAGCGTCGGTTTACTTGACAGGGTTTCCTCTCATAATAGAATAAATAATGACATATTTTAACAATACATGGCACTTTTAGATGACATAAACTATAACTTAAAGTGAGCTTTTAAATTCTAACTTAAAATTTGGACTAGGGCCAGGTGTGGTGACTCACACCTGTAATCCCAGCACTTTGGGAGGCCAAGATGGATGGATTGCTTGAGCCCACGAGTTTGAGAACAGCCTAGGCAACATGGTGAAACCCTGTCTTTACCAAAAACTCAAAAAACTAGCTGGGCATGGTGGTGCACACCTTTAGTTCCAGCTACTCAGGAGGCTGAGGTGGGAGGATCTGTTGAGCCCAGGAGGTTGAGGCTGCAGTGAGCTGTGATTGTGCCACTGCACTCCAGCAAGGGCAACAGAATGAGACCTTGTCACAAAATAATAATAATAGGCCAGGCATGGTGGCTCACACCTGTAATTCCACCACTTTGGGAGGCCAATGCGGGTGGATTACCTGAGGTGAGGAGTTCAAGACCAGCCTGGCCAACATGGCGAAACTCCGTCTCTACTAAAAAATACAAAAATTATCTGGGCGTGGTGGCAGTCGCCTGTAATCCCAGCTAGTCGGGAGGCTGAGGCAGGAGAATCGCTTGAACCCAGGAGGCGAAGGTTGCAGCGAGCCGAGATAGTGCCACTGCACTCCGGCTTGGGCAACAGAGAGAGACTTCATCTCAAATAATAATAATAAATAAAATTTGGAATAACTTAAAATCCTGAGGACAATGGGATCACATCCTGCATGTGATTTAAGTAACATTAATACATACCTAGCAACCAGATTAGTTTTCTGAGAAGTAGTTGCTTTTCATGTAGAAATAACTACACGTCATGTAGCATTTTGTAGCTATAAAGTAAATTTATATACATATATTGTTGTGCTTAAATCCCTCAAGTCTTTTATATCACATATTACAATGTTCTCTATAATAATGTCCTAACCATAGATTTAGTATGAATTGTCACTCAATTTAAGCAATGACAGAGCATTGGGTATCATATTATTCAAAGACAATTGACTTAGTCACATTTACTGTGTTTGAATGTGGTAGAATTGAAATTCAAATGTTACTGCTAGTATCTGCCTGTGGTTCTTATTCTCTCAATGCTGTCGTTCAAACAACTGGTGTTCATTGTTTGGGTATAGCTTTCCTTTCTTGCTTAGTCTGTTCATTCATAGATTCATTCACCCACTGATGCTTTTCTGTGCACCTATATTATATGCCAGACTCATAGGATTCAGAGAGATCTCATTTCAGGAAAATGTTAATGGAATGTAAATTTTATTACACTCTTTTGTAGGAACATAATTCGGGTATGAATTTGTCAACATAAATGCATTTTTCCCTCTCCTAGCAGATAATGCAAAACAATAATTTAGGATCATTTTACAATTTTAGAAAAACTCAACATAGGCTCAAACCCAAAGGTTGTCTGCTTTGTGTCAGCTTTGAAATATTTCCAGTAAACTAGAATGCAATTAGAATTATCTATATTTAGTGCTGTCTTATAAAAGGTGCTGAGGCTTACTCATAAATATTGCTTTATATTTTAATTTCCAACATATTTGAGCTTATGTCAACATGAACAAAAAAATCTCATCCCACTGAGTTCTTCCCCCTGAAAAATAAGCTTATAGATGCATTGAGAAGTAAATTAGCATATTCAGATCGGAACACTGTGTACATCAACCATTTGGGGGGTTTAAAATGTAGATATTTTCATGGAAAACATTGAAATTTTGTGTGGGAGGGTCAATAAGTGATGAAAGCTATTATAAATGAACCTCATAGCTCTTTCTTCTGATTCATCAGTTATCTCTACTGTAAAATTTTGACTTTAATCAGATAATTTTTTGGAGATTAGCAGTCTTAATCAATGCCCCAAAGTCCCATTCCTCAGAATCAGTCTTAAAAATGCAACAGAATAGAAAATATCAATATATCAGTTTTTGCTGTATTTTTGAACGACTCAAAAACATATACATCAAAAAATTACTTTGTAAACATAACACTTAAGCTGGAAGAAATAAACGTATTTTTCTATTTGACTGTTAGTGACGATAATAATTAAGAAAATAAAGTAGGTCTACATTTTGTTATTTTTATTTGAAAATACCTTAAAATTCTCAACAGCTAAGCTTCTTATGAAATATGGCAATAGAGTCTTAGATATGTTTGTGAGATGTTGAGAGATGACTTAGAAACATAGCATTTTAAGCTAAATGTTATGAAGATCAAAACATATCCAAGTACCAAATTGTAGTGTATTAACAAAAGGGCAAGTAGGAATCTGAGGGACTGAGTTCCATGCTGTATATGAAATAGTACAACACTAGATATTTTAATCTGAATTTACAGATTTATTTAAAGAACCGTCATTTCATCTACTCTCTTTAGCTATCTCTATACTTAGAAGATTTCACATGGACTCCTGCTTTCAATACCATTTATATGTCAATAACTCTGAGATCTGTGCCTCCAACTAAACTTTCCATTAAGATGCAAACTCAATTATCCAACCACCTACTTGACTTCTTCACTTGGTGTATAAATAGGCACCTCAGTCAAGCATGGACATTTCAATCTCTTAATCCCCTTCCCCCAATATTCCTTTCTGTGTCTGCCTTATCTCCAGATAAGGTGCTATCTGCTTAATTACTTGAGTGAAAAGCCTAGAAGTTGCCCTGATTTATTTTGTTCCTCCCCTAAAATCCAAGCCCTGAGGACAACTTGTTATCATACTCAAAATGTATCCTGCACCCACCCACTTTGCTCCATCTCCACTGCTACCATCATGTCTTCCTGCACTCCTTCAATGGTCTCCCAGTTACCCTCCACGCCTCCACTCTTGGAGCCCATTCTTCACATAGAAGCCAGCACAATCTGTGTGAATACACAGAAGATCATGTCACTTTCCTGTTGAAAACCCTCCAATGCCTCTTCCTTGTACTTAGAATAAAATTCAAACTGTTTGCCATGGGCTACAGGGCCCTGTGAAATCTGGTCCCTATCAACCAGTTTGACTTCTTCCACCACTTAACCATTATGCTCTAGCAACACTGTTTTTGAACAATCCAACTTCTTTCCTACATTATTGCCTTTGCATGACTATAGCATCCACCTGCAACACATTGTCCTGAACAGCTTTCTATGGCTGAAACTTCTTCCTACTCAAGTCCCCACTCAAGTGTCCCCTTAACAAGTGAGGCCTTCTCCCAAGTCAACCCTAAGTCCCAACCTGTCCTTACCACCAGGAGTCTCATTTCTCACTGTGAAAATTATCAGGGTCATTTATTTGTTTACTGTTTATTATTTGTCTCCCCCAACACAGTCTAAGTGCCATGAAACTAGGAGCTCTGTGGTCTTTCTACTACTCCATCTTCATTACCTAGCACATGTCACATACTTTGTGCTTCAAAATGCATTTTTGAATGAATGAAATGAGTGCTAGGGTAGGACAGGTGCAGAAATCTTAAGGAAGCAGGCACTAGAGCTACTGAGAATAGAATGTGCTGCCTCATGTTCATACTGTCACAGGCAGTTTGGTGGAGAGGGAAGGGTACTCTTGGGCTGTAATTGAGGGTATCTAGATTTTGGTAGGAAGTGAACAACATGTAGGGCTGACATATGGCAGCATCTAATTTAAAGATGTGCTGTGTTTGCCTAGTAGATTATTTTAAGTGATCTTGATTTTGAATGCTTTTCTGGAGTTTTTGCACTTTCCACCTTACCGCAGTACTCATCATTCGCTATTGCGCAACTTGGATATACTGCTTTACCTAGTATTACAGCCGTTATTCACCTGATCTCTTTAAGGACTTGAATTTTTTACAGCGGCTCTAGAGACTCACTAAAATCCTTTTTGCTCTTAGCCTTAGAGAAATAGAAAACTGCTGACATAACTTTTTTTCTTTTTTATAAGCAGAAAAATGGCAGTGGGAGAAGAGGGGAGAAATAATAAAACATAAATTCTCATATAAAAGTGACAACTAAATTGTTGTGTTTTTGTTTCAGATAGAGAGTTTAATGTCTTTTCCGTCTAAGTTTTAAATCTAGAATAAATATATTGATAACTGCTGTTCACTCTGGAAATATATAATTATATGACTATGGAGTAATCTGTTTATAAAACATCTATAACTCATGACATCTTACATAAGATCACACACATGGAAATTAATTGAAACCCTGCTTTCAGTTTTTTTAAACCTATAAAACCATAGTCATTTAAATAGAGCTTAAAAGTAATAAAGGCATTTCTATATATTTTCTATATTTGGCATGTAGCTTTTCAAGCGGGGAGTAAATGATCTAAAAAACCCTTTTCCCATTTTCTATAGTCTTTATTCTTCTATACTTTTGGCATCTAACCTCCACTGATTTCACAAATTTAAGGTAGTTCACGTTTAATCCTGAAACTTAAATGTTCCAATAAGTAATAAATTTTTAGAATGAAAACATTTTAAATGTAATCCCTACATTTGTGGGAAAAAGAGCTATCTGATAATGAAATGGGCATTTTTATTATTATCTATGAAACTCTAATTAAGCTGTTACATGAAAGTTAAGCTTCCATTTTCTGTCCCCTAGTAGCTAACTTCTCCAAAGTGTCTCCTCAGCCTTTCATTTTTGCCCTTTTTTGAGAAAAAGAAAAAAGTGCAACTCCGTATAGTACCGAGTTCTGCATGGGTACATTCAAGCAATTAAAATCAGCTGGTGAATTTAACAACCTTAAGAGTTATACCATTTTAAAGAATATGTTATAAGTCTGCAGATTTACTTTCATTAGTGGCCACTATGCAGTGGCAATACAGTTCTTCCTCTTTCATAGTCTATTACATGGACATCCTGTTGAGAGTCATTACACTTTTTGGGGCTTTAAGTAGCATCTTCTCCTTTGATCAAATTTTTGTTTGATAGATCTTTTAAATTTGTGATTTAGTAAGAAACATTATAGCACAGCCTAGCTTTATTATAACGAATTAAAATCTATGAGCATTTTGCTATGGAAAAATATAGGAATATTGCATATACAGTTAGTAAAAGGATAAATTTAAAAGTGTACATTCTTATTCATGGAAGCCAATTATAGCAACTTTTTGTTCTCACATAAAGCTTAATGTTTGAAACCATTTGGAATTAAAAATTGTAAATTTCCGAATAAACAAAGTTTGTAGCCTTACTTACTTTTCTCCTAAAGTTGGAGACATTGCATAGGGTTATTCTATGCTAAGATAATATGGCAAACTCAATACTGGCATGTTGGACATTAAAGCCTGTATTTTGTATGTGTGTATTTTCTTAAAAATTTACTCATAAATGGAAGTATAATGGCAGACTTAAGTCATCCTACAAACAATGAAGACTACTTATGAATTTCTCATTGTGAGCTAGCTAGTAATAATTTAATTAAAATTTGATTTTTTATATTTTTAAATATTTATTTAAATTAATACAAATATAGGCTTCAACTTACATATATTCCATTTGTAATATCTGTTAACAAATGGGCAGGGCTAGGGCTATATCTGCCTAAAAGCTACTGTAAGGGTTTTTTTATTTTATTTTTTTGTTTTTGAGACAGGGTCGCACTCTGTTGTCCAGACTGGAGTACAGTGACACAATCTCAGCTCACTGCAGCCTTTGCCTCCCTGGTTCAAGTGATTCTCATGCCTCAGCCTCCCAAGTAGCTGGAATTACAAGCATGTGCCAAAACGCCTGGCTAATTTTTATATTTTTAGTAGAGACGGGGTTTCGCCATGTTGGCCAGGCTGGTCTCGAACTCCTGAGCTCAAGTGATCCACCCACCTTGGCCTCGCAAAATGCTGGGATTACAGGCATGAGCCAACACGCCCAGCCTTACTGTAAGTTTTAAAGTAACAATTCTCTCTCATTTTGTGAACACTGTTAGCAATATCACAAAAGGAAAAAAATAAGAGAGTAAAATAGTTGGGAAAAAATATTATACTTCAAGCTAAAAGTAATTAGCCCAGTGATAGTTTGACTATGGTAGCTTCTTAAGAAATAGAATCTGTGACTAAACTGAAATTATTTGGAAGTCTTCACAATTTATTGTACACAAAGTATAAAAATTTAACTTTGAGTGTGAAAACACAAAAATCCTGTGCTTGAAAGTATTTTTTTTCTAAACAAAGTAAGTAAAATTCCCCAAAAGATGCATTGCAAGGATACATATATACACTGCTTACATAGCATTATGGGCATGTTACAATTATGGGGAAATGAAAAAAAACATATGCTAGGTATACACATTCATAAGAAAGTCACATTAGCTGAATATATTAGAGAAAGATTTATCTTAAATATTATTTGAAATGTAAAACAATTTTTAATTGCATTAACTCCTGTGTTAAATCCACCAGGATTCTTCAACAGCTGATGCCTCTGATAGACTAGAAATGCTGATTTTCTAAACATTGGTTAATTAACTGTTTTTCTCATGAGAAGTGTATACTGACCTGTCTCCCTTGAAGAAATAGGTTTTCCCGACGTCCTCCCACCAAATGGCTGAATCAATACCATGAGGGGGAATTCCACTTCCAAGGGTTATCAAGTCATGAGGGTAACCAGGTTGAAGAGTTGTATCCTTGAACACCCAATATTTGTTACCTGTATGGAATAAGTGTAAATGTAGAATATATTAATTTAATGTCATAATTAGAATATATCTATTAACACATTTAAAATTATATTAAATACATATTATACATTTAAAATTATACTAAATATATATTATATTAAATACTTGAAATAAGTTATTAGTTGTCCCATCTGGAATATTAATGTTATCTTTGAAATATCATTCAGAAGTGGATATAATGAATACTTTATTAATATAATAATATAACCAAAATTTGTGAGTGAATTTAAAAAATAAAATAGATCTATAACTTTGCCATAAAGAAACAATTCTGAGTCAAGGATGAAGGATTCTTCCCCTAAGAATTAGAGGTCCTACGTCTTTTTCAAGGCTAAATCATTCCTGTATTTTGAGCAACGGGTATGCCCTCAGATTGGCTTAGTGATTATAACTTCTACTTGACTGAAACACCTCCTCTGGGCTGGTCCTTTTCTCTGATTATGTAAATGTTCACAAGTCTCCCTAGTCTTATACATTCATCCTCCCTTGACCTCATGCCCTCTTATAACTGTTAACTCTATTCATGTCTTTAAGAGTGGTAACTGAGGGGAGGAAAATTTTAACCTTAACCATGTTTGGAATTGCTGGAGCATGGCATGATGATACTAAAAAGCAGACAAAAGCAGACAGGCTTTAGTCAGTTTTATTGCTGTTTGACAATTCTCTACAGACAGCACATATCCTCATGCCCTCCCTGTGCCCCTGGCTGACTGTGCCCACCACTTCCCTTTCTGGTATGCCTATCAAGTTTCAGTCCACTGAAGCTTTTTGTTCTGGAGTCACCAATGCCCTCCAACTAAAAAATTTTCCACCCTTATCTATTGACACTATTGACCACCTTAAGTACTTTCCTCTCTGAGCTGTGAGAAAACCATTTTCTTTTGTTTTGTTTGTTCTCTAGCTGCTCCTTTCTGGGCTTATTGTATTTTACTCAGCCCTTGAATGTTATTGTTTCCTAGGACTCTGTTCTCTGCTCTCCTCTTCTTATCCTAAATAAGGAAGGGCCACAAACTCAAATAACTACAGGGGCCAGGTTAGGGATGATAGTAGTAGTGCAGTATCTCCACTAATATTAAGATATTTCCATAAAAGTCAGTAAACACCCATTACCCTAAAATTGTATTTCCCTCCTTCCCCAAGTCCTCTTCTCCTGGGGCTTCTGAAACATTCTACAATCCAGCATTGTCTTGGATCTCTAGCACCTCCTGGGGTTAATATCTGGCAAAGTAAGGTGTCCCAACGTCCTTTCTACAATATTTCAAAACCACCCACAGATAAGGACTATGATAAACCGTAGCTTTCATGTAATACCTAAGGGTCTTCAAAAAATTTTAAAAACGTGCTCTCAACACAAAATAAGCAAACAAAAACCACACATCTTTAGGCTAAATTTAGTTAGGAGTTTCTAGTTTGTAACCATGGGTAATCTCATTTACTCCAAGAGCTTCTACTACCATTTGATACCATTTAAGTTAAAACAACATTTATTGAGTATCTTCAAGCATCCCAAGTATCATGCCAGGTACTAAGGATACCACAGAGGATAAGAAACCTGATCGCTACCCTGATCATCCTACATGACAGCAGAAGAAGCAGATGAAAACCAAATATACACATATATAACTTCAGTAATTGAAAAACTACTGAAGGCTTGAAAACAAAAAACAGAGGTTGAGGAAAAAAATAAAGGGAACTTACTTTAAGTAAAAAGGTCAGGGAAGACCTCTCTGAAGAAATACACCAAAATCTAAAGAAAGAGAAGGTAATAAATATGCAAAGAATATTGGGAAGTGCATTCAGAGCAGAGGACAGTCTGGGATGATCAACAAATTGAAAGAAGATCAGTAATTTGTAATAAGCAAGTATAAAATCTTTGCAAATCAACATAATGAGTTGGAATCTTACTTAGAGTGTACTGGAGGCCATCAAGGAGATTAAGTTTGTGTTGGGTTGTGATTGGTTTTATATTTTAAAATGATTTTTGGAGACAAATGGATTATAAAGGGAAGAATGAAAATAAGATGACCCATCAAGAGTCTTTGGCAAGAATTAATTGAATCATTCACTCAATAATTACTTAGTACATGTACCAGGCACTGTTGTAGGCACTACTGATAGAGAAGTGAACCAGAAGGTCAACATCTCTATCTCATGAAGCTTAGATATCAGTGAGTGAGTATGAATCAAACAGATGAATAAATTAAAACTTCAGAAAGCAAAGTGCTATACAAATGGAGAAAGAAAAAAGGATATTAAGGTGACAGTGATGGGATTTGGGGCTACTTTGTATTAGATGCAGGAGAGATCTCTTTATTCAACTGTGACATATAATTCAAAGGAGCCAGACCACTGAAGATTGTTTGAGGTAAAAGAAACATAAAGAATAAATGCCATAATGGGAAGAAGCTTATTGTGCAGCTAGAATAGAGTGTGATAGGAGTGTATAATGATAGAGGTGAGGATCATGTAACCCCTGTAGGAGTTGAACTTTATTCTAAATGAAATAGGAAGTCATTGAACAGTTAAATCAAAAAGTTCTTTGACAGTGGTTTGGACCAACACAGCAGAAATAGAGATGGAAAGGATAAAATAAAGTCAGGACATATTTTGGAGATGGAATTGATAGGCATTGCCAAGGGAAATAAAATAAAGATAATATTAAGAATGATCTTCAAGTTCTGGCTTGTGTAGATAAGTGAATAACAGTGTTATTTAGTAAGACAAGACTAAAGGTGAATGGGCTGTTGGAAGTTTAAATCAAGAGTCTGAGATGTCAATGAGATATCTACATAAAGAAGTCATGTAGGCAACCAGGTATGTCAGTTTGAAAATAAGTTTGTAAGACACAAGCATATATGTGGCATTTATAAATTTAGGATGTGTTGAGATTATCCTGGGATGAGTATACACAGAAGATAAAGAGTAACCAGAACTGGACTTCTAGAAATCCATGATCATTAGAAAAGATCACATAAAGGAAGAGGGAAGAGGAGGCACATCAGGAGAAAGAAGAGGCAGTGTTAAAGACAAAAGTAAAAGAAAACATCAGAAGGCAAAAAGAAAAAAGTGTAGTCATAAATGACTATCTCTGATCCAAATATCTCTTGAAAGCCAACTAGTATCTATAGTTATCTGATGGGATTTTCTACAAAGTCCAAATTTGAACTCATCTGAATACCTTTCTTATTTTCCCTCTTTGGGTAGATGGAATACTAGTTATTCGTGGCTGACATCAGAAACATCCTTGTTCCTCATTTTCCATATTTAATGGATCATTACATTCAGCTGATTTCAATTCCTAACTCTCACTTATAACTGTCCTTTGAAGGCTGTTCTTTTTACCAATGGTCCTTTATATCATCCCTTCCATCGTCCCTTCTAAAGGTAATACTATCACTGTAAGACTAGAGCCAGTCAAAATGCTGTGCTGCAGAGTAAGCTATGGAGACATGGCTTCATCTGATAAGCAGAGATAAGCAGAACCATCCATGTCTCTCTCTTGGGAAGATGACCCAGAGAACACCGAGAGATTTTCCCTCTAAGCAGGGGAAATTGACTATTTTTATATAATACGAAGCCTGAGAAGCCAAGATGGCCAGAGGAAGCAGATATTAAGAGGAGGCAGAAATTGAATAAAAGAGATGGACTGAAAGAGAAAAGAGAATGAGAAGAGATAAAAAAAAAAAAAGTGATACAAGGAGCAAAGCTATGAATGGGAGAGGGGCCAGCAGGCAAGTGTAGCAAGTTCCTGGCTGTCTGAGTTTCTGTTACACACCCACTCCTTACCATAAGTTCCCCATAAGCTCAATTAACCTTACTGGGTTTATTTTTCTTTTAACTGAATGAGACTGTTCAACGTAAAATTGTGAACAATCAAATATCATGTAAGTGGTTAGGTACATCTGAGCCCAAGCCTGTTGGCCAGAATCCTAGCTTTAGCCAATGGTACCATGCTGTCTTCCAGCCATGAGACTTAAGAGAAACCTGTGTATTTCCTAGCTTATGTTATTTCAACAGTTTCCTTTCTCGTTTTCCTGTCTCCAGCCAGTCTCCTTTTTATCTATCCTCCACAAAGTCAAGAAAGGGATTTCTTGAAAATGCATACTTGATTTTTGCCTCTCTTTTGTTTAAAAATTTCAGTGGTTTCTTATTGCATTCAGGATAAAACCCAAATTCATTATATGTCATTTCAAGGTTCCTTTCAGTACGGGTGTCTTATCTCATCTACATTCCACTTATCTCCATTTATGGAAAACTAGGATGACACTTTCAAAACTTAGCTTAGCACGATTTCTCTGAAAAGCATTTCCTATCTGAGTATGATGGGCACCTTACATTGCCAAATTACCGGCATTTACCTTCATCTTATTACTTAGTACATTGTACCTTGATGAATCACAAGCCTGCCACCCACTCTAGGGTGTGAATAACTTGAGGAAAAACACTACATCGAACACATTATTTTCGTGTAGCACCTCATGTATAGTGTTTGGAAAGTAGGTGCTTAATAAATAAATAGTTACTGATGCAAAGAACCATGTTTAATATTACATGGCTACTCAAATATAGGATCAAAAATCTAACAAAAGGCACAATAAAGGCTACATAAATAACATTGAGGGCATTAGTTTGGAATCTTGTTAGTACAGCAAGAAAGAAAAATTTTACAACCACTAGCAAGAGTGGGAAAATATAAGGCATGCCTTGGTATTGTGCTGAAAAATCATTTATTTAAGTGATTATATTTAACCAAGTGTTGGGAAATATGGTCATAAAAATGCAAACTTACCCCGAGCCCTTGTATAATCTGAATATTATACACACACACACACACACACACACACACACACACACACACACACCCCTCATCCTAAAGGCCCAGATCACTTCCTTGCCAGAGTCAGTGAGTTGGAAAATCCAGAAAGCTGTTTCACAGCATGCTCTATATTTTAGTCAAATCCCTGTGGCATTAAAATAGAAAGTCTTAAAACAATAGAAGAAAGAGAAAGAAAGGCCTCTTCTGTTGGCCTATACCTCAGTGACTTATTGCACCCTTTCCTTTCATCTCCTTTTTAATTAGGAAGGAGTATGCAGTTTCAATGCCTCTCATGCTAGCTATTTAGGGTACATCTTGTGTCAGCTCAACTCAGTTGGTTGTCCCTTTCAAGCAGAAGCATTCTAGTATGCTTTTGATCACTTCCTTTTGCAGCTCCTAAATTTGCTTATCATTTGCATGATAATTTCTTCCAGGCTTTTTTTAGTGATGACACTAGGCTCATCAATAACCAGGATGCCCTGGTGCATGGAGCAGGAGAAATGGTTCACAGAAGCTTAGTTTATATGTAGTCCCGGTGTCTCAGTAGAGGATAATGTGTGAAAAAAGAAAAGGAATTACAGTTCTTATAGGAAATTGTTATTATTCTACTTAAAAAACTGTTATTGTTGCTGTTTATAAAAACTATGCATTGAAAATACTTTCCTGTACTGTTGGTCTAGTATTTTCCATACACAAAAGGGAGAAATAATCAGTCTTTCACTTTTTAATGATCAAGTCCTTTGTATAAAACAGCTCAATCAGCTTTTTTTTTTTTCTTAACCTGCTAGGAAAAATGTACTTATATTCCCTTTATGAAAACAAAGCAAAATAGAGAGCTTATCAGTAAACATTTGCTATAAAGTTGCATGACAGAATTCCAGCAGTTATTCTCACAAAATTAAGAAATACCACCTTGCCTGCTGAGTATCTGTGGCATAGAATTCATGGAAATAACTCAATAATAATTATGAGTGATAACATTTAATTTTCTGAGTGTTTATTGAGAAAATACAATTATACAATTCCTTTTGTATCTTGATGAGTTAAGATTTTCATATGAAAAAACTGAAATGGTTGAACTAGTTACTGTAAACTAGTTCAACCATTGTGGAAGACAGTGTGGCGATTCCTCAAGGATCTAGAACTAGAAATACCATTTGACCCAGCCATCCCATTATTGGGCATATACTCAAAGGATTATAAATCATGCTGCTATAAAGACATATGCACACGTATGTTTATTGTGGCACTATTCACAATAGCAAAGACTTGGAACCAACCCAAATGTCCAACAATGACAGACTGGATTAAGAAAATGTGGCACATATACACCATGGAATACTATGCAGCCATAAAAAAGGATGAGTTCATGTCCTTTGTAGGGACGTGGATGAAGCTGGAAACCATCATTCTCAGCAAACTATCGCAAGGACAAAAAACCAAACACTGCTTGTTCTCACTCATAGGTGGGAATTGAACAATGAGAACACTTGGACACAGGAAGGGGAACATCACACACCGGGGCCTGTTGTGGGGTGGGGGGAGTGGGGAGGGATAGCATTAGGAGATATACCTAATGTAAATGACGAGTTAATGGGTGCAGCACACCAACATGGCACAAGTATACATATGTAACAAACCTGCATGTTGTGCACATGTACCCTACAACTTAAAGTATAATAAAAAAAATTAAAAAAGAAGAAAAAACGTAAATGACTTTGTTTCTACTTTTCAGTTTTTCAGTTAAGTATGTAAGATTCATATTTGACTTTTTTTACTGTACATATGACAGGTGGTTTTTTAACTACCCTACCATCAGACAGTCTGGGTCTCAAGGAAAATATTGCCTTTTTGGCAGAATGTAAGTATTCCCTGGATTTCATATGAGGTTGACATATTCTGGAGCAAGTGGAAAAAACTAGTTCTTACTGACATTGTACTTGGCAGAATGCAGAGGAAAATATCAACAAGTTAGAACTAAAGGCCAAAAGGTTTTATAAATAGAATAGCTTTAAAAATGTTTAGAGTTGGAGAGGACTTTATAGATCATCTATTGCAGTGATTTTTCAATGATATTCATCTATCCATCCATCTATTCAATGGATGGATGACATTCAATCATCCATCTATTCCATCTATTCATCCGTCTATTCTCCTATTCAATGTCTGTTTATTATGAGCCTATTATAGTCTGTCAGTCAACCAGGAGCTGCAGAAACACTGATGAAGGCAACACAAAAAGTTCCTGTCTTTGTGGAACAGACTAGCAGAGAAAATAGACAGTCAACAAATAATCCCAAAAAGAATTTTTAAATTAAATGCTGTTCCTATCAGGAAACATGCAGTACCTAATAACCTTTTTTTTTTTTTTTTCAGAAGGACAATGCTTACTCTGGAGGTTAAGATTTCTACCTGCTTTTTGACTCCCTTGAACTGAGCCACTGTTAATGATAGGAGTGCATTATATTGTTCAGATGTACCGGATCAGAAAAGTGGCTGATAATCCAGCCTAACGCATTCATTTATTTTACAGGTCAAAGAAGTGGTGTGTCTAAAGCCACACCGCCAGGTGCTAATGGGTTTTTACTGCGGTCCAGGCCTCTTGATTCAGTGCTTATCTTACTATGCAAAATTGACTCTCAGAACAGAACAAGTTCACACTCTGGCTTTCAGAATTGCTAATGATTCCCTGCTTCTTCCCTCCTTTATCAACTCATCACCTAACATTTTTAATGGGAGTGTTTATCAATTAACCCACTGTATTCGGCTCATGCTTGTTCACTGTATCCTGAGTAGTCAGATATCCTTTGTGCCTTATTACTAAGGAAATTAAAAAAAATCAACTGTATTTTTGTCTCCTCAAAACTATTCATACATTTATATTTTGTGTCTTCTATTACAGCAGTGGTCAGTGAAGGAGGACCACTAGCTGCCACCTGTTCTTGTAAATCACACTTTACCAGCAAACAGCCACACCTATTTATTTACATATTGTGTATGGCTGCTTTTACCTTGCAATGAAAGAGTTCAGTAGTTAATGACAGAGTCCACATGGTGCACAAAGCAGAAAGTATTTACTATGTAGTTTTTTACAGGAAAGATTAGAAAACAAATTCCTTAACGGTTTGATTTTCTTCATAACACAGAAGTCTGTGCATAGAATAGTCAGTAAATATTGTTTATTGGGCTGATTACTGTTCACCATTTATATATTCTTTGAGAAAACATCAGGGAATTTAAAACATTTTTATAAATAATCAATATTTTATTTGTTAGATTATGTTATTTAATGGGGCATTCAATAGCTTTGAAGTCAGAACTAGGGGGTGACAGCTCTACCAATAACCAGCTGTAAGATCCTGGGCAAGTCATGAATCTGAGCTTTCCTTTCATAATTTGTACATAGGATGCTAACTTAATGCTCGCTTGGAATTCGGGAAATAATGAGAGATCAAATACACTCACACTGTAGGTGCCTCAGGCTGTCCCAATAAATGGTTATAACACAGTATTTCACTGATCAAATTTGCTTATCACCTACTCAAATAAATAAATGATACCAATAATAAACAAGTAACACTAATCTCTATTTGGGCTCAATATTTGGAGTATGTTTTAATTTCTATATTGTTTATAGATAGGTTGCTCAGGAAACTTGAATAAATGCCCAACTCTTGAGGTCATATGACTTTTTGTTAGTAGCATTTTGTTTTCCAGATTCCACAATATTATCTAGCAAGCAGAGAATTTTGAATGCTTGTGCAAGTGTGGTTGCCGCTGAGGTGTGCAGCTCAGGACTTCCTTAGAGAAAGAAACTATCATCAGCTGAGTGCCTTTGGGTCTGATGCATCAGTTGGGCCAAGGCTACACTCTTCTTCAGCAGCCTCCCACCAAAGACTGATCACAGCAGAGTACTAAAGCCTGGCCATTTTTGCTCTGCATGTGAGTCCTCTAAGAGGCATTCTTTGATGTGAAGCTTGGCATCGGGTTCACCAAGACTTTGTCACCTGCTGCTAATCCTGCCTTGTCCCCTTTAATCTTTCACATATTTACCTTCTTCCCTGACAAACCTCTCAACCTCCTAACTTGGTCTCAGTGTCTGCTTTCTGGGGAACTCTACAGGGCACAACAAACAAAGTGATGTTATAACAGTTTTTGAAAATAAGGAAAACTTTTAGATACACAAGTAATATTGACAGGAAAATATTGCAGCTTTAAATATAAATGAAAATAGACATAATAAAACTATACTATGGAGTTTTTGAATCATTTTAATAAGTAGAGGTATATTAGCAATTAGAGTTTCAAATATTAAACATTTGGACCTATGTTTTAGATGATCATTTCAACATAAAATATTAATACTAAAATTCCATAAATATTTATAATTCAAAAAATAGCACTATTTGCTTGGTCTAAATCTATTTTCACATATACCAAGACTACTAAATATAAATTCCTTAATCTAGTATAACTTTTTATACATCAATCTTCTGTTACATCCTATAAAGAAATAAATAATCATTGTACTCACCTATTTATAGAAAATGTTTCTTTTACGTTACCTATTTATTGTACTATGTAAGAAACAATGTATTTCGACCTCAAATGAACTTCATGAATACTCCCTAAACCTTTCAAGAAAAAGAATTTGTGAGCAGCATAAAGAAATTGCCTGTTTATGAGGACTCATTTGAAATAAAATAACAATTAAAGTCATATAAACCATTTCTTAACAAACAGTTCTTTTCTTTGCCATTTTCCAGCACCGAGTATTTTAGACAACTCCTCTCTTTTGATACACATCTTGTGTATGCCATTTTTATTCCCAAATTTTACTGCCGTCCTCTTTTCTGCCTCATATATTTTAGTTTCTATTCCACAAGTGATTTGTGTCTCTTGAAATGAAACTGCCAACCAGGGTAATAAGTACTGCTTAAAGTTATTAAGTCATAGCAACAGTTTGAATTTTGAGACAACCTTTCAGCTACTTGATTTTATTTTGACTGTTACTGATTCTGACAACACTAGCATCTTTGTTTTAAAATTTGTTTCCAATTCTTGAAAGAGATTGCACCAGCTCAATTTTTAAGACAGCTTTTTTGATACTATTATCTCATAACCATTCAGTCTTAACATGCCTAGTAATTGAGAATGTACACCTGGCTTGATTATGCTTACAAAATGTTACTCTTTATATGGGATATACCTGAGTGATGGAAAGATAGCTAACTAGCACAAAGTGTGGAGTACATTCAGTTGCTGGGAAAAAAAAACATATTACTTCCTCGAGGTGTGATACATTTTCTATTTCTGGGTCTCTCTAAATAAAAAACAAACACCTTATGAGCATAAAGGAGAACGACTCAGTGTTACTTACTAAATATCAAATAGAGGAATAAATAGGTCTATTCAGGCATCACAACTGTAAATGGTGCTAACTGATAGTCACATACACCAAATGGCTGACTTTCAGTAAGAAAGCCCTGTGGGTTTGTACATCTACACTCTCACTCAACAGCAAGCAACTTAATCAGTGAAGGGAGACATTATACACTGGCTTCTTTAAAAAAACAAAAACAGCAGCAAAAAAAACCCACCCCACACATGTCTACACATGCGAGGTTGAAAGAAAAAGTATCTAAAATACTTGTCCACTTACTTGTACCGATAATCATTTCACAAAAATTTGAGGGATCTGATGCAAAATGTGATACAAAGAGAAAACATAAATTAAAAACAAACAAAAATAAGATGAGAAATTACAGAGCAAAAATAAAATACAGATAAAGAATATAAAATAACAGTGACAAAATTATTCAAAATGTGGGCATCAAAATTTTTTTGGTAGTTATTTCCAAGATGACCACTTAGTAGAGAATACTTTATAATCATTATAAGTTATAGCATCTAAAATTAAATTGAGATCATAGAATATTTATAATATTTCTTCAGTAAGTGGATGAGTTATTTACTAAAACTTAATTAAATGTTCTTTCTACTATTGTCTAATTAAATGTTCTTTCTACTATTGTCAAAATACTAAAACTTTAACGTAGAGGGGAAAGTTGCTGGGGAATGAATGCATCTCAGCTATGAGGGTACATTGCACTTGATTATCAACGGGCTCAACTAAGAAACTAAAACTGAAATAGTATTAATTTGGATATTCATAATCAACATGCTCTGGAACAACGAAGGAATCAAATTGTACTACCTATGTCATCAGTATATTTAAATGTATGAAATATTTCGTAATTGATTCCAACATAAACTTATGCACTTAGTAAAGCTTCTTGTTAAAAAAACAGTCTTATTGTGGTATAACTGACATTCAATAAATTTAATGTGTATAATTTATTAAGTTTTGACATATGTACATAGCTATCAAAGTATTGACATAATCAAGAAAATGAACATTTCATCATTCTGAGAAGTTTTCTTCACACCCAACTCTTGCCTGTCCCCAGGGAACCAATGAGGCACTTTTTATCACTATAGATCAGTTTGTATTTTCTAAAATTTAATACAAATGTTATAATACAGTATGTACTCTTGTTTTGTCTGAATTATTTCACAGCAAAATTATTTTGAGCTTCATCCATATTGTAATGTGAATCAGTACTTCATTCCTTTTTATTGCTGAATAGTCTTCCATTTTATGGATATATCGCAGTTTACTCATTTACCTGTTGAGAGTATCTGAATTATTTCCAGTTTTGTGTTATCACAAATATAGCTGCTTTGAATATTCATGTAGAGGTCTTTGATTACACATAAGTTTTCATTTTTCTTGGGAAAATACCAAGGGTAAAATGGCTGGATTATACAGTAGCTGTGTATTTTACTTTTAAAGAAAACTGCCAAAATGTTTTCCAGAGTATACAATTTTACTTTCTATTAGCAATATATGACAGTTACAGTTCCTTCATAATCCTGCCAATACTTGGTATGGTCAGTCATTTATGTGTTAGCCATTCTATCAGGTGTGTAGTGGTATTTCATTGTGGTTTTAATTTACATTTCCCTAATGACTAATAATGTAAAGCATCTTTTCATGAGCTCATTTGACATCCATCTATGATTCTTGGTAAAGCTTTTGTTCAATACTCTGTTCATTTTTATTGAGTTGTTTGTTTTCTTTTTATTGAGTTTTGAGTGTTCTTTATATATTGTGAATAAAAATCCTTCATCATATACTTGGCTTGCAAATAATGTACTCTAACTGAGGCTTTTTATTCACTTAAAAGTGTCTTTGAAGGGTAGAATTTTTAAATTGTCTGATATATCAATTTTTCTTTTATAGATTATGATTTTGCATGATATCTAAGAAATTTTTGCACAGATTAAGGTCACAAACTTTTGTATCCTATGTTTTATCTAGGAGTTTTATAGATTCAGCCTTTACATTTAGGTTAGGACCATATTTTCGTATAGTACAGGATGTGAATTGGAGGTTTGTTTTGTTTTGTTTTTTTACATGTATCTTTGTCAAAAATTACTTGTCCATATATGTTTTGAGTCTTGATTATTATAGCTTTAAAATAAGACTTGAAATCAAGTAGTATTTTCTTTTTTCTTTCTTTGTTTTTTTGAGACAGAGTCTTGCTCTATCACCCAGGCTGGAGTGCAGGGACATGATCTTGGCTTACTGCAACCTCTGCCTCCCGGGATCAAGAGATTCTCTTGTCTCAGCCTCCCGAGTGGCTGGGATTGCAGAAGCCTGCCACCAAGCCTGGCTAATTTTTATATTTTTAGTAGAGCTGGGATTTCACCATGTTGGCCAGGCTGGTCTTGAACTCCTGACCTCGAGTGATCCACTTGCCTCCCCCTCCCAAAGTACTGGGATCACAGGCGTGAGCCACCTTACCCGGCCAAAATCAAGTAGCATTTCCAAAGTGGTTTTGTCTATACTAGGCTCTTTGTATCTGTATATATGAATTTTAGAATCAGCTTGACCATTACTACAAAAGTGCCTGCAAGTATTTCGATCGGGATTGCACTGAATGTCAACATAAATCTGGTGATAAATGTCATTGTAATAATACTGAACCCTCTGACCCATGAATGAGGCATATCTGTCCAGCTATTTAGGCCTCTTTACTTTCATTTAGTAGTGTTTTGTTGTTTTCAATGTAGAGGTCATGCACATTTTTTTGCAGATTGATCCCTCGGTATTTGGTGTTTACGAATGCAATTGTAAATGGCCTTTTATTTTAAATTTTCAATTCCTGATTGTTCTTTGTTAGTATGTGATGGAAGATAATTCTTCATAGGTCTTGTGCTTTTCAGTTTGTCTTGAGAGCACAGGCACTGACTGCCTTTGTTCTAGAATCCATTTCCAATGGTATTTGTAGAGCCAACCATCTTGGATTATAGATAGAGTGTCTCCCTTCACTGCAAAGGAAAGGTTTGTTTACTGTCCAGTATGATGAAGAAAGTATCTCCTTTCAGTGAAAAATTTAGGCAGGCTTATTGCTAATTATAGAAAATTTAGGTACTTTAATTCATTGTTCCTTTCTTGCAATGAGACTAATTTCATGTAAGGTGTCAACTCCTTTTAGTATCACACTTTTAAAGTGTGGGGTTTAGGGAACAAGTTCAGATGACTATACTATGGCTACTGCTTTTGATTTCCATCCTTTTCTCTAACTCAGGAATCTCATGTCTTCTGTCAACATCCATAAGCATAAGGCAGGCTAATAGGCTTTTATTAGCTTACAAATAAGATAAAATCTCAGACCCTTTACAGTTCTTGAAAATATACAGAAATACAATTAAATGTTTACTAATGTTCTTAGATTTTGTAACTTTGAGAGACACACTTACCAATTCTGGAAGCTTTTTGATTGACTGCAATCCTATCTCTTTCTACATAGACAATTATCTCCATGGATACAGTTTTACTTCTGTTTTATATCAATCAGATTGTCTATAAATACAGCATTATTTCTTTCCAATCTAAAATATTTTTATTTATTTCACTAGATAAAACTTGTTACAGTGTTGAACAGACCTGATATAAACATCTTTGTCTTGTTCCTGATCTTTTGGGGTATGCAAGATACTGTGAATTTTACCTTGTTGGGTCAGTATCTCTGTATCCCTATAAATATTCTTGAGCTTTGTTCTAGGACTCTTATTTGGAAACCATTTGATTGCTTCAGGTCTTACTTTGAAGATTTGTTAAGTGGAATTCAAGCAGGGATATTTCTAGGATAATTATTCCCCACTACTGAGGTAAGGCCCTTTTCAATACTCTATCCAAAGCCTATGAACAGGTGGTTGGGGGCAGCCGGTACTATGGCCCTCCGTGAGTGTCAGGCACTGCTCCTTTTGTTCCCACTGATTGGTTCCTTTTCTAGATTTGAGTAGTTTCCTTATAGACATGAGCTGACCAATACTCTTTCCAATACGTATGGGGGTCCATCTGCTCATCTCTGGGCCATCTTGTGTAGCTCTCTCCTCTATGTTACTTTCTCCTGTGCACTGAAGCTACCTTGTTCTCCCTGAACTCTCAGCTCTGTATCTTCAACTGAGAAAGTCTTCTGAGCTCTGCCTTGGTTCCCCTACGTTGTGCCGCAGCCTGTAAATTATTCAGATGGGAAGCTATGGTAACTTCAGGGCTCACCTCCCTTTATTTCCTGACTCTCAGGATTCAATGTCCTCTGTTTCTTGATACCCAGTGTCTTTGAAAATCATTTTTTAATATAATTTGTCAATTTTTTCCTTGTTTTCAGAAGGAAAGATAAATCTGATCCCCATTATTACTTCTTGGCTGGAAGCAGAATCTACCATTATAGTGCACTATTATGTAATATATTACATTATATTCTGATCTACCATACTTTAACATACTAAAAAGCAGTAAGATTATGTTCAGAATGTAGAATTGGACACACATATAAAGGACAAGTTTTATGTTTTCATAATTTATATACTGACAACTCCCACTTCATATGATATACATGTGCACATATAATTTTGCCCTAGTTCAAAAAATATCTAAATTACACCAAAATATAAATTTTTAATTGTATCTAATGGCTTCTCATTCTTCTTAAGATTTATAAAAGTTTGAATAAATAGGACATGTTATGTTTATGTTTATATCACTAACACAATAGTTATACTTTATAACTAAACATTCATTTATACATATAGTTGAATCCACATCTTCAAATTCTTATGTAAAATGAAAACAAGGTTAATACCTTTAGGTATAATTAATACCTAAGTACCTTTAGGAAATACAGAGTTAAATACATTTATATCCAAACATGGACTTTAGTTAAATAGGGGAATAAAAGACAAAGCTTCTCAAATATATAATAATTGTCTAGCACAGATTGGAAGAAGAAAAAAAAACATAAAAGATGATTTCTGTAGAGAGAGAAGAAGAAAACAAAGATAAATAATGTAAGGCAAAGAGGCTAAATAAAAGAGCAAATTAAAGAAGAATAACATCTAAATCACTAGTAATGTAAATCACAGTCTAATATGGCTGGTATAGGTTGACACCAACTTGTACATGGCTATAAGTACAGGTTGGGGCTTGAATCTTATTCTTGGTTCATTCGATCAATCTTTATTGAGTGTTTACTATATTCCAGGTATTGTTTAAGACAACAAACTATGACCATAGCCTGCTTCTGTATGGCCCATGATCTAAGAATAGTTTTTACATTTTTAAAGTTAGAACACAACACACACAAAAAACAAAGAAAGGTATATAATAGAGACCATATGGGCTGCAAAGCCTAAAATATTCACTATTTTGTCATTACAGAAAAAGTCTGTCAAAGCCCAGTTTAAGATATTGGGGATAAAACAGTGTAAAATAAAAAAAAAATACCTTGCCTTTATGGGATTGATATTCTAGTGGGAAGGATACAGATAACAATTAAAATATATGGTTTGTCAGATGGTACGTGCACAAGTTATGCAGGGAAGGGGATCAGCTGTCAGCAAAGGGGCAGAGATTACCTCATGGCCCATAGAGCAAAATGGGGTGACCACGTGGGATGAGGAATGATGTGGTTATCTGGTCTTTTGAGGGTGATAAGGGCTATAAAGAGAGAGAGTCAAGGAGAAATATTTTGATTGTGATTGTTGTGGTGAGGGTGGTGGAGGGGGTCATTTCACTTCAGAAGCCCAGGGTGCTAGGACTCTCACTCCTCTCCTGCCAGTCATGAGGTAGAGTCTAGGGAAGAGTGTGATCTCACTGGGAACACCCAGAACTTCTGACTCTTTCTCCATAATCAATGCTTTATTGAGCGGGAGAGCTACAGGTCATAGCTGGGCTTTGAGAGGGTTTATTTGAGGGTAAGAGTAAACTGGAGGAAAGAGTTGCCACAGCAGGGTCCTCAAAGTGACAAAATTTATTAGAGTAGGCATTTCCTGAGGTTGACAATGTACCAGAAGAGACCACTGACAAGCACAACATTCTGGTGGTTAGAGAAGTCTGGGACAAAAACGAAATTATTGCTGTTGTAAGCACCACACCATAAGAAACACCATACTGAGTCAAATCAGGATTCAGTGATGTTGCTTTAATTGAAATGTTTATTGAGCACCTACTATGCACCCAACACTTTTAGGAACTGAAAATAAAATGATACGCAGGAAAATATAAACAAGTTCCATCTCTCATGAAATTTCTATTTGAATGCTGTGGGTAATTTCAATTCTTTTACAAATGCTTTGTGCAAGTTAGAAGGTACTACTTACATAGGGTGGGCAGGGAGGCCACTGGAGGACATGCCTTTTATGCTGGCTGTTGAAAGATGAAAAGGAGCTAGCCATGCCACAAGAGAGTGAGGAGCGGCAAAGCGAATAAAAGTGAGAAGGCCCCGAGGCCATAAAGAGCTGTCAGAACACGAATTTATGACTGTGGCAGTTTCGCCTCAGGCAGTTTTGTCAGAGAGCACTACTGGTCCTGTGAGGAGACAGGGCCTCCTGGGACGGTCCCCAAGTGGAAGGCTAGTCGGAACTTAACCTGCCCTTCTTTTTGTTGCTACTACTCATGGGACGCAGGAAGGGTGTAGGAGAGGGGAATTTCCCTCCAATATCATGTCACTAAAATTCACAGCCTTTAGGTGGTATCCTTGCTTTGTCCACTGTGGTGCGGTGCACCGCCACTTTTTTATATGCTTATTATAGACAGCAGGAGGGCAAGAAAATTAATAGCAATCTTACTAGCAGCAGCAGGAATAGCTGGCATTTATTGAGGGCTTATACATGCCAGGCACTTTACATGTAGTAATTAATTTAGTCCTTAAAATCATTTTGAGATGGGGAATAATACAAACTCCATTTTTCAGATTAGGAAACTGAGGGAAAGAGAATTGAGTAGCTTGTTCAGCTGATACAGCTAGTAAGTGTTCAAGGTTGGCAACATGGCCATAAAATTATCATGTTCTTACAGCTAATGGACTAAACTGTCTCTTTTCTTGAGGAACAATCTGTAAAGATAAAGCCCAGGTATATACTTTCATTTGATATAGGTAGTTTGAGCCTCACTTTAAATATTACAAGTGTTTCCCAAATTCCATGTTTTCATTACCCTCACCAATTGCTATTGTAAGCACCATAGCATTATTTTAGTTTGATTCTGGGAATAATTGCTTTTTGAGGGATTAAGATCCCCCTTTTCCTTTCTTCAATCTCTATTCCTGTATAAGCTTATTTTCAGGCCTTTAGGCTCTTGGGTAATATGTTCAACCATAAAGTTTTACACTCTAGTTCTCCTCAGCTTCAGCTCAAATACATTCTCTTCACAATTCCCTCAGTCCTCCAACTCAATCTGCCTCTTGTCCCTGTGTTTTCTTTCACAGATATAAGATTTGTGGTTTTGAATATTAACTAGTTTTGAGAATAAAATAATAGGCAGTTGCCTAAGTTCACTTCATCAGGTAATTTCACTTTTGCTTGCCAGGCAGTTGGTAGTACTTGTGAGATTAAAATTTGGCACTCAGATAAATAACAGACAATACATTTCATGATACTGATAATTGGATAATTCTAAGAATTCCTTGACTTCAGTTCTTAGTTTACTAGAATCTATTTACATAAACTGATTACATCAAGTAAAATTTCAGAGATTATGTATGAAAATAGGAGTGTAATAGATTTTATTACCTAAAACCAGCAAGCAACTCCAAATACTCCAAACAAACAAACAAACCTTTAGTCAGTGCAGAAATGGCTATATATCTATTAATCTTTTTTTTAGTACTTTTAAGTCAAATCTAAAAGTTCTAAGAGAAAGAATATCTCTTAAATCTGACATGAGAATACCGTATGAGAACAAATAAAATAAAAAATGAAAATTATCTTCATTTATATTTCTAGTTAACATAGTTTATTTCATTAAATCCATAGGCTATGTAATCTCATTTCATCACTTTTGTGTGCACCACAGGGTCCTATACAAAATGATTAAAATACAACATAGCCAGATATGGAAAACATCCTTACCTTTAAAGAACACAAAATTCCCGTCGCTATTTTCATAAACTGCATCGATACTAGGAGGCAAGCCCCGCCAGAAGTAAGTAATTTGCATTGGGTATCCATCCATCACCCTGTTGTTTCTCACTCGCCAAAACCACTGGTCCTGCAAACCAAGCAAAGGCATCTCTCAACAAACACGTAGGCCTCCCTGGCATTTCACGGCGCAATGGCTGGACGCTTTTGAAATCAAGCTGGTTTCCTTATTTATTGTCTTACATTAAATCAGTCAGAGAAAGAGCTAAACAACTTGACCGCAATGATCACAAAAATTTTTGTAGTAAACTCCTTAATGTCTAAGCCATACAGTGTGATTTAAAACATAATGTCAACATACTGAATCTTGTCATTTTACATTTTCTCTAGGGCTTTCTAGATGGAGGTAGCACAGAGAAGTCCCTGCCAGATTTGTGGATATGTCAGCTTCTTGAATGTGAGAGCAGCGTTAGGGCCATGCATGCTTCCTAACGTTTTTAAATATATGCAAAATCTCCACACCTACCATGTTGAGGATGAAATAGAGAGTCCACACCTGTCTGTACGCCCCTGTTATGCCTATTGTCTCATATAGTTATAAAGTAGAGCCCTCTTTCATCATTAAATGTATTTTTGGCTGATAACTTTATGCAAGAAAAATAGGCAAAATTATTTTGAAAAAAATAAATCATCGCAGAGGATTCTAGTCTGGATTAATTGCCTTTCCTATCTGCTCTAGTAATACCATGTACTTCATCCAATCATAGCACAAGTCATTTTATATGAAAAGTGTCTATTCATTCTTACCTCTAGTGAAGAACACATGGCTTGACCCATAGCAGGTTTCTATAAAGTTGTTTAATTAATAATTGGCCTACACACAATATGTTTCACCATAATACTTACTAAGGGCAAAAAAACCCAAAAACAAAAACAAACCCTTCAAACCCAAAAAAGGATACATCTGATGACACTAAGTAGTTTTCCATTGAAAATTTGAAATAAATGAAAGGCTACTCAGTGTTTTAACATTTAAAAACTAGGTGTATTTTAAAAATTGATTTTAATACAATTAAAATTTCACTTTATTTTAAATTTCTGTATGTATAAGCAATATTTCACTTGGAAGTTAAGTATATCCACTATTTAGACAAGTATATATCACAAAAATACTTCCATTTTAATTCTCTGCTTTCTTTCTTGCTCTTTTCACACAACTTACATATTATATAAGTGATTTATTTTAGGACCTTCTCATGCTTTTGGCCAACAATATGTTAGCCTGACCAAACTTTCTAGGATTTATCAATTACTCATATATTCATACACACACACACACACACACACACACACACACACACAAAATCTACTGAGGATTCTTGGACTTCAGTTAATATGATAACAATGAACTTTCTTTCACCCAAATGAGTCCGAATATGAACTGTCTTAAGAGCCTTTAATAGTTGAACTTTGTTGTAGTTATCATGCACTGTCTTCTCTACCAACTTCTGTTATTTTTTTTAAAAGGAGGAAATAGCTTAATTAACGACTCTAAGCTCATATGCAATTCTTGTTCTGTCGCCTAACAACTGTGTCACCTTGGTCAATATACTAGTCACTGAGTTAGTACAAACGAATACCTAATTTATAGCATGATTACTGTATAAGATACAAAGAACTTTCTGAGAACCTGGCACAGACTAGTACCAACATTTTTGGTTGTTATTATTGTTAAAATTATATTGAAACGAGTTATCTACTTTCCCTCTTCATATTCCTGTTTACAGTTTTGTCTCTTGTTCATTGTTTCCTCTTTGGATGTCAGCTATACTACAGTCCCAGCCACGTATCTCATTCCAACCAATTTGTAAAAAATGTTTTTCTCCTTTTCTTGATAATTTTCATGGTGCTAGGTGGCCTGGATTAATAATGTTTTGATCCATATGCAGTAGATTTTCAAATACAATTTCATATAAAGATTGATTCAGATAAATATACAGGGGCATGAAAATCAAGAGTTCACTGCAAATAAAATATGTCGGTGATATTCTAATCACTTAAAAGAAAAAACAGAATTTTTGTCTAGATATAACAAGGGCTTCTAACTGGGTGTTAAAACCTTGCCAATCTCCAAATAAAGTATTCTTAAGTTATTGTAATGTATATGCCAAAATAATTAGTAGAAATGAATAAACAAATGGATTCTGATAAAGAAATAACTGACCATGACTATATATGAAACAGAAAGCTCTCCAAGCTGAAGAATGGGAGGAAATCTGGTGAAAAAACCTGGACTACATTCCAGTTTTTCCCACAAAAGCCCTTCCCATTGCTATAATCTCACCACATATGGAGCCGGGCCAGTGGCTTTACTGGACAGACACATGTTGCAGTCTGCAGATAGGAATACAACCCCAACTTGCCACTAATAAGGGGAGAAGTAAAAGTTCTGTCTCGAGATAAGCATAGTCAATTTGCAAAAATTCAGAAGGTCATGTGAAACTGCAGATGAATTCCACTGGTTTTTGTTGACAGCAGCCTTGGCAGAGAGTCATATAAATTACAGATATTCAGGTTGTGCCTCTATTCAACTTATCCTCAGTTTAGCAGACAGCAGTGGTACAAATAATTTAGAAAGCATCTGTCACAGTGGATGTAAACTCATGTCATGGTTACTATAGACTGCCATTTCAGAAATAGGGTTTGTGAACAATTCATAGAGAAAAGATACTTAAAATGCTATCTAGGTCTCTGTGCAAATTTTCCTTATAAGTGAGACATTCCCTGACCATGCTATCTAGAACTGAAGTTCCTCACTGCACTCACACAGGTCTGCTGGATCTCCTCACCTCCCTTTCCTGTTGTATTTTCCTTCACTGCATTTATAGTCATTTTATACAATACTTGTTTTACTAATTTATTGTTCATTCTCTCTCCACTAAATATATAAGCTCTCTGATGGCAAGAATGTCGGTCTTTTGTTTAGATACAGTCCCCTATTTCCAGAAAAGGACCTTACACATAATAGGTGCACAATAAATTTCTTTAAAGAAAACAAAATGTGAAGAGAAAAGAGCAAAGTAAAAGTAATGATCCTTTAGAAGACACTGTTTTAAAATTACATCTCAGTTTTTTTCCCTGTTGTAGTTAAGATGTTTTCTTACTGAAAAATTATAAAAGTTATGAAGGGGTCACACAAACATAAAAATTCTATTTGAAAAGGTATATGTTTAGCACATATTCTGCTTTCTAGAAAAGTATGATACTTAAAGGTCTTTGAACCATAAAGAAAAAAATACATTTGGTTTCACCCTTCTAAACAACATAAGTTTGGTTTTTGTTTTAGATGGGGAGGGAAAGAAAGATGAATAACCCTTATGGATCTCTAAATCTGCTATTTGTATGTTGCCTCAAGCTTCTTACCTCCTTCCTTCCTTCCTCCTTCCCTCTCTCCCTCCCTCTTTGTTTTCTTCTCTCTCCCTCTTCCTGTCTCTTTCTCCTCTCCCTCTCCTTCTCCCTCTCTTTCTTTGGTTTGGCCCTTATAGAAGGAGGTGGAAGGGGAAATAATAACCATAACTAGCCTATCTGCAAAGTCAAGTTGTGAAAAAAACAGTACTTATACATTACCAAACTGGAATTCCTACTTAAACACCAATATTTCACTTAAGATACAAGCACTTATGGTCTTACATGTAGATTTATTTTCCATGTAGCATAGAACCCAGACAGATCATTTAGTTCACAGAGATAAATTCACATAGTGTACACCATGGAGCAGTAACATACGGGGAAATTCTGTTTATTATTCTTTTATATCCTTTAAAATTCTGGCTCGTGATAGGCATATTTGTTTGCTGAGAACTATATGGAAAAGGCCTACTGTCTGAATATGAAATTATGATGTTAATGATCTACTATCAGTAGAAATTGCTGTTTTCAGGATCCTTTTAAAAAATGAATCAGCTGAGTCAGGAGAATTGCTTGAACCCAGGAGGCGGAGGCTGCAGTGGGCCGAGATTGTGCCACTGCACTCCGCCAGCCTGGGTGATAGAGAGAGACTCCGTCTCAGAAAAAAACAAAACAAAACAAAAAACAAAAAAACCTAATCAGTAGAACTGATCTACTTTTACTTCTCTTCTGATACACAGATTCATTTATTCATACCAACAACTTTCCATAAATCTACAAATGTGTCACATGTTCACACTGAACATTTCTAGCAGTCACCAGTTGTTCTTTGGGCCCTCCTCTGCCAAGCCACCTTGGTCCTGCTCTATCTAGTCTTCCTCCTTTCTGAAACAGCATCTCAAATCTCTTTATTTCTCACCATCACCACTGTCACCATCCGAGTCCAAGCTGCCACTGTATTTCACTGAGATGACTGCAATGCCAATGCAAAGCCTCTGCTTTGCCTCCTACTGCATCTAGAATGAAACTCAAACCTGGACTCCTGCCTCCAGCTCCTACGCAGCTCCCAGCAGTCTCTCTTGTGTTCATATTGCTCCAGTTATATCAGCTTCCTTTCAGCTGCTTGACAGAGGAAAGCTCTTTTCTTCCTTAAGACACCTTGCAGGCAGTTTGCCCTACAGTAGGCCCTCTGTTTCTGTGGTTTCGCTTTCCACAGTTTCAGTTACCTGTGGTCAACCCTAGTCCAAAAATAGATAAGTCCAGCATAATAAGGTATTTTGAGAGAGAGACCATATACGCAAAACTTTTATCACAGTATATTGTTGTAATTGTTCTATTTCATTATTGTTAATCTCGTACTGTGCCTACTTTATAAGTTAAACTTTATCATAGGTTTGTGTATGTATAGGTAAGAACATAGTGTATGGTCTGGTACTATCTGCAGTTTGAGGCATCCACTGGGGGTCCTGGAACATATCCTCCATGGGTAAGAGGGGACAACTGTACTTTAAATGTTCTTCCTTTTCCATCAATTTGAATCACAAATCATCCATTAATTCTCAGCTGAAATGTTATTCCGTAAAGAGGGCTTGGCTGCCCTCTGACTGAAATTACATAACACTATGCTATGATCTGAATGTTTGTGTCCCTTCAAATTCTTATGTTGAAATCCTAAGCCCCAAAGTATTAGGAGGTGGAGCCTTTGGGAATGATTATGTCTGGAAGGCAGAACCCAAATAAATGAGATTATTGCCCTTATAAAAGAGGCCCTAGAGAGCTGCACTGCCCCCTCCACTGTGTGAGAACACAGCTAACAGGTGCCATTTATGAAAAGTGGGTCCTCACCTTACATAGAATCAGCTGGTGCCTTGACCTTAGACTTCCCAGTCTCCAGAAATGTGAAGAGTAATTTTCTGCCATTTGCAAAGTGCCTAGTTTACGGTGTTCTGGTATAGCACATCCTGATGAACTAAGACATTCTTGTACTATCTCATGGTACTCTGCACTTTGACTTCACAGCACTTACACATATGTTACTGCATCATGGTATTTGTGACGTCATTTCTTCCACCTACTCCACTGTATGATATGCTCCACAAGAATGGGGCAGTGCGTATTTTCCTTATCGCTGGATTACCAGCATGGTGAACTGTGTCTGGTGTACTGCAGGAGTACAACACATTTACTAGACAGATCTCCCAATTTTTTTCACCAAACTGTCATAGGATGAGTATATATATCTGAGATTGTTCAAAACAAGGTAGCTGTTTAGTTTGAGTATTAACCCTATTTATTAAGATGACATTCTAACCAAGGGAAATCATTAGCTGTGGAAAAAATTAGAAAAACATTTATGTGTATAAATACACGTTTGCTCACAAGCAATCATGTGTTGTTTTATTTATTTATGTATATATTTATTTATTTATTTTGAGACAGAGTCTTGCTCTGTTGCCCAGGGTGGAGTGCAGTGGCATGATCTCGGCTCACTGCAACCTCCACCTCCCGGGTTCAAGCAATTTTCCTGAGTCAGCCTCCTGAGTAGCTGGAACTACAGGCATCTGCCACCACGCCCAGCTAATTTTTGTATTTTTAGTAGAGATGAGGTTTCACCACGTTGGCCAGGCTGGTCTTGAACTCCTGACCTCAAGTGATCCACCCACCTTGGCCTCCCAAAGTGCTGGGATTATAGGCGTGAGCCACCGCGCCTGGCCATGTGTTGTGTTTTGAAGGCTTCTGATGTGGGCGTGGAGAGTGTCTGGGGAAACTGGTGTTGAAAATTAAGCTGTTTCCTAAGAAAAAAATTGGGTATGCAACAATACCGAAAGAAAGACAAAAATGTGGCAGCTATATACATAATAAGGAGGAACGTGATTTATATGAATGCTTAAAAGGCAGAGAAAGAAATGGTGGTCTTGGTTTTCCATTCCGTGGTAGGCCTGCTTTGGTTCTACCTCTTTGCAAGCAGTATGAGATTTCAGAGGCACTCTGCTGGATGCTCTCCACTGTGGGGTAAACCTTGGTAGCGAGGCTCATCAGGCAGTCTCATAGGTGAGTGGAGTTTGGAAGGCAGCAGTGAACAGGTAGCTATGTACATCTGGGCAGAATGGAAGAGCCAGCAACGAACACTAAGCCTAAGACAGACGTCAAAAGGTTTACCAATTTCAGAACACTGCCCTTCTGAAGGGACAAGAAGAATAAATGGGGAGCTTCAGTTGGAGTTCAGGGGAGGAAAAGTGTACTTTGGAGAAAACTGCTATTAAATAGCTGTTACTTTCACCACTGAACTGACTCATTCTTTTAGTCATACTTCAAAAGCATGGAGAAAAAGCAAACTATCAGAATTTCTCAGAAAATTTCTTACTTAAAGTTTTTTAATAACACCCTATGTTAGACTCTATATCTCCCAATCACAGCCATAATTACTGCACTTATTGAAATAAAAATTGATGATGGTCTGGCTTGTGCCTGTAATCCCAGCTACTTGGGAGGCTGATGGAGGAGGATCACCTGAGCCTAGAAGTTCCATACCAGCCTGGGCAATACAGTGAGACCCCCATCTCTAAAAAGAATTAAAAGAAAAGATTGATGATGATGGCTAATACCAATGATTAGGTTAAATTTATGCATTTTTAGGGTATTTTATGTAAATATTTGAATGTCACCTAATATTTCCAACAATAAAATATATTTAATAGAAAGATAATACTTACATATATTGTAGTAAAAACAGTTTTTTTTATAAACAGCTCAAATTTTAAAATGTATTACTAGATTCTGTTGAAAAGGTGACAAAAGCATTTGTTGCTCAGAATGATGAAGTGAAAGGAACTCAGGAAGTTTAAGCTGTTGGATTTATAAGCATGTATACAGTAGCTGTTTTTCTTAAAAAACAACCATATTATATAAAAACATTGGTTGTGACCAATAAATTTGAAAAATAAATGTTTTCGAGAACCAACAAGGCTGCTAACAAAGTAAAAAGCTATGAAAACATGGAGAAAATATGTGTATCCCAGCTCACAAATGGTCAATTAATCTAATGTATAAAGAACTCTTAAAAATCAAGGAAACAAACCCCCAAACCTTATAGAAAAACCAGTAAAAGACGTGAACAGTTTATACAAACGCACACGCACACACAGACACACACACACACAGTTTATAAATGTAGGGAAAGATACTCAACTTCACTCATAAGTAAAATGCAAACTGAAACTATTTTGATATACCATACATTATCAGATTGCTTTGATCTCACGGCTTGTAGGAATGGGCATCCGTATTTATTTCTGGTAGGAGTGCAAAATGGCATGATGCCTGTGGAAATCAATATGGCAACATCTAATAGCATGACATACATATTTGTCTTTTGACCCAGTAATCTCTTCTCTGTCAATCCACTTCAAATTAAGATACAACCTCCCAAATAAAAAGATGCAATACATTACAAAATCATATGATATACTATAATAGAAGTAAATTTTTGCAAGGTTTCTCATTGTGATGTCATTTTTGATAGCAAATGTATTCTATCTTCTGTGTAAAAGAGGATGGGAAAATTTATCTATATTAACATTGTTTTATAGGCATAGCTATAAATATAGATAAAATATAGATATTGCTTATGTTGTCCTTACTAAACAGATAGCACAGAAACTAATATAAAAGTAGTTACTGAGTAATAAAAATGGGTGAAGCATACTAAAAGTGTGGAAATGCAGGACAGATTTCTCAGACTATGTGCATGTTTTATTTTTTTTTATTTTTATTAAATTTTGTGTCAGGTTGAATTGTTAAAAATAAAAAAAATTAAAATCAAAGGCAAAAAAAGCATGTGCTAAAAATAAATCCCTAAATTCATCTGTATAAGAAATTGGAAACATACCCACATGGAGAAAATAAATATATCATATGACTTTGGAACCCAGTACTCTGATTGTACATTAGTGGGAAATAGACCACAAAAGAAACTTCAAATAAATATTAATCTTCATTCAATAATTTTATGGTTAAAAGGATTTCTGGTATTATAAATTTAAAACTATTATAAGACAAAAGTTAATATGTTAATGTTATTAGAACAAAGAGTTTCAGAGTAAAAAAAGAGATATAAGTATGTTAATTAATGTTACATTTGGATTAGAAATTAGAATGAAAATAATTCATGATTTAAACACATACACAAACAGAATTTTCTAATTTTTTCTAAATTTTTAGGAAATTTTCACAATTTCTTAATTTTGTTGGCTCAAAAGACATAAAAGCCATAATATTCCAGTGATGGGTATTACATAGAGCACCTATTAGAAGGAATCAGGGCTTCTTGGAGAATAGTTGAGTCTGGGCTCAAGATAGGCTAATTACAAGGTAAGCCTGGAACAATTGCGACAAAGCAAGAAATTACTCAAGACTAATGGAAGCAAGCCAAAGCATGGGAGCAGCTTAAGCAAAGGGTAAATTTGGGATTAAAGTGGGAATCAAAAGGAAAAATGGCTGCAATTGGGTATAATATACAGAATGAATAAATTTAAGAGTTCGAGAGTAGTAATCATTACTATTGCAACTGGCTAGTGTAAAAACTCTTTTCACTGAAAATTGGTAATCAAAGGGAAAGAATTAACTATAAGAAAGAGTTAAACATCTGTGCTGCCTTTTTAGAAGAAAAAATGTAGTTCATCTCTAGTTCATGAGAGTTAGCTTTTTAGAGAAGAATGCCTAATGCAGAAGGGAAAACAGAAAGAGAAAAATCATTTTGCAACTCCCAATTAAATAACTGGTTCAAGCAAGAACCATCACTGAATTTGACTACATTCCATCTATTATTGAGAAAGAAGATATTTACCTATTACTAAAAAACAGCCTGCAAAGTAAGCAAAGAACAAAACAAAAATTTTCATGTTGTGGTAACTGCAGATTCACATGCAATTATAAGAAATAACACAAACAGATTCATTTTCCCTTCCCTACTTTTCCCCCAATGGTAACGCTTGCCTAACTACAGTACAATTTCAAAACCAGAAAAGTGAGAATGATCCCATTTACCAATGTTATTAAAATCTCACCAATTTTTCATGCACTTGTGTGTATATATGCTAATTTTAATAGCAAAAGTATACCTTTCCAAGGCAAAGTTATGTCAGTTGCCACCCTAAGCATCAAGGATTGCATCAGTGATAGTGGACATCTTGATATATGCTCATAATGTGATGCAACACAAATAGCTAGGCATTTGAAAATCACAAAGTCTATGATGTACAATCACGTAGAAGCAAAACTTGTTAGGCCAAGTTTTTGTTAGGCCAAATCTAATTGGGCCTTCAGACTTAACTTCTTCACATTTAAGAGAGGAATAACTTAAGACAAGCAATCAAACACATCCTAAAATGTGAGATAGTTTATAAGACTATAAACTTGGCTTGGTCTCAGCAAGAAGAAAAAGGAGGAAAAAAAAAGAAAAGAGGCTGGAAAAAAAAGAGCCCAATAAAAGATCTAAAAAGACATAGTCAAAAGCAACACATAGATAGTCATTGGATCCCGTATTTAAAGATGAAATTTCATGATACCTACAACTTTGTTTCGCCAAACACTTGCACATGTGTACTGCATTTGCATACATACATACACATGAAGAAAATATAAGCAAAACACTAATAGTTGTGAAATCTAAATATTAGGTGTGACCATGTTTATTCTTGCAACTTTTCTGTATTTGTGAAAAATTTCTTAGTAAAAAGTTAAAAAAATACTCATTAAAAATCTGGAAAATACATAGGTAACTACATTATGAAAAAATATTATTATGGAATCTTTGTAAATATTTGTGATGGGTAAATACTATTCTAACTAGTGAATGTAAGTTTATTAAACCTCCATTGACTAGCCATTTAGATTTGCTACTATAAAAAAGGCTGCAACCAACATCTTTGTTCATTAAAAAAGAAACAAAAATATGTTTTGTGGCATGTAACTAAGGGTAATATATGCTTCATTTGACTGTAACATATGTGGACTGGAAATGTAAGATCACATATTGTGATACCATGCAAACATTATAAATTCATTAATTTAATTTCACACTAAATTTTGTTCTCAGGTTTACTGTTTACAGATAATTGTAAAAGGTACTGTAGTGTTTAAAAAGAGAGCAAGGACATTTACACTTAATTAACTGTATTACTTTTTCAACATTGGAAAAGAAAAAGTAAAGTCATAACTTGAAGAAGAAAAACTATTAAGGGAGGCTTAATAGATGTGTCTGGCAAAGATAATGCCATTCTGGGAAGTTTTCAATATTTTATAACAAGAGCTGACACAAGCTGGTTTTTGGTATATAAATGTTAGGGGAAAACCTGTTCAAAGCAACCATTAGAATACACTTTTTCACTAAGACAGTCGTGAATGTCTGCAATGATTTTGCAGGCACGGTTTTCAGGGCTCATCACTTAAGATTGACCAGATGTAATTCTGTGAGAAATGATGCAGCAGTACATCTCAATAGGTCAAATCACTTTGGGTACTGCCAGTATTTTTGAAAAATGCTCAAAATGTAGACTTTATTATAGTAGAGGAAGGAAGTGAAATATTAACAAGTGATTCTTCTAAATAATTTCTAAATTCACAATTCTGAAATTTCCCTTAATGTCTTTATTTTCAAGGAAGAATGTCATAGTTACCATTTGGATTAAAAAATGTAAACTATTTTAATAAAATGTTTATTTGTGTTTCAAAAGAAAAGGGAGTTGATATATTCAGATTACTTTGTTTACTACTTGTGCTAAGTTTATGTGTTAACATTTATAGTCTAAAAATGTTAAATATTCACTTTTATATTAATTTATAGGGAAAAATCTCAACACTGAAGAGTTTAGTGATGTAGCAGATATGGACCCCCTTTTTATTAATTAGTATTCATTTTAAATTCTAACTTAGAGAATACTAACTTTAAAACTTAAAAATGCATACTCATTCATGAAGACAATAATATATTAATTTTTATCCAATTTCTATACATAAACAATAAATCATAAAAAAGTGTTGCTACACCAAAAATGTAGTTCAGCTCTAGCATAGAAAGAGCGAGCTGGGGAGTAAGTGAAAGATGGGTGTGTGCTGACACTCTTTTCTTTTTAGGTATTTATATCTTTTTCCTGTTTCTTCTTTAATCTACTCTTGTTCAGAAATCACTGGGGGATGGGTATGATGAAGAAAAGAACAATCACTAAAAAGTTTACCATCGATGTACTGCAGTTAGGGAAAGTAGTCACAAATTCCAGATAAGAATGCACCACACATTACTGCTGTATGATATTCTGATTTTTGTTCTCCTCCTTTGAGATCTGAAGATCGTATTAGCAAGGTGCTCTATTAAGTGTTGAAACATGTAAAAGGTTTTCTTCCTTCCATTGTACTAACAGTTCTGGATTCAAAAATATGAACTCTTTGAGAATGTATATTCAATCTACGGAGGAGGAGAGGCAGACAGCTAATTTCAAAATGCTGTGTAAAATGCTATTCTTGCTGTCTCTATAAAATGGGAACTACCCTTTAGTGAATATTATGAGCTGGGAAAACAGTGTATTATTAGCACACCTATCAAGAATTACCATCCTTTTATTTTCAAACTAAAGAAAGATGTCTTACATACAATAAAATCCAGGTTCTTGTTGAGTATAGGGCCATTTCTACCCAAGGTACATAGACAATGTATTCAATTTAGTTTTTTCACCACCCAAGCTAAAGTTGTCTCTTCAATCTCTTTCTATCAAAGCATCATGTTATATTTTCTTCACAATATCCATTGTTCTCTGAAATTACCTTGTTTATTTGTTCACTTGCTTTCCATCAGAGTATGTGCCTCATCTGTCTTATTAAAAGACTGTACCCCTTAACCCTGGAACAGTTCCCAGCACAATTTGTTGAATGAATGTTCAAAGATAGGGAGAGAAAAACAGAGACAGAGAGAGATCAGCAAATCTTTTGCTTGGCCAGGAATTTAGGAAAACTTGGTCAATATTCTGTTTAGGTGTCTTCACAGAAATTCTTAGGTGTCCTCCCAGAACTCCCAGAAACTCTTTCTTAGGCTCTCTTTCCTGCTCCTATAGTCCTAAACTGGCCTATAGTCCTAAATTAGCAAGCCTACTTAGATTATAAATCACTTAAATTATAATTTACATCCAATGGTCTAAGTAGGCTGGCCAATGTGCCAGTCATATGTATACTCTTTCCCATAAGCATCATCATCATACTTTGCTTTCTCTCTCTTTCTTTAAGGTACAATCTAGGCTTCACCTCCTCTGGGGATACTTACTTTAAACTATGCCTCCTATTCCCCCAAAGACTTCTTGCTTTTTAGCCGACTGTCCTGCTTATTCTCACAGCATACCTTAGTTCTCGTAATAGTGGCCAGTGTGCCATGGCATAGGCATGCTGAGTAGGGTGGGAAAAGGAGATGTTTCATGATATGACATAGGAAGAGGGAAAGGGTTGAGCTAGAGCTAGGGAGTATATTTTCAGCTTGGTCTTCAATCAGACATGTTCTTTCTCACCAGAATTCACCATACCACACGAGAGGAATTTCACTAGCCTGAAAGAACACAGAAAGTGGAGCAGGCCGTCAGCATTAGGAATATGATATTGAGGCCCAGTGCAGTGGCTCACTCCTGTAATTCCAGCACTTTGGGAGGCCAAGGCAGGAGAATCACTTGAGCCCAGGAGTTCAAGACCAGCTGGGACAACATAGTGAGATCCTGTCTCTACAAAAAACAAAAAAATAGCTGGGCATGGTGGTTGCATGCCTGAGGTCCCAGCTACTTGGAAGGCTGTGATGGGAGAATTGCTTAAACCTGGCAGGTTGAGGCTGCAGTGAGCCGTGATTGTGGTACTGCGCTACAGCCTAGGGTAACAGAGTGAGGTCCTGTCTCCAAAAAAACCAAACAAACAAAAAAATGTACATACATATATATCTATATCTATCTCTATATAAAAGAATGTGTATCTATATTATATATATAGATATATAGATATCTATTATATCTATATATAATAGATATCTATATATCTATATATAATAGATATCTGCTGACTGTAAGTACAGAAGACGTCTGACTGCGATCATGTACTAGACCCCAGTGAGTGTTCAGCTGAGCCTTCCCTGTATTCCTGACCCACAAAATGGTGAGCAAATGGTTGTGTTAAGCCCCTATAGATATATATAGATATCTATAGATATCTATATATAGAGAGACAGAGAGAGAGAAAAGAAATAGTCAATAGACTCTACTTAAAAGCCCTGAGCAAGTGTAGAGGCCTAAGTGGGAGGGAAGCAGGCAGGGGGGTTTGCCCAGGAGGGAATGTGCCATAGGGAAAGACTTTTTTTCTTTCAAAGGAACACAAAGTTACTTGTCAACAAATTAAGTGTTTGACTTAATCTGAATGAGACCAGGCTGAATGAGAGATTTGCTCCTAAGAGATAAGGGTAGACAGGGCAGAGAATTCCCAAGAAATTACAAAGCAAAACACCCCTGAAAGATTCCTAAGTGACTTTGTTTTGGAGTTCAGGAACAGCTGTTGCCATAACAGGGGAGACTAATCCTCATTACCATTACCTAATTGCTTTATGCTAATATGCTCTTGAAAGCATTCCTTTCGCTGTCCCTGTGTGGCTGTGGTTTATTTACTTAAATAAAGAGTTCAAAAGGTAACTGCCCTTCTTTACACTCAAGGTAAGTCCTCAACACACAACTTGCTGTGGAGTAAAATAGTGATCAAGTTCTAAGGCAGTCTTGAGGGAAGTCAGATGATCACAATCATTAACGAATGGAAAACACTGTGCTACTGGGTCATTTTTATGGGTTTTACCCATGAATTACTGTTGAATACAAAAGCAATTGGAGAAAGTTCTAAAAAATAAAAATAAGTCAGTAAGTTTCCTAATCATTCAGCAAAATAATGAAGCCTTGAACAATTATGTCGATGTGATCAAATAATTTTTGAAAATCATTCTGAGCAACTGGGAATCTAAAGACAAAAGATAAATAAAACAAAATTGGTGTATAAAATTTGAAACTTTGTGAATGTATACAAGCTGAACATAGTACCAGGTGTCATTTTGGCATAAAAGAGATGATATGTCTCTTTCACTAGGCTGGAAGATCCATACATTAAGAATAACTTGAGAAGCCTTTTAAGGCAAGGAAGGATGAAGTTGACTGGGCTTTCATAGAAAAACTTTACGGGTTTTTCTTAAAACCCTTAAAGGAAGTTAATACGTATCACACAAAAGGAAAGCACAAAATAATCTATGCTTCATAAGGCTGAAGATTATGGTGAACAGGAGGACATATCTTCTTGGTAAAAGGGGAAATAAGATTTGATGACCAGGAGGCATTCAGGTAGGATGTTGTGGGGATGCATGCTCCAAGAGGATAGAGTGGTAACTGAAGGGAAGGAATGGCAATTCTAAAAGCAACTACACAATGTGATATGAAATGGAAAGGCAACAGCTTGATGGGGCATCCAATGACATGATCATTGAAGTAGAATGTATATAAGAAAACAGGAAATGAGGGACTAAAAAGAAGAGGAAATGAAGTAATAATACATGGGGATTCAGAAGGGTCTGACAGGCTGTGCAGCATTGTGCTATGTCTAAGGGGAAGACGTTCACTTGGGGTTAGAAAAGAAAGCACTAGGGATTTCAGGAGGGAAGTCCACTACTGCAACAAGTAGAGAAAATAAAGCACTTGAGTTAGGTAGAGAAGTAAATGTTAAATAATAAAACACACCTCCCAGACTGAGATTGCTAAGTGAACAAAACCATACTGCAGATAATTAAAAAAAAATCAGATTAGGTTCCAAGCATTAAGAAAGAAAAGGTTAGATCATGAAACACATTTATATATGTGGAAAAATTCCTTTTTGCTCAATCACATGTATATTATGTTGGGAGATAACAGTGAAAAGTTCAAATGTAATTGAGAATATGTAATTTTCCCTGTATTCCTTCATGAGTAGTCAAAATAATGTGGAAGCGAGGAGAGGAAACAAGCTTATTTAGTTGAGCAAATTAATTTTTTCTCCCTGTCTTCTGCTTATATATGAAGGGAGAAATATATTCCAATTTTTTGCAAGGTTTTAGAATTTTTCAGTGTTTCTTGATTTTTATTGTGGGGTTGAGAAAGAAGTTACAATGGTAATTAGTTTTATAAACATCATGAATATAGATGAATCTTACTTTATGCCACACATCTAGTCCTGAAAACTTGGTTATTGATTATTGTGTAAAGCAAATACTATTTCAATTGAACTGAAAGGGAATAATATTTAAAGGAATGATATTAAAGGAATGAATCATTTTGCTTTAATTTTATAATTATTCTTCCTGTGGAAAATTAAAGAAAACTATTTTGTACTGAAACATTTTTAATGTTAGATATTTATGGCTCAAGTATTTTTGTGTTGAGCTACAATCAGACAGTTACTTTCTGAAAGGAAAACTGAGTCAGTGAGTTACGCACAAAATGAGTGAGTTGGTAATACCTGGTCCATCAAGTTCATCTTTCCTCTGATTGGTGCTCAAATGCATGACTAAAAATTGTCAATTCTTTGACAATTTTTAAAATTTTAATTAAAAAAATTACTTTAATATTACTGATTACAACTAAAGATGTGTCTACACAATATATATCTTAAAGAGCTTTACAAAATAGACATTGTTCCATTTAATTCCAAAGCTGAAGCTGAACAACGAAAACAAGTAAAGGTGGGCCTAGGTAATACTGAAATAGCTTTTGTGGTCTGGATATGTCTCATGTGATCCAATGTATAGAAAAATAACACTGTTACTATTATCCTCATGAATATAAGCATATATATTTGAGTTCAATTTGCCAAGCTACACTAATAAAAGTAGTCAATATTGTGTCTGGAAAATCCTGGAAGGGGGAAAGTCTTTTCTTTCTCTTTCCTATTGATCCTTCAAAATGCTTTTTTGACCTACAGTAACTTAATTTGGGGGCTTAGTGAACGTTATCTTCATAGCTGTTTTCTGAAGAGTGTTTTTAAGATTCAATCACCATAATTAAATCATCAATCATTAAACAGAAGTCACTCATATGATTAAAAAATCAGATTTTCTCCTACTCCCAAAGACCAATAAAGAATACAGATCATCTCCTGTTTTGCAATATTTTAACACTATCATTCATTCTTGTTGAATATTTTTTTCATATAAGACCAATAATACCTATTTTCCCCCAAAAGATCCCTGCAGATTTTTTCTTCCTTAGTCAGATTCTGTTATAACTATTTCTTACTAGTCAGATACAGTAGAAATTGTGACCGTGAGGACAAACACATTAAGGGAATGGAGGTTAATGCTCTTCCATTCAACAGCATTCTGTATATTGTTCTGGTTCATTTCTTCTGGGTATAGAGTGTTGCACCATTATCTCCTAAGCCACAGAGGAAGGAACAGTATTTTAGCGTATGCCACAGGAAAAACAAATGAAAAGGTGACTAATTCATTTACACACACAAACACACACACTCACACACACACAGGTTTAAGATATTCTCTTAATCAATGTAT
This sequence comes from Homo sapiens, assembly GCF_000001405.40. Classification (NCBI taxonomy): domain Eukaryota; kingdom Metazoa; phylum Chordata; class Mammalia; order Primates; family Hominidae; genus Homo; species Homo sapiens. Next base: position 88,091,613 of record NC_000008.11, read on the forward strand.
TTCCAATTAAGAGATAGATTCTAGTTTACCTCTTATTAGTAGTCCAAAGGTATAACTTAAATTTTTAAAAGAAGTAATCAATTAATACGTCCCCAAACACTGATAATTACTAAAAATTAATTCTCTAGATTTGTGCTGTCAATATGATAGCCACTAGCCATGTGTAGCTACTTAAATTTAAGTTAACTAAATCTAATTTAAAAATTACTTCCTTAGTTGCACTAGCCACACTTCAAGTGCTTAATAGCAGCCTTTTGACTTGTGGCTATCATACTGGGTAGCACGCAGAGTACCTTCATCATTGCAGCAAGCTCTATTGAATAGCCTTGCTCTAGAAAATAACATTTTAGCATTTGATCAATGTTATGATTTTTTTCTCATACTTAAGACTCCTGTATGGCTAAGAAAATAAATTCAAAAATGCAGCAGTGATCCAAGACTATGAGAAAATGTTGAGTGACATAATTCTAAGGCATTAGTGTTTCTAGAGTCAGTCTTCAGCCGAAACACTGTAACTACTGATAAAAAATTTGCAGTGTTTCTACAACTCTACTGGTGTAGTCAGCTGAAATGCTAATTGTGGTATCACAGTATCACAGGTATAGGCTCTATGGCTATAACTTCCAGAATTTTGTTTTTTCTTTTTAGAATCTGATGAAAAACGTTATTTAGCTACAGGTCTAATTGGAATGTTCTTTCCTTTTATCTTTGCATTGCTCGTTCCTTTATCTGTTTAAACCTCAGCTAAAATGTCACCACTTCAGAAAAGATCCTTCGGAAACTACAGTATCTTCCTTTCCACATATCTCAACTCTTAGCATCTATCACATTACCCTGTTTAATTTTCACCTTTGAATTTGTTAATGTCTCAAGTACTTATGTATATTTATGTGATTTTTGACTGTCCTTTCTTTCTCCCAAATAAAGCTCACCTTAGGAGAGGGATTTTGTGGTGCTCATTGTGGTATTCCCTGATACTAAAAGTCTGCCAGGCAAAGGCAGGCACCTTATAAATATTTATTGCATAAATAAATCAAAAAATGCATTAAATAAGAAATGAAGATTAAAGTTATTCAAAGCAGAAATGTGCTTTTTTGAAATATAAAGGCATTTTTAAATTAAAAAATACATTGACTTTTCTTTCCCAATTTGATCTTTGCCATTAATATTTACCAAGTTTTATATCGAGATATAGTAACTACAAAGTTTCATATTGTATGTGTAAGTATACCATCATGAAAGTTAAGTAAAAAGTTAGCCTTTAATGGATGAGACTGACCATCTGTATCTGTAACCCACTCAATTGGTAGTGAGTATCTCTTGGTGAAACTGGGATGCATGCAAATCTGTGGAAGAATAACAAAGGTATTTAATTCTTCTTAAATATTTCCAAATATTCTAAGGAAATCCAGTATAAACGGAGGTTTTGCAATGGGCAATGCAGACTGTTTATTGTTTAAGAAAAAAAGGATATAAAAAAGCAGATTTTGGTCAGGGGGACTTTAATACTACCCAGGGGACTGTATGTCCTGAAAACTTAACACATGTAACAATGTACAATATCAACTACATGCTAGCAAAACACTGGGAGTATCAGGCTATCAAAAAATGATTGCTCTAGGGATGCAATTAACATTGTCTAAGTGCTTCAGAAGCCGACTTTTGATTATAATGTGGCTTATAATGCAGAATCTTCTTGAGTATAATTAATTCATATTTTCTGTGAGAATTAAAATTCTCACTATAAATTGATAAGTTGCCACTTTGGCCCATCGATCAACCATAACCAGTCTTTTGTGATTTTTGTTTGTTCAGTGATTCCTTTTAAGCGCGAATCACTGAGACAGCCTGGTCCATAAACCTAAAGACTAGATCTTGATACACAGTGACCCTGAGTACTGAATGAACTGGCCAGCCACCTTCCTGGCTATGTTTAACATCTTAAAATAGAAAGCAATTCTGATTTACACTACCTTAATGTTGTTTGGTATCCAGATTTTAGCTGTTCTTTGTACTTCTTTATAAATAAAATTTTAAAATTAAGATAATAATTACATAAATGATGGATGATATTTTAAAATAACCCTCAAGCAGCATTTTTAATAGCACAGGAGGTCATTTTAGGCTTTACTTAGGTAGGTGAATTACAAATGCTGACATGTTATACCCTGTTTCAGGAGTGTCTGGGTTATGGTTGAACATCAAACACAATCTTAAATGATATTTTCCTCCCTTTATTTCTATGTATATACTAGCAATTTCAATGACACTATAAATGTTTCATGTTTGAAGAGTATAACTAGAGAATTTCAAGGAAACAATCTCTACATGCTATATCAGAATTGGCCCAACACCCACATTGAATTCTCACATTAATATGAAATGCCATAATATTTATTTAGTATAAGGCGGGTCTGTCTTGGGCTTAGACCAAGGCAGAGTGTATTACTGGAAATAACAGAAAGAACTCTTTATTTTACATATAACATAACTACATATTGTGAGTTCTTGGGAAAGTACGATAGTGTATTTTTAATGTGGGATAATTATATTCATTTCTTTTTTTCCAAACATGCTTTAGCCCTGAAATATTCTATGATGGTTTCTTCCATATAACCCAACAGAATCCTTAACAAGTAAGAGATAAATGTTAGATAACCATAGATTCCACTGATAAATATAACTACCAAAATTATATATAGACTAACTTATAAAGAAATTATAAATATTTGAAATTATTGATAGTAATTAGAAGAGTGATAAAAAGATTAACTAGTGATATTGTTCACTGATTTTCAAATTAACAACCTTTTTAACACTAAATAAGATGGGCTATTGCTTTATTTTTAAAACTGTTTACTGACCATAATTATAAACATGAAGTACACAAAAGAAACAGTATCTTTCTCCCTTGTGCTATGTTCTGTCTAGTCTTTAGTTTTTGTTGCAAAGATCTAGGGCTAAAAAAACTCTTTATATTTATAGTTTATAAAATATTTTATAAAATATTTATGATTTGCAATACGTAGCTATCAAGGAAATTCAAGAGGCAGATACACACCAGTAATACATCTCAAAAGAAGTTATGTCTGTTTTCTCCAGCCAAAAATTCAAAAATATAATTTCAAACTGAAATGTCAGTAGTAGGAAAATTTGTCCATTTTCTTTCCAGGTCTCATGAAAAACTGTTAGCCCCTTGTACTACAGTTAATAGGTTTTACTCTGTGTGTTATGTAAAGCCTGTCTATATGCCAACATGAAAAAGGCCTTTAAAGGGACGTCAGAGCTTCAGAAACTGCTTGTCAAAAGGATTTCAGTTTTCTTTCTTTGGCCTTCCTAACCACTTTCAAAGGCTTATTTCATTCACAGTAGTTTCCATATTATTAATGCATATAGCTTGCAACTGTAATTCAGGGTGGGCCACATGGTTACAAAATTATAGACAGAGTTGATTAGGTATAAAAATACAAGGCACCGCTCTACAGATTTTACAGTACATTAATATTTTACTACTGGCAATGCTTAGTGATATGGAGGAAAAGAAGTCAATAATTTGCTAAAAGACTTTTTTTTTTAAACCATCTATCAATGTTGCCTTGAAATTTGACTTAAATTTTTGCAAGTTTATTATAACTACAGGTAGACTGAAATGTGTGTGTGTTTTTGTTGTTGTTCTTTAATTTTTTTTTTCCACCAGCAACCTAAATAGAAATGGCATGTTAGAAAGTACTAAGAGTCCTGGATTCTGGTTTTGACTCCGATCTCTGACTTTGGTCTTCTATGCATTAGGGTAAGATGCATAACTCTCATGTCTTACTTCCCCATCCGTACCATGGGGAAAGGATATCTGAATGCCTCTTTCAGTTCAGGCACAAAGTTGTAGTAAAAATGGGGGAACTGACAAGTTTCCAACTCTGCTTATACCTATTAGAAAATTCACAAGGAGCACCTATTTTATTTATAGATATTTGAAAGATGAACAATACCACCTGATTCATTAGGGAATATTGTTTTGTAAAGTGAGTTTTTGCTCTCATAAATAATACGCTTCAAAACCAAGTACAGCTCTTCCACCTGAATCCATGCCTGATTATCTAATGAGCCTTTGACAATGTAAGAGTGTCCCTGACAGTACCTTCCTGAATAACCTCATCAAGTTATTTGCTGAGCATTCAAAAGACTTCCCAAATCACTGATTACGTAGAATGAATTCATTTAATAAATAACTATTTTCCACCTCCAAAAGCTAGGCGCTATGCTAGGCATTGGAAATGGAGTAGTGAATAAGAGAGTGTATAAGAAAGCCAACTGTAACTTGTTCAAACTTTAAGCTCAAAACTATATTTTACTATTTATACCTCACAAGATTCCTGAAATATTGGTAAAGGAAAAAAGTAGTGACAATGTTGTCTGTTTACACTGTTGTGCAATATTCATTGTACAGATCTACAATCCCTAATCCACAGTTCTAAAACCCAGAGAGCTTGAAAGAAGAACGTTGTTTATTGATTTTGGTACAAACTTATTTGGCAGACAATATGATATCAACGATGTGAGAATATTTTAGAGACTATACCAGTTGTTAATAATATTTATAAGTTTCATTGAAAGAATATTAATGGGTTTGATTATGAGTTATTTCCCTAGATCCTATGAGATTATTATGGAAGATATATTTTAAAACTGGCTGGCCTTCAGAGTTTTAGATAATATATCTTCAGACCTGTGATGATATTTTAATAACTAATTTTTTAAAACTTAAAAAGTCTTACTTGGATACATTGGCTAATCATAACTTCAGTGTCCCTATTTCAAATTTGAATGCTGATGGCAATGGCATTATTTTGAACAAAGTTGAGGACTGTATTTCCTGCTTCTAAAATTCTTCAAAGGATCACTGCCATTTTTTTTTGTCTTTCGTGTTTTAAAAATAAACAAGAGAAATACAACTACTTTGAAAACAAGAAATTTAGGTTCCTAGTCTTTCATCTGAGGCCTTAGGTATGTAATTTACTGTTGGACTGAGTGTTATGTCTAAAGCCAGTCCCTGTCAGGAAGATTGATTAGAAGTCTTCCCAACAGGCAATATGGGGACTGAAGGAATTTGTTAAATATGCAACCCTCATAGGAAAGTCACACCCTCTTCTGGCAAATATTATCTAAATATATAGCTATAGGAGGGTGTATTTTAATTTTTTAAAGGTTCCAGCCAGACTCATCCATGATTGGAAACGCGAGAAAACACCCTAACGTTATACATTCTAGCATTTAAAACACTGTAAGTGATCATATTTATTATATATCCTGTAGACAGATTTCTCTCAATCTCTAACATTTGAGGATATGGCTCTGTAGTGACAATTTCATTGAAAGAAAAGACATTCCTAGGGCAAAATCTGCTTTTCCACTGTAGGTTTTAGTTCTACCTCTGCACATGCACAGAATGGGCTCCTTCACGTGGCAGATTTTAAAATATTCGATGTCACCTGTAATATCCCTTTTATTGATCTCTATTGGAAAGTCCTTATAACTTTGGTAAGAGTTTTCATAAACTCAATTAGGGAAAATGTTTTATGATTTCAGTTTAAATTTAAGTTATCTGTAAGAAAAACTATTTTTTTTGGTTGAACCAGGATATTAACTATATTGATCCTCAGTATATAATTTGCCAAGGATCTTTTCTATGTACAGATTCATGCTGCTTAAACATTCTATTAAGAATGGAGGCTAGGTGCAGTGGCTCATGCCTCTAATCCCCAAATACTAACTTTGGGAGGCTGAGGTGATCAGATGACTTGTGCCCAGGAGTTCGGGAGCAGCTTAGACAACATGGCAAAACACTGTCTCTACAAAAAATACAAAAATTAGCCGAGTGTCAGGGTATATGCCTGTAGTCTTGGTTACTTGGTAGACTCAGGTGGGAGGGTCACTTGAGCCTGGGACGTGGAGATTGCAGTGAGCCATGATCACACCACTGCACTCCAACCTGAGAGCCAGAGCAAAACCCTGTCTCAAAAAAAAAAAAAAAAAAAAAAGAATGAAAACATCAAAAGAATGGGACTTGGGATGCAGGACCTCCCCATCAACCCAGCCTTCCAACCTGCAAATGAAAATCAATTATGACAAAGTTCATAATTCAGTTTGTTAAAGAATTACAATTCAGTTTGTTAAAGATTGAAGGAGGCCTTAATAGTTATACTTAATTTTTCAAAGAATAAATTTTACTAAAAAATGTGTCACTGAGTTGAAGAAATTTGAGGAATTTGGATAATGGAATTACCTGGAGTTAGACAAACTGTGAGCTTAAGGGCACACTACTCCAGATTGCCAGGTCCTGCCCAAGACTTTTGACACCAACGGCGAGGAGTCAGGGTCCAACTAGAGTCAGAGGGAAGAGTCCACACAAGGACACCCTCACTCTGACACCAACTGCAAGTTTGAGAGATTCCTGAAATTCAGACTTGATAATTTCCTGGAATGACCCAAAGAACTCACTGAAAACTATTATGCTCATCGATATGTTTTATTACAGGGAAAGGGTACAGATAAAATATCAGCAAAAGGGACAGACACATTGGACTAAGTGTGAGAAGCTTCCATTGTCCTCAGGATGTATTACTACACTAGTATCAATGTTTGATGACATCCATGGGCTACTGCCAACTATGGGTGCTCATCTGAGTTTCAGTGTCCAGAGTTTTTATTGAGTATTCATTATGTAGGCAGGATTGATTGACTGGTTGCCCACATGGGTGGGCTCAGCGTCTAGGTCTACTTATACCATGTGAATCACTTTAAATCACATGGTTGGTATTTCTGGTGTGGCCAGTCCCTACCCTATGATCCAGTGTCATCAGCCCCTTCCCTAAACAAACAGACTGTATCAAGTATGACATAGGTTAACTCCACATATCAGAGGGCAAAAGCTAGGCTTCCTTTAGGGCATGGCCAATTCTTTATAACATAACAAATACTTATTTCAAGAGTAAATATTACTACTACAGATTAAAGGAATAAATGAAACTAATTACACAGTTGGAAATTCATAACATTCATTGACTTTTAAGAAGAGAAAAAGCAAAGTAGAAAACAACTTCATTGTCTATTGTGAACACCCGGCTCTCATCTGACACCTATCAAAGAAAATACAAGTATAATATTATGAAAATTAATTTTGTAAGTATGTAAGAAAAGCCAAAAGAAGTATAAAAGCCTGTATGTAAACAAAATTATGGCTAAACTTGCAAAAATTTTTATATGTTGATAAAACTATATGATCACTATTTTGTTCCCATTCTATGAATGATACATATGTAGATTTTTTTACACTGAGTTATTTGCCTAAACTGCCATAATTATAGCAAAATAAATTTTCCTATATTATGATAAAACCATTTTTTTCCTTAGAAATAAGTGATAAGTTGAAATAAGTGATATATGTATAAGGAATTATTTTTAGAAAATCTAACATATAGATTCAAATTTTATGTACATGTTCTAAATTTCATATATTCAAATTCTATGTACGTTCTAAAAAGAATATAAGAATTTTTTTATATTATGAAAAACAGAATTATTTAAATAAAAGCCAAAGAGATTGGGGAAAATGGGAAACATTTTAAAATTTTTACTAAAATTTTATTTCCCAGCCTTGATTAAAATTTGTCATATTTTTCAGGTCCCATATCACTTCTGATAATTATTTTTAAACTTTACAGTCTAGAACCTTTTGGTTTTTAAGACAGCTGAAGTCTCTAATATAATATATAGTGACTTAATACAATTTAAAACTATAAAAGTGACATAAAAGTATCATACATTTCAAAAAATTCGTCCTAAAATGTATACCAATGATGACAATGTCTAACATCAGTTCAGCTATTTTGAAACATTTAAAATGCTTTAAATATCTTGCCTCATGATGAGATGGGTAGCACAACTATTATTATTTTCCTTATTTGACTAGAAATTTATAGTCCAATAACTGAAATTCTCATCAAGGTAAAACAGTCTGGATCTAAAAGCCACGTATCCTGACTTTTAGTCCAGATTTTTTCCCCTGTAATATGTTGTTTCTCTTATTTAAAAAAACAAAAAACAAAAAACAGGGATACCTCATTAGTTAAAGTATCTCTTCCTCAGAAAAGCATTTCCCGATTTTAATGACCATGTTTTAAAAATGAAAATGAAACAATTTATATGCTCTTGTTATACCTCCTGCCTTCTTTACTTTGCATTTTATATAGGTAGAATTTTATTTGTCTTCTGATTAGTTGATTAATGTCTATTTGCCACACTGGACTGTAAGCTCTTTAGGGCAGTGGTACTGAGTGGTACTGAGGCAGCTACAAAGATTCTCCTCATACAGAATATCAGCCCTTTGTCAGATGAGTAGATTGCAAAAATTTTCTCCCATTCTGTAGGTTGCCTGTTCACTCTGATGGTAGTTTCTTCTGCTGTGCAGAAGCTCTTTAGTTTAATTAGATCCCATTTGTCAATTTTGGCTTTTGTTGCCATTGCTTTTGGTGTTTTAGACATGAAGTCCTTAGCCATGCCTATGTCCTGAATGGTATTGCCTAGGTTTTCTTCTAGGGTTTATATAGCTTTAGGTCTAACATTTAAGTCTTTAATATCCAGAATCTACAAAGAACTCACACAAATTTACAAGAAAAAAACAAACAACCCCATCAAAAAGTGGGCAAAGGATATGAACAGATGACTCTCAAAAGAACACACCTATGCAGCCAACAGACACATGAAAAAATGCTCATCATCACTGGTCATCAGAGAAATGCAAATCAAAACCACAATGAGATACCATCTCACACCAGTTAGAATGGCGATCATTAAAAAGTCAGGAAACAACAGGTGCTGGAGAGGATATAGAGAAATAGAAACACTTTTACACTGTTGATGGGACTGTAAACTAGTTCAACCATTGTGGAAGACAGTGTGGTGATTCCTCAAGGATCTAGAAACAGAAACACCATTTTACCCAGCCATCCCATTACTGGGTATATACCCAAAGGATTATAAATCATGCTGCTATAAAGACACCTGCACATGTATGTTTATTGTGGCACTATTCACAATAGCAAAGACTTGGAACCAACCCGAATGTCCATCAATGATAGACTGGATTAAGAAAATGTGGCACATATACACCATGGAATACTATGCAGCCATAAAGAAGGATGAGTTCATGTCCTTTGTAGGGACATGGATGAAGCTGGAAAGTATCATTCTCAGCAAACTATTGCAAGAACAAAAAACCAAACACCGCATGTTCTCACTCATAGGTGGGAATTGAACCATGAGAACACTTGGACACAGGAAGGGGAACATCACACACCGGGGCCTGTTGTGGGGTGAGGGGAGGGGGGAGGGATAGCATTAGGGGATATACCTAACGATGACAAGTTAATGGGTGCAACACACCAACATGGCACATGTATACAAATGTAACAAACCTGCACGTTGTGCACATGTACCCTAGAACTTAAAGTATAATTTAAAAAATAAAATAAAAATTAAAAAAAGATTCTCATTATACAGATGAAAAAACTCAGGCTCAACAGTGGAGTCATACAGGTGTCCTAAACCTAGGCTTTTCTGCTTTTACCATAAGGTAGTATATTTTCTTAAACACCACAGGTCCTCAATACAGATTCATAAAATAAATAGATACATTGAATATGACTATACATCAGAAACTACATTCCTCCACATACTAATTATAATGTTACATGAAAAAGTTTCAGGAATCAATAAACTTCAGCATTTCTAATAGTAACTGCAAATGCAGCTGCTTGGAAAAGGCTATCTCTATTCAAGAGATTTCAGGATTATGAATAAGGAGGTTTATGTGTCAATGGCACATGAATGGCCAGCTCTTATATCAGCTCCTTTGGGCTTCAGCTCAAGGATATCAAGTCTTTGCCTAATGACCTGACCAGTTAACTGCTACAAATAACTACACTTCACTGGTAAGCACCGCAGCCCAAAGAATGCAGAGACTCAGCAACCACTCTAGGTGAGGGGCAAAGAGCCTTGGTTTAACAATAGCTCCATTTAATTCTCCATAAAAATGCTTGCTGCCCTTTGATTGGACAGATTAAGAATATGATGTACCATTCTTTTGAGTCAAGTTTCAGTAAATAATATTTGTACAAAGAAAAGGAAAACATTATAGCTTCTTTTTACAGAAGTCCCTATATTCTAGTATTTCTCATCCAGTTCCAGATAGGACATATCCCTGCTATCTGGCTGTCTCTGATTCTCTTCATAATTTGAACTCCCTCTGACATTTGAAGATGAGCCTCATTAAAAACATCCAGTCTTGGCTTCCTGTGATTCAGTGTCTAGTCACTCATTCATAGTGTTACAATTCTTAGAGCTGCTCTTTTGTCCTTATGAGAAAAGACTGAAACTGTTTTTCTTCTGCTCTCATATCAACACAACAGTCAACATGGACTGTGTTTTCTGTGACCCCAAAATATGTGGAGCTTTGTCCCTACCAGCAAGTGTGTGATCAATTCTGCAGTGGATATCAGCTGAGTGTCCTTCAATCCAAGGTTGGGGACTAAGTCCCCAAAACTGCCTCCCTCCCTCTTCAGACAAGCAGTGGCAACTCTGGACCCACAGAACTTCTGACCAACTGGCCTCAAGTTAGGTCTCAACTATCCGATCCCCTTTGGGTTTGATTAATTTACAGATGTGTCACACAGAACTCAGAGAAACACATACATTTACCAGTTTATTACAAAGGATATGACAAAGATGAGGAGTGCACAGACTGAGGTATGGGGGGAGTGGGGCAGAGCTTCTATTTCCTCCCTGGGCATGCCACCCTTCAGGAACCTCCATGTGTTCTGCTATTTAGAAGCTCTCCAAACCCTGTCCATTTTGGTTTTTATGGTGGCTTCATTATGTAAGCATGATTGATTCAACCACTGGCCATGAAATTAACCTTCAGTCCCTCTCCCCTCCCCTGAGGTTAAGGAGTGGGGTTGAAAGTCTTAACCCTCTACTCTTGTCTCCCTCTTTCCAGTGGCCAGCCCCCATCCTGAAACTACCTAGGTAGGGGCTGCCAGCTGTCAGTCAACTCATTCGCATAAAAAAAGATATCACTTTGAAGACTCCAAGGCGTTTAAAAATTGTATGTCAGGGTCCAAGACCAAATATATATTTTATAATACCATAGTCCACTTGCCCAAATCTCTTTTTTGCTAGTTGTCTTCACTCTTGCCTTTTGGGAATGGGACTCTTCTTACCAGTTCCACCCCCAGTAACTGTCTTTTGCTCAACACTTCTCATTAGCTCGGTCCCCTACATTCTGTTCCCACCAAGTCATTCTTAGTCTATTCTGTTGGCCAGTTAACCTGGCCAGTGGAATAAAGCTTCAAGTTCCCAACATGGCATATAATATTCTTTATGAAGCAGCTCTGTTTGAGACTTTCCATCTTCATTTCTCAATCTCCTTGCCTTGATTTCTATAGTAAGCTACATTCCTTTCCCAGTGCACCATATCCCTTCGTACCTCCAGTCCTGGCTAACTTTACACCCGCACATGCAGATTATATCCCTTCACAAAAACTCTTTCCCGATATATGTGGTCCTCCTAAGTGCTCCCACTGTACTTTGTACATTCGTGTATTACAGAACATAACAATGCATTGTGATGATCTAGTTACTGGTACTTTGCTAAACTATTTTCTTCCTGAGGGAAAGAATAAGAGTGGCTTGGTCATCATTTTATTCCTAATGTCTAGCTACTACTTGGTAGCTGGATAAAACTTCCTTAATTTAAAGAATAAAAGCGAATGAATAAAAGATTACAGTAGTTATAAGCTTCCTGAGAGTAAGGAACGTTGTCATAGACTCCTTTGCAATCACTTTCAGGTCAATATAGTGCTTTGCACAATACTAATAGTAGTAGTAATAATAACACAACCATCATCAACTTCTACAACCATAACTTCAGTTGCTGAATTTCCTTGAGATCTGTTTTGTCCCAGGCTCTGTGCTAACTGCCTTTTATGGCTAATAATTTATTAGTGTTTGTTGAGCTGACAAACTTTGCTATATGACAGCTCTCACATGATATAATTTAACAAAACTCTCTGAATTAATTGCCAAATACCTTGTCACTCTGCATGATTTTAAAGTATTTCTATAATGAACAGAATCAATTCTCACCATAGTACCTACAAAACAGCAAAACTGTTACATAAACAAAATAAGTGGTTAGCTTGATTTACATAAGGCTATTTCCACTTGAGATTAATGCACAGTGGGCACAGATTCTTACCTAATTGGACACCTTTGCTAGCCAGGTTAAATTATATTATTGAAACTTGTCATCATAATATTGTCCAAGGACATTTAGTCAGTCTAAAGAAAAATTCCAATGAATATTTTAAAAGGTTTTGCCTATTTTATTTTAAAAATTAGTATGGCTTCACCATCACTTAATATATTACAGTCTTCACATTTATAAAGCTTCTTTTATATCACTGTATTTTGAGCTACTAAACATATATATAACATTATTACAATAGTACATATTTTAAAAATCTACTCACAGTTCCTTCACTCCAAGATTTGTCTATCTTTTCTATGCCTTGTCAATGCATGTATTTTAATAATAAAATTCATGACATAAAATCTAATATTTTAATATTTTGTTTATACATGATAATCATGTCTCATTGTTTCATATATTCTTCATAATTAATGTTTCAAATGATTTTCATTCTATTCCATTGAGTTGGTGTACAGCCAGTGCATAATAATGCTTCAGTTAATGATGTACCACCTACAAGACAGGTGGTTATAATGAGGCTAAAAAATTCCAATTGCCTAGTGATGATGTAGCCATCATAACGTCATAGTGCAATGCATTACTCATGTGTTTATGGTGATGCTGGTGTCAACAAACCTATTGCGCTGCCAGTCATGTAAAATTATAGCACATACAATGAAATGCAGTACGTAACACTTGATAATAATAAATATGTTAATAATTTTTATATACCTACCATATTACACGTTTTATCATTATTTCAGAGTGAACTACTTATAAAAGAAAAAGTTAACTATAAAACAGCCTCAGAAAGGTCCTTCGGGAGGTATTCCACTGAAGGGGACAAGATGTGGAGGTAGAAGACAGTGATGAGGATAATCCTGACACTATGTAGGCCTAAGCTAATGTGAGTGTTTGTGTCTTAGTTTTTTAACAAAACAGTTTAAAAAGAAAAAAAAAATCCAAAAAACACAAAACATTTTCAATAAAAAAGCTTATAGAAGTAAAGAAGTTACAGTAAGCTAAGGTTAATTCATTATTTTAAAAATTATAAATTTAGTGTAGCCTAAGTATAAAATATTTATGAAGTCGACAGTAGTGTACAGGAATATCCTAGGCCTTCACATTCAGTCATCATTTACTCACTGATGCATCCAAAGGAATTTCCAGTCTGCAGGCTCCACTCATGGCAAGTGCACTACATAGGTGTACCATTTTTTATCTTTTATCTCATCTTTTTTTTTTTTTTACCTTAGCTATCATTAGGCAACTCATGACTATTGTTATTTGCTATACCACTACCATATTACTGGATAATCTGGGTTTGCTTGAAAAATTTTTTCCTACTGGCCAAAAAGGTGCAGTAGATATCTTTGTTCATTTTAATTTTTACTTTATTAATTTTGTGGATGAATTATCATATATGGGGTTAGTAATTGGAAAACTATGCACATTCTCCTGTTTGTTGTAACGCATAGTATTGCTGTAGTTTAAATTCAAAATCACCTTTAAAATTGGACTCATTTGCTATTCATACTATCTACAGTTTCTTTAAAATAGACATGTAAACAAACACAATATAATGTTCTGAAACTGCAAAGTAGTGTAAGAAGCATAGTGATGGAAACAGAAAAATTTGGAACCAAATGTCAAGCAAATAAGTTCTATGGAAAATTGGTTGCCCCACCATCTCCCTGTCACTTCTCTCATTCATGGTAGAGGGGAAAAGTGAATACTTAAGAAAACACTTTTCAGATTCTCAAAATCATTCTTGTTTTCAAGGGGAAGAGCCTAATTCTAGAATATGTAAAAGTGTTTCTATTAATGCCAACAATAGTATTCTAGACAAAAGAAAGATTAAAGACACAGATGCATCATTAAATCTCTGCTATTAAAGACAAAATTAAAAACAACAAATTTTCCTTGATTAAATGTTCAGTGAAAAATAAAACTGCATGACAAAAAAGAATAAAATATTAAAAATAATCTTTAATTTTATCATCCAGAGGTAACTGTTCTTAACATTACAGTATTAGTCCTTTGAGAATTTTTTATTTATAAATCTATTTGTATATATGCAAATACATATACACACACATGCATATATATACGTGTATATATATTTACACGTTATGTATATATATATATATATATATATGTATTTATAGTTACAGATTAAAATCACCTAAATTGTAGATTTCACTTTCTCTCCTACCTCTGGCTACATACATCACCACCCCAGAGACACTCAGTGTTTTCAGTTTCTTGTATCCCTTTTAGGGATAATTTGTATCTGGGTATGAGTGTGTATCTGGGTATACATAGGAATCTGGGTATAAGTATGTGTTCCCCAACTTCTCCCTCTTAAATGGCATGGTTTAAAAATTGCTCTGCACCTCGCTTTAAAAATATGTATCTTGGAGATTCAACCTCATTCTTTAAAAATAGCAACATTGTATTACATTGGCTAGGCTATGTCTAAGGCTAAGTTCCTCTTGCTGGACATTTACATTGTTTCCAGTTTTCTGTCAACAAATGCTGAAATGACTGTTTATGTACACAGCCTTTGAGTGCTTTTGAGAGTAAATCTTCAAAAAACCTTTCCCAGGCAAAGATTCCTGATGATCAAACATTTTTCTGAAAGGTAGTAAAAATGTATACTCACATTAACAGAATGACAGTGCTAGTTCCCCACATTTTCACAAATGTAAGATACTATTAACCTTTGACTTTTGTCAGAATAATGAATTTAAAAAAAACTCACTGTATTTTTAATTTGCATATACTTCTATAAGTATGTATGAGTTACTTATTATTCCTTAAAATGCATATGAATCTCTTTATCTTCATGTAATTTTTCAACTGGGTGTATTTTCTTTTTTTCATTTATAAGCCCATTATAATTTTTAAAAGTAACACTTCCTACATGTGTATTGCTTTTCAAGTTGATTCATAAATATTTTCAGCCATGTAGAAATGTCTATATTAAATGTTATTAAATCTATCAAGGTATTATGAATAGCTTTTTAATCCTGTACCTTATTTAGAAACAACTCAATTTCAAAGTATATATACACATAATCAAAATACAAAAGATTTTGCAAGTTTTCTTCTAGTACTTTTATGGTTTAATATTTCCATTTAAATAGTTGATCCACCTGGGAATTTACTTAGATTTTTTTCCCTGACTCTATTCTGTTCATTTGTCCCATCTAGCAGTCTCTAAATGTCATCCAATTTTAAATAAATTTGCATAACAGTAAGTTTTAAAATCCAGTAGTACAGTCTTTTGTATTTTTATACATTTACATTTTTCTATATAATCTTTAATATTACCTGGTTAAAAACTAAGGTGCTATTTTTATTAGCCATTTTAATTTTATCAAGTCTTCTTATAAATGAATATCATAATTTTCATTTACTCAAGTCTGGGGACTTTCAGTGGAATTACTTTTAATTTTTAGAATAATCAGGGGAAAGTAATTTTTTACAATACTGTATATTTCATTCAAATACATGGAAATTCTTTTCATTACTTCTCTATTTTTATGCTTAAAATTATGTATTTTGTTATTCTTTAAGGTTTTGAATATTTCATGTTATATTTTCTCCTGAGTAGTGGAATCAGACTGAATTTAAGGATGGATACAAAGAGTCAAAATTTTTATTAGAGTGAATCTTTTAATCAAGAATAGGATACATCTTTCTATTTATCAAAATCGTATTTTGGTGCTACAATAAAGTTCTAACTTTTATTCATGGAAGTTCTGCACATTTCTTTACAAGTGTAGCCCTAGATGTTTTATTTTATATTGCTATTGTGTTGAGATTGTTTCTTTTTATATATTTTGGTATTAATTAGGAGAAATTCATCTGCATTTAACAAAAAACATAAATACACTTGTTGAGTAAAACTAAAAACTATTAAGAATAAAAACAAGAAATGCAGAGATAAGCTGTCCATAGCTTGATATATGAAAACTAATTAACTTTAATGTCTCTCTTTCTCATATGATGTCAAATATAAATATAATAATCCATGTAAAGCATATAGAAAAATCATCTTAGGTACTTAATAGGTGTTATCTATATTATTATTCCAATATATGTGGGTGGAATATGAAACTTTTATCAATAATAAAAAATAGGATAAAGCTAGGCTAATATTTTGGACAAAAATTAAAATCCCTGTTTATACCTTATACCAAAGTAAATTCTAGATGAAGTATAAAGATTTAAACTGAAAAACATTCCTGAATGCCAGGTGAAAAAATATTAAAAATAATGAAGAATTCTATAGTTCACTGGTCACACAATTAACACATAAAAATCAGCAACTCTCTTCATAAAGAAATAAGCTTTAGAAAGTGTTGGAGAAACGGCTAGCTATCTAACCAATATCTACTCCCTCTTTTTTTCCTGCTAATAAATTCTTGATGTTGTCTGAGAGAGCAATTTGCACAATTTAACATTCCTGCTCACCCAGGCATCTTTTCATCTAGGAGGGTAACATAGCCCAGCCATAGTAAGGACACTAAGCATTTGTCTATTTTCCCTGACAATGGTTACTATATGTTTCAATTTTAACCTTTTTTCTTCTTTATGTAATATGGAATATCTGGAGGTGCAGCATCCATCCTGAAAAACTGAGGACTGAAAAATCAATTGTGGTATGCAGGGAGTGGTGATTGATAGCGCTGGGATTGAAAGTTTGGCATAAGACTTACAATTACTATCCTGTCCATAACACTATTCATAAAACTGTCAATTACTGTCCTTTTACATGTAAGTTAGAATCTTAAAGTGTAAGGTTTCCATTCCCTAATTCCATTGAAGTTATGATTGGAATAATTTTTGCTTTGTAGAATAATGTGGGAGAGTAATGCTTTTCCAATATTAAGTTTTTTCCATTCAAGCTTGGTAAATCTCTCCATTTATCAATTCTTTTAGATTTCCATCATTAAAGTTGTCTATTGTAAAGTAAAGTTGTGTGTTGTAAAGTCTGTTGTTGCTTTTGTTTATAGATACTGTATATTAGATCCACTTAATTGAGAAATGATTATGAAGTGCTAATTGTAAATACTCTTCTAAGCATTGGGAATAGAAGAACAAGACAATCAAGAACTTCTCTCATGAAGGTTAAAATGCAGAGAAGACAGAGTTAGAAGTAAAAAGATTGTTTATTAAATATATATTTATTGAATGTTATGAATGTGCCAGGTTCTTCTAGTTAAGTGTAATCCAATGAGTTATTCATTTGTGTCAAAAATATTTTCATTTATATAGTCTTTATAGTTATTAGATAAGTTACATTTTATTTTTTTCTGTGGTTTAGGGAGTCTTTCTTAACAGTGTTAATAGTTTTAATTTTTTCTGTTGACTTTCATGGACTTTTTCAGGTAGACTATCACATAATTTGCAAATAATTACAGCTTTCACACTTATTTTATTTTAAAGATTTATACTTGTAAGACCGTCTTGTGAAAGATAAAATAAATAAATGCTTTTAAGAGATTGTGAAGACCTGGGTGAATGTTTAAATAACTTCACATAATCCACAAAGCACAATGATAATTACAACATAGTTAACTAAAAGTTTAAAAAGGGAATAATACCAAGAATAAAGTCTAATTTTTGCTTTAGAGAAATATAGGAGGTCAACAGTGGCACATTCACAAATGCCAAATTTGAAAGAAAAAATCAGAAAAGTGTTACTTTTTCAAAGTTCCTAAAATAAAATACTTTCCATGTGCACTATACATCTTGAAACGAAACTTTGCTTATTTATCTTGAATTAATGTAAAAGCATTTTGAAGTATGAATTGTGAATATAAGCACTTTCTATGCAAAAATGTCAATATAAAAAAGATAAATTATAACATATATAAAACACAGAAAAACAGACATTTTTAACATGGAAAAGACTTGGATAATATTGCTATGGAGTAAAAGGGTTTTTAAATTGAACCACAATTAATATAATTTCAGAAAACATTTTTGCATGATTATAGGGAATTGTCTTGCCTATATTCTAAATTTATACCAAAATAAAATGTACATAATAAAATATATCCTAAATTCCAAAATATGTATATTTTGTATATGCCTTATTTGGAATTTTACCAAAATAAAATGTACATAATAAAATATATCCAAAATTCCAAATAAAGCATATATTAAACATTGCTTTATACCACTGAAAATAATTTTATTGAATCCAAAACAAGTATCCAAATATATGCTCAAAATATTTAAACTCACCCAAAAACAAAGTGACTGAGAAGAAAATTGGAAACTCAGGTAACTGAGTCCATTCTTACTGACTAATACTTGCCTTTAATAACTAAGAAGCCAGGAAATGTCAATTAAAACATTTAAAGATTTCAAGGAGAAATTTTAAAGCATAATTGCAATTACAAATATTTTAAAAATAAATTAATGTGGACATTAAAATGCAGTATTACATATAATTCCAGTTGCTCCCTAAAATGTGTACTAAAATATTTAAAAGGCTATGATTTTGTACTACAGGAAAACTTTATTTAATTCTCTGCTTTCAATGTCTTGACGATTGCTCCCTTTGGTCTTATGTGAATCTAGACCCAATTACAACATGCTATTAATATTATCAGGACACTTCCTGGCAGTATGGAATTAAGCTGTGACTGAAAGTAATTTTCGATTACACTGTGCTGTGTGATTTCTGTAAGTATTGTTTTGTTTGTAAAACACTTTTCGGACTCTCTGCCAACAAAATAGTTTTTAATCATTCCATTGACTAAAGTGATATGATATGAATAATAACAACAAACTGTTTCACTCACCTCCTTTATATCATGAGAATTATGGCCATATACTATAATTTTTATTCAGCTAAATGTTATTTTAAAAATAATTTCAAATAGTATCAGAATTTGAGTTAATTAATATGATGAAAAGTTAAAAATGCTAAGTCTGCTTTGCTACATAAAAGCTACCATTTCCTGAGCTTACAATACATCTGTGATGGAGTTTATTAGCCATTATACAAATGAGGAAAGTAAGATCAGATATACTTAGCAAATATTTGTCTACTATGTTCAGGACACTGTGCAATTCAGCATAGAATCAGATAGCTACAGTCTCTGTGTGGAGCATACAGCAAATGGGATCTGACTCGAAGTCTATCTTTAATGTCAAAGAGTTTAAGGATGATCTTATCCAAATGTAAAGAAAGACATACAACTATGCAACAGGAATAAGTTGTACCACTAAATTGAGAGTTGAGAGAGAATTTTTCTAAGGGTAAGAGAAAAATCCATCCCACTATATGGGGTTACAAGATGCCAAAATATATATAATCCATAGTTAACGTTTTTGAAATTCTACACATATTGCAGTTCCTTTTCATATATCTAGACCAATGCAGACCTGTGAAACGACAGTCTGGACAGAAATAAAGACTGATGAAAGCCTTCTGCTGCTCTACATACTGCAGTAGAAATCTGGAAAATAAGCGAATATTTGGTACTGACAGGGAAAGGCCTGTAGAGCCACGAGTGTTTGAAATGTTCCAGAAACAACTGGGAGGAGAAGTGTGGCTGGAGTTCTGTGAGTAAAAATGAGCAAAATAAGATAGAGGAGGTAAGATCAGAGAGGTATGGGGAAATGGGCCGATCATGTAGCCTTGTGAGCAACTGAAATAACTTTGGCTTTTATTCAAGTCAGTTATTGAAGAGTTTTTAGCAGTGCGGTGGTATGATTTGATGCATTGTTTTACAATGTCATTCAGTATGCAGTATTGACAACAGACTGAAAGGAGGCAGCAAAGGAGGAAGCAAAAAAACCAATCTGGGGGATACTACAATAATTAAGATGTTATGTGATGTTTATGAAACAAAACCACCTTGGCAAATGAAATTGAGCCATACTCCATATTTACTTGAACTATGATTCTTCAGTAGAATTAAGAAAGTGGTCGTAAATGAAGATGGTCACATCTAAGAATAAACAGTGTGTGATAAATGAACAGATAAGAATTAGACAAAGGAAAAAAACAAATGATATCTGCTTTGGCTTGACTTTTTTTGGGTAAATGATGAAATTCTTTCCTGACTCAGAGTCATGAGACTTGCTCTTCTAGATTAACTGGAAAGACATTTACTATACTTCTTTGAATACTGTTCCACGACAGCTTTGCCTCTTCAAATTAACCTTTCTAGTTCTAGTGTAAAGTACTAGCCTTTGCTTACTCCTCTTAAAGAACTGGTCAGTAATGAAAGGCAACTATCCTTTTTTTTTTTTTTTGACACTAAAGGAACTCCTGGTGCTGTATACAATTTTTCCTATTTCCAGCTTCAAAAGAACATAGTTACCACTATATGCATTCATTCATACATAGTGAAATACTGTGTACTGAAATATGTTCTGTACAACTTTGGCTAATTCTTGCCTTCTGCTTTTTTTACACAACAAAATAACTAAAATATTCAATGTTCTTATCTTGTAGTCCAAAGGTGCTTTGAGAGTATTCATTTGAACAATCAGATCTTGCTGTTGTCAGCTTAGTTACAACAGCTTACACTCTTCAAGGAGTAGTATTAAAATCACCTTTTCTAGGATAAGGACAAAGCTTCTTTTGTTATTGCTATTTTGTTTCTCTCTTCTTTGGCATTTTGTTTTGAATCTCATTTCCTTGGATTAGGTGGTTTACATTCTCTAAGGATTATAAAGCTGAATGGCTTAAATTTTTCATGCATAAGGACAGAAGGGTGTGTGTGTGTGTGTGTCTGTGTGTATGTATGTATGTAGATACATATCCCACCTCCTACAGAAACACATATCTAGGTGAACTCACTTTAAATAAATGGATGCCTGGAAAGTACAATGTAAATCAAATCCTCTGAGAAGAAGCTCACAACCAAAAAGCATTACGCTGAAAGTCCTATTATAAAGAAAGGCTTCTTACAAGAAAACAAAATTACCTTATGATATTACCTTTTGCTTACATCTAGATTTTTTTATTTTTGGCTTAAAAATCACACATACAGAATTTACGTAAATAATACTCATTGAAATCTTTGGGCAAGGAATAACAACTTACCAAAATAAAATGCTTCAGGGATTTCATTTAGGCTGACTATCATCGTATAAAAATAATATTGGTCACAGTTTGATTATGCATTTCTTACAATGACATCCCTATTCATTAGCACTGAGCACTATGAAGGTCACGTGAACCACCTTCTGCTCTGGAGAAGTAAAAATCTTGTTGAGGAACACATTTCAATAAGAAATAATTACAGAAGACAGAAATTAATAACACACTAACTGAATATAGAGAATAAATATAAAAATCACTAGAGAGAATCAACCAGAGAAGATGGGACATCAGGAAGATGCTAAGGAGGGAATATTTGGATAGGCAGGACTCAAGAAGCTACCCCCAGACATTAAAATTTAGGAGAAAATAAGTGTTGATGGGCAAGGGTTGAGGAGATGAAGACGCTTCTAAATTGTGTAGAGTTTGTAATAAACGAAAGTAGAAAATCAACTTTTATTAATAAGAGTGAGATCAAACAATGAGCAATACTAAAAATATTTGAAGAGACAGTCAATAAGGAGCAAAATATGAAAAATAATGATGTGTATATTGAAGAAATGTTGAAACGGCAGAAAGATCAGATATGGGGTAATGACATTAATTTAGAAGTAAAGGCAGTCTAGACTAAGTAAGTATAGAGGAGAAATTAGGAGACCAATAAGCAGTCATTGGCACTGAAAAACAGAATTCCAGGCTCTGTCCTATGTAAGTGTTCTCATATCCTTCTGTGACATTCACAAGTGGAACATCTGTATGAAGCCTTTCACCCACGTGTCCACCTTGAAGACTAGAATGTAATTTGCAAGAAACCCAAGTGTAGCCTATTTTGTTCACTGCTACATAGCCAGTGCCTAAAATAATATCTAGCCTACAGTATGAGTGCAATAAATATTTCTTGAATACTTACCATTTCAAAATATAGTTGAAAGTCTACTTTTCTTTTGAAACTTTTCTCAATTATTTCAGGTAACAAAGTAAAAAGTTTAGTGGGGAAAACATAGGTTTTGGAATCAAGTAGATCTGTGTTCAGCTACTGACTACCTCTCAGAAGTGTTTCAAAAAAACTTTTCTGACTTTCATTTTTTAAATTTGTAAAACAGAATGTTACCCATCTTTCAGTGTTTTTATGAGGTCAGAGACACATAATGGTTATCCAATCTGTGACAACTATTAGCTAAGAGCCAGATATCATTCAATCATGCTTTCTTTACATCTATCCAATGTTGCATATGTCTGAATTATAAGATTATCACTTTATACTAGATAGTAACATGTCTGTTTTTTCTCCCTCCATACGCAAACTTATTGCTGTACCACCCACTTCTTTAACATGCCTAGAAATTTTGTCTCAAAATTCATTACAACTCCAATCTCAGTAAAATTTCCTGTTTGATTAGACTTCAGTACTTTATCTTTGTTTCAGTGTCATTACTTTTACTCTTACGT
Source organism: Homo sapiens (assembly GCF_000001405.40). Lineage (NCBI taxonomy): Eukaryota > Metazoa > Chordata > Mammalia > Primates > Hominidae > Homo > Homo sapiens. The sequence goes on from NC_000008.11 coordinate 88,114,445, forward strand.
ATTAAAAGTATTAATGTTCAAGTTTGTCTTCATTCCTGAAATATGAGCTGTGCAGACAGGATGCTAGTTTCCATTCACACATTCTTGATGCCTAGGAAAGTACACTGGACACACAGACACATTTTATCAAAGATGAGATAAAAACAAAAAGTATGAAATTATGTGACAAAACGTTCTCTAGGCAAATGGATATTACAAAGAACAAAATGCCTATTAGAAGATGTTATCTTCCAGAGAAATTATTCTTAGAAAGAAAGCAATAATTCTTGGAATTATTGACAAAATGAAAATTGGGCAGATTTTAGAAACTCTGTCCTGTCAGGAATTTTGATAAAGGAATTCAAGATAACCTCAGAGTTTAAGGAAGCAGGCCTTAGTTATATTTTTTATATACCTGTTTTGATATTGGAAATAGCAGCTATTGCATTCTACTTGAGAGTCTGATCCATGTACTTTTTATCAGTTCCTGATTTCAGGAACCAGTGATCACAGGACCTTATTTTGTTAGTCAACAGCACTTACTAAACTTTTACAATGTGCAGAGCAAAGAGGCTGTTGAAAGCGATCACTAGATATGAAGACACCAGGCTCCTCTGAAATCAGCAACCTACTTAGATAGACAGGAATAATGAAAAAATAATGTACCCAGAGTCAATTTCACATCATATTCTCAGATAAGGTTGATGTTTTGGTGTTATTATTATGGTATCAAGGTATAAAGCCTGCAATGTTGAAATTCTGCCAACCCTTCAGTTTTCATCAGGTGTCTTTTAGAATAAACAAAAGATTGCACTTTGAGTTCATTTCAACTAGTTGCTGTGGGCTTAGCCACAATGAGTAACAATATGAGTAACACAGAGTAACACAATGAGTATCAAAAGTAAGATTTTCTTTACTCTTTGAATCTAAGTTTATTAAACTACTTGAAATAGAATGGCGATATCAAATTACGTATTGCAGGGCAGTTATAGAATTCAAAAATCTATTCATGTGCTTGAAGAAACACATTGATTTTTTTCCTGGAAAGCATGATGCTTTTATGCATATTATATCGAATCCAGATCTTATTTTTCAAAAAAGAAAATAGAGTATTTTATCTAGTTAAAATTATACGAAATCTGTATTTTTAAATGATAGCTTCTGGTGGACAGAAAATTACATAGACAGTATGTAAGTAGAACAGCATTGGATTATTTATTGATTTATGTCCACCAAAACTGACAGCACATTGTTTTATTTTAAAATAAATAATATTGGCAAAATGTGGCTCTTTTAATACTCTACTGCCAACATACAAACTTACTTTCTTAATCTTTAAGACTGGCTTACAAATACTGAGGGGAAAACTATTTTTCAGTATTATATTCACCTTCCAATATCACATAATTTACTTTTGATATACTGTTTATTAGTGTTATTTTCTGAGACCCCAACATTAAAAGTATTTTTGCAAATGTAAAATTAGTTTCAGCTTGTAGCCTTTTAAAAAAATAATATAAATTAGTTAGATATAACTGCCTAACAATATCAAAACAATAACATTCATATGTAAAGTCAAAATGATAGCTTCATAGAGGAGATTTAACTCAAATGGCTACCCGTGGACCCCAAACAAAATGATCAATGCTCTTCCTGTAAAACAATGCTTTAGTAGTCAAATGAAATTACAGGGATCTCATAAAGATATGTAAACCAAAGATACAATAGCTGCAGTATGCCTGGAAGTGCCTAAGCTCCCAAGCAAATCATCCCTATTAGTTCCTATTCATGATTCAAATTATGCTATTTTATCTCTTCATAACATGCAGCATTTTTTTTACCCTCACATTTTAGGCATTTTAGCTTCTGCTGACACGAATGCATTCCCAAAATAGAACGTTACAGCAATCTTCTGCTAGACATTTAAGCCCATTTGTGCATTTATTTTTTAAAATGCTTTTTTTGAACTTTCTAACTGTGAGAGGGCTGGGAAGGTAGTGTTAGAATGAATGAGAACTTGTTTTCTAAAGCAACACTAGACACTTGATCTACTGTTAAAAAAAAAAAAATCACAGTCTCCTACCTTGAAAACAAACATCTCACGACGAAGAATAGCTAGAGTGTTAAAGTTCCCATCACAGATGTTGGGTTTGGCTCCGGGATAGGAGGGTCTGCCGGTTGGAGGCCGAGGAGGTTTTGGCCTGTCATTTTTCCTTGGGTCAGCCGGAGGAATAGAGCGGTGTGGGGGCACTGTCGGTAGAGGTCTTGTAGGTGGAGGAATCTTGTCAGGTGGACCTTTTGAAAATATGAGGACAGTGCTTGGCTCACTTAAAACTGGAATAGAGCTGGAAAATATGCTACAGAGAACAATCACTTATCAGCAGAAGGCACAGACTAACTGAACTAAGAGGTCTTTAAGATCGTATATTTTCTGAAAAAAACAAAATATCTTACCCAAAAAAGCATTGCCAAGCCTATCTGAAACCGTCCTTATCATGCTAGCTTCTGGATCCAGGTAGCTAGGTTTTCTTTGTTAATTTTTAATAATATTTTTCATAGCTTCACCACAGTTATTTTTGGGAAAGCTGCCTTCAGATCTTTTTTGGAAGTAGGTGGTATATAAATAATAAATAAATGAAAAGGAATACTGGAGCCATGTAAGTAAGCTCCAACAAAGTTAATCCTAGATTTCGATAGATAATGATTCTATTCAAATATTTCCAAAAGATAAACGTTAACTAAGCAAAGTTTATTCTATCCAATGTGTCAAAACTATTTGATATTCTTTTATTGATTTTCACTGTTTTCTTCTAATGAAATATTTTGACAAATTGCTGGAAGAGTGTTTCCTCTAAGTCGTGAATCTAAAATACCTATTGATTAAAATATCACCAGTAAAATATTAATGTGAAGAAGTATTTCTCAAAAGAGGCTTCTAAATCAAGCCAAAGTTTACACATGTAATTTGGTACAGATGTAAAGCATCATTCTCAAGAGATTCATGTTTTTAAAAAGAAATGTAAAGCTGTTTGCACTTAATATTTAGGTATGGGAAGAATATTCTTTTGCAGACCTTCAGTCTAGACTACTAATTCATGAGGTCATGAGAAAGAGACTTCTTTCAGTGAACCACTTAAGAAGAATTTCTGATGACACACACTTAGAAATAGGATAGCTCAATTCAACATAAGAGATATTTAGCACTGAGTCAGACATTTCTCTCTTCTTGGTATCCCAGCAAACTAAAGAGCAGCACAAAAACTGACCTTTTTTTACAAATCTATTTTACCCCTGAGAGAATACTTACCACTGAGTTATTAAAATTAAAAAAAAACTAATGAATGCAAAAACGAATTAGTGAACTTAAACTATGCTGCTTAAAAATGCAAAAGACATCTATCTTCTGGATACTGGATATTAACATACAGATAGCACACATTTGTCTTTGTATCATAAAAACAAAAGCTTCACTTCATTAATTTAGTATAAAGCATATTTGCTATATGTAAATTATAAATGTCAAGTTCTTTGCAACTATGTGTGAAATAAATGTCTTTATAAAGGTCAATGGTTGTATGAGGAAGTTACGATTATAGTAAATATGCATAATAGTCTTTCCCCTTTTCTCTTAATTTGCATTCATTGAGTGAATAAAAATGACATTACTATACTAAAAATTTGTTTTGTACTCTGTATTAATAAACTTCACCACTTGTTAATTTCACTCCCTTGTTTGTTAACTCTTACTCTAGGTCAATAAATCATTATATGACTTTGGGGTCAATTTCTTGCATCTATCACATAAGGGTATTTTGTGGGCCTTCAAAAGTGTTTTGTCTAGGAAATACCTAACATCAAATCTCACAAACTATGAGTCAATCTGTCAGTTTGTAGAAAAGTCTCAGCATTTTATTTATGAAAGTCTTATATTTTTCCTTGTTTTTTTTTGTTACATTCATTTATTACATATTTTTACCTGAATTTTAAAAACTAAAGTTTATTAGAACTTTGCCGTAACTGCAGGTTTTTCAACCAAACTCAGTAAGTAAGAAAATTTCATCAGTGCTTAACATGTTCCCATAATCTATACATTAAGATACCTGGGACCTTTGCCAACAAAATTCAGTTGATAGAATAATTTTGCCAGTAGGCCAGCTACATACTTTTTCTGTAGTCATCTGTGTTATACTTAGAGCATCTATCTCAAAGAAGAAAACACAGCAGAAATTCTGGACTTCACTATCGGATTAAGCAAATTGAAACAGTAGTAACCTACCATATATCTTCTGGATGCCCTGTAAATCATCATTAGGTAGTTTGAAGTTGTCTGTTTCCATGTACTGGTAAAATGGAGCCATGATGGCAGTGGGGTCATTGGAATGCTCCAATCCCAGAGCATGTCCCAGTTCATGGACTGCTACAAGAAATAAGTCATTTCCTGTGTGAACAAGAAGAAAATAAGTTTTTGTAACTAATATCCAAATACAGAATTGAAAAGGACAATTTGGTATTATCAACATTTTACCCAAGAAAAATAGGAGGTACTCTTTCCTTCAACTATTTGTATGGTTTCATCACTGGCTTTCCTACTGGCAAAAATCCAATAACCTTTTTTCAAAAAAGGGTCAAGGGAAGAGGTGGCGGTGATAAAGTCACAGAGATTTAGAATCCAAAAGGGAAGAACAAAGAATAAAAGTTGAAGAGCAGCAGCATTGGAAACTGATAGTACTCCTGTCAAAATACTCTTCTAATTATGAAACACATAACGTGAAACATCTTACTTTTATATGTCTCACATTTAATATGATTCTAACAACTTAGTAAAAAATATAGGGCAGATACTGTCCTTACTTTTACAAAGATGAGTAAATTAAGGCATGAAGATGACAAGTCTTGTCAGGAACAGCAAAGAGCTGAGATTGGGACTCAAGATATTTTGACTCCTAGACTAAAGCTTTATTTTTTTGCTAGCATAGAATAAAGAAACACAATAATGTAAAATAAAATCTATAGGCTATTAGTCATACTAACTAGAATTATAGTCCTAGCTCTATAAATACCAATTCTAATCTTTTCATATGTAATCTGAACAAAATACATTTATCTTAAGAGCTGCTGTTTATCACTGAAAATTTCCACCTGTGGTAAACTTGTACAGTGAAATCTATTGAGTAAAAACTCTGCAGAGATATTTGGTGTGATTTTATGCAATCAACCCCGTTGATGACTTCTACATTTTGTTCAGTCCTGGATCATCATAACCATATGCATTATGGGAGAAAAAGGTGGTCTTACATCTATATTTTTAATGCTAAAAATTTACTTGGACAACGTGGTGTATCAAATAGCTGGGGCTGTTACATTTCTAAGGGTTATGTTTCTAAGTGAAAAGTTTAATGTGATTGAACATGAAGGCTAATATTTCACATGAATACTTGCCACAAATGCAAATATTTAATAATTTCAAGCATCATTTCTATGAAAACTCCTTTCCAACCACTTTTATAATGTACTATAAGAATTGCCTTCAGAAGACTATTTTTTGAACCCAAAAGCCAGGCGAAAAACCAACATTTTTTCTACTCTGGAGTAGTCTGTCACAGAGGAATAGATGAGATCATGAGACTGACTCTTCATATGACATTAGCATAGCAAAAATGAGCCACTGACAGTACTTCCTGTGGTCTACCTGATTAAAAATACTAATAGAGCATGGTTACTGGGGGTTGTCTAGGGAACATCATAGTCATAGGAGGAAGAAAAAAAAGAAAACAGAAGGAAGGAGGAAGTTATTCATGAAGAGTTACATAACTATGACAGTGTTTGGAAGTATGTAATTTAGGGAGAAGACTACTAAGGATTGTGCCTTAGGGGGCACTCACAGGTGAGAGGATCATTGGAAAGAAAAGAAGCTATATTCATTTTTAGATATGGAACATCTAATCCCAATGCTAAAATGAACATCTTTGTAATTTCAAATCAGAGACACCTTAGTTAAAATACAAATCTGATAACCATGTGGCTTACTGCTACCCTAAATAACATGTTAAGTGGAAGAAGGATAGCTTCGGAGCATGCCCACACCCAGAAAACATGGGTCAATTTTGGCTGGAGTATGCTATCAATGGGCTAAGTGAAAGGATATTTTCACCAAGAGCAGACTGAATGGCAAAACAAAGATTTATCAAGCAGACAAAGGAGCAAAAGAAGCCCAGGCAGTCTAACGAACAGCAGAAAACTCAGGAATTGGTATTCAAGTTCACCATGAACAGCCTAGTCACACATGAACTCAGTCAGAAGACAGTGCTGACTCAGAAAATAGCTTCAGAAACTCCTGGCCTTCTTTTAGCAAAACTGATGCAACTTCTTGGTCAGACAGTCCCAATGTAGACTTACAGGGATTATATCTTGTTTTAATCTTTACAGGGAAAAAAAAAATTCCAAACTTCATCCCCTCCTCCTTGCATATCAGGTCCCCTTCACTAGAAAAAACAGACCCTGCTGTGTTCCTAAACACATAGGAAGTCAGTCTTACTCTTATGCAGATAAATATTGCTTTCAGTCAAAACTAAAATTTTGGCTAGGAGCCTAGCTGAATTATTAAAGGTACTTCAAACCTCTCACAAGAAAATAGTCTCTTGCTCTCAGTTTTTTTTTTTTTTTTCCGTTTTTGGCTAGAAAGAGGAATACAAAAAGACAAAAACAACACAGACATAATAGCAAACAGGTCATAACAGCCAAAGCCATTCTGTTTCATGTATCTGTTCGCTTCAGATCATTCATATTTTCCTAAGCATCGTTTCCAAGGGTGGAGTCATTCCTTGTCTCAGGAATAAAGTAAGGCTTTAGAAGAAAATTAATAGAACCAGGATATGAACTTACGACCTGTCGAGTACTCTACAGCACTTTTAATCAGAAACATTGGCCAAGGGCTCCAAGTAATTACCATTCTTCAGATGATTGGCAATAATGTAATTAAACCTTACTTGCAGCTTCACAATAGTTTAAAAGGGTAAGTTGTTCAATAAAGTACTGCCCTGTGATTTGAATTCCACTAGGAACAAAAGTTGTTGGCACATGACAAGCTTCAGACAATTAAAATGCACTGGACCTCTTTCCAAATGATGAAAATAATAACTGCTGCTGTAACTTATCATTAATTCACATTATTCAAAATCCTTAATTGTAATATGCCTTGATTTTATCACCAAGCAGGCAACAAAGGAGAAATCAGTCTCTTGGTTCTTAATACAGAAATAGTACTTGCTTCTTTTGCAAGATTTTGAGTTTTGAGTTCGTTGCTTTCAATTGTATCCATAATCTCCTTTCCTTTGTATACTCCAATACAATGTTAGAATATTAAACTATATTATGAAGGATAATGAATTATTTGTCATTTCTTTGTCATAATTATGTCTATATTTTATTCCAAGTTCCTTCACCCTTCCATGCATTTTCAGATACTGTCTTCTCCGCTGACATATCCTGAATGTTAAAAAATGATCATGTAATATTTTATACATACAAATTGTTATGGAACATTTATAATCCTACTAAAATATTTGGATATCACCAGCATCACTGAATCTCTCTCTGATGTTTCTGTGATCCCAAAACTTTGGCTCTTCCATTCCTTCAAGAGGTCATCACTACCCGGAGTTCTGAATTTCTCATTGCACTGCTTACATTTTTGTTAAATGTATTTTGGTATATTTTGCCTTGCTTACACTTTTATCAAATATGTATGTTTCAATGAATTACAGTTTCCCCTAGTGTTGTAGCTTTGCAAAGTTTATCTTTGCATGCTGTCTTCTAAAACTTGTTGAAACTCAGCATTTTTTTTCCTAATATATATCTTCTATCTTGCCTCTGTCAATTGTGCAAGATCTTGTTAATATTTTAAAAGAAAAATCAAAGTCATCTCCTCCATGAAGCCTTCTCCAAATTCCCAGGTCAATTCTGTCCCTCTACATCTGTGTATACTTGGCCTTTCATATATAACTTGATTGTAACACATACCATAATTGCCCTGAAAACTTCTGATGCTCTTAATATTCACTTGTAGGTTAAAAGACTGACAGAATAAATTTGAACAGATTTCTAATTTTAAATATATAAATACTTAAAATAGTACAGTCCATATCTAGAAATAAAAATCAGAAATCATCACCAAACATGTGATTAGTAGAAATTTCTCCAGTGCTTAGTGGATAGATAGGATGGAATAGGTCTTCTCAACCTGCAGCCCTATCAGACTATGTGTACAGTTGGTTTCTCTAGTTGAGAAGCTAAAGAGATATGTGGGAGCCAGCCTCCGAGATGACAACAGTGATCCTCACCTCCTGATCTCACACTCACATTGTATCAGGGTTTTATCAGTTTGCCACAGCAAAATATGGCAGAAGTGATGGTATTTGACTTCTAAGGCGAGGTCATACGATACATCCATGACTTCCATCTTATCTCTCTCTCTCTCTCCCCTCCTCCCCCCACCCCTGCCTCCTCTACAGCCATATGAGTTAGCTTGGAAGTGAATTTTCCAACCCCTTCATATGAGTGCAGCCCCGGCCAACATGGATATCCATGAAATAACTCTAGCCAGAACCACCTGGCTAAGCTGCTCCTGGATTTCTAACCTTCAGAACCATGTGAGATAATAAATTGTTGTTTTAAGTTGCTGGATTTTGGGGTAATTTTTTATTTAGCAATAGATAAATGCTGTGGGGTATTTTAGCACTCTATCTCCTCTCCATTTGGTTAGGATTAAGAGGTGATTCTAAGAAAAAACTGAACAGTAGAAAGGAAGCTACTTTGAAGCATGTGAGTGTTTATACAGCACTTCTGAAATAAACAAGGGATTAAAATATTGTCCATTCCAACCCCCTCTACAAAACCCAAAAAGCTTGGTATAACTCTTGGTCTGAAGGAACGTCTGTGATTGAAAATTTCCAGAGGTAGATGTATCATCTATTTTCTTGTCTCCTGTGTTTTTTCAAATCTGAAAAACTTGATACTTTTGTTGTACCTATGCTATTACTCTCTTTGCACTTCGCTGAAAAGAGGGCCACTCTCTTGGTGGTCAGGAAAACGTGGTTCCTGCCAGAGAACCAGAGAAGTCTGACAGACGGGTCTGAAAAAATAACATAAAATACTATTTATTCAGCATCTATTATGAACTATAAATGTCACTGAACTTGTTACTGAAACATCATGACCTAAACATCATTACTCCTGCTTTACCAGTAAAGCTCTCAGAGGCTATGGAACTTGCTCAGTCAGCCAGCCCATAAGAGGCAGAGTTGGTATTTACATCCTGGGGGCACAGGTCACCTAAAAAGAGTTAGGTCATAGCTTTGCAATACAGAAGCTGAGAGAAGCTGATCTTGGGTGGATTTTCACGCATCTCTTTCTGACACTACTGCTCTTCCATGGAGCCTCCAGTATCTCAAAGTGCTCTCTCTTGCCTTCTCCCTGCCCACCATCCCTGCCCTCAACATTCCACCTAGGCTGGGCTGCTCCCCTAGTGCCTCAAACTCTAGAACCATCCCTCAGTCCTTTCTCTAAATGCTTTTCCCCAATTGAGTCAGACATAGTTTGACTATGAAAAATGTTTATTGCAATCATTTTTACTTAGCATTGATGAGTAAATTTCTTGCAATGCACTTGCGAGTAGCATTTACGTGTGTCAGATACATTTTATTGAGATTTATTTGATGACAAACCAATTTATTTTTATATATGCTCAGACCTTTGAAGTCTTTTGTTGTACACAGGACTATTATTATGCCCCAACACTTGCAGAATTAAAAAAATAGTTTTTATAATCTGTTATGCAAGTGATAGAATGAAATATCAGTTAATAGTCATACGTGCCAAGTAGAGTACTAGGTACTTAATGTGTTAGTTCATCTACTCTCTGCCATATTAATTAGGTTTTATTATTATTACCATTCTACAGACTGAGAAACTATGACTTTCATTGACAATGGAACTTGACCAAAGTTACAGAGTAAATAGCAGAAACTTATGTAAGCCCCCATATAGTCCAGGTCCACAACCAAGAACTTAGTGTGCTAAGAAAACGCACTTCTCCACTTTTTCCGTAGCCCTAAACATCTTTTCAAGGCTCTACTGAGCATCCTAGGAGACGATGGCCACCCTGTCAAGCCACCTTCAAAGAACACAGCTGCTGCACAGGAGCTCTTTGTAGGCATCTGTAATAACAGTATTTCTTTTTTCCACTGAACTAATAATAAACTTAATATTTTAAAACTTAGGAAGTGTTTTAGTCTGTCCTGGATGCCATAACAAAATACCACATACTGCGTGGCTTAAACAACCAAAATGTACTTTCTCATAGTTCTGGAGGCCAGAAATCTGAGCTCAGGGCACCAGCATGGTCAGGTTCTGGCGAGGGCTCTCTTCCTGACTTCTTCAATGCCCAGCTTCTCTGTGCATACTCACTTCGTAAACAGAGAGAAAAAGGAAGCTTGCTGGTGTTTCTTCTTATAAGTAAACTAATCTCATTAACTGGACCTTATTCTGGTGACCTCATCCAACCCTAATTATCTCTCAAAGGCCTGATCTCCAAATACTATCAGATTGGAGGGTTAAAGCTTCAACCTGTGAATTTTGTGGCTTTAACCACAAAATTTTTATGAACACAATTCAGTCCATAAAAATTCCTCAGTCCAATTTGGCTGCTCAAAGAGCTTTTATCATTTTCATTGCTTCTTACTTTTAATTAAGTCTGAAAGTCCTGGAGATTTTTTTTTTTTTTACAAAATTAGAAAAAAAAACAGTATTGCTACAATTAGAAGAAATAAGTATAGTACACAGAACTTCACTTTTTAAATTATATTTCAAAATATTTATTCAGCAATTAAAGAGGTTTGCTGGGAATGTTAGAATTATCTGTTTGGATGTGGTTTAAAGCATGTCTAATAAGGCACAGTTAAACACTGTGCACTTAAAATATGAGGAAAACAAATTGCCATTTAACAGGTCTTCCAAAATCAGAAAAAGTATTTTCAGAAATATGTAAGTGCCAAACATTTATAGTATTTAATTAAACAAATATTTTAGATTAAATCAATATAATTAAAACAACCTACGTATACGTTAGTCAGGTAAAGTAGAAAACCTAGGAAAATATTTGAATAATCAAGGCCAAACTATACTTTTTATTCCTTTGGGCTAGAGTTTGAATATGATATCTGCATTTAATGAATTAGACCTGTCTTTACTTAATTCATAAAAGTCTTGCTGAAGAAAAGCAAGATTGGATATAGTTAATTGCACCATGCTAAAAACAAAGCCCTTTTTGTTTCCGATTGAGCTCAGTTAAGATTCTAAGAACATTCTCAGTTATGTTTCATGTTATTTATTTTTGTGTGATTTATCTGTGCAACACTTTTTCCCTGGATAGCTCAGTTTGATTGGTCAGGATGATTCTGGAGGCCTACTTGCCTCTCTCTGCAGCTAGTGCAAAAGAGATCAACTTCACTGACTGCTTTAAAAAAAAGTAATCACATAATAAATTGCAAAGCCACTTTTTAGGAACTGATCTGAATTGCCATATTATTTTTATTTCCAAAATAATAATACAAATTATTATTTATATGGCAATCCTGGTAATATGTGCCACTACTTCCAGACCAGCAACAAATATATGACAAAAACTCTTTTAAAAATTTTCAATTATCTACTATGTGCAAGGAAATATATGCAGAATTATTGAGCTATTGATAAACAATTTATCATAGCATATAATTATTTTTCTACTTGGGTCAGAAAATATGAGTGCCTGGAGCTCTAAAGATAAATCACCCAAGCCTTTGTTCTTCATTTAGGAACTGAGAGTAGTTCGGTATCTCTGAGCTCCTTTGAGTTCATAATCCTCTTAAAGTATCTGAGAAACTACACAACTTCTTCCCCAAAACATGAATGCATTAGCAAAGTATTGAAAGTGATTATGGAATTATTTTTGCCCTACTTAAGTCCTGTAAGACATACTGGGGTACAAACTGTCAGTTATAAGATAAATAAATTATGAGGGTCTAGCGTATAACATGATGGTTATAGTTGACAATATTGTATTTTATACTTGAAATTTTCTAACAGAGTAGATCTCAAGTGTTCTTGTCACCAGAAAAAGAAAAATGGTGACTATGTGAGATGAACAATGCGTTAACTAACATGATTGTGGTAATCACTTCCCAGTGTGTTTGTGTGAGTGTTTATATACGGAATCATTACTTTGCATACCTTACATATATATCAAAAATAAAAGACATACCGTATTTAAAGTCCTGACTCAACTACTGACTGTATACAATTTAGTAAACTACTAACCTCTCTGCAATTCAGTTTCTTCATTGGTAAAGTGGGTGTGACATCACCTATTATAGGGTTGTTAGTAGGTTAAACACCATCAAGTATATAAAATATTTTGCATAGTTTCTAGAATATAGTTTACTGCAAAGAGTGGTAATTTCAGTAACAATAACAATAACTACTTCTACCACTGCGAGTATTCCTGTAATCAACAAACCTTACAACAAACTTTTGAGGTAGATACTAAATGACATGAAAAGAAATTGAAACTCCAGTACACTGGATCGCAGTAAGTAAAAAGGCTGTTATGTGCCAGAACAGGAATCTAAATATCAGTTCTGACTTTACCAAAACTAGTGCACCAACTGGTTAAACATGGTTACTATGCAAACATATGTGAGTGACAGAGTTGAGAAATATACTGGGCTCAAGTTTTGGAGAGTTTTGAATGCTAGGTTTGAGTGTGATTATTATGTAGGAGATAACACAGTACTATGAAAGTCTGACATTGAAATGATATTGCTGTACAGTAATTTGGCCTCAGTATGCAAATATGATTGGAGTATGATGCAATATGAAATGATTGATGGCAAAGAAAGCAGTTAGAAGACTGCTTCAGTAGACAAAGAATTAGGTGATGAGGGCTAAGGTAGTGATGAAGGGAACAGAAAACAGGAGTTGAAATGAGCAATGGAAGTATGTGAGAGTGATATAATGATTTGAAATCATTTTTTGAATTTAGGGGTTATGACCAACAACCATTATTACATTATTACATTACTGTTGGCCATAACCCCTAAATCACCAAATTCCATGTAAAGATCATTTCATATTTTACTCTCATTATTTCCAAAAACAGAAAACTTAACATGGATTTTGATTAGAACTTTCAAGGTTATAATTTTTAAAGGCTGTCCATATAAATTTCATATAGAAATATTTCACATTATTTTCACATAGTACCTTACATTGGCTTTTCTCTGCAAATCTTGCGCTTAAATGAATAATGAATAATTAGCAGGAAATGGTACAAAAGTTTATAAAATGTTTCATACATTTGCTTGTACCAACACATCTAGATTGTAGTTCCCATATGCATTCTGCTATATCTTTCAAGCACTTTGCTGATGTGAGCTTACCCTACAAGAAAACTGCTTGAAGACATACTGTAACACCACTGATACGAAGCTGTTATACATAAGGGCTGGCTCATAACAAGGAGATGGGTTGGCTCTTTTTGAGGAAGGGCATTGAGCTTACTGTCATGCAAAGACACAGAACTGGAAAAGGTATGGCCTTTCTAAATAGCATTCCAGCTGCAAGCTCAAGGTCAGTCTTTACCTGCATGCTGCGGAGAACGGCCTCTGTTTCCTATCAGCCTTTTGAATCCTTCATAAAGTTGGAAGCCAGTACATGCTTGCACAATTGCATATGAGAGGAATAATTAGCAAAACAATTAGTGTATTTTGTTCACAAAATTCCTGCTTTCTAAGCATACACATTTGGACACCAGAAACTTTTTTTATTTTACATTGAAAAAACTTCTGATCCTACACTAAAGAAACAATTCTGATTAAAGCATAAATAAAGGGTAACTTACACAGCAATTGAATTTAAGATGCATTTGGTAGCTTATATCTTAGATGGCCCTAATTTTCCCTACAGCTTGACTAAACTTTAGACAGGTTTTTTTCCTGACCATAAGCTCCAGACTTCCCTTTTCTTAAAACATTTACTATAGGAAACTTTCAAATATAAATCCTTTCTTTGTTACTTTCAGATGTACATATTATCGCAGACTCTTGACAGTTTTACAACCTAGGAATGTCTTTCTCTGGGATTTGGGAGCCATTCTTTGGAATGTAATCATCAAGCAAGATAGAGTCCTCATCTTCCTGTCTCTATGGGAAGGGAGGAGCCTTATTTTGATTAGCAATGATTAGCAAAAAAAGATCTTCTAATCACATTGATAGACCTCCTCTCTATACTTAGTAAAACCAATCATGACTATGGATCCCCAAGAAAATACTGGGAAAGTATTTATAGGCTGTGGAAGGAGGGATCCTAAAGATCTGGATGGTGGTCAGACTCATTTGGGCACATAAACAGACTTAGATAGGTTTTCTGGTTCATTTCCACCTCCTAAAGAAGAATAAATGTTGGAGAATGATTGGGTTTAAATTCCCAGCTCTTGAGGACTAGAATAGAGACCCTCACAGAAGGGATGTACAAATTCCAATATCAAGGAAGTAGCAAGAGAGAATTAACCAGAAATCAAGTGAAAAGATGTTACAGATGTTATAGTTGTGTATTGAGTTACTAGAGTAGGTGTGTATGGCCCTCAGAGTAAACCCATGTAACATGATTCTCTGCACCTGGATATATTTACATACATAGAAGCAACTAACCTATATTCAAGTAAACTGCTTATTTTCTGCAAGTAGGAGATTAAATTAGTAATAGAATTTAAAAGTTGAGGGAAGATAGAATTTTAGTTGTTTTCCAAATTTTGCTATTTTCAGTTCATTGCCACCTAATTCATTTTTTTATATTAGAGACCTGATGGCCTAGGTATAAACAATTTCCTGTTTTTAGAAAACAAAGCAAAAGCTAATGAAAACAACCCTCTATATTCAAGTGTTTGTACAGAGATTAAAAACTTATAAACAAATTTGTTTTTATAAAACATTAATACATAAACAACAGCAAGTATAGTAAAGAAGTGTGATAACTTTATCTTGACACATTCAGATTTCCTGATCATTTCCCTGTGTTCCCTAAGTGAAGCTCTTTTCTGGAAGAGCCTGTTTTGCCAAAAAATATTAAAAAAAAGAAAAGAAAAGGTTGTTTTTTCTATTAATATTTTAGAGTTTTTATTTTTAGTTTTTCTCTAAAGCAACCCTCTTTCCATACTCTCCCAAGCATGTATTTTTTCATAAAGATATACAATAGCAAAACTAGACCAAAATGAGTATACAAAATATAAAAAAATTATAACCTTAGTACCTTAATATAATGATGTATTTTTTAGAGTAGGTTTCACATATATGTATAAAAATTCATAGACAAACAAAAATTGTATATATATATTTCTTTTTTAGCATACTGTGAACCTTATACTTGACAGTGGAACACTTGGCATTAATTTACTGTTGGCCTATCGAGTGATTACCCAGAGCTTGAAATCAACAACTCAGGAATTTCTGACAAAGAGTTATTTATTTTAAATAAGATTTCCCAGCTTGAT
This sequence comes from Homo sapiens, assembly GCF_000001405.40. Lineage (NCBI taxonomy): Eukaryota > Metazoa > Chordata > Mammalia > Primates > Hominidae > Homo > Homo sapiens. Next base: position 88,130,007 of record NC_000008.11, read on the forward strand.
TAAAGCTATTGATGCTAATAAGAAAAGACAAATGTGTTTGCCTTTCTGCAATTCTCATTTCAGCAGTAACTTGAGCTCATATTTGTTTTCTAAGAATCAATGTAATACATGTAAAGTTTGGCTTGATAAATTATCCTTAATGTATGAATTTAAAAAATAATATGCAAAATCACAAATTCAGTAATTATTTGTGCAGTCAAAATTAGCGAGGATTAACTGAGCCAGTTTATCAAAATATTTTAGTAAAGTAGTGGACTTTAAAATAGACGTGTACATGGCACATACCAATAAAATCAGATGATTCATGCATGGCCTAGTATTCACACAGCAAATTTTAAAACATATTTCAGCATCTTGCAAAAGGATATGATGTAACCTAAGTGTCTTCCTTATCTGCTTTCTTTAGTTTGGATTTAGAGAGGCAGAACTGAAATAGCAAGATAAAAATGGAAATGAAAATTAAAGGACGTTTCTTTTTTTAATGATAGATATACTTTACATTCGTCTGTGGTTTATTCCACATATTCTGTAACTAAAATTCATATTTAAATTATTTCAGTGTAGGTGCAGCAAAATATCTTGTCTTATTTTTATTTAGTAAACAAATATTTGAAAGGCCTGGGTTTTCGCTTAGGAGTTGGCAGACTATTCTGCTGGCAACGTGGTTAAGAATTTCAAATGTTCTGAGGAATGTTTTCTTTCTAGGATACATGACTTGGATGGGAACCATAACCTAAATGTCTTGTGAAATACGTGTGTGTGTGTGTGTGTGTGTGTGTGTGTGGTTTGTAAGTAGAGCAATGAATAAAGCACTTATGTTTCATAATTTTTACAGATTCTAAGGAAATAAATTTGTATAATAACTTCACTGTAGTCTTGGAAATTTCTTCCAGCAAACAGGAACACTTAAAAATGTATTAGAAATATTGACTCAAAAAAAGGCAAGGGATGTAAATCCCTAATTGTGAGATTTCTTTTCCTTTTAATTATGTCTTGATTGCAAAGAACCTAATTAATGGGAAGCAGTTGCTTCATTTACTAAAGGATAATAGCAACATTCATGGGGTACCCATTATGGCCCAGACTCTTCATACAAAAATCTTTTAAGGTAGACGTAATCACCCCAGATAGCGCTTTTAGAAATAAAGGCTTGGTGTAAATAACTTAAAAGCTGGTAAGTGGTACAGGCAAGTTTGTATCCAGGTCTGTTTGAATACAAAGTCTTTCTTCCCTATGCTGAGTATGACTATCTATAGTATTATACACACACACACACACACACACACACAATCTTCCATAAATTTCATCACCTAAACTAACGTAAAAGATATAAATGTAATCTTATGACACAAATGAACAAGAAAAGAATCAATGTTGATACCAAAAAGGACTATCATTTCCTTTGATGTTTGCTCATGGACTGCTAGATTCCATGAATTTTAATAACATACAGCAAGAATATATTGTCCACTGTATGCCCAACCAGAAACACACACTATTCATAGGAGATACAAGAGTCTCCAAGGAATTTACTGTGCTCTGCTAGACAACATCTACCATCCTATACCATATTAATGGAGTGTTAACAAAACATCATTATTATCACAGTACTTTATTGGTCGAAATCCTAAAATAGTTTCTTATTACAGTTGAAATTACTCATTAAAAACTACCTTTCATAATCTGGTTTAGACTTTCCTATCCAACCCATCTGTCACTATTCACCCACACGTAGCTTAATTCTTAATAGTTCCCCTAACAAACCATAATAATTTTTACCCCTCTCACTTTCTTCATTGGAATACCACAACACATATAAAAGTGATGAAACATTTGCCCCTCTTCTCTCATTGTTGAAAGTTTTAGTATGTTTTATTTTGATCAAACAACCTTGGATGGTCAAGGTTAACACATGAGAATTGAACTGTTTATGAATGATTCCATTCATTACATTATGTCGTTTATTGCTGCAAGGGATATGTCTTCTGCAGAGGTAGAATTTCCCTCTGAAATTGCTTTGACTATTTTCACATACTCCCTCTGGCCTTGTCCTGCTCTATTTTGTTAGTTATCCTTACAGTGAAGTGATTTTTACCAAAATCTATTTTAGCTGTGGAGAAATAGAGATTTTTTAAAATATGCCATTAAATTACTCGTACATCCCTTTGTGAAAAGTAAAAAAAATAAAGATTGTGTATATACGTAAGAATAAATTTCAATACTTGAAAACCCTTGGAAAGACTCTTTAAAATACGATTTTTCAATTGTACTTCATAAACAACTTCAAGAATGATAATATTGTTTAAGTTAGCCATTGCTACATAACAAATCCACAGCTTAAAACAAAAGTCAGTGATAGTCTTACAATTTCTAAGGGTAGAAATATGAGAGAAGTTTAACTGGGTTGTTCAAGATCAGATTTTTGTGAGGTTTCAAACTGTTGGCTGGAGCTGTCAAAAGGTTTGACTAGGGGAGGCTCTGCTTCAAAGCCCAATTAGGACGTGTTGGCAAGCTTTGGATCCTGCTATCTGTTGGACAGAGATGTGGTCCTCACCATGTGGGCTCTTTTCACATGTTGGCTATGACATGTCATCTGGCTTCCTCCATAGTGACTGATGAGACAGACAGAAAGACTGCCTGCACTGGAACCTGCAGTCATTTATAACCTAATCTTGGAAGTGATTCACCATTACTTCTTCCATAGTCTATTCATTAGATGTGAGCCACTTTGCCTAGCTTACACTCAGGAGGAGAGGATTATACCAAGGCATAATTATCCAGAGGTGGCTCACTGGTGGCCATTTGGGGGCTGGTTACTCCAACACCAGTAACAATAGTGAATGCTACCACTTGAAGCAATTTCTGGGTTTTAGATATTGTACTAGGTGTTTGCACTCATTGTAATATGTATGCAAGGGAAAGTCTTCCATCTAAGTTTTTCCTATGAAGAAACTGATACTCAGGAATGTTAAATAAATAACAAGGAGTACTGCTAATCACTGGTAAAGCCAGGATTCAAACCTAGGTCTACTGTATTCAAAGTCAGCAATTTTTCTCCCCTTTAACACTGTACCTTTTTTTTCTTCTATGATAATAGAAAATGATCTAAACTGTAATGATTTTTATTCCACATACTGTTTTGGGAATTCATGTTACTTAAGCAGAGAGGAAAAAAGAATCGTATTGAATTATCTTGCCATTACCTTTATTAAATTTGATTCTTAAGAAAAAAAATACAAGCTTCAAAATCTGCTACTTTTCAACATGACACTTAGATAAAGAAAAATTATACAGCTCTGACTTGCTAAATTTTGAAATGAAGTGTTTATGCTCAGAACTGTTCTCCCAATAATCAGGCAGAAATACAGGGCCCTCTTTATCATTGTCTTGTCCACTAGGAGTTTTCAATAACCCTCCTCAGTTACTGTTCTACAAAGGCTGGAGAATCAGGAGCTAGTGATGGGTAAACTGAACTTTTAATGTTTGAGTTATAGGATTTGTTTATATCTGAAGAATATGTTCTCTATTCATTTTGCTACAGTAGTCACATTCCTTACATGCTATAATGAGTAATTCAGTCATCCTTCTCTACCTTTGACAAAGAGATTATGCAGACATATTTTCATATTAATGACTCTTAAGTCTTAGTAGCCATTTTTTGACAAAAAAAATTAGAGCTTAAAATAATGATGCAGAATTAAATACAACACTTAGAACCTGAATTAACAATGTGACAGACATTATTAAAATTTTAATATAAAAATTCACTGGTTTTCTCTAATTATCATGGTTCGCATTATAACTATCATATCATCATCTAACATATTAATTATAATCACTTTTTGTCATTTTGTATCCTGCTGACCTTCATCTTGCAATATAATCTTCAAGTTGAAACATATAAAAAATAAAAGGAAAGAAGGTAGATTGCAATTCAGTATCAGTATACACAGCATTAAGCACAGTTTTCTGTTGTAAATAAAATGGAATGTAAAAACAAAGAAAAGATAACTAATTAGAGCCTCCAAAAGCAGACATCTATTTAAAAAGGAAGACACTCCTGTAGAGAGATGTAAAACACTTGTGGAAAAATGTGCATATGAATATGCAATTTTAAATTATTTTATAACATATGCTTCTTAGCAGCTAATGAGAAACTCTAACTCCAGCAATATGTCACCAATTCTAACAAAAATAATAACCATAAGCAATTGCTTTCAAAATCCCAGAGTCTCCCTTGGTCCACTAAAATATTAAAGACACGTAGCTCTTAGATTATTAAAAGCATCTTTCTTCACACTTACATAGATAAAGAAATTTTGTTTTTATTCCTCTTTCCTTATATATTCAATATCCAGTAAGGTTTAATTCAACTTCAAACTTGAAGATATTCAAATTTTTATAAAATATGTACCTAGAACAGATCTTCCCAAGAAACTATTTTTACTCAGAGAAGTACCTGTATTTTCTACACACTTTATTTTCTATTTTGTAAGCCAATTTTTTTTTCATAAAAAAGGGGTTAGGTTTTGGGGTCTTTGGTATTATACACTGTCAAAGATTTATGAATGTCTAAATAATTTTAAACCATGTATCTATCTCCTCTCTATATATTTTTCTAACTTTCCTCTCAACACATTCCAATTAATTCATCAAGTATTATCCTTTCTAGAGACAATGTTGCTGTTTCCCCTAGCAGCTTATTTAATACAAATGTTCTTTGTACCCATCCCTTATTTTTTTTCTACTACCTTGCTTGGCTAGACATGTGTGTGATCCACTAATCTTTATTTTTCTTCGCCACCTTATGAAACACCTAGATCTGATGCCACTGATATATGTAGGTTTATTTTTATGTATTGTTCTAAAATATCATAAGATTGATAGCTATCTGATTGGTAATTCTTCAGTCTGTTCATGTTTGGAAAAGAATATTAACAGAATTTTCCCAAATAAGCTTTTTCATCATTAAAAAAAGGATAAGAAATAAATCTTTCCTTTTCCTATAATGAATTCACTATCTCACAACTATTCCATTGAATTTTTATATGATTCTCTTCCTTTGAGCTACTTTAAAGCTCTTTTTATTAATCTTTTAGTCCTTTACAAGTTCCTAATCAAAGTTTATTTCAGCCAAACTTAATTCTACTACATGCATTTATTCATTAAGCAAACATTTATTGAGTATTAGATTAAGTACATTGACCTGACTGTTAATGAGCTTAGTCTGATAAGGGAGACTGATAAACTCAAAAATACAAATAGCTAAAAATCACAGAGATATCCTTTCAATAGCCATATGCTTAGCATCTAAAATGCTGCAAGCACAGTGGCTTCTGAGGTCAATAAAATAAGGTCCCAGTTTAAGTCTATAATAGATAGATAGGTAAGCAAACTCAAGGATATTTTACAAGTGTTGCAGGTTCTAAGACAGAAGTATGTACAGGCTAGTAAAGACTCAGATGAAATGAACAGTTCTATTATGATTTTGTTGTGGGACTGAGTCTTGGGGTTTAAAACTGGAGTCAGGGTGACCAGTTGTGCTCTAATCAAAATGCCTGTGTAAGAAATAATGAACTAAGGTAAAAATGTCATGGATGGCAAGTGTCATGGATGACATAACAGACATATAAAGAGGAGAATCGACGTAACCATGTTATTGTGGAGAGAAAATGAGATAACGGACAAATTAACAAACCAAACACAAACAAAAAAATCCAGGATAATACCAGGTTTCTGGTTTGGACAATTACATGATGATATATTAACAAAGGCAGACAATATAAAAAACTATAGCAGGTCTGGGGACATGAAAAGTTAACTTTTGAATTTATTCAGATGAGATTCCTATGGAACAGTGAAATTTGGGTTTGGAACTCTCGAAGAAAAACCGACTCAGTATTAATGCTCTTACAGGTTTTTATTATATAAGTGGGTTAAACCATAGCAATAAATAAACAGGCAGAAAAAAGATACAGAAAGATTACAAAAGAAAGGATAATAAAATCCATGGGTCAAAATGTAGAGGCACATGGAAAAAGGAAATCTTGAAGAAGAGTAACTCGGAATAGTTCAAACAGTAGAAGACAGAGTGAGTAGCCTACTGGGAAGTTAAAAAGAGCTAAACTTTTTAATAAAGTAGAGGTTAAATAAAATTAGATGTCAAGAAAGAGATGACTAAAAAAGGTTCATGGATTTGACAACTAAGATACAAGGATGACCTCTGACAGGAGCCTGGAAAACTCCAGTTGAGAGTGTAGGAGGAGTGAAATAGACACTAAGCACTGTAAGAGCTTGACTACAAACTGCAGAGGTCTGCCATATTGTGTGGGTTCCCATGTCTTTCTCAATTTAATCAAATTAAAAACTTTAATTTTCATTAATGTAAAATGTACATACTATAAAACTGCACAAATCTTAAGTGTACAGGTCAGTTGATCATCATAAATTGAAAACCCTATGTAATCAATTCCCAGATCAAGAAATTGAATGTTACTGGTAATCCATCTGCTTGAGTCTCCTTCTTGGTTGCTACATCCCCAAAGGAACGGTTATCAGAGCCTGATAACCACAGATTAGGGTGCTCATTTTTGAACTTCATATTAAATAAATTCATATTAAACAAAATACATATTAATTATATATTAAATGAATTAAATTCATATTAAATACATTAAATAAAATGAATTCATATTTAATATGAATTAAATTCATTTAACTCATTCCACTGAATAAATAAATGGTTTATATTTTTGGTGTTGATAAATATTGGAGTTGTTCTGGTTTGGCACTATTAAAAATAGCAATGCTATGAATATTCCACTACATATGTTTTCATACACCACACCACATTATACCATTACATTCACTCCCCACCCCCTACTAAAATACTTGTTCAACAGACATGCATATATTCAGCTTACATAGTGACAAACAGTTCTAATACATATGTTTGTGTATGTGTTATATACATATTTTTTTTCTCCTTTTCCAGGACTGTATGGAACTCCATCTGTTCCACATTCTCATGAACAATTGAATAATTGTTATCATCAATATTTTTATTAGCTATTCTGGTGGATGAGTGATATCACATTGTGACTTAGATTTTCCAGATGAGTAATGATGTTGACAAATTTTCATACGCTTATTTGTATACTCTTTTTTTGTGAAATGCTCGTTGAAGTCTTTTATCTATTTTCATATTGGGTTACCTATTTCTTTTTGCCATTTTGGAGTTGTCTGTTTACATTTAGGACTGTAAAGGGTCTGAGACTTGCCCTATTTTAGAGGCAACTCCTCCCCCCCAAAACCCAAACACTTCTGGTCCCAATAATTTGGAATTTTGGATAAGGAATACCGAACCTGTACTTCTTTAAATACGTTAAAGCTGTCAATATCACTGTCTTTTAACTTTCAATGCTGACATTGAGAAGTCAGGTGCCAATTTTATTTTTATTCTCTTAAACAAATGTGCCTTCATTTTTTTGCCTCTTCTGACTGCATTTAAGATGTTCTCTTTGGATTTAACTAGTTTTACTATGACATGTCTGAGTAATAATCTTTGTATTCAATGTGATTGGGGTTCAAACACTTGTTCAGTGGTGTGATGTTTTTCATCTGTTTTAGAAACTTTCCTGCAATTTTCTCTTTATACATTGCTTTCATTCTTTTTTCTCCACTTTCTCACATTTGAAGTATCTTAATTTCATAGGTGTTAGATGTTTTTTCATTGTGTCCTATATGCATGTCTCTACTCATTTTGCGCTCCCTCTCTTCTGTCTTCTTGATTTCTTTGTGCTTAAGCCTGGATATTTTCTATTTTCTTGATATTGGAAGATAGACACTAGTCTCTTTCAATTCACATATCTTGTCTTCTATTGTGCCCATTCTTCTATGAAATACATCTATTGAGTTGTTAATTTCAGTTATTGTATATTTTTAGTTCTAGGGTTTCTATTTGATCCTTTGCAATATATTTCATTTAACAGTTGAAATTGCAACCTCAAATCTACTTTTTAGTTATATATGTCACAATTATTTTAAAGACTGAATGATAATTCCAACACCTGAATCATGTGTGTATGTGTTTTTTTTCCTAGGTCTAGTTTCTTTTGGATGTCTGGCAATCTTACTGAATACCAGGCAGTGTGCATACATATTGGGGAGAAGCTGGATAATATTTTCATCTATATTCATCCTATCCTCTGAAAAAGACTTAAAATTGGGCAAATCACCTGTGTCCTATTGGAGACTGAGGAGTCTGGTTACATTCTCTTTAAGACCCTGTTCTAAGGCTGACTCTCTAGATGTCCCAACTGTGCTAATGTAGTGCTTCCCTAGAGTATAGGGCCTAACAGGCCCTATACTCTAATTTTCGTAGCCTCACAACCATGAGCCAACTGAAGACTATTTTGTGTTTCAGTGGCTTTTTGACTGGCTCTTAGATTTTCATCCAGTGCAGGCTATGAGTTTGGTAAAACCTTGAAAGGAACAATAAATAGTATTGGAATTTACATCTTGGTGCTTCCCTACTCTCACGGATCTTGGCCCCTTAATCGTGGCTTCCTTCATGGCCTCACACTCCAATTTGTTGTCTCCTTATCTCCAGAAGATTCCTAAAAGTTATCTTGGCTTCTCTGTAAGATAGTATCAACCCTCAACCTGAAGTCTCAACCAGAATTGGCAAATGTCCTAAGATCACCTAAGTATGTAAGCTCACCTTTCTTTGGTTCCTTTTTCACCAGGATCTTCACATCTCATGTCTTGGATATCCTGGTGGTTCTCTTATATCTCTGAATACACACACATACACATATACATATACATACATATGCATGTTATTTTATCTGTCTTTTCTTGATCTCAATGGGAATGTTGGTTTGCTATAAGCTCTGTCAACATAGCCAAGGCATTTATGTTTTTCAGGTTCACTCAATCACTTTTTTGACTTTGCCAGTGAGCAATAAAGGCATTTGAAAATGTTTCTGGTAACTTAAATTCTAAACATATTTTGGGACATAAAAATGTTTTTCTGCTAAATTATCTCTAGGTTATTTTGTCACCAAATAATAAATTCTTCACTTACAGCTGATTGTTCAGATGCTGACATTGTCTATGTCTCATTTGCATTATCTTTTTCTGTAGAAAAATTACTACACATTCTCATAATAAGCACATCTTCCAATTTATGCTCAATCATCTGTTAGTTCCCCTTATAGCTTTGCAAATTTACCTCAGCATTTTTCTTCTTCAGTGAATTTAGGGTCCTTAAAATTTCAGGTGCTTCTCAATATATTCTCTTCTCAAACAATTTATGATAGGTCATCGGCGTATCCCATTATTAAATACCCCTAGTCAGGTGAGTATACTACCCCATCTCTCCTTTAGGTTATTCCACTTAAACTCACAGTAATTCACACTTGGGCATTACTCAAACCATCATTTAAGACTCTAGTAAAAACATTTGGAAAGAAAAAAGAGACATGCCATTTATACATATGTAGGGAGCTTTTGTATTCTCTGTCTACACAGTCTACGTATTTATTGACTTTCTTTCCACAAAACATGGGAAAAGCAGGGATAATTGCCAGTTTTTTTACCCTCTTCTTTATTTTCTGATATGAGCAGAAGAATCAAAGTTAATAGCATTCAATTTTTATATAGCCATTAATTACTGAATAAATATAATGTTAATGTTAATTAAAAAATTGGCCATGTTTCAATTAGTAATTTGTATACATTTTCCCTACCTCTTCTCTATGCTTTTACTTTCAAAATATTGCTATACTTCTTTGTCTTGAATGTTTTAGTTAATTTCATAGAAAACAGGAAATTTAAATTCCTATTTTCCTAGGTAATTTAAGTTCCTATTTTCTTAGGTAATTTCCTAGAAAATAACCTTCTTTTCTTTTTTTAGAAAGCTATGTTATTTATCTAATGCTGTATCACTGATCTCTAAAAATTTACTGCATTTTAACAACAATAATCGTTTGCTATATTTCCTTAATGTTCTGGGCCAGGAATTTGGAAAAGCCTTGGCTAGGGAGTTCTACCTTGGGGGTCTCTAGAGAAATTGCAATTTGATACGGTCTGGGTCTGCATTCTTCTCTAGACTTGACTGAGGCTGGAGTCTACTTCAAGGTAAGTGGCTCACTCACAGAACTTGCAAATTGGTGTTGGCCACTGGTGGAAGTCTATCTCCACTTGGGTCTCGGGTCTCATATGGCCTAGGGTTCTGTGAAACACAGTGACTGTACTCTAAAGTCAAATATCTTGAAGAGAAATAAAAGAGTAAGAGAGTAAGAGAGGGAGAGACAGAAAGGGTTAGCTCTAGTTAGAAACTATATCCTTTTTATGACCTAGTCTCAGAAGTCACGTAGCATCACTTCTACCACATTCTATTCATTAGAAGGGAGTCACTAAGTATGACTCATATTCATTGGGAGATGAATTAGAATCTATGTTTCAATGGGACAAGTGTCAAAGAATTTGTAGATATATTTTAGAAGCACCACAACAGCCACATGTGCCTTAAACTCAAATTATAATTTATTCAATTATGGAAACTGGGAAGATGAAATTAATCTGGTTCCTGCTGTTGCTATGAATAACATCCTACTGAATGATTTTTTTGGTGAGATATTGAATATATAACTAAGTTCTTTTTAATATTTTCCTATATTTTTCAAAAGTCTTAATAACCTTATTAAGCATATTTCATAACATTTTGATTAGAAAGAACTGCTGCCTACAAGAATTCAGAAAACCAATTATTTCATATCAAAATTTGTAAAAAGAAAATAGATAAAATACTGTCTGCAAAATCAGACTCTGCGCTTAAAGAAATTAAGAAATGTATTCTACATATTACAATAGGGAAAATTTAAAACTCCAAAAACAAAAGGAGGTTCTATGTGAAAAGTCATCAAAATTAAAATATCATTAGGATCAAATTTGAATACTAGTCCTTCCCAGTTTATCAATAAAATATTTTTGTGGAACAGAATAAATGTAATGCAACACAGAGAAAATAACTGTAACTGCTAGCCTGGTACCCAAATTAAGTGAAAGGTACTCTCCATACGCAAGTCGAAGGGAGACAGCCTCCTTATAATTTCTTGTGAAAAAAGTTTGGCTCTCTCCCACTTCCTGCAAATGACCAAGTGGAAGGAAATGAAATAATCAATTAATATCCTTTCTATTTAAAGATGTCTTACAAATTAATGAAAATAACTCAGTAGAGTAGTCTAATAGGCACAAAGGCAGAAAATAGCTAGTGAAAATTCACAAAACACATACAATGGAGTAATACACACAAAATATGTGCCTTTCAGTATTAAGAAAGTATATAAATCAGTGAAATTAAATTTTTATCTATTAGATTGGTCAAGGTGAAAAAAATCAGGTATTTAGCTGGAGTTAATACTCATGTGGATAGCTTCGAGTGGTTGAATCTGTGTGCCTGCTGTGCAGCCATCCTATCTGGGTATACAACCTGAATCCCCACCTACAACTATTACCTCAGACACATTATCTAATTCTTTGTGTTTCACTTTCCTCATCTGTAAAGTTAAGATAATAACAGAATCTACTTAATAGAGGTACAGTGATGATTAAATAAAAATTCACCTATGGCACTTAACAGAATTTGATATTCAGTAATACTATTATTATTTGCAATTTATTATTTTCACCATTACTTTCATAGTTATTGTCATGTTCAGGGTCAAATGGACTGTCCCTCTTACATATTACTGGTAGGAGTATAAACTTGCTCTGCATTTCTGAAAAACAACATAACAACATATTAAGTTCTTTAAAAATGTTCATGCTCCTTGGTCAAATAATTATGTGACTCTATTCTAAAGAAATAGCTAGAGTGGTAAACTAAATTTTATGCACATAAATATGTTTTTTTTTTTTTGAGACAGAGTCTCGCTCTGTCGCCAAGGTTAGAGTGCAGTGGCACCATCTCAGCTCACTGCTGCAACCTCCACCTCCTGGGTTCAAGCAATTCTCCTGTCTCAGCCTCCCAAGTAGCTGGGACTTAGGCGCACAGCTAATTTTTTTTTTTGTATTTTAGTAGAGATGGGGTTTTACCATGTTGCCCAGGCTGGTCTTGAACTCCTGAGCTCAGGCAATCCGCTCGCCTCAGTCTCCCAAAGTGCTAGGATTACAGGCGTGAGCCACCATGCCCGGCCATAAATACGTTCATTACAGTATATCTAAGAGCTAAAATTAGAGATAACCTGAATTTTCACCATTAAAATAATCCTATTATATTCAATCACATGCCAGAATATTATGACTCATTAGATATTAGTCATCAGACATATTTTAAAGCTATATATTAGTCATTAGACATATTTTAAAATTATGAACAATACACAACAATTGTACATATAGCTGCCCAGATTTACATCTCTGCTTTATCTAGTAATTAATATATATCTACTGAGGAAAGTGATTAAATTTATCAGACCTGCAGTGGTTATCTTTGAGTGAAAGTCTTAAAGATTTTAATAATTTTCTAACTTCCAGTTTTAAAAAAATTTACACAAAGATATTGTTTATATGATTAAAAATATTATAAACCATATTACAGTGAAAGATTTACTAGAAATTATGGGTTTAATGATAAATCAAAATGTGCAGTTGGCACTGTAGTTACCAGGAAATAAACTGTTTTAATATTTATTTTAATATTTATTATTTACCAGGTATTGAAGTAGGTGGATTGTCATATTTAACTTGTTTAAATGGTGATTGTATCCTTTTCAACTACCACTATCTTCCCCACCCTACACGTTAAAAAAGAAAAACAAAGGCTTGGTCAGTTTAAGGGATGTTAAATACAGAAGAATTAATTCTCGATTGTTCTATTGTCAATAGATGTGATATCAGCATTGAGAAAAATAGCAAGTCTTTATCTGAAGACTAATAATCATTTTGTCCCTCATCTGTATGAAATGGAGATGTATGGATATAGATATATCAGAGTGGGTATCTGCCTAGATCGGTATTTTTGAAGAAGAAAGATTTTGACAGAGCCCATTATGTCAAATCTAAAAAGAACAAGGCAGGCATCAGACTGCATCAGACTGCATTGTCTTGAATTTAAAATATCTCGGTAAATTAACATCACATATCTGGGTCAATCTGAATAGGAAGGGTGGTGGTACTCAGAGTGGTACCACAGAAATAAGAGGTTGAGGCTATTTAGGAAAATGAAGTAAATACATTTTGGTATGCTATAAATAAATCATGGCAATTTAGGTTAGTTAAGATTAAATTATATAAGTTGATAATAAACCTAGATAAAGAGAAGTGTTTCCCAATGCTTTCTCAAAGACTCTTTTATTTTCTTCCGTATCTTCAGCATAAAGTGTGAAGAGTTCTACTTGAAGTCCTTCTACTACTTGAGTAAAATCATTGTTTTAGATATATTGAGCAAATGCAAAACTTATAATCTATTCTGTCTAAAAGTTTATTCTGTAAAGTACATCACCTCTAGTTTGATTTTATTTATTGCATAAGAATTCATTATGTTCTTAAGATAGTCAAGGAAACGTGCTATATATCTTGCATGCCACAAACTTGCAAAGGAAGGTGTAAAGTTATAAGGAGAAAGTGATTAGGAAAAGATTTTAGGTTGATTAGATAAGGGTCTTGAGGGACTGAACAGGAGTTTATGATGGAAGGAAGTGGGCATAAAATGCAGTCATTGTTTTTAAGGCAGAAATTCATACAGAAACAATAACTGAAATTAAGAGGTAGAAAAGACCTACAAATATAACTAAATAAACTGATTTCAATATTAGTAAATTAAGATGCATTGTTATTTACTGAGGCCAGGAATCAGATTGGAAACTTAAGTCTAAAAAGTTTAAATTATACCCAATTTAATTTCTCTGAATCATCTTCCTAAGAAATAACATACATAAGAGAAATGTACATTTCTCCAACGTTTCCATTAGATAAAAACCATTAATCCCTGTCATCTGGCTAAAATTTTGTCAATAAACTGTGCCAGTAAAATCACTACCTCAAAACAAGCTCTAAATAAAAAGCTTTTATAGGTAAAAAACTTTCACTTTAAACAGGGGCTATTGACTCTGGTTTAATGTATAATCATTAAAAAGTACTTAATATGCATACAAATGCATTTTCTTGTTAGTATTTCCTTCGTCACTGTCCCGAATGAGTAAACATACCAGAGCTAAATGATGCCGTTTTCTTGATCTAATATTCTATCCAACAGACATTTAATAACAAAATTAAATTTTTTAGGTGGCTATAAAAAATCAGGCAGTTGGCATACAAAAAGAAAGTTCTAACAAAGTGCCAATTTTACTCTAAAAAATAACCTAAATTACAATATTTAAAATTTTTGTTTAATTTATACATGATATGAAGTATCCTGTATAGGTATATATGTATATGTGTGTGTATGTATCTGGATAATGTATATTATGAAGGGAAAAAATAATAAAGTCTGGTTTAAAAAATTAAAATGAAAAAATTAGAGACTTTTATCTAATTTTAGCAAATTTAGATTGGATAATTTATATAGAGAGAGACTAATATAATATGGGAAAATAATAAAGTTCCATTTTATATATGTAAAAATAAGGTAAGAGTAATTGGAATTAAGTTATTATTTTGAGATTTCTTCTTCAATACTATACTATATGAAACAACTTTTTCAACTCTGAAATTGAATAACTCAGTGTTAAATAAAAAACAAGTTTTTTTCTGTTATGAATGAGCAAATTTAAAATTCAATATATCCAAGATACAATTTAAGACATCACAATTTTTAAAAACCTGTAAGTGGTGAGTTTAACAAACATGAAATACAATTGCTACAGAGAAGTCAGGAAGAGTTCTTGCTCTTGGGTCAGATGGAGTTAACAGAATTTTCTCACTGAATAAGTCAATTCCTGCAGTTAAAAAATTGCTTCTTACGTATGCTTATATATGTTTTATTTTGTAGAATAATCTAATTTAAATAAAACCCGCAATTGCCTGTAGAGTGTCTTCAAACACTATTCTATTTTTAATACCCCATAAGTCTCTAGAACAGTCACATGTCAGTTAATGATGGGGATAGGCTCCAAGAAATGTATTAGGTGATTTTGTCATTGTCCCAACATTAAAGTGGACTTACACAAACCTAGATGGTAGAGCTTACTACACACCTAGGCTATATGGTATAGCCTGTTGCTCCTAGGCTACAAACCTGAACAGCCATGTTCCTGTGCTGAAAACTGTAGGTAACTGTAACACAATTATAAATATTTGTGTATCTACATTAACATATCTAAAGAAAGAAAAGGTACAGGAAAAAATGGTATTATAATCTTATGGGAACATTATCATATGTAAGGGCCATCATTGTCCAAAATACAATTATGTGTCACATGACTATATACATTTTGAAATAAATAATAGTAATAGTATGGGAGATAATATCGAAAAAAGGCCATAAAACAATTTCAATAGAGAAATAAGCTCAGAACAGGTTCATACTGAACCCTCATATTTTACACCTTAATAGATCTCATATCCTGCAACATGGGTAAAATATTTTAAATTATAGGCATACTCATTTTATTCCCTTGTTGAAAAGCATTTAGTAGATTCCAATGGGCCCTAAGAGAAATACAACCTCATTAGCACGTCACTAACTAACTTCAACAAATGGGATAAAAGCAATCTTCTTAGTCTTCATGTTATTACTACTATTCACTCTTAATTACCTTGTCTTCTAGACCAGTGATTCTCAACTGAGGATGATTTTACCTCCTAGGGGACAGTTAGAAAAGACTGAAGATATTTGGTTGTTGTAATTCAGAAATGCTACCAGTATCTATGGATAGAGGCCAGGAATATTGCTAAACATCAAGCCTGTAATGTATAGGAACATCTCTCTTCCTACCCCAACAATGAATTATCTGTTCCAAAACACCAATAGTGCTGAGGTTGAGAAATGCGGTTCTAGACAAACATTCCTAATCATTTTTAATATCATCTTTCCCATATAGTTCTTTTGCCTTAACATTTCTTTCTTCCCATTTCTCTTTGTCAAAATTACACTTTTCTTTCAATTCTCAATTCAAATGCTCCTTTTTGCATGAAAACTTCAATTCAATGTGATGGGTAAAATTCAGTTAAGATAAAATATTTTTGGGTTCAATATGCTCAGCAAGACTCTATGATATTAGTAATTATAATTAGATACATACAGCAAAATATACCTTATATGTAAATTATAAAACATAATAATAACATGCATCTGAAAATCTGCCATCCCAACTTGAAAACAGAATATTGCCGACTCCTTTACATCTACTCATGTATTTTTGTCCTTATTCTACTCTTCTACCTCCCTCAAAACTAATCACTATCCCAAAATTTGTGGTATCCTTTGCTGTTTCGAAAAGCACATTTATATGCCTATATCCACATGGAACATATATTTTGTTTTTGAACCTTAGAAAAAATGTCATCATATTGTATCTAGTCTTTTGCAATTTGCCCTATTCACTCATTGTTGTTTGTAAAATTCATCTAGATTGTTGCTTGCAACCATAGTACTATATTTCTGTGTACACTTAGTATTTGTAAATAAATAAGAATTTTATATATTCATTCTAGGAACATTTAAATGATACTTCTTTTTTTGGCTATTAAAAGCAATTATGGCATGAAAACATTCTGGTATATATGTACTAACGTACAGGGGCAAGGCTTTCTTTAGAATGTCAATAAACCAAAATAAAAAAAAAAACTATTTGGTAAATATTTATGTAAATGTTCAATTTTATTAGGTTTTTGCCAAACTTTTCCCCAACTGTTTGAACAATTTATACTCCAAATTTTTCCCCAACTGTTTGAACAATTTATACTCCTATATAGCAGGTATAAATGTTCTTGCTGATTCACATCTTCACTGTCACTTGCTATAACATTTTGTATATAAATTATTATAAACTACAGATAGTAGAATTTTAATTTATTACAACAACTTTACTTTGTAAGTGGCAAGTTTAGTTCAATTATATTCATTGTGGTTACTGATATGTTTGAAATTTTAAAATTATATTATCACCTGATCACTTTACTTGCTTTCTTATGCTATAATTTCCATCTTTCTAAAAACTATAGTTTTTTCTGATGCAATTTTAAATTTATTTTGGTTTTCTTCTATTGTTACCTCCTCTACTATCGGTTATCCTTGAAGATTTACTATGCCCACTTAACATAGTAAAAAATTAATTCCTTAACGCTAAAATAATATAAGGATCTGA
Source organism: Homo sapiens (assembly GCF_000001405.40). Lineage (NCBI taxonomy): Eukaryota > Metazoa > Chordata > Mammalia > Primates > Hominidae > Homo > Homo sapiens. The sequence goes on from NC_000008.11 coordinate 88,147,322, forward strand.
GAATATTTTAATTCTCATGTTTTATGGTTTACATGCTATTATTATCCAATAAACTTTTCTTTTTAGTTACACAGATTACACATTGTTATTAATGTGTGCATGCAATGTTTATTACTTTCTTTCATCAATATTATTTCATCTAAGTTTTTTTCTAGGAATCTTTTCTTTCTCCTTATACTTCATGTCTCAGAAATTTGTGAAGAACTGTTAAGTGAATGGTCAACTGCCTCACTTTTTATACTTTTTTTTCATTTCATCCTAACCTTGGAAAGAGTTTTGCTGGGTAATTCTAGGTTGAGTTATTTTCTTTTGGCATTTGAATATATGCCACTGTCTTCTTGACTCTCCAGTGACTATGGGAGTTTCCTGTGAAATTGTACCTAATGAGTCTTTTCTATCTGTTGGTTTGGAAAAATCCTCTCTTTGGTCCACAGTAGTTACTATAAAATATGTGTTTGTGTGTGTGTGTGTGTGTGTGCATGCACGCCCCTAGTTTATGCTGCTTTGAATATATTGAGCTTCCTCTATATGTGGATTCATATTTTTACTTCTAGATAATTATCAACAAGTATACTTTGCACTTTGCATACTCTTTCCCCCGTTTTCTCCTTCTGGGACTCCAATTGTATTATATTACATCATTTTGTACTATTTTCCGTATCTCCTAACCTTTCACATTTCCTATCTTTTTTACTCTCTATACTGCAAATTGCAGATTTACTATCTGCAAATCTATCCTTTTGTTCACAAAATATTTTTTCAACCAATCCTAGCCTGCTATTCAATTTAATTGTTATGATTACATTTTATTCTTACTATTGCATTTCTAAGGTTCTGTTTCTCAGCTCTTCTTGGTTCCTTTTCATAGTCACTTGATGTCTGCTCAATTCTGTGATTCCATTTTTTCCTTTTTAAAGACATCCTGCATTGAAGTTTTAAAAGATATCCTATTTTAATATTATGTATCTTAATTTCATAAATTCAGTATCTGAAATCCTGGAGATTAATCTATTGTTTAGAGCTGATTCTCATTCATGATAATGTTTCCTTCAGTGTTAGTGATCTTTGCTCCTAAACTTCTATTTGCATGATAGCCACCGGTGAAAATAGCTGGGTGCCTAAATGCAGTATGTTTCCTCTAGAGGATACATATTTGCTTATGCAGGGAGCTGTGTATGTATGTGTATCATTTTGTCCACATCCAAGTGCAGTATTTTAACGCGGGAGCTTCAGATTCAATTTGCTCACCTTGCCCTTGAACTAAGGTTTGGTCTCTGCATTTCACACACGCTCACCACTCAAAACTCTAGTTTTAGCTCACTGTTTTACTGATCATTTGGAGATATCCTTACTGAATGTGATGTCAAAATATTCAATAAAAATTGTACATTATTGCTTATCTATTTCTTTAGTAGTAAGAAGAATCTCTGGAATATTTTGTCTTCCAAAAGTAACCATTCCAAGAGTTTTCTTTTAAAATCTCTACATGTTACTTGTTAAAATCAGTATCAGAAATACGTGTATTATGGGGAGGAGCCAAGATGGCCGAATAGGAACAGCTCCGGTCTACAGCTCCCAGCGTGAGCGACGCAGAAGACGGGTGATTTCTGCATTTCCATCTGAGGTACCGGGTTCATCTCATTAGGGAGTGCCAGACAGTGGGCGCAGGCCAGTGGGTGCGCGCACCGGGCGCGAGCCAAAGCAGGGCGAGGCATTGCCTCACCTGGGAAGCGCAAGGGGTCAGGGAGTTCCCTTTCTGAGTCAAAGAAAGGGGTGACGGACGCACCTGGAAAATCGGGTCACTCCCACCCGAATATTGCGCTTTTCAGACGGGCTTAAAAAACGGCGCACCACGAAACCATATCCCACACCTGGCTCGGAGGGTCCTACACCCACGGAATCTCGCTGATTGCTAGCACAGCAGTCTGAGATCAAACTGCAAGGCGGCAGCGAGGCTGGGTGAGGGGCGCCCGCCATTGCCCAGGCTTGCTTAGGTAAACAAAGCAGCCGGGAACCTCGAACTGGGTGGAGCCCACCACAGCTCAAGGAGGCCTGCCTGCCTCTGTAGGCTCCACCTCTGGGGGCAGGGCACAGACAAACAAAAAGACAGCAGTAACCTCTGCAGACTTAAATGTCCCTGTCTGACAGCTTTGAAGAGAGCAGTGGTTCTCCCAGCACGCGGCTGGAGATCTGAGAACGGGGGGACTGCCTCCTCAAGTGGGTCCCTGACCCCTGACCCCCGAGCAGCCTAACTGGGAGGCACCCCCCAGCAGGGGCACACTGACACCTCACACGGCAGGGTATTCCAACAGACCTGCAGCTGAGGGTGCTGTCTGTTAGAAGGAAAACTAACAAACAGAAAGGACATCCACACCAAAAACCCATCTGTACATCACCATCATCAAAGACCAAAAGTAGATAAAACCACAAAGATGGGGGAAAAAACAGAACAGAAAAACTGGAAACTCTAAAAAGCAGAGCGCCTCTCCTCCTCCAAAGGAACGCAGTTCCTCACCAGCAACGGAACAAAGCTGGATGGAGAATGACTTTGATGAGCTGAGAGAAGAAGGCTTCAGACGATCAAATTACTCTGAGCTACGGGAGGACATTCAAACCAAAGGCAAAGAAGTTGAAAACTTTGAAAAAAATTTAGAAGAATGTATAACTAGAATAACCAATACAGAGAAGTGCTTAAAGGAGCTGATGGAGCTGAAAACCAAGGCTCGAGAACTACGTGAAGAATGCAGAAGCCTCAGGAGCCGATGCGATCAACTGGAAGAAAGGGTATCAGCAATGGAAGATGAAATGAATGAAATGAAGCGAGAAGGGAAGGTTAGAGAAAAAAGAATAAAAAGAAATGAGCAAAGCCTCCAAGAAATATGGGACTATGTGAAAAGACCAAATCTACGTCTGATTGGTGTACCTGAAAGTGATGCGGAGAATGGAACCAAGTTGGAAAACACTCTACAGGATATTATCCAGGAGAACTTCCCCAATCTAGCAAGGCAGGCCAACGTTCAGATTCAGGAAATACAGAGAACGCCACAAAGATACTCCTCGAGAAGAGCAACTCCAAGACACATCATTGTCAGATTCACCAAAGTTGAAATGAAGGAAAAAATGTTAAGGGCAGCCAGAGAGAAAGGTCGGGTTACCCTCAAAGGGAAGCCCATCAGACTAACAGCGGATCTCTCGGCAGAAACCCTACAAGCCAGAAGAGAGTGGGGGCCAATATTCAACATTCTTAAAGAAAAGAATTTTCAACCCAGAATTTCATATCCAGCCAAACTAAGCTTCATAAGTGAAGGAGAAATAAAATACTTTACAGACAAGCAAATGCTGAGAGATTTTGTCACCACCAGGCCTGCCCTAAAAGAGCTCCTGAAGGAAGCGCTAAACATGGAAAGGAACAACCGGTACCAGCCGCTGCAAAATCATGCCAAAATGTAAAGACCATCGATGCTAGGAAGAAACTGCATCAACTAACGAGCAAAATCACCAGCTAACATCATAATGACAGGATCAAATTCACACATAACAATATTAACTTTAAATGTAAATGGACTAAATGCTCCAATTAAAAGACACAGACTGGCAAGTTGGATAAAGAGTCAAGACCCATCAGTGTGCTGTATTCAGGAAACCCATCTCACGTGCAGAGACACACATAGGTTCAAAATAAAAGGATGGAGGAAGATCTACCAAGCAAATGGAAAACAAAAAAAGGCAGGGGTTGCAATCCTAGTCTCTGATAAAACAGACTTTAAACCAACAAAGATCAAAAGAGACAAAGAAGGCCATTACATAATGGTAAAGGGATCAATTCAACAAGAGGAGCTAACTATCCTAAATATATATGCACCCAATACAGGAGCACCCAGATTCATAAAGCAAGTCCTGAGTGACCTACAAAGAGACTTAGACTCCCACACATTAATAATGGGAGACTTTAACACCCCACTGTCAACATTAGACAGATCAACCAGACAGAAAGTCAACAAGGATACCCAGGAATTGAACTCAGCTCTGTACCAAGCGGACCTAATAGACATCTACAGAACTCTCCACCCCAAATCAACAGAATATACATTCTTTTCAGCACCACACCACACCTATTCCAAAATTGACCACATAGTTGGAAGTAAAGCACTCCTCAGCAAATGTAAAAGAACAGAAATTATAACAAACTATCTCTCAGACCACAGTGCAATCAAACTAGAACTCAGGATTAAGAATCTCACTCAAAGCCGCTCAACTACATGGAAACTGAACAACCTGCTCCTGAATGACTACTGGGTACATAACGAAATGAAGGCAGAAATAAAGATGTTCTTTGAAACCAACGAGAACAAAGACACAACATACCAGAATCTCTGGGATGCATTCAAAGCAGTGTGTAGAGGGAAATTTATAGCACTGAATGCCCACGAGAGAAAGCAGGAAAGATCCAAAATTGACACCCTAACATCACAATTAAAAGAACTAGAAAAGCAAGAGCAAACACATTCAAAAGCTAGCAGAAGGCAAGAAATAACTAAAATCAGAGCAGAACTGAAGGAAATAGAGACACAAAAAACCCTTCAAAAAATCAATGAATCCAGGAGCTGGTTTTTTGAAAGGATCAACAAAATTGATAGACCGCTAGGAAGACTAATAAAGAAAAAAAGAGAGAAGAATCAAATAGACACAATAAAAAATGATAAAGGGGATATCACCACTGATCCCACAGAAATACAAACTACCATCAGAGAATACTACAAACACCTCTACGCAAATAAACTAGAAAATCTAGAAGAAATGGATACATTCCTCGACACATACACTCTCCCAAGACTAAACCAGGAAGAAGTTGAATCTCTGAATAGACCAATAACAGGAGCTGAAATTGGGGCAATAATCAATAGTTTACCAACCAAAAAGAGTCCAGGACCAGATGGATTCACAGCCGAATTCTACCAGAGGTACAAGGAGGAACTGGTACCATTCCTTCTGAAACTATTCCAATCAATAGAAAAAGAGGGACTCCTCCCTAACTCATTTTATGAGGCCAGCATCATTCTGATACCAAAGCTGGGCAGAGACACAACCAAAAAAGAGAATTTTAGACCAATATCCTTGATGAACATTGATGCAAAAATCCTCAATAAAATACTGGCAAACCGAATCCAGCAGCACATCAAAAAGCTTATCCACCATGATCAAGTGGGCTTCATCCCTGGGATGCAAGGCTGGTTCAATATACGCAAATCAATAAATGTAATCCAGCATATAAACAGAGCCAAAGACAAAAACCACATGATTATCTCAATAGATGCAGAAAAAGCCTTTGACAAAATTCAACAACCCTTCATGCTAAAAACTCTCAATAAATTAGGTATTCATGGGACGTATTTCAAAATAATAAGAGCTATCTATGACAAACCCACAGCCAATATCATACTGAATGGGCAAAAACTGGAAGCATTCCCTTTGAAAACTGGCACAAGACAGGGATGCCCTCTCTCACTGCTCCTATTCAACATAGTGTTGGAAGTTCTGGCCAGGGCAATCAGGCAGGAGAAGGAAATAAAGGGTATTCAATTAGGAAAAGAGGAAGTCAAATTGTCCCTGTTTGCAGACGACATGATTGTTTATCTAGAAAACCCCATCGTCTCAGCCCAAAATCTCCTTAAGCTGATAAGCAACTTCAGCAAAGTCTCAGGATACAAAATCAATGTACAAAAATCACAAGCATTCTTATACACCAGCAACAGACAAACAGAGAGCCAAATCATGAGTGAACTCCCATTCACAATTGCTTCAAAGAGAATAAAATACCTAGGAATCCAACTTACAAGGGATGTGAAGGACCTCTTCAAGGAGAACTACAAATCACTGCTCAAGGAAATAAAAGAGGATACAAACAAATGGAAGAACATTCCATGCTCATGGGTAGGAAGAATCAATATAGTGAAAATGGCCATACTGCCCAAGGTAATTTACAGATTCAATGCCGTCCCCATCAAGCTACCAATGACTTTCTTCACAGAATTGGAAAAAACTACTTTAAAGTTCATATGGAACCAAAAAAGAGCCCGCATCACCAAGTCAACCCTAAGCCAAAAGAACAAAGCTGGAGGCATCACACTACATGACTTCAAACTATACTACAAGGCTACAGGAACCAAAACAGCATGGTACTGGTACCAAAACAGAGATATAGATCAATGGAACAGAACAGAGCCCTCAGAAATAACACCGCACACCTACAACTATCTGATCTTTGACAAACCTGAGAAAAACAAGCAATGGGGAAAGGATTCCCTATTTAATAAATGGTGCTGGGAAAACTGGCTAGCCATATGTAGAAAGCTGAAACTGGATCCCTTCCTTACACCTTATACAAAAATCAATTCAAGATGGATTAAAGATTTAAACGTTAGACCTAAAACCATAAAAACCCTAGAAGAAAACCTAGGCATTACCATTCAGGACATAGGCATGGGCAAGGACTTCATGTCCAAAACACCAAAAGCAATGGCAACAAAAGCCAAAAGTGACAAATGGGATCTAATTAAACTAAAGAGCCTCTGCACAGCAAAAGAAACTACCATCAGAGTGAACAGGCAACCTACAAAATGGTAGAAAATTTTCACAACCTACTCATCTGACAAAGGGCTAATATCCAGAATCTATAATGAACTCAAACAAATTTACAAGAAAAAAACAAACAACCCCATCAAAAAGTGGGCAAAGGACATGAACAGACACTTCTCAAAAGAAGACATTTATGCAGCCAAAAAACACATGAAAAAATGCTCATCATCACTGGCCATCAGAGAAATGCAAATCAAAACCACTATGAGATATCATCTCACACCAGTTAGAATGGCAATCATTAAAAAGTCAGGAAACAACAGGTGCTGGAGAGGATGTGGAGAAATAGGAACACTTTTACACTGTTGGTGGGACTGTAAACTAGTTCAACCATTGTGGAAGTCAGTGTGGCGTTTCCTCAGGGATCTAGAACTAGAAATACCATTTGACCCAGCCATCCCATTACTGGGTATATACCCAAAGGACTATAAATCATGCTGCTATAAAGACACATGCACACGTATGTTTATTGCGGCATTATTCACAATAGCAAAGACTTGGAACCAACCCAAATGTCCAACAATGATAGACTGGATTAAGAAAATGGGGCACATATACACCATGGAATACTATGCAGCCATAAAAAATGATGAGTTCATGTCCTTTGTAGGGACATGGATGAAATTGGAAATCATCATTCTCAGTTAACTATCGCAAGAACAAAAAACCAAACACCGCATATTCTCACTCATAGGTGGGAATTGAACAATGAGATCACATGGACACATGAAGGGGAATATCACACTCTGGGGACTGTGGTGGGGTGGGGGGAGCGGGGAGGGATAGCATTGGGAGATATACCTAAGGCTAGATGACGAGTTAGTGGGTGCAGCGCACCAGCATGGCACATGTATACATATGTAACTAACCTGCACAATGTGCACATGTACCCTAAAACTTAAAGTATAATACAAAAAAAAAAAGAAAAAAAAAAGAAATACGTGTATTATATATCTATTCTAGGTTGTAAAATTCTGCTTTTCTTATGGCAGTATAGATCATTAATATTTTCATTTAAATTTTACATAATGCTAAGTCTTTCCCTAGGTTTCTATCAAATATCTGATAATAGCATGATCAACAAAATGTTTGTTGAAGGATGAGTATGTGAAAATACATAATATCAGACTTCTGTGTTAACATCACATTTTATACAAATACTGAATGTTTGGTCCAAATTTTGTTTCTATCTTTATATTATGTTACTACTAAATCACAGTAAGTGTAATTCAGGACACATGATTTCTAAAACAAATATTTATAAGGAATACTTTAAAACTACAGATACAATTTAATAATGCAAAGGACATGCATGTAATTAGAATATATACAAAATATTATGTCTTCTATTTTCTTCTATTGTCTAGAAATTTGCATAGTAGGGGTAAAAACAACAGTTTTATTTTTTAGTCCTTTGGGAATAATTTTTTTTCCTGCATAGTGATATAAAGAATCTTTTTCTTTACTTACAGGATATATGTATTTATGGATCTGATTTTATTAATTTTGCAGTGAATAAAATGAGTTCTGAATTGCACACTACTGTCTCATTTTAGAATTGGATATTTTTGCTATTATCTGTTTGCTTATGTATTTTGCTTTAATTTTCCTACTCTTCCACCATCCTTTGAGAGAATCTTGCATTCTTAAGCTGGATTTATTTACCAGATCTTCAATATCTATTCTTTATCCTTGGCTTTCATATCATTTTATCTCTTCATACTTTCCTAGAAATGGCTTACCAAGATTTTCTTCCACATGACAGATTCAGTTTGTACAGTAATAACAGGCTTTTGTTTCCTGTTCCATAGCAAGCTTTTAATGGATGTTCTGAGTTGTTTCCAATATTGTTTTTCTGGTTTTCTTGATAAAATACTTTCAGTGACAGCCTTTTATTCCTGAGTCTTCAAGTAGATGTTCCTTTTCCTTGATTCTTCAGTATCCTTTTAATGGTATCATTCTGTTATTACGACTACCTAGCCTTAGGCAAGTCAACAAATTTTCTGCCTCAATTCCCTTGCAAAATGGAAGTAATTACACTATTTTACAAATTTGTTATGAGGAATAAATGAGTTAAATACACAAAATTAATTTAGAATTGTGTTTGGAACATATTAAATGTGCACTTAAATTAGCACTTGATTTTATTAATTGTTTTCTTCTTTATGCATCTTTGATTAAGGCTGATGATAACCCATAGAGAGGCTTTTTATAATATCTCCTACTTTCTCTACTTTTTTTTAACTTGCTGGTCAAATAATCTTTTCAATTAAAATCTGGAAAGCAAGCTGATATTCCATGGTCTTAGGTCAATTCCCATTGCTCAGGACACATGCATCTGGTACGTACAGCTTTACTGAACAGAGGTGGAATCTTCCTTATGCCCACAGTCTTCTTTTCTGATGCATTAAATCAATGGCAAAGCTACAATCTCCACTGTGGATTATAATAAGGTCTATTTCTGCTGCTTCCATGATATGCAGTCAACAGACTTAGGGAGGAGGGCGGGGGTTCTGGCAATTCTTGATTTCAACTAAAGAAGAGAGTTATAAATTAAATGTTGTTGTTAATAGCTAGTGTTGTTTACATTGTAAGAAATTTACTAAAATTGTAGTATGTTAGGTTTGATAGTGGTATGGTTGTAATTCTGCAAAAAAAAGTTACAAAACTAAAGTAAAAAGCTGTTATTAATCTTAGATAATTTAAGCAATAAGGCTATTAAATCATTAATTCAGACCAATTGGATTTTTTTTTCAGAAACTTAAAGACATTGTCTATATTGAAATAAAGGGATGAAATTTGAAACTTTGATTTCATTTTGTCTTGTTGATGTCTAGATTTAAAGACAAAAACAATTTAAAGATGAATTAGAAGGAAAATTTCTACAGAGACTATGTAAGAGAAGAGAAATAACAGTAGCTAAATAATGGATAATAGGGCAAAATATGTATGAATTATGATTAAGCAACTTACCAAGAGATTCAATGTATATATAAAATCCAAGTAGTACTGATTTACTTCTCAACATATTGTTGCAGCAGACATGGACTAGCTGTTCATTAAACCTGTCACCTTTCTCCTGCCTTCCTTGTGATTAGATGTGATCATAGTATTGCACTCTAGTGCAAACAGGGCAGAAATGGAACAGTTTAGTAGAATAGTTGGCCCTCCCTATCCATGGCTTTTGCATCTATGCAGTCAATCAACCATGGATTGAAATATTTGAACAAAAAAAATACACGGTTGCATCTGTACCAGATATGTACAGACTCTTTAACTCTTGCCCTTATTCTCTAAAAAATTACAGTATAACCACTATTTACATAGCATTTACCTTGTTATAGGTAGTATAAGTAGGCTAAAGATGACTTAAAACATAAAGGAGAATGTGCACAGGTTATATGCAAATATTAAACCATCTTATATAAGGGACTTGAGCATCTGTGCATCTCGGTGTCTGCAGGGAGTCCTCCCGTTCCCCAAAGATACCAGGGGATGGCATATAAATCCCTTACATGAGCAAATTTATCAACTGCTGCCTGGATGTTGACACCTGAGGCAACTTCCGAAGTCATGTGTTGATGCTAAGCCTTCATTATTCTTGGTGTCTCTGATAGAGTGTTTAGACAGAGCTCCTCTATCCCACCACAGCGGCAAGAAATAAAATCAGTTGTGTTAAGCCATAGGAATTTCTGGTTTCATCTGCTTCATTTTATTTTATCTTTTTATTATACTTTAAGTTCTAGGGTACATGTGCACAATGTGCAGGTTTGTTACATAGGTATACGTGTGCCATGTTGGTGTGCTGCACCCATTAACTCGTCATTTACATTAGGCATATCTCATAGTGCTATGCCTCCCCCATCCCCCCACCCCATGACAGGCCCTGATGTGTATTTTTCCCCTTCCTGTGTCCAAGTGTTCTCATTGTTCAATTCCCACCTATAAGTGAGAACATGCAGTGTTTGGTTTTTTGTCCTTGCAATAGTTTGCTGAGAAGGATGGTTTCCTGCTTCATCCATGTCCCTACAAAGGACATGAACTCATCATTTTTTATGGCTGCATAGTATTCCATGGTGTATAGGTGCCCCATTTTCTTAATCCAGTCTATCATTGTTGGACATTTGGGTTGGTTCCAAGTCTTTGCTATTGTGAATAGTGCCACAATAAACATACGTGTGCATGTGTCTTTATAGCAGCATGATTTATAGTCCTTTGGGTATATACCCAGTAATGGGATGGCTGGGTCAAATGGTATTTCTAGTTCTAGATCCTTGAGGAATCGCCACACTGTCTTCCACAATGGTTGAACTAGTTTACACTCCCACCAACAGTGTAAAAGTGTTCCTATTTCTCCACATCCTCTCCAGCACCTGTTGTTTCCTGACTTTCTAATGATCGCCATTTTAAGTGGTGTGAGATGGTATCTCGTGGTTTTGATTTGCATTTCTCTGATGACCAGTGATGATGAGCACTTTTTCATGTGTCTGTTGGCTGCATAAATGTCTTCTTTTGAGAAGTGTCGATTCATATCCTTTGCCCACTTTTTGATGGGGTTGTTTTTTTCTTGTAAATTTGTTTGAGTTCATTGTAGATTCTGCATATTAGCCCTTTGTCAGATGGGTAGATTGCAAAAATTTTCTCCCATTCTGTAGGTTGCCTGTTCACTCTGATGGTAGTTTCTTTTGCTGTGCAGAAGCTCTTTAGTTTAATTAGATTCCATTTGTCAATTTTGGCTTTTGTTGCCATTGCTTTTGGTGTTTTAGTCATGAAGTCCTTGCCCATGCCTATGTCCTGAATGGTATTGCCTAGGTTTTCTTCTAGGGTTTGTATGGTTTTAGGTCTAACATTTAAGTCTTTAATCCATCTTCACTTAATTTTTGTATAAGGTGTAAGGAAGGGATCCAGTTTCAGCTTTCTATATACGGCTAGCCAGTTTTCCCAGCACCATTTATTAAATAGGGAATCCTTTCCCCATTTCTTGTTCTTGTCAGGTTTGTCAAAGATTAGATGGTTGTAGATGTGTGGTGTTATTTCTGAGGGCTCTGTTCTGTTCCATTTGTCTATATCTCTGTTTTGGTACCAGTAACATGCTGTTTTGGTTACTGTAGCCTTGTAGAATAGTTTGAAGTCAGGCAGCATGATGCCTCCAGCTTTGTTCTTTTGGCTTAGGATTGTCTTGGCAATGTGGGCTCTCTTTTGGGTCCATATGAACTTTAAACTAGTTTTTTCCAATTCTGTGAAGAAAGTCATTGGTAGCTTGAGGGGGATGGCATTGAATCTATAAATTACCTTGGGCAGTATGGCCATTTTCACAATATTGATTCTTCCTATCCATGGGCATGGAAAGTTCTTCCATTTGTTTGTGTCCTCTTCTATTTCCTTGAGCAGTGGTTTGTAGTTCTTGAAGAGGTCCTTCACATCCCTTGTAAGTTGAATTCCTAGGTATTTTATTCTCTTTGAAGCAATTGTGAATGGGAGTTCACTCATGATTTGGCTCTCTGTTTGTCTGTTATTGGTATATAAGAATGCTTGTGATTTTTCACATTGATTTTGTATCCTGAGGCTTTGCTGAAGTTGCTTATGGGGTTTCTAAATATACAATCATGTCATTTGCAAACAGGGACAATTTGACTTCCTCTTTTCCTAATTGAATACCCTTTATTTCTTTCTCCTGCCTGATTGCCCTGGCCAGAACTTCCAACACTATGTTGAATAGGAGTGGTGAGAGAGGGCATCCCTGTCTTGTGCCAGTTTTCAAAGGGAATTCTTCTAGTTTTTGCCCATTCAGTATGAGGTTGGCTGTGGGTTTCTCATAAAAAGCTCTTATTATTTTGAGATACGTCCCATCAATACCTAATTTTTTGAGAGTTTTTAGCATGAAGGGCTGTTGAATTTTGTCAAAGGCCTTTTCTGCATCTATTGAGATAATCATGCGGTTTTCGTCGTTGGTTCTGTTTATATGCTGGATTACGTTTATTGATTTGTTGTTTTTTTTTCAAATTATTTTATTTTATTTTATTATTATTACACTTTAAATTTTAGGGTACATGTGCACAATGTGCAGGTTAGTTACATATGTATACATGTGCCATGCTGATGTGCTGCACTCATTAACTCGTCATTTAGCATTAGGTATATCTCCTAATGCTATCCCTCCCCCTTCCCCCAATCCCACAACAGTTCCCAGAGTGTCATGTTCCCCTTCCTGTGTACATGTGTTCTCATTGCTCAAGTCCCACCTGTGAGTGAGAACATGCGGTGTTTGGTTTTTTGTCCTTGCGATAGTTTACTGAGAATGATGATTTCCAATTTCATCCATGTCCCTACAAAGGACATGAACTCATCATTTTTTATGGCTGCATAGTATTCCATGGTGTATATGTGCCACATTTTCTTAATCCAGTCTATCATTGTTGGACATTTGGGTTGGTTCCAAGTCTTTGCTATTGTGAATAGTGACGCAATAAATTTACAAGAAAAAAACAAACAACCCCATCAAAAAGTGGGCAAAGGACATGAACAGACACCTCTCAAAAGAAGACATTTATGTAGCCAAAAAACACATGAAAAAATGCTCACCATCACTGGCCATCAGAGAAATGCAAATCAAAACCATGATGAGATACCACCTCGCACCAGTTAGAATGGCAATCATTAAAAAGTCAGGAAACAACAGGTGCTGGAGAGGATGTGGAGAAATAGGAACACTTTTACACTGTTGGTGGGACTATAAACTAGTTCAACCATTGTGGAAGTCAGTGTGGTGATTCCTCAGGGATCTAGAACTAGAAATACCATTTGACCCAGCCATCCCATTACTGGGTATATACCCAAAGGACTATAAATCATGCTGCTATAAAGACACATGCACACGTATGTTTATTACGTTTATTGATTTGTGTATGTTGAACCAGCCTCGCATCCCTGGGATGAAGCCCACTTGATCATGGTGGATAAGCTTTTTGATGAGCTGCTGGATTAGGTTTGCCAGTATTTTATTGAGGATTTTTGCATCGATGTTCATCAGGGATATTGGTCTAAAATTCTCTTTTTTTGTTGTGTCTCTGCCAGGCTTTGGTATCAGGATGATGCTGGCCTCATAAAATGAGTTAGGGAGGATTCCCTCTTTTTCTATTGATTAGAATAGTTTCAGAAGGAATGGTACCAGCTCCTCCTTGTACCTCTGGTAGAATTCGGCTGTGAATCCGTCTGGTCCTGGAGTTTTTTTGGTTGGTAGGCTATTAATTATTGTCTGAATTTCAGAGCCTGTTACTGGTCTATTCAGAGATTCAACTTCTTCCTGGTTTAGTCTTGGGACGGTGTATGTGTCCAGGAATTTATCCATTTCTTCTAGATTTTCTGGTTTATTTGCGTAGAGGTGTTTATAGTATTCTCTGATGGTAGTTTGTATTTCTGTGGGATCAGTGGTGACATCCCCTTTATCATTTTTTTATTGCGTCTATTTGATTCTTCTCTCTTTTCTTCTTTATTAGTCTCTTGCTAGCAGTCTATCAATTTTGTTGATCTTTTCAAAAAACCAGCTCCTGGATTCATTAATTTTTTGAGGGGTTTTTTTGTGTCTCTATTTCCTTCAGTTCTTCTCTGATCTTAGTTATTTCTTGCCTTCTGATAGCTTTTGAATGTGTTTGCTCTTGCTTCTCTAGTTCTTTTAATTGTGATGTTAGGGTGTTAATTTTAGATCTTTCCTGCTTTCTCTCGTGGGCATGTAGTGCTATAAATTTCCGTCTACACACTGCTTTAAACGTGTCCCAGAGATTCTGGTATGTTGTGTCTTTGTTCTCGTTGGTTTCAAAGAACATCTTTATTTCTGCCTTCATTTCGTTATGCACCCAATAGTCACTATTCAGGAGCAGGTTGTTCAGTTTCCAGGCAGTTGAGTGGTTCTGAGTGAGTTTCTTAATCCTGAGTTCTAGTTTGATTGCGCTGTGGTCTGAGAGACAGTTTGTTATAATTTCTGTTCTTTTACATTTGCTGATGAGTGCTTTACTTCCAACTATATAGTCAATTTTGGAATAAGTGTGATGTGGTGCTGAGAAGAATGAATATACATCTCCTTCCTTTATTAACAACTCTATATTATATGCATTTTAATGTTCATGATCCATTTATATGTTTTTGTAATACTAACATAGTGACATATTTTTGTGAATGTGACTATACCAAATTTTCTGCTACTTTCCAACTGCACATAAGGATCTAAAAATTAATAACCAAGTAGAGACTGCGCAGTAATCATGTAAGGCTATGTAACTGAAAGGTTTTAAAAAAGTCAGTACTATCAAACTTTTGATTACCAGTGTTGTAAAATGAAATAGACTCAGTAAAATGAAGCTCATTCCAGGAAAAAAGGAAAAAAGTCATGTTTTTAAGAACAAACATATATAAATCCTCTGTAATGGGTGTGAAAGCCGAATTATTGAGAGAGTTCGTTCTCCAGTTTTAAAACCTGATAAGAAAAATGTAGTAGAGTTAATATTTTTAGAATTTAAAATCTTAATAAGTTATCTTACTTTAAGGATGAGTTAAAGTCCTTGACTGTCCATATCAAGTCCTTCCCTTTTCAAAAACTCGAGGATAGATGAATTTAGACAGTATTCCCACAGTTGGTGGTACTGACTGATAGGCATCTTCGTAAATATCCAGTTGGTATCTGATCTTCAGTACTGTAGGAGGGGCCTGGTGGAAGGTGACTGGATCATTGGGGCAGATTTGCACTTTGCTGTTCTTGTGATAGTGAGTGAGTTCTAACGAGATCTGGTTGTTGAAAAGTGTGTAGCACTTTCCCTTCACTCTCTGTCTCTCTGTCCTCCCACCATGTGTAGATGTGCTTGCTTTCCCTTAGCCCTTCCACCATGATTTTAAGTTCACTGAGGCCTCCCCAGTCATGTCTCCCATACAGCATGTAGAACTGTGAGTCAATTAAATATCTTTTGTTTATACATTCTCTTGTCTCAGGTAGTTCTTTATATCAGTGTGAGAACAGACTAATGCAGTATTACCTCTTTCTTTCCTCAAATATCAAAGTTCAAATTTTGTAGGCCTCTAAGAAACATTATATAGCAGTGCAGCTGTAAAATGAGCAGGAAAGGTTGGGAAGGCAAACCTTAGGCACACCTGTGCAGACGTAAACCTGCTGAAGGCTTAGGTTTACTTCTACACAGGTGTTTTCTGTAGTATGGCACCAAATGGACATGTCAGTTACAGAAAGCTAACTCTCCAAGGTCAGCTTAAGTCCTGTCCGTTGACTCAAGTATCACACCATGAACACATTTAACTTAAATTAGGTGTATTCAGGAATGAGTGGGTTTGGATGCAGATGTCAATCACTTCACAGTGAATGATGAATTTAATTTAACGGTTTTGATGTCTCAGATGACATCTTTATCATAATTTGTCTCTTTTTGTTTTTTTGACAGCCTGCTACCACAGCGTTGATAACCTTCCTGGTTATCTCCTTATGTTAGGCAGTGAACTTCCTGACAGTAAGCAGCGTAACTGCAATGTATTCTTTTTAAAGAATTGCAACTACGTGGTAAAATAGGATATACCTCTAGATATTATTCTGTCATAAGTTTTATATATTATTTTAATAGATAACCTGCTTTGCTTGGAGTATCCGTTTAAAATTATATTACTTCTGTAGATGCTTGTCTAATTAGGAAGAATCTTTGTGATATGTTTGTGTTTACATTGATAGCACCATTTTAACTTTAACCATAGACAAGGAAATAATGTCCTATTGTTGCTCAAAATAAATCTTAACATTTTGCTGGACTTAAATTTTCCAAGTCTCATTCAGGCAATGTATATCTTTCAAAACCACTATCATGATACATATTTTCTATTTTGAATTAATTTGCATGTTTTAAAATAGTTAATGATGTTAACTGTTTTGCTGATTCATTCCACAAAAATAAAAACTCTTAAAAAAGGCATTATTTGTATTAGGGTTGTGTATATAGGTGTGTGTGAATATGTTTATTTTAATAAAACTATTTTGTAATTCACTTAATGGTCTTTAGCTAGAATTTTCAAAAGGTATGACTATTAGCAAATTGATAGGAAAGTAGATAACAATGAAGTAAGGGTTACTGGCAGCCTAAGACACTGTTTATCTCTTTTAAGGTAGATAGAATGCAAATTGCCTTCATTAGCTGAGCAATGTGCTGTGGAAAATGTGCTGGGTACTTATCAAGAGGCTCTTTCATTTGCATTTTTGCTAAATAAACAAGCTGTTCTGTTTCCCAGCTCTCAAGAGCTCTGAATAGAAGAGAAAGAAAGTAATTCAGGTAAGTAAGCCAGGGGGCATTCCAGGACTAGATTAAAGAAAAAAAAAAAGTTTATCCATGAAGATGTCAGATTTGTGCCATGCATATTTGTGATACAAAAATAGTTTCACACATAGTTAGAATCGAGGATGTACAAATGAATTAATTCTCCCCATAGCCACCAGTACCACAAGCAAAGATAGAGGCTGTTCTTTTGATAAATGATCAATACTTCAGCCTGACACTACTCTAGCTGCCCTGCTGTTGCTGGTTAAAAGTTTGAATTTCAATTAAGCAGTAAATCTTTTTGGCATTACATCTCTAACAGTCAATTAATGTCTCCCTAATCTCTTGAAATTCTGAAACACTATTATTTTGCAGGGTCCTTTCCTTCAGGCTCATTCACCAGCAAAGTGTTCTTGTTAGACAGGTAAAGACATAGTTTCCTCCAAATAAAAACTCAAATATTAAACAATTGTTTTGTTTAGATTTTTTGGTCATTCGTCTATGCGTAAAGAATGTTACACTTCCAGAGTTGTTAGGACACATATTTAACATAATCCGGAAGTAGACTGATGAATACTCTCAGCCAAAAGTGCATTGACGTGATTGTCCCCCTTAGGCCACGTTATATTTCAGAATTTCTTCCCACATATACATTCCTTGGAAAAATTCTTAAATCATACAAAACACATAAGCATTCTAAGCACTGATCACACTCAAATCAGTGTAAACATTATCACCTCTTGTCATAAAATCTCCCTGTAGATTTTTTCCCCAAAACATTTTCTTTATTTTCAGAGTGTTGGTTGATGCCTAAAAGCTAGGTAATACTGTAATTCCAGCAACTCAGGAAGTTAAGGTAGGAGGATTGCTTCAGCCCAAGAGTTCAAGTCCAGCCTGGGCAAAATAGCGAGAACCCCATCTCTAAAAAAAAAAAAAAAAAAAAAGAAAGAAAGAAAAAACCCAGCTAATAAAGTGTATAGCTAAAGAATCCATGCAACCTTCTTCATGGAGGACTTCAATATTTTAAGACAAAATATAGGGAATTTGATAGACATTTCTTTCATATAGGATTTTAATAATTTTAAATTTAAGAGGTCACAAAGCCAAATTAACACATCTTCAAAACTACAGATTTACAATTGTTTTAATGATTAGATCCATTATTGCAATAAAATAAATTTTTATCTTTTCAGAATATCAAAAGAAAATCTTTCCCCTGGAAGTAAATGCAGCCTGTGTCAGTAAAATTCTACCATTATAAGTGCTATTCTTAATCAAGCATTTCTTATATTATTTAAAATAATTTTAAAATTGACTTGAAGAAGTCTGAATTATTTCACTAGAATCCCTGTGTGATTTTGAAAAAACAAAACAAACATATTTTATTTTAAATGATTTATGTGTCAAACTGGTATGCCCCAACTACCATGTTCCAGATGTTTTATTATTAGATGCTCAGGTATAGAGTACGTTAAACATGCATGCATAAAAAGCACTTCTACCTACAATGCTTACAGACCTGCAATATAAACTATATGGTAAAAACAAGTCTACACATTTTTGAACTAATAATTAGCCAGCATGTAAACATAAGTCTGTTTGCCTCCAAAGTTTTTGGCTTTTCATTCTATTATACTAAAATCTTCCACTAGTCTTCAAACCTGTTCTTAAAAATGTAATAACAATTTAATAATACAGCACATGCAACTATTAATAACCATTTGAAAAAATCACCTTACTGCTATATACTTTATTTTATTTTGGAAAACATGAACAGTTATTTATTATATTTTTTCTTTGAAATTGATGTTATTTTAAATTTAACTCAACCTAATTTATCCTATCCAAAACACGAGAGAACCCTGGGTATCCTAAAACTGCAAGGCTATTAATTACACTAATCCAGCTAACTGAACCCTCTTATGAACAAACAAAGCTTAATGTCATGACTAGGGTTAACTTATCAAGGTGAAATTAAGAGTTTTATTACATGATTAGTTGTCATTAAAGAAATGTACACTTATAGTTGAATAACATTCTACAATCAGAAGAAAAATAAGTCTTCACAATAAAAACTGGGGATATGGCTATATAGAAATCTTATAATTCTATGATCCTATAACTGCAAATTTTTTAAAACACAGAATTGAATTATGCATTGTTGACTAGGAAGAAACACATGCCTCTTATATTAAGTAACCACTCTCATATTAAGTAACTAAAAGTTATTGAGATTTTTGATTTTTACATAATTTTTGCATATCAGAATAATTGTAAGGATTAGAAAACTGATGGATAGTTAGGATAGAGTTGCAAAAAATGATCTTTGGTAAAAATTAAGATGTAATGAAAATATAATAAATTATATAGTCCCATCAGATTGGGAGACCAATGAAATGGATGAGAGACAAAAGAGAAGGAGCAAAAAATTACATATATATATATATATATATATATATATATATATATATATATTCTTAATTTTAATTTTTTTTAAACAGAGGGAGTTTGTTTAAAAAACAGACCCAGGCTGGTATTGAACTCCTGAGCTCAAGGGATCCCGTCTTGGCCTCTCACAGTGTTGGGATTACAGGTGTGAGCCACTGCGCCCAGCCTGCAAAAATTATAGACTGGAAAGTTAATAATAGAATAGAAACTAGGCTGAATGTGGTGGCTCATGCCTGTAACCCCAGCACTTTGTGACTCCAAGGTGGGTGGATCACCTCGTGAGAGTGGATCACCTCCTGAGAGTTAGAGACCAGCCTGACCAACATGGTGAAACCCCATCTCTACTAAAAATACAAAAATTAGCTGGGCATGGTGGCAGGCACTTGTAATCCCAGCTACTCAGGAGGCTGAGGTAGGAGAATCACTTGAACCGAGGAAGTGGAGGTTGCAGTGAGCTGAAATTGTGCCATTGCACTCCAGCCTGGGCGACAAGAGCAAAACTTCATCTCAAAACAAACAAACAAAAAAGAATAGAAAATAATGTAGAAAAGATATAGTAGAAGCCAGACTGCAGATGCTAATCCGGATTAAATTACAAGTAGAAACATTGGGATAAGATGCAAAAAAAACAGCAGAATTTTCTTAATATGTATTTCATGACTTAAATACTGATTATAAAATCTTTTAAGGAATCACATTGTGAAGAAGACAAAACTTACTTTAGAGTATTTATAGATACAGTATAAGGTTCTAATCTTTAATCAAAGGAACACATATATAACTATATTATCTAATGACCCACACAAATTCTTATCCTAAAATGCTATAAAATATGCTTACATATTGCTTTGGAATTTTAAAAGTAAATTTAGGATCTATACCTTAAGTTTGTAAATTGTTAAATCTCTTGGTTATTCTGAAATAATAATAGAAATATTTACACTGTAAAACAAACATGTACTTACCATCATGATTAGGATTTCCTAGTGTCCATGGCTCATCTGAGTCAAAATGGGTATCTCCTCCAATTCCTGGTCCAGGGAAGTAGGCATGTGCCAAAAATCCTCCCTCTCCATCAAAGGGAGAGCTGTCCCCATGGAAACCAGATGCAAAAATAATGGTTATATCCACATCACGTTTGCCATTTTCTAATTCACTGTAGGGAACTTCTTCAAATGTCAGAGGAGTTACATTCTGCCACACATCAAAGGCACGGCGAATAGCTTTACGAGTCTCAGGGTCTCCTACTTTTGGAGTTACGTTCTTTATACTGAAAGTTAGAAAATATAATCATCAGTATTGTTATGTATAAGCTAACTTAGTACAGGTTTTGATCGATTCAGTTAAGTAAAATATTAGAGAAAATAGTCATATTAAATAGGAATAACACGTATTCATTCCTCTTGTCTCTACTGTTAGATTTCACTACACTGCAATCATTTAATTTTCTTCAGGATAGTATTCATGTACCAAAGTTTTAAATGAGAAGATCTCTGTAGAATGGTTAACAGTAGGGCAATTGGATCAATCAGTTACTTTACCTTCTGAATAAGAAAGAGAAAGGCAGATTTGCCACATGACCAAAGAGGCAAAACAGTTTGGAGCTGAAATAAAAATTTCAATTTTTTCTAGTTATAATTTTTAGAGGCACACCATTGTATTTGCACACATCCATTTCAAACAATGTCTTTATGCTCTTCTTGATCTGTAAATATGAATTCAGCAGATATATAGTTATTTCTTAATTTGTAACGAAATGATCAAAGAACTACAATTTCTGATGTTCTATTGTTTCTTATTAATTCATTCTAGTTAAAAATGTATTGTGAGTAAACAGCTATTTAATACAAAGTTTTCACAATTACGTCAATTTAGTAACTTGGACATTATGTACTTTAGTTTGTCCTGATGCTAATAACAAACACATTAAATCACTATAAATATTGTACTTGATTCATTTGGCACTAAATCAGATGTTTATTTTTTTCTCAGCTTTTTTCTAAACAACAAAAATGGAACTAGTATTTGTATTTTTTTATATTATAGCACTATAAATTCAAAGCATGCATGTGAAAAAAATGGGTAAATTTCATAGGAGTCATAAATAAGTTTCAGATCCCTTCAACCAATAATGTCATATCTATGAACTTACACTAATGAAATATTTTTGATTTTTTTTTTCTTTTTTAGAGATGGATCTGATTGTGTTGCCCTGACTGGCCTTGAACTCTGGCACTCAAGCAATCCTCCCACCTTTGCCTTTCAAGGAGATGGGATTTAGGAAGTAATAACCATGCCCAGCTGATAAATAAAATATTTAATTACAAAAAAGAGGATACCATATTCAGGTGAATATATATTGAAATGCAATCATAAAAGAGAACTGAAACTGAAACAATTTAAAATGATGAAGTGATGGTTAAATTATGGCATCTCTAATGCATGTCATTGTATAAATAGGATTCAAAATTATTTTGCCCTTTTAAGACTTTTTATCAGCATGGAAAAACTTGTAGGATTAACTTTCCAGTGGAAAAAAATAATATGCATATTATATTTTTAACCTGATTCTCTGTCAATACAATTATAAACATTGGGCAGGAATTATATAAACTAATAATAGTATTAATTGAGCATTTACTATGAGCTAGATGAGCACTTCACATTATCTTATTTAACCTTCTGAGTAACTCAATGAGATGGGTATTTATACCTATTTTACCAAAAGCACAGTGGAGATTTATAAGAATTTTAGAGAAAAACCTCTAAGTGGCAGAGCTGGGTTTTCAATCCAAACATTTGGGCTAAAACTCTTTTGCCTTAAATTCTGTGTTAGACCACATATCTAAGATAAATTTTTCACTATTTTCTAATAAATATCTAGATTATATTTACATTGATTATTTGGTGGTAAATATTATTCATTACATAAAAGAAATAAGATAGCAAACCAAGTGGAAACAGAGTGCAGGCAAGGAAGAAGAAATGGCAAGTGAAAGGCATTGAAGTGAAGATATTCTTGGCAGGTTCAAAGAACAGCAAGGCAGCTGGTGTAGTTTGGTCACAGAGAGAGAGCAAGTGTCAGGATATGAGATCAGAAAGTTAGAAGGAGACCAAATAAGGTAGGTCCCCGAAGGCCACTCTAAATAGAGTTTGGCTTTTGCTCTGAGAAATGAAAAACTGGAGCGTCATGAACAGAGACATGACATTTGACTTATGATTTAATAAATGTCTTGAGACATTATGTTGAAAATATATTGACGTAGGGCAAGATTTGAGGCAGGAAGACACATCAGAAACTATTGCAAAAATCCAGGTGAGAGATGATGGTGCTTTGGACCAGGTTGGTACCAGTAGAGATTTTGAGAAGTGGTTGTATTTTGGATATATTTTGAGAATATGTCTCCCAAGATATACCAATGGATTAGACATAGGCTATGAGGAAAAAAGTAAGAGCTGAGGAAGACAGCATTTATTTTTTTGACCTGAGCCAAAGGATGGACAGAGCAAAAGAATTCATGCCTGCTCAGGGAGAAGGCTATGCAATATTTTGTTGCTATTGTTTTGTTAGTTTGTTTTAACTTTATGTGATACTCAGCATGGTGCTATAAACTATATTTTGAGGAAGAATAAACATCTACACTGAGATAGCACAGACATTTGTCTACCTTGCTAGTCTCTAAATTTCTTGTCTAATGGCTAAAGAAGCATGAGAGGTAATGTAACACTGAATTTCGTCTAAATTAATTTTCCTAATAGTCTTTTATTTTCTATGCACCCTATGGGATTTCAGAACTCCCTCATTAGCGGGCTGATATTCCTATGACACATCATTGAAAGAACTTACTACATAATTGGCACTGTTCCAGGTGCCAGAGATACAGCTGTGGGCAAGACTCTGCTCCCACAGTGCTTATATATTCTAGTTATGAGATAAATAATAAACAGAAAAAAAAGATAATTTCAGATGGTGAGGGGGTGAGGAGATGATAAACAGGAGTTCAATGGCAGAAGGAGCCAAAGATGCCTAGCACTGAGTTTCCAGCCAGAGGGAATGGTGAGAACGCCAAACAAACATGGCCAGTTCAAAGAACCAGACTGCTCAGTGAGTTGGAGCAATCACAATCACTGTGTCTGATGGAAAAATGGATGATGGGACAAAAATGGGAGTAATAAAACATTTCAGAAGTTCACATAAGAGAAGATAGAGACTAGGACTTGTGTGATAGCCATGGAGATATGAAGAATTAGTTTCAGTATGTGTTCTGAGAGAATTGTTCATGGGGATTGGTGATGGATTTGATATGTAATGGAGAAATTGATTTTGATTTCAAATAAAGAATAATCTTATAATAGAGAAATGAAATCATGGTAGTATGATTTGTTTCTAAGTACATAATAGTTTTGAGAAAAATGAAGCAAAATAATATAATAAAAATAATGAATGTGGAGTACTATTTGGATTTGACAACACATCGCTGTGTTTTTCAAAGCTATGTACTGATTAGCTTCCAGATATGCTTAACTACATTATATATGATTACCATTAGTAAATACAAGATACCTGTACACCAAACCCTCATCACACGAGTTTACCTCCATAACAAACCTGCACATGCACCCCTGAACATAAAATGAAAGATTACAAAAAAGAGAGTAAAAGGTTATGGATGCTGATGACACTGGGCCTAGGTTGAATCTGGGAAGTCAGTGCCCAGTTTCACATATGAAGGGTGGAGATAAAAAGGATCATTAAGGTTGAAAAACGTGAGCTGAAAGGAAGGTGTATTTTCAATAATAAATCAGAATAAATAGAAACTGACACTGCTTTATTTATCTTCTGGAGGCCCACTTAATTGTGGATTTTGGATAGAATAAAGATAGCTGGTTAAACAAAATATAAAATTCTAAATTAAAAAATAGGAAAAAACATAATTATAGATATTATTTCATTTTTAATAGGTTTTGCTATGTAAAGTTAAAAGGACTGTTCAAAATGGAAATAAGCACTCAGTGGTCTTACTCGAATTAAACAAAGATGGAAAATTCAACAACATTACTTTAGGAAGAAAAAATACTTATTGCTCTTATTTAAATATATATGATGAATTTCAATGATATGATGCATTTTTTTTTTTTTTGAGACGGAGTCTCATTCTGTCACCTAGGCTGGAGTGCAGTGGCACCATCACATCTCACTGAAACCTCCACCTCCTGGGTTCCAGCAATTATCCTGCCTCAGCCTCCCGAGTAGCTGAGATTACAGGCACCCACCAGTACAGCCAGTGAATTTTTGTATTTTTGGTAGAGATGAGGTTTCACCATGTTGGCCAGGCTGGTCTCGAACTCCTGACCTCAGGTCGCCTTGGCCTCCAAAGTGCTGGGATTACAGGCGTGTGCCACCGTGCCCGGCCATATGATGCATTTTTAATTGTGTTCTCAATGATTTGGTAATGTTGAATTAGCAGTATAAATAATGTAAAAGTAGTAACCCCTCATTTTTTTTATGAAAGTTCAGAAAAAATTGTAGTTAAAATTTCCAATTTAGATGATTAAAATTACTAACTTTTTATAACACATACAATGTAGTGGTAATTTAATGATCTCTGACAACACATTTTATGTAGTAAAAAAATAAATAAATACAAGATATACAAGTATGCTTCAAAGTTAGAGCTAGAGTTCTGAACTAGGTGCAAACAAAAACAAGAGTTTAGAAACTTTTATGCCATGTATTTTGTATTTATAACTGAACTGAAGAGAGATGTATTTTGTATTTATTCATAACTGAACTAACAAAGGTCACAGAGTGATCATGAGGTAATAAGATTGCTACTAACAATTCTAATAAAAATGCAGAAATGATTAAATATATTTGCAGAATAAAAGACACTGACTTAAAATGAGTAAAAGTCTGAAAAACTTAATGAAGCTAATTTAATTTTAAAATATTTTTACTGGCCCTTTCTTTTTGTGAAAAGAGTAAAGTGAGTATACTTCTTATTTTAACAGATGATAGATTTCATTTTTTGAAGTATATCTGGCATTTCATCATATTATTTCACTGATTCTTTCAAACTTCCATTTTGGTAAATTTTGGAATTTTAATCTAAAAATTGTTAAATTTTATCTTTAATGACCATGCCTTACACAATCTTACATAACAAAACCAATGTCTTTATAAGTACAAAAGAGTTGAGAAAAGAGAAGCAAAATAATATAATAAAAATAAATGTGAAACAGGATTTAGATTTGGAAATAAAATTGATGTCTTATCATTAGATCAAAACAATTTCATCTAATAACAATTTTACATATTAGTAATGGTTATAACTCTTTAAAGGTTTTTGTTGTTGTTGTGGTTAAGACAGGGTCTCATTCTATCACCCAGGCTGGAGTGCAGTGGCAAGATCACAGCTCACTGCATCCCCTATCTCCCTGGGCTTAAGGTAATCTTCCTGCCTCAGCCTCCCGAGTAGCTGGGACTACAGTTGTGCACCACCACGCCTGGCTAATTTTTATACCTTTTGTAGAGACAGGGTTTTGCCATGTTGCCCAGGATGGTCTTGAATTCCTAGGCTCAAGCGATTCACTCACCTTGGCCTCCCAAAGTGCTGGGATTACAGTTGTGAGCCACCGGTCCCGGCTCTCTTTAAAGTATTTGATACCTTTTTAAAGTATTGTTTGAACCCTAATATTAGAAAAAAAACTCTAAATACTGTGGCATCTAATCAGGTTACAAATATCTCATAATATTATGTCAAAATATTTTTATATAAACAGGGCTAAATCTCCTTTACTCAATTAAATAGATAAAAATTAGTTATTTAGAAAGGCATACTAATGTTTTATGTAAAATGATTATCGGTTAAATAGAATTTACTACAAAAGGGAAAGCAGACAATTGCTAAGAATAAAAGAAGATAAACATAATATAGTTAAATTATTAACATTCCTGAATGTGCTGTAATATTCTATCCAAAGAAAATAAAATAGACCAATTTACTTTTATTCATATTATGCTTGTCTAATTAATGGAGCTTCACAACTTTTTTCTTAAGTATGAGAAATGGTGACAAAATAGAAAGTGAATATGGAGTCCCTCCAGGAAACCTTCCTTACATTAAATATTTGGCTATTTCCCAAGATGCTGGCTTTCTAGGCAGGGCAGACTTAATTAAGTACATATTACATTGGGTGTTGTTTAAGTGGGTTCTGCTTTTTCAGTCTGTTATGTATTCTCTGGAAACACAAGTTGAGTTCTCTTTGAACTCAACAGGATCATCAAGTTCAATGAAGTCTTTGGGTTTAGAGAGAATAATGAAAAATGTTTCTGTGTAGGCATTTAAAAAAAATTACTTAGTAACCTCTTTTCTCTGTATACACTATTAAAGTAAAATAACTTCCAGTGTGTCCTCAGTTGTAACGGAGTCATTCATTTAAAAACAAGCGGAGCTAAAGGATTAATATACTGGAAAAATAGAAACTAATCAATATAGCACTATTATATTAACTAATATATCATAAATACTCATATTCATCTGGCAATTTAGGTATCTGTCCCATTGGCCATTTGTCACACAAAATAACATTTTGGAACTTAGATTTCGAAGAGAAAAAGAACTTACTGTAAGTCCATTTTATTAATATTCAACAATTGGGAAATACAGATCTATTTGATAAAAGTTATATTACTCAATAAGCTTCTATCACTGTCATGAAAAAAAGTTTAACCAAAGCCTGTTTGGAATTAATGAATTTATTCAACAACCAACTTTCCAACCATTACATAAATGCGTACATAGTCTCTAATTTAACCTAAGTGAATACATTTTTGGTTTAAATACTTCCAAAAATGAAGATAACTCATATGATGTATAATTTAATTTTCCAATCATTTAAAACATTAGATTTTTCTGAAAGCCTTTAACAATTTGAGAATAACTGGAAATTTCCCCCTTAAATACACTTGCCATGATGCTGAGAATGCTTAGCTTTAATCTTGAGTTGTTCCACATGCAGACTGCTTTCCAGCTCCCTTACATTTTGACTGCTTTTTTTTTTTTTTTGAGATGGAGTCTCAGTCTCTTGTCCAGGCTGGCGTGCAGTGGCACAATCTCGGCTCACTGCAACCTCTGCCTTCCGGGTTCAAGCAATTCTCCTGCCTAGCCTACTGAGTTGCAGGGATAAAACGCACGCGCCACCACGCCCAGCTAATTTTTGTATTTTTAGTAGAGATGGGGTTTCACCATGTTGGTCAGGCTGGTCTCGAACTCCTGACCTCAAGTGATATGTCCACCTTGGTCTCCCAAAGTGCTAGGATTACAGGTGTGAGCCACTGTGCCTGGCCTTGACTGCTTTTTGAGAGGAGGACATTAATTGTCCAGGAAGCAGCCAAAAAGGTGATGGCCAGAAGAGAAAAGTGTATATTGGGTAAGGCTTGGCCGAAAAAACCAAAGAGAAAAATTAGCATCACCACTGCTTTGTATACCAAAGTAATCCGGTCATTTTAGCTTTTTCTGGGTCACATTATACTGTTGGTTTATAATGAGTTTGCTATCAAATAAAACCTAGATTCCACCACTCTCACCCCAATTCCTGTCTGCATATTGTCAGGGTACAGTTCAGCTATCCTTTTCAGGAATAATTATTTTTTGAGCTTAAATGTCAGATTTTACTTATTAATTTATTTTCTCTAAATACAGTTAGAAAAACAAGAATAGAAAATGATTGTATAATGCTTTCGATACACTAGGCAATTTCTTAACACCTTACATACATTAACTTTAAAGTGCAATATACTTAGCTCTCATTTCTAACTCTCCATAGTCTTGTCAGCGCACTCTCAACCAATTTCTGCAATTTGTCTGGTAAATTAAAAGAAGTAAAGATAATAATTGGCATATATTAAATACTAACCATACTTCAAGCATTATGCTACTTTCATTATTTTTTCCATTATCTTACTTAATTTTCCCTAAGCTTTGTGAGGTAGTGATAGGGTTTGGCTATGTCCCTACCCAAATCTCATTTTGAATTGTAGTTCCCGTAATCCCCATGTGTCCTGGGAGGGACTCCGTGGGAGGTAATTGAATCATGGGGTCAGGTTTTCCTGTGCTGTTCTTGTGATAGTGAATATGTCTCACGAGATCAGATGGTTTTATAAAGGATTGTTATTTTATAAAGAGCACAAGCTCTCTTGCCTGCTGCCATGTAAGTTGTGCCTTTGTTCCTCCTTTGCCTTCTGCCATGATTGTGAGGCCTCCCTAGCCATGTGGAACTGTGAGTCCATTAAACTGTTTTTTCTTTATAAATTACCCAGTCATGAGTATTTCTTTATAGCAGTATGAAAATGGACTAACACAGGTAGTATTGTTACAATATTCACTTTGCACACCGGGACACTAAGATTTAGTGGATCTAAGTAACTTGCAGGTTTTACAGGTTACAAGTGACACAGAGAGCATTCAAACCCAGGTTTTTCCTGCTATAAAACAGACTCTTAACTGATGCTGTGTTTATCAATGACCTGAAAGTTTATAGACACAAACATAATTACTTGTATGCTTAAAACTGGCTGAGGCCATTGTCAGGACAGTAACACAGAATGAGTGAAATTATAATCAGTTCTGAATATAATAGTTCTTAATCCTCCCTCCCTTCCTTTCTTCCTTCCTTTCTTTCATTTAAAGAAAAAGTGTAGTGAGTAAATAAGGATTCAGAGATACTAATTAGGGTACACTGCCAACAGTTTGGAAATCAGGTCAAAAAAGGACAGTATCTAAAATGAAAACAGTGTATCAATATATGGAGCTGTCTAACGTTTACAGCTCTGTAGCTGATTATACATTTTAGTTCCATTACTACTTATTGATTGTTTTTGTATGGTAAGGGGTAGGTATGAACTCACTCTCATTGTTTCTCATACACATAATCAATTATCACAGAATAATTTTGTAGATGAGATAGTGAATCCTTTTCCAATTGATCTATAAAGTCTACTTTGGCATAAATCAATTTTTTATATATACAAGGATCTGTTTCCATGATCTATTGTCTGTATTACTGGCCTATTAATCTATCTTTGTGCTAATACCCAAAACTGCCTTAATTAGTATTGTTTTAAAGTAAGTCTTCATATCTTGTGGGTGGGAACATTTTGATGTTCTCCTTGGCCTTCACTGTTCCTCAGAGATGTTTGATTCAGTGTGTTAAATTATACAAAAAAAGTCTTACTGGGATTTTTGTTGGAATTGCATCGATTTTGTGGAAAAGTCAAACTTTCATTATATTAAGTCTTTCTACTGAAAGCAAAATATATCTCTTCATTTTTTGTTCATCTTCTGTTATGTCCTTCAATAAAAATTCATAATTTTCTCCATAAAAGGTTTATACATCTTTTGTGGATTTATTCTTAGCTCTTATATTTTTGTGTCTATTTTAAATGGTGCCTTTGTAAAGGTTATACACTTGAACTGCTTTTTATGTGGGCACATGTGTGTATATATTTCGTATGTTGGTTTTTTATTAAAAAGACTGATATGGTCTTGCAGTCTCTGCTTCGATATATAAAATGTTTGGAAGTTATCACTTCAAACCTCACAAGAAATAAAACGGAATAAATTGAAATAACTCTTCTTCATTCCATCAAAAAAGTAAGGTCATAGGGCAAAATTCTGCCCCAAAAGTGGAGAGAGGGGCAAATACAGAGACTCACGGTTTATCAAGAGCAAAAGCCTCTGAAGCCAAGAGAAGGAAAAACCCTCAAAGTCCCAGCCTTAGGGGTGGAGGGCGGGGAGAGAGCTCTACACTTTACGTGTTTTACCCCCAGGACCCTCATCAAATTCTTACAGTGAAGATCTGAGAAAGATCCTCTCCTGCTTCCAGCATGGGGAGGAAAAAAAGCAACAATTTTGAAATAATGCCATGAGTATTCTATTCTCCATAATAAACGCCAGTGTTAAAAGAAAACTATTTTATCAAAGCATTATCTGATCTAGCTTAAAGATAATTAGACAGCTCAACCTCCTTTTGCCTTCGTATATTACATAAACGAAGAAAAACAAAAAGCCTAATAGACTTGTCAGAAGGTCACAGCTCAGATACTCAGACCCACTCAAAAGGACTTAATCACAGGATTGCAGATGCTTCCTCTGTACAATATGTTACAGCAAACCAACAGGGCTCCACTATATTATATATATGAGATAGTTTAAAGATGAGATATATATATATGAGATAGTTTAAAGACATGGTATGTATTTAAAGAGGAATTTCTAGAGATATTTAAAGACAGGAGGAGACAAAGAAAAAAAAAAGAACTCTAGAAGAAATTCAGTTACAGCCAACATTAAATACAACCTAACCCCTAACTAGATAAACATAAAAGCTCACATCAAAGGCTTATTACCTCATTTCCTATTACTCAATATCTTCCCACTTTCAACAAAAAATTACAAACAATTCTGTTGCTTGCTTTGCAAAAGGGAAGAGAAAACAGAGGCTGAAGAGATAAAGCAAGCAACAGAACCAGACTCAGATATGGCCAACATTTTGGAAGTTTCAGAATGAGAATTCATAATAACTGATCAATAGGCTAAGGGGTCTAATGAAAAAAGTAGACAACATAAAGAAAACACATGGATAATATAACCAGAAAGATGGCAGCTCTAGAGAAGAATCCAAACAGAAATTAAGAATGCCTTTAATGAGCTGATATTAGATTAAACATGGCAAAGGAAATATGCTGTAAGATATGTCAATAGAAACATCCCAAATTGAAAAAAGAATTGAAATGAATGTCAGATAGATTTAATTTTTATATAGTTGTTTAATTCTTATGTGATTAATAGGTCACTGAAAATTGTGTCTGTTTATTGTTAAGATTTTTCTTACTCACCTTATGTGGCAAGTTCTGCATATCCTCACCTATTTCATGTATTACAGCTTTTATTCTTGTGGGAAAAATTTCTCTTTTTTTAATGTAATAAGTTTATTTTCTATTTTTACCTAATAAAGAGTTCGTGCCAATTTGTAAGCATGTAAAGTTTATTATGCAGTATAACCGCATGTAAATTATTATTTTTATATGTTGCCTTTTCCTTTTTTCTGTATTTCTGGGTGTTATTGGATATTTCACTTTGAATTAAAGAGAGAGCTGGGATAGGACAATATATTGTATCTAATCTCTATCTCACAGAGTGTAATATTAGCTGTGGGTTTTTAGTAAATGCATTGAAGCAGAAAAAAAGAGAATGAAAAAGAGAACGGAATATCCAAGAACTGGAGAGAAAATACACACAATGAAAATACTAGGAGAAGAGAGAAAGAAATATAAGTAATAATGGTTGAGGATGTACCAAAATTAATAGCAGAAACCAAATCATAGATCTGGGAAACTCTGAGAACATGAAACAGTATAAATATAAAAAAAACTATACCTAAGCATATCATATTCAAAGCAGAAAACAAAAGACAAAAAGAAAACTCTGGAAAAAAGCCAGAAGGGGGTAAAATACCTTATCTGTAGATGAACAAAGATACCAATTCTATTAAACCTCTCTTCAAGAACCATGCAAGCAAAAACAAAGGGGCTTGAAATATTCAAGGTTTAAATAATAAAACCACCAACCTAGAAATCTGTATCCAGTGAAACCATCATTTAAAAGTGAGGTGGAAAAGTGACTTTCTTAGACAAATAAAAACTAAAAACACTTATTGTCTACAGAATTGCCTTGCAAAAAAAAAAAGTAAGAGAAGTTCTTCAGAAAGAAGAAAAATGATGCTGATCAGAAATGCATATCTCTTTAAAAAAGAAAGATCATTAGGGAAGGAATAAATGAAAGTAAAATAAAGTATTTTACTATTCTAGTTTTAATTGATCTAACAATAACTTTTCAAAATAATAACAAAAATAATGTATTGGGTTATTATAGCACATGGATAAATAAAATGAATAATGAGAATATTCTAAGGGACAGAAGAATTAAATTAGAAACTCTGTTATATCTGTAATACCTGTGAAGTAGTATAATGTTATGTGAAAGTAGACTTAGATTACTTGCACATGTATATTGCAAGCCCCAAGGTCACCACTTAAAAATAACAGTAAAAAGGAGGACAATTGACAGGCTAAGAGAAAATGAAAACATATAAAATGGTCAACTAAAACCAGAGAAGGCACTGGAAGAGGGGAAGACAAAAACAAGTACAAAAAACCAATAACAACAGCAAATAGTTATATATGTTGTAGGTATTAATACAACTGCATCAATAGTCACTTTAAATGTGAATACTAGGTGGGCGCGGTGGCTCACACGTGCAATCCCAGCACTTTGGGAGGCCGAGGCAGGCGGATCACCTGAGGTTGGGAGTTCGAGACCAGCCTGACCAACATGGAGAAATCCCATCTCTACTAAAAATACAAAATTAGCCTGGCATGGTGGCACACGCCTGTAATCCCAGCTACTCGGGAGGCTGAGGCAGGAGAATCGCTTGAACCTGGGAGGCAGAGGTTGCAGCGAGCTGAGATTGCGCCATTTCACTCCAGCCTGGGCAACAAGAGTGAAACTCCGTCTCAAAAAAAAAAAAGTCAATACTAAATATGCCAATAAAAACAGCACAGAGTAAAAAAAAACAACAAAATTTAACAAAAACAGAAAGCAAGTCCTGCTATATGTTTCCTGCAAGAAACCTGCCTCAAATATGAGGATACAGATAAATTAAAAGTGAAGGTATGGAGAAAGATATATTATCTTTATGCACATTAAAAAAACTAAGCCATATTAATTTAAGATATAGCAGATTTCATAGAAAAGAAAATTATTGGGGATAAAGAGCCATTACATAATGATAAAGGTCTCAATTTTCCAAGAAGATATTACAATACTTAATGTGCAAGTGCCTAACAATATAGCAAGAAAACATGTTACTAAAATTGATAGAACTGCAAAAAAAAATGCATGAGGCACTATTATAATTGGAGACTTCCAATATCCCTCTATTTGATATCAATACCAGATAAAGATACAAAAAAAAGAAAAACTATGGATCAGTAACATTCATGAACACAGATGTAAAAATCCTCAAAAAAGTCAGCAAATCAAATAGAATAATCTATACAAAGAACTGTACATTATGTCAAATTGTGAATTATCCCAGATATGCAAGGCTGATTCAAGATTTGAAAATCTATTAATGTAATATTTCACATCAAAAGGCAAAAGAAGAAAATTCATATTATCATATCAGCAGAGGCAGAAAAAGCATTTGTCAAAATCCAACGCCCATTCACAATATATACTTTTAGCAAACTAAGAATAGAGAGAGACTTCTATTTGATGAACAACATCTAGTAAAGAATCTACAGTTTAAAACACACTTGATGTTGAAGAACTATTCGTATTTTTCCTAAGATCAGAAAAGCCAATGAGTTCCGTTCTTACCACTCCTACTCAACACCATCCTGGAAACATTAGCTAATGTAATGCAACAATAAAAAGAAAAGAAAAGAGACAGATTAGGAAGAAAAAAATACATACAACTGTCTTTGTTTACAGATGATATATCCTCTATTTGAAAAGTACCAATAACAACAAAAAATCTCCTAGACTAATAAGCAATTATAGTAAAGTTGCAGGATACAAGGTTAATATATAAAAGTCAATTGCTTTTCTATCTGCTAACAATAAACAACTCAAATTTGATATGAAAAACATAATACCATTTAAATTAGCACCAGAAAAGTAAAATACTTAGAAATAAATCTATCAAAATATGCATATGAGGAAAAGTATAAAATTTTGATGAAAGAATTCAAAGATCTCAATAAATAGGAAGATATCCATTTCCTAGATGAACTATATTTTATATATTTAATATATAATATTTATGTTATTTCCAAGATGAACTATAGATACAATGCAAGCAAAACTCATGGCAAGTTATTTTGTGTGAATCAACAAACTATTATGTTTATATTGAAAGGCAAGAGACTCCAAATACCCAGCAGAATACTTAAGAAAATAAACACAATCAGACAACAGAAACTACCTGATAGTAAGACTTACTATAAAATCAGAGTAATCAACATAGGGTGATATTGGATTAATAACAAATACATATATCAAAGGAACAAAGGAAAGTGCCCAAAAATTGATCACCACAAATAGAGTCAACTGAGCAAAGGCAATACAATGGAGAAAGAATGATCTTTTCAACAAATGGTGTTAGAACAACTGGACATTCACAAGTAAAAGAAGTGAATCTAGACACAGACTTTATACACTCTCAAACATTTATTCAAAAGAAATCAGAGACCCAAATGCAAAACATAAAACTACTAAACATCTAGAATACAACATAAGAGAAAATCTAGGGACTTTGGGTTTAATGATGATTTTTAACATACAACGCCAAAAGCACAATACGAGAAGGAAAGAAAATGCTAAGTTGGACATTATTAAAATTACACTTCTGCTCTGAAAAAGACATTTTAAAGAGAATAAAAAGACAAGCCACAGATATGAAGAAAGTATTTGGAAACAGAACTGATGAAAGACTAATATACACAATATACAGAAAATCTTAAAACAAGCAAGTCAGTTAAAAATTGATAGATCTCAACAGACACCTCGCCAAAGAAGATACAGAGATGGTAGGTAAATAAGCATATGAAAAGTTGCATCTTATGTCATCAGGGAATTGCAAATTAAAACAATCTATATCAATAAAATTGCTTATCTTAATAAACATAATTGATTTACAATAATTGTTTTATCTCAATTATTTTATCTCAAAAAATATCACTAACTCTTATTAGAATAACTACAACTGAATACACTGACAACACCATATGCTGGGGGTGGGGCTTGTAGGTCTACAGTATCTCTCATTTACTGCTGGTAATAATGCAAAATGGCATAACCATGTCAGAAGACAGTTTGACAGTTTCTTACAAAGCTAACCGTAGTCTTATCATATGATCAGCAATGACACTCCTTGATATTTATCCAAATGAGTTAAAAATTTATGCCTACACAAAAACATGAACACAAATGTGTATACTGGCCTTCTTCATAATTTCCCCAAACTGGAATCAACCAAGATGGCTTCAATAAGTGAATGAATAAATATACAATGGCACATTTATACAATGGATTATTGTTCAGCAATAAAAAATGAGCTATCAAGTTATGAAAAATGTTAAGGAACCTTACGAGCCTATTGCCAAGTGAAAGAAGCCAGTCTGAAAAAAAGCTACATTCTCTATAGTTCCAACTATATGACATTCTAGAAAAGGCAAAACGATGGAGACATTAAAAAAAAAATCCAGTGCTGGCCAGGGCTTTTGGAAGAGGAGAGAAGGGATAAATAGGTGAAACACTGAATTTTTAGGGAAGGAAAACTATTCTGTATGATATTGTATTGGTAGATAAATGACATTATACACTTATCAAAATCTATAGAACCGTACAACACAGTGTAAACTATCAACTTAAGTGGTAATAATGTACTAGTACTGGCTCATCAATTTTAACTAATCTACTATGCTAATGCAAGATGTTAATAATAGGAGAAACCATTTGTATTGGTGGAGTATATAAGGGATAGAGGAGAGGGTATGCAGTAACTCTGTGAACTCTCTGTACTATCCGCTTAATTTTTCTGTAAATAAAAAATTGTTCTGAAAATAAAATCTGTTTTTAGGCTGACTATATTTGTTAATTATTTCTAAACAATCATCAGAATTTCTTCTGGGTTTACCCTATAGAAATTTATATAATCTGAGACTAATGATAGTTTGTTTCTTTTCAAATCTTACATCTTTTACTTCCTTTTCTTTCTTTACCTCTATTAGTAGCTGTGCAATGTTGCTGAATAGAGGAGAGGTAGCAGATACTGCTGTTGCCTCTTAAAGATTTTACCAACCTTTTATATGTGAACTATATAACGAAAGTGTAGTATTTATTTTCATAGATGCCATTTTTCTGTTTAACAAAATGTCCTTCTTTTTTTTTTTTTTTTTTTTGAGATGGAGTTTCACTCTTGTCATCCAGGCTGGAGTGCAATGGCGCGATCTCGGCTCACTGCAACCTCCACCTCCCGGGTTCAAGTTATTCTCCTGCCTCAGCCTCTCGAGTAGCTGGGATTACAGTCATGCGCCACAACTCCGAGCTAATTTTTATTTATTTATTTAGTATTTATTTATTTTTTTTTATTTTAGTATAGACAGGGTTTCTCCATGTTGGCCAGGCTGGTCTCAAACTCCGGAGCTCAAGTGATCCGCCCACCTCAGCCTCCCAGAGAGCTGGGATTACAGGCGCAAGCCACCGCGCCCGGCCCAAAATGTAGTTCTTTGCTTTGATTCCTACTTACCAAAAATGGATGGTAAATTTCCTTGGCTACTTTTCTGTATCTATTAAGGTAATAGTATGCAGTTTATTATTTAATACTCTATATTACTGCTAAGACAGAAGTTCAACATCTCTCTACTTGACCTACATGCTCACATGCCTACTAAATTTCCTAATTTTCCTCTACTTTTGGTTTTTAGGTTTCTTTCTTTTGTTTCAGCTCAACAATGCTTTTAAGATATATTTTAGTTTTAAAAATCTAACATATCTCATCCAAGGTTTGCCCTAATCGGCAGTATATTTTAGGCTTTCTATTCTGCCATGTGACCAGAAAAATAATCTATCATTCTTCATCAAAATCTACAAATGCTTTTCAAGGTGTATCCATGAGCTGGGTGTGGTGGCTCACTCCTGTAATCTCTGTGCTTTGGAAAGCCAAGGCAGGAGGATCACTTGAGCCCAGGAGTTCAAGACCAGCCTGGGCAAATGGTAAAACTCTCTCTCTGAAAAAAAAAAAAAAAAAAAAAAAAAAAGCAAAAATTAGCTGGGCATGGTCGTGCACACCTATAATCCCAGCTACTCAACGGGCTAAGGCAGGAGGATCCCTTGAGCCTGGGAGGCAGAGTTTGTAGTGAGCCAAGATCGCACCACTGCACTCAGGCCTGAGCGACAGAGTGAGGCCCTGTCTCAAAAAAAAAAAAAAAAAAAAAAAAAAAAAAAAGAAAAGAAAAAAGAATCCATGTTTTCCTCTCAGAAAACACTGTCACCACTAATTTCACTTATAGAAAAAGGGTCACCAGACAAGAGACATAAATATTACAGTTATTGGGAAAATAACTGTATGTTCCATATGAACTTATTGGTATAATACTTTCTTAACTCTGTTTTGGAAATATAGATTGTAGAGATGATAAAAAAATATGTGAAGTAAAAATATCTTGTGAGCAAATTTAAATGATGGTGAATACCAACTTCATGGGCTTGGCCTAAAGCTGCTTCATCTTTGATTTTTCTTATCTGCAGAAATAATTAAAGTAAGTAGCATAAGACAATAATCTAGGATCATGCTGTGTGAGAAGACAGCATAAAAATATACAAGAAGACAGAAAAGTGTTCCCAGGCCAGGCATGGTAGGTCATGCCTGTAATCCTAGCACTTTGGGAGGCTGAAGAGGGCAGATCACTTGAGGTCAGGACTTCAAGACCAGCCTGGCTAACACGGGGAAATCCTGTGTCTACAAAAAATACAAAAGTTAGCTGGGCATGGTGGTGCATGCCTGTAATCTCAGCTACTTGGGAGGCTAAGGCAGGAGAATTGCTTGATTCTGGGAAGTGGAAGTTGCAGTGAGCTGAGATCGTGCCACTGCACTCCAACCTGGGTGATGGAAAGAAAAAAAAACGTCGCCAAAATAACCAAAATAAGTTCAAGTGACATGTTCCA
Organism: Homo sapiens; assembly: GCF_000001405.40. NCBI lineage: Eukaryota > Metazoa > Chordata > Mammalia > Primates > Hominidae > Homo > Homo sapiens. The sequence goes on from NC_000008.11 coordinate 88,185,498, forward strand.
GTTATATAAGTAGAAAACCAATATATTGAGGCTTTCATTTTATCTTTAATCATACACAAAGGGTTATTTACATGAAGAATAAGAATTATAAAATTATCATTTCTATTCACATAATCTGACAGATGATTCCTGACATTCTACCCTCTCACCAAAGTATCTTTCCTCTTCTCCTGCCCATTGGTTTAACAAGTTCTTTCCTTCCTATGGGTCTTAGTTGAAAAGCTATTTTAGGGCGATCTCATCTGGTTTTCTAGAATGGGTTGGATGACCCTGGTTTACATTTCTCTTGCATCCTGTCCTTTCTTTTTATAACAAGCATTGTATTTATATGACTGTTCAACTTTTTGTGACTGTAAATTCCATGAGGACAAACAGGGTCCTCATGTTTTATTTGTTGCTACATCTCCAGGCCTTGGCATTGTTCTTTGTTCATACTGGGACTCAGTAAGCAGTTGTTCAATTACAAAATAAATAAATGTGAAAATCCATTAATAACAATTGTCACTCTAGGTTGGAAAATACTTTCTGTTACTGAAGACAAAACCACTTGCATAATTAAGAAAAAGATAAAAATCAAAATGGTTAGACTGATATTAAACACTGATTAATGAATTCAACAACATTCTGTTTAAATAGCAGTTATTTATATATTTTATTATTTGATTATTTTAGAGATTATAAATATTTGTCAAAGCATGTAATATGTTAGAACATTCATCTTAAAGTCCCTCATAATATTGACATTTATTCAAGAAGCTGGAATAGTTTACAAAAGAGCCCAAGTGTCTCAGAGTGTCTACATAGGGTGTCTAATGAACAATTTACTCTCCTCTCAATAGCAATTTTAAATCTCTTATGTTAACATTATATCCCTATATATTAACATGTAGTCAACGTGCAGAAGATACTAAACTATGTGTCAAAACAAATAGTAATGAAATATGGGGAAAAGGGGAGATTAATCGTGAGTTCTTATACCTGTAAGTGATGTGCTTGTGCTGCCATTTCTGTCCTGTCAATGCATATCGCTTTCGACGAATATGAAATTTGGAGCTACCTCTTGTCTGGTCAGGTACACCGCATCGGGGCTTCTTCATCCAGCTGCAAAAAAAAAAAAAAAAAAAAAAAAGCAGTATTTTCCAGTTATTTACTAACAACCCTAATCATTAAATTCAAAAGAAAATCAATTAAGAGGTTAATCTGAGACAGTGATGATGAAAATGGCAAAATATAAAGTAAAGGGAACACTGTGAATTTTCTTGCACTTTGAATCTAAGTAGATAGCATAGTTTTTCCTGAATTATCAAGAATCACTAGTTTACTATTCAGATCCTTTAGATAATTTTCTTCTCTCTAATTTATTTTGGGCTAACTATAGACAGAGGTAGTCTAAAGCTTCTAAGAATTTGCTGTTAACAAGGTATATAATCTTGGGCAAGTCTTTAATTCCTAGTGCTACTCATAAAATGCCACTAAGGAGTTATTCCACCTTTAACATTCAAAGATTATTCTAATCTATTACCTGAGTTTAAATGCCAGGATTCAAGAGGGTATATGCTACTCTGTTCTAATTTACATAGCAGTCAACTGTTTGTTCAAATAAAATATTCATTTCTCTACCTTTTCTTCTTTACATTTGATCATTATTTCATTTCCAAGTAGCAGCCACTTGCTTTGAATATTTGATAAATAACCAAATTCAATGCTTAAAAAATATTTTTCTGAATATGAGGTTTTGCACTCACAAGACTAAGGTTTGATGTACTTAAATTTGAAAAGGAAATGCTGCTTTTAATTTATTAATCTTAACACATATACAGATAAAATAGTCTAATTTCTCTTCTAGAGAGTCTCATTGGACCACTGTCACATTTTCTATCTATTCTTGCATCTTATCTAAGTAGAAAGATTTTCATGATTTGGGGGTAGTTTTTCTTTAGTGCGTTATAAAGTGACTTTGCTGTTTATTAGCCCCTTTATTTTAATAATTACAAAGGTAAGGCAGAAAATTCATAGTACTACATGGTTCAGAAAGTAGAAATGAAAAACAATCAATTTTTGGAGTATTTGCTTTACAATTTCTACACTTTTTAAATGGAAAAGGAGTGATCATAGAGATGACTCTCTAAGTCATTTACACATTAAGTAATTTGCATGTGAAGTAATTTACATGTTATGCAACAAAATCCAATAATGTGCTTTTACAAACATAATAACTTCCTGCATCAGTGAAATAATAACTTTTACTTCTTAAGAAAGATGACACTTTTCCAGAAAACATTAAAAGATTCTGCTTTCTTATTCTGACCCCAGTAATGTAGACCATGCAGTTACCAGATTTAACAAATTCCATCCTAGTTTAAATGCATTGTAGAGTTACTTCAGAAAATAATTCTTCCCCTTTATTAAAGTCCACGAATTAAAAAATACATCTTGTAAACGCTAAATTCTAAGAGGGTATCCAGCTTTATGGAATTGAGCTCTCAGGAGGTGAGATCAGAGGCCTCTCATTTTTAACTAACACTCCCAGGGGAGTCCTAAACACACTGAATTTGAGAGATATTTCACTATACTGTAAAACACTCAAGAGAAGGGGTTTTGGTATTCTCTGTATCTTGCACAACTGGAATAGGAGAATTAACAAATAAATATTACTGGACTAGATGGATATGGTTATTTTTATTGCATAGTTTAAGATCTAGATATTGATTTAATTAACAATTGTATTAATGGTGTGCCTACGATGATTTAAGTTGCTTTTATATATGGGTATTAATTATAGTCTCAAAAAATTATAATATTCCTAAGGTAGGTACTTATCTTTACTTATCTCATTGAAAGTACTGGGAGAACAAACAATACGTAATTATGAAATCTGAATATATTTACTTAACGTGGGATATGGTTACATTCACATTTAGCTAAGGAAAACATTTAAGTAAGCAATCTGTGAAAAAAACCTGAAATGGATAGTTGGGTAAAATTTGAAACAACAGAATTAACTATTATCAGAATAAAATGTATTTTCAATGAGGGTATAGTCTCTAAAATTACTTTAGTATGTATAAAATTGAAAAATGAAGGCAGTAATGTCATGCTTTTGTTGGAGCCAGTAAAAGATTTCTTTGTCAAGTGTGTACATCTTCCAAAGAACAGATTTTTTTTTTTTTTTTTGAGTCCGAGTTTTGATCTTGTCGCCCAGGCTGGAGTGCAATGGCACGATCTCGGCTTAACCACAACCTCCACCTCCCGGGTTCAAGCAATTCTCCTGCCTCAGCCTCCTGAGTAGCTGGGATTACAGGCATGCGCCACCACACCTGGCTAATTTTGTATTTTTAGTAGAGACAGGGTTTCTTCGTGTTGGTCAGGCTGGTCTCAAACTCCCGAGCTCAGGTGATCTGCTTGCCTCGGCCTCCCAAAGTGCTGGGATTACAGGCATGAGCCACCGTGCCCGGCCCAAAGAACAGATATTTTAGGGAGGAATATTAGATTCCTGTGCTAAAAGACATTTCTGCTGAATCCCTTATATAAGTCTTGGGCTTTTGCCCACTTCATATAGTTGTTTGCTTGTGTTCTAACTATTTGTTCATTTACCCATCTCATCCTGATTTATTCATCATATAGTATTTTTGAGCTTTTACAACATGCTAAGATATATAAAAGAAAGTATGGATTAGAAGATGAAGAAAAAAAGAGCCCCTTCCTTACTGAGCTCATAGCACACAGGTAAGACATGTATCATTTAAAAAGTACAATATAATGGGGTAAGTGCTGTCACACCTCCATCTAGATATCCTGTCATCAGCTCTAATGTTATATGTAATACAAAGAAAATCATGATATTCCTACCCCAAACTTGCACCAATTTATCTGATGCCTCATCTCAGCTGAAAGCCTTAGCATCTTCTAATGCCCACACTAGATATCCAGGTATAACCCTCCACTACTCTTTCCTCACATCCAGTCAATCACAGTCTAGTCTCTTCTACCCTCAAAATGTCTCTTGTATCTCTCACTCTCAACACTTCCTTCATTTTCACTACTAACAATACTAACAATACATTTTCCCAAAGCAAAAGTGTGTTCTCTGCATGTTCTGAGCATGAAATGCCTTTGTAGAAAGAATCTGATTTATGTCTACCTAGTGAGGGTGTCCCCTGTCCTCCTTCTCAAAATCCAATTGAGTTCCTACAGAACCAAACCTCTTCCTGCCCTTATATGCAATGACCTCTGTCTGGAATACTTTTCACTCCTTGTTCACCCTGAGAATCCTAATTATTCTTTAATATTCAACTCACATAGATACAGTTTACCACCCCAATGCAGCATGTCTTATAATGTGTATCCTGATTTGTATGTGTCTGTCTCTATCTACCACTGACCTGTGAGTGAGGGTAGAGAGCCAAGCATGAGGTCAGTGCCTAGTGAAGTCGCCAATAAGGAACATGAAGCAAATGAACTAAGTCTATATGTCATTTTGCATATACTGATCATTTCGACAATCCTATATATTTCTTGAGGACTTCATAACTTTTTCCAGCTCTGTGCTTTGAACAAATGATTATTGCAGAGACATTACGTGGATACTTATATAAAACAAAATCATGAAGTAGATAATTTACACATAAGAAATAAGCATAACATATATAATATAATATCAACTAATGATTTAATGAAAAGAACTCTGAATGAAGATTGGTAAAGTTGAGAATACTCTATGTTAACTTCACCAATATTTGTATCTAAACATTCTGGCACAGAGATATTAGTGGGTATTATCTTCTCAAAGTAGGTAAAATACCATAAATATGATCAAAGCACATCACACTACTGAACATGACACAGAATCCGAGCTAAATTGGTCTTCAGGCTTTTGTATGTGACTTTAAACATTTGATTTCATAAGCAGGCAGGTTCTTTCTTATGGAAATTTTAAAGTTCCCAATGGATATAAAGAATGCTCAGTGTTTAACAGGACTCATCAATGCATGAAATGTTGTCTAACATTAAATACAAAACTGGCATGCTAATGTTTTTATTCAGTTAGAGTCTGGCAGTCAGGTTCATTTCCAGTTGCCCAAATAGATAATATAAATTTGTTAGGCACCAAAATGTTAGTAGCATTCAAATATCAATTTGATAAATCCCATATATACCTGTTCACACAAAAAACAGGAATATATAACTATATCTATATCCACATACAAAGTTAACATATAAGTGTATTTTATACATATATATATATAGCTTATTACCAACTGGCAACTTGGTAAAATCTAGTCACCACCTTTTTTTTAAAGCTTTCAATAATGTTATTTTCAGGCAGTACTTTTTTTGCGACAGTGTCATTGCTTAAACATAGTTACTTTTTCAGTGTGTCAACACACAACTCATATAACTGTGCTTTTTATTTTTCTTGACTGACTCATTTGTGAGAAATTTTAAGTTGACATCCCAAAGCAAACAAAGACATGGGGAAGGGGCACTGCAACTTTGTAATTATCAAGGTGTAAATAATGGCATGGCTTCAATTTTCATAAACGTAATACTGATTTTTAATACTGATTTAATTTTTGGGAATTTTAGATAATTTTAAAATTAGGTGGGCAGATCATTAATGTCCTTATTTAAGTTAACTCAACTTAAAAAGAAAAAAAATCTAAATCAGTGCTTTTGAGAGGAGTATAAAAATTGAAAGCAGGGATCCTGGTGCCATACTGTAGAGTTACCTCGCTGACTCAATAGTCCTATGACAATAGGTTACCGTTTCTTTTTATACTTCGGTTTCCGCATCTTTAAAGGAGATGATAATATTACCTCTATTATTGGGTTATTGTGAAGAATGAATTAGTTAAATCATTTAAACACTTAAAATAGTGTCTAGCAGACAGTAACTACTATTATTAACTTACAATTCTAATTCTAATAACTATTATTATTTTACAAATATCAGGAAGTAGTTATACTGGTGGTAGTCATGGTAGAAGCAGCAGCAGCGTACAAATATTGATGTGCTTCACCTCCCTTTGACCTGTATATATGTTATTTAAAACAGGGATTTTTTTTGGTACTTTGATAATAGAAATATAAATAAACAACTTCACTGTCCCCTGTTTTATGTAAATAAAGTAGCCAGAAGCTTCTAAACAGTTTGGTGTACCACACACACACAGACACACACACATATATCTGAAAGTGTCCATTAGCTTCAGTAAAATATATTTTTAAAAAGTATTTAATAAGTTGGGCATTCATGCCAAACACATAAGGCCACTCACTGCATGACTCTTAAGAGGTGCCCTTAGGTTACAGTCCTGGTACTGGGTATCCTGTGCTGGTGCTGCAGGAAGGCCGTGCTTCAACAAAATACCAGGGAAACGTCATCCCTTGCAGCTAGAGCTCTGCCACACAGTGGCTCTGTGTAAATACACCTACCTTTACCATGAGAAAAGAAAATGACTGCCAAATACATATGTTGTACTTTATCAACTCATGCTCTAAGACAATATTCACCAGGATAATATGTTAAACAAGTTTCCATTCTCCATACTTTCACAAGTTTTAGTTAAAAGTATGAATAATATTTACTATTTATAGTAGTCCCCAAAAGATCCTTCCAGAAATTTAAAAATATACTTATTTTAATTACTTTAAAAAATCCTTAGGTTTTATTTGTATTCATAGAGTCAAGTCCAGTTGCCATGGGAAGATTTTTAAAAGTAAATTAACTTAGGGCTAAAAATGTTGCGGCTGACAGCTCATTCCAGTCCAGAGTTTCTTTTATCTACAGACTCATTAACTGCCTGTATAGACACACAGGTTATTCACAAGATTGAAATGGCAAAGTTAAAGTACCTAAATACCTGAGCAAGAACAAAACTGTATTAAGCCACTATGATCTTCAGTGTGAACACAATTTCAGTGTTAGCTCTAACCAATTCTTTCAACTTTTTACCTTTCAGAATAGGAATCTAAGGTCCCTGCTCACTAGCTATCAACCTTCCTTCTGCTGCCACCAAAATGTGGGCTGACCCATCCTATAATGTGATAGCGTTTTAATGCCATGGGTATATTCAGAAATAAAAAGAAGAACATCAATTGATTAAGAACATATCTTTTATATCCAAACTGAAAAAGAAGATAGAGAATATTCCCTTGGCAATTTAGACAAAAGAATAAAAATCATAAAACATATTGACAAGCCAAAAATGTTGGGGTTCTTGGTACATCTAAATAAGTATTTCAATTATCAAATTAGGAATCCAAATATCACTATAGTTTCATTGAAATGACTTGAAAAATCTACTTATTCAACCTTAAATAAATTTTAATTAAGTTAAATTTCTGTACAATGAGATATCATCCTACCCCAGTTAAACAAACTTTTATCGAAAAGACAGGCCATAATGAAAGCTGGGGGGCATCTGAAGAAAGAGAAATCCTTATACACTACTGATGGAAATATAAATTAGGATAATCACTATGGAGAAGAGTATGGAGGTTCCTCAAAAAACTAAAAATAGAACTACCATATGATCTAACAATCCCACTGCTGGGCATATATCCAAAGGAAAGGGTATCAGTATATTGAAAAGATATCTACACTCCCTTGTTTATTGCAGGACTATTCACAACAGCTAAGATATGGAATCATCTGAAATGTCTGTCAATGTGTGAATGGATAAAGAAAATATGGTATTTATACACAATGGAATATTATTCAGCCATAAAAAATAAAATCCTGTAATTTGCAGCAACGTGGGATAGAATTGGAAGACATTATGTTAAGTGAAATAGGTCAGGCACAAAAAGACAAATATTGCATTGCATGTTTTCACATATGTGGGAGCTAAAAAACAAAACAAAACAAAACACACAAAAAGAACTTCATGGAGACAGAGACTAGAATTATCTAGAATTATGGTTACTAGAGGCTGGGAAGGATAGGAGGGAGGTGGGGATAAAGAGAAGGGGTGGCTAATGGGTACAAAATGTAGTTAGATACAATGAATAAGAGATAGTAGTAAATAGCACACTAGGGTGACTACAGGTAAAAACAATTTATTGCATATTTAACTAAAAGAGTAAGATTGGAATGATCTTAACACAAATAAATGGCAAATGCTTGAGGTGATAGATACCCCAACTACCCTGATTTGATCACTATGTACTGTATGCCTGTATCAAAACATAACAAGTACCCTATAAATATATAGGACTATTATATATCCATAATAATTAAAAATAATTTAAAAAAGAAATATTTCACCAAGCACACTTGAGTGCATGCCACTGTACACATATAAAAGATAAACTAATATGAAAAAATTACTATTAAAATTATAAAACATATCAGACTCATTTTCTTTATTGCCTTGCTATTTTTTTGTTTCCTTGTAAAATATATATATTTTATGTATAATACAGATTGCTCCATTCATTAAAGAATTTAGGGGAGCTTGCTTCCAAAAATTAGCTATGCATCTATAATTTAAAAGAATCACTGATGAACTCATTCTGTGGGAGGGAATAAGTATTTATTATGATCTCTAATACCATTGTTAATTAATATTAAGGCAATATTATATGACATTTAAGGTAATACCTTAATTTATTGTTTGAAAATGGTTAATTTATTCAACATAATATAGGGATTACTGCAATTGTCATCATTACTTTTAATTACCCAGTAATTACAGATTCAATGCATCCCATGTCTATCTGCCAAAAAAGGATATAATTATTTAATATAAAAACAATTGATCTTGACAAGAGTCTAAAATTAGACAAGAGTTCATAGCATCGAAAATGGTTAAGACATTATATTAATACTGAGGAATAATTTGGATCTATAACTATAGTCCATATTTTATGTAATAAGTGTCAGATAAAAATTCATACCTTATAATTTGACCGTAATATAACAGAGTGTGATTTCAGCATGGATTGTTACCACACATTCAAGATTACAAAAGCACAGATGATAGCTTTAATATCATGATGATGGGGATTATACTTCCAAAAATAGTACACTATTTCAGCTGAGTACCTTGATCAATAACACCTTAAGAGTAGAGATGCGACAGCAGAAAAAAATAGGCAGGAAGCAAATGAAGCCACCGGGTTTCTAGTTCAAGTGACAATGAGAATGAAGTCTCCAAGCAGACACAGGGAGCAGAGGAGGCATGGCAGGCTAGGAAGGGAAGATGAGGAGGAGTTAACAAGGCTTTAGTTGTTTCATCTAGAAATAACTGCCAGGTGTAATACTCTGAAGAGAAAGATGCACTACCAATTCCTAAAAAGACACCAAGAAAAATCCAAACCTGAATTAGAACATGGCTTTGTTCAAATAAAAATAAAAACAATACAGCTCCAAACCAAAACAAACAAGGAAAAAAGTCCCTTTGATTTTAAATTATGGGCTGCCTATATAGTTGATCTTTTCTCTATAATGCCCTATCACAGAAATGCTACTTTAACTCCCACGCACTGACACCATCATTTTTACTGGTCTGGAATCTGAGCCACTCTGTGCCCCCAAAAAGGCCTGTGTCCTTCTCTATTCCTCCACATTTTTTACATCCTCCTGCCAGAGAACAGCAAACTGTTCAGACCCCTTTCCATATGAAGGGCCCAAATAAAACCTGTGCACATTACTCTTCCATTACCTCCTCACAAAAACCTTCCTCCAGCCACTTTCAGAAAACAAACATTTCCATCCCAAGTCCTTCCAATGACCAACAGGAGCTCACAAAACTTGCGGAAATGTACCTTTTCTAGGACTCCACTTTCTTAAATTTAATAACTAGTAATAAGTATTACATACTTCCTTATTATTCTGGCACTAGTCAAGTTAGACCTTCAAACAATGTGAACTAATTTGTTTCCCAAGTCCTCAGTTTATTTGTATTTTTATGAATTGCGTCATATTTTCCAAGAAAGTGAATCAGAAGCTAACAGCTCTCCATTAAGAACAAGAACGCTGTCCACAGCACTTTGTAAAATGCTGTGATGAGGAGTACAATTTAAATGGAATTTGGTACTATACGTGGCAGCAAAACACAGGATTTGCTGGAGGCTTTTGCTTGTTAACTTAAAACTATATTTATTTAAGGCAAGGGGCATATTATGCCTTAAAATGATATTATAGCATTCAGAGAGAATTGCAGTGATTAGAGGGCAGCAGGTCCAAAATATCAAAACTCTATTCCCAATATTTAGAACAAGTTTCTAATTGTGGCAGAACATATTCTTTTTATTCTTGATTCTGTTTTCCAAGATGTAGATCAAAGTTAATATTTATGCATCTCTCAAAAGTACTAGGGGAGGTAATGTATTTATGTTTCCAAACTGCTTTGAAGTTTATCTCAAAGCTTTTATTATTTATAAAGGTTTTCCTGTGTTGATAAAATAGAAAAATTATGACTAACATCATGTTGCAAACTTAGATGGCAAAATTTTGAAATTATGTATTAAATTAGTTTGATATGTCAGAATTAATTAAGGATGTCTAAGTCTAGATAATCCAGGTATTTAAGGTTTAAAAAGAAAAACAGTATGTCTTTTCTCAAGGTATATAGCAGGGCAAGTTCCCCAGATCAAATGTCAAAAGACGGATTCTGCAACTACTCTGAAGTTCACTTAGCCTTTGACATTTAGTTCCTCTATTTGAGAAAGCAGAGAAAAATGCATGCTTGTCTTTCCTATTGTTGAAGGTTGATGTACCATGATCAAACTAAGTAACAAAAAATATGTAAACTTTGTGAGTATCAAGGATTCTAAAAACACAAATAATTTTTCCCTCTACTGAAAAAAATTAATCACTTCTTCCTTTGCTGTCCAGAAAAGTAATGCTGTTTCATAATCTTACGAAACTTACTGTGTACCTGTGGTAACACCATTTGCGATTATGTCTATCTATGCAGAAGATAAGAATTAAGCTCCTTTGATGAAGAGATTATGCCTTCTGAATCTGTACATGCTTTATCTTTCACAGATAAAGCACCCAATAAAGAGCTGAATAAATAAGTGAATGATTGATGAACCAATCATTAAAAAGCAAAATTATTAAAAAATAAGAACAAGCCCTGTGATAACAAGAAATTGAAAGAAGTAACTTTCCAGTGAAACCTATCTTTGATTTAGAACCGTCAGCAGTGGGGAGTTAGTAAACTGTTAACTGGCTCTCTGACGCTGCCCCTCCTACCCAAAATAAGAGCCCTAATTTGTGTTGTTTCCTAGTTTCCAGGGTGTAGATATTTCCATTTGGCCAATTTCAAGCTCCTAATATGATACCAATGAACAGAGATTTGGGAAGCCATGTGTACAATATATTCTCATCAATCACACAACCCACCTCTGTTGCTCATGGTCACTCTTTTTGTAGTAGCTTCAACTGTACACCTACCTCAACATTTCATTCATATTTCTTTACTACTTTGAAACTATGTTGCTAAAATCAGGTAAGCAAACCTGACATTGGGCCTTAAATATCTTATGAAATATTGGAGGAGTGGGGTTAAATTAGGTTATATAATTCCAAAGAAAGTTCATGAGACAAATTACTCCATTTCTGGTTGGTGGAGTTCATATAAAGTTTTCCAGACTACTTAGTTTGGCTCAAGGACCAAAAAGAAAGGAGGATGGGAGCCATTACTTACTCAATTGTGTTTCTGTCCACTTTTCCTGTCATGTTAATGCCATAGAACTGCTGCATGGCAGCTAGGGCAGACTGCATGGTCTCTGCAGAGCGCAGCACTGACATTCTGGGGTCAGTCGGTGGAAGGTAGCCGTACTTTTGTAACCAAACCTGCAATAACAAGTACAGTTTCTTTTAGATCAATTTTACAATTTAACAATAATTTTCTGGTAATTAATGTATATCTATAATAGAGTTTTGAACATTTTCTCCACAAGGGCATACAGTATTTTAAGTGTTTGATCTTTTTGTAATATATATATTATGTAGGTTAGGTTATTTTAATATAATTGCAGCGACTGTTATGGATCTTTTTGACATACCTTCTAATGTTAATTAAAAAAAGAGTAATTATTTGTTGCAAGCTTATAATGTATAACGTACTATAGCAAATACTGGATAAAAACTTAAGTAAGATTATCCCTGTCCTCTAGGACCTCAACCTCCCAAAATGAAGGATGCTTTTTCAACAGTATGACTCTATTGAGATGTTTATGTTGCAAAGGGCAGTCAATGTGCATATACCACATTAAAAAAGCCGTCTTCCTGAAATTGACCAGTGACTCCAGCTATGACGTGTAGCATCTTTACAGATAAACCATGTTACTCTATGACATTTTGGGTGTAAATTCCATAAAACCATTCTATCCAATCGTAGCTAGGTATCTTTTGATGACTTTACCAGGTAAAGAATATTCTTTCTTCATTTATTTATGGTGACTCACTTTAATCTAAATCACACAAGTAACCAAGTTTTTCACCTGTAGAAGAAATCCAGCTATCATCTTAAGAGTGTTTAGACTTCTCTTTAAGGGTCTCATGATTTTTATCCCCCACCTTCCCTGGTGAAGGGGGCTCTGGGAGGACAGAGAAAGAAATCATAGTTGAATTCACATTCTAATTGTGATTGGAGCAAAAATTCGGAGTCATTTAAGGTTAAATTTTAAAAGTTAATACAAATGCAGGGCATTTGGAAAAAAACATATATCTCCACCAGGGAGCAGATGCTTTCCAGTTTTACAACTCTATGGATTCATTTTAAATGCACAATCATATGTTCAGGCCACATCCCATCCTGCTGTCCTTTACCTCAATCTTCTATAGGGCTCTAAGATTTCTTGGAGTTTAGTGAACTACCTCTCAAATTGATAAGGGCCAAGTAATTCTGTCCCTGGCATAAAAATAGAAGCCTTGCTATTTAGTGAAAGCTATTTGCCAGCATGTGTTACCCTTCCTACCTCAGTCTATTTATCACATAAATGACCATCCTATGAAATTGTAGTTTTTCCCAAATAACTGATATTCTTCCTTTATGAACTTCAACGTCTAAAACAGGAGACATATTTTCCCAGTGAAAATAACCAGCAAATATAGAAGTTAAATTTCACCAAAAGAAACTGGTATTAAATGTATCAAAGTCTTAAAATGTGAAACACAAAGTGGAATTTTTCATGGTATTTCCAAAAACTGACCACCTCAAAAGAACAGTACCATAAGCACATCCCCTTGAAAATAAAAAAAAAACCCAAAATTTATTCTAAAACCATTTAAGAAATGAGCAATGCATCACTGTCAGGAAGGTGTATTAGTGAAACCTAATCTAGTAAACTCATGTACCATATAGTAAAAGCATGCCAAGACACTCTTCTCATCTAATCTGTAATGAACAGACTGCCAGGGAAAATATGAATATTCAGTTTCCTAGTTAACAGTGGTGCAGTCTGAAGTAGACTCCACTTTTTTTCTGAATGAAGGAGGCAGGCAATATTATTTAATATGAAAGTCAATACCTATTGTTAACGTAATGTCTCAAAATTAGAACGTTGTATCTTGATTTTTAATAATATACATGCACCAATATTCTTAAACTGAATGCTTTTTCCATAACACTTTGTTTGCATTCATTTCTTACTTGCTAGAGAGCTGACTTGTTGCTAGGTTACTCATGGGTGCTAAGCTACAGGCAATTATGTTTATGAGGAAAGCAAAGAGAAAACCATTAACAATAAACCCTATGACTTATGTACAGATAGAGGAACTATAAAATATGTAAATGTTAAGTGCATAATGAACAGAATAAAAAATACATATTTGATTTATGCATTAGCCTTTCAAACAAATGTTTTAAAATAATGTAAAAAATGAATTGAGATTTTTCTTCAAGTTTTCTTTTACACTGTCACTTATGAAAGGGAGTTCTTTCTGAATGACTGAAGAGTGGATCATTATTTTTAAGTGTAAAATACTGGGAAAGCTATGAGTTCTACCATTTTATGGTCAAGGTTTGTTTTCTGGCTAATCAAGATTGATTTGTCACCTAGGAAGCAAACCTTCCTTCCAAAGTACAAACTTATAATATCTTTTTTGATAAAAAATTACATCTATTAAGTAATATTTGGAAATGTATCTTTCCCCTTACCCTAGTATTCTGCTATCCAAGGTTAATGACTTGGCATGTAGTCTTTGCATCTTTTTCACTGTTCTTAAAAATAAATTTTGAGATATAAATATATATGTGAGTATGTATGTGTATCTGTAAAGATATATACATATATATCACAGATTATACCATACCCTTCCATCCTCGTATGTTTTTATTTGAAGTATATCCCTGTTTTCATCATTGTCTTAAAATACTTCATCTCCTGGATTATTGCAAATACTAAATTTGTCTCTTGAGACTGGTTGTGCCTTAATGTCTTTTCAATGTTCTCAAATGCACATTATGAATAGTTAAAGAATTATCCATTCTTGTGTGCACTTGGATGAATGATATACAATTTGTAGGGGTGATGTTAGGATTAACTGAGAATACACAAAGCCCTTAGCATAATTCTTGCTCAGTAAGTCATACTATTATTTTATGCTTACCAACTACCCTGAGTTCTTAAAATCATTCCTGTTAAACTTAAGATTTGTCTTTGGGATAGGGCAATATTAAAAATAGGTGAGGTTGAACTAGTCATAGCTGTCAGGAAAGACAAACAACATGGGGTAAGGAATCAGAGTGCTTGAAAACTCCCCAAATCCAAAAGCAAATAAGGAAGGTGTGATACATTTGACAAACTGATTTTTGTTATGTTTTCTTCATTTTGTGCTCACTAGATTGAGAAGTGCTTTTGAGAACACTGAAAAAATATCAAGGGACAAACAAGTTCCTTTAAGGCAAACTTTGACTCTTTACTATCTGGGACTTACCCCATCTCATTATCTCTAGAACAACCAACCTCAAATGAAGCAATAAAATCTCACCTTGAATTACATTCCTGTTTTACTAACTCATTCAAACATCTTGCTACCTGGTAGACAAAACCAATTTCCAGCACTTAGTGATTATTCAGTTGGAGGAACAACCAGAAGACTGTTGTTCTCTGCAGAGTAAGATGATATATCCAGCAGTAAAAGGTAAACACTTAAATATTAAATGTTGTGCCAACAGATATTGCCTTTACTAGATTATAGTACAAATAAGGACAGGCAAACAAAATTTCAGCAAAATTCATTAATGAATTCATTAATTCATAAATATTAGTGACAAAAATGACTTTGTCACTAATATTTCATGTGCCCATACTGTGAAAACCTATGTTAATTGACTCATTCACCCACATATATTAAGCAGTATCCTGAAAAATGATTATATAAAAAATGGAGACAGTAGAATTTCTCACCACTAAGAGCAAATCTAAGCAGTAATTTTTTAAAATATGTATCCTTATTTATTCCTTCAGGCCAATACTACAACCTAGAGAAATAAAATTCCCTCTAGCCTTGAAGCTAGTAAGTTTATCAATGTCTTAATATAAAGCTAGATACTGTTATTCATTTGCTTAGATGAAACACAAATGCAAGAACAATTTTTAAACTTCCCCACTGATAGGACATAACATATAGAGAAAACATCTTGAAATACTGACTCTGATTAATTGCAGACATCCTTTCCCCCCCCAAAAAAAAAAAAAAAAAAAAAAAATGGAATAAGTGAATAGGTGATTAAACTACTGAATATATTAGGGCTAGAAGAGATACATTTTAGAAATTATAGAAATAATTGAAGGGGAATATAAGGAAGGCTGTGTTAGGATTTTATTTAATCTGAAAAATCACTTTGCCAGTCCACAATGCCTATTTGTGACTGAATTAGTTATTTCAGGTTATTTCAAGTATAGTTAATTTCCACCTAATGTGGTATGGCAAATGCAAGTTCCTTGTACCCTGTGATTATATGATCCAAAGTACAGTACTCATATGAATAGAAAAGTGCAAAGGTGATAAATTTATTTTATAGCATTTATTTAGTAAGAATCTCTTCCATTTACTTGATTATGTAAACATTTTTATTATTTTGGGAAACAATTTTTTTAAATTACTGACTTCACCTCAAATTTTAACATACTAACAAAATGTTTAAATCTATGATGTTTAAAATATATTCTGATATAATTAACTGACTTTCTCAGATGAAATTCAACTGAAAGAATGCATTTTAACAGATAACTTCTCAATGTTATAAAACATTAATTTCCATTTTTCAGTATGAGACTTATAAACGCACTGGCTAAATTTTGTTACAAAGTAAAATTAACTAACAACTAAAAGGTGATGGCCCCTCTATTTTGTGGTATCATCAGCAAAGGCAGTAACAGCTTAAGGACTTTTTTTCCAGAAATACCATATACTTACTGGTTTTAAAAAGTGGCAGGATTTGTGGCCTACATTTTCTCGTCTAAAAATGGCTATAAATGTGAATTATAACTACCTATTAGCCAAAAAATTAAACTCACGTTGGAGTAATCATTCAGAATTGGTCAAATTGAAGATTCATAGGATAAGTTCACAAGGCAGAAATTAGCCTTTTTCTTCATTCAAAAACCTAAATGGGCTCTAAATCACCATCCCATCCCCAGCATGAATGGATTAGTGTACGAAATTGCACAAATAGAATTCAATTCACTTAGAATTTTACCATCTCTTTAATGGCTTCTTGAAATGGAAAGGAAATAGTGAAACAACCAAAAGTTACTCCACTAAACATCTTATCAATTAAGAGGCAACTGTCATTTGGACAGGAAGAGAAGAAAACAGCTGAGTTATACTAAAAGTTGTGATGACCGTGATGATCATATTTTATACCTTAACAGGAAACTCATTTATGATAGAAGCCAATTACTTATGGTGTCAATGCTGTGGAGAGGTTTTCCAATCTGCATAAAGTGAGTTACACTTCGTAGTAGCTGTGGGAGCAAAACCCCTCAAACGGTAATGGCTGAGCCCCAGTGTTAAAAAGAGAGCAGTGCCCTTACCTGAAATTCCATTATGTGCTAGTCATCAGGCTGGAAAGTTGCAGAAGACTATGATATGCCATCTGCTCAGATTTTACTGTTTTTTTTTCTTCTAAGTTGTTTAGATTTTTTAAAGAAAGATTTATAGTGTACATGCACATACACACACACACACATAAATGGTGACAAAACAAGACCAAAATAAAAGCAAAACACAACCAATGATAAACAATAACAAAGCATGTATATGATACCACAACCCCTATATTTCTGAAGTAGACAGAAATAATTACCAAAAAACTAACTACCTGTAATAATCATTGACATGATGCTACTTTATATCACAATTACCTAAAAACTCAAAACAGTAAAATCCCCCTCAAATTTGTGTCTTTTCACACTAGCCAAGTGAAGAGAAATGCTGAACAATGCACCAGGTAAACGTTCTAAAAGCACTTACTTGAGTCTGTCATGTGAGTCACAGACTCAACTCGCCTTTATTTACTGGGAGCAGATTCAGTTTCATTGACACCAAAAATACAAAAAAGAAATTAATCTCAATTAAACTTGCAAAGTGGGGGGTGCAAAATGTCCCACTGAGATGAAGGTACAAAATACCAGAACTTCTTTTTTTTTTTTTTTTTTGAGACAGAGTCTCGCTCTGTCACTAGGCTGGAGTGCAGTGGTGTAATCTTGGCTCACTTCAACCTCCGTCACCCGGGTTCAAGGCATCCTCCTGCCTCAGCCTCCCGAGTAGGTGGGACTATAGGTGCCTGCCACCACGGCCAGCAATTTTTTTGTATTTTTAGTAGAGACGAGTTTCAACATGTTGGCCAGGATGGTCTCGATCTCTTGACCTCGTGATCCACCCACCTCGTCCTCCCAAAGTGCTGGGATTACAGGCATGAGCTACTGCGCCCGGCCAATACCAGAACATTTTATAAAATGTGCACATCCACACATGCATGCATGAGCATAACTGTAGATTAAACCTAATATAAGAAGAAATAAACTTGACTTTTACTTAATATACAGACTAACCAAACTTCATACATTCATCACCACTAGATGTCCTAAAGGAGGAGCTGGAGTTCCACAGTGCAAAGAGTTTCACATTGTCACCTCAACAGGCACAATACAACATATAGCTATTTTTCTGTGCCAGGTTACATGGATTTATGAATTATATCATCTTACAGAAAAGAAATTTTATAATACTTTCAAATATGATGGGGAGTGACTACGAAAATATTTTGTGCTATATAGATGTTTGCTGGTTGTTTCATAGCAAGGTACTTATAAGTTGTCAAACTTAAATGAGTTATGTATTTTCTTTTACGAAAAGACAAAAGTGCTGTCCTTTTCTGTGAAGACAAGTAGCTGCAAATAGTGTGCTATTCAATAGCTATTTTGGGATATGAGAAACAAAAATCTTTTAATCTGTACCATCAAGATAAAAGTGATGTTTTTCCAATGCAAGAGAAAAGAAATTGTTTTTCAAGGAAAGATATGCCATGCCAACTATTTTTAAAGACAGATGTTTGGAAATGTTTCTATCATCACATGACATTACACTCAGAAAGACAGAAATTCATGACCTATTCCAACTGTCATAATTCCCTACTTTAAAATCCCAGCAACAGAATTTTCCATCTGTAAAATAATCTGCCGAAAGAACAGTTGCAGAGGGTTTTAAGCCCATTTGTTAAAAATATAAAAATGCAACACCTTTTGATTGGTTTTTAGAATGAACTGATAGACATCAGAGAAAATGGTAATTTACCTGCTGAATTTTACCAAAAGCCTTTACAGAATTGAGGGATAGCATTACAAAATAAGGCTCATGATTTATAACCAGCTAATGATGCAACTTCTCCAGGATCCTGTGTGGTGTCATTTTTGGCTATGACTATTTTTAAGATAAAGATTATAAATAAACTGATCTTGAAATTGCTGTATTTCAAAGTGTTAAATCAGCATTTTAAAGAAGAATAAGGAAGAGTCAGTCAAAGAACTCTCAAAAAAATGATTAATAACATTTCTAATAAGAGCAAAACAATGTAAATATAATTCATAAATAAAAAATAAAAATTATTTTAAAACACATCTTTAGTTCACCTTAATATTTCTATTATAATGTTCTACAATATACATAATTTTAGTGATTTAGTTAATGAATATAATTATAAGTAAAACAGGGTACATTTTAAAAATTAAGATGTACAATAAAAAGTGTAGAGATCATAAAGCTGATAGAAACTACTTTATTTCTAAAAAAGAAGCTATTTCCTTAAATTCTCTCCAATGTGCCACACTTACTCTCCTGAAAAGGTGAGAAAGCAGTTTATCAATATCTAGATATTAGATTCTATTCTGACTATGACAATTCTCAAGCTTTTCCTTTTCCATCATGCACTACTGAAGCTGCCCGTATCCTACAGAAACAATTTCTTAGAATGCCTTCCAAGCCATGTATGATTTTGTCTCTCAAACTATTCCCTTGCTGCTTTCCTCCACAGAATCTGTTCTTTGGTCACATTGAACTTCCAGTTCCACTCCCAGCAGGTCTCCATAAAAACAACTGCTAGCATGCCTTTACTGCCCATTATGTACCAGGCAATTTACATGCATTATCTTTAATCCTTATAGTAAGTTCTCATATTCAGCACTATAACCTCTGTAATGATGAAATAAAACCCCAGAAAAAATAGGTAACTTGCTCAAGGACACATCAATAGTAAAAAGGAGGAATCAGTATTCAAATAGAGACCTGACTGACACCAAGCTTGGCTCTGTTAATTTAGACTGCCTTTTAGAGAGAGGAGACCCAGCTGTCTGTCTGTATGCTGGAAAGCCTAGGAGACCCTATTCATGTTAAAAAAATGAGAAGGCAGACTGTCTGAAAAGATACCTACAATAACCAAGAATGTTCAGTTTTTATGCAAACAAAACACCCTGTTTTGCACCATGAAAGGGCACTGAGCTGTGGCTGCATATGTTCTGGGTATAACACTAACTCCTACTTCTAAGAGCTTCTCTAATTGCCAGTGCAAAACAGCCTTGCATGGTCCAATTTGCCCAGCCTAATTAATATTCTTATTTCTATGCTAGAGTATTTCACTTACGGCCATTTCAGTTTTACAGTTTAAAAAACCACTGAAACCTTCTTTGCCAGAGACACCCTTTCTTCTCACTTTATTCTTTAACAGCACTTTCTTACTATAGTCTCAAGGTTGCTAGTATCTACAGATGACCAGCAACCTTGGTTATCTTCTCTAAAATTAATCACTTAAATACAATCTATGCACCTATGACACACCATTTAACTGTAATTCTGACCTCAGCCAAATGTCCAGACTCTGAGATCACACTGCTGTTTAAATAAAAAATACAGCATTCTTCACTTCTTCTTTTTACTCATAATCGATATCAGTCATTCTTTTTTCTTTTACCTCATCATCGATATCCAATCCATCATCAGGTTTTAGCTACAATTTTATCTCGAATGGAAATACTTATTTCTGCTGCCACTCCTTTGTCAAGGAAACAATCATTTTCCACAAGAAACTACAAGATTCTCCAGCTGGCCTCTGTGTTTTCATATTGCTACCATCTCTCTCATTGCCCAACTAGGGTAAGTTGCCTTTTTTTAAATTGTGGTAAAAAAAATATATAATCTAAATTTATCATTTTAACAATTTTCAAGGATGCACTTTGATGGTGTTAAGTACACTGACACTGTTATACAATCAGCACTACCATCCATTCTTGAAATTTTTCATCACCCCAAACTGAAACTATATATAGAAAAGTCCTCAAATAATGTTTTTCTCAATGTGGTTTCGTTATGATGATGATGATAAAAAAAAATAAATTCCCAGCTGGGGCCACTGTTTGTGTGGAGATTGCATGTTCTCCCCATGTTTGTGTGAGTTTTCTCTGGGTATTTAGGTGTCCTCCTACATCCCAGAGATGTGCCTGTTAGGAAACCGCATGTCTAAAGGATCCCAGTCAGAGTGAGGGAGGGTGTGAGTGCGCCCTGCAAGGGGATGGCATCCTGTCCAGGGTCTGTTCACGCCTTGTGCCCTAAGCTGCTGGATAGGCTCTGGCCATCTGTGATTCTAAGCTGGAATAATTGGATACATAATTATCTTACTTTTTATTAATCTTAAATGTTATGTATAGCTTACATTTATTTCAGTGTTTAATATCAGAAGTGTTTTGGTCTTTATTTAGAAGTCTGGTGATGGTTTTTGTGACCAGAAATATGCTGTAGGAACTTAACTCTTACTTGTATCAATTAGCCTATGATAAAATTGGTTATGTTACACATCATTTCACTTAAAGATGAAGTTTTCAAGAGTGTATCTATGATGACATTAAATAAAGACTTACTGTGATCATTAAATAGTGACTCCACATTATTGCTTCTCCCAGCCTCTGGTAACTACAGTTGACTGCTGAACAACATGGGTTTCAATCCATTTATATGTATATTTTTTCATTAAATACAGTGGAAAATTTTGGGGAAAGCTTCAACAATTTGAAAAACCTCATAGATGAACCATATATCCTGGAAATATCAAAAAACTCTAAAATTTAGATATGTCATGAATGTATAAAACATATGTGGTAACTCATCTATTTTATCATTTACTACCAAAAAATATACACAAATCTATTATAAAAAGTTAAAACGTATTAAAACTTAGGCACACAAACACAGACTATATACGGTGTTATTCCTAGTTGAGAGAAATGTAAATAAACACAAAGATGCAGTGTTAAATAATAACTGCATAAAATTAACTGTAGTACGTATTGTACTACTGTGATAATATCATAGCCACCTCCTGTTGCTATTGCAGTGAGCCCAAATGTTGTATCTGCTGAAAACGCTATGTGATGCAAATCATCTCTCTGTGAGAAGTTGTCTCTCCACTTAATTGCATATCTCAGTAAAAAGTGATCTCTTGCAGTTCTCACGTATTTTTATTGTGTTTACTGCAATACCATAAACCTTGAATAATACCATGGAACCCATACAAAGTGCTGCTAGTGATGCTGGAAGCACTCCTCAGAAGTAGATGAAAGTCATGGCATTACAAGCAACAGTTGAATTGCTTGTGAATTGCTTCACTTGTAGCACAGATTGATGTCTGCAGCTGAGGCTACCTGTCATTTCAAGGTAAATGAATTCAGAGTAAGGACCATTGTTAAAAAAAAAAAAAGAAAGAAAGAAAGATAAGGAAATCCATGAGGTGTTGCTGCAGCTATGCCAGTAGGCATAAAAGCCTTGCACTTTTTGCAAAATACCTTTTAATCTCCAGTTGAAAAAGGAGCTTGTATGTGGGTGCAGGATTACTCTAAGAAAGCCTTGTCTATAGATTATAACATGATTTGAGAAAAACTGAAGTCATTACATGCCAAAATTAAAGCAAAAGGAAGGTGAAGGTTCTAAAGCTGGAGAATTAAATGCCAGGAAAGGATGGTTTGATAATTTTAGAAAAAGGTTTGGCTTACAAAATGTCAAAATAACAGGATAAGTAGCTTCGGCTGATAACGAAGCAGGAGACTAGTTATTAGATGTCTTGAAGAAAATCATTGAGAAGAAAACATAGTTGCCTGTATATAGTTTTAATGTAGATGAAAAAGTGCCCTATTCTGGAAAAAATATCACAAAGAACATTCATGAGTAAGGAAGAGAACCAGCACCAAGCTTTCAGGCAGGAAGAAATGGGCTAACTCTACTGTTTTGTGCAAATGTAGTTGGGTTTATGGTCAGGACTGCCCATGTTCTAAAAGCTGCTACCCCATAAGCCTTAAAGGGAAAAGATAAACACAAGCTGCCAGTATTTTAGTTGTCTGGACAATGAGAATATTGATTGGTTCCATTTATGCTTTGTCCCTGAAGTCAGGAAGTACCTTGCCAGTAAGGCAAGTTCTTCTTTTATTGTTCTTTAAAGTTCTTCTTATATTAGAAAATTTCCTTGGTCACCAAGAACCCCATAAATCCAACACTGAAGGTGTCAAAGTGGTCTACCTGGCCCCAAACACAACATCTTATCAGGGGGTCATAAAGACCTTTAAGGCTCATTACACATGGTACTCTATGGAAAGGATTGCCAGTGCTATTGAACAGATCCCCAATAGAGAGAAAATCATGAGAGTCTAGAAGAATCACACCATGAAAGATGCCATCATTGTTATATAAAAAGCCATCAATCTTGAAACAATAAATTCTTGCTGGAGAAAACTGTGTACACACATGTTGTGCATGACTTCACAGGATTTATGATGCAGCCAATCAAGGAAATCATGAAAGAGGTTGTAGATATGGCAAAAAAAAAAAAAAAGGAAGAAAAGAAAAAAAAATAAAAAGAGGAGAGGGAATGTACTCAAGATATGGATCTTGGAGAAATTCAAGAGCTGATGGATACCACACCAGAATTAACAGAAAATGACTTAATAGCGATGAGTGCATCTGAACCGTGCCAGATGAGGAAGAAGACGTAAAAGAAGCCGTGCTGGAAAACAAACTGATATTAGACAATCTAGTAGAAGGCTTCCGTTTATTCAAAACTATGGGCTTTTCTATGAAGCAAGCACTGAAACTAAAGCAATCAGTGGAGGAAGGATTGATACCATATAAACACATTTTTAGAGAAAAGGCAAAATAATTAAAAAATGTATTTCTGTATGAGTGTGCCTGCATCTCCTGCCTCCCCTTCCACCTCCTGCACCTCTTCTGCCTCTGCCACCCTTGAAAACAGCATGACCAACCCCTTCTCTTCCTCCTCCTCCACATACTCAAAGTGAAGATGAAGAGGACGAAGACCTTTATGATGATTTACTTCCACTTAATAAAAAATAAATATATTTTTCTTCCATATGATTTTCTTAATAACATTTTCCTTTTGCTTACTTATTGTTAGAATACAGTATATAATACCTATAACATGCAAATATGGGTTAATCAACTTTATATTATTGGTAAGACTTCTGGTCAACAGGAGGCTATTGGTAGTTAGTTTTGGGGAAGTCAAATGTTATATGCCAATTTTTGACTACATGGGGATCTGTGTCCCTAATCCCTGAATTGTTCAAAGGTAAAATTTATTATTCTACTCTCTCTATGTATTTGACTGTATGTATTCTACTCTCTCTATGTATTCTACTCTCTCTATGTATTCTACTCTCTCTATGTATGTAACTCGTATAAGTAGATTCATTATAATATTTGTCCTTTTGTGTCTGGCTTATATTTAGAATACTAATATTTTCAATGGTCACCCATGTTGCAGTGTGTAGAATGTAGCATTTTTAAGACCAGATAATATCCCATTACATGTATATACCACACTTTGTTTATCCATTCATCTCTCAAAGAATGTTATGGACTGAATGTTTGTGTCTGTCAACATTCATATGTTGAAATCCTAACCCCAAGGTGATAAAATTAGGAGGTAGGGCCTTTGGGAGGGTAATTAGCCCTCATGAATGGGATGCCCTTATAAAACAGACCTCAGAGAGCTCTCTATCCCTCTTTCCAGCAGTGAGTATACTACAAGAAGTTGGCAGTCTACAGCCTGGAAGAGAATCTTTCCTAGACCTCCACCAGGCTGGCACCCTGACCTCAGACTTCTAGCCTCCAAAACTGTGAAATTTCTGCTCTTTAAATGCCACCCAGTCTACGACACTTTTTTATAGCAGCCTGAATTGAGTAAGACAAAGAAACAGAGGGCTTCCCTGACTACTTCACCACTCAAACATACAGCACTCAGTTTATGTCTATTGCTGCACTTATTGAGATCACTACATGGTTGCTTTGTTTATTTATGGTTTTATTCTGTATTTCCATCTGTTTTATTCAACACAGTAGGGTCAACACAAACAGCTCCTGGCACATTTTCTGAGCCTGAGTGATAGAATTACAAGGGCTCGCTAAGTGGGGCACCCATGTATTAATGCCCAGTTGATAACACAATCAACTGTACAAATCATATTTTGCCATTTTCTGCCTACTGGGTTTACTACCCGGTTATTTACCACCGTACTCTCCCCCATATACACACACAGCTAGAAACCCAGTAGGAAGTCCAGTGCTCCAAAGGTGGATAACAAATCTCATTTTATCACACATATAGCAAAGATTAGCAGCTTCCCAGGCACATCTGGGAAAGCTCTAGGAAATATACAGCAAGGTACAATAGGTGGTAATAGTGATAATTTAGGCCACTGTTGGGCAAGCACTTAGAGGTTTTTATCTTTGTCTTCTTAGATTCTACCTTCCATCCCCATACCCAGAGATAAAAATCAATGTGGAATTGTTTTACTGCTTGAAAACTGCATTCTGGAGAGTACTGATACTCAATGTAAACAACACACCAAGAGCTTAACATTTATTAAGCCAGGCACAGCACTAATCTCCTTAACACATTAGCTCATATAATTATCACAACAAGCCTATGAGATTGGTATTATTATCTTCATTTTACAAATGAGGAAACAAGTTGAGAAGGGTTAATCAACTTGCCCAGGGCTACAGAATGAGTAGGCAATATCTATGGATACAAGTGTCATTGTAACTTTGAAACAGCTCTTGCTCTTAACAACTTCCAGGAAGCCCAGAAGAGTGGGTGACAAACCTAGCCTTTACTACATAAGATTAAGGATGATCTACACAGGCCACTCTAGCTCAGAAATCCACTGTCTGGTTTCATACAGCTGAATCTCACCAGTGTACAGGTGGGCCATTTTGCTGGAAGAACAAAATAAAATTCAAACAACAAACAAGTGATACTTTAGAGGTAGACAGCCACAAGGTTGTAAGTTATAAAATATGTTGTAGTTATTATTATTGCCATTGTAATCCCATTTAATTTTTGGTGCATACAGATTTGGGGGCAGAATGCTAGATCCTAGGATACAAAAGTAAAAAGTAAGGTATTTGTTATCAAGGAGTTCATAGTTTAACCATCAGAGACACAAGCAGGTGTTGTGATAGGGGTTTGTATGAGTATACAAGTGTACAATGATAAAGCTCCAAACTTCATGGGGCAGAGCACTAGGAGAATGGAAATGGAATCTTAAACACAACTTGAAAAGCCTTTCACAAAATGTTAAATCCCTGAGTTTATAAAAAAGTTCCTCTGCCTCCTTTTCATCTTCAAGGTAACCTTCCTAGACCAGGCTCTCTTTTACTTATACTTGAATATTGCAACACTTTCCTAATTGCCTAATTCATTTCCGTGGCTCTATATTCTTTCAATTTTGACCTACCCTACTAAGTATGGAAAGATTAAGTATCCCAAAATATCATTTCCTTTATTTAACTTCCCTGCTCAAAACACTATGATTGCTATGATTACTATGATTTACTTACCGAAATGGTTGAAAATTATTTATCCTTGCATTGAGTAAACTTCAAAAATTCATACATATCTACCTTTACAAGCTCAATTCTCCTAAAGGCTTATATACCACCTGGGCATTATCCAAACTGGGTCACAGAATGTGCCTCCTGGGCTTCACCTATGTTCACACTGGCCCCACATCTCCAGTGTCCTGTATATACCAAAGGGCCTTGACCAATCAAGTCCTAGTCTTCCTTGAAGTCTCTCTCTTTCCTTATCTGTGTTTCTCTTGCCTCTGAGAGCACTCAGTGTGTAGATGGCTTGCTGAATAATTAACAAGTCATCATGTGAGAGGTAATGGTGTGTGGTGGGTATGGACACAGGCTTTAAGTATGGAGGACACAGATTCAGGGCCTGAATAAGATGCCTACGAATTATGATCTTGAACAAAGTAAATGGTATTTGCTAAGTTTCAAATTATACATGTACAAAATGAAGATAATGATTATGCTTCCTTACAGGGTTGTGGTGAGAATTCAATAAAATTGGCCCTACAAGAATTCCTAGCACAGGGAATAGCACAAAACAGCTCAAAACAGTAGATAAAAATTATATATCTGTCCATGCTTCAGTTATATATCTAACATAATAATATTTCCAAAATATCTAAAGAACATATGACAAATTTAGGTAACAGATTTGTTAAATTTATTAACAAAAATATCTATGATAGCTATACCCACAAAGAAAGCAAAACAAACAAAAAATGTCCCTCTGCTACAACATTATTACTGATTACCATCTCATGAGCCTCTCTGAGATTTCATCACTTTAGGAAAAGGTCCTTTGAACTGTATCCATTCTCCACCATAAATCCTGTTTTCTACTCTCTGATTATTGTAGTAGAATATTATATAATCCTAAAGAAGAATCAGATGAATCCATACGAAAAGATAGGAAGAGGTGCACATAAAATACTGGTAAATGAAAACACACGTGCATACACATATCTACGTATTATGTGTGCAACATGTATAGATATTTTCTGTATGTTTAGATAAGAAATTATTAAAAATAGTTACCTCCTGGGGAATGAACTTGGTAGGCAAAGGGCTGAAGCAGAAAACTCTACTTCTGAATAAACTTTTCTATGATTATAATTTTAAAGGATTTAGTAAATATGAAAATTGAGAGGCAAAGTTTGGTTGAAAGCATTTTTTTGTATGTATAACATGTTATCTGACAAAATTTTAAAAGATGGCCTAAAACAATGCATGCTAAATGGATTTGGGGGCTGTACTTGTGCTGATTAAACAAACATGAGTTCTGTAATTCTTTAGCAGTATCACTGGACTACTTATTCAATAAACACTGTTAAGATCCTCCACACTGACTCTTACATGTTACTCATCTGTGTTTAACTTAACATGCCATTCTGACTTGATAAATACCGCAAATTAAAATTTGAAATGGGTCAACCTTGTCATCACGAGACGTTTGAGAATGAGAAAAAATGCTTTATAAAATTAATTTACATGGTTACATTTTTATTCACTTTAAAAATATTCTACCGTATTCAATATTTAATGTTACTAATATATTCATATATTATAACATTAACACTTAAGGGAAAAAGAATAGAAAATAAGGTAACGCCAATGGCAGAATTAATGTAGATTATGTATACTCTACTATCTGGTATAGTTGCCATATAACTGACTTCTCCGAATTTCCTAAAACTTAGAGCAAAGATAGAAGAATGATCAGTTATAAGATCAATTATAACAGTCATAAGACTGATTTACAAAAAGTACAAATATTTTTTCTAGTCCCAGTCCTAGATGCTATTTTCCCCATGAGCTTTCTGAGCCTATGGCCCTGAGGCTAGGTATTAACTTTAATGTCATAATTACATACCAAAGAAGCAGCAGTCTAGAAAAAGGAGTAATCACTTAGAATAGTAAAAATTAACCATAAATATCAAATTGGAAAATAAATGACTGTTCCTTCTCCTTCTCTTTCTGTTTCCTGATGCTTCTTCCTTCCCATCCCTCAAAAACCATATTCCAAATGTTTGGAAATGATCTACCTATTCTAATCTCTCTTCACTTAGAGAACTCATCTTCTCCTGAGGGTACTACTAGTAATTCAACCTCTCTGATTCTAACAAGCGCCTAACAGACTGTAGTTTTTCCATATATGAAAGCTGGTAATAACAACAATGGCAATAACAACAAAAGCAACAACAACAATAATGTCTCCAATACATAAACGTGATGACTCCTCCATGTATAGCTCAAGATGAACTCTCTCCAGAACTCCAGAAACATCTATCACGTTTTCCAGCAAACATTTACATCCACGTCTCCATGGGCCTCTCACATTCATC